>NC_000008.11:118214222-119464222 GCF_000001405.40 Homo sapiens
GGACTAGAATCAGTCCTTTTCTTCTGACAGGAAGGTTCCATATGGAGGCAGAAATCTGGTTAACTACAATGTCACTTTAGACAGACACCAAGTGTATTTCACACTGTTGTTCACCTTCTATGTCAGGATGTCAAGACCTTTTGTTTCAACATGCAGCAGCCTGCATGCCCAGGTTATGGTTTCTGCAGCATGTTAGCTGATGGTCATAGTGTGTGCCCTTGGTAGTGTCATCTACACCAAAAGAGGCAACACTGTCAAGCTTTTCATCTTGTAGTGTGATGTTCAGCTAAAGAGGCTTAAGGAAATATATCTATATCTTCTTTGTCTCAAGAAAATTCCAAATATCACTGAAGCAGGAAGCATTTTCACAGGCATGTATGCAAGATGCTATTTACTGTGGGTATAGATGTTAGAAACTTAGTGTTTAATTTAATTTGGAAATCAGAAGGTAGGGGAAAGTCATTTAAGTTAACTTAGTGTTGAATTCAATACAAATAACTGTTGTTTATCTTTGCTTTAAAGCTATAATACTCATGAAATTGTAATTCTTTCCCAGGACTTGCTGGCTGATGACAAAGCTCTTGTTTCCTACAGAAATCAGTGGCTTAGGAGAGGGTGCCTTAGAGCGCATGGATGTAATAAACTAGAAAGGAGAATAAAGTGCAGTGGCACAATGGCTGGAGGTGAAGGCAGAGGTTAGATAGGACCAATCCTCAGACCGAAGGTTAAACAAGGGGGCTAAGCTGCTACTGCAGTTGTTACACGTTAGGAGAATTTACTTGCAGCACTATTTAAAAATCTGAATAAGAATATTTAAGCTAGAGGAATATAGACATGAAAAAATATATTATTTTCTTTATAAATCAAGTTAAGGACAAATCCCTCTATTTGAAATGTTAGGCTCTGGCAATTTTAATAATCTAAAACAAGTATTGGCAAACTATAGCCCCTGTAGGACAAATCCAGCCCACTCCTGTTTCTGAAAATAAAGTTTTATTGGATCACAGCCACACCCATTTGTTTACGTATTGTCTTATAGCTGCTTTCAAAACAACAGAAGAGCTGCATAGTTATAGAGATCATATAACTCACAAACTCCAAAATATTTACCATCTGGTTATTTACAAAAAAGTTTGCCAACCCCTATAAAATAAATGTAATATCAAAAATAAATCTAAATGTTAGTGAAAAAGCTTTGAGAATTTTATTATACATTGCAAGAAAAATAGTTGTCATTGAGTGCTTTTTTTTTTTATTACACTTTAAGTTTTAGGGTACATGTGCACATTGTGCAGGTTAGTTACATATGTATACATGTGCCATGGTGGTGCGCTGGACCCACTAACTCGTCATCTAGCATTATGTATATCTCCCAATGCTATCCCTCCCCTCTCCCCCCACCCCACCACAGTCCCCAGAGTGTGATATTCCCCTTCCTGTGTCCACGTGATCTCATTGTTCAATTCCCACCTATGAGTGAGAATATGCAGTGTTTGGTTTTTTGTTCTTGTGATAGTTTACTGAGAATGATGATTTCCAATTTCATCCATGTCCCTACAAAGGACATGAACTCATTACTTTTTATGGCTGCATAGTATTCCATGGTGTATATGTGCCACATTTTCTTAATCCAGTCTATCATTGTTGGACATTTGGCTTGGTTCCAAGTCTTTGCTATTGTGAATAATGCCGCAATAAACATATGTGTGCATGTGTCTTTATAGCAGCATGATTTATAGTCCTTTGGGTATATACCCAGTAATGGGATGGCTGGGTCAAATGGTATTTCTAGTTCTAGATCCCTGAGGAATCACCACACTGACTTCCACAATGGTTGAACTAGTTTACAGTCCCACCAGCAGTGTAAAAGTGTTCCTATTTCTCCACATCCTCTCCAGCACCTGTTGTTTCCTGACTTTTTAATGATTGCCATTCTAACTGGTGTGAGATGGTATCTCATTGTGGTTTTGATTTGCATTTCTCTGATGGCCAGTGATGATGAGCATTTTTTCATGTGTTTTTTGGCTGTATAAATGTCTTCTTTTGAGAAGTGTCTGTTCATGTCCTTCGCCCACTTTTTGATGGGGTTGTTTTTTTCTTGTAAATTTGTTTGAGTTCATTGTAGATTCTGGATATTAGCCCTTTGTCAGATGAGTAGGTTGCGAAAATTTTCTCCCATTTTGTAGGTTGCCTGTTCACTCTGATGGTAGTTTCTTTTGCTGTGCAGAAGCTCTTTAGTTTAATTAGATCCCATTTGTCAATTTTGTCTTTTCTTGCCATTGCTTTTGGTGCAGTCATTGAGTGCTTTCTACTCCAGAGATCTATATTTTAATCTTTACTCAGAACAAGTTCTGTGAAGTAAGTAGCAGCATAGAAGTAGCCAAGACCTACAGATAATATCAATTACTAGTAGTTGGTAGAGAAGTGAAGAAACAGAAAAAATACAACATTACAGCAGTCCAGGGCTATTTAGGGTAGGGATATGAGTATCATAGCATAATAAATAACTGATGTGCATAATGATAGATTTTGGAAATCTAGGTGCTTAAAACAGTAAGTTTCAGCAATCTGGAAAACTCTTAAGTAATAAAGCTTATTCTCAACATTTCTTGACAATGAAAATATTAGCTGCGTATGAATGTGGTGTGAGATTTCAGGAAACTGCTAATGTGACTTTGTGTGCATAACATGTTTCTGAAAATATTCATTCCCTATATCCACCCTCTATATCAGTTTTTCCTCTCCGCATTCATCGTTTAGGCCCTTGTGGTGTCTTCATCTGGTCTCTACCTTTTTTTTTGAGACGGAGTCTCGCTCTGTCACCAGGCTGGAGTGCAGTGGTGCGATCTCGGCTCACTGCAACTTCTGCCTCCTGGGTTCAAGCGATTCTTCTGCCTCAGCCTCCCAAGTAGCTGGGACTACAGATGCACACCACCACACCCAGCTAATTTTTGTATTTTTAGTAGAGACAGGGTTTCACTATGTTGGCCAGGATGGTCTTGATCTCTTGACCTTGTGATCTGCCCGCCTCGGCCTCCCAAAGTGCTGGGATTACAGGCGTGAGCCACTGCGCCCGGGCCTGGTCTCTAACTTTCTACTTTCTGCTCCCATCTATTCAAAACACTTTTACCAGATCAGTATCCCTACAAAACCTGTCTTGCTCATCAGCACATACCAAATGAATATCAGTATGGGTGAGGGATTGTGCTAGATTCTGAGGAAGATTCAGAACTGGGTAAGGGAGTTTTTGTCCATAAAGTGCTTGAAATATTTGGAAGAAAAGACAATATCTTTACAGAAAAATAATTAACAGTATAAGGTATTTGTTGATTCAGAAAAAGAAAAAAGGTTAACTAGATTTTATAAAGGGAGTGATTGCTATTGCATGGACTAGTCCTGGAGAGGGTGGAATTTGAATCAGGCCTTGAAAGAGAGGAGAAAAAAAGGAGAAAGGGTATTTTAGAAAGTTAGTGATGCCCATCTGTATTCAAAAACCTCCTGTGGCTCCACATTTCTTAAAGGATAAATTCAATTGTACAAGGCTATGTCCAAGGCTCTCCATAATCTTTATCCAACCATCTGCACCCTCCATAATGCCCTTCACAAATCAGCTCTCCCGATTTTTCTTAGTGCCTTATTGACTCTGATTTCTGGATGTGCTGTTCCTAATACTTAGAAAAGCTTTCTGTCCTCTGTGCTAATCCCAATCCTGCCTGTTATTTGAGGTCCAAATTCTCCATGGTGCCTCACCATGGGCCTCTCTATTCCAGTGCTTGGTCACATGTGGTCCTACTGCACCTGACTAGCATGCAGCTCACACCAAGTATAGCTCACAGCCCAAGTTCTGCAACACCCAAGTTGGTCTGTACTCAAGAAGACAAGTATACTGATTACAGCCTTGGATATTAAATTGCTATGAGGGCTTAAACTCTTATTATCAAGTTATTTATCTATCCCGTTGTGGATCAGTAATAAACAATTCACAGCATGGTACTGGTACTCAGATCACACTTTACTATTATTTTCCATTTTTATTTTTAATTGACAAATAATTGTATATATTTATGGGAATGCAATGTAATATTTTGATATATATATAATTGTGAGATGAGTAAATCAAGCTAATTAACATATCCATCACCTTACACATTTGCTTTTTGTGCTGAGAACATTTAAAATCTATTCTTTTATACATTTTGGATATGCAACCATCTATTATTAACTATAATCACCATGCTGTGCAACAGATTTCAAAAACTTATTCCTCCTAACTTTATATCCTTTGACCAACATCTCCCCACCCCCACCCCTGCCATCCCCAGCCCCTAGCAACCACCATTCTACTCTCTGCTATGAGTTCAACATTTTTAGATTCCACTTATAAGCAAGAACGTGTGGTATTTGTCTTTCGATGCTGGGCTTATTTCACTTAGCATAACATACTCCAGGTTCATCTATGTTATTGCAAATGACAGTGTCTCCTTTTTTATGGCTCAATAGTATCCCATTGTGTATATATACCACATTTTTTTAAAATCAATTTTTCCATTGGTAGACACTTAGCTTGATTCCATATCTTGTCAGCCCACACTTTGAATAGTGTTCATCTAGTTGACCTTCATCTCCTCTTTCCATGAATCCTAAAGCACTTACCGTCTATTTTAGGGGCTGAAAACTAGTGGTCAGTAGGCCAAATTTGAATAATTACCAACATTTAATAATTGGGAGATTTATAGTTCTCTGAAAAATTGGCAGTTGTAACATCATTGTCTCACACTCTCTAAAGCAACAATAGGCTGGAGCTGAGCAAAGCTGCCCCTTTAGATGTGGCATGAACTGTCTGGGTCTCCGCTGCCCCCAACATCCTTTCTACTGTTCACAGGCCAGCTCACCTCACCTCACTCTTTTTTTACGTTTGCCTGAACCTTGTAGGCATCTGTGTTGCCCATACACGTCTATGACGTGCATTTTGCCATTTTAGCTATTTTATTATATACTCGAATTGCTTGCTGTGTGGTTTGCCTTCTGTTCACATCTAGACGCAAATTCCTAGAGGAGAGAGACTATGCCCTGTGTGTTTTCCTGGTTTATCTCAGTAGACAGCACAGAGCTATATCAACAATTATCAAATGCTTGATAAATACCTTTTAAATAACAGAATGAACAAATGACCTATTCCATCTAGGTTATAAATCTAAAGTACAAATCCTAAATTGAACATATGAGGTAATTTTACGAACACCCTTGGGTGGATTAAAGGTAGCTACAAATTCTTTCATATCACCTCCCAGTGAGAGATGGGGGTCTATTATCCCTCCCTTTGAGTGGAGGTTGGCCTCTGACTGCTTTGACCAGGAGAATGATGGAATGATGCTATGCCAGTTCTGGGCCTGGCCTGTCAGAGAATTGTCAGCTTGCATTTGATCTGTTGAGAAGCTCTACTACCCTTCTGGAGAGACCACATGGAGACATCCTGACAATATATGGAGATAGGGAGAGGCCAGCTGAGCCAGGTCTTGCAGCCATCCCTGCCAAGGCACCAGGAAGGTGAGTAAAGTTGTCTTGGACCAGTCCTGACACCAGCTTAATATCACATAGGAGCCACAGGCAATGCCATGTGAAGCTGGAGAGTTGCTCAGCTGAGCTCTGCCCCAACGTGCAACTCTCAACATTGTGAGATATAATAAAACAGTTGTTATGTTAAGCCACTAAGTTTTTGAGGTAGTTCATTACACAGTAATGGATGAAACAGAATTTATCCCTGAGTTTCCACTGTTTACCTGAATGATATCCTTATTATGAACATTCAAGTACGTATTACTCTTGTTAAAGCTATGGCTTACACTGAAAATGGTAATGCTTGCCTGGAGTTCTGGATAAATGGTTGAGGCTGTTCTTGAATGGTGGGACCAACCTGGGAGTTCTGTGTCTAGGACTGAGAGAATCAGTATCTCTCGGCACACAACAGTGTGAGTGAACCTTTTGGTGTGTACAGTTCCATCGTCGTGCTATTCAGGAATGGACGTGGTGAATAGTGTTCTCTACAGCAATTCTGCTGGGTTATTTTTTAAATTTTATTTTCCACTTTACAAAGATATATCTATCCACTATTTAAATCGACATAAATAATCTGGCCATGATTCTGTATTTTATGACTTCTGTGACTGTTAGGTTTTAGAATAGGAAATGTGACAGTCTCTAAGAAATGATCATTTCAGTTGCCAGATCCTAGGAATCTATAGGCCCTTTAAAGAAACGTACATTTTAAGTAACACCTTACCTCCTTCCCAAGAATTTAGTTAATCACTACATTTTTCTTCTATCATTCCTATCATGTTATAAAATCAGTTTCTCAAAAAGCTGTTCTCATTATTCTCATGTGTTTCTCAATTTCTTGTTACAAACCCTAGGAGTCAGTTGCTAAAAATCATGATTCAAGCCACTTTAGCAGAGAAACAAGATCTAGACTTGGCCAAGCTTGGAACAGCAACGGAAACAGACTTGACAGTTTCTTCATTAATTCCTGATGCTTTACAAACATTAAAAACAAAAACAAAAATAAAAAACAAACACATCAAGGCCTTCCCAAAGAACACATTTTCCATATTTTGATATGGTCACTTTGTAATCATTGAACCAGTGATTATGCAAATAGGCAAAACCTGTCCTTGTGCCAACTGCCTGAGAGATCTAAAAGGCAGGAGGGGTGGGGGACATATTGTCCATTGAGATGAGAAGACGTGTGGTGGAATACGAAGATATGAAGGCCTCTGGAATTATTTGCGTATGATTTCTAAAAAAAAAATAACTACGGGGAAAACTTCTTGAAGTTAAATTAGGATGAAAGGAGTGCCTATGAGAAATTAGATATTCATAGTGAAAAGAAATAAGGGATCAAAATATTTTTGTCTCGTCTATTAGTATTTACGGTCTGGCTCTATGCAATAAAATAAATAGAAATTCAAACCTCTATTAATTAAAACGATCTCTCCCCAAAAGTGGTTCAAAATCTGAGGGATGGGGGTGGGATGAAAGGAAAAAGTAAGTAATCAGATTACAGTGGGAGAAGTGCTACGTTAGTAGTGTGGAAAACGTGTTGGAAACCGTGAGGAATAATTAATCACATCCAGAGAGTGAGTGGGAGGGGTCATTTCAGCTCAGCCTGAAGCGTGAGTAGGCTATTTCCTTGTATTGCTAGAGGGACTGCATTTCTGGACGTGAGTTTTGTTTAAGCCAAGATGTGGAAGAATGAAAGAACAGATCTGTTTCTGGAATGGCAAGAAGTAAAAAATAAATAAATAAATAAAAGGATCAGCTATGGCTTAGTCATAGGATGAGTTAATTGAGTGAGGGGTGGGAGAGAGATGGGGTTGTAGTGGCTTGCAACCTAATCTAGTGTTTGGAGCCAGATCATGAAGAGACAGGTATACCAGGCTAATGGGTTTGGATTTTATCATGCAGGCAGTGGGCATTTAGGAAAGTTTCATAGCAGAGGGTGTGCCACGGTCATAGTTATGGTTTAGAAATCTTGCTCCATACTGGTTCTGCAGGTAGGGGATTATATGGCTTGCCTTGCGGCAATTGTCAGAGTTGCCGTTTTTACATTCGTTGGGGTGATTATTTGATTAATACTTAATTGAGACCACAGCACCATGAAAATAAGATCCATGTTTCGCTTTTTGCTCAGAACAGTCTCCCTCGCACCAAGCACAGTTCCTGGAACAGAGAAGAACTTCAGTGATGATTTGGTGAATGAGTTAAACTACTGAATATTCATGTGGGCCACATAAGTGGTAATGAAGGCCCGAATCATGGCAGTACCAGTGACAGCAATTAAGAGGGAAGACGTTTTTGTTTGACATCTAAAAAAGAAAATCCTGGGTTGGCTCTAAGACAGGTGGCAGGAGAAAAGACAGGAGGACCTCAAGTTTCTAGGGTGGGTAATTAAGGGAAGGGCAGTTATTAAATCAGCAGGGAAAGCAAGAGGAGGAGGACTGGGTTTTTTTCAAGAGCAGAAGATAAAAATTTGGTGTTGGATATGTATTATAGATGCCTGCAGGACATCCATGTGGGCAGGAGGCAGAATGTCATAGTGGAAAGAACAAAGCAGCAGAGGACCTTGGATTTGGGCTTTGTCATTTACCAGCTATGTGACCTAGAGTGTCATGAACCTCTGTGAAGTCAGATTTCTAATTTAGAAAGTGGAGATAAGAATCTCTGCCATAATTACCTCAGAATGATTTTATAATAATCTAAAATTTAAAAATGTGTGAGGAAGTGCTTTTTATTTTTATCTTTTTGAGATGGAGTTTTGCTCCTGTTGCCCAGGGTGGAGTGCAATGCCTCAATCTCAGCTCACTGTAACCTCCACCTCTGGGGTTCAAGCGATTCTGCTGCCTCAGTCTCCCGAGTAGCTGGGATTACAGGTGTGTGCCATCATGCCAGGCTAATTTTGTATTTTTAATAGAGACGGGGTTTCACCATGTTGGACAGGCTGGTTTCAAACTCCTGACCTCAAGTGATCCACCCACCTCAGCCTCCCAAAGCGCTGGGATTACAAGTGTGAGCCACGGCACCCGGCCGAGGAAGTGCATTTTAAAGTGCACAGAGCTCTTGGTGGACTCCCAGTTATGATCATAATCACTGCACTGAATGTGATGCATCCCTCAGCAGAGCATGGGACAGGTCAAATCCAGATCACAGGTTTAATGCACAGGGGCCATCTGACTTGTCAAAACTACAGGTAAGTCTCCACTTTGGGCCAGCAGCCTCGAGAATGGGTATGACAGTAGAGTAGACTAGACTTATCATCAGAAATAGAAAAATGTCTCTAAGTCTTCTACTAAGAGTTACATATTCCAGCTTAAGCAGAATGAGAGATATTAATATGAGGGTTAGGAGGTGTGCTCTGTTGCTGATGATGTAAAAACAACTTATGCTCAAATAAATATCTTCTCTTGACAGCCTCTGGAGTCTTTCTTCTTTTCTGAAAGCCAAACACAAACCCTTTTATCTTAATACACTCTTACTTCTAGAGTTGTCACTTTCTTTTTCAGCTTTCATCCAAGACTTCTCTCCTATACATTAGGCCCACGGATTCAATGCCTCATTCAAAGTCACACTAAGTCACTCCCATGCTATCTCCTGTAGCATCTGGGTTTTCCCTAGAAGACACTGACTCACTGAGCAACCATGAGCCAAAAACATCTTAGCATTTCGACTTCTGGTCAGTTCTAATGTTCTGTAGGAGTATGGTGGATAGAAACAGAACAATTCAGTTGATTGATTTCAAGATTTCTAAAACCAATAATCACAGTGACCCTGCCCTGATGGGGAGGTAGACTTGTTGGAGACAGTCTTCTGTTAGAGACTGGCTCCTGTCTTCAAAATGAGCCTTAAGCAAGGATTCCTTGCGGGATGGAAAAGTTGAGTTTCTGAGAACAATCAATAGGGCTATATCTTTTGCCCATCTCAAGTTCTTTGATGTAATATAAAAGCAATAATGTGCCTGAGAATGAACTCATAAACAGTTATTCATTTTATAGCATAATAAAAGTAGGGCAAGATAGAGTTGAGATTTAGGCAAAGAATTGGGCTGGCAGTTAGGAGATCTTGTTTTTCTTGCAAGGTTGCTCATGGTGTCATCTTTAGTGAATCACCAGGTGGCTCCTGGCCTCAGTTTTTCCACCAGTGAAACACAGAGTGGCATTGGACCATCAATAAACAAGTAAGGGTAACAATTGCAATATATGTGCAATTAACATGCCAGGCTCTATTCTCGATCTTGGGATAGATCCATGAATAGAACAGAAAAAAGTAATTCTTGTGTTCATAGAACTCAGATTCTAGTGAGGGAAGAGACAATAAACAAAACACACAATAAATAAGGAAATTGTATGTTGGAAGTTGATAGGTGCTGTTAAAACACACTGAACGGGTAAGGTGGATTTGGATCATGAGAGTGGCTGAGGACTGCACTGGTTGCAGGCTTTGGAAAGGTCTGGGTTCTAACCTTGACTAGTAACTCCTTTCCCTCATTACAACAAAATAATAGTACCCTCAGGTCACACAGGAATTGTAGGAGTTCAATGAAGTAAGGAAAGAAAAACCACTTGGCATGCAAATGTTACTATTATTATCCTTATTTTCTAATTCCAAATATCTTGACTCCAAAATCATGAATCTCAAATAACAAATACTGGAATGACAAAGGACAATATTATTTTAATATCACAAAGAAAACCAAAGATGTAGTTTTGGTCACATGGTTTGTTTAAGGATGGGGCCAATTACGTGAATAAGGGTGATATTTGCTGAAGCAGGAGTACCTCTAAGATTCCCATAGGACAGACAGCCACAGGCTCTATTTTTAGTTCAAGGATTTACAAAAATGAAAAAAAGAAAATAAAACAAATAAAAGGGATTTATAAATTTTAAAACAAAGCTTTAAATTTTATATGTTCCAAGAAGCTTCCAGAGGCTGGCTTTTGGAGAATAAAGCACCTGAACAATAATCAGAAAAGGCAAAATTGCCTCCTTGGGATATTGATGTTAACAGATGTGACTTTTTCTGTTTCATGCCAGGAACAGAGCGCTTCTGGCAGAGGTGTGAATTTCAGTACATCACTGGCAGAATTGCTGACCTCTGTGGGAAATGTTTAAGTCCTTTGATGTAACTTATTGTTGAGCAAACAGTATTTCTGGCACTAAAAACGTTTTGGGTTTATATCTGTTTCCATCAATCTTTATTCAATGACATTATCATTGCTCACCTATTACAGATATTTCTCAACTGGGAATTCATGAAAAGGGCAGAGAGTTGGAGAGAGTGTTTATTGAAATGACCAAAAGCTTTTGTTGCATCCTCTCCTGCCCTATGCTTATAGAGGTCATAAAATCACTCAGGGGATAAGACATTTTTTATTAGAAAATAGTAAAAGTAGTTCTCCCTAGACTTCTTCCTGTATTAAATGCTACACATCTTGAGGTTGGTACTACCAAAAAACTATGCCCCATTCATTCATTCATTTATTCCCCTTATGATGAATGTGTTATACATCTGTGCTATGTAGGCACAGGTGTAAAAAAGCTTACAAACCCAACGAGAGCCTTCTGCCTCTGAATACAATGCTGTTGTCTGGAAACTAAAAAAAGGCCACTCCATTAAGTTTGCAGAGGACGTGGCCTCACTTCCCAAATGCTGCCAGCAAAGTTGTGCTGCCAGGGTTTTTGGAGGCTGGCTCCTAGAAAGGATCTGGGAGTGATCTGCAAGGGGTGAGCTCTGTACCATGCTGGGGGCAGCAGGATCATTAAGTACCTAACTGTTTGCAGGGGAATAGGGTTAATGGGCCAGAACCTTTCTGGAGCTTAGCGTTCAGGAGTTCAACTAAGTCTCCAAAAGAGCATGTTAAGCGATTTAGGGAAGTTGATTCAAACTCAGCAAAACTTTATCAAGGGCCTTCTAAAGAGCAAGTTGGGATCAGATGTGAAAAGGTGAGGATAAAACAGTCCCCCTTTTCAAAGAGCTTACAGTTCAATTCATATGCAGGGACAGGCCAAGCGCAGCGAGGATACTCAGCATATGACCTTGAACTTACAAAATCATCAAAGCAGCTCTCCAAGGACAGATAATGAGATTGAGGCTCAGAGATGGGAAGTAACTTGGCTAAGGATGCAGTGAATTACACCTGGTTCAGTCTCCAGAGCAGCTTCGATCACCTCCTCAGGCTCTGCAGGAACTGAGTCTCAAGATACAGAGCTGACTCAGCTAGACTTTCTGGGTCACAGAGATGCATATGTACACAGTAGGAAGACAAAAGGACTCAGGCACATTGAGCGCTTACTCTGTGTCAGGCACTGTCCGAAGTGCTGGTGCATACTAAGTGTTTTATATTTATTATATCATTTAATCCTCACAAACCATTTGTACACGAGGTACCAATGTTGTCCCCATTTAACACATGAGGACACTGAGGAATGAGGAAGCTAAGTTGCTAGCAAGAAATCATACACTCAATAACTCAGGATTAAAATTCTCACCATCTGGAGACTATGCTACTCATATTACACTATTGCCTGGGACAAGATACTTCTTTCTGTGGCGTACTGAAGCCTCATACCGAACCCAGATTTCAGCAATGAAATTTCTAGCAGAACATGGATAAGTAATTATGGTGTTAGTTCTAAACCAAAAGCATCAGATGGATCCTATCTTTATCAGAAAGTCAAGAAAATCCTCCTTTGATAGCAAGCTGGCTTCTCGTATATTTCTTTAACACTCACCCTGAAAGAACTTCTGTCCATCTGACTATCTGACCACCCATCCATCCATCCATCAATTTATCCAACTATTCAGCAAACATTTATGGAGGATTCCCTATATGCTGTGCACTTTGTAAGAAGCTGGTAATACAAAGATAAGTACATACATAGCCCTGCCCTGGAGAAAGTAATAATGAGGAGGTAGTATTGTAAAGAAAAATAATTAGAATCCAGTAAACTCTGTGTAGTAACTGAGATAGGAGCAAAGTTCCATGGGTGCACAGAGAAGGTACTAAGGCAGCTTGGGGGAGTCAAGAACTTCCAGAGGGGCCATCTGGCTAGGATGAGAGCTGCTTGGAAGAACATGGTAGCTTTGGATGTGTGTGTGTAGAAAACTGAGGAACAGTGAGAGGGTGTATAAGTAGAACATTCCATAAACCTTTGATAGCATCAGATGGGGTGGACACTGAACCAGGAATTAGAGGACATAGGCTTTCAGGGCTACTATTCAACCTAGCAGTCCAATTACTGGGTATATACCTAGAAGAGTATAAATAATTCTGCCATAAAGACACATGTATGTGAATGTTCACTGCAGCACAATTCACAATAGCAAGACATGGAATCAACCTAAATGCCCATCAATGGTAGGCTGGATAAAGAAAATGTGGTACATACACACCATGAAATACTGTGCTGCCATAAAACAGAATGAGATCATGTCTTTTGTGAGAACATAGATGGAGCTGGAGGCCATTATCCTTAGCAAACTGACGCAGGAACAGAAAAACAAATATCACATCTTCTCACTTATAAGTGTGAGCCAAATGATGAGAACTCGTGGACATAAAGAAGGGAACAACAGACATTGGGGCTTACTTGAGGGTGGAGGGTGGAAGGAGGGAAAGGAGCAGAAAAAATAACTATTGAGTACTAGGCTTAGTACCTAGATGATGAAATAATCTACATAACAAACCCTCATGACCGAGTGTACCTATGTAACAAACCTGCACATGTACCCAGAAGCCTAAAATGAGAGTTAAAAAAAAAGATGACATGGGTTTTCTTACTTGGCCTGGTATAACATGGAATATGATACTGGGTAAGTCACTTTCCTCATTGCTTAGACAAGAATATTGTTATGTGGTTTACTTCTTACTCATAGGGATGTGATTGAACATGTTATAGAGCTTGAAGAATATTTAACTAATACAAAATGTTATGATTACCTGTGATCCTATCTTCCCCATTCCCCAAATGTACCTCACCACACAAAAGCAGATCTCAACCTTAAGAGAAAGCGAAGTGACCCATGACTAAGAATAAGACTTAGACATAGCCAAAGCAAGACTAAGCAAAAATAACAAATCTGGAGACATCACACTACCTGATTTCAAACTATACTACAAGGCCATTGTCACCAAAACATTATGTTACTGGTATAAAAATAGGCACATAGACCAATGGTACAGAATAGAGAACTCAGAAATAAACCCAAATGCTTATAGGCAACTGATCTTTGACAAAGCAAACAAAAATGTAAAGTGAGGAAAGGACACCCTTTTCAACAAATGGTACTCAGATAAGTGGTTAGCCACATGTAGGAGAATGAAACTGGATCCTCATCTCTCACCTTATATAAAAATCAACTCAAGATGGATTAAAGACTTAAACCTAAGACCTGAAGCTAAAAATTCTAGAAAATAACATGGAAAAACCCTTGTGGATATTGGCTTGGGCAAGGATTTCATGACCAAGAACCCAAAAGCAAATGCAATGAAAACAAAGATAAATAGCTGGGACCTAGTTAAACTAAAGAGCTTTTCCATGGCAAAAGGAACAGTCGGCAGAGTCAACAGAAAACCCACAGAGTAGGAGAAGATCTTCACAATCTATACATCTGACAAAGGACTAATATCCAGGATTTACAACAAACTCAAACAAGTCAGTAAGAAAAAGAAAAACAAACAATTCCATCAAAAAGTGGGCTAAGGACATGAATAGACAATTCTCAAAAGAAGATACACAAATGGCCAATAAACATATGAAAAAATGCTCAACATTACTCATGATCAGGGAAATGCAAATCAAAACCACAATGCAATACCACCTTACTCTTGCAAGAATGGCCATAATCAAAAAATCAAAAAACAGTAGATGTTGGCTTGGATGCAGTGATCAGGGAACACTTCTACACTGCTGGTGGGAATGTAAACTAGTACAGCCATTCTGGAAAACAGTGTGGAGCTTCCTTAAAGAACTAAAAATAGAACTACTATTTGATCCAGCAATCCCACTACTGGGTATCTACCCAGAGGAAAAAAAGTCATTATTCGAAAAAGATACTTGCATATGCATGTTTATAGCAGCACAATTCACAATTGCTAAATCGCGGAACAAATACAAATGCCCATCAGTCAATGAGTGGATAAGGAAACTGTGGTACATATGTACGGTGGAATACTACTCTGCCATAAAAAGGAATTAATTAACAGCATTTGCGGTGACCTGAATGAGACTGGAGACTATTATTCTAAGTGAAGTATGGAAATGGAAAACCAAACATCGTATATTCTCACTGATATGTGGGAGCTAAGCTATGAGAACGCAAAGGCATAAGAATGATGCAATGGACTTTAGGGACTTGAAGGGAAGAGTGGGAGGGGGGCGAGGGATAAAAGACTACAAATATGGTGCAGTGTATACTGCTTGGGTGATGGGTGCGCCAAAATCACAAATCACCACCAAATAACTTACTCATGTAACCAAATACCACCTGTACCCAAATAACTTATGTAAAAATAAAATAATAAAAATTTAAAAATATATAAATAAATAAAAATATCAAACTTATTTATCTTGCCCTTGCAAGATAAACAGCAATAAAAAAAGAAAGAAGACTTAGGAAAATTGTATCTCCTGTACAATGTCTAGAATTCTTTCTCCCTGACTTATTTACATGCTCCCCCAAGTCCACAGTATACCTTATTACTAACTAATGCGCACTTTGTTTTACGTTTAGCCTTCTCTCCTTCTCCTTTCTAACTTCACTATGGACATTGAGACCTGCTTTTCCCACTTCATCAAACACTATTTTCATTATTTTGGCTCCTATGGTGTTGACTATAATGAAAAAGGCTGAAAATCTACAACAAACTCCAGGAACTCAATGAGTTAATGTGGGCTGGGCTCTGACTCTCAACTAAGCATGTCAGGATGAAAAGCATTCAGGAAACAAACTCCCATACTCTCTCTCCAGTCTCCCCCTTCATTACAGACACTGTCACATAGAATTCCCCTATAAGAAGACTTCCCCGGAATGAGAGGCCACACACGGCTGCCCTACCAGGGCCAGTAATGAGTGCCATCCGAAGTTCAGAGCTGGAGCCCAATTATCTACATTTATTGCATCAGAGGCTTCAACCCTTATGAGTTCTGGGGTGCAGAAATACAACACCTCCTCCTGGGATGTGATCTGTCTATGAGAGAAGAAATATGAATCTGCCATGTGGAAAAGGATTAAAAAAAAGAAAACTGAGGGTTACTGGCCTGGAAGAGAGGTATTTTGTGATGGTTGCCTTGACATCCCTGAAAAGCTGCCAAGGAGAAGGAGGAGAGGGAGTAAAAGGAGTAGGAGGGTAACAATGATAATAGGAGCCAACGTTTAATGAGGGCTTGCTGTGGGCCAGGCACCATGCTAAGCGTTTCACTTGAAATTCTCCTCCAGTGCTCACAATAAACCTGTGACATAGATACTATTCTTGTCACAATTTTAGATATGAGGATTAAACAGGCTAAATGGCTTGCCCAAGGTGTAGAGCTAATCAGATATTGAAGCGGGATTCTATCCCAGACAGAACCAGACAGAAATATTGGACTCATGGTTTTCTAGACTGGCTACACATCAGGATCATTTAGGAGAGCTATTCCAACTACTGATTCCTAAACAATCCAGAGGACATATGAAATCAGAATTGCTAGAGAAGCTTCCTGGATAATGACGTTTCTTGGAAGCTTCCCTGGTGGGTCTGATGTATGCAGTCAGGTTTGAGCTCCTTTGGAGAACACACAATTTGTGTGACCTATAGGGACAGAAGGACAAGTTGAGACTGGAGAACTACTCTACATTCTACAATCAGAGGTTTCACCGAGAAAAATGCATTTATACTGAAAACTGAATGGCAACAAGGAATCAGCCCAAGAAAGAATTGGGGGCAGAGGGCTCCAGGCAGAGAAAATAGCAAGTGGAAAGGCCCTGGAGTGCAAATAAACTTGAGGTATTCAAGAAAGGAAAGAAGGCTGGTGTGCCTGCAGCACAGTGAGCGAGCGGGAGAGTGGCTGAGACCAAATCAGAGGGGCAGGAAGGAACCCAATCGAGTGGGCTTGTGGGTGACGACAAAAAATTTGGATTTTATTCCAAGTGCAATGGAAAGCCAGTGTGGGGTTTTAAGCAGAGAAGTGATGACTTTTGATTCACAATTTAAAAAGATAATCTTAGGTTCAGACTTATTATAAGAGGGCAACAGTGAAAGCAAGGAGCACAATTAGAAGGTTATTAATAATAAGGCAGCAATCCAGGCAGGGAAGAGGGTGGACTGAGCCACAGCAGTAATTTCCTTCTCTGAGTTGTTATGGGGAATAAGTGAAATAACATAAATGCACCCAGGACAATGCCTGGCACAGAGTAGATGATAAAATATTTGAATTTCTTTCTTTCAACTCTGTGCTACAGCAGGGAGCCAGGCTTTAGATCAAAGGAAGAAAGGAGTTTCCTAGAGTCAGGGCTGACCTAAGATGGCAGGTGCTAACTCTGGGAGTGATGCACTTCCTAGGAAGGGGGAACTGACAGATCACTTGGCAAGCATAATAAAACCATGGTTATGTTCAGGTCACTTCTAATCTCAATAACCTATGATTTCCAATAATTCATTCATTCGACCCATATTCATTGAACAGAACCTATATCCTGGGTATTGTGCCAGGCACTGTCATTCAACTAGTGAACAATAAAAGTGGCTAAGGAAATTGAGATTTTTACTGCCTGTCTGACCTTTGGTAGTTTGCAGTTCTTTATTCAAAGCAGTTGTGAGAATACAGTCCTATATCACAGCTTGGAGTATATTAAGGTGATGTTTTATGCCCTAAGTTTTTTAAAACTCTTTATTGATTTATTTAGCAACTATTTATTATTTGGCTATTGTGTGTTAGGCACTGAGGATAGAAGGATGTAGGAAAGAGGCTACCTGTCCACCAAAATTTATGATCCTCCTTCTGCATACCTGTTACTAGGAGTAGTTGCCAGATGCTACATGCCCCAGCATCGCTTGCAATTTGGTATGGCCATGTGATTGAGTTCTTGCCATGAGAACGTGGTGTGAACAACAGTGATGTACACACTTCTAGTACTGGTCTAAAAAAAAAAAAGCCTTCTGCAAGGCACTCCTTCATACTCTTTTACTTTCCAGCTGGATTGAATGGAGAAGTCTTTAGGAAGACTTTGAAAGCCACTTATTGATGATGGCAGAAGTTCAGACCATCCTGCCTATCTGTTCACTTGCCTCGTAATGTTATCTGTGCAAGAAATAAAAGTATAGTGTATTGGAGCTTTCATATATCTTTTTGGTCCCTCTGTTATAGCATTTACCCCACTGTTCTACATGAGGAGGATAAGACAGGCCTCCTCCTGAGTCTCAGAGCTGGTAGTTGTGTTCAGGAGACCATTTACTTAAAATCAAGGTTGTGATTAGATGAGATAAGCTTAAGCTCCCCATAGAAACACATAACAGGGGCATCTAAATCATCCTGGGGGATCAGAGGGATGTTGCCCAAGTTGCAACCTAGAGGGTAAACTGGAGTTTACCAGAAGGGGAGAGAGGAAATGTATTCCCATTAGAGGATCAGCAGAAGTAAAGCCCAGGGCAAGAAAGAACATGGGGTATTTGAGGACATGGAACAGGTTCAGCTGGGCTGAAGTGAGGGTAGAGGGCAAAGTTGGGGAATGGTAAGGGAGATTGTTGGAGGGTAATAGCATCTGCTATATCAGCAGAGGAAAAGAGTTCTCATGTCCTTATTAGAACACCAGGCTGAGAGTCTCCAGCTTTAGCAGAGTTAACACCTTCCCAGACAGATGCACTGTTCTGCATAGCTCCTTTCTTTCCTCCTGCAAGTGAAGGGCCAGCGTGTGCATGTGCACGTGTGTGTGTGTATGTGTGTGGTGTGCTGAGGGTGAGAAAGGGAGGCAAAGAGAAAGGGGAGGAAGGTTGATTCAGTTATTCTTGACCTGAGTCACATCAGAAAGCCAACAGAGGGTGTAGGCTCTCAGGGTGTTGCCAGCCTTGCAGGATGAAGGCTGTGGCGCCGGGAGATTTGTGCAGTGGGACCACCAGCTTTGGCAGGTTTAACAGAAATGAACGGTACCAGCCCAATTCCAGCTTAAATAGACAATATTGAAACTCTGCCAGAAAGAATCTGAGCAATATTTTGCAAACTTTAATAACAGCTCAGAGAAACCGATCAGAGCATTTGGCTTCACAGTGCGTTATTGCTCAGCTGGACCCATGTAATAGCAGAGAGGAATGAATCTATTTTTTTTCCATTTCCAGAGAATAATATTTTTCTTCCTCCCAAACTGTGAGGAATTCAGTGAAGTCTCAATGTATTTGTCTTGTTTCTTATTTCAACTTCTCGATAAATCCCCCAAAGGGTTTTGGCACCCACAGTTAAGGCAGTCAGTTTACTGCCTGAAATATCTTCTCCTATTGGAAATTATATTTCTAGAAACTGTAACTTTCTTTGGCTGAGACTTTAATTTGTGGCTTTGATGTCCCACATGCAAGGCACTGACCATGACAATTAGGTAGGTTTTTGGATATGCTGAGCAGTGGAGAGTTCCATATATTATTTGGAATTCAAGAGTAATTGACATCTTCCCGGACCTCTGTAGTAGAAAGAAGATAGTTTTGGAACCTGAAATGGGATAAAATCTCAGGTCTACCTCTTATGAACTGGGTAACTTAAAAGAAGTGGTTTAAGCACTATGGGCCTCAGTTTTCTCTCACCTGTAAAATGAGGACATTCCTGAGCTCCCAGGTAGATTATATAAAATAAAGGGTATCAAGTGCTTGGGATAGTGTCTGGCTTTTAGGAGAATCCCATCCAATGGCATCTCCTTGCCTTCTCTTCCTTTCCCTAAAGGCTGGGAAAAGAGGTTGTGAAGCCCCAGATGGCAGCACAAGGTATTATTTCTAGGTTAGCATATGAACTCCTCACTCCCAGTCTGGAGAACAGGAAAGGCCCACATAGCACTTTTATCATTCTGGTAAAACAGCTGGGTTAGGGAATCATGTAGATTTTTGAAATGGTAAGTTGTTTCCCATGAGAACAGGGGTCTCTGACGAGTCCAAAGGATGGGGTAGCTCCACTCAAATGGCAGCCTTCAAAAACAGAGGTTGCCAGCTAGTTGTGAGTAGAACTGGTTCCCACAGTAGAGCTGCTCAAGTTTGGCTCACCTTTGGGACAAATGAAGTGGTTTGGCCTCACTTTGGGAGTAATGTTAAAGGAAAGATGAACTGAGATCTTTTTATCTTAGAGAATTGTTTTCCAAAGAAAGACAAACTAGAAAAACTATGGCAAGGCAGAAATTAGGGGAGAATTATTTTCCTTTAGATAAGACTGGTGGTTTCTCGATGTTTTTTGGTGAAGACTACATGAAAAAGATTAAAACACTCTTTCTCATTTGTCAGTCTCTGCTTGGATTCTACCTCCCTAAAAGGCCTTCCTTGACTACTTTTCTCCTTGAAGAAGGCATTGTCTATTTCCTAACTTTGCTTTATGTTTGTCATAATATTTATCATCATCTGAAATTACACATACTGATTTGGTTTTGCATTTAGAACTTGTCTTCCCCAGTGGAATGTACTCAGCTACTGCATCTCACTTGCTGCTGTCTTCCTGATGTGGCATTTAAGTAATATTTATTCACTTTGGGAGGCTAAGGTGGATGGATCACTTGAGGTCAGGAGTTCAAGACTTGCCTGGCCAACATGGTGAAACCCCGTCTCTACTGAACAATACAAAAATTAGCCAGGCATGGTGGCAGGTGGCTATAGTCCCAGCTACTTGGGAGGCTGAGGTAGGAGAATCACTTGAACCCAGGAGACAGAGGTTGCCGTGAGACAAGATCATGCCACTGTACTCCCACCTAGGTGACAGAGTAAGACTCCATCTCAAAAAAAAAAAAAAAAAAAGAAATACTTATTGAAGGAAGCAATAAATAATACAAATTATATATAGTCATTATTTTTTGTTGTTTTTTAGAGATAAGTAAGTCATAATAAAATTTAATTATTTCTATAAAATGAAACATTAAAAATGAATAATTTCTTAGCAGCTATGGCCAAGTTTTTTGGATTTCTAAATATTTTTAGAAGCAGAATTGATTTTTATCCACTTTTTCTTACATAAATACTCTCAAAATGTTCATTGTTTGGCTGATGCATTCCAAGTTATGTTTAGGTAAGTATGTTACATTTTAGAATTTTTATCCACTTCTTGGTAATCAGAAGGTATAATCCAAATAAACTGTCAATTCTATTGTCATTTTTCTTGAAATCTGCTCTGTTGTTTCAGATGTGTAAACCTCAAACCTCAAATTTAGGGTAAGATGCCATTCTCAGTCCATTAACAAATAACATACATTTATATGGTCTTTAAATACATATGATTATTATAAGTCTTTTTTTTTTTTTAGACGGAGTCTTGCTCTGTCGCCAGGCTGGAGTGCAGTGGCGTGATCTCAGCTCACTGCAACTTCTGCCTCACGGGTTCAAGTGATTCTCCTGCCTCAGCCTCTGAAGTAACTGGGACTACAGGCATGTGCCACTATGCCCAGCTAATTTTTGTATTTTTAGTAGAGATGGGGTTTCACCATGTTGACCAGGATGGTCTCGATCTCTTGACCTTGTGATCCGCCCACCTTGGCCTCCCAAAGTGCTGGGATTACAAGCATGAGAAGTCTATTTTTAAAAACATGTATACTGGTGCCCTCAAAGCTTAAACATTTTGATAAAGGAGGAGTCGTTTTCATCATGCAATCAAATGTCAATCTTACTACAAAGTGAAAGAGATCTTAGCAGTGGGAATAGATAAAGCTTCAATAAGATACTTTATACTTCAGAGTGAAATTCATTTTGTTCTCAGTTGTTGAGATCATATTTGAAGAGTGGAAGGGGCAAAAGAAACAAGGACCACCATGACTGGTGATTAGTGTCATGACAGTCCACCTGGGAAACAGGCAAATAAACATCCAGTATTCACAGCTCACTTGGGACTTTCTTTATTCTTCATAAGAATGTGTGGAGCTTTCTGTCTCTCTCATTCTTTCCTTAATGCTCTGCAAAAAGAACTGAAAGCAGTCCTGGGAAAACAACGCAATAGTATTTGCAAACGTTTGATCCTGGAGCAGGGATTCTCTGCCACGGACTATGTGATATGCTATAAACTAATCTCTTTAAGCCTCTTAAATGAGGTAGTAATAGGACCCACCTTCTATGGTTGTTGTGAGATTAAATAAGCTGACATACATTGTCAAGCACTCAGGAATTCCTCAATTAATGAATATTCGCAGTTATGAGTAGCTCTGGCTTGTGACTACTTCAGCCCTTTAACAGATTCTTCTACAAATGCCACACTGCAACGATATTTGTTTTCTTAAAATATTGAAGCAGAGAAGCCTCACTGAGCAGCAACATCTCATTTGCCAGCGAGACCTAGTGAAGACTGAGGAAGTCAGCAGCCATGTGCCTTCATAGCATTAGAGCAATTACACCCTGCATTATTAAACTCCGTGGTATACAGTTCAACTTGCTAAATAATAAGAATTAAATACAGCCCAAATAGTAGCACTTTGCCTCAACCGTGAAAGAGTGGCACTCACCAATGAAACTCTCTAGCTAAATTACCAAGTGTGAGGCCTAAATTTAGGACGGGGCAATTCAGGAACAGTTGATTACTGGATCTAAGATTATAGATGTTCTTGTGAACTGTTGAAACTGATGGAATAAATATAAAATAATGGATTATTACAGAATTAGGAAAAAAACCTCGCCTGGGCTGGCTGGAATTGTTCTGCACTGTTATAAGAAATGATTGCTGAAAAGCAGTTGCAACTTGTGCCTACAAAAGGCAGCACAAATGACATCCATCTTCTGTAAGAAATTTGATATGGAGACTGAATAGAACAATATATTTTACTATCAAATTTGGCCCTTAAGATGTGATGTTATGCTTTAGGAGGCTGGAACTTCTCTTATGCTTTATTTGGATGAAAACAGAAACAACAGAAACTCGCAGCACGGCACTATTAAGGAGACCAGGTAAAGTCATGCTGCAAAAAGTTGGAAATCTACCTTCTCGTTTTCTAATCAGCCCTGAGAAGACCAAAGGGCAGAAGGGACATAGTTTGTGCTTTGGCACAAGACTGACCCCATGGCTCTGCCACCTCTGAACTGTGTAATAGCAGCCAGTTCTTTGACTTCCTTAAGTCTTGCCTTTCCCATCTGTAAGTTGAGGATGGTGGTTATGATACCATGTCCACAGGATTGGTGTGAGGGTCTGGGTTAGATGGTTAATTATTCCATTCAATCCTTGCAACAATCTCACTGTAAATGCTCCATAAATGGTTGACATTGTCCATGATTACATTCCACCTCCATGTCTTAAAAATTTTGTAACCTTGGATAAATTACTCTAGGTGTCCCTGTCTCTTAGAGAAAAAAGATGGAAAAAAATGACTAATGATCGTACCTACCTTACCAAATTGTTGGGATACACTAATGAGTTACGTAGAGCATATTTATCAGCCCTCTATGTATCAGCTGCTGTTATTGTTATAACTATGACTACTGCAACTATTTTAAGAATCAGTCAAGTCCATGGGAGGAGATTCGAAGGAGCAACCCTTCCTGGGTTGTGGTCCTAATAGCTATGTGTTGTCAAACCAATAATATGATGAGAGTCTTGGATTTGCTGTTCCTTTCCCCAGCTGTAAGAAGAGAAGCCTGGAAGCCCTGTCTATGGGAATGCCAAGAGCCAGCTGAGGTTATATCACAATGCCACCCAGGGCCTCTTACTATGAGAGGAATTGGAAGGTGGGAAGCTGGAGGCAGAAGGCTGGAAAGCCATTAGCTCAGGCTTTCTAATCTTGTAGGACCTTGATTGGGACTTCAGATGTCTTTGCCCAATAAAGTATTTTTTGTCATTAAAATCATGCAAATATAAGAATCAAATGTAAACATTAAAAAAATTCAGAAATATATTGGTAACTGCATCTTGGCACTGTTTTCTGCTGTTGCCTCTCTTCCATCTCCTCCTTCCTTTTCTCCCTCTGTTCCAATGCACTGCGAGCTTCAAAGAATGGAAGCAAACAAGGCCTTTCTCAAACTGTATCAGGTCTCCATACCACCTTCTCTATCAAAGCTCATGTGACCAAGATTTGAGCTGCCTACATTTGTGATTTGGTTATTTGTCAAAAACAAAACAAAACAAACAAACAAACAAAAAGAACTTCAGAATATTAAGTAGGAAAGCACAAGAGCTCTCTAAAGAGACACACATGGCTTTAAACTCCAGCTCTAGAAATACTTCATTAAGCTTCTGTTTCCTCATCTATAAAATGGGGGTAGTAATAATATCTCACTCACAGGACCACTGAGAGGGTTACGTGAGATCATGCATCTGACATTTTACCAGTGTTTGGCATAAGTAAGGGATTATACATGCTAGCCAATATTTTTGGTCTCAAGTCTTAGTATCCAGAAAGCTAGTACTCTAGTAGCCAGAATTTTCCTTTGTGATAAAATCAATTAAAATTTATCATTGTAATCATTTTTAAGCATACAGTTTAGTGGCAGTAAGTGCATTCTCATTGTTGTGCAAACGGAATTTCCTCCTATTATGTGGATAAGACCCTTGAGACCCTGAATCATATCTCAGGACTTGCCCAAAGTCACAGCGAGTCCTGGAACTTACATCTTCCAACCCTTCAGAGTTCCCTAGAATTTCAAAGGCTATCTCCTTGTGCTGACTCAGCTGTTGGAATGAGTAGTGAAGCTATAGACATAAATTATATCATTCATCTAGTCAACACATTCATTCTATAAATATTTTTGAACATCTACCATGGAAAGGACACATGCAAGAGATTAGACAAAAAGCATCTGTTATTTCTTTACAATAGCCTTATCAGTATTTTGGTTAGTTTTTACTTTTGTCCTTTTAGAAATGAGGCCATGAAGATCCAGACAGGTTTGGTAACTCTTCCAAGGCCACAAAGAAAATAGTGAAGATGGGATTCAACACCAGTGGACTATCACTCCAAGAGATTTGCGTTGAATCTGATTACAGGGCTTGTTAAGATTTTTTAGGAATACAGTTTTTTTCCTCAAGCCATAACAACATTATACCAATATGGTGGAGCAGGTCTTTTTTTACCATGGAAAAAAAGAAAACACCCAGATTCTTCTGTGAACCAGAAGTACCTGAAGTGGAAAAGAAATTAAGTCTCATTGTCATACACTGAGAACACTGTTGAATTATCACACCAGGGTATTCTTATGCCATGAGGATGGGGATGATGGTAGTGGTGATGATGATGATGATAATGGTAATGGGAATGGTATGGTGATGATTATAATGCTGATAATTATCAACCATGGATCACCTAGTACATACAAAGCTCTACATTTAGATATATTCATACATGTAATATTTGCTGAGTATCTTCTCTTTGTTAGGCACTAGGAATATAGTAGTAAATAGGACAGCTATACAAGGTTCCTGTTCTCATGGAATTTACAATCTAATGAACGATAAGATTTTAAACAAATAATTGCATATAGTAATCCTCAAACAGCCATATGAAGTTGGAATGATGACAATAATAACAAAACTACCAAGACTCTTCTATTACTGAGTACCTATTATGTGCCAGACACTCTTCTAGCTGCTTTACATACAAAATATTTTGTTCTACAGGTTACACAACCTTAATGGGCACCAGTTTCCTCCCAGCAAATATGAGCACAGATGGGTTTTTCTTACACCAAAGACTTTCCATCATACTCTGCTCTTAGGCTAGCCTTGGATTTATTTTCTACCCAGGCCATTTGTTCTTCCCATCCAGGGTTGGGATCTCGATATGTGGGCTAGGATACCAAAGGGTTTGGGTGCTCACCTTCTAATGGCCACCAGGTCTCTGTAAGCAAACACTCTTTTTTCATGTAGCCAACATAAAGGGAGACAGAGATTCCCAGCCACAACACTGGAATCTTCATGGGGGCTGTGTGCAGGTTTCTTCATCTTCTCCACCCTATAGAGCCCTGGAGAAGATGCCATCTCCATTACAGCGGGGCTTTCCCAGGACATGGAGGTAATTAGGCATGATCTTGGTCATTCTTTTGGAAGAGTCAGGGATATCTCCATATTCCTGAATATCCTAGGCAAGATGGCAATAAATTCATTAATAATATTATCCAAAATTTGTGCAGCCTGCTTCAGCTTACCTCTCACTAGCTCATAGGTTATCTCAGGTGATCCTCATTAAAATCCCTGTAGGGTATCTTTATTTATAGATGAAACTCAGCAGCCCTGTAGAGAAGCCCACATGATGAGGAGCTAACGCTTCTTGCCAACAGCCACGTGAGTGATGTTGGAAGCAAATATTCTAGCTCTGGTGGAGTCTTCAGATGACTGCAGCCCTGATTGACACATTGACTGCAACGTCAAGAAAGACTGCATCAGAAACACCCAGTTAAGCCACTCCTAGATTTGTGACTCTCAGAAACCATGAGATATAATAACGTTTGTTGTTTTAAGTGGCTAAATTTTTGAATACTTTGTTAAGCAGCAGTGGATAACTCATACGAAATTTAAGAATACAGAAATTCATTTTTGGAGTCAGACAGTTCTGGATTTGCATTCTGGTTTTGCCAGTTATGAGCTTTGTAACCTCGGGCAACTCATTCCACATCTCTAAGCCTCAATTTCCTCATCTGCAAAATGGAGGTAATAATGGTATTTGTACCCTAGGGTTTTTCCCCCTGAGTAATTGAAATGGTGCTTGTTAAACACAATGCTTGGCACCTAGTACGTAGTCAGTAAATGGAAGCTATAATTATTGTTATTATAATCTTTTGAGCTCATTTGGCAAATATTTAAAATACTGATTCTTCTTAAAGTGCCGACTACAAGCGTTGCTCAATTGGATTATGCAAAAGGAATTTTTTTACGAGGGAGGCATGCTCAGTCAGAGAACACAGGTCTTGCTTGAGATTGCCCGTGGTGCTGAAGGACAAGCCAAGATTAAAGAGTCAACCAGCAGTTGACTGAGCTTTTTTCTCCTTGTCCACAAAATGCTGATGAACAGCATTTTGTAATGTAATTAAGATTACACTGAAGAATGAGCCCTCTATCACCCCATCATTCAATCACCTTTTCCTTTACCAGCAGGAGCCAAGAGCTCGGCTTTACCTTCCCCTACAAACAACCACCTGACCCCCAGCTCATTAGTGCCATCCCTGGGATAGTATTCATTGATTTTAGGGACCAGAGTCCAATATTTCTCTCCCATCTGTCTTTATGGTCTGCACCGAGGTCAAAGTTAACTACATACTCATTTTCCGGGAGGACATTTCCTGATGCGAGAGTGATTAGAAACTTCTTCTTACTTCCCATTCTTCATACTCAAGTTTCTGTTCTTCTTGGCCCAATGGTTCATTCTATCTGTGTAATCTGAGGGCAGGTGTAGAAAATGGCTTACCTTGAAAACCATAAATTATCTGTACTCATCACTTTCAGAACAGGACTCATTAAAAAAACTTATTTCCCACAACAGTGTTCAGAGAGATGAGTTGCCTTTTAGCACACTAACACCTCTGCCTCTTTTAAGACCATTGAGCTTACTTCTTAGACCAATGTAGTAAGTCAATCCATACTTATCAAAACAAACATTTTGATGTGACTATCTTCTTAAGTGGTAAGTGACTTTTTCATGGAGAAGTTTAAGATGATTATACCTTTTTGGAAATAATCCCAACTCTTGATAAGCATACTGCTGGCCTAGGGGACAAGGGATTTGCCTGTTTGTTGTGGCGTGGCAACGGATGAGCTCTGTGAATCTGGGCAGGTCACGACATCTAAGTCAAATCAGTTTCCTCATCCATGAAATGGGGATACCTGCTCACCTACTCTTCAAAGTTTTCATAAAAATCAAATGGTATGGTATCAACAAAGTACTCTAAAAATAATTTAAATAGCTTCAATGTATATAAACATTCCAGTTATAAGAAATTCCGCAATAAATAAACCAGGTTTTACTAATATTCCTCCAACACACAAAACAAAACAATGATATTTGAGTGATATATGCAATATGTGTATTTATTTATTTGGAGACTGGGTCTCACTCTGTTGCCTAAGCTGGAGTACAGTGGCACAATCATGCCTCACCGAAGCCTTGACCTCCCTGGGCTCAGGTTATCCTCCCACCTCAGCCTCCCTAGAAGCTGGGACCCCAGGCACATGCCACCAAACCATGGCTAACTTCTGTATTTTTTTGTAGAGACAGTGTTTCGTCATGTTGTTCAGGCTAGTCTCAAACTCCTATGCTCAAGTGATCCACCCTCCTTGGCCTCCCAAAGTTCTGGAATTACAGGCTTGGCCCCATAAGTGTAAATAATAAAACTGTATGGATAAAAGAGAAATTAAGAATTTACATTTGGCAAAGGAACTGAAGAAAGAAAGTTAACACAAAGATGACAGATTGTCAAAATATAGGCCAGAAAACCTTAAAGTAGGTATCTTGAATCACAAGAAAATCAGACAAATACCAGTAGTTAGTCTCCCATTATCTGAGGCCTTGTTTTCCATGGTTGCAGTTATCCTTGGTACAGTAGGTACAGTAAAATAAGATATTTTCAGAGAGAGAGAGAGATTCACATTACTTTTATTATAGTATATTGCTATAATTGTCCTATTATATTAGTTGTTGTTAATCTTTTACTATGCTAAACTTATAAATTAACTTTATTATAGGTAGGTATTCTGAGGAACAAACATAGGGTTTGATATTCTCTGTGGTTTCAGGCCTCCACTGGGGGGTCTTGGAACATATCTCCCACAGACAAGTGAGGACTGCTATAAACAGAAAAAAAAGGCATGACCACCTTCCCTGCCCCTGCCACATCCCCACTCCTGCCTCCAAATCTAAGGATTTAAACAGGTTTCTCTCAAAATGAGAAATGTAACTGGCTAAGGAGTATGAAACTATGCTCAAAGTCCCTGATTATCAGAAAATGCACATTAAAACAGTCAGATACAACTTTACATCCATCAGATTGGCCAAAATTAGAAATCTGGATAATGCCATGCACTCTGCAGAGAGTAGACAATGGTTTCCCCATCTGGGCTACAATCTGGCAACATGGAGTGAAAGGAGGCCCTCACCTGCTCTATGATCCAGGAAGCTCCATCTTTGGTCTAAAGCAGATAAATTCTTCCCAGTTATTTATATGAGGCAACCCACATGTATTTGACTAGGGTAGTAGGTAAGTAAAATGTGATGGAATGCTAGGCATCAAATAGAACCTTGAGCTAGATGTACACATAGTAACATGGTTAGATTTCAGAAGCAGTGTTGAATAAAAATGAAAAACGATGAGGTCTTAGAGCACAATATCATTTGTATGGATTGCATATATATCCACACTCAATAGTATATATTAAAAATATATCAAATGTATTGGCATTTTTGCATTAGTGGGTAGGGAACAGATGTGAAATTTGAAAACAAGGAGGGGAAAAATCCACAAGAGTCCCTTGAAAGAGCCGAAAAAATGGTATGCCATGAATCAAGTAGCACTGCTAACTCAACTCTGTGCACCTGAGATGCAAAAAGATAACCTGCATGCACTGTACCACTCCATTTTTTTTAAAAAAAACTATATACTCAGGTGCACATATACACTTGAAAGATCAAAGGCATTTGCAATGAAATATTAACAGTTGTTATTTCTGGGTGCTGGCACGGGATATAACTGTTATTTTCTTCTTTTGCTTATTATCTGCATATTCTAGACTTTCTACAGTGGATCTGCATTCCATTTATATGAAGGAAACAACTTCATATAAAATTACTTAAAAATCCTGGAGATATATGTCATGTTTTCCTGTCTCAGTAATCTGCACACATACCCAGAGTGTGAAACTTTGAAGGATTATGTCCCTGAAAGATGACACAAGTCTTCTGGTTGTTCTTCTCATGGAAATGGAGAGGTGTAAAACTTTAAAGAGCTGAGCTTTTGGCAGTTGTATTTACCAAAAGAAAGAAATCTGCATGAAGAGAGAGAAAATGGCACATTGGGACAATGATTTTCTTTCATTGGCTCCCACAAGATGCACAACTTCTCTTCCCTGGCACACAGTTTCAGCAAGGTTTATTTCTGGAAATAAGAGATGAAGCCGAGTTTTATATCTCAGAGTTAAGGGAACCCTGAGAATAATACCTAAGGGTTCTTAGAATCCACAGCAATTCTGACTTTCACATCCATCTTATACAGGTCTTCATCATGACCACATCATGACTTTTTGATCCCTGATTTACTTCAACCAGCAGCCATTGTTGGAGTACATACTGCGCATATATAAAGGTGCTAATTCATTTAACTTTCCAAAAAACCCTTTGAGATGGGTATTCTTGTTATCAATATTAGCAGGTTAGAAAATTAAAGCACAGACAGTTTAAAAATTTGCCCAAATTCACACAGTTAGTAAGGAGCAGATTGAAGATTTAATCCAGCCTGGCTTCAGAACCTAGTCTTAGTGGGTGGCTAAAGACCATTGTCTCTAGGAACTGCCAGATCTCTTTTCCCCTGCTAGAAATCCATTTGCAAGGAACACTTATATATCTGTCTTCTTCCATTCAGGTGTCAAATAATGCCATTGGCTTTTTTAATCACTGGGATTTTGAAACATTTGCAGTCCTTTCCATGGTGTGGCCCTTTCTGTAATTTTTTTTCACAAGGAATAAAATCTAATCACATTGATAGATGAAATACATATGTTGTTAATAATGATTATCGTAGCTAAAATTAAAATTCCTCTGAAAGAGGGAACCATCTTTGTTGGATAAAATTTTGTGATGAGCTCTACAGGGTAGAATGAGGACTAGTGCTCAAAACCATAAAAGTTGATGATAAAATGCCCTGAGTGAGATAGTAAGAGGAATTTTGTTTTGTGCCCAGAAGGAAAGTAGAGCGAAAACTAGGAAAGGAGAAGGAGAATTTATAGAGAGAAACCAAAAGAAGGCATAAATATCTGAAGGAATACCAGACACTAGCCCTGTGTAGGGTTTTATAAACAGGGATGTCCAAGGATAAATCTGAAGGTCTACAGACAACTTCTCTTCCTGGCACACATTCTCAATAGGGTTTATTTTTGGAAATAGGAGAGGAGGGTGAGTTTTATATCACAGAGGCAGCATGTGTGGAAGCCCAGAGTTAAGGGAACTCTGAGAATACTTAAGGCTTCTTTGAATCCACAGCAATCCTGACTTTCACACCCATCTTATTTAATATCTAGGTCTTCATCATGACCACCGCTGGCAAGCCATTTATTTTCTGCTTCACCAGGCAAACAAAACCAGGGCATGCCAAGGTAGGCAGATAATTATGTTTTTTGGAGACAAGATATCAAAGTTTACTAAGAAGCCTCGAGTTTCTGTGATTAGACACTGAGGTCAGAGCAGTTTTCAGAAGAGCTTCTCCAGCAACAGTGAACTTATTCAACAGCCTAGATCACCTGAAGATGGGAATTATGGAACCAAAAACATTAGGCCTACCGGTAATATAGTCTGGATGCCGCAAGGGGAGGAAGGGAGTGTAACAATTTGGCCATAAACTGTCCCAGCCACGTTACACGGTTCATTTTATGTAACTCTTATAACCCTGGGAGGTGGAGATTATTATTCCCGTTTATACAGGAGGAATCTGAGCTCAGAGAGATTAAATCATTTGGGCAACATTTCATAGAGTGAAGAAGTAGTGGTACCAGAATTTGACCCAGACCTGTTTCCAAAGTCTAGTCTCTTTCTACTTGGTTATACTCTTTCTTTTATAGGAATAATCAAAAGATACATAGTAGCTGCCTTCAGGGAATATTTAATAAAAAGGGACTAACTGGCAAAACATTCTCTTTTGATGTTTCCATCATTTCTGGTGACAGCTTCTTGCATTTATCACAGAATTTTCCAGTTGTAAGGGAAGTCTCAGAGTACCTCTAAACAGGCAGATCTTTCTGGGATTGGAAGGGGAGGGGTTAAGTTGAATTTTGATTGAGAAAATGTAACCTAGTCTAAGACAAATGGAAACCCATTTTAGGCAGAAGGATTCATTTACAAGAAGGTTGAGAAGCAGCTGCAGGAGGTAGGCAGCACGGTGGTAGCACTTCAGAGCTAAAGTGGAGAGGGAAGCGTGGATATAGAATGTGATTTTCAGTTCCAGGCAGGCTCAATTCTCATCAGCTAAGCAGATGTGTGTTGATTATCTACTATGTGGGTATCAAACACTGTGCTACATGTTGGGAACCCGTAGATGAATATGGCAGGAAACGCATGACCATTAGGAGCCTAGTCTAACAGGAGAGTTGTCAGTGGCCTCCAAAGTATCTGTTATTCTTTTCACCATCCTGCAAGGACTTGAACTTTCCAGCCATAAAGTCTGAGCCAATCATGACACTCATATCTCTTTTGCATCAGTGATTGGTTTAGGAATGGGCACCAGTCTTTCACTGATCCAGTGAGAGGAAGTGTGGAGCTTTTGTCTGCTTGTAAAAGAAAGAGACATTTTTTCTTTTCATCAAGATATCAGTGAAGAAACTTGTGCTGGAACTGTGGAAATCATTTTGATATCATGAAGGCATTAATCTAAGTTAGCCAGGAAGACAGGGTCAAGGGAAACACAGGAAAATGAAACCCTAATAATCTAGGAAACTTTAAATCAAACTGTACTTTAAACTTGCATTATCTCTTTTCACTTATGTGTACTCATATATTCCAGTTTGAGTTGGACTTTCTGTAACATGCAGAAAAAACATCATATCATTTCAAGGAGATATAAAAATAGATCATTCTAATATTTGGTAAGTGCTATGATATAAATATGAGTAGAGTGATATGAGATTTTAGAGAAGAGGCATTGACCCTCAATTCTGGGATACAGGGAATGATTTCTAAGTAAATGATGATTTATCTGAGTTTTGAAAGATGAACTAGAGTTAGATGAGGAAGGATTTCCAGGTAGAGGGAACAACATGTGTAGAGGTTCAAAGGCAGAAACTACGTTCATGAGAAATTTCAAATAATTTGGTGTTACTAGATAGTAACGTGCAATGCTTTGCTGGCTGGCAACGTGACTGAAGAGGAGCTGGGTTTCCCTCAGTAGGTGAAAAGGAGACAAAGTTTTAGGCAGGAGAGTGGTGTGTCTAGATTTGCATATGGCTGAATATGGAGGATAAGATTACAGGAAGCAAGACTGGAGGCAGGCTTTAAAAAGTAGGACATTGTCACTTGCAACAACGTGGATGGACCTAGAGGACATATGCTAGGTGAAATAAGCCAGGCAGAGGGAGATAAATATTGCATGATCTCACTTATATGTGAAATCTAAAAAAGTTGAACTCATAGAAGCAGAGAATAGAATGATGGCTACCAGAGGCTGGGGAGAAGGAGGGGCACGGATAGGGAAAGGAGAGACATTGATCAAAAGATACAGAGTTTCAGTTATATAGAAGGATTAGGTTCTGGTGATCTATTATACAGCATAGTGACTATAGTTAATAATAACATATTATGTATTTCAGAGTAGCTAAAAGAATGGATTTTAAATGTTCTCGCTATAAAGAAATGATAAGTATGTGAAGTGACAGATATGTTAATTAGTCTGATTTACTCATTCCACAATGTATACTTGTATTGGAACATCACATTGTATTACATAAATATATACAATTAGTGTCAATTAAAAATAAAAAAAACTTTAAAAATTTTATTTATTTATTTATTTATTTTTATTTTTTTGAGATGGAGTCTCACTCTGTAGCCCAAGCTGGAGTGCAGTGGCATGATCTCAGCTCACTGCAACCTCCACCTCCCAGGCTCAAGCAATTCTTGTGCCTCAGCCTCCCAAGTAGCTGGGACTACAGGCACGCACCACCACTCCTGACTAATTTTTTGTATTTTAGTAGAGACAGGGTTTCACCATGTTGCCCAGGATGGTCTCAAACTCCTGAGCTCAGGCATTCTGCCTGCCTTGGCCTCCCAAAGTGCTGGGATTAAAAATGAAGAAAAGATTTATTAATCTTATAAATTAAGACAGATTAAAATGGGAAAAAAATACTAGAAGCAGGAAGCTTATTGGGGGTATTAATTCATTCATGCTCAGTCACTATGCCAAATGGTGCCAGACAGTCACATACAACAGGGATAAAGAAAACAGACACAGATCCTGCTCTCAGAGTTCACTGTTAATTGAAATCGTTGTAAAAGTTCAGGTAAGAGATAAAGACACTGCAGAAAGGGACAGGGTCTCTGGAAATGGACTGGTAGGATCATTTCACCATGGAAGACATGAAATTCTTCCACTGTAGGAACTGTGCTTTGCTTACCCCAAATATAGCCTGATTTCAAATAATTAATCATTTTCTTATACAAAACACTACTATTCCACTTCTGTTCCCAATATAGGGATCATGTGGTGTGATTTCCACAGCAAATATTTCTATCTTCATTATGCCACATTACACACGGAGTCCTGTTCTTGCTCTTGGCTACTCTCATACAAACGTTGGCTCTGACTGTGGAGAGACAAAAGGATTGTTAGTCCAGCAGTCAAGCTGGTGGTCAACACTGATGGATTGGAGGAGGCTGGATGGAGGGTGGTGTTGAGAAGAATGCTAATGTTGCTCAGATTGATGTCTGATGTCTGCCATGGGCACAGAAAGGATCTTATGGCAATCATGAGTATATATTCGCTCATTAGGCATTAGCTCACTGTCTGTTTTGGCCACTATTTAAAAAAAATGATTACTGAATAGATGACTTTTTTTTTTATACATCAGAAGATGTACACCCTCTTCTGAAAACAAATGGAACAAATGGAAGCCAATTAAAATGCGATCAGCACTAACTGACAAAAAGCCCCAGAAAGCATTCTTATAAAAGCACTCTTTCAACTTGTTAACATACACCACCTTAAAATACTCAACTCTCTAAAACAAATGCAGTGTAAGATCAATACAGCTATGAGCTCTTTTTATTTATGAGAATCTGTTCATGCTTAGGGACCATCAGCTGAACAGAATTGCTGCCATTGCCAAAATACTACATAAACTAACAGTTATTTCATTTTATAAAATAAAAGGCATGTGTGTGTGTGTATTTGTAGAGTCATTGATCCCCCACGGATCCCAAAATCTGTGAATGCTCAAGTTCCTGAAATAAAACAATGCAGTATTTGCATATAACCTACTCACATCCTCTTGTATAATTTAAATCATCTCTAGATTACTTATAATATCTAATACAATGCTTACATATCACTTCATTTATGTGGATTCAATGTAGTATTTGGAAATGAAAGATATGAAACTTACATACTATAGGAACTGTGCTTGCTTACCACAAATATAGCCTAACTCCAAATGATTAATCATTTTCTTACACTAAAAAGTACTCTTCCATTACTGCTCATTGTGATCCTTATATTATGCACATCCTCCAGTATATGCACATACTTCCATATACTTTAAATCATCTCTAGATTATAATAAATACCTAATCCAATACCTACACATGATTTCATTCATGTGGATTCAACCTAGTATTTGGCACACAGCAAATTCAAGTTTTGATCTTTGGAAATTTGTGGAAGTTTTTTCCCAAATATTTTTGATTCATGGTTGGTTGAATCCACAGATGCAGAACCCACGGATTTGAAGAGCTGACTTTATGTACGTATGCATCACACACAATTTTCTTCAGCTGTGGTTTCTGGTCTCCCAAGTTATTTTATATACCCTATACAATAGTATCTTCTAAAAGATTTTGTGTTTTAGAAAGTAAGAAAGGTAATTCTAATGACAGGTAGCTTCTCACTAACAAAAGACATGCAATAATTCCAGGATTCCTGTGTATTGTCTGTAAGAAAACAGGCCTCCTTTGCTTTTGCTCTAAGCAGCAGCCACAGGCCCTTAGAGTGATTTTAGATGCAATGTAAACTGTAAATGGGATTATTTTTCAACAACATCATGAACTTCTGATGGAGTCATAGGTGGATGTTCCTGGAGAAGGCATTAAGTAAGATCCAGAGTGCTGTTGGCCTCATCACTATTTGGGTGACCATCAGCAGGCAGAAGCCTCTGAGTGAATGCAGGTGAATCCACACCCCCGATGTTGGGGGCGGGAATGCATGGGAGGCTGGAGATCAGGCTGAGCAGATCTCACCTGGGTCTTCACTTAGACTAAGTTTCTGGCCTTTGGAATGGGAGGCTCAGCCAGTCAGGCTAATTAGGAATTTCCCAGATCATGTGAGGAGAGTGGTCTGCGTGGGTAGGCAGAGCCAGGCAGGGCACGCCAACATGTCATTGAATTACCAGATCCCTGGTATGTGCAGGAGTCCCATGGAATAGAGATAAGACGTCCTGTGTTTGAATCCTGGCTCATCAAATACCAGCTTACCAGCCTTAGGCAAGTTCTTTAAACTCTCAGAGCCTCACTTTCCTAATATTAAGAATGGGAAAAATAAGGGAGTGATGTAAGAATGAAATAGAATATTTTATACAAAGTACCTGAAAGAGTATTTGGCATGCAGCATGGACACTCAAATAGAACCAATCTAAACTTGTTAATTGTGGTGAATGCCCCCAAATACCCCAAGGATTAAAGTATAAAATGCCAGGAAGGCAAAAATGGATTTTTTTTTTTTTTTTTGAGGCAGGGTCTCACTCTGTCACCAAGGCTGGAGTGCAGTGGTGCAATCTTGGCTCACTGCAACCTCCACCTCATAGGTTTAAGCGATTTGGCTTCCCAAGTAGCTGGGACCACAGGTGCCTGCCACCATGTCTGGCTAAATTTTTTATTTATTTATTTTTTTTTATTTTTGGTATTTTTTGCCATGTTGTCCAGGCTGATCTTGAATTCCTAGCCTCAAGTAATCCGCCCGCTTCAGCCTCCCAAAGTGCTGGGATTACAGGTGTAAGCCACTGCATCTCACCAAAAAATGGAGATCAAAAGTCAGTCAACAAATGTTGTTTTCCTCTAAGCTGTGAAACATGCTAGGCACTGGGGTAAATCCTAGGGAGTCAAAGAGAGTCTGTCCTACACAGGACTGCCATATTTACTAAATAGTTACCTTGTCCTATAGTGTTCTAAGTCCTTCACACTCACTCCTCACCACCCTATTATTACTGCCATTTAAAATGCAAAAACCAAGATACACAGAGGTAACTTGCCCAAGGTTGCACAGCTTAATCCTGAGGCAACACTAGCCCTTCCGATAGCTGTGGTCATAGGTATGTGCATAGGGGTGCCGTGAGTGAGAAACAGGAGGAGTGGTCAAGTGGTCGTGGGTGAGGAGCAGAAATCAGGAAAGGCTTTTTGAGGGAAGTGATCTATGATTATTACTAAGAACCCTTGAGTTTGGTCTTAGAATTAAACCTGATTCAGGTGCATTTTCTAGTAGTGGTTGTAAAACCGGGCAGCTAAGCTTCAGTCCACACATAACACAGAGAAGCACCAGGCATCTCAAATGATAGCAGAATCCCGTTGCTGCAATCAGGGCATCAAAGCCCGCCCTGGTTTTTGGTTATAAATAAGGTGACTATGAGGTTTGAAATGAGGTGACAAAGGTAATCTTGCACCCGAAGTTTTCCAGTCCGTCTAGTGTTCACCAGGTCTTTTTACGCCCCCACCTTTGCTGTGTGCACTGTAAACCTTTTGCTTTTGGGTTACGTGTGTTTTATCCCTGACTACTTCTTTCTCGGAATGGAAATTTAATCTGCAAAACTGTTCTGCGTTGCTGGCCCCAGAATTAAAAGCAAGCACCTTCAATGGGGAAATTAAATTTATTTGATATACCTGTACAAAATTGGGTCCAGCAACCATTTGGTTTGCAGGCTCACACAAAATGCTTTTAGCTATATTCCGTACCTAATACCTAATTCACAGCTGAAAGGGGGCCAACCTCAAAGACCTTGTCTCTCACTGATACAGAACAAGGTGATCATTAGCCAAGAGCGGGCATCATCTTCTGTTAGAGCTTCTCCCGTGTGCTCAGCATAATCGACAGCTGAGGAGTCTTCCTCGGGGAAACAAAATATTCAGTTGACTGAATTTTCATTAAAAAAAAAAAGAGAAAGAGAAATACCCAAGGGGAAAGATACTTCAATTATAAATATCTACATTTCCTTTTACATTCTCCTCTCTGAAGTTTCCTAGTCAGGCTCTGCCTGGGTGCCGCAGAGGGCAGAACCTAAGGTTTGAATTTGCAGGTATCTTGGCTTTAAGAAGAAGCTAAATGAAATAAGATTTGTCCTTCTAGAATCCTGTCTGTGTTCTGCAGTTTAGCTCCTATGAAAACTGTAGTTGTGTTTTCTTCCTTATGCTCATTTAGAGTACTTCTATGCCTGGTAAGAAATGAAGGCTGGGGAAAATGCAGAGGGTCTGGGCCAGAGTGCTGAATGCAAGGTAGCTTTTGCTAATGCTTGGAGGACCAGGATGGAGACAGGGATGCTCATGTAGAGAGGGGTCTGTCCAAAGATCTAGTCTGATCCCTCCTGTTACAAATGAGGTCTTACTCTGTGGTCCAGAAAGGATGAGTGACTTGTCCGAGGTCCCACAGCTTGTCATTGGCAGAGCCAGGAGGAGCACCTTATCATCTTTCTCCTGTCTTGGTAGTGCTCTCTTGACTAGCAGTCATCTTTGCTCCGCATCCAGTTCAGCACTTCCTGATAGCTGCCTTTGTTTGCTTGTTTCATTTTCTTGCTCCCTTCTTTTTTCTCCTCTTGCTTTTCCCAGTTCTCTTTCTTACTCCCTCCCTCCTTTCTCTCCCCTCATTCCCTCTTTTCCTTCCTCTTTCTCTTTCTCCCACTTTATCTCCTCCCACCCTTTCCTGTCTTCCCTACCTTTCATTTACCAAACACAGATTTACTGCCTATTATGGGCAGTGAGTGTAGAAGGCGCTGGGAGCTCACTGGTGGCCCAAGCACTCTGTCCTCCCTCCAAAGAGCTGAAATCTAAGTCAACTGTGGGGGATAAGGCAAGTCCCACCTTTTATCCTTTGTAAGAACCTGGCTTCTCTGCCAGTCCCGGCAGCAGTCCCAGGCCTGTGGGCATTCCTGCTGAGTATGGCAGTGAGATGAGTGGAGTGTGGTACCACTGCTGAGAAGTGGTGAGGGAGCCCACACAGAAAGAATCTGAGCTGAGCCAGGGTCCATCACAGACAGCATTGGCTGGGGAGACCTGAAGCCCCTTAAAGAGGTAGGAGAATGTCTCAGCCAATGTGGCTGCTTTAGTGAGAGATGGAACACTGTCTGGATATTTCTTCATGAGCCAGCTAAAGATCACACACATTCAATGTTCCCAATCTTCGTTTCTAGCAAAACTAAGTAGAGTAGGTATGGTTGGCATTTCAATGAGAAACTCGCAGAAAGGCAGTGTACTATTAGCTCTCTCTTTGCATGAAGGTGAAATCTAGAGTAAGTCATGTTCCCAAGTTCTGAGTTGTAGAATTTGGTTTTCTTACTACCAAAATGGGAATAGGGGCAATACATATTCTATACAATTTCTGTACCATGATTAAATAAATTATCTACAGTAAACTATCTTAAACTATAATGTTGTGTGCTATGTACTGTTATGTTTAAATAGAATGTCCTACCTTTTTGTATTTATGAGGATATATTATAAACTCTTTGTATCTCAGGGCCTAGTGAGTTGCCTTGCAAACAGCAGGCCATCAGTGTGTCTTTAGTATCAATGCTGACAATGGCAGGCATTTTAGGAAACTGTGTTCCTGATGTTGCTGCTGCTAAGATGAGGGCATGTCAGAGTGGTGCATTTTCTGTGCTCAGCACGATCTCTGAAGTTTAGTGTGTGTTCAGTTAGTTGCATAAATGTGAGTTAACCAACTAAACTATCCTTTAACCAAGGTCAGGTCCCAGAAAAGGAAGACAATCTTATCAATGGATTTAACATTGAAAGGCAACACAGAGGTGATTTCTGCGAAATCAAAACCCACTTATTCTTAATTCCAACATATTTACTGAGTGCCTGCTAAGCACCAAGAAGAAAATGCCCAGAATGAGAAATGTAACACTTGGGCTTGCAGTTTATAACTATCTCTTCTGTTAAAAAGTTCTTACATTTCACTCTTGTTGAAAGGGTCCATTGTATCCAAGAAAATTGTCTCAAACACTTTTTAGACATGGGTGGACTCTAAATTACACTGGCAACCACCACCATAACAATAATAATACTTAAACCATAGGCTCCTTCAAGCAAAGCAGATTTCATCCGTGTGAAAATTGGCCACATCTGTTGTGCACAAAAGATGAAAGACGTAGAGGAGGGTGATGGGAATAGGTCCATTAACCACTTATTTCAGAACATAACTTAAGTTTTGAAAAATCATTCTAGAGTCAATTCCCTATCTGTCAAGTATTAGGCTGCAGTGAACGTTTCCACCCTGGGGTCTTTCAGCCGGGGGTTGACAGGAGGGTGAAGAACAGTTGCAAAAATGGCAGTGATGTAACACTTAATCTTCCCAATAGCCTTTATCAGTGCTGCAGCCTCCTTGCTGGAAACGAGAAAGTTCCAGAGATTTTGATTCATGCCGCGTAGAAAGACACAGCGAGCTATGCTGGAAGTGATCTTAAGTCATATCTCCTGTGTCATCATCCATCTCGCCACACCAGGCTTTTTGGAGACAATAATTAATAACACGCATCTAAATTGTTTCCATTCCTTCTGTCCTGGGGCCTCACTCCTTCCTCCCACACAAACTTCCCCCTTCCTCACCCTATTTCTTCCCATGACAAATGAGTCATGAGAGTCCCTCTGCTTCCTACATGGCCACACCACATGACAGGCCTTTCTAACACTCCGGGGCCCACTGCACGGCTGTGCTGTTCCTTCAGCTTTCCACCATTCAGGTCAGGACTTGTCCCTCCTTGATCTCCTTGGCCTGTGATTTTCCATCTTTCTCTGGGCCCTCTCATGCTCTGAAATTTGCCTTTTCTTCCTCTCCCACATTGATTTCACCTCTCTACTTGCTCACCCATTCCCTAAAACCAATGCCTCCTGCTTGAGAGTCCTACAGATCAGGCGTTTCTATTCCTTACATTTGGTTTCCCTTATTTCTTTCCCCAATGCCTTTCCCAAATGTCCCCTCAATCCTAATTATCATGATGTGGCTTGATTCTCTTAAGTCGATGCCTTGGAATCCTGACACCTGCACAGACTTTAAATTAATAAGCTCACAGAATCACTTTCAAATCCATAGCTTAAGCCGCATCACTGTGATGAAACCAATACAGACCGTGGGGGCAGACTACAGAAGGAGGGAAAAATCAAATACATCTCTGAATCTAAAAAGAGCCAGGTGTGGACCTTACCCTTTATTTCATAAGTTATGTTTTCTAAAAAAACCATAAGGTATGCTCCATTCCCTCCAAATTTAGATGAACAAGAACAACAACAACAACAAAATAAAGTTACCCTGAATTCTTCTGGGGACAGCTGCTATTAACATTTCTTTATTTTATTTTATTTTATTATTATTATACTTTAAGTTTTAGGGTACATGTGCACAACGTGCAGGTTAGTTACATATGTATACATGTGCCACGCTGGTGTGCTGCACCCATTGACTCGTCATTTAGCATTAGGTCTATCTCCTAATGCTATCCCTCCCCCCTCCCCCCACCCCACAACAGTCCCCAGAGTGTGATGTTCCCCTTCCTGTGTCCATGTGTTCTCATTGTTCAATTCCCACCTATGAGTGAGAACATGTGGTGTTTGGTTTTTTGTCCTTGCGATAGTTTACTGAGAATGATGATTTCCAATTTCATCCATGTCCCTACAAAGGACATGAACTCATCATTTTTCATGGCTGCATAGTATTCCATGGTGTATATGTGCCACATTTTCTTAATCCAGTCTATCATTGTTGGACATTTGGGTTGGTTCCAAGTCTTTGCTATTGTGAATAGTGCCGCAATAAACATAAGTATGCATGTGTCTTTATAGCAGCATGATTTATAGTCCTTTGGGTATATACCCAGTAATGGGATGGCTGGGTCAAATGGTATTTCTAGTTCTAGATCCCTGAGGAATCTCCACACTGACTTCCACAATGGTTGAACTAGTTTACAGTCCCACCAACAGTGTAAAAGTGTTCCTATTTCTCCACATCCTCTCCAGCACCTGTTGTTTCCTGACTTTTTAATCATTGCCATTCTAACTGGTGTGAGATGGTATCTTATTGTGGTTTTGATTTGCATTTCTCTGATGGCCAGTGATGGTGAGCATTTTTTCATGTGTTTTTTGGCTGCATAAATGTCTTCTTTTGAGAAGTGTCTGTTCATGTCCTTTGCCCACTTTCAATATTTATTATTTCACAAAATTTTCCTGTGTATGGTGGATAAATGGTACATAAATAAACCATATACATGGATATGTGCACCTACATTATTACATATAGAGCTCATTCCCTATAACTAGTGTAAATACATGTGGTTAGCCTACAAGTTACAAATGGGTTATGTTTTAATGACTCCTTTTCACACTGCTGTGAGAACATATTTCCTCATTGAAGCAGTGTTATTCCTGGTATTTAGTTTCCCAGGCTACCCCTCAAAAATAAATTTAACCTATAAAATATAAGAAGAACTTTATCTAGGATAAAATGAACAAAAGAGAATCAGAAAAACCATTCTCCAATTTTAGCTCTGCCATTCCCAAATAAAGCCTCAGTATAGGTCAAGTTTCAGTTCAAAGTGCGTAAAGTACTAATGGGGAAGAAGTTCCCATTTTACCATCTTTAAAATAAAGATAATGATTCAAATCTTAAAAGAGTATAAAAAACTCTCTTAAATCACATATATGTAAATGGCCAGCTCCTAGCAGAACTTGATAAATGATTATAAAATGGGCAACAGGACCTTCTTAATGTAATATATCTGCATAAGATACACACACACACACACACACACACACACACACACACACACACGCACACATTCTTTTTAGCTACGGAATTCTTGGTTCATAGAGTCTTTTAGGATACTTTGGATTCAAGCAGATAGCAAGAATTCAGTCCAGAATTTAGCAACTGTAACACTCCTGTTTTGCTAAACTTCTGCATTCCTCATTTCCTACTAGGTTACTAATCGTGAGCTCTACTTGAGCCCAAGTCATCTTATAACACTCTACTGCTTGCTCATGCTGCAAACACACTGGCCTCAAGACATTGTAGGCATACCAGACCCTGCAGGCATCCAATTAGAAAAGACATTCAGAACCACTGATGGCTGCTCTCTGTTATGAAAGTAGACAAAACAAAGCTAAATACCCACCATGTTCTAAATTCCCTCCTTGTCATTCTTGCTCTGTTTGAAGGGGAACTAAATGCTAGAGAAGTAGTATCTTTAACCCACAGCTGTCCATGATTTAATCAGACACCTTCTGCCAGAAAGGTGGTTAAAAGTCACCATAATAAAAAAAGAACCATTAACCCAGCCCATTAACCAGTGACCTATCTGAAATGCTGAGACGGCAGAATCCAAGAGACACACAGAGATCTTTTGTGACTAATGTTGCCTTTTTGAAAATACCAATAGAGGGTTACTGTGTTCCAAGAATTTCTTTATCTTTGGGGACTGGCTATTTTCTTGACTCTGGTCAGGTCAGATTGTCTTGATTTCTCTTCAACAGAACTCCTCCTCCTTCCGTATGAAATGACCATACGGAATCTGCAAGTACAAGTTACAGCATCCCTGGGTCATTCAATTCAGGGGACACTCACAGGTTAGCCTGCATTCTGGGCCCAACTCTGAGGATCATCTGCTACCAGGATGGTCTCAGGCTTCATACTGCTGGGTGGTGGAAACTGATCAGTCTTAGCCTTCTTTCTCGAGGGGAAGGCCTGGCTGGTCCAGAATCACACCATCTGGAAGTCTGTCACCAATAGGGACTGTCAAGACCAGTCATGACCTTGAAAAAATGCAGCAAATCAAATGCTGTTCTTCTCCCGATGTTCAGTCATATTAGACACTGATCCCTTTTTTATTATGTACAGAGCCATTTTTAAATAAAATGCTTTCTCCTGACCTTGCTCACCATTCAGGTCAATGTTCCACTACAGGTTGCTTTATTCTGGCATGAGGGAATATTCCTTGCTACGGCAGACAGAAATAGCCTAACAACCTGGTTAAGCAGACCATTAGAGATACCAGAGATTCTATCCACCGGTGTCAGGCAGATGCTGAGAGTCTTGACCTTTCTCTCTGTCCTTTGAAAGGCACAAGCATTTGCAATGGAGAAAATAAAAGGAGGTGAGTATGTGCTAAGAGCCGGAATGTACTGGGCCATTCCCAATCTGTGAATTTAAAAGAGAACTGCAGCAGAACAGGAAATGGGCTGAAGTTTAGTCATTTCATTTTCCCTCCCTCTGAGACTATTATTGTTCTCTCTCTATCTGTAACATGAAAGATAGCCTGTGCTTTCATTATAAACCACTTTCCTCATCTGGATTTCTGAAGTCCTTATCTGTGGCTTGCCACACCTTACATGAGTTTATTCATATTGGTGATTGGGGAGTTAGACTATATTTCTGTCATTCATTCATATGTTTCCTTCCACAATTATTGTTATTATTTGAGTGCCTACTATGTGCCTGGCACCATGCCACTATGTTAGGTGCTAATACACTGAATTTTACTTAAAATATCAAAGAATATCTTATTGGCCTAGATTATACCAGGTTCTGTGTAGCCTCATAGATCATATACCTGATCCATTACCCCCCCTCATATGATTTCTACATGGAAGCAGGAGTAAAAAGGGTGGTGGCAAAATAAGACTAATTACTCCCTGAAAGGTCTGTTTACAAATGATGGGAATGTTTGAACTATTATCAGACGTTCCATCTGTCCCTTACTCTAAATTGAGGATATGGGAAAGTCGATATAGGTAACACCATAAAGTGACATTAATAGTAATCGCAGTGATACCAGCTTTGCCTGGCAGAAGCCTCTAAGAGGAAAGGAGTTGAGAATTGAGAAATGAGAAGGCCTCTGCTTGACTCAAATAAACCACGCTCATCTGCCAGGCCCCTGCACACCCAGGCCCAAACTCAGGGACTGTGGATTCTCATTTTAGATGTGTTCTATGAAAAGCTGGCTGACCACTTTAAAAATCCTCAGCAGACTAGAAATAGCAAATTAGTACACTTTGATACTTATACGGAAATGACAGCTATCAGCCACACAGGGTGAGTGAGAGTGAAAACAAAAACCGTGAAACACAGACACAGGACCTACAGAAGCATAGTGGACTAGAGATGTAGGCAAATCATTCTAACAGGTCTTGAAGCTGTTATAACTGTTCCAGCCAGTACTCTAGCTTAACAATCCAGGAGCCTATGTCTAACAGGCCAGAAATGTGACCAACATATTCTAGAAAGATTTCCATAGAATGGTTAAGATTGAAAAAGAATGCTTAATGCAGTGGTTTGACAATTTTGCCCTCCAAGGGACATCTGGTAATGCCTGGAGACATTTTTGCTTATCACAACTGGGAATGGCAGTGGGGTAGTGCCAATGGCATCTTGTGGGTGGAGGCTAGGGATGCTGCAAGACATCCTACAGTGCACAGGTCAGGTCCTCATAACAAAGAAGTCTCTGACCCTAAGTGCGCACAGTGATGAGACTGAGAAACCCTGGTTTAGTGGAACACAATTTAATCATTTGAAAAATTCGCTTATGTGGCCCCTCTCAGTTTCTATTGTTGCTGAAGGAGGAGGCATCTCTGCATCCTATCTGTCCAGCACTTTTCACCTGTCAAGGTCCCTTTGATCTCATTTGATTTTCATGATTACCTCAGGAGATAGCTGAGGGAGAGAGTTCAATTTTACTGTACTAGGAGAGCTGAGAAACAGAAGGCTAAATGATGTTTCCAGTGAAAAAGAGATGTCCTTACTCCCCACTTTGTACCTGTTTCACAAAACCACCGTTCTTTAGACCTGCTTATTTCTAGAACAAAAAAGGAAGAATCAACATAGTATTGGTTGCTAGTACATTTCAAGTTTAATGTTAATACATTAAAATAAATACATGGGACTTAGATTCAGATAGAGGAGTTCTTTTGTTTGCCAGTTCATCTATTTTCCAAGTAGCTATTGAGCTCCTCACACATGCCAAATGTTATTCTAGGTGCTGCATGCACAGTGGTGAACAAAACAGACGTCTCCTCTCAGGAAGCTGGCAGGTCACAAGTAGCTTATACTTGCGTATTAAACATGGTGTGGTGGTTCTGGGTAATATTCTCCAACAATCAAAACAAAGTCTCACAAAATCCCAAACCCATATACCTGTGTTCCATATACCTTATGCTTTGGTCATCCTGATGATTTCTAAATAAGCTTTATATATTTATGTGATTTATGGATTTGCCTTTTTTTGTCCCTTATGATATTCTTCCTCCTTCTCCCATCAGCAGAAAAACTCATACTCATCTTTTGAGATGCAGAATAAAGCCCTCTAATACTGAAGCTAGTAGCTCTATTATCTGGGCTCTTATGTTATTATGTTATTTTGTAAATATCAGTATGTTAATTACTATGGATTATTAAAAAGTATCTGCTTGTGTGTCAGTCTTCTACCATTGCACCAAGTATAGAGTATCCTGAGGGAGTTCCTAGTTGTGCTGGATTCTTCCCTTTGCTCTTTCCAGTTCCCTTCTCCAACTTTTCTGCCTTGCTGCATGCCCTGGAGGCCTGACCTCTGTGAATTGTACTAATGATTACCCTTTCCTTCTACCTCCCAGTGGGGATTTGCTGATGGGCAGTACCAGCAGGAGTTTCAGAAGGCAGGAGAAGAGTGACATTGGAGTCTATCCTCTTTAGCCACCTCCTTGGCAGGCTATCCTGTGTTGCCTGCATCTCCCAGAGGTGACTTTCTTCATACTGGTCTCTCTCCAGGTCGAAGGACACACCCCTTCCCTTTGTTCAGTTAGACCAAGGAGTGGTAACAGCTCCCCGCTGTTATGACCCCTGAGGTACTGCACCATCTTTTGTGACTTCATCTAAATCCAGTCTATACATTTGCAATCAGCCCCTTTCTGAAACTCTTATCAAATTATAGAATTAAATTGAGCCTTCTCTTTCCTTTCACAACAGTCTTACTCATTTTAGTATTCCAGTCTCTAACAAAGTGCCTGGCCCAGGGAAGATGCTCAACAAACGTTTGTTAAAAGCGTAAATGAGTGAATACAGATGTTACAATAAAATTTTAGTCTTAAAATTTTTCATTTGTCAAAAAGCTGTTTTCATCAAAGGCTCCGATTTCCTCAGAAGTAGTGAATTATTATTATTTTTTTAGCTCAACTAAATACAGCACCACTTATTAGCACTGCTGTACTTTGTCATTTTCAATTTTACAGATAACAGAACTAAGGTGACGTCTACACTTTTCCCTAGAGCATCCAACAATTCTTCTCCTGAATTCTTCACTGCTAACCTCAAACACAAAGCAAAATCAAAGCATGAAATTTCTGTCCTAACCAAGCCCCAGTCAGAAAACTTCTACCTCTGAGGATACACATAATGACACTTGGGGAGACAAGAAAGGAAAAATTAAATTCAACAAGACTCTCACATTTCAGCAAAAGTTTCCACCCAAATTGAATATGACACATTAAATGATCGTCAGACTCAAAGACCATCTTTTGGAACATCATTGGTAGCTGTGTTTTCTTAGTTAGCAAATGCCTGCTGTTAATGTGAAAATTGGTTTCAACTTAATTTGGCAACCAAGAAAACACATGATTTTTTTTTTTTTTTTACTTTCCCATGCTCTCAGTGACTGGCAGAGTTAATAGTAATGATAGCTAGTGACCATTTATAAAGTTTTTGAAATAGGTGACAAGTCCTATACTGGAACCTTTTCAAAGGATGTCTTTACAACAATACTGCAAGGTAGGTAATAGTCCTGTCATTTTATGGAGCACAGAGCTGAACCTGGTGGAGTCTAGTTGCAGAGGTAGGATTTGCAATTTCTTTTCTTTTTTAAATTGACATCTTTTTTTTTTTTCTCCAATAGTCAAGATAGGGAATCAACCTGAGTATCCAACAATAGATGAATGGATAAAGAAAATGTGGTATATATACATAATAGAATACTATTCAGCCTTAAAATAATGCATTCCTGTCATTTGCAACAACATGAACAAATCTGGAGGAAATCAAGTTAAGTGAATACAGACAGAGGCAGGATTTGAATCCCAGTGTACTGACTCAGAAGTCACAGGCTGGAACTCTCCTTCATCTGATCAACAGCCACTCACTACTTGTCTCAAAGGGAGGCAGGTGAATCCACAGGAACTTTTTAATTTTCAACCCACTATATACCAGTTATTTTGGTGTGGAGGTGTTTGACTTTTCACAGTCTGTCCAGGGAGACCAAGTCACTTAGTTTTGAGATGACACCAAGGCCAAGAAAAAAAGAATAAAAGAGAAACAATTTCACACATTTTCAAATACAAAGTGATTTCAGCATGGAAACAAAACACCATTTACATTTCTGTTAACAGTCTAGGAAACTTCCCCATAAGAGAAAGAAACCTCAAGGGCCATGCTAACTTGACTGTCTCTTTAAATGTTACCCTGCACCTAATATATTACAAAGAAACTACAATGCAGAACAGATGGAACAGTATAAAGCAGATGCCCATCTGAAGTCTAAATAAAGGCGAGCAATTCTTCAGTTAACAACAAGAAAATGAGGTGGCGGCACAGACAACATGGAAAAGAAGCAGTTTACAATGAAGAAAAGTTACTGGAAAATAATCACAACTGAACAGAAGACAAAGATTATTTCATGGCATTGAAATGACTTCTCCTTATGTCTTCCTGGGGTACAAAATAGGCTTCTGTGGAATACTCAGGAGGAAAACTAAGGGAGATCTGAAGACTTTAGGGCCATGGTAGGTAATAATCGTTGGAAACATACTACCCAAGGTTTTAATAGGCTTCTAGAATAGAGCTCAGTTGTTATGAGTATTTTCTATACTGGGGGAGGCACTCAAATAACTTTAACCCAAGATTAGACATAGAAGAGGTTTACTTCTTCTGAAAAGTTTTCTTTAATTCATTAGTTTTATTTTTATAATTTTAAAACTTTTGCTTTATTGACACTCTCAAACATATACAAAATTAGGATAGTACTATGAACCCACATTGCCCATTGCCCAGCTTCAACAACCATCAGTGCCTGCCACCCTTGTTTTATCTCTCATTCCCTCTCCAGCTATATTTTTTGATATTTTAAAGCAGTTTGGGTGAAATGCCCTTTCTTAGTTTTCCTGTTTGCAAAATGTCTCTACTTCATTTAGGCGACGGTTGGAAGACAAGTTGTAAAGTTTTAAGAATAAAACCTCACGAAAGTGAAGTATTCAAATAAATGTTCATTTTAATCCTTATGTGTGGACACATAAAAACAATAACAGAAGGTAGAGAAAGATGAGATTTTTCACTGTCAAATGTAGTAGAACAAAACTAGAACAAGAAAATCAGGTGCTTTTAGGGGTCTGGCATTGTTTTAAGTATTGGATATTGGGAAATGTGAAACTCTTCAGACACACGTTTTACTGAAGTTAAATAAGAGATTTTGGTTTAGAGGCACAGACAAATGTACCCCAGAAAAAAATCTATTAGTGAGTCAATATCTACATTTACAGGCTGGCTTTTTACTCACACTGCTGCCCTAAATGTCACTGAAAGATGGGGAGTAAAAAAAATAAAAAAAGACATTGCTGCTAGCTTCTAGAATGTTAAGAATTCCATGGTGAAGGCCGAGCAATTACAGAAGAAAGACTCCAACAAACATGAGAGGAGCCTATGTGAAAATACAATGGAAGAATTGTATATGTAAGTGCCCAGAAGATGCTGAATAATCACTCTTGCTCACATATAGGCAGCTCTAGTGATGTGGACAGCAATTGGCCCTGTGGTCAGGCAGTGGAGATGGAAATGGTGCTCTCAGTCAAGGTGCTGACAGTAAACGCATAAACAGTCCTTATAAAGCTTCCACAAACTGCTAATGCACCCAACACTCCTCTCCTTAGCCATGAGATGATGGTTTTCATCATGCAATTTGAGACCTCCTTTACTTCGTGAAAGCATAGTTGTATTCCATTGCAATTGAAATAGTACAACATTCTGTTGTTTCTAAACATAAGCTTTAGGTTTATTTTTGGTCTCATGTCCAACTTTCTTACTCTATTTCTTAAGAACACTTGCAAGCATCAACACAATCTTCTAGTTAACTCTATAAAGATAAGGCAAATAGTTCCTGGATAACCATCCTTGTAGCTTTTGTTGTATTGGCATCTTTACCACCCTCTGAATGTGTTTATGTAGTACAAATACTCATATATCCTCCTCCACCTCTCTCTGTCCTTCCCAAGTCCCACTAAAGGATATTCTCAAATCCTGGACTGCTAGCCATCTTTTACAAAATTTTTTGCACTAAAGAATGTTCTCATATTCCACTTTAATGACATGAATAATCAGGTACTGGAGTAGTGTTTTTGATTTTAAAGCCAAAAAGGGAAGACAAAATTGTTTTTCTAGAAAACATTCTGCAAGCCCTGGTAACCTGTCACAGAGTCTTTGGGATACTCAGAGCTGACGGTTCTCTAAAGCTGGCTGGGAAAACCACTAGAGGGAAAAGTAATATTGCTGCCATCTGCACAAGAGTGAAATGGGTGAAGGTGAAATGCCAGGGGAAAACAGAACATGAAGTAAATGTGCTAGAGTGAGGATGGAAGTCTCTGGGAACGGGACCTGGCATCTGCATTGTCTTACACTTGCTCCCAGAGGCAAGGCACACCAAAGGTTACATATCACTCAGTGGCTCCTACCTGGCTGGAGAACTGTTGGACAAGGGAGTGACAATGACATTTTGTAGATGTGACAGCATAGCAAGTGGAGAACCTAAACTGAGACATGATTGTCCTTTATAGAAAGGAAGAGATCACCAACAGAGCAAGGTGAATTCAGCAAGCACCTTCTCAAGACTTCTATCTACTCTGTTGCTCCTTACATGGTGACTGCGAGTTCTCTTATCCTGCGAAGGGCAGGGCTCAGGTAATGTTGCTCAGGTACTTCCAATGGTGATTTCCTGAGGGAGTGGAACTGCACTGCAATGAGGCATTTTCATAATGAGAACATCCTGGATTCAGTTATCTTAGCACTATCATCGCTACTAAGCTTGCTAAGTATTCCCAACTCTCCTTAGGACTTGTACATCTTCAAAACACCCACAACTGGCTAATTGGTTAGGACTTGGCCAGACAGCTCCAGGTGGCTAATTGGTAAAGCAATATCTCAAAGAGGATTCATCTTTAATTATGGGCATCTGACATCTTTATGTAGGTTTTATGAGATATTAGATATATTTTCACTAGACATCCATTGAAGCCATATGGCAGTCTTGAATATGTAGAACAAATGAGGCATAATAAAGCATTATTTATTTATTTATTTTAGAATGGCAAGACATACTGTTGAGGGTGATTTTTTTACAAGTTGAGGATGGAAATTCAGGAGTTTAAACAGTAGAGAAGACATTCTTTATGTATTGCTTCAGGATGAATGGAGGTGAATACAAGCACAGACACAATCCAAAATGCAATAAAGGAAAGTGATCCAGAATGAGTTACCCTTATTCCAAGAGGAATATCAAAGATGTAAGATAAAATAGTGTATTGGCTGTGTGTCCTTGTTTTCACCAAATAAATCAGTTGGAACTAGATTCCCTCTCTTTGGATCATTCAGTCATTTATTTCAACACTAATTTAGAATCTAGTATGATAAATAATAGGGATCAGACTTATAATAGGCTCATGGATACTTAAGTGGTCCATGAATGGGCATCAAGAGAACCTGTGATTCTCTTAAAGTATATGTAAAATTTGTATATAGGAATTTTTCTGAAGGGAAGGTTTACAGGTTTAATGAGATTAAAAGTCACATGATTGAAAAAAAGGTGAAGAACCATAGGGCTGCATATCCAAGACTGTACGACATCATACAATATAAGACAATAAGGTACATGAATATCACCTTTTATTAGTCCATTTTCACACTGTTATAAAGACATACCTGAGACTGGGTAATTTATAAAGAAAAGAGGTTTAATTGACTCACAATTCCAAAGGGCTGAGGAGGCCTCAGGGAACTTACAATCATGGCAGAGGGGAAAGAGGCATGTCTTATATGGTGGCAGGCAAGACAGAGTGGTGAGTGAAAGTAGAAGAGCTCCTTATAAAGCCATCAGATCTTGTGAGAACTCACTCACTATCACGAGAAGAGTATGGAGTAAACTGCCTGATGATCCAATCACCTCCCACCAGGTCTGTCCCTTGACACATGAGGATTACAATTCAAGATGAAATTTGGGTGGGGACACAAAGCCAAACCATATCACACCTCATATCTGTCAGAATGGCTATTATTAAAAAGACAAAAGATAAATATTGGTGAGGATGTGGAGAAAGGAAAACCCTTGCACACTGTTGGTGGGGATGTAAATTAGTACAACCAGTATGGAAAATGGTATGGAACTTCCTTAAAATCTAAAGTAGAATTACCATATAATCTAACAATCCCACTTCTGGGCATATATTCAAGGGATATTAAACCAGTATGTTGAAGATATATTTGCACTCCCATGTTCATTGCAGCATTATTCACAAAGGGCAAGATATGGAATCAAACCAAGTGTTGGTCAGTGAGGAACAAATAAAGAAAATGTGGTATATATGCACAATGCAATCCTATTTGTCTTTAAAAAAGAAGATCCTGTCATTTGCAATAATGTGGATGAACCTGGAGGACATTGCATTAAGTAAAATAGGACAGCCACAGAAAGATAAATACTGCATGATCTCTCTTATTTGTGGAATTAAAAAAATGGAAATTCATAGAAGTAGAGAGTAAAAAGGTAACAGTTACCAGAGGCTAGGGGGTGGAGGGGTTGAGGAGATACTGGTCAAATGATAAAAAATTTAATTTAACAGGAGAAATAAATCTAAGAGATCCATTGTACAACATGGTAACTACAGTTAATAACAATACATTGCATCCTTGGGAATTGCTAAGAAAGTATATTTTAAGCATTCTCGCCACAAAAAATGGTAACTGTGAGATAATACATGTTAGTTGGCTTGACTTAGCCATTCTGTTTTATATATATATATCAAAATATCATGCTGTACTAACATATACATTTTGTACTTGTCAGTTAAAAAGCCAAAACCCATAGAGCTCCATAATGAAGACCATAAAACATCATATAATGTAAGTTACTAGGGTACATGAGCAATTTACTCTTCCCTCCTCCACCTCAGCCTTTTTAAGAAAAAGGCATATATATACCCTATTCATTTTGAAGAAGGTAGGTTACTAGACTTCATAAATGCCCAAGAATTTCTCAAGTCTTTATGATGCCATGATTCTCAGAAAATAATTTTGCTACCTGAAAGATCAAAAATTATCCTAAAGAAATAAAACCAAGAGTGGAGGATAAATAAAACCTGTTTAAAAAAATGCTCTGAGAAGGCCAAAGACATATGGTTCCTACCATTCCCAAGCTGGGGTACATCATTTCATCAGCTCAACATGAAGGCATCACCTCAATAGCATGTGGACAGAGTGGGTTTGCTAGGAAAGATGAGATGGGGAGAAACAAATTCTTGGTTCCTCCTCACCTCTGGTGTTGAGTCAAATATTCTCACTGATTTGGCTTTTTAGCACATATTTCCATCTTATTTTTATTAATGAGTTTGAAAACCTTTATTATGCTATACAGTTTGCCAGCATTTCCCATCTGTTGTGTGTGTGTGTGTGTGTGTGTGTGTGTGTGTATTTAAAGATATACAGGCTTACAGTTTAAAAGAATCAAACTTCTCTACAAGGTTTGCTATAAAGAAATCCTAAAGGCTGGGCATGGTGGTTCACACCTGTAATCCCAGCACTTTGGGAGGCTGAGGCTGGTGGATCACCTGAGGTCAGGAGTTTGAGACCAGCCTGGCCAACATGGCAAAACCCTGTCTCTACTAAAAATAAAAAAAATTAGCCAGGTATGGTGGCAGGTGCCTGTAATCTGAGCTATTTGGGAGGCTGAGGCAGAAGAATAGCTTGAACTAAGGAGGCAGAGGTGGCAGTGAGCCGAGATCATGCCATTGCACTCCAGCCTGGGCAACAGAGCAAGGCTTCATCTCAAACAAAAAAAAGAAAGAAAGAAATCCTACAACATCCCTCCTTCTGCTCCCTAACCTAGTTAACTGATTATTTTGGCATATCTCTCCATATCTCTAAATGATTGCTACTTCTCACTATGAAAGCAGAGGATTTAACTTTCCTCCCTCCACTTCTATCACACACGTTCTCCTTCCCATTCCCTACTTTCATCTCAATACAGTAATTTTCATTAAATCAATATTTAGTGTTTACTCTTCAGCACTGACTATTTAAATGCTATCCAAGGCTGAGAATGAAGTAAACTATCATCATAATTCCTTTCCTGCATGACTATTGTTTTTCTGGGAAGCAATGATAATCTTGTTCTTTAATTTGTTTGGTTTTTAAATACTTATCACCAACTCAGCCCCAAACTCTATACCAGTTGTCTAAATTCTCTCTCAACATGTTCCATAATTCAGGGCCTGGCGTGGTGGCTCACATCTGTAATCCCAGCACTTTGGGAGGTTAAGGCAGGCAGAACACCTGAGGTTGGGAGTTCAAGACCAGCCTGGCCAACATGGTGAAACCCCATCTCTACTAAAAATACAAAATTAGCCAGGCGTGGTGGTGCTCACCTGTAATCCCAGCTACTTGGGAGGCTGAGGCATGAGAATCACTTGAACGTTGGAGGTGGAGATTGCAGTGAGCTGAAATCGTGCCACTGCACTCCAGCCTAAGCAACAAAGCCAGACTCTGTCTCAAAAAAAAGAACATGCTCCATAATTCTGGTATTTTATCAATTTTATCTTCCTGGGGAAGTCTCTCCTGGAGCCTTGCTCTCAGATATGACTGGTGAATTCCATTCTCAGAGACTCTATTCTACCTTCTTTAGGATAAATATTCAGCCACCAACCCGAGTGTGAGCGTGGTAGTCTCCTGAATATAGAGAGTAAAAGAAAGGATGTGGGGATCTGATTGTTTCTCAAACTTTCCAATAATCTTCTTTATTTTAGCTCAGATATCATTATCTTGCTAATGTATCTATTTCCTTCCAGCTCTCCAAATTTTTGCACTGTCCTCTTTCCTATTATTTTCCATGTCTTGGTGGATTTATGCCTTTCACATTCTTCTTTGCTTTTGTTCTCTCTCTCTCTCTCTCTCTCTCTCTGTGTGTGTGTGTGTGTGTGTGTGTGTGTGTGTGTGTGTGTAAGCAGGAAACAAATGTAGAAGTGTGCATTCGACCTGCTTTCGCTGTTTTTGAGAATGTTTTAGAAATCAATATCATAGAAACCTAGGAAAATACTTTAAGCAGGCATTTTATCAACAGCTATTTATAAGACAATAACCAACATGTTTATTTGTAACTTATATGTGAAGAAAATGAGGCCCATTCTGCTTCAAGTAAGTCATCTGCCAGATTGATGTAGATATTGAACACCTTATGCCCAGGCCCCCTTTTCACTTAACCTTTCTAATTTTAGGCTTCCATAGAGCATTGCCTTCTTGATAGTCTATGGCTGCTTTCAGGTTCCAAATACCTGAGAGTTGCCTCAGTCAATCAATACCTTCTGTCATGCTCTATTACAGCTGATCAATATGGACAAGGATGCAATGAGGTGGAAGCAAGACGTTTTATTCAATCAGGTTTTTGGTCTCTTTTATTGACCCCAATACTCTGGTAGTGTTTACAAAACTTCTACATTCTTCTCATCTAATTTGTTTTATTCCAGTTAGCAAGAATTGTTTGCATAAAACACCTGCACCCCCCTTCCTTCCTAGTTGCAGATGGAATCCATCTTTGTGTACAGATCTGGATCCAAGACTCATCTCCACCCAATGTGCGCAACCCTGGCTAGGTAAATCATCACTACTATAGTCATATCTCATCTGTGCAATGGGAGTTGTTAGGCTTGCAAACTGGGGTCAGCAGACATATTTAGTGTCTGCCACAATAAATTTTATTTTTTGAATGTGATTGCTTTTAACGATGGTGGAAGAGGAGAAAATAAGTTAGAGTTTTCTGCAGTAATTGTTACTTCCTATCACAGAAACATGGCTGAGCTGCTTCACAATTCCTATGAACTGTCTGCTCCCTAAATGGATTTGAGGTTTCTTGCACAATAACTGGAGGTTCTTTCATATCCCTGTTAATACTAACTTCTTCTGAGTTTATGGACATTGCAAATAACATTAGCCAAAATACCCCAGAATCTTGGGGGTGGAAGAGTAGACTAGCTATATAATCACCTAGAATCAGAAGGAAAATGTTATAAAATAAAACGACTTTTCTTTCCTTTTATATGTTTGTGTATTTTTCTTTGATCAATGCCCAAGAAGTAGCCGAGTCCTCTTGCTATATATTTCCATTTCCTGAATAGACTTTAGTACCAGCAATATCATTACCATCCCGTTTCTTTTCTCCTATCTCACTCTATATGTTTGTTATATTTAGATTGTAAATTCCCCACAGGGTATGATGGTCTTGAGTTTTCAGCCTTCTCTTGTAAATGTTTATTTGGATTTTACTTTTGCTGTACATGTAGCACATTGAAAGAAAACATTCCTCATTTTTATTTAGGCTTTTTAGGGGGAGTTGGGGAGTCACAGAACATAATGTGTGCTTTTAGTACTTTCCAGTGCTTGGATATTACAGGGGAAATTAATGACACAGTCATAAGACAATCTTTCCTAGTGATCTCATCTGCACATCTATGACCATATTCTAGATCATGCATTTGATCTTATAATCCAAAAGACAACAACACATATATCCTATATCACAGTGAGAAAGAATGCATAGCAAATGAATAAATAACAAACAAGCATAAAGAAGAGATAAGATAAAATATTTATAACATGAGAAGTCCAAGGGGTTACTGCATCATTTGAATATAATTATTGGGTAAGTGAGGGTCACAGGAGCTCCAAGTTTAAACCAAATGGAGCATGGGGAAGTTATTATGTCTCTTCTTACAGAATTCATTGTTGGAATTCTGCAAACTGCTTGAATGCATAGAAAGAATGTGAGGCTAAGAGGGGGTATATTAGTCCATTCTCATGCTGCTAATTGATACTGAGTAATTTATAAAGGAAAGAGGTTTAACTGACTTGACAGTTCAGCATGGCTGAGAGGCCTCAGGAAACTTATAATCATGGTGGACAGGGAAGAAAACATGTCCTTCTTCACATGGTAGCAGGAGAGAGAAGTGCCGAGCAAAAGCCTCTTATAAAACCATCAGCTCTCATGATACCTCACTCACTATCATGAGAATAGCATAAGGGTAACTGTCCCCATGATTAAATTACCTCCCACAAATTCCCTCCCATGACATGCAGGGATTATGGGAACTACAATTCAAGATGAGATTTGGATGGAGACACACCCAAACCATATCATTCCACCCTTGGCCCCTCCCAAATCTCATGTCCTCACATTTGAAAATAGAAACATATCCTTTCAAGAGTCCCCCAAAGTCTTAACTCATTTCAGCATTAACTAAGAAGTCCAAGTCCAAAATCTCATCTGAGACAAGGCAAGTCCCTTCCACCTATGAGCCTGTAAACTCAAAAGCAAGTTAGTTACTTCTAGATACAATGGGGGTAAAGGCATTGGGTAAATACAACCTCCAAATGGGAGAAATTGGCCAAAACAAAGGGGCTACAGGCCTCATGCAAGTCTGAAATCCAATAGGGCAGTCATTAAACCTTAAAGTTCCAAAGTGATCTCCTTTGACTCCTTGTCTTATATACAGCTCCCACTGATGCAAGACACTGATGCTACCACAGCCTTGGGCAGCTCTGCCCCTGTGGCTTTGTAGAGTACAGCCCCCCACTTCCTGGCTGCTTTCATGGGCTGGCATTGAGTGCCTGTGGCTTTTCCAGACTCACAGTGCAAGCTGTCAGTGGATCTACAATTCTGAGGTCTGTAGGACAGTGCCCCTCTACTCATAGCACCACTAAGCAGTGCCCCAGTGGGGACTCTGTGTGGGGGCTCCGATCCCATATTTCCCTTCCACAGTGCCCTAGCAGAGATTCTGTATGAGGTCTCTGCCCGTGGAGCAAACTTCTGCCAGGACATCCAGGCATTTCCATACATCCTCTGAAATCCAGGCAGAGGTTTCCAAACCTTAATTCTTGATCTCTGTGTACCCACAGGCTCAACACCGCATAGAAGCTGCCAAGGCTTGGGGCTTACACCCTCTTAAGCAAGAGCCTGAGCTGTACCTTGACCCCTTTTAGCCATAGCTGGAGTAGCTGGAAAACAAGGTATCAAGTCTTGAGACAGCACACAGCAGTGGGGGCCTTGAGCCTAGCCTACCAAACCATGTGTCCTTCCTATGCCTCTGGGCCTGGGGCCTGTGATGGGAGGGGCTGGCTGCAGTGAAGGTCTCTGACTTACCCTGGAGACATATTACCCATTGTCTGGGTGATTAACATTTGGCGCCTTGTTAGTTATGCAAATTTCTGCAGCTGGCTTGAATTTATCCCCAGAAAATGGGGTTTTCTTTTCTGTTGCATCGTCATGCTGCAAAATTTCCAAACTTTTATGGTCTGCTTCCTCTTGAATGTTTTGTTGCTTAGAAATTTCTTTTGCCAGATACCCTAAATCATCTCTCTCAAGTTCAAAGTTCCACAGATCTCTAGGCCAGATGTAAAATACTGCCAGTCCCTTTACATAGCAAGAGTCATCTTTACTCCTGTTCCTAACAAGTTCCTCATCTCCATCTGAGACCATCTCAGCCTGGAATTCATTGTCCATATCACTATTAGCATTTTGGTTAAAGCCATTCATCAAGTCTCTAGGAAGTTCCAAACTTTCCCACATCTGCCTGTCTCCTGAGCTCTCCAAGTGTGTAGGAAGTTCCAAATGTTCACACATTTTCCTGTCTTCTTCTGAGTCCTTCAAATTGATCCAACCTCTGCCTGTTACCCAGTTCCAAAGTCACTTCCACATTTTCAAGTATCCTTATAGCGGCACAACCTCTACCATACTAATTTACTGTATTAGTCTGTTCTCATGCTGCTAATAAAGACATACCTGAGACTGGGTAATTTATAAAGAAAAGTGGTGTAATTGACTCACAGTTCAGCATGCTGGGGAGACCTCAGGAAACTTACAATCATAGAAGAATGGGAAGCAAAGGGGAAGAAAACATGTCCTTCTTCACATGGTGGTAGCAAGAAGTGCTGCACAAAGTCCCTTATAAAACCATCAACTCTTGTGAAACTCAGTCACTATTACGAGAACAGCATGAGGGTAACCACGCCCATGATTAAATTACCTCCCACCACATCCTTTCTATGGCACATGGAGATTATGGGAGCAAAAATTCAAGATGAGATTTGGATGGGGACACGGCCAAACCATATCAGGGAGTGAAACAAAAATAATTTTTGAAGATCTCTCATATGTCACTTGTGTAATAGCAGCTTTTATATAAGTTTCCCCACTGAATTTTATTTAAGAGAAAGATCCACAATAACAGACTGGACAAAGTAGCTGGTTAAACAGCTTAAGAGATGGGGGAAGGTACAGCTCAGAGTTCGGGAGACCCTCCCAGAGTGGCCCCATGATGAACTCTGAGACATTGGATAAGGATTGTTGTGAAACAGACTGTCAATACATGGCCTTAAAGGAAGGCAGGGCGGAGGGGTTGATTCAATCCAGTGAACATTCTGAACCCCAGCAACAGTGAGCTGTATTAGTGAGTACAGGCACACAGATGGGAAACTGGAGAACCTGCCTCAAGGAATGTATCCTGTGGAAATAGCATCATGGAAACAAGTACAGTCCTCAGGTAGGAACAGTTGTCTCCAGGAGATCAAGATAAAAGTAAAACAAGCAAGGCCTGGATCCATGACACTAAGAGTGGCTGTGATCTATCCAGTGTCTACTTTGTGCCCATCATTGCGCTGCACTCAACGTAAGGTATTGCATTTCTTAATCAATATTAGTTAATGTTTATTTGGTGCTCACTAAATTACAGGCTGATATCATTTTGTTTAATTTTTACTCCTGTAGTATGAGGCAGGTATTACATTTTCTGCTTTATAGACAAGGAAGTAGCTCAGGGAAGAAATTTGTAGATGACCAAGTTGAGCATATAGTTAAGAGTGCTGCATGACATGAACCTATGATTCCAGTATAAGTAAAAGTGTGGACACAGAAGAATGTGAAGAAAAATAAAATAGGAGAATTTGGTCAAATTCTTATTTGACCAAATAAGCACAAAAGGAAAATACTGAAGTCATTACTCTGTGAGGTTTCCTGCATATGGCTTTGGCAATTTTCGAGAAATGATGCTTTTGACAGAGAAATAGGACAACATATCAAGGAAGAATGTGTATTCCATCCACATTCATAATGATGTTTTGTTTTATACATTACGAAATGACAGACAATACAAAATGTAGAGTGTAGAGTCTAGCTAAGAACAATAAATGCCTGTGTATCTATTACGAGCTTAACATAGAGAAAACTGTATACAAGCCCTTCCCTGATTCCATCCCTCCCATGCTCTCCTCAGATGTAACCAAGACTTTGAATTTTGTGTTAATGATTTACTTTTCTTTACAATTTACATACATATATCTTTCCAAATATACATTAAAATGCTCCTATTTGTAAACTTTGTATATAAACTGCATATAAATGGAATGTTACAGTATGTGTATTCTGTGATTAGCTTTCTTGCTCCACAGTATTCATCCATGTGGACAAACACATAGATATGGTCCATTTGCTTTCCTCCTATATAGGAGGCCATTTTATAAAGACATCACAATTGATTTATCAATTCTAAGTCAAAGGATAATTGGGTAATTTTCAGTTTACAGCTATGAAAGTCAAAGTTGCTATGAATATTCTTGTGCATGTCTCCTGGTGTACAAGTTATGCTCTATCCCATGTTTCTATAGGCTAGAACTTCCAAAATTACACTGATATTATGCTATGTTGTGATAGCAAGCATCCTTGTTTTGTTCATAATTTTGAAGGGGCTTTTAAAAATATTTCACCATTGAGAGTGATGTTTGCTCTATGTCTATTGTAGACATACTTTATCAGGTTAAGGAAGTTCCAATCTATTCATAGTTTTGTTAAAAATTTATCATGAATGGTTGTAGAACTTTATAGAATAATTTTTTTATATTTATTGAGATTACACAGTTTTTCTCCTTTAGTAAGTTGATATGATGAACAATTTTCTAATTTTGTTTTCAGGGATAACCCCAAATTTAGCTCTATCAATTAAAAAACCAATTCTTAGGATGGCTTGTTAACATTCTGTTTACTTGTTAATGTTCTAAGTATTTGAATAATAGGTAATTTTATTTTCTTACACTGCTTGTGTTTAGTTTTGGATCCAAGGTTAATACTGCCCTTGTAAGATAAGTTTGGGGAAATTCTCTCTTTTTCTATTATCTAAAATAATTTACATGCTTTGGAATGGAATACTTGATAAAACTCACTCACATGCAAAAATCTGCTTTTTTAAAAAAGTAATTACAACTTTTATTTTAGATTCAGGAGGCACATGTGCAGGTTTGTTACATAGGTGTATTATGTGATACTGAGGTTTGAGATACAAATGATCTCATTACCCAGGTAGTGAGCACAGTATCCAACAGTTAATTTTTCAGTCTTTGACCCCATCCCTCTCTCTCCTCTCTAGTAATCCCCAATGTCCATTGTAGCCATTTCTATGTTCATGAGTACCCAGCATTTAGCTCCCACTTGGAAGTGAGAGCATGTGATATTTGGTTCTGTTCCTGCATTAATTTGCTTAGGATAATGGCCTCTAGCTACATCCATGTTGCTGCAAAGGACATGATTTCATTCTTTTTAATGGATGCAAAGTATTCCATGATGTATGTGTAACACATTTTCTTTATCCAATCCACCATTGATGGGCACCTATGTTAATGCCATGTCTTCACTATTGTAAGTAGTGCTGTGATGAACATGTGAGTGCATGTGTATACAAAATAGATTCTTCAACGTTTGTTGAAACCTTATGCTCCAGAACATGATTAATTTTTATAAAGTTTCTATGTCCCCCTCAGAGAAATAACTACACTCCAGTTGTTGGAATAGTGTTCCATATAAGGCCAACCTTCTTCCTTGCATTGTTCTAGATTTCTATATGCTACTAAAAACAAAAATTTCCTACTATATTTTAGAATTGTGCATTTCTGTATATGTTGTAATTTTGTTAATTTGTCTTAAATATTTGGAGCTATGTGATTCAGTACACATAAATTCAACATTATAGTTGCCTGAAGAATGTTAACTTTGAAGAAAACGCAGTACACTTCTTTTTCTCTAGTATACTACTTGTTGCCTTTAATTCTGTCTTTTGATATTATTATATTAAGGAAGGTTCTTCATTTTCTGGAATACAAAATTTCTACCCTTTAGGTTCAACCATTTTGTGTGTCCCATAAACAACATTTGGCTGGATTTTGTCTGATTGTGGATATGTGGGTTAATCTGGTTTGACAACTTTTGTCTTTTAATGGGAGAGGACAATAACAGTTGGATTGATTTTATTGACTGAAATATCTGGATTTGTTTTTACAACTTTTTTGTTTTGTAGTATTTGTTTCATTTTTCTATATTTCTTCTTGACTTCTTTTGAGACAGAGTCTTGCTTTGTCAACCATGCTGGAGTGCGGTGGTGTGATCTTAGCTCACTGTAACCTCTGCCTCCCAGGTTCAAGTGAGTTTCCTGCCTCAACTTCCCAATTAACTGGGATTACAGGTATGTGACAGCATGCCTGGCTAAGTTTTGTATTTTTAGTAGAGACAGGGTTTCGCCATGTTGACCAGGCTGGTCTCGAACTCCTGACCTCAGGTGATCCACCCACCTCGGCCTCCCAAAGTGCTGAGATTATAGGTGTGCGCCACTCACACACAGTTTCTTTCATGACTTTTTGAGCAGTTTTTGAAGTCTCTCTTTCTCCAGTTTTTTTTTCCACAAGCTTAGGAATTAGACTACAGGTACCCTCCACACCTGGAATCATGACAAACAAGCAGTCTGTGTTTTGTTTTGTTTTCCTAATTCACCTATTATATTTCACCCTTTGGACTCCTAGCTTTCTGGTTTTTTGTGAAGGACAGCTGATTCAATCTGCTATTCCACTCACCACCCAGGCCTTAACTCTGGTCCATCTCTCTCCCACATGGTGCATAGTTCGAGTTCAAAAACCTTGGTCACAAAATGCTAGTGCCAGTGTTTGTTATCTCCGTGAAGTAGAGATTTATGGATCCTTCCTGACTTGACTGTTCTATCTTTCTATCTATCTATCATCTATCTTTTATCATCATAGTCATCGTATCTATGGTCTAGCATATTTAAGTGCATACTGGAAGGGTTTTCTGTAAACGTCTTGTTATTCATCTTGCCAGAAACAGAAGACTATACTTTGGTTTTGATGCAATCATTTCCTTATGTAGTTTTAACAGGTTTATGCAGGCCTGGGACAAAGAGGAAAAAGTAATATATTTGATTTGTATGTCTCCTGAGTAAAAAAAAAAAAAAAGAAAGCAGAATTCTACTCTCAAATGATATTATTTAGGAATCAGGGAAACAAAAGGAATTAATCCTAAAAAATACTTTCTGTCCATTATGTATATAGTTTTCATATACTGACTTTATTTAATCCTTATAATAACTCCATGAAATAGTTATTACTACTACCATTTTATGGATGAGGTACCTGAGACTACATGTTGAGGTTATTACATTGCCCATCTAATTCCATAGTCACTGCCCTCTCTCCTAAATCAGGCTGTCTTTCACCAGATAGAGAGCTCTGAGTAATTCTTCTCAGAGCTGGGAAAAACAATCCTGGTTACTCTTTCATGGTAATTTCCACAGCAAACAATGTAGTTATTTACCCAGCACTGGTTAGAATTCTGCTAATTGGTAGCACACATTCTGTTAGCAAACATGGTAGCAAACTCCAGAAAGGGTCCAGATTGTGGGAAAACATAAACAGTGATAACACAAATGCTTTCAAAGCAAGCCTTTGTTTGGGTTCTAGTGGCAAGCAATTTTCATTAATTGTCATTTTTACTTTTGACCAAATATCTCAGATTTAACACTCTTTAAACCTGTGAGAGTAATTAAGTCTTTCATAAAAATCTCCTGACGTTGGTTCACATAGTAAATCTCATGAAGTTTGCCTATTTATGCAAGAGCCCATGTAGCCCTGCAGGCTGAGCCTAAACTGTTATTGAAGGTGACTACCTTGCCAATTCTCATGAACAACCCAAGAGTGCCACGGATAAGCTAACCTTATTTTATCACTGTGCTTTATCACTGACAAAGGGTTAAGAAAAAGACTCTCTTTTCTTCTCTTTCCACACGTCCTCCTTTCTGTAGCTGAATGTGAATATTTAAAGTGGATTCAAGAAAGCTTCAGCATCTGGGAAGCCTAGAGAACAAACCATAACCATGGACACGGGCCAGTTTTCACTGGTCATTGACTAGCTGCTGCTGTTAAGTACAGATTGGTCAGTTTCATTGGTCACTGACTATTTGCTGCTGTTAAGTGCTCACCAGTGGAACATAACCATTTCTGCTCAAAACCAGGTTGGAGTAACATACCTAGAGCCAGCCCACTCTCAAGCCATATGAGAAGGGGTTAGAGTTTGCATGACTAAAATTAAAGGGTCAGTAAACAAACATGCAAAACTAAGTTGGGCAAGTTTTCTATTTTGAGGCTTCATACATGATCAAAGAGACGAATATGGCAGTACAAAGCGAAGGGAAGTAAAGGTGCATTGTTTCCATTACACGTAGCCATGCGTATTTGCAAAGTGGCTCATATAAGATGTTGTCATACTCGAGGTGATAAAAGGCTCTAAATCCTTCTTTGTGTAAGGTTTGCCCCAAAATACAATTTAGAGAAAAAAGTATTAACATGCTTTCCCAATGGGCTTCCCTAGCTCTGCTATTAAAAATGAAATGGGTGTGTTTATATAATCTGGGCATTCAGGAAAAAAATTACACAATTCAGTGTAATTTCCCCAAAGGAGTTGAAGTTGAACAGAAACCAATTGCACATCTGGGTCTGGGGCTGCTTCAGCCTCCGATGCAAAAACGAAGATGAATTCCAAGTGGTCAAAAAGCTCAATTGCTCACCCCTGACAATTTTTCCCTTTGCTAGAATAGAAAGCATAACAATTATTTTTCTGAAATATAAATTACAATCAGGTGGTGTTTAGTTCTGCTACTTTAAAAACTTTCTACTGGTCAGGAAAGTAGTCTTATATTATTAATTGAATACACATGAAAAAAAAATACCCTAACACCTTCCCATGCTTTTTACTGGAATGGAAATCTAGATCAAACTTGGGTGTGCCTGGGTGTCTTTTAATATGAGGTAATGATCAGATATCACCATCTTCTCATTAATGTTTGTGATTAACATTAAGAAGACATGGTTACGTGAGAAGTGATGCAAATGCTGTATCTTTTAAAACTTTATTTGAATCACTCATTTCTGGCCCACATTTGAATTATGCTTTGAACTGTAGCCAGGAATACAGCTGTCACATACAGAACTGAAATCGTGAATATGCCCACCACTTCCTTGTTTTGACATTGTGGTGTGCATTGTCAGTGCTTTATATGCATAAGAGGAAATGAGTGAGAAGTCTATTTTCATGTTATAATCTGGACATGCATATTTGATGCATTATTGCTGATTTCTATGCAGCACAATCTTGTTTCCCATACATCTGAGATTTCAATGTTTCTTTTCAGGGCAAATTATGGGAGATGAACAGCCTGGCCCAGTGGGATTCACTTTACTGAAGAGGTAGTTGGTGAAGTAGGTCACTTGAGTTCAGACAACACACAAAAACACAGGACGCACATGCCCTATGTTGGCAAGTTTCTTGGTCTGCAAATGATTCCCTTCTAAAGAACACTACTGAGATTCAGAGTTGACTATTGCACGTTCTCTCCACTTACAAATGGGACTGGCAATTGTGAGCTTTTGGTGGTGGTGATGTGTAGGGAATTGGGAGACAGAGTCCAATAAATGCTTTTAAGATTTGTTCTACTGCAATTGCTCAGATAAAAGAACACCAGTAGCCATAACATTTTCTTTAGCTGACCAAGGAATTCCAAAAGCAAACCCCTGTGTAAATGATAGCATAATGTCCTTGTTCTTAGTCAAAATATTCTTTTTAGTCCAGTTGTTATTGTGTCACAGTAAATACAAAATATTCCCTTAGTGCCATTTTGTTGCCAAGCAATTTGGAGAGGAGCACAGTCACTCAAAGTGCACTGAACTTATCTGCAATCAGCTGCCTTGACCACTCTGTGCTACATGGGCAGGGATAAGCTTGAGTGTGAGATAGAATCAAGGACAAAGTTATCATCACTGATGCCTCCAGGGAGACTCTGTATTAATAGAAATATGGCGAAGGTGGCCTGAATGTTGCTGATAGTATTTAGTGAGCCATTAAATACTATCATACATGATACATGATAGTCCAGAGCCATGACTCTGGACTATCAAACTTAGGAGAAATAAAACAATGGTATATTACCTTCCAAAAGCAAGCTCCAGGCAGCAGCAAAAGGGAAGGAGAAAAGCATTCTTCAGAAATGAGAAACTGGTTTGAGCCTAGCTTCCAGGGAACACACATAGATGGTAATGATTTTCTCATTAGGCAACTGAGACTTTTCTCCACTTTATTACTATATATGCACTGGGCCTCCAGCATTTTGGTGGGGGAGCTTCTCTAGAAGTAAGAGTTCTTAATATTTGCAGGCTACGTCAGCCACCTGCATGGGGGCAGGTATCTCCATGCTTTCAGTTTAAGTGACCAGAGTGTATTCTGCGTCCTCAAGCGGAAATGGCAAGGCTGCCCTTTTTTGTCCCATATTAATGATGATATCCTAATCATAGTCTTCGTAGAATCTTAAGTTTACATGGACTCTTTATATTGTTAAAACTCATTCACATATTATCTGAATTCAATTTCAGAAACAGCTAGTTGTACTAGCAAGGAAAATATCATCATTTCTCTTTTAGAAATATGGAAACCGAGACACATTTTCCTAAAGTCAAAAAATTGTGTTATTCTGGAATTGAAAGGATCCTTAGATAACTCATTTTGGCCTTTAATTTCACAGATTAGGAAATAGAAAATGAGAACAATCACATGATGAGTAGTAAGAAGGAAAGAACTGAGATGCCATGAAGTCCAGAACCCAGCGCTCTTTGAAATTGTAGCAGTGCATGTGTCTAGTGGGGAGGAGATCCCCTTCCTTCGATGGCTTTTCCGTGTGCAGTGGCTCCGAGGGCCTGGAATGCAGATGCCATGAGACAGTGACTGTTTCCTTCTGGCTCACTCCTGACTTGTCATCTAACACAGTGCTGACTCCAGAACAGGTATACAATCAATATTTGCTGAATGAATGGATGACTTTTAATAGATATAGACATTTTTAGGAATAGGTCTGCTGACATTTGGCATAAAGTGACAATCCCTAGACCAGAAAGTAGTAGTGAGAATGTGTCATCTACATGCCAGTTTTCCCTTTAAATTGCATGATAAATCCAGAAGTTGCTCAAAACCTGCTTTTGTGTGGGCATGGGGAATAGTTCTAAACCAGGCTCTGAGACAAGATGGTAGAGTGCTGAGTAGCCTCAGTCATGGTCAAGTTAAATGCAGGTCCTCTACCAAGTATGATTCCAGGAATGGTTAAAAGCCCTTCTCCAATTTCTAAACTAACATGTCCTTTACCCTCTCCAAAATTTGCTCATTTATTTTCTTTACATTAAGATCTCTGGTTCTTACCAGTGGGTCATTTCAAACTCTATCTCTGCTTCCCCCAGCTAGGGATAGAAAGCCACTATTACAGACAGGGGCTGCATCCTTCAGGTGCTTTCTGCAGAAATGAGCTCAATAACCACTGAAGACAGATGTTAATGATGTCTGTTTTAAGGCAAATTATTTGGAGACGAGGGTAACCAAGTGGAGCTGAATGACACTGGATGGTAATAACTTAATTTGCCTCAGTGACAGTTCATCAGGTCCTTTCACTTCCATTTTCTCATCTGACCATCATGACCTTATGGTGTAAGTAAAAATGATTACTTCCCTTTTTTCTTTTCTTCAGAGGGGAAATCTGGGTTTGGAGCAGCTATACCATATATCTAAGGTCAAACACCTAAGAGGAACTTTTAACTTGGGTCATTTAAGTGCAAGTGCCTTGTTTTCGCCATTTTGCCAAGGACATGGGGCTCAAGGTAGGTAAAGGCTTTCTCCTTCTCAATGCTCTCGTATAGGCTGGTGTTGGTTGAAAGCTAAGCTCCAGCACCTGCCTATTCCTTCTGCAGTCCAAAGGAAGGGTAACTTCTGTGTAAACCCTACCTTCTGGTCTCCTGTAATTTATTTCTCTTGCTTTTCAAACACACAATATCTTGCTTTAAGCTTCAAGAAATTGTTGAAGTTGAAATTGCAATTAACCTCAGCAGTGAGTGCTGTAACTATAGGGGGGCTGGGGTGGTGGTGGTGGTGGTTATTCTTTATGAAATGAAAATGAACCTCAAATGTGATTGGAATTTGCTAAAACTGGACAGGGATCAGGATACAGATGCTTAAGTTGATACCATCCAGTTGTTCAGACTAGAAATACAGGGAAGATGTATAGGTTTTAAAGCAATTATGACATTTTATCACATAGACTGTTTTTATTAGCTGTGGTTCCCTGCAATCTTTTCATTTTAATTTTATATCAGCCATAATATTTATATATATGTATAGATATGTGTGTGTGTGTAGCTGTATGTATACATATGTATTTATTTATATTTTATTTTATTCCTTTAATTATATCATTTAAACCCAAATTAGACATTGGTAGAATGAACTTTACAATTGCTTTCATGGATTAAATACAGAAATAAGAAAAATTCCGATGGGCCTAGACATATCACAAATAAAATCTAGTTCTAAGTATAGTGGCATGTGGAATTTCACATGATCTCAATAGCTGACCAGGACTCACCGAGGAAAATACATAGTACTTCTCTGGTACTTTATTTTTTTAATTTTTTTTATTATACTTTAAGTTTTAGGGTACATGTGCACAACGTGCAGGTTTGTTACATATGTATACAAGGAAATATTGTTTCTTGACAAAACCAAAATACTGCTTTCCAGATTCATTTAGATCTTATTCCTAACGTATTAATGGCACCTTTTGGTCATATTCATCAATCAATGAATATGATCTGAACCTCTCCTATGAGGTCAGAGCAATTAGGCATGCATGAGATATAAAACCCAAGGCAACAGATTCTTATTTTCTAGGCACTTCTGAGCTAGTTTTAGAAGGGAGTACGTAGCCTTAATATTCCATTCCTTGCTGCCATGCCCAAGAGAGACACGACTAATCCATCACAGCATTCTTCCCACAAACTCTGTAAGTGGCCTTGTAATCCTCCTCTAATTGGCCATTCCCAATCTGAATCGGCACATAAGATGAAGCCATACCTGAACTAATTTGCAAGATAAAGCTAAACACAAGAGTGAGAACAAGCAAGTGCTCAACTCCAGGGAAGGGAGATCCATCCTGGGATCTGGTGATGAGCCTTCTGTAAAGAGGAAGGGCTTCTACTATGTCTTGTACCATGGCTAGAACTTAGGCAGATGGAGGGAAACAGAATGGGCAAAGACTTTAAAGAGCAAATGTATGCATAGAGGAGATTGAGCAGATGAATATGGGATTAAACAGGGGAACTTGGGCTTGAAGAGTAAGGTTCTATTCTCATTATTTAGGAGTTTCATTCAGAAACTTCACGTATTACAGCATGTTCCCATTCAAAAATACTAAGCGTGGAGAAATAATGGTTTCTGGTATATAGAAGTCCTCTGGCACCCTAGAATAAACTGTATCACATTCTAGAAGGTGTGTGGACTCATTTTCAAAGAGCAAAGATGACTCTGAGTCATAGCTTTCACGACAATAAAATGGATAAAATAAAGGTAACTTCCGAAGACTGCCAAATCTTCCTTCCACCAAGCTCATTAAATAATGCCCTTCCATGTATATTCTTTTGGATCCATTATGATAACCCCGATGGCCACTTTTTGCCCACCTTAATGATAAAATGAAGAAAGCTCCAGGTTTCTTGCATTTTTTAAAGGCAGATGAAACAATCAGCCAATCCCTTTGTCTTTTACAGTTTGGGTGTGCACCTGGCTTGCAGCAGAACTGGCTGGGATGGCTTCATAACTTCCCTTCTAACAATATAACAATATGCTTCTGTAAATTTTCACACTGAATTGGACAAGAATCAGAATATCCTGTTTTGAACATCTGCACAGATTGACAAGTGAGTGATTCTGCCTGCCTGATATATCCCTGTCCCCTTTAATCTTCATACACAAAGAATCTGAAATAGTCCCTCTTACTCTTTCCATCTAGACAAAAATGGAACATCAAGACTGACTGGAAATGGTGATGTGAAATTCATTAAATGCTCTTGCAATTGCCAGAGGTGACATATATACATACAGCATCATTGTTTTCTGGAAAATGGGCTACAGGAGAATCTTAAAGAAGCAGTGAATTGGCCGGGCACTGTGGCTCACGCCTGTAATCCCAGCACTTTGGGAGGCCAAGGCGGGCAGATCACGAGGTCAGGAGATCGAGACCATCCTGGCTAACACGGTGAAACCCTGTCTCTACTAAAAATACAAAAAATTAGCCAGGCGTGGTGGCGGGCGCCCGCAGTCCCAGCTACTCGGGAGGCTGAGGCAGGAGAATGGTGTGTACCCAGGAGGCGGAGCTTGCAGTGAGCAGACATGGCACCACTGCACCCCAGCCTGGGTGACACAGCAAGACTCCGTCTCAAAAAAAAAAAAAAAAAAAAAAGAAGAAGAAGCAGTGAATCAAAATTCATCTGTTGTTGGAAACTATATGGTCCCAGGCAGACAAATGACCCGGCCGAAGTTCCCTCTCATTTTTATACTCTGTTATATCCAGGCAGGCTCCTCCTGAGTCCCCATTCAACTTTTTTTTTTCTTTTTCTGCTCTTGGCCACGTTTTCTTTCTTTCTTTCTTTTTTTAATAGCCAGAAGAAAAAGCCTAGATTATGCATTACATGGGTGGAATTCTGGGTTGGATTTCCTAACTCTGAATGGTTTGTAAATCCATTTTACCCACACTGCACAGTGGGTACCCATGAGTCTGAAATCAACTTTCCGTGAGAGATCCAATAGTCCCTATGTTATAGTGATCATATAAACTTTGGAGACTATATAGGGATTTTTAAAATAAGAAATAGGTAAACAGAAAAAGCTAAATAATGCATATAGCAGTTTGAAGCTTTGTTATATTTAATAAAATATGAATGTTGTCATTAAAAAATAAGGAACTGATGCCATTTTCTCAGGTCACTGTGGCATCAACAGTCTTCCCTAAAATGACCTCTTTCCCACCCCACTGCCATCCCTTCAATGAACGCCCACTATTGTGCAACAGCACGCTTGAAAAACTCTTGCTTCAGATAATGTGGCATAGCACAAATGGACATGGGCTTTGGAAATAATGGGGCTCAGTTTCAATACCAGATCTGTCCTTTTCTAACTGTGTGACTTGGTTTTCTTTTCTGTAAGTTGGGGATAATAATTTAGCAATCTCATGGAGCTATTGAACAGACTGAATAGGATACTATATGTCCTGGACTTAGTCCAGTATCTGGTGCATGATGGGTGTACAGTAATTGGTAGCTATAAGTACTATAAAAGTCTGACCCTGTGAGAACCTTTGATACTTAGAGAAAGACCAAAGAGTTGGCTGGCTATCTAAGTGCCTTGCTGAGCCTGGTCAGGGAGAAGGGGTGAACATATATATAAGAAAATGTGGCACATATACACCATGGAATACTATGCAGCCATAAAAAATGATGAGTTCATGTCCTTTGTAGGGACATGGATGAAGCTGGAAACCATCATTCTTAGCAAATTATTGCAAGGACAAAAAGCCAAACACTGCATGTTCTCACTCATAGGTGGGAATTGAACAATGAGAACACTTGGACACAGGAAGGGGGACATCACACACCGGGGCCTGTTGTGGGGTGAGGGGAGGGGGGAGGGATAGCATTAGGAGATATACCTAACGTAAATGACGAGTTAATGGGGGCAGCACACCAACATGGCACATGTATACATATGTAACAAACCTGCATGTTGTGCACATGTACCCTAGAACTTAAAATATAATTAAAAAAAAAAGAAAGCAAGCTGTGTTGGGCACTTCTCTCTGAGATGCAGTTAGGGATGGCAATGCTTGTTTCTTTGTTGGGTCTTGTTCATCTCTGAGCATGGTTTGTTTCCTGTTTCTCAGCAATCTCTCTTCCTTCTTTCTTCTGAAATCCTTCCAACCTCTTTTTCTTTCCAGCATCTTAATAAAGCTAATAAAGGCTAACACTACCACTCCCTTAGCCTATTGAGATGAGAACATTTTCTTCGTTACCCCTGTGGCGATGTGTCATAAACTGGCAGGGTTCTCCATGCTCCCTTTAGCTGGGAAGCCAGCGTGGTAGGACCATGAAGCTTTGAATAGGGAGGGGATTGATCAGGGGAGGAAGAAAACAAGCATGAGAGGTAGCTGGATTCGTGTCTCTCCATCAACACCTATGTGCTAGTAGGACAAGGTAGATTCCATTGAGAATGGTAAAGGAGGTTTGGAGAAGTCAGGTTAAGGAAACAGTTTAAACGCCCACCACAGCATCTACATTTAGAATCAAAATTTGGTTTCTGTAATGGGAATTTCATCTGAAATCACAAATCTGTACCCATCATGTTGACTACATCTAGGAAAGTAGCCTGCTCTCATGTGCCTGAAGGTGCACTGAAGCACCTCACTCATTCCTGCCTTGTTCTAGCACGTACTATTCCTATGACCCTACACATTTTTTCTCAGCTGTAAAATTAAGTTGTTTTAAGATAATATATATATTTTGTGCCTGGAATGTAAGAAACAACAAACTTAGTACCTAGAAACAAGAAACTGAGTAAGGAAGAATATTTTTTTTTTTTTTTTTTTTGAGACGGAGTCTCGCTCTTTCGCCCAGGCCGGACTACAGTGGCTCTATCTCGGCTCACTGCAAGCTCCGCCTCCCGGGTTCAGGCCATTCTCCTGCCTCAGCCTTCCGAGTAGCTGGGACTACAGGCGCCCACCACTGCGCCCGGCTAATTTTTTTGTATTTTTAGTAGAGACGGGGTTTCACCGTGTTAGCCAGGATGGTCTTGATCTCCTGACCTCGTGATCCGCCCGCCTCGGCCTCCCAAAGGGCTGGAATTACAGGCGTGAGCCACCGCGCCCGGCCAGGAAGAATATTCTTTAAACCGACAGCAAAATGAAAAATAAGAAGTCCGAGCAAAGAGCTAGGGCGAGTAAAGGAAAATCTTTTATTGATAAAAATATTTGGGATAGTGCCGGGACTTAGAGAGAAATTCTGAACATGGTATTCATCATCTCTGCCTCCTGACAGAAGCACGTGGTGCCCGGTTTTTACTCACCTGTATAACTCATGATACCAATTTGTAATTAAGAGGAAAGAAAGAAAGGACTAGGGGGAAAGGGACATTTAGGAGGCTCATCTCGAGGGTTTTCCTTGTTATTTCATGGTTTGGTTTTCTGTGATTGTTGTTCACTTCATTTGTTTTCCTTGTTGCCCCAGGGAGATATTGGCAAAGTGTGGACCATCATGAATTTATGAGTGCATAGGCTCTTGAGAGCCTGCTGGTTCATGGAAAAGCCCCTAATAAATATGTGGCCTAAACAGTCATACTTTCTACCCATGCTTAACCTGATGGCTGCCCCTAAGGATAGGAAAATGACATGGAAAGCTTCTGCTTTTCTGGATTGTTTAATTTAAATCCCGTGTTCTGATACAAACTTGCCATTGGAAAAAAGAACCTTGGTACAAGGTGTCATGGACTGACTGTCCTGAAGACCAAGCGTGGGCCTATGAGCAGTAAATTTTTATATCATAAAAATTACAATGGTGGTGAAAAGAAGTGACGATAATACTAGCTATTAACTATGATGATGGACTCCATGCTAAAGATTTTGTAGATATTATCTTTAATTCTCAAAACAATACTGCAATATACTTATTTATTATCCCCATTTTACAGGTGCCAAGACTGAGGCTCAGAGAAATGAAATAACATGCCAAAGGTCACAGTGTCTAGTGGAGCTGGGGCCAAATTCAGGTTCGCGTGGTAATAAAGCTTTTTTTATGCCATCACCCTGCATAACTGTCTGTTATGATCTTTGAAAAGTCAGATTTTTTCAAAATCACAAAAATTCTAATTTTGATTGCCTTACACACTCTTCCTCATCATTGTATTTTTCTATTGGAATTAAAGTTTGCAACCTTTGGAGACTAGAAATCTAAGGCAGCAATTTCAGATGTTTTGAAGACCCTCATAAACTACAATTAGTCCACAATAACTAGCAAGAAACAAACACTTCTAAAAAAAGCATCTAGTCATTTAAAATGATTTTTAATTTCATGACTAGTATATAATTATACAAGAACAGAGCTATTTAGTTAGAAAAAATAACTTTGAAGATGAGAGTCCATTTAGTATTTATTTGCTCCAAGGTTCTAATTACTTCAAAAACTACTGAAACTTCATATACGATTACTAACAGCATTCAATAGCAGCTTTGATGGAAGTTGAACCAATCTTTTAAAAATTTTTTAGCCTCATTAACATGAGAGAAATAAAAAATAATAAATACCAGGGGCACATATATATGATGTCATTATTACTTTCCCACTTTGTTGCCAGTTCAGGTCTCCCATGCTAGAAAAATGAAAAATAAAACCTAACATGTCTTCCTGGTCATTTTGGAATTGAGGCCAACAAAATAAGACCAGTGAAGAACAATAAACACAGTATTGTTTTTCTGTAATATATTAGCAAATCCTGGTAGCTTCAATTTTGTTTCATTACATTTCCAATATGTGCATCCATCAATTCATCTTCTTTTCTTCCCATAGTTAAGATTTATGCACTTTATTAATCACCTCAAGACAGTCATCTCAGCAGTTTCATTTGGTGGAGTAAACCAGTCAAACCCCATCAGACTTCTGGGGATGTCACACAGCAAACTTTGGATTCCTGGCAACTTGAATCACCCTTGCCAATATGAGATTTTTCAGAGCAATCCATCTTAGGGCCAACTAATATATCACATCTGCCTCTGCTCTTTTCCTAATTAATAGGTTCAAAGAGAGACACCTGCTAGATCACACAAATGTCCCCCTGAAGCAGCCTCAGCATATAGGTTCCTTGGCAGCAGCAGATCAAAATGGCAGGCAGTTAAATGTTCTATTTTCCAAATGCAAGTTGAATGATATGAAGGGTCTAGGTGGCATTCAGCAAACCCACATTCTCCAAAGGGCTTTTAAAAACAAAGGTAACACATTCTTCACATTCACTGCATGCTCAGGTGGTTTAAAAATATGATGTTGCCATGTGTGATGGACCAATCATTTGTGCTGGCTTCTAGCTTACAGCAGTGCTAACCAGAATCAGGGCTGCTGACACTCTACTTAAGTTGTTGCCACCTGTTCTAATTCTTGGTAACTGTATTTTTTGTTATCATTTTTTTGATGCCAACTGCATTCTCCCTAAAGTTCTGAAAGGACATAGTTCTAAAGTTAGTGTGCTCTTAATTAATTTAAAAATATGCTTTATTAAGTCCCCAACTGTGCATTTGAGTTACCTGCCAGCTTCTTTTGAGATACAGAGAGTAAAGACTTGGGTTCCAAATGTAACTAGATCAGAAAGATCTAACTACATTTCCAAATCAGAAAGAAGCAAATTTACAAAATTATTCATTCAAGAGAGATATCTTCTGAGCCTTTTTAGGTCTTGTCTGTTTCTATGATCAAACAGAAGGGTTTGGGTGTGCACTTTTCACACTAAAAGACTCAAATAAGGAAGATTCAATGACTTGTAAGCTTGCAAAGGATCAGCTAAGTAAAAATTATAACCTTATATAACAGCACTGCACATAAGACCAAAAATAAAAAATGCCCTATTTGATATTAAGAAAATGTAATGAAAAATCCAGAGAGGAAAATGGGTTACCACAGTGCTATTTCTATGGTCTTTCAAATGCAGTCACACTTCCAAAATCTTGCAATTAATGGCATTAAAAACTCTCCAGCCTCACAAGTTTATTAAGTAGCAGTGTAGTTAAACAAAAAGGGTGCTAGACTAGACATTGAGAGATCTATACTCTAGCCTTGACTGTGCCTTAAACTGTAGTGTGTTGGTCTTGAACCATGGAACCCACCATACAGTAAGTGGGCTGGAATAAACAATGGCTACCCACTGGTTGCCCTCAAAGGTAGCAGTGGGTCTCCTCGCACTATTTTTCCTTCTTAGAAAAAGCCAAGAAATCATATTAACCCATAATATGATTCACAAATTAGTCAAAACATCACATTTATTTGCTTTTTGCTTAAATTACATTAACTGAAAGAGTTAACACTAGTTATTTCATGCTAATCCATTGCTCCCATTCAGGGATCATGTTTCTACTTAGTGATAAATCAAGTTAATTACTACTTAAGTTCAAATTGTAAAGGGGATCTTGCAAAAAGTAAAACTCATAGGGAAACTAAGTTCTGAGTGGGAACTTGGTGGTGACCAGTTAGGAAAGGGTTTTACTAAAATCCCTTCCAGTTCAGGATTTCTATGACTGCAAATATATAAATATGAAAAATAATTAGTCTTTTTCCAGTGTCTTTTGAATTTCAGTGTAGAACTGTTTTATTTACTAAATGCATGCCTTTACAACTCTTACAGAGAGAACATATACTTGCAGAGAGAGCATTCTAGCCAAACTCACCATTTCCTTGGCTGGCCTGCTCCTCGCTTCACTGGCCTAATTATTCTCATAAGCAGCTTAACTGAAATGTTGGCTTACAAATTTATATTTCAATTTAATTGTGCCCAGTTCCTAGTACAATGAAAATGTTAAAAGTCTTTTCCTATTTTGACAGTGTTTCACTGTGTTTATTTTTAGGGACACTAACAAATAAACTTCATGTTATCTTTATACATACACCTTTTCTTTTTTCTTTAGATTAATAACACACAGGAAAAACCCTCAACTTCTTTCATTCGCCTGTTGAGATAAAGGGAAAGAGAGTCCCCATCCAGGCCTGCAGGAGAGGGAGAACTGGTGGATGCAAATGAAAAAGCAGAGGCATTCCTCAGGTCAGTCCTATGGCCCAGGCTGCCTGGGTGCTCCCATTCTATTCTTTTCCATCATTTAGTAAACAATGTTCTCAAAGGGGGAAAAAACAGGAAGTGGAAAAAAGAATGACATGGAAAGTCAGTAATCATTGTCCTTGGGGAATGGAACACAGAATTCCCCTTATGGTCTAATTATTCTTTCATATCTTTACTGAGCCCAAATCAGGCGAGTTTCCAGGGTCTGGCTGATGTTTCAGGGGCCTGGTTTCTGCCAGTCCTCAGCTCTGAAGGGAAATATTTACTAACTTCCTGAAGCTTCCCTATTATCATCTATTATTATTTAGTTCGCAGAAAAATCTCTGTCATTTTTCTAACACAGAAGAGAAAAGCTAGAGGAACATGAAAGACCCATGTAAACTGTCATGTGTTTTCTCGGTTGAAGCCACAAGCTGCTTCCTGTTGCCCTGATACCTCCTCCCAAAGTTACTTCCATAGAGTGACTTCCATAGAGTGACTTTGGAAGGAGGTATCAGGGCAACAAGAAGCAGCTGACTCATTGCCAACACCCTGTTAGGCACTCAGCAATGGATCCTAAGCATGCTCCTGTTTCACCTGGTGAAAGCAAATAGTATGTTTCTTTTCTTATCTGTGCTTCTGCTTGTGAGTATATAAAAGAGGAAAAGTGCTACAAGGCGATGCTTTAGAAATTGAATTCTATTGCCCATTATAAATGGCTGCATGCTAGAATCAGGGGATCTTGGTAAGCCTACTAAAATGCATTCTGTGATACAATGGACTTTGGGAACTTGCAGGAAAGGGCAGGAGGGGGTAGGGGGCGAGGGATAAAAGACTGCAAATACGGTGCTGTGTAAACTGCTTGGGTGATGGGTGCACCAAAATCTCACAAATCACCACTAAAGAACTCACTCTTATAACCAAACACCACCTGTACCCCAATAACCTATGAAAAAATAAACAATATAATAATAATAATAAAGTAATGTCCAAAACTGCAAACACACAGACACACACACACACACACACACACACATATTCCGGAGACCTTGGATCAAAGGCAGTGTTCACAGATTCATAGAAAAAACAACAATATAATAATAGCTACCTCTATTTAGTTCTACTTCTTGGCTAGTCTAGACTTTATTTAGTCTTCATTCCATTATCTGAGGACTAGAAATACCATTTGACCCAACCATCCCATTACTGGGTATATACCCAAATGACTATAAATCATGCTGCTATAAAGACACATGCACACGTATGTTTATTGCAGCATTATTCACAATAGCAAAGACTTGGAACCAACCCAAATGTCCAACAATGATAGACTGGATTAAGAAAATGTGGCACATATACACCACGGAATACTATGCAGCCATAAAAAATGATGAGTTCATGTCCTTGGTAGGGACATGGATGAAATTGGAAATCATCATTCTCAGTAAACTATCGCAAGAACAAAAAACCAAACACCACATATTCTCACTCATAGGTGGGAACTGAACAATGAGATCACATGGACACAGGAAGGGGAATATCACACTCTGGGGACTGTGGTGGGGTGGGGGGAGGGGGGAGGGATAGCACTGGGAGATATACCTAATGCCAGATGACGAGTTAGTGGGTGCAGCGCACCAGCATGGCACATGTATACATATGTAACTAACCTGCACAATGTGCACATGTACCCTAAAACTTAAAGTATAATAATAAAAAAACAAACAAACAAAAAAAATCAATAACAAACCTTGCAAATTGGGCATTTTTTTTTTCTTATGCTGTGTTTGAAGCTCAGAAACATTAAGCAACATCTCTAAGACCACATAAGTGCTAATGGCAGAAACCAGCTGAATGTTTTCCAGATACATTAAGGATTACCCAGACCTAGTCCCCTAAGTTTATACAAGAGATGCTGAAATTTACAACAGGGAGATTTAGACAAGATAAAATAGTGAGTGTAAAGTGTTCAGCTGTGGATTTTTAATACAACCAACTCTGATGATTCATGATGACTGAAGGGAAAGTTACTTTGATGGTTACCTTCTTGAGGGCCAGAAAAATGTCTTTTTTTGCCCACATTAGTGGTGACACAGGCTAGGCATTTAACCAATATTTGCTAATGAAAAGACAATATATAACATTGAAAACAGAAACATACAGAAGTCAATTTATATTTGGTTTAAAAATACATGGTTTTCCTCAGCAATTTATGTTCTTAGGAAATTATATCTTCTTTAGGATTACCATAGCCAGTTTGCCTTTATTTACTTATTTTTTAAAAATTTTAACACTGTGGTGAAAATTGGAACCAGATGTATGTTGCTAGAAGCCAGCTGAAGATGCAAAATGCCAATACCCCCAATGTACAGGCAGGTCATAGTTCTCAAAGTGATATCCCCTACTCTCGGGGCTCAAAGCTCACTTCTTCAAGGAATCCCAACTCCTTTCATAACCAGTCTGTTGGCAAAACCTGATTCCCATTGATGGATAAGATGTGGCAGGAAGAGATGAAGGGGTTGGAATGCCAGTGGGAAAAATGTGGTACCCCTTACCAGTCATCAGACAGAAGCCAGCTCTAGCGAACCATTCTCACACTGGATCTCTAAGGCACTCAAGGCATATCTCAAAGCTAATAATACACTGAAATCAAAGTAACATTTAGCAAAACTGACTTAGCTTAGCAGAACTGGCTCCAAGTTTGGGGTATCCTTGCTCCCCAGTGTGATGGCAGCCTGCTGTCATGTCAGACACCTACCTGTCAGGTTAGGTGGGGAAAACACTTACTTAGCAATGAGGCATGAGCTGACATTCAGGGACAAGAGCAGAGAGTCTGCCATGCAGCACTGGAGAGAAAAGCCCTTCCTTCCACACTGACAGCCAGGAATGCCATTTTCTTGCTCAATGAGTGCAAATCTTTTCACTTCTACCCAAAAGCACTGGAGCCTGACTGTACATCCTGACTTTCCCCTGAGCTGAGCAGGCTGAAAAGACTGGCATGGGTTTAAAAAACATGATCAATTTAGGCATGCGGCGTCATCAGCAAATGGAACATAAAGTTAATTGTTTCACCAGAGGAAGAAGAGCTTCAGCAGCTTTCTTCACCAGTCGGGTTGGGAGTGCTTCACGTGCCCTGAAGCTCCTCAATCACCAATAGTTTTATGTCAGGGGGTCCATTTCCAAAAGGTATTTTTCAGTGTGACATTAATAATTTATGAATAGGCCAGCACACAAAACTGTATTTGTAAGAGGGACTGAGTGGTGGGATAAACAGGAACTTAACTTCTTAGTAAAAGCAGAAGGATGAAAACATAAAAAGTAAAATATTTTTTAAAATTCTTGCAATATGCAGAGTATAAATATTATCTCACATCTACTGTCAATAATCAGAAAATAAAAAAGAATCATGTAGGGTCATGCAACGAAAAGTGATACTTCGTACATCCTTTCTCCTGTTATGTGCTCTCTGAGCATCTGCTTGGATCTGGGTACATTAATCTGATTAACGGGAATTTTTACAAGTGATTAGGCTCATCTAGTTAAGGAAGACTGGGATGTATTTTACTCTGTGTGTACTGTCAACAGAATTGTCAACAAAGTTTAGAAAGCAGGAACTGTATTATATAATTATGGAGAAGGAAATGGGGAGGATCCCGCTTTAGTTCACAGTGCTGGCAGTTAGAAAGAAGAAAACAAACTTCTTTTTTTTTTACGTGAAAATTGGGAAAACAGGACATACAAGTCATCTAGATACAAAGGGAATGGAACTTGTCAATTTTTGGCATACAATTCACTTAGAATTCTCCATCACAACATGAACTAAAAAGAACTGATTTCTTCTAATCAGCTGAATTACAAGGTCAGAACTCTAAATTATTGCTTTGTTGTTTGAGCTGCAAATTATTGGTGAAAGGCTATTTTTATGCATTTATTTAATCTCTGTATATACTTTTCTCATTGCTATCAAAAAATGCTGTGATGCAAATATTTATTGCAATCCAATATGTATAGATAACATTTTTTATCATTCTAAAGCTTAGAGATGCTTTGAACCTCTGAACTAACCAATATTCTGCCAATATGAAGATAAGATCATGTCCAAACTGCACATTCAAATCTGAAACATCAGTGGATAATAATGATGTGTAATTCTACATATGAAAGTATCAGATGCTGGAAACTCAATTTAGTTTTGTAAATCCACAGCAATTTTTATTAAATAAAAGCCTAGGTGAGAAAAATAAGTTATATCCTAGCACACAGAAGACTGCTTAATAAGTGCAATGATAACCCCAGCTGTCACTGATTTTTTTTTTTTTTTTTTTTTGAGACAGGGTCTTGCTCTGCCACCCAGCCTGGAGTGCAGTGGTGCAATCGTGGCTTACTGCAGTCCCAACCTCCTGGGCTCAAGCAATCCTCCCATCTCAACCTTCCCAGTAGCTGGGACTACAGGTGTGTTACCCAATCATGTTAATTTTTTCTTTTGTAGAGATGAAGTTTCACAATATAGACCAGGCTGATTTTGAACTCCTGGCCTCAAGTGTGCATCTCATCTTGGCCTCCCAAAGCGCTGGGATTACAGGCTGACCCACTGCAACTGGTCAATTGAGCATTTTCTAAGCAGTTCACACTGGGATGGGAAGTAAGGCAATTCAGTAAAATATAGGATCCAGATCTTGCTTTTATGAAGTCAAAATATAGGTAATAGAAAAAACAGTAAAATGACCGTAACTGAGCATTTCCTGTGGATATGCATTTAGCAAGGAACTACATATGTAGGTTTGACATTCACAATAAACCTACCAGAAAAGCATAACCATGCCCACATCACTGGTAAGAAGACTGAAGGCCAGTGGGACCATCACAAAACAAAAAGCTACAAGAACCTTCTCTCCAGCTATCTCACTGCTCTCCAAACCCTCTCTGTGATGCCCTACACTTGTTTGTTCTTGATTTCTTCAATGCACAATGCTTTCAGTTTTTGCTTGAACTTGTGTTCAAAATGTTCCCTCTGCCTCTAGCTGCAGCTCAAATATCCCCTCCTCAGAAAAGGAAGCCTTTCTTGATCATTCATGCCAGGTTGGCCTCTTCTCTTATGTGCTTAGCACTTAAGAAAATCTGTAATTCCCTATTTATTTCCAGGAATATTTGATTAATATCTTTTTCTCCCACTGGATTGTAAATTCCCCGAAGGCACAGCCTGCATGTGTTACACTCTTCACATATCTCCAGCACTTGGTGAAGTGCAAGGCACATAGTAGGTACCCAGTCAACATTGGTGGAAAGAATGACATAGCAGCTATTTGCTGACACAGCCGAGATTGGAATAGAAACATGCCTTTCTACCATGCCAATTTATCTTTATTGTGTATTCATCACCTATTATCAAAATGCATTTGCCATCTTGTGTTATCCTACAAAATAAGGCAAACTAAGCTCTGGTCTTGATGCCTAATTATTAAGTGTTGGTTCATTCACTCACTCATTCATTCATTTGTTCATCATGTATTCAACAAACATCTGTTGACCACCTACTCTGTGCTAGGCACTGTTCTAAGTGCCTAGGATACAACAGTGTACAAAACAGATACAAGTCCTTAGAATGAATGACATTCTGGTCTAAAACATGCTAGTTGACAATCTTGATCCGATTTCTAAGTGTCTGATGTATATGGCTGCATATTTAAGGTTGCATGGCATATTGATGTGCAGACTGATAGACAACTATTAATTAATATAGATATATTAACTATGAGGCCTGTCTATGAAATGATGAGGTAAGTGTAGAGATAAGCCCTCCATATGGATGTATTCAAATGACTGGTGCTTTTCAGGAGCCAGGCATTTATTTCATCCATGTTCACCATGGCTCACCATGTAACTAGAACATCTTTTTGACAGTTGATTTCATGACTGGTTTATGTGCCACAGAAGAAAACTGAGGTTATCACTATGCAGTTGCTCTGCATTTTTGTCCCCAACTTGATGATATAACTGATCCTAAGACTATCCAAAAGAATGTCACTAAAGCCCTGATGGTCACTCAAAAAGAAGAGTTACCCAAATGTTTAAGGGAAGGTCACGTCACTAGAATAGAGACACCACCTTCCGAAGGGACTAATTTCACAGGAGCAGCATACATTGGATAAACATACTTTGGTATGTCCATTTAAAAAGCATATATATATGCCAGCAAATAAGATGTAAAAACAATTCGACATTATTAGTAAAATGAATGCCAATTAAAATTGTATTCTCAATTAGAAGAGATTAAAAAAATTTTTTTGGTAGAGGCTGTCACAGGAACGGCAGTGTTACACACTCCTGAGGGAAGAGATTTGTAAATTATTATAAATTTTCAGAAGGGCAGTTTGTTCACATGGTTATAGAATATGGATTCTCTAAAATGTTCACATACTTTTTTTTACATATGTAATTATGCCTTGGGAAAACAATCACATAATTTTGACAAATAATTTTTGAAAAAAATAATTTTTTAAATAATGTAATGTTTATTTTTATCATAATACAGAAACAGAACAAGTCAAATGCAGTGCTAATAATAGAAAACAGCATTATGCATTGTAGAAGCAGAAAAAATGAATGTGGGAAAGCCTAAATGCAGTGGAAAGCAGTGAGATGAAGCTGGAGAGAAGGTTCTTTCAGCTCCCTGCTTTGCGATGCTCCCATTGGCCCTCAGCCTTCTTACCCGACAGGTGGGGTGTGGTCACACCTACCTGGTATTTATTGTGAATGTCAAACATACATATGTAGTTCCTTGCTGAATGCACGGCTCATAGGAAATGGGCAAATCGTTCATTTGTTATTAGACATCTTTAAACCTTTTAACCTTTAAGAAATACAAGTACATAAAATTGATTCCATAAATGAATGCTCAAAAATGCACTTCTTATAAACAACTTTATGCATTGTGTTTATTTCAAAATGGGTAAGATGTGTTTACCCTTGCATGTTATATAAATTGTAGGTTGAATTTCCAGTAGAATAAGTGCATACATGCTCAGAGGCATATACAATGTTATGAACATGCACTACCTATCAGTAATCTGTAATATTTAAGAATTTTTTTTAAAAAGATGTGAAAGAGACTGGCTAGATAATCCCAGTTGATTCTGATCCCCGATTTCTGCCTATCCTAGTGAACTGCCACCCAGACATAACCATTACTAATTATTTTAGCTACTTCTTGCAGCATTTACACTTTTTAAATACAGTTTGTTGTTTATACAATTTTGAATTGTTTACACACTTTTACCAAGGGATTCACCTGCTAAGAATCTACCTAAAAATATGAGGTACATGCACAAAGATTTAGGCATAGAGATGTTCATCCCATTGTTATTTATAGTAACAAAAATTGCAAGCAACACTTGCTTGAATTGTTTCAATAAATGAAGCATAAATGTACAATAGAGTAAGCAGGTAAATATTAATATATTTAAAAGACATAGCAATAAATAACTATAAATTGATATGTAATAGAATATTGAGATGATATTTGAACAGTAGTTGGTATTTTGAAGCATTTTGTTGGTGTATTCTTTTTAACACTGAAATTATCTTTTACATGTTTGCTTATAAACAGAATAATAAGCACTGTTTTGTCTATTTTTATATAATCTTTGGGCTTTGGTTTCATATAAGGTAGTGTGGAGCAGTAAAGGGGTTAAAGGAGGTACATGTTCTTATATCTGGGAAAAGTCATTGCCTTTTGTCCACTTCTGTGTGTGGGAGACATCAAAAGGGGTGATGATAATGCATTTGCATAACAGAAGGAAGTTTGACTAGCGACTCCTTTAATCATAGGGTATGATACATGGGAAGGTCTAGAGGGAACTGATATATAAATAAGGTACCAGAGCCTGGGAGCTCAGAGTCCCCAAGTAGGCTAGTGGTCACATTTAGTAAGGTTGGTGGAGGCAGCGAAGAGGAGCATGAACATTTAGGCAGGGTTCAGAGAAAGCAGGCAGGTAAGAGATTCAGCAAAAGTAGTACTCGCTATAGGGTTAAGGAACAGGGATTATCTGGCAGGCTCTCTGCTCTCAACAACATATGACTGTGATGAAAGACGTGGGTCTCTACACGTCCAGTGGTTTTACTTTGAAGATGCCTAAGGGAGAATTCTGTCCCAATCAAGATAGGGTCAGAAACTCTGGGATGATCTTATTGGCAGAACAAGGTAAGGGGGGAATAGAGGGAAGCAAGGCAGAGCTGTCCAGTAATGAATGGGTTTTGAGTGAGAGGAAAAGTACCTTGGTCTTATCCAACATGGAGAAAAGATGTGAGTAGAACCAGTTTGAGAAAATAATATAGGAATCTAAGGAGCAGGCAGTTGGAAAAGTTCAGATGAAAGATGACCCAAAAATATACTAAGATGGATTTAGGAGATCTTAGCAAGAATTGGCAAAAATCTCTTCATGGCCTACAGACATATGGCTGTAGGCTGAGTCCACCTAAACCAACTTAGTTTTTTGTTGTTGTTGTTGTAGGGTAGTGAATGGTAGATTGATTCATTCTCGTCTCAAATTTACATCATAAAAGTTTCCTCAAAGCTGGGCATGGTTCATCTCATGATGACATGAAAATCATGGGTATTGGGATAAGTCTGTCAATGCTGCCCCTAAACCTCAGTTCCTTGTTGTACAAAGGCTTATTCCTTTTTTTTCTTTACTTTTTTTTAATTGACATATAATAACTGTACATATTTATGGGGTACACAGTGATGATGCAATACATATATAGTGATCAGATCTGGGTAATTAGCATATCCATCACCTCAATCATTCATAATTTCTTTGTGTTAGGAACATTCAATATCCTCCTTGTAGCTATTTGAAACTATATACTATTGTTAACTACAGTCATCCCACAGTGCTATAGAACACTAGAACTTATTCATCCTATCTAGCCGTAATTTTGTATCCTTTAACAAATCTCTCCCTATTCCTCCCTTCTTTTACCATTCCTAGTTTCTCCTATTCTCTGTTCTATTTTTTGTTTCTGTGAAATCCACTTAAGACATCTTTAGACACCTTCCATCTTGACAAGTTGCCATCTTCAATACATGGCCTTCAGAGGTGCCCAGGAAAGGGGCAACAGAGAGTGAAGGACCATGCAGGGAATTTTATGGTCAGGTTGAGAAGTGGTAAAGGCTGGGAAATGCAGTCTTTCTGAGTGCTCAGGATGAGAAATAGGACGGCAGTAGTTTTCAGTGTGTCGTCCCACATCAATAGCATTGGAATCTACTGGATCTTGTTAGAAATAAAATTCATAGGCTCCAATGAAGACCTACCAGATCAGTGGCTCAGCAATCAGTGTTCCAACAAGCCCTTCAGGCGATTCCAATGTACATTAGAGTTAAAGAACTACCAGCCTAAGTGATTATCTAGCCAGTCTCTTTCACATCTTTTTTGTTAATTCTTAAATATTACAGATTACTGATAGGTAGCGCATGTTCATAAAATTGTATATTCTTCTGAGTATGTATGCATTTAGTCTACTGAGAATTAAACCTTCGATTTCTACAATGTAAACACATCTTACCTATTTTAACATGATGCATAAAGATGGTTATAAAAAGTGCATGCATTTTTGAGCATTCATTTATGGAGTCAAATAATTTTATGCACTTGTAAGCATTTCTTAAAGGTTAAAAGGTTTAAAGATGACTGGTAATAGTTGAACCATTTGCAGAAACTCAAAACAAGCCAGAGTAGAAATGCTGATGACAAATTAGAAGCAGGATTATATAGACTAAGATGGGAATAAAACCCTGGGACAAAAACTATATAAAAACCTTAAGGAGAAAGAAAAACTTTTTGAAAATGCAAAGAGCAAAAGGTGGTGGGGTCACTAGATGTGAATAACTAGCAAGCTGTAGTCAACATGGGGACCTATAACATGCAACATATGTTATTATACAACTGTGAACACCATTTAGAATAAAAATGTGAAGGAAAAATTCAAAAAGCTGTCACGATGGAAATGGTTCTCTTGACCCATTGACTAAAACAGTTTCTTCCTTATTAAAATGCTCACTGAGGGTGGGCCGTTCAAAGCCAAAAGGTACAGATACAAAAGCAGCTCAGCCATCATAAGCCCATAAATGAATGCCAGGATGAATCACTAACCAGTACTTAATCATGGACACCCACAAGTTGCTCTGAAAGCTGGAGGACTAGATTCATTAAGCGTTGTCTCTTAAAACAATCAAGTTGTACTTCTGTTTATGGTAAATGTATGCATAGGCAAACTGCCTTAATAGTTCATGAATTATTCTTCAGAACTGCTAAAATGACATCTGTCGTGATGGATATATTTTATTTTTTATTAGTTTTTAAATTATGAAAGTCTTACAGGCTCCTGAACAGAAGTGATCCATATGGATGAATACAGAATAAAAGTCAACATTCTCCTCTTCTGCATTTCTACACTTCTCAGATGGAATCATTGCTACTAATTCTTTATGTTATTCTTACAGAAATTCCTTACAGGTAGAGTCCATGACCAGTATTTTAGAAACATCTCATTTCAAACAGGTATCTTAATAGGCTGTCACAAAGAAGGCAAAGATAATACACTGAGAAGATGGCAGTGAAAACTGAGAAAATTTAGAAAGCTCGGGCTAGGGACAATAATAAGACCAGTATATAAATACACAGATACTAGATTCAGGTAAAACTCTTCACAACATTTTCTAGCGCCAGATCTTTGAGAGTTTTTTTTTTTTTTTTTTTTTTTTTGCTGGAGCAGATTAAAAGAGCAGAGGACCAAAGAGAGAAAAATTAAACCTCCATCTTATTCATGGGAGCTTCAGGAGAATTTGGATGCCTTTCAGGGAACAACAGGGAAACCCCCTCACCTTCAGTTGTTCACTTTTCTTGAATTGTTAAGGTCGCATCTTGTATTGTGAACAGTAGCATCTCGAATTTGTAGCCACATTCATTTAGTTCTTTGCTCATAAATTCATTTATAATGTGTTTATTGAGTATGTACTGTGTGACATTAGCTCTGATTTCAAAGAGCTTACAACAGAGCTAGATAAAACAAGACCAGGATATTTAGAACATTTGGAGAATAACGAGAGGATATATAATAAAGGGCTAAACTGAATATAATTAAATGTCAGCCTGCATGGTGCCATGAGCAACAGTTAATTAAATCCAGGCCATAATCCATGTCCTGGTTCTAAGAAAAGAGTCTCCTACAATCTCTTACTTTCCACTGTAACTAATACCTGGAGTTCAGTCCAGTAACGTAATTTAGCAATGGCTATATTTCCATGCTCAAAAGGGAACTCTGTTGATCTTGAAATGTGTATGTGTGTTTAAAAATGTCTATTTAATTTTGGGGGGAGGAAAGGTAGCTTTGATTGCACTTGGTGATTGAGTCTTCAAACTTAATGCTTCTGGGAAAAAGATAGCATAGACTCATAAAATCCAGAGAGAAGTCCAAGAAATCAGTAAGACCAATCCTTTACCTCCAGGTGGGATAGAACCTCTGACCTATTATCTAGGCAAAAAATTATAGTGAAATTCTCATATATCTTTTCTCCCAGCATATATTAAATCAAAGTGCAACTAGGCATCTGTTATTGGAGCATTATAAAGCCGTATGTGATATTCACTAATACTAAATGCCTGGAAGGAAACTAAGTTAATACATATGGCTTTAAATTTACAAGTGAAGACTCATCCATCATCAAAGACCCAGAATGCTCACTGCCGTCACATTAAAAATAACTTACAAAAGATATGTTTTCATTTGTGTATCATCCCCTTCAACACAGGAAAGCAAGAGAAGGATATGTGTGCATTTCCTGGACTTGATCTGGAGCATGCAACACATTCTACAAAGGGATTAAAGGGCCTGAGGTCTCTTAGACACGTTGTGCCAATTTCATGTCAGAGACAACTTAAGCTGTGGAGTCTTCAAATGAATGGTACTTATGCATCCTGCCAAAGTCATAAGCATTACTGGAGGTTCTTATAAACAAGAACAACAACTGTACATTAGGGACAGATAGAAGACAGTTCTGGAATGGAATCCTGTGGTGATATCCCAAATACTGTATGGTTTCATTTACCGGAAGAAAGAACATGCAGCCCATATTCTACTTCACGTATCTGATTAGAGAGGCATTACCAAGAGCATTTGTTTCAGAATTCTACGATTGACAAAAGAGAAAGAGGAAACAAAATCCTCCTCTGTCTTCATTGTTGGCAGGGCCTTCTTAGGATCGCAAAAACAAAATTTCTTTCTCTTCTAATTTTGACCTTTTCTGTTTGGCAGACGTTGACTTTTTTTTTTCCTGACTGTGTTTCTAATGGAGCCTGAAATTAACATGGCGTTTTGTTTACCTCCTAATTTGTGTGCTGCCATCATCAATGTTGTCAGCATAGTTCTGGGAATAGGGTTTGTTTCTGCTTCTCTTGAGCCAGCAAAGGAAGAAATGCAGAAAAGGCTGCTCTACTCATCCCATTCCAGTTTAAAATCCTCTTCTTTTCACAGAAATGGTCTTAGCCAAGCAGGCAATGACCTTCTGCATTGTTGGCTATAAAAGCCCGACAACGATCTTCGAGTGCTTATCCTCGATGACATTTATGGGCTGCTTTTGACACAGCTGAGTATTCCCTGACTCCCCTCTATTCTCTGTTCACATGGTACCCAGAAATCGAGCCTTCCTAGTTGTCTTCATCCTTCAAAGGATGCCTTGTGGGCCCGGGTTCTCCGCTCTTCTCCTATTCTTTGGTGAAGCTACCTATTCCAAGTCTTCAGGTGCTCCCTATAAAGAGAGGACACTCGATTCTTCCTGAATTTTTTATTTTGCCTTCGCTTTCTCACACTAAGTTATGCTTATGCTTCATGGTCATATCAAGCTCAGTTTGGGAGATGGGGAGATAATATTTCTTCTGTGAGAAAGTGTTTTGAAATGTCACAACAATTTTTAGAAACAGAGATGGGTTTTGCTTTGGTCTTTAAGTCTTCCTAGTCTTTTGATCCCACTGTTTTGTCCATTAGTCAGCTTCTATTATTTCATTACCAATATTCATCTTCTCCAGAAGCATTTTTCAATCAGTAAATACATTTGAAAAGCATAAGAACCTCTTTTTAAAAATGACTTATCCAGTGGCTCACGCCTGTAATCGCAGCACTTTGGAGGCTGAGCCGGGTGGATCATGAGGTCAGGAGATCGAGACCATCCTGGTTAACACGGTGAAACCCCGTCTCTACTAAAAATACAAAAAAATTACCCGGGAGTGGTGGTGTGCGCCTGTAGTCCCAGATACTCGGGAGGCTGAGGCAGGGGAATGGCGTGAACCCGGGAGGTGGAGGTTGCAGTGAGCTGAGATTGTGCCACTGCACTCCAGCCTGGGCAACAGAACGAGACTCCATCTCATAAATAAATAAATAAATAAATAAATAAATAAATAAATACACAAATAAATATAAACTTTTTAAAACTTAAAAAGTACTATTTTAACCTTTTAAAAATGTACAGCTCAGGCCAGGTGCAGTGGCTCATACCTGTAATCCCAGCACTTTGGGAGGCTGAGGCGGATGCATCACTTGAAATCAGGAGTTCAAAACCAGCCTGGCCAACATTGTAAAACCCTGTCTCTATCAAAAATACAAAAATTAGACAGGTGTGGTGGTGGGCGCCCATAATCCCAGCTACTCGGGAGGCGGAGGCACAAAAATTGCTTGAACCCGGGAGGCGGAGGTTGCAGTGAGCCAAGATCGCACCACTGCACTACAGCCTGGGCAAAAGTGACTCCCTGTCAAAAAAAAAAAAAAAAAAAAAAAAAAAAAAAGTCCAGTTCAGTGGCATTAAGTACGTTCACAGTGTTGTGCCACCATCATTGCTATCCCTTTTCAGGACTTTTTTATCCCAAGTAGAAACTCTGAACCTGTTAAATAATTATTCTCCATTGCTCCCTAATCTCCAGCCCCAGACAAGCTCTATTCTACCTTCCATTTCCATCAATTTGCCTAACCTAGGTACCTCATATAAGTGGAATCATATTTGTCCTTTTGTATCTGGTTTATTTCACATAGCATGTTTTCAAGATTTCTCTCTGTTATAGCATGAATCAGACTTTTATTTCTTTTTATGGCTGAATATTTAATTGTATGTATATACCACATATTGTTTACCCATTTGTCTGTTGATGGACATTTGGGCTGTTTCCACCTTTTGTCTATTGTGAATAATGCTGCTGTGAACATTGGTGTACCAGTATCTGTTTGAGTCCCTGCTTTCCACAGAAGGACACTCTTTTGCTTTACAAATGTATCAACTTCATCCAGAAATAATGTCTAGAAAGGTCCCAGTGATTACTAATCTATCCAGGTCCACAACTTGGGTTTGGGTGTTGCTCCAGTCACTCACCTGTTTGCTTTTAGATCAGTGCTTTTTCCTTCTTTGCCTACTCTGTTTGCCTGGGATGACATTGCCTAGACTCCCTTGCGCTACACCTTCCAGGTAGTTTTAGCCAATGTGAAGCATTGGAAGGAGGCCGAGGGACAGAAGAGGGAATATCCCTCTCTATATATCACTTTGCTTCTGGTGGCGTCTTTGGCAGTGGCTGCATCTCCTCCTGGTTCCAGCTCCTACTACAACAGTCCACTGGGTTCCAAGTTCTGCCAGGCAGCCTGTTACTTCGAGGTTCTGCCTTGTCCTTTGTCCTTCCAGCTTCAGGGAAGGTAGAAACTTCCTACTGTTGCTAATTTCTGGGCTGCCTCAGTTTTGAAGTTTCAATATTCAGCTCTTTTATCATTTGTGCTGTCAATTCCTTCCATTATGTTCCTTCTTTTAAAAACACTTGGAGTGGCATCTGTGTTCCTGACTAGAACCTCACTGATGAATCTTCTACTGGAGAAAGAAGTTTCAAAGTTTCTTAGGCCATAGAACCTGTGGTAGTGACTCCTGGTTGTCCTCAATATATAATCCATCTAATATGAATATTTAGCTGTGATTCTGCCTCTCAGCCTCTTTTGTAGTTTAGCATGGCCATGTGAACAAGTTCTGGCAAAAGTGATGGAATCAGATGTGCTGGATGGATGACTCTAAACCTTCTTTAAAAGTCAGCTGTTCCATACCCTCTGTACTTCTTCCCCTCTTCTTCCTGTGGCTTGGAGCATAAATGTGACCACTGGAGTTCCATCCTGGAACATGAGAACAAGGACTTCATTCTAAGGAGGGCAGGACCAAAAGCTAGAAGGAACCTGAGTCCTTGAGAACTCTGTGGAGTAAAGCCACCACCCCAGCCCTGCTCTTCCTACCTCTGCAATTTTACATGAGCAGCAAATAAAATTCTCTTTTGTCTAAGCTGCTGCTATTTTGAGTCTGTGCTTATTGCAGCTGAATCCTAACCGATTCAGGATCCAAATCATGAGCTCTGTGTCTGTCCTAGACTGCTGATGAACTTTCTGGTACCTTTCCTTACTTCATTAAAGCAAGGTCCTTGATCTTCCGATCTTATCCTAAGTTTTTGCCTTCTCCTGTTTATACTTAGAATTGACGTATCCTCATCTGTGAAGCTTTCAAAAAGCTTTATTCCTTTTAAGAGCTTCTGCTTTGCCTACTAAGTTTTCTCTGAAAGCAGGGTAAGATCTGGCCACTGACCAAGCTGATATCCAACCTAGAAAATGATTAAAGCCTGAATGTTAGGGAATTTTTAATTAAAAGCCTGGGAACATTGTTCCTTGGGTATTAATAAAGTCAGTAAAATGGAGAACCAGCATGACCTAACATCACAAGAAAGGCCATTAGTGTCCTAGTCTGCTAGCCCCTCTTCATGGAGCTGATGGGCTGTAACTGCACCTAATGACTGCCAAGCATACATAAATCTCACCTATACTTTATTCAAGTGGGTGTCAATTAGAAATGTGGACTTCTGGAATGGTGGCTCCCAAATGTTGTTGTGTGTGAAAATCATTTGGGGAAATTTGTCTGAAATGAAGATTCATATCCTTCCACTCATGATTTAGTTGGATGCGGTGGGGGCCATAAGCTATCTGTTCAAAAGGACCCCAGGTGCCTCTAAAGCACATGGTCTATGGACCACATGATGAGAAACATTGCTTCTGGGAAGCTCATAAATGCTGTAAAGCAGCCACAAGTGAAGAGAGCTGTCATCAGCTGGGGGTGGGATTAGAGAACATTAATTGATGTCTACCACATGCCTGGGGCTCTGCTAGGCATAATTCAGACATCAACTTAGTTTATGCCTACAATAAACCTGCATAATTATTATTGTTACCCTTGTTTTACAGTGAGCAACCTGAGGCTCAGAGAAATTAAGCAATTTGCCTAAAGTTACAATGCAGCTTCAAAGCTGGGGGTGTGTGTGCTAAATACATTCTGTTTATTCCTCTGTACAGTTTGGCTCTATACACTTGTTCATCGTGCTTTGCGCTCCTAGATGCTGACCTGTACAGAGGGATGCTCTGCCTCTGGCTTTTGTTTGGGTTGGGTTCTGCCAATGTGAAGTGCTGGGAGAAGACTGGAAAGAAGGAGAAAGGCGAGGTCAGGGTATTTCTTCCCCCGGCCTCCTTCACTGTAGGTGGCCATGGCTGCTGCCCTTGACCAAAGGTCACAGCCCTTATGACAGCCCTCTTTCCACGTGACTGTTTTCTTCCAAGTTCCTGTAACTGTTCCCCTTCTGCTAGAGAGAACATCAGGCCTCATGCTGATAACTGGTAATTCCTGTTTTCCTCTCTAGCTAGGATGAGGTAGTATGCTAACCTTTTGTTTCTCTACAGCTTGTCCTTCATTTTGTAAACATAGTCATTTCTTCATTAAATTCTCCAAATCACTCACTCATTTGAGCGTTCCATTTGTTTCTTGCTGGGAACCTGATACAGGCTGTTTGGCTCTGAAGTCTTCCTCTTTCCACTCTTCTACACCCCCTCATTTCACCTTCCTCACATAATAATTGTGATGATGGTGATGATGACGATGGCAATGATACCAAGACACTTACTGTATGAGCACTTATTATATGCAAGGTGTTGTGCTGAGAACTTTACATAAATGATCTTATTTAATTTCCACAACTACCCTATGCATTAGGCACTGCTTCACTCCCATTTTGCAGGGAGGAAAATGAATTTCAGAAATTAAGTAATTGACCCCAGCAGAACCGGTAAATGTTGGTGCTGAGATATGAGCAATACTCACTCCTTCTACCAGGCATCAGGGCCATCATCACACAATATTTTCCCAGCTAAATGTGTGAGTAAAATTCTTGAAAATAAAGATGTCGAAAAGTCGATGTTACTTATTTTTCAGGCTTGAATCAGAAAAAAATGCCTTCCATTTCAAAAAGGAATATGTTGTACACATGACTTTTTTTTTTTACTTTCTCCATCACAACTTAGTTCAGACCCCTCTACTGCACAGATGGCAAGTTCTAATAGCTGCTTAACACGCCTCCAGCCTCTCCCCATTTTATTCTGCACCCTGCTTGTCACACCATCCTATAAATGTTCTTAAAATTTATTTTGATTATGGTCATGCTTCTGGAAATAATCAATATAATTCAAATGATTACTTCTAGGAAAAGCCCAAATTTTAGGTAATACAAAGACTTCAAGGATAAGATCTTTCTTGATTCCTAAATCTTTTATTATTATTATTTCAATAGGTTTTTGGGGAACAGGTGGTGTTTGTTTACATGAATAAGTTCTTTAGTGGAAATTTCTGAGATTTTGGTGCACCCATCACCTGAGCAGTGTACACTGCACCCAAAGTGTAGTCTTGTATCCCTCACCCTCTTTCCACCCTTTCTCCTGAGTCCCCAAAGTCCATTGTATTATTCTTCTGCCTTTGTATCCTCATAACTTAACTCCCACTTATGAGTGAGAACATACAATGTTTGGTTTTCCATTCCTGAGTTACTTCACTTAGAATAATGGTCTCTAATTCCATCCAGGTTGCTGCAAATGCCATTATTTCGTTCTTTCTTATGGCTGAGTAGTATTCAATGGTGTATATATATATTTGAGATATATATGTGTGTGTGTGTGTGTGTGTGTGTGTATGTGTATTATCACATTTTATTTATCCACTTGTTGATTGACGGGCATTTGGGCCAGTTCCATATTTTTGCAATTGTGAATTGTGCTCTTACAAATATGCATGTGCAAGTATCTTTTTCATATAATGACTTCTTTTCCTCTGGGTAGATACCCAGTAGTGGGATTGCTGAATCAAATGGTAGATCTGCTTTTAGTACTTAAAGGATTATTCCTAAGTTCTTTTTTCAGACTTGAATATGACTACTCCCTTATATATTCAGAAGCCTAAAAAATCCAACCTATAGGCCTTTGCTTACAGAGTTATCTTTGCTTAGAATTCTACTCCTTCTCTTAAAAATTCCATGAAGGCCTCCCTTACCATCTTCACTTAGCTCCTGGGTCTCTGATGACATTAGTCCCATATTTTCTGTCTTGTGTTGCCACAATTTATGCTCATGCTTAAGGACATTAATTCCTCTCTCCCTACTGTGCTCCTCTCAGCATATTCCTGTATCCATGACACAAAACAGACCTGCATTCTTTAAACATACTCTCTGGTTGCAGAGACCATTGAAGGTACTTAATAATTATTAAAGGAAAGAAAGCTTTACAGCTTCCCCTACTTTCCTTATAGAACAGGAAATTGACACCCAAGATGTTTGTTGTCACTTTCAAGAATGAGGACAGGAAGAGGCACTAACACTTTTGCTGATGCTGTTTTTCCTGCTTAGAATGTTTTTCTTCTATGTGCCTCTTTAGACTCTATTCATCCTTCAACCCCAGATATTGCCTCTCTAATCACACAAAAAAATCACTCCTTCCTTTGTGCTGTTTCCTTTGTTTGGTCTCCTTTTTTTTCCACTCATGCCTCAGACCTAATATTGTTGGTTTATCTGCTTGCTTTTCTACCTTGATGAGTATGTGGTGTTCAGTATCTATTCCAGTCTGTCTCTAGTGTGCCTTATTGTACTGAAGAGGCTGTAAAGCCAAAAACTAAATTTGCAAGACTCCTTTGCAGCTAGATTGTAGGTTCAGCAAATTAGATTGTCTTTTTTGAGATTTGGATAGAGAAAGTGAGGTGGAGGCTGCACATCCACAGCTGTGAAAGACACTGAGTTTTCTGTGGCAGAGCTCTGAGGAACAGCCAGGACTACATGGGTATCCAGAGGCAGTTGCAATGCTGGTGGTTTTCTGATCCCTGGATCACTGCTAAGGTGGGTATGCTCTTGACTTCAATGATTTCCCTAGGATTCTCCTGAATGCCTACCTTCTCTTGTTGAGGCAGAGAGAGAGTTGCTGTCCTCACAATGTCAGACGGGTGGTCTTGTTCAGAAGTCATTTCTAGAATGCCAGCAAAGAACTTGGACTTCCTCTAGCGCTTCCAACAATTTCCTAAGCATCTAATTCCCTATATTAACTACTTTCTGCTGAAAATAACTCATGTGGTTTCTATTTCCTTCACCTGAGCCCTAACTAATATTCCTACCAGATAGATAGTTTGTTGAGGGCAGGGTCTGTATCTTTTTATCTTTGTATCCTCTGTATCTTGAATGGCACCTATGACATAGTAGAAAGATTTTAATGCATGTTTATAGGAATAAGCATTTGGCTAGTCTCCACAATACACTAAATGTTCTCTGTTACCTCATTAATTCTCACAACAGCTCTATGAAGTCAGGGTAATTAGTCTCATTTTACAAGTACAAAGGTGAGGCTCAGAAAGATTTAGCAAACTGCTCAAAGCATCTGATACAGAGCCTAGTAGCTGTTATCAGACTGCAGGGAAAATCTGCAGCCTTCGAAATCCTTGCTCTTTTTATTGCAGTATTGCTTCCTTATATGATAAAAGGATTTCTGAAGAAAAAAAATGAAACTTGGGTTAGGGTCATATACATTTGAGAGCAAGGGTTAGCAAACTATGGCCTGTGGCCAAATCTAACCCACTACCTTTTTTTATGAATAAAGTTTTATTAGAACACAGCCAAGCACATATTCATTTACATATGTCTGTGGTTGCTTTTGTGCTACCACAGCAGAGTTGAGTCATGGCAACAGAAACTCTCTGGCCTACAAAGCACGAAACACTTACTATCTAGCCCTTTATAGAAAGTTTGCTGATCCCTGTTTAGAGCATCTCTGTAACATATAGTTATGCTAGGCTTATCCAAAGTTTCAGATGAACTTTGAAGCAGGTCTAGGTGATTGAAAACAAGACATAAATTCTGAGGCTCATATGCACTTGGAGTCTATGTAGTGGCCTTGGCCTTATTAAGTCTCTCAGAAAAGAATGTTCTTTTTGGTTTTCTTAGTTGGCTTATTTTTCTTCTTCCGTCTCTGCAGCACACCCATCCTTCTCAGAAACTCTGTTTTCCTCAGCTCTTTATTTTCTCTCCCTGGAAAAGCTACCCTTTCACTTGATTTCAATAATCACCATCCTTTTTTGATCACGAAGGCTTTTTCTCTAATTAATTCCCTTAAACACCTCCAATCATATCTCCAACAGTGTCAATTATTGCTGGTTTTATATTTTACTATGACCTCACACTCAGTAGGTCCAAAAGGCAGTTAATTATGTATCTTCTCTTCAGTGTTCCGTCTTTACTACCATCCTGTGATTCTTCTCATATTTGGGCTTGACATCAGTTGGCCTCCTCAATCTTATTTTGCCTTAGAAATGTGCCCACATCTTGCTATTTCCTCTTCATTCCTGGGATCACTACACCTTTACACATTTTCACCATCTCATATCTGGATTATTTTAATCACCATGTAGAGGTCTCTCCCTTTCCCTACACACCCTGCAGTGCTCTCTTAACCTTTAGCAATTGCTACTTTTATCATGTTATATAGCTTTGCAGAGCTTTTGGCTGTTTATCTGTTCTTGCATCAAATATAAACACCCTCTGACTGCTGCTCTACACTATGCCTGTCTCTGAATGCTTCAGAAGTTCATAGACAAAATCTGTCAGTTCCAGCCTCTGTTGCTGATTTTTACTTGAAAGGCCATCCTCATCCCCTCCATGCCTCTGATCTTCACATCCCTCCAGACCCAGATCATGTCCCATCTCATGAATATTTACAGGGCCACTTCCTCTTCTCTTTTGTTCTGTTGTCTAAACTCTTATAGTCTTTACAACATTTATTTATATATTGTCTTAGAATATCATTTGATATGGGGTAGTCTTTTCTCCTCCTCATTTAAATATGGTTCTACCATCCCCACCATGGCCATCTCCAACTACAGCTTTTATTAAACCACTTGTAGAGTGAATATCCATGCAGGACAGGCTCTCTGTATTTTTAATGTGTTATATCTAATACAACAACCTTTTGGATAATGATTTTATCTAAAGTGTGCAATTGAGGAAATTGAGGTTTAGAAAGGTTAATAGTGAGTCCAAGTAAGAATCATCTAGTAAGAATCAGAGCTAAGTTCAAAGGGCTAACTTCAAAATCCCTGATCTTCCCAGACTAAACTCATAGATGACACAGAGACTGAGCAAGGGAAGCTTAGTTACCTTGACTTGGTATTAAATGAAATAACAGTATTCCCATAGTTACTACTAAGGAATCTTGTCCTTTCTTAAGATGACTAAACCACATTGGTAGGGAGACAACCATAGAAAAACTGAGAATTTGCATCCACAAAGAGGAGATTATATTACATAGGTCTCAAAATTGGAGTTTTCCCTCCATCAAGAGCCACTGGTACAAAACCATTAATGGAAGTATTTAAGAGATGCCCTCTCTGTCACATATCTGCTGTGGGATTTAAGGAAGGAATTTTCTCTTCTAAACACTCACACATCCAAACTAGAAATCCATGTGGAATATAAGCCACGTTATGCCCCTATATTGACATATTAGTTCAAAACTCTGATGGCATGCAGTTGTGAGAGCAGCAGGGAGGAAAATTATATAACCTGATGGCAACTTGATAATTTATACTTTGAGATAACTTATTCTGGATTTTCCTCACTTGTATTTCTCCACTTGGCCACGTACAAAGCAACAGCTGCAGTGGTCGTTTTGGAGTTCCTCCAGGATGTGAATGTGAGACCTGCCAATCTTCCCTCCTCCTTTCCTGCAGGTACCTACCTGCAGTGACTCTATTGGCAACCCCAAAGTGCTAAAGTTTATCAAGAAGTATGTGGAAATTAACAAAGAATTCTTTCTGTCTATAGAAAGCATGCTATATTGGGACCTTTCGGTATAGCAGACAGAATGTGTAACAAGAGACTAAAAAAAGCAATATGGTTCCTCCAAGCAGATAGTGGTGGCTGGGGGTAGAAGTGAACCAGAGACAGTTAGTTTATATACCTCTGAAGAGAACATCTCCTGTGATCCCATTATTGCATTTTTTCCTAAGTCTGAAATATTTACCCTGGTTTCTATGATTTAATGGAAAGAAAAAACGCTGAAATGCATAAAGGTTTTCATTTCTGATAGAAATTTGGTGATTATCTAGTATTGAAATTTGGCTATTTTTTGACATGTGCTTGTGTGTGTGTATGTGTGTGTGTGTAGAGGGAGAGAGGAGATGGGGGGATCTCATGCTGATGAATAATTCTGAATTTTTACTTGAAAGATATTTAAAGTAAAGGTTCTTGAGGAGGTGATTTGTGTCTTTAATCTTGCTCAAATGTAAAATAAAGTGTAATTCTAAACATCTTTAAATGTTCCTAATTTCAGATCTCACTATCCTCATTAACTTAAAATCAAGGAACAAATATAGGCTTGGCATTTTCTATATATTTTTTCTGTATCTGCTAAACTATTTTAATTCATAAATTCTATAGCATAAAATAAAATGGAAATACCATTTGTTAAGCAGGGTAATGTGACTCAGTGGTTGCCAGTGGAAACCTGAAGATATAAAATATACCAGCTTTCTTCTTTTTTTAACTTTTTATTTTGAAATAATTATAGACTCACAGGAAGTTTCAGATAAGTGTACAGGGAGGTCCTGTGTGTATCAAAATGAAGAAACTCACATTTATATAATCAATCAATTTTACAAGCACTTGTGTGTGTGTTTGTATGTGTGTGTGTATTTCTATGAAATTTTATCACATATGTGGCTTTGTGTAACAAAGATACAGAGCTGTTCCATTACCTACAGGATTTCCTTGTGCTATACTTTCATAGCCACATCCATCCCTCACTCACCATCCCTGACCCCTGGCAACCAATAATTTTTTTTGCCATCTCTATAATTTTGTTATTTCAAGAATGTTATGCACATAGAATCATAGAGTATATAACCTTTTGAAATTGGCTTTTTCTCCACTCAGCATAATTCCCTTGAGATTTTTCCAGTTTGTTGCCATGTTTCAGTAGTTTGTTCCTTTCTGTTGCAAAATGATATGCCATGGTGTGGATGTACCACTGTACATCCTTACACCCACTGAAGGATAACCTTACACCCACTGAAGGATATTGGATTGTTTCCAGTCTTCGGCTATTACAAATAAAGCGGCTATGAACATTATTATACAGGTTTTTGTATGAACATAGGTTTTTATTTTTTCTGGGACAAATGTCCAACAGCGTTCTTTTTAAAGAAAAGAAACTTCTTAAAAACTTTTTATTTCTGCCTTATGCAGTAAGTAGAATAATAAAACTAACTTCACGTACATATTTACCTAGTGTCTTCCTACTCATACTTAGTTGATAACTATGTTATCTCGCCTCTTGGAAAGATTCTTTTCCTCTGTTTTCTGACCAAAAGCTTTAGAGGACTGGCTTGGTGTTTCATTCTTATGGAGACATGCTCACATGGAACCACTGCCATTTGCTTTTGGTGAATGCTGTTAATTTCTCAACTGCTTTTTGTAGCTCATCTGAAATAACAATAACAAAATTCCCAAAAAGTGCAAAGTCTCATTCCTGTGTTCGAGTTTTAAAACTCTGAAACCTAAAGATAAACTTAACCACATATCAAAATATCAGGTCAATATAGATATTCACCTTGAAATTATAGGCAATTACCCTAATTTGCATGAATAGCTTCCCCCAGATCTCCTAAATTCCTGAGTTTAGATTTTCCCAGGAGAGAGTGAGAGATCCATCACCTTATCCTTTGTAAGGCATCTGTGGGGTGAAGAAGTTTCTCTGAGCCAAGAGAGAGCCATGGATTCTGTCATGAATTAGGCACTGGGAATGGGATCATGGGAAGTGAGAGTGATGAAACATAGACTTGTTACTCATATGTGGTTCCTTGAGGGCTCGGGATAAGTGTCTTAAAATAGTTATTTTGGAATAAACCTCACAGCATTTTAGATGCCATCAGAAGGTTAGAAAAAAAAACTTCCAGAAGCCTCCCATTAGGGACAGTGGAGGGAACCCAAAGCTGAACTACCCACCTAGGAAGGGGCTGAGGAAGGAAAAACTGCTGCAGGCTGAAGAAGCGTCCACCACTGTGGGACTGTTAGAAACTTCTAGGGGGTGCTGGTTGGTGGGGGCAGCATCTGCTGAATGGAGTTATTACCAGGTTTCCCCCTGAGAGCTGCAGTCCCAACATCAGAATGAAGAGATCTAACTGCTTAGAGATTTCTGTTACCATCTTCTTTTTGATGTGAATTACTCTTGAAATGCCGGAGAAGGGACAAATTTCAAAAATAAAATGAATCATACAAACATTGTCAGCTTATTTTTGCGTAATGGCATTAAAAACAAGCAAAAATTCTAGAACTCTCTCACATGCTGTTCGAAGGAAAGTTTCCCTGAGACTTGAAGGCAACAGATGCCACATACTGAAAGAAGGTAGACGACTACCAGACAAGGTTTGCAAGGGAGGTGGTGTGAAAACCAGTTCCATTATCTTGACCCTCAGCCATATCAAGAGCATATAAAAGTTGGGAGATTGGCCAGGTGCGGTGGCTCATGCCTGTAATCTCAGCACTTTGGGAGGCTGAGGCAGGCGGATCACAAGGTCAGGAGATCAAGACCATCCTGGTCAACATGGTGAAACCCCATGTCTACAAAAAAAAAAAAAAAATTAGCTAGGCATGGTGGTGCATGCCTGTAAGTCCCAGCTACTTGGGAGGCTGAGGCAGGGGAATTGCTTGAGTCCAGGAGTCGGAGGTCGCAGTGAGCTGAGATCATGGCACTGCACTCCAGTCTGGTGATAGAACAAGACTGCCTCAAAACAAACAAACAAAAATTTGGAGCTTATGTTTAAGGAAGATTTATTTAAAACACACAAAATATCAAGTATTTGGGGAGGATGTGGAACAATTAGAACTCCCTTTGACTCCTGGAAGGAGTGTTAACTGGTACAACCACTTGGCGGCACTGGGAGACTCTACTAAAGCTGAACATATGTGTTATGGAATGAATTGTGTCCACTCCCCGCAAAATTCTTATGTTGAAATCCTAACCCCCACAGGGTCTCGCTCTGTCCACCATGCCTGGCTAATTAAAAAAAAGTTTTTTTTTTTTTTTTTTTGTAAAGATGGAGTCTCACTCTGTTGCCCAGGCTGGTTTTGAACTCTCGGCCTCAAGTGATCCTCCTGCCTTGGCCTCCCAAAGCGCTGGGATTACAGGTGTTAGCCACCGTGCCTGTCAGAGATACGAACTTTAAAGAGGTAATTAAATTAAAACGAGGTGATTAGGATAGGCACTAATCCAGTATGACTGATGTTCTTATAAGAAGAGGAAATTTGGACACAGACATGCACAGAGGGAAGACCATATGAGGACACAGGGAGAAGACAGCCATCTACAAGCAAAGGAGAGAGGCCTAAGGAGAGACCACCTCTACAGACACCTAGATCTCAGATTTCTAATCCCCAGAATTGTAAGAAAATCAATGTCTGTTGTTATCCAGTCTAAGGTACTCTGTTGTGGTAGCCCAAGCAAATTAGTATTAATACAATCTACCTGTCCTGTGGCCCAGCAAACCCATCCTGAGTATGTGTCACCAGAGATGCATAAATATGTTCACCCAAAGACGTGTCCAGTTATAGTCAGAGTAGTCCCAAACTGGAAACTACTTAAATACGAGAATTATGGAATGCATAAATAAACTGTGGGATGCTCACATGTTGAACAATTTTGAGTAACGAATAAATGATCGAGAACTGCAGACAATACATGAACCTCATGATGAAAATGTTGAAGAAGGTAGATACAAAGAGTATATAATGTACAATTCGGTTTATATAAAGTATAAAAACAGTTGAAGCTACTCTTTACTATTAGAATTTGGCATTTATCTTTGGGGGACAGTAGCTGGAAGGGTGCAACAAGAAAGGCTTCTGGGGTGCTAGTAATGTTCTATTTCTTGATCTGGGTGCTTGTTGCATAGGTATTCAAATTGTAAAAGTTTGGTGAACTGTACAATTAATATAGGTGTACTTTTCTGTGTTATACTTCAATGAAAATGTTTTAGTGGGAGATTTTTGATAAAGAAAAGTGGGCAAGAATCCTTCATCTCTTAAGTTGCTTGCATTAAATCAGTAAGAAGAAAACAAATAATCTCATCAAAAAGTAGGCAAATGACATGAACAGACGCTTCTCAAAAGAAGATGTACCAATGGACAACAAATGTTTTAAAAAAGTTCGACATCACTAAACATCAGGAAAATGCAAATTAAAATTACAATGAGATACTACCTTGCTCCTATAGGAGTGGTCATTATTAAAAAGTCAAAAAACAATAGATGGTGGTGTGGTTGTGGTGAGAGGGGAATACTTATACACTGCTGGTGCGAATGTAATTTACTACAACCTCTCCGGAAAACAATATGAAGATACCTTAAAGAACTAAAAGTGGATATACCATTTGATCCTGCAATCCCACTAGTGGGTATCTACCCAAAGAAGTTATTATATGAAAAAGACACGTGCACACATATGTTTATTGCAGCTCAATTCACAATTGCCAATGAGTAGATTAAAAAAATATGGGAGATATATGTGTATATATATATATATATATATATATATATATATATATATATATATACATATATACCATGGAACACTACTTGGGCATAGAAAAGGAATGAAATAATGTCTTTTGTAGCAACTTGGATGGAGCTGGAGGCCATGATTCTAAGTGAAGTAACTCAGGAATGGAAAACCAAATACCCATATGTTCTCACTTGTAAGTGGGAGCTAAGCTATGAATACACAGAAGCATACAGAATGATATAAAGAACTTTGGAGACTCAGGATAGTGGGAGGTGGGTGAAGGATATAAAACTACATATTGGATACAGTGTAGTCTACTTGGGTGATGGGTGCATTAAAGTCTCAGAATTCACCTCTATATAAGTCATCCATGTAACCAAAAACCACTTGTATTCCCAAAGCTATTGAAATAAAAAAAATATTAAATTGCTTGTATTTGCTTGAGGGAGAGAAGAAGGCACTCCTTTCTGACCCCAACCCTGGGGAGGGGGCTTCAAGGGACCCTCAAACAAGGTGACATGTGTCTTTAGGAGCTTGAGGGACAAAGTGAGAAATCTAAAGAGCCTGAAGCTGTGGCTAGCTAACTGCTCTGGTGGCAGACTAAATGAGAGATTTTGATGCTGGGGACAGTTTGTCCCCAGGTTTGTCAGGGCAAGGGGCTACAGCAGCATTTCTTGTGGGTAAGAGCTGGACCACCTTGCATGAGAAAGTTAGTATGGAGAAGTGAAGGGCTATCCAGGGAGGCTCCTTAAAAGTAAAAACACACCTCAGCCATAAAGCTGGAGCATTGCTGGAATACTATGAGTATAAACCATAAGGTATAGTTCATAAATATCTACCATGAGTATTCCAGAAACATAAACTTGTACAAGGGCACAGATGCATTTGCCATAGGTGAGTCACCTCCATTAATGGGGGTGGTGGGATGGTGGCAGTGTCTAAAGAAACCATCAAAGAACAAACAGTTGCCACCCCTCAAGAACAAGGGTCAGCTTATGACAGTATTCATCAAGTAAGAACCTTCCTGACCCACTTCTCTCCCTTCACCCTGTTCCAATCATGAAAAAGTCAGAAACTCCTAGTCAGCAAGGGAAGGAGTTCTGTGTGACACTGGCAGAAAAAGGTGACTTGTTTTTCAACATGCTCCACTCTGAGAAGGAGAGGAAACCACTAACATTTGAATTTTCATTCATAACTGAGCTATCAAATTCCTAGCAGAAGTTGTGGCCCAAGTAATTAAAACTACAGAGCAAATTCAAGGGGTTATAAATTGATATTATGCTCCAACCCTTATACTTAGAATACCTGCTTCTCTCCCAGGGCTACACATCATTTTCAGGCCAGATAAGACTCCCTTCCTCCATGATGCAGACGAGGAAGAGCTATGTGTTCAGCAGAAGTAGGGGTGAGAAAGAGGGAGCAACTGAGGGTAATCCTGAGTGATCAGGAAGAGGCTGATGGCAATAATCAAAAGATAGATGCAGGAGAAAAGCGCAGGTTTGGTGTTTGAGATAATATATAAGTTTAAATTTGGTGTCTGAGTTTGAGATGCCTCTGGGATAGAAAGGTGAAAATCTTCATTGGACAGCTTGGCATTCAGGAAGGAAGCTTAGAACTCGCTAGAGTTAGAATCATCAGCATATTGGTGCACTTGGTATCTTAGGAGTAGGTGTGGTTTACCAAGGAGAATACTGGATCATTACTTTTAAAAGAGAGATTAGTGGAGGAGCCTGTAAAGAAACTGCAGAGTAGGTAAGGAAAAGAAGAGTGAATTTCCTGAAGCTGAAGCAAGAGAGCCCCTTGAAGAAATAAAGCGATCAACTGTGGCAAAATTCTACAGATGTCATGGAAAGGAAATATTCAACAGTACTGATTTAACTTCAGAGGACTACAGTGATATTAGAATGGCTATCTTGTGAAAAAAAGTTGAGAGTGAAAGTCCAAAAACATCAGACTGTGGAACAAATGGGACATGACAGAGTACAGGAAATTCACATGGACGACTCTAGAAATCTAGCTTTGTGAGAAAGGAGGGCAAAAGCTTAAATATAGAAAGGGTTAAGGGAAGGGATCCTAATGTTTTCTTGTGCCATGAACTCCAGTGGCAGTCTGTTGAACCCTCTGGGTCTCTTTTCAAGAATGTTTTTATTTTCTTTTTTTGTTTGTTTCTTTCAAGAATGTTTTTAAATGCAAAAAAAGGAAAATAGAAAATTACAAAAATCAACTCGTTATATTGAAAAATCATTGACCAAAATAGTTTTTTAAAAAAACCAAACACTGCATGTTCTCACTCAGAGGTTAGAATTGAACAATGAAAACACTTGGACACAGGAAGGGGAACATCACACACCGGGGCCTGTCGTGGGGTGGGGGGGGTGGGGAGGGATAGCATTAGGAGATATACCTAACGTAAATGATGAGTTAATGGGTGCAGCACACCAACACGGTACATGTATATATATGTAACAAATCTGCACATTGTGCACATGTACCCTAGAACTTAAAGTATAATAAAAATATATATATATATATAAAAATCTATAACAGAACAATGCATGTGTGTCTTTGTCAATGCATTAATTATTGGCAGAAATAATACCATATTTGGAAGTAGTGATGAGTGCAAACAAATGATATCTCTAGGTATCTTCAGCAACCTTTATGTGATAAAAAAATCACCTGTGACCTGGTGACAAAGTCACATGTATTGCTAAGAATATTGAGTTTTGTACCCTACATTTGTAATAAAAAGTTGAATTTCAGCAAGAAGTTGATGAATACATATATAATAACATATATAATATATATGATATATATAACATATATATCATAGATAATAAATATATATATATATATATATATATATATATATATATATATATTCTTCATCAGCCCTCCTGAATTCTTTCCATGGTTCCTTGAGAAAGGAATGGATCCAAGGATCTCAGGTTAAGAATCCCTTGCTAAGGGAAAAGAGGTGTTTTTTTTTTGTTTTTTTTTTTTTTGGTTTTTTTTTAAAGAAAAGTAGGCTTGGCACAGTAGCTCACGCCTGTAATCTCAGCACTTTGGGAAGCTGAGGTGGGCAGATCACTTGAGGTCAGGAGTTCAAGACCAGTCTGGCGAATATGGTGAAACCCCGTCTCTCCTAAAAATACAAAAATTAGCGGGACGTGGTGGCACATGCCTGTAATCCCAGCCACTCGGGAGGCTGAGGCAGGAGAATTGCTTGAACCTAGGAGATGGAAGTTGCATTGAGCCAAGATCACACCACTGCACTCTAGCATGGGCAACAGAGTGTGACTCTGTCTCAAAAGAAAAAATGAAAAGAAAAAGTTGTTCGTAGATAGTGGAAGGTTTTGAGTCTTCCTATGGCAGTATGACAGCATAATGCAGTGTGTAGGGGTAAACTTTGGAGCTACACTCCTTGGGTTTAAATCCTGGCCTTCCTATTTATGAGCTATGTGACATTAGGCAAGCTATTTAACCATTTAATTTCCTTATGCCTCAGTTTCCTTCTCTGTAAAATGAGGATGATAATAATAAGCCCTCTCACAGGTAATTGTAAGGTTTAAATATAAATACTTTAGTTGTTATTAACTTGAACACTTTCTACTCACTCAATACCCTTGGCCACACAGAATGCCTTCAGTTCCTCAATGTGCCACATTCTTCTTCCCCCAGAGCTGCCATTCAAATTGTCTTGCAATCTGGAAGATTATCCCTCCTGTTCACCTTACTGACTCCTCCACCCTTTGGGACTCAGCTTAAAAACCCCCTCCTCAGAAATGCCTTCTCAGAGGTGTCTCTGAAATAGGCCTCCCACAATTACTCTTTCCTCTACCCTTTGGGACTCAGCTTAAAAACCTCCTCCTCAGAAATGCCTTCTCAGAGGTGTCTCTGAAATAGGCCTCCCACAATTACTCTCTCTCTCAGCATTCTTTGTCACAATTTGTGATCATTTTATTGGTTCTTATGTCTGTAGTGGGCTCCATAGTGATGGGGGCTGTGTCTGTCTGGGTCCCCTCTGTTGCTGCATGCCCACCACATAATAAGCTCTTCATAAATATTCATTAAATGAACCACTGAATAGGGAGCAACTGAAGTTATAAGGGAGATCCCTGGCTACATGCCTGTGGGCAGTTCATCAGCTTTTAACGTAGGTATGGGTTTCATTAGTCTGTTCTCAGTCATGTTCTGGAGCTGGTGGAAAGCCAAACACATTACTTACATTAAAATGTTTACAAGACAGCATTTAGCTTTTCTTCATGTACTAAAAAGACCCTTCTCTCTGTCGTAGGCTGAACCAAGTAAAGCTAGACCTGAATATAAAATCCTGGGCTGTGGTATAACAGTTCACATTCACGTAGGCAGTACACATGGTATCCATGGGTAAAGTTTCCACCAAGCCAGTATTTTACTATCCAAGTGATGGAAGAGACATTGATCTAGCATTCAGGAGCCCCACTTCCAGTTCTTGTTTAACTGTTCACGTTTAGCTGGGTGATTTTATGCAAGTCAACCTCTCTGAGCCTTAGGTTTTTAATCTTACATCTTCATCATTTTTTAAATTAAAAAAAATTTAAAAATATTTGTTGTGGCAGAGACTGCTACTCACCAAAATCCATTCTTTCCTTCATAAGACAAGACTATAATTCGAAACTTCCCTTGAAGCAGGTGGGATTCAGGTCTTGCCAACAGAATGTAAACACAAGTGATGTCTGTAACCTGTGTTTACTTGTTGAAGGCCCTTTAGTCAGGCTGGAACGGCAAGGACTGGAGCAATCTCAAAAATGGCACATTAGAGATGGTAGAGCTGCTGTCAGACTGGAGTCCTAAATGTGGAACAGAGTCACCCACTGACCTGCAGCCTTTGATTAGGACTGTTAAATGAGAAAGAACTAAGCCATTAACTTTTTGGAATATATTTGTTACAGCAGCTAGTGTTTGTTTAACAAATATATATGCCCTATTTATATTATAAATTGTGAGAGATAGATCTAATGTATGGGAATGAACAGTGTTGGGAGGTGACAAGTGCTGCATGCATTTGTCATCATATTATTAATACAGAGAAAACAAATGTCTAGTAGAATGTCTGACATAGGATGTCTAATATCTGTTGAATGAATGCATGGATATCTTGCTGAAAAAAGTCCTGAGATTTAAAAAAATCTACACCGAACGTGGTGGCTGATTCCTGTAATCCCAGCACTTTGGGAGGCCGAGTTGGGTGGATTGCTTGAAGCCAGGAGTTTGAAATGAGCCTGGGCAACATAGCAAAACTACATCTCTACTAAAAAAAAAAATTATAAAAATTGGCTGGGTGTGGTGACACACACCTGTAGTCCCAGCTACTCAAGAGGCTGAGGTGGGAGGATCACTTGAACCTGGGAGGCAGAGGTTGCAGTGAGCTGAGATCACGCCACTGCACTCCAGCCTGGGTGACAGAGTGAGACCCTGTCTTCTTTATGCCTCACTTTCCTTCCCTGTAAAATGAGGATAATAGTAGCGAGATCCTGTCTCAAAAAAAAATCTGTACAACACAACATCACTGGCAATACTTGTTTGCACAGGGGAAACCTTTAATTCACTTGGACTCATATGAGTAAAATAAAAACCTCCTATACATACAGGTTTTTTTCAAGAAGATTATTGTTTTCTTTTTAATACTTTTTCCTTAAAAATTACAAAATACTAAATAACATTTTGACAAAAGGAAAATGTACCCTTAATCCCATTACCCAAAGAAAGCTCATTCATTTTTGCCGATTCCTTCTAACTTTTATCTATGTGCATGTCTATTTTTAATAGTTATGTCTGTTTCTTCTTCTCCTTATTTTAAAATAAATTTTAATCTGTATTCGGTAAGGAAGGCACAGGCTTAATAATTCTCCAGAAAAGATTTCAACAAAGAACCACCTAATATTTCTAACAGTTCCAATTTAATTTTGCCAAGGGGTTCCATTCTTATTAAAAAGCATACCAGGGAGGGAAGGTGATTTTCATAAGAAAGTACACGGAGTTGTTAATTCTGACTACAATTAAGGTGATCAAGATTATAAATGTCACAATTTTTCTGCTTTCTATTTAACAGCTATCTTGTGGGTCTTACAAGGATTACCTGGAGGGCAAACGAGTGCATGTGGACTGTATTCAAGGATATAAGTGAATTTAATAATTAATTCAATAAATATTTATTGAGTACCCACTACATCTCAAACAGAAGGTGAACTATAATGAATAAGACACCATGCCTACCCTTGAAAAGGTTATAGTAGGGATGAAAAACAAGAAGATATTGCTGTGAACTTAAAGTAGGGGTAAGCCCAGAGAAGGCATGTGGAGGAAGTGAGACCTGACATTTGAATTGAAGTTAGACAGACAAATGGGTAGAAAGAAGATTGCCCAGTCGCATGGGCCAAAGTAAACAGAAGCAGGAAAGAGCATGGTGTTCATGGGACCGCAAGTGATTCTATATGCCTGATGTTAACAGAGTCCACTGGGGGAGAAGATGAGAATGGTGCAGTAAGCGGAGGTCATGTCACAGACAGTGATAAGCTTCATCAGAGTAGTGATCATGTATGTCCAGTGCTGCCTAGAACAGTACCTGGCACATGGCTATTCAATCTGTATTTGTGGAATGAATTAACCTACACCATGCTATGCAGTTGACTCACAACTGGTCATAGGGATTTGCCTCTTGTTGCAAAGGAAGAGCAAACATGACTGGGAAGAGATGGCTACTCTTCTCTCTCCAGAGCCTGCATCTATGCTGGTGCTTATTGGTATGCTGGGTATGTATGTGACTACTGCCTGCTTTTCAACACAGGGATACTGCTTTAGTCTCGTGAGCCCAAGCTATTTGCTGCTAAACAGCAGAGATGTGGCAATGGAACCCTAATTTGAGAATTGCCTCCTTACCCTAATTTCATTTTTTAAATAGGAGCAGGAATGCCACAAATGTAGCTTCTTGGGACATGCTTGCAAAGGAAAGGTATTAATGCCATTTCTAACTCCTAATCCTAGAAGCAGAGTTGGGGTGGAAGGAGAACTAAGGAAGAAACGAGGGGAGAGAGTGAGAAGGAAGCTGTGAAGACTTCTCCTAATTATTTCTTTGCTCCCCCGGGTTTATTGAGGTATAATTGACAAGTAAAAATGAAATATATTTAAGGTATAAAATGTGATATTTTGACATATGTGTACCTTGTAAAATGCTTGCCACAATCAAATTAATTAGCATATCTATCAACTCACACAGTTATCTTTTTTGTGTGTGTGGCAAGAACACTTAAGATCTCTCAGCAAATTTCAAGTACGCCATGCAGTATTATTAACTATAGTTATGATGCTGTGCATTTGGTCTCCAGATCTTATCATGACTGAAAGCATGTGCCCTTTGACCAACATCTCCTCACTGCTCCCAACCCCAGGCCCCTGGCAACCTAATTGTTTCTTTATCCTTGATTGTAGTCCTCTCTATTTTTGAAAGTATTTTTAGCTGAAATTGAACATCAATGATGTAAAAGTACCAGAAGTCTTACTCTCTAGGGAGATGAATGGATTAATAAACCAGGTCTAGCAATACTGAATAATTTGGAGGCAAAAACCAGATTTGACTTACAACAGCCCAGCAGGGCGGCTTACTTTGGAAACATTTTGCCAGCGCTCTGCTGAGCATACTAAAAATGCATGGTGCTGGCTGACTTCACGCCGGAAGCCCATGGATTCAGCTGCTGAAGAATGATGTGAAATTAGAGAGAATGAAATGTGTGATATTACTTAATCACACCTGGTGCTTCAATTTCTTAATAATAGTGCCCTGCTCCACTGTTGAATTGGATACATATATGTATATACTTATGAATTATTGCTAGAGGATGGATTAACTCTCTAATGCCTGCCAATCCATTGCAGGGATTGAAAATGCAAATGACAACTAAGTTTTCTCATAAGGAACTCAGGAACAACGGTTCCAGGACCAGGATTGACATAAAATTACCATGACTTAGGGGAAAGTAGTGAAATGTCACCTCCTAAAAGAAGCCAAAAACTCAGGGTCCCAAGTTAGGGGAAGGCTTGGGGAAGATTATCTATTTTTACACCCAAAGTATATCCCGGGTTATACTATATGTCTGCTCTGATGACTGAGTGACTTACATTGCTTTAGATTTCCAGGAGGATGACAAGTACCCAAGAACAGGGAAAGAGAGCCATTTCAGCTTATTTAGGAATGTGTATCTGTGAGGAATTTAAAAGTTTATCAATCTGTATATGAATTGATGCTTAGTAGAGATCACCATCCTCCCTCTAGCCCCCCAACTAAGGAATTGTTACTTTAAGGTATCTGGGGTTTTATCCTGAGTATCAAACCAAATTTAATCCTGCAGGACCCACATATGTTTTCCTGGTTCGTCAGATACTTTGTGGCAATGGGGTGCAAAACTGGCCTAATAAATCATTCTCCATAAAAGGCAGCAAGGTGCTTCATCTAATTAAAAAATGCTTATTATGGTTACATGTTCCATTCTTTTGGGACAGGGGGATGCCTTCTACATGATTCCATTTAGCAGCAGAATATAAATGCTTACGTATAATTAGCTTAACATAGCCAGCTTTATATCCCATTTACAGTGAAGCAAGTCAACAATGAAAGCAACTAGAAAATAGCTATTTTGGTCCCTTCTGTAAAGTAACCATGCAGTGGCCTGCTGACATGCACATGAGTGATCCCCCACAGATGCACTACTACGTCAGAGATTTGTTCAAAAAGATGGACTCAGTGAGGGAATTACATAGGGAATACAAGAATGGACTGCTTAGAATTCTAATGTGATTGATTTTTCAGGAGCATGGGCTTGCAGCTTTTTGTTTCTGTGTGTGTGTGTTTTTTAAACGACCTCCTGAAAAAATAATTCCTACTGACAGAGATCCAAATAATTGAAAGTCCTCCTGGCTTCTTTCTTGCTTCTGAAAATCCAGAATGTGTTCTCCATCTCTGTAGCCCTTCATCACAGTGTTTTGGGATGCTCTGATCTCCTCTTCCGAGGCTTGAATTCTCTTGAAAGCAGAAAATCTGACTCATCTGTCTTTGTCATTCACATCCAAAGCATAAGACATAGTATCCCCATGCCATAGATACCCTATAAACAGGTGTCAATTAAACCATTAGTTACTCCACATGGGATTGTTCTGGAGAACAATCAGCAGTCTCCCAGTATATGGAAGAACAATGGATAAATGTCGAGGAAGAGGGGAAAGATGATGGGAAATCAAGTGAAGTTTCATTGAAATTAATTCTCTGATACTTAAAAATAACTTCTAAATGGGTCCTTTCAAAATCATGGAATAAGGCTCTATAATAATAAAATGTTGATTTAAAATAAAGACCCATTTATTTTGCCATATGGTACATATCTGTGGCCCTTTGAAGATCTTAAGGAGTATTCAGGGTTGAAGGCCCCAACCTTTTATTGGCAGAAGGGTGGGCAAGTCTGACTGGCAAAGATGGCCTGATTGATGGGGCTTGCACCAAGGTCCTGACATCTCCCATTCAGAAGAGGAATCTTGAGCTTGAAAAGTTGTGAATGCCAGGGATTGCTTTTAAGGTTTGCCAGATCTGTTTTCGATCTTCAAAATGCAGACTGTGGGTGACATATTTTCACCTGTTTAAAGAGTCTTATTATAGATACTATATATTTATAAGCAAATATATAATAATGTAACAAACAGTTCATATATGTCAGTAATTCCTGATTATATCTTGGCTCAGGAATAACATGGTCTGCTCTCTTCACCTTTTTCAGTAGACAACCAATAGACATGACCGTGCCTCCTCCCTTCTTTAAACCCCACAGAAACTTGCCTTACTTTTAGGCTGAAACCAAAATCCTGATTGTAGCTTTATGAGAGGTTACAAATTTTATTGCTTCCCATCTTGGGCCTTCCTTACTATGTGCTTCTGCTAATTTCTTCATACCAACTTATTTCTAGTCTCTGGGCTCTTCCTACAGGCTGTGCCCTCTATTACACTGCTATTCTCCCTGCTTCTCTGCTTTCCTGGTTTTTCAATTCTGTTTCAGATTATTGGCAACTTCATTAATAAATCCTTTCCATAACCCGGTAATCTAGGTTCCCCCCTTATGTACAATTATAAAGCAATTCATTCACAACTGTTATTTAATAATTATTTGTGCAATTCTTTCTTTAATGCCCATGTTCTATTCTATATTTTAAGTGTGACGATATCCTGGCCCAGCACATAGGAGGTACGCAACAAAAATATGATGAATGACTGAAAGTGTCTTCAACCTCCATTGACCACAGACTTAAAGTATAAGGCAGTGTGATGTAGTGCATAGCAGGTGGATCTCGGGCTGTGTTTGAATTTAGCTTTTGCCCTTGACATCAACAGTGAGAAGTCATGGAACTCACTGAGCCTCACTGTTCTCATCTGTAGGTATTATGGTATGCACACAGTGCTGCTTGAAATGATGCTCTTCCTTGTTCATAGTCATATCACTGGTCATATCATCCTATGTGTAACACTAGCCATCTTTTTTGTTTCTAAGGGAAGGTCTCACATGAAAGCAAGCATCCCATCTTCCTCCCTTCAGTAATCCAAAGAGGAGGAGGCATAAGAAAAAGCTTCTCCTCAGCGCTAAAGTAGGTTGCTCAACAAAGGCATTTTATAAGCATCTAGAAACCTGCATCAGATGCCACGTAAACAGCCTCGAATTGAGGAAAAACATGTACGTCACCTCCTAAGAGTGCAGCACAGTTGTTTGCTAAAGATTAAGAGGAAGAAATTTTGGAAAAGTAAACAAAAAAAATCACTAAATTAGGAAGTTGGGCAACATAGATGAGTGGAAGGAACATGGTACTCTGCAGAAACCCCTTCCCTATCTTGGACATAAGGTCATCTAAGGCCACAGTGGAGTGGCCCACAGAAGGAACAGTGAGTGGCCAGCCTTGGCAAATTTTTCTCTTACATGGTTTAATTTTTACTTTTAGGTTTTTTGTATTATAAATGATCATATATAAAGGAGTTATTAAAATTATTATGATTAAAATTATTATAAATGAAATTAAGTTATATCAAAACTTAAAAATCATTTTAAAAATTAGTATTACTATGAAAAGTTGCAAGGAAACAAACACCTGTCCATTAGCTCCTGACCTTCAGAAGTGGAACATCAGTGGCATCTTCAAAGGTCTGGAGTGCATCTCCCTGATCCCCGCCCTTCACTCTCCATCTACGATTATCACTATGCTGTACTTGTGTTCATTATCCACTTGAAAACAAAAAACGCTTCTACCACCTAGGTAGATATCTCTAGTGTAAACAATGTACTGCGTCGCTTTGCCTGTTTGTGAAATTCATCTGAATGGGTCATTGCTGCATGTTTTCCATTATTTGACTCTTTTGCTCAACTTTCTTTTTCACATTTATTCATATTGATTCATGTGGCTAATTAGGGTTTATATTCCATTGCACAGATATAGCACAATTTATGTCATCATAATTGCAGATGAATGATGGGTTTATGTACAGTTTTGGCTATTACTTGACTTTTTTTGTGAACTTCCTCCAACATCTATGGGAGAGGTTCATATTAAGAACCTCTCCCATATTAAGAATATTAATGAGGGCTGAGATGGAGGGGTAAGGGCAGTTTGTAGGAGGAAGAAGAACTCGCTTGTATGGAACAACATGGAACATGTAGTGTAGGGAATAAAATGCACATGGCTCAATCACACAATTTTTCTCTAACCCAATTGTCACCAATGTAGCCATTCTGAAAGAAATAGAACAACCATTCTGGAACTAGACAGGATATCATCCCAACTCATGCAAGTTCTAGCTAATTTGCATGGGTAGACATTTCATGTAAGACACAAGATGTAGCTACGTTGGATTTAAGTATACAGAAGATATGGAGACACAGGCCTTGATGCAAGAGTTCCTGGATATGTAGAAAAACGTGAAGGCAAAGTTCTATTGCTGGGGCTGCTCACAAACTTGGCTCTTCTCCATGTTCCTTGGGCGGCTGAATGACAAAACTTATTATGTGAATACATATCATGCAGATCACAGCTTAAGAGTGCCTGGGAATGCAGAGAAGTCACCTAAGATACCACTGAAGAGTGAGTTTTAAAGTAGGTCCCAAACATGGAATGAAGAAAGTTCCTCAACACAAAAGGAGGAAATAAACATAACATACAAAAGATTAAAGAATCATATACTTTGGAAGAGACTGATCACAAGAGAAATACAAAAGTTTAATGTATCCTCAAAGTAATTATTCAAACCACAAACTTGCTGAAAGACAGGTAATGAGGCAACAGATTGAGATAAAAAGGTATCTTATCTTAAAAAAGGAATATAAGTAAGCAAATAATTACACTGCAGAATTTAAAACTCAATGAAAAGCAGTAAAGAGGAGAATCATCCCTTAATGAAACAGATTAAACTAGAAAAGTGGGACGGACAGTGGTTCCCAAGCGACATGATCATGAGAAATATGAAGGGGAGGGTTGAAAAATTACCTATCGGGTACAATGTTCACTATTTGGGGGACAAGTATAGTAAAAGCCCTGACTCCACCACCACACAACACATGTGTGTAAGAAATCTGCACGTGTACCTGCCAACTCTATAAAAATAGAAAAAAAAGAAGGAATATGAAGGTAGGGAAAGACGCATAAAATATACATTCCTAGGGTCAAATGTAGGAAATTTTGATTCAGTGGGTCTTGGGTCAGGCTAAGAAATCTCTATTTGCAAAAATATCCTGAGATGATGCTGAAAATCAATCTGGTTTAGTAACTCAAAAGGTCAGCACAAACTTGAGACAGTCACCAGAGTTCAGAGGGAGGAAAAAGGCAAGTGAAAGTGATCAAAGGAAAAAAGATGGACTAAGAACATGGACTTAGTATACACAGCAGATGCACCAGGGGAAGCAGAAGAGGAAGTAGTTAGAACCCAGGCAACAGAAACCATTTCAAAAATTTATATGGAAGAAAATTTCCCTTAAATGAAAAAATATCTCCAGTTTAAAAGGCTTTTACTATGGACTTACTGAAAATAGAAAAACACTTGGATCTACTGAATATTAACTCTAAGAAGAAGACACTTCTCAAAATCTTGGACAAAGAAATAGGGCCCCTGGAAAACAAGATACCAATGACATTTGTCTATGCGGTTTTCAGGGAGAATGGTGATTTTAGGATTCCTAAATTCTTTTATCAGCCCAAGCTGTCCATAGTAAGTGAAGGCAGCAAGAAGATATTTTCAGCCAGGGAAGGGCTCTAGATCGCCAATGTTCTCCATGATAACTGAGATTAACCAAGAGTGTGGAAATGGAGGCACATGAACATTTTAAAATAACAATTTCTAAGAAGAATGTAAATATTAATCTTGAAACAAGAGGTCCACACATGTGAGAATCAATAATTCAATTAGTCTAGACTGGGACAACAATCTTAAACTAGAACAACAAAAACTGGGAGGTTGAGGTGGTATTCGTGGGAAGCTGGAGGAGGAAAGTATGGTAATTTCTTATTTGTACACAGGGGTGAATCAATGGATTGTTTGTCCTCACTATTCATAATTGGGGAAACCTGAGGTTTAGAACATAGATTTTAAACATGTATTAATATTACTTAAACACCTGATAGTAACTATCAGAGGAACTTAAGACAGGTACCACACCTTCCAAATCCCCTAGGTGGGGTGGGGGAAAGGAATCAAAGAAAAACTCAGGCCATATAGCAAAACTAGCTCCCCCTTCAAAAAAAAGGGGGACAAAGGGAAAAAACTTAAAAAGTCAAATGTAAACTAAGAGAAGAAATAATAGCTTTTGTAAATATATGTACTCCTGAAAGGCTGAAAGTGTATAACACCAAAATATTAACAGTCATTTCTATGTTTAGAGTAACCTTAGGTTTTTTATTTTTGCAAAACTATTTAATTCCCTGACAATGATGACGTATTACATGTGTGACTGAAAATAAAACATAAACCTAAAATTCTCCTTCACTCATATGAATGAACACTGATCACAAAGCCACTCATTAAAACTAGAAATGACCAGCGTCGCTGCAGTGGCTGAGATTGGCATTGGCAGTGATTATTCAACTTGTTTCACTAATTTGACTCATTTCCCAAAACAGGATGTGCAGGTGTCGTTCGTTTATTTAGTCACAACACTGATTACTCTTTACAATTGTGCTCATCCCTGCTTTTTTCAGCATAAGCATTGCAGTGATAGGAAGGAGCCCTGGGATGATGGCCTGTGTGTGCATGCAGAGGGCATGGGACCTTGGCTCACAGCCGCATGACACTGGGTGCTCTGCCACAGCGTCATCCCTTGTAGGGCTGTGAGGGTTTACTGTTGACATTCCAATACTGGAGTAACATATGCTTTTCTGCTTTTCTCTCTACTTCGGTCTTAGCCCTCATACTTGCCCCATCACAAACCACAAACTCCAGCCATACCAAACAAGTCCATTTCTTGAATCTCACCACCATCTCTGGAATGCTTTCCCTTGTTAAGTCTCAGTTCTGGAGTCCCCTGCTTCTTGACCTCCGAACCTCTCCCTTTTAAGGGAAGTTAGGGGCCCTTCTAGTGACCTCATATTTATCTCATGCTTAGTAATTTGTCTTCCCGAGGAAATGTCTGTCTCATGAGGAAAACATGGGACTCTTGCAGGCAGGGAATGTGTGGTATTTGCCTTCCAGCATTAGCACAGTGCCTGAAAAATAGAAGGTACTCACACACAGTTATCGCAGGGAAGGCTTTTCTGAGTTGATTTACTCCAGCTCCCAGCCTCTCCTTCCCTCACTCACATATTTTCCTGGTGGGAGAGACCCTAAGTTCTAAAAGCCAGTGTCTGCCAGAGGCTTGTTCCTTGAACTTCTAATTTCCAACAGTCACCTCCTCTCTGTGCACAGTTGAGATTTTTATGCGACAAAATAAGTTGACAGGGGCTCAGTGACAAGTTTGCTGTGTTATGGCGCTCCAACCTCATTGAAAAACCCTTCTCATCTACTTCCTACACCAAGTTCTACCACTCCCTGGGTAGAAGCCAATGCCCAGGCTTGCTCAGCTTTCTGTATCATGATCCCAAGTGTATCACTTCTGAAAAAGAAGGGATGTTCATGAATAGCTGACGTTGATGTTAAAATATTCCCTAGTTGAAGAATTTCCTCACCCACACCTATCTTTTAGAATAAGTTATGATTCTTTTGTTTTTTTTTTTTAATTTACAAGTTAGGGCCAAGAAGGAGTGTCCCATTTTCAGGACAGATCAAGGGAGTATTCAATACAGAAGGACTTGACTTATAGTAAAGTGTTAGTCACTAGGAGCTCAAGAGATACTTTAAAGGACCAGGATTTATGTACCCCATTCTCCTCTAGCCTCCTCTTTGATCACTGACCTTCTCAACCTTTACGGTATAACCTTTAATCCAATCACACTGTACTCAGTGATCAAATAGCCCAGGCACCATGCCTCTGGTGTGTGTGTGTGCCCGTTGGCGGGGGGCGGGGGTATGTCTGTGTGTGTGTGTGTGCGTTGGTGGGGGATATGTGTGTGTGTGTGTGCACGTTGGCAGGGGGTATGTCTGTGTGTGTGTGTGTGTGCACATTGGCGGGGGGCAGGGGTGTGTCTGTGTGTGTGTGTGTGTGTGGGAGGGGAGTGTCCCACCCCTTCAGTGCCCATCCTGCAAACCAATAATCCTCTTTCAAGATGCAGCCCAAACAGCACATCTTCTGCAAAGCACTCCCACAGTTAGAAATATAAACAAAGTACTATGGAAGAAGCTATTAATACTTATGTCATTGTATTCTAATTTATCTGTTTACACATCTCTATTTACACATTTATTTAACAACCCGTTATTGAGCATCAGGCACCAATCGGTGAGCTCTTTGAGTACCTGGCCTGTGTCTGTCATTCCTATCATGCTAGACCTCAACACCGTACCTGGCATAAGCTATGTACACAGTATCTCTTTGGTGCATGAAACAATGATGGAAAGATAAAACCCAGCTCTTTGATATTCAGGAATGATTATGCTCATTTTATAGTGAAGAGATGCCTGCCTTTGTATCTAAGATATGTAGGAGATTCATCACAATTTCTTCTTCCCCTTCCCCTTCCCATTCCTTCCCCCTCTCCTCCCTTACCCTCCTCTTTATTTTTAATAAATAACTCTTATTGTCAGGAAGTTCTTCTCAAATCAAATTGGAATCACATCTCCCATAATTTGAGCATCATTTGGAATCGGCCTTTCTCTTTTGTTTTTGAGACAGGGTCTCATTCTGTTACCCAGGCTGGAGTGCAGTGGAGCGATCATGGCTCACTGAAGCCTCAACCTCCCAGGCTCAAGCGATCCTCCCACCTCAGCCTCCAGAATAGCTGGGGCTACTGTCATGCACCACCATACCCGGCTAATTTTTGTATTTTTTAGCAGAGATTGGGATTCACCATGTTGCCCAGGTTGGTCTCGAACTGGTCTCAAGCCATCCTCCTGCCTCTGCATCTCAAAGTGCTGGATTACGGGCATGAGACACCATGCCCGGCTCTCCCTTTCTTTGAAGTTGCAATCATTGCTCTTTGTAACTCTTCATATATTTGAAAATTATTCTAACATTTTCTCAGCGAGTCCCACTTCCCAAACACGTGGTGTGAGAGTTCCAGTTAACTTTACTGTGCTCATGGAGACCAGTTTTCAAGTCTAGATCTCTTTTTAAAATATGTTCTCTTGTGTCATGTTGAAGGTCTTTGCATCACACTGCAGTTGTGGGTCCAGAAACGTCCTAGCCCCAGTGAAGGCACAGCCACCACTAAAGGAGGAACTTCCTGCATCTCTTAGGAGTACACATGCAAGACCTCAAAGGTCCTCTACCTACTGTGCAATGCTCCCAATGTGGCTCATCCAGGACTGCTATTGTTGTCTCAACCAACAAATCCAGATTTTCCCTCCTCTGCCATTTGTGCTTGTAACTCGCAGCTTTCCACCAGGATCATGTTTCCCACTCTCTCACCCAATACTGCAAAGTAGTTGAGGTTGGTTTTCCAAGAAATTGTCTTCCCTCACTATTTAGGGGACTTGACATAAAGCTACTTTGTCCGAAGTCCCAAGTACAATGTCAAATCGTACCTAGCAAAGAATTTTCAGGAACTACTGATTCTCCCACAACCTGGTGTGACACACTAAATGCTTTCCCCTTTTATCTTGCTATTCTGAGGGTGGCATGCCAGTTTATCATTAAAGTGTGTGCCGAATCTTTCAGTTGTGCCATGCTATCTACCACCCTAGGGAATGGTTAGCCATTGAACATTCTTCCTCTGGCACCAGGAATGCAATATGAGATGTCAGGTTAGGTAAAATAGGAACAAGGAAGTAATATGCACTGAGGGCCTTTTCTATGGCAGGTACTGCACTTGTATTTTGTTTTGGGACAGGGTCACCCAGGCTAGAGTGCAGTGGCATGATCATGGCTCACCGCAGCCTCGACCTGCTTGGCTCAAGCAATCACCTCAGCCTCCCTAGTAGCTGGGACAACAGGTGCACACCACTAGCCCTCTAAGTTTTGTACTTTTTATAAAGACGGGGTTGCCCAGGCTGGTCTCTAACTCCTGGGCTCAAGCAATCCATTGCTTTTGCCTCTGAAAGCGCTGGGATTACAGGCATAAGGCACCACACCCAGCCCACGTTTTCCTTTACTCCTTAAAACCACCTCATGATGTAAGGAGATGTTACTTCCATGCTACAAATTAGTTCATTAAGATTTGGCAAGATTTGGCATCAGTAATCTGATGCTAGTCACATGATCAGAGAGTGACGGCACAGATATTTGAACCCAGCTCTGACTAACTCTAAAACAATACCAGGAGTTTCCTTCTAGAAAAGGTAATTAAACATCAGGATACATTGTCAGAGACGGCTAAATATGATCATTTTCTCGAAAGCTTAGAAACAAGCATAATTGCTCTCTTCTATGGATAGGTCATACATGGTTTTACCTAAAATCAGGAGCATGGACAATACAACCTTTCAAAGCTTCTTTTGAGTCTATGATTTTTATCATGATAGAATTATCTTAATGAATTGAGGAAGAAAGGGCCTTATGCTTCAGGAATTCCACCCATACTGTCTCCATTTGAAATTTTCAGTGCATGTGTCTTTATAGCAGCATGATTTATAATCCTTTGGGTAGATACCCCGTAATGGGATGGCTGGTTCAAATGGTATTTCTAGTTCTAGATCCTTGAGGAATTGCCACACTGTCTTCCACAGTGGTTGAACTAGTTTACAGTCCCACCAACAGTGTAAAAGTGTTCCTACTTCTCCACATCCTCTCCAGCACCTGTTGTTTCCTGACTTTTTAATGATTGCCATTCTAATTACTGTGGCACTATTCATATTAGCAAAGACTTGGAACCAACTCAAATGTCCATCAATGATAGACTGGATTAAGAAAATGTGGCACATACACACCATGGAATACTATGCAGCCACAAAAAGGATGAGTTCATGTCCTTTGTAGGGACATGGATGAAGCTGGAAACCATCATTCTGAGCAAACTATTGCAAGGACAGAAAACCAAACACTGCATGTTCTCATTCATAGGTAGGAATTGAACAATGAGAGCACTTGGACACAGGGTGGGGAACATCACACACTGGGTCCTGTAGTGGAATGGGAGAAGGGGGGAGGGATAGCATTAGGAAATATACCTAATGTAAATGATGAGTTAATGGGTGCAGCACACCAACATGGCACATGCATACATACGTAACAAACCTGCATGTTGTGCACATGTACCCTAGAACTTAAAGTATAATTAAAAAAAGAAAAAAAAAGGAAGAGAGAAATAAAAAAAAAAGAGAAATTTTCAGTGCTCCAGATTACGGGACAAGATTATGCAAACAAAGCGGGTCCTAGTAATTGCTGGCTTGGAACCAGTAATCCATGTCACACGCCAGCTCAGCTTTTGCACATCACTGTCCCTGTACATGCCCTGGGTTTTAAGGTATTGATTGATTCAGACCCCTCCAAAGCAGGGAGACCAAGCATGCTATCTTGTCATGCTTTCTTTATTTCACCTTCTAGTCATGTCCTTCAGGGTGGGCAATACAGTAGTGCCCCCTTATCCACATTTTTGCTTTCTGCCGTTTTAGTTACCTAGGGTCAACCTCAGCCTAAAAATATCACATGAAAAATTCCAAAAATAAACGATTCATAAGTTTTAAGTTACATACCATTCTAAAGGACATGATAAAATCTCATGGTCTCCCACATGCTGTCCCAAAGAGGGACATAAACTCAGCGTGTATCCACACTGTAGACACTCCCTCCTTAGTCACCGTCTTGCTTCTCAGATGGACTGTCCTGATATTGCAGTGTTTCTATTAAAGTAACTCTTATTTTACTTAGTAATTGATCCAAAGCTCAAGAGTAGTGATGCTAGCAATCAGGATATGCCAAAGAGAAGCCGTACATTGATTCCTTTAAGTGAAATAGTGAAAGTTCTCAACTTAATAAGGAAACAACAAAAAAAATGTATGCTGAGGTTGCTAAGATCTGTGGTAAGAACAAATCTTCTATCCATTAAATTGTGAAGAAACAAAAAGAAATTAATGCATACTATACATAGGATGCCAGTTTAAGACTTCCACCAGGGGTCTTGGAAGGTATCCCCTACAGATAAGGGGAGACTACTGTACAGCTTTTACTCACTTAACAATGTAGCACCTATCTAAAGACAGAAGTCTTGGGCCATGAGATTCTAGATTTAAATGTACTGAAATCATCAGGATAGCAGATCACACAGAAAACACTCAACAGCTAAGCGTAATGTATAACTACTCTACAGATACAAGAAAGGTTGTGAAACTTAAAAGGACAGAAACAAAGATTAGCAAGTAATGTTTTCCCAAAGACATAAATTCTTCCCTTTTTGAAAGTGGATCTCTTCAGCTAGAACTGGATGAAGTATGCAGTCAGTACATAAGATGTGCAAGTTAATAACCACTTTTTATTAATAGTTTCTGCAGCTATTTAATTTTAATAATATTTGATATCAATTCTTATTCTTTGGTCTAATTACCAAGACAGTGAGTTTATGTTTACTTTTTGAATTCCAATGTGGAAACGGACTAAAAAACAATGTGTTAAAGAATAAAATGAACGCTGATAAAGATAATGTTTTCTCCTCAAAATGTTAAGATGCTGATATACTTTTAGACTATGAGGAAGAGAGGAGTTTGGTTGCCATTGCTGTTGTTTTTACCTTTTCTTTTGGGATTTCTACTTGAAGGCATTCAGAATCTATTGAGCAAAGGCAGCAAATTAACTACTGGTTAAGTATTTCACCAAGTTCTGTTTTGCACACAGAAAGTCATTTCTAACTACAGCTCAGCCTCCCTGGGCTAGAACACAGCCCTGTTGCTTGGAAATTAACAGGGCAGCAAAGGCATCCCTACCTAACAATTTCCTGACAACCTCATGTTTTTGTTATTTAACATAAACAAATAGAAATCTTCCAAAACCCAAATGAATGTTAATCAACACTCCGTAAAATGTTGATCATATCAATATATTGACATCGATACTCTAGCTCACTGGGAGAATCAAGAATGAGCCGCCACTTATCTCTAAGATTAAACAAAGATCTTTGCTTCTCTTCTGTCCTGTTTCACTAACAACCTCATAAAGAAAGAAAGGGGGCCAGGCACAGTGGCTCACACCTGTAGTCCCAGCATTTTGGGAGGCTGAGGTGTGAGGATTGTTTGAGTCCAGCCAGGAGTTTGAGACCAGCCTGGGCAACATAGGGAGACCCTGTCTCTACAGAAAATAAAAAATTAGCCAGGTTTGGTAGTGCATGCCTGTAGTCCCAGCTACTTGGGAGTCTGAGGCAGTAGGATCACTTGAGGCTGGGGAGGTGAGGGCTGTAGTGAGCTCTGATTGTGCCACTGCACTCCAGCCTGAGCCACAGAGTGAGACCCTGTCTTAAAAAATAAAGAGAAAAGAAAGAAAAGGAAAGAGAGAGAGAAAGAAAAATGCACAAGCTGACACTTTGCTAAACCTACTATAGAAAGAAAAAAGACAATTCCTCGAAATGCATGGGGATGGTAGGTGGAAGGGGAGCAGGCTGATTACAATCAGGGCCTTCCTCATATCTCTGTTAAAAAATCAAGCAAAACTCTGGTGTCTATCCTAAATCTTTTGGCTGCCGCCGCAGCTCTGAGGAGTGGTGCTGATCACGTGGCCTCGCTGCGTTTCTGTGGTCTGTGCAAGCACAGCCTGATGGAATGATGCGGCAGTGATTTTGTTCTTGCTTTTCTGATGGGTCCCTGAGGGTGATTCTGAGTAATTTTGTCTCTGTTCCTGCAGCTGCGATGGGTCAGTCCTCTCTTTCTCCTCCCTATGCACTCACTTCAACACTGAGAGGCTGTCTCTTCAGAGCAGGTGGTTTGCAGCCCCTTGCCCCTGTCAGGGCTCCTCCAGGGCACGTTTTCACACATCTTGTAGTTTCATCTGGGTATGGGTGTGAACAGAGGCCAAGCACAGATGAAATGGTGTTTCTGAATAAAAGAATGTGCTACCCAGGCGGCATGACCGGCATTTAATTTGCTGCCTGTGTTCAATAGACTGTGAGCTCCTCAAGGGCAGGGATCGTGTCTCATTTGTCTTTGTACCCTCGGTGACTAACACACATTCCTTTGTTCATTCATTTATTCAACAAACATTTACTGAGAGCTGGAGGAACAAGATGAATAAGGCACAGGCTTCAACAAAGAAGTAGACATTTCATTTGCCCCACAGGCTGTATTGCCATGGAATAAATTTCTAGAACGTTAAAAGATACACAAATATACACCCAAAAGAAAAACACAAAAGCTGAGCTGTCTTATTCATAGACTCATCCATGTCAAAGATGAATGGGAGCTGCCTTTATATAGATAAGAAAACCAGTTACCAGGGGTGACAAATTCTTGACCTTATGCTCTCTTTACCTTGCCAAGGGGGCCCATGGAGGTAAAGTATTTCAAGTAGACATTTTATTTGCTGTCTGTATCATTCTTGCCCTTACAACTTAATTTTGTCATGTATATACTCATACATATATGTATATATGTATATTATTATTTTTAATATTTTAATTCCCTGCCAGGCGCAGTGGCTCATGCCTGTAATCCCAGCACTTTGGGAGGCCAAGGTGGGTGGATCACTTGAGGCCAGGAGCTGGAAACCAGCCTGGCCAATATGGCGAAACCCTGTCTTCACTAAAAATACAAAAATTAGCTGGGTGTAGTGGTGCATGGCTATAGTTCCAGCTGCTTGGGAGGCTGAGGCAGGAGAATCACTTGAACCCGGGAGGTGGAGGTTGCAGTGAGCCAAGATTTTGTCACTGCGCTCCAGCCTGGGCGACAGAGTGAGACTCTGTCTCAAAAAAATTTTAATTTCCAAAAGTATACACAATTCAAGGTTCTCCAGACTGAAATTTAAATAAACATTATGACCCAAATTCCTATAGGAGCCAGGATGTAAAACAATTGAAGTAAAGCCAGAGGAAGGAATGGGGATCAGAACAGAGCGCACTGGAAAGGCATTCTCTTGTTTCAGTTGTCTATTCTAAATTTGTGGCTTAAAACAATCATTTTTACTTTGTTCACACTTTTGTGGGTGAGGCATTCCTGAAGGGCTCAGCTGGGTGGCTTATTTCTGATCCTTATGACATCACCTCATGGGGATGAAAAACGAATGGCTTCTTCATTTGTGTATCTGGCACCTTAGCGCTCCTTGACCTTTCTGTCTTTCTCCACATGGTGTTTCTTCCTCTAGGGCCTCTTCATGTGGCTTGGTCTTCTCACAGCATGGTGGTCTCAGGGTAGCTGGCCTTGTGACATGGTGCCTCACTGCCCTGAACACATGTCCCAACAGATAGAAAATGAGCCAGTGTATGCCTAGCTTAGCCTCACCTCTCGTATTTCACTGATAAGAGCAGTCACTAAGCCTTTCCAGATCCAAGAGGAGCATACCTAGACCCCACCTCTCAAGTAAAGAAATGTTAAATAATTTACAAACATCTTTAATATGCCATAGTCTAAGAGACCACCTCTGTGCACCAGATTATTGCATTGTGTGGCTGTGGCCCAGTCTGAATCTGTTCAGGCTGCACCACAGACAGACTGGGTAGTTTATAAACCACAGAAATTTATCTCTCATGGTTCTAGAGGCTGAATGTCTGGGATCAGGATGCCAGCGTGGTCAGTTTCTGGTGCCGGCTGCAGATGCCAACCTCTCCTTGTGTCTTTGCGTAGTGGAAAGCAAGTGAGAGAGCTCTCTGGGACCGCTTTTATAAGGGCACTGATCCAATCACTTCCCAAAAGCCACACCTCCAAATGCCATCAGATTGGGATTAGTGTTTTGACATATCAATTTCGGGAGGGCACAAACAGGCAGTATATGACAGGCCCAGTGTCAAAATAGTTTAAATTTTTAAAACAGAAGATAAACATTTATATTTTAAATTGTTGAAATCTGGTTTTAAATATTGGCAACTAATTCAAATTTTCTGAAACCGTCTGTGTGGCAGACATGCGTATTCACAGAAATGGCCCATGCCCACCATTGTGTACTCTCTGCTTAAAGCACTAAACAAAATTCCTATGAAAAAGTTTTAAGAGGCCTGGTGTGGTGGCTTATGCCTGTAATCCCAGCACTTTGGGAGGCCAAGGTGGGCAGATCACCTGAGGTCAGGAGTTCGAGACCAGCCCGGCCAACATGGCAAAACCCCGTCTCTACTAAAAATACAAAAAAATTAGCCAGGCTTGGTGGCAGGCATCTGTAATCCCAGCTACTCAGGAGGCTGAGGCATGAGAGTCATTTGAACCCAGGAAGTGGGGGTTGCAGTGAGTCGAGATCATGCCACACTGCACACCAGCCTGGGCGACAGAGCAAGACTTTGTCTCAAAAAAAAAAAAAGTTTTAAGAGACTACTGACATATATTTGGAAACATTTTGCCTACATCTTAAAATAACAATCTTAAAAGTGTTTCACTGTCTTTGATAAGAGACTTGAAACCCACCAATCGTAGATAAGGGATCTTTCTACATAACTCTATCATGCCCACAAGAGAAAATCGAATATCTCCTACTTTGAAATTTCCCTTTTCCCATTTCTATCTTGGCCAAATTACAGTCCGATAAAGAATATAGTGAGTTTCATTTCTTGTTGAACTTGACTGAGAACTAGAAATGTAAGATGACGATGGAAGTACTGACTTAATGCCCCAAAGGAAAGAAAAACAAAAAGAATCCCACAAATTGAATAAGAAGTCACTGATATAAACAGTCCCAAATCCAGATTAGTAGTTCTCAAATGCTAGTGATAGAATCACCTTCTGACTCAGAAGAACTAGGAGATGTCCCAAGAACCTTCATTTTCAATTAATTACTCTAGAAGTTTCTGATATAGGTGGGCCATGTACTGCATTGCTGGTATTCAATTACATCAACAGGCTTTTGACAGACAGAAAAATGGGCACAGCTATAGTCAGGATGGTGCCTCCTTTGAGGAGTTGGTGGTGGAGGTGGTAGCATTGCAGTCAAGATAAGAATGTATATGGTGGACCCTATTTCCCTGACCCAGTGTGGAAAAAGTGCTAGGAGTAGGAAATAGGGTTCTAGCTCTAATTTAGTATTGGCCAACTAAGTGAGCTCACAGAAGTCATTTCCCCTCTCAAGACCTCAGTTTCCTCATCTGTAAGATGAGAAGGGTTGGCCTGGGCTCCAACAATGGCAAGTGCAATTCCCCACATCCCATGCAGGAGGCAGGTCCTGCTCACCCCGTGCACCAATCTTTCCCCAGTTCTCCTCTACTCAGCCACTTCCAACAGAGTGGAGTTAGCAAATTGGTTATAACCAATTTTCCAGCCTTGATGGAGGATCTCAGGGATCTCTTTCTCTTCCTGCTTGTGTGGCTACATGATAGTTTTGGAGAGAAAATCTGGTGGAAAAAATAATAAAAGGTAGTTTTGGAGGGGGGGAATCGTTTTGGGGACAGATGCTAACCAGAAATGCAACATGCAAAAATTGACAGGGGAGTAGTATCAAACAGCCTGCAAGCCAGTCCCAGCCCTATTTCGGTTAACATGGTGATGAAGATCTTTGTGGTTTCCTCTAGAGTATCCCAGCAGTCACATCTCAGGACAATCAACAGGAGGGGCTGGGTTGGGATTAGGGTGAGCAAATTTGTGATCTTGTACATACATAAACTTAAGAGTAAGTGCCTTTTTACATTTTGTGCCAAGCACTTTGCTTGCCTTACCTCATCCTGGCCCTGAAGAGGTGTATTAGAACAATAGAGTTGCAAGCTCACTGAAGTTTCCATCTCTACCACAGACCCCTTGGGCCAAGGAGTGTATTGTGTAGAGGGGGAAATGCAAACAGATCAGGCCGGACTAGGTCAGGACTTCCATGGATTTGATTTACTGAGGGGCACTCAATATAATGGACACAAGCTTTGGATCTGCATTGGGTTAGCTGTGCAACTTCCGTTAAGTTACTTAACCTCTAAGTTTCAGCTATCTGATTTGTGAAGTGGGAATAAGAATATCTTCTTGGCAGGGATGTTGTAAAGACTGAGAATGTGCATATATATATGGCACATAGTACATGGTCATTACATGGAAATTCCTTCCTGACTTCCAGCTTCCATTCTGCCTCTAGTGACTGCCAGGAAATGAAGCAAGCGAGGGACAGCAAACTTCAATCCAAACATGGATGTGGAAATCCATGCCCTTGTGCAGAGGAAGCCCTGTAGGTCTTTACATTCATTGTTGACTTTCTGACTCACTGTTGCATTCTGTTTTAACTCCCCCTATCCTGCTCAGGTTGAACTAATGTGGGAAGGTTGACAGTACAATGCTGGGACCTTGTCCACTAGGAAACATCTCCCAGGGCTGCTCTGAGGTCACAGTTCCAGGGAAAAATACCACAAAGGCTTGTGTCGTAGGCCAACTTCGTAAGAATTACAGCTACCTTCTCCTTATGTGATTAGTATATGCTTAGCCCAGTGCTGAGCACTTTATAAACTTTATCAAAGTCAGCCCTTGCAACATTGTAAGAGGTAGATATAACTATTCCCAGTTTAAAGATGAGGAAATAGAGGCTAACATGGCTAGTAAACTGCAGAAGTGGGATATGAACTGGGTTTGTTCCTGAGCTCTTAACCATTGTTTCCTATTGATCATTCATCACTCTGGAAATGGAAACAACAGAAGAAGAGTTCCCAGCTCTCATGTAGAATAGCACTAGCATGTGATAAAGAATAGGATAACACACCATGTCATAGCTCGACTAGACAGTAAAGTCCTTGAGGGCAGGGACTTGTTTTATTCTCTTTGGTATCTCCATTTTTTAGTGGAATGAAAGGCTCTCAGCAGGAGCTCAATCACTGGGTCTTGGATGTACGGTCACATGCCACATAATGACATTTTAGTAAAAAATGAATCAATATACAATGGTGGTCCCATAAGATTATGATGGAGCTGAAATATTCTTATCACCTAGTAACATCATCACCATTGTAACATTACAGTACTATTATTATATTTTTATATATTTAGTGTAGTTTAAGTGTGCAGTGTTTATAAAGTGTACAGCAGTGTTCAATAATGTCTTAGGTCTTCACATTCACTCACCACTCACTGACTCGCTGACTCACCCAGAGCAACCTCCAGTCTTGCAGGTTTCATTCACGGTAAATGCCCTATACGAGGGTACCATTTTTTATTTTTTATCCTGCATTTATACTCTATCTTTTCTAGGTTTAAACATATTTTGATATACAAATACTAACTATTGTGTTAAAATTACCTATAGTATTCAGTACAGTGACATGCTGTACAGGTTTGCAGCCTATAGCAATAGATTATACCACATATCCTAGGGTTGTAATAGGCTATACCATCTAGGTTACTGTAAGCACACACTGCGATGCTCACACAATGAAATTATCTAATGATGCATATCCCAGAACATATTCCTGTCACTAAGCAATGCATGACTGTATAAGCAATAAAGTGATACGCGCTAAGGTATATGGTAGAGACAGAGATACTGATGAGAATGCACAGGTCTGGAAAGGTTAGTAGTGGTACAATGAGGAGGGCCAATTTCTCAGAGGACAGAGTGGAACCTGAGCTGGGATTTGGAGAGGTCAAAAAGGACAAAGATATAGAAGAAAGACATAAATGAAGGCATGATGCAGCATAAGCGTGGGGTGTAGACAGTGAGGAAGACAAACTGCTTAGAGAATTATCTGTCCAACTAGCCAATGGGGCAAGGAGCCAGTTAAACCAACTAGTCCCTGGTGGCTTGTTGGAGTAAGATTGTATTAACTGGCAACAGGTCAAGAGCAGTGAAAACAAGGTCAAAGGACAGGGTAGGTTAGTCTAGGCATACAAAGTAGGGGAGTAAAGTGGAGCCGGCTGGACTGCAGGAGACACAGTTCCCCACCCATGGTAGAGGATATGCAAATATAACTTTTGGCATCTGGAAAACACATAAAAGGAAGACAAGTCAGCCATGAAGAATGTGGAGGAGGAGGAGTACCAGGAAAGGTGCTGAAAGAACAGATGCTGGGGCTAACCACCGTCTCCATTTGGCTTGTCCTGCACCGCAGCAGCCTACTTGCTCTCTGGAGACCCTTGGTGCATCTGTTTATTCTGTAAAATGAACTCAGGGAAATCATAATTATCGAGGGATGTCACAGGCTCCGGCATGAGGCCCCAAAAGCCATATAATCCCTTTAGTAGGGTTTTCTGATTAGATGTAGTAAACAAACTTTATAAAACTATATAAATTATATATGTAATTTTATTATAATTTCATACACATGGTAATATAGATTTATACAAATAATTTTAATATGGGCTAAAGAGCTAAATCTAAAAATGGAAGAACATAAAGGATGGTTATGTCTTGAGGCTACTGTTTCCAGGCTTATCCTTCCCAACTGAATATTCCAGAAAGGTGGTAGAAATGTACTAGTCAGTTTTGCTCTCTCAATATATATTCAATCTATGTGTCCCAGGCAGGAAGAAAGTGCTATTCCACATGAGCCTTCGGAACCCTAACATTTTTCACCAAAAGCCCAGAATAATTATGTGGGCTAATGTCTGCCTCTAACTTGTGGGATTGAACAGCTCCTCAGGGCTGCATGCTGTAGAACAAATGACCCATGAGATGTTAAACGGCATTGAGAGGGAAATAATTTTCTGGATGTGACAGGGGGTCTCTAAGAGCAACCCCAGGTTCTGCGATTCACTAGGAGAACTCACAGGACTCAGCATATAGTTGTATTCATGGCTAAGATTTACTATAGCAAAAGGATACAAAGCAAAATCAACAAAGGGAAAAGGCACCTGGGACAGAGTCCAGAGAAAATCAGGCATGAGCCAACAAGAGTCCTTCCTTTAGTAGAGTCATACAGGATGTGTTGAATTCCTCTAACAAGGAGTTGTGACAACACATGTGAAATGTCTATGAGGCAAGCTCATCAGAGACTCAGTGGCCAAGGTGGCTGTTGTTGTCAAAGACAGGGTCTTGCTCTGCTGCTCAGGCTAGAGTACAGTGGTGCAGTTACAGCTCACTGCAGCCCCGAATTCCCGGACTCATGGGATTCCTCCTGCCTTAGTACCCCTTTACCCCCATGGCCCACCTTGAATAGCTGGGACTACAAGCACGTGCCACCATGCCTGGTTAATTTTCTAAAACTACTTTGTAGAGACAGGGTCTCGCTGTGTAGCTCAGACTGGTCTTGAACTCCTGGGCTCAAGTGATCTTCCTGCCTTGGCCTACCAAAGTGCTGGAATTACAGGCATGAGCCACTGGGCCCAGTCTCAGTGTCCAAGGTTTTTAGTGGGGATCCTTCCTAGCATGTGCCAAAATTCTAGGCTCCCAGAAGGAAAGCAGGTGTTCAGCATAAATGACACTGTTTATACAAACAGTTCAGGCACAGTGAACCATTCTGGTTAGGGAGTGTGGGAACCCTCCCAAAACCCAAGTTTTCTAGACACCAGCAGGGGCCAACCTTGCAATCACAACCTTCTAAGGAAAACAATCTAAGGCCTGCTATGTTAACTGCTTTCTCCACAATGGTCTCAAATATGTGTAAAATGTGGGGAAAGGTGGGAAAAGTCTGGATACTACAGCTTTTTGAAGATTAATAATGCATATTAGCATATTAAAGGGTTTGAGAAGTACTACACTATAAAAGGCTGTTTTTTAAATGTATATTTTCCAAACCTATTTGACTATAATATTTTTTAAAAAGAACACTTATAACATCCTGTTGATACAAATGTTCTACAGAATACAATTTGTGAAATCCTGGACTAAATGGATAAACTTCCATCACTTGTCTGGCTTCAGTTTTCACCATCATCAAACACACTAGTAATAATAACTAGCTCTTACATAGCTCTTACTGTGTGTTAAGAGCTTTTTTATAGAATAACTTATCTAATAAGAGGTTGAACTAGGCTACCTCTAAGCATGGCAAAGTGGCACAGTCAGGGGTTAACATTGCACGCACTGAATCTGACTGCCGGGGCTAGTTTCCCAGCTGTGCCAGTGATCAGCTGTATAGCAAGCTCCTTAACCTTAGTGTGTCTCAGTTTCCTTACCTGTAAAACAAGAACAGTGCTTAGGACACATCAACTGCTACAACTGTGTTTATTACTCATTTTTATTTTTTATATTTTTTGAGACAAGGTCTCAATCTGTGGCCCAGGCTGGAGTGCAACGGTGCCCTCTCGGCTCACTGCAGCCTCTGCCTCCCAATATCAAGTGATCCTCCCACCTCAGCCTCCCAAGTAGCTGGCACTACAGGTATGTGCTACCATGCCTGGCTAAATTTTTGTAGAGACAGGGTTTTGCCATGTTGCCCAGGCTGGTCTCGAACTGCTGGCCTCAAGTGATCCACCTGCCTCGGCCTCCCAAAGTGTTGGGGTTACGGGCGTGAGCCACTGCTCCTGACCACTTATTACTTTTTTTTTTTGAGATGGAGTATCGCTCTGTTGCCTAGGCTGGAGTGCAGTGGTGTGACGTCCGCTCACCGCAAGCTCCGCCCCCCGGGGTTCGTGCCATTCTCCTGCCTCAGCCTCCCGAGTAGCTGGAACTACAGGCGCCTGCCACCACGCCCAGCTAATTTTTTTGTGTTTTTAGTAGAGACGGGGTTTCACCGTGTTCGCTAGGATGGTCTTGATCTCCTGACATCGTGATCTGCCCACCTCGGCCTCCTGAAGTGCTGGGATTACAGGCGTGAGCCACCGCACCCGGCCCGCTTATTACTTTTTTAAAAAAGTAAATGAAGTTATTTCCAGCTCAAGCTGTTTTGATCCTTTGCTCCGTGCTATGAATCACAGGAAGGCACAGACAACAATCCTGTGGCTTCAGAGACTATAGGATGAGCTGGTCAGACAAAGGTAGCCTGAGGGAACCAGAACAGTCCCAAGTGGAGTTGGCCCACCTGGGCCGAGGAAGCCCTGACACTCAAGGCCAATCAAAGCCAGAAGCCAATTCCAGGAAGTAAACACAGACTGTCACAGGCCAAGAGGCACCATTAATTTCCTGGGAGTCTAGGACCGAGGCCAAGAACAGAAGTGATCTGCTTTTGACTGTAAATAGAGCAAGACTCTAAACAGCCTTCAATTAAACCTGGCAATTTTATCCATATGCTTGGAGAAAGGTACCTCACAAGAAAATCCCCTCTGAATCAAGAGTCATACAGATCTTCATGGTAGAAAAAAGAACAGGGAAAGATGCCAAATTGAAAAATGACAAACTGCCACTAGAATAAGCCAATTTTTAATATGCCTTAACACCTTTTGTTTACCCCTTCTCAAGCTATCTCCAGTTGAAGAATGTTCTGTATAACTGAATAATCCTTCATCGAGATATATGAAAAGTCAGCTGTGTCATCCTGGAAAATGAAGGACAGTGATTTATTTTGTAGTGTGTAGACACAGGTGGATGTAAAAAGTATGGAGGGGTAACCCCTCAGTGCACAAGGTGTGATAAAACAGTTGCTGAATACAGAACTTTGAAAGGGCTTGGTGAGGAAATTGGTTTGCTGTCTCCTTGAGACAATCTTAGGTTTGTCATGTCCATAACTATTCTCACAGATATTTCCTGCTGGCAACTTTCCTCAGGTTCTTCTATTGTTTAAAGTCAGACTCTAGAACATTCTACAGGCTTCCATGGTGCTGTGCTTATCTACCCCTAACTAACACACTGAGCTCAGTGCTTGGCACATAGTACATGCTCAATAAATGTGCATTGAATAAATGAAGAGCCTTTGTTTATAGATCCTTCTACATTGAATGTCCAACCTTTGTCTCTTTACCTAGCAACATCAGATGCATCAAAGCTCGTTTCCTCCCTGAGTCCTCAGAGACTCAGGCAGTACCTGTTTTCACAGTACAGAGCACTTTGTGGATAATAACAAGAGCCACCTGCTGGGCACTGTGCCTCACACCTGTAATCCCAGTACCTTGGGAAGCTAAGCTGGGAGGATTGCTTGAGCCCAGGAGTTTGAGGCCAGCTTGGGCAACATAGTGAGATCTCATCTCTACAAAAAATTGAAAAGCTAGCCAGCCGTGGTGGTACATGCCTGTAGTCCCAGCTTCTCAAGGGGCTGGGGTAGGAGGATCGCTTGAGCCCAGGAGGTCAAGGCTGCAAGTGAGCTGTTACTCAGCCTGAGCAACAGAGTGAGACTCTGGCTCAAAAACAAAAGCTACCATTGTGAGAGCCCTTCACCTATTACCAGCTCTCTTACTCCACACAATCACCTGTAAGATCAGTCCTTTACTCGTTTTAGTTTACAGGTCAGTAAGGCTAAGAAAAGAAAGGAACTTGACCAAGGTCCCATAGTAGGGAGTGGCAGAACTTCCTCTTCTAGCTGCTTCAATCACAGCATTTACCTCATCATGCTGTGGTTTGTCATGGTTTAACCATGCACCAGTGTATGTCAATCCTAACTTGATAGCAATGTTAACTAAATCAATACAACCAAGGGTTTTATAGTCAGGTAGACCTGAGGTCACGCTCCAGCCCTCATCATTCCTGTGTTTTGGTGCCTTGTTTCTTCTCTATAAAATGGAAATTACAGAAGAACCTACTTCCTGGTGTGTATTTTGAGAATAATGAGTTAAAAGAATGTGAAGTGCTGACCGAAGTGCCTGCCACAGAGCTTAATTATTACTAATACTCATTTAAAGGTCTGTTTGACAACCACAGTGCCTAGGATTTGCCTGAGGCTTAGCAGTGTTGGACAAATGTCTATTAAGTGAATGACTACCTATATATCTTTATTTGGGGATATAATGCAATAAGGCCCACACAGAAAGGCTAACCGTATTTTGGTTGCTTCAAAACAGATATTCTCATGTCCAGGATTCAAGCTTCACAAAATATGCGTGCTTTGGTGTATAGACCATAGCATAGTAGATTCTTAATAAATGTGGTACCCAAACAGCCATATTCACAATGGGAAACCTGCCTGCCTCTTATAAGCTAATCCTTTTCTATTTTACTTTTCTCAGTGTCATTCCTAGTTCTGATATTTTACTTCAGTTCTTTTGATCACATCCCATCATCTCCCTGAAATATCTCTATGACAATTTCTTAAGTGAAGAATGCAAAATCTACTCTTTCTCACCACGTGGGACATGAGTCTCCAAAATCTACTTCTTCCCTGGCCAGATCCTTATGAGCTATATGGTTCTTCTTCCTCTAAATATTAATGTAAAAAGATGCTTACTTTGGCAAATTTGTATCTCTGTAATATACTAAGTACAAGGAAGGCATCAACTACACATTAATTATGATTGACACCTCGTAAAATGGTCTGATCCTCTCAAAATGATCACAGGGGAAATGGGATGTCTGCAGGCAGTGAGGGACGTACCTCTCAACTCTGCCTACAGTTGTTGCTGATTAGATCAAAGCTGGGTCAATTAGAGTTCCTGTCCAGGGAATTTGGAATTGGGATGGGAAGCGGCAGAACCTTCTCCTTTTATTTTACTGGAAAGTGAGGCTAGGAAAAGAAAGGAACTTGCCCAAGGTCCTACAGTAGGGAGTGGCAGAACTTCCTCTCTAGCTGCCTCAATCACAGCATTTACCTCATTGTGCTGTGGTCTGTCATGGTTTAACCATTCACTAGTGTATGTTAACCCTAACCTGATAGCAAGGCTATCAGGTTATGTATGTGTATGTAGGATTGACATACACTAGTTAGACTAAGAAAAGAAAGGAGCTTGCCCAAGTTCCTTTCTGGGAGCAGAAAGTTGAGAAATTGAGAGAGAACTTGAGAGAGTTCTGAGGGCTCTGGGCATAGCCAGTCAACTTGAAAAGAGTAGGAAGTCACCTTCTGCCATTCTGTGAATCAACCTGCAGAGTGTGTCTAAAAAATGAAGAAGTAGACTGAGAGAAAAGCAGAAACAAGAGAAAATGAGAGCAGATTGTCTGAATTCTTGTTGGTTTTCCAGTTCACAGTTCTCATTCTTCTGGAATCCTTGCTGGCTCTTTGTCTTGAAGCCCTGGTGAAGACTCCTTCTTTATGTGTATTAGGATTATCCAACCAATGTATTTGGCCCATTGTTTTGCTGAAGCCACCTTGAGTTGATTTCTGTTCCTTGCAACCACAAGAATCCTAACTTACGAGTAGCAAAACTATGATTAGAGTTATAAACAATCCTTACATGCGTTTAACACTGTGCACATTTACAAACTGCTTAGTATTATTAATGTCTGCTACAAGCAAGCACTACAGTAATGCTGTTGAAGCAGTCATCCAACAACTAATAATTGGGTAGCAGCTGGAGGTTAAAAAGCAAGCCAGGAAGAGGGAGTGGATTTACTGAAATGAAAACTAATGTGAAAAGTCATCAAATCACTTCAGATAATTCCATTTACAAGAGTCCATCATGGTCAAATGGTTGTAGATCAGTAAGACAGTAAGAGGAAATTCTTTCTATTAGGAAAGAATAAAACCGTGAAACAGATGGATTGCTGTTTTAAAGATTAAAATTACAAGAGCACACACAACTGGCTATGCTTAGGTGGTTCAGAAAAAAAAAAGAAGCCTACCGTCTCCATAGTTCCTAAGAAATATGTACCATTCTTACAGATGCCAATAAAGCATTATGCAACTGTCAGTTTAGTAATGGAAGTGTCACCAAAGATTCATATTTAACAGAGACCAAATGTAACAGACAATGGGGAAAAGTGGTTGGTGGGGATCTGAATTAACTAACCGTGTTTGAGAAAATAATTGAGGCAATAAAACGATCAATAGGAAATCAGGCCACTCTCCAGTACCTCACGGTTTCTCAAAGGAATATTTTTAAAGAAGAGCATTTTATTGACTTGTCTCGTTTTTAATGCACTAAGAAATGCAGCTAAGGTGCCTGGTCACTGTAGAAAGGGGTACATGCAAAGACCTATGCTAACCGTAGAGCCAGCAAATGACTGATAAAAAGGAACTTGGCCATATACCTCTCTCTACTCAATATAGCCCTGCAGGTATATCAAAAAACAACAGAAACATTGTTCCAGATCATAAAAATAATTATGTTGCTTTAGAAAATTTGGAAAACCTGAGAGAATACAAGGAAAATAAAAATCACGTTAAACCACCATCCAGATAGACCACTGTTAAAATATTGCTGTATGTTTTCAGTTTTTTGTGTGAAAATAATATACATTTATATTTTATTGTATATACACTACTAAATACAATATTTTGATCTTTTTGTATGTGATGTTTTCATATGTTCACTTAATATCTAGTGAGCATGTTCTCTTGTTACTACATGTAATTTCAATGCTGCATCTCATACCATTATATGGTTTTGTCATAATCTAACCAACATACTAGATAGTAAACTGGTTTTCCTTTTAGCATTTGCTATGAACTTAATGTTTGTGCCCCACCAAAAGAAAAATTTATATGTTGAAGCCTTAATTCCCAAAGTGATGGTATTTGGAAACAGGGCTTTAGGGAGGTAACAAGGTCACAAGGGTGGAGTCTTTAGAATGAGATTAGCGCCCTTGTAAGAAGAGACAGAAGAGAAATTCCTTTCCTGCTCTCCTCCGTGTGAGGCAACTGTCTACAAATGAGGAAGAAGGGCCTCACCAAGCACCAGATCTGCAGGCAACTTGATTTTGGACTTTCCGGCCTCTGGAACCATGAGAAATAGATTTCTGTGGTTTAAGTTACCCAGAAAATGGCAGATTTGTTATAGCAGCTGAAACTAAGACATTATTATTTTTTTAAACATTAAGGGGGGAAAATAACAGTGCTGTTTATTTCCATTTCCTTTCCCCACCCCTCCCTCGCTATCCATTCTTGTCTCTTCAGTCCAGCTCTGTGCCAATGAAGTGCTGGGCTCTGTGGACTATGCAGCCTGCCATCCCTTGCCCTCTAGCTTCTGGATGCATTTAGCCAGTGAGTGGTATCAGTGGGAGGCAGGAGGTGAGAGGTGAGGCTATCCTTTCCTCTCCCCACCCCGCTTGCGCCTGACAGTTTTGGCATTGGCTGCCCTGCTCTGAAATGTTTCCTCCCTCCCTGCAGGCATCTGACCCCTCCTCCAAGGCTCCAGCTCTTCTCAGAGCTCTTTAACACACTCCCACACTTTTGCCACTTAGGCCTCTGCCTTGCTTGTTCCTGGGTGACTTAACAACCCTTTTGAGTTCCTTTAACCTCTGCTAAGTAATGGCTTCTTTGAATTCTCTTTAGATTCCCATCTGACTGATATTAAAAATTTCAACAAACAACTTGTACATTGCAAATGATGACTCTGTGGAAAACAATTATTTATAAAAGGCATAAAAAAGTTAAACACTATGCAACCACTATTCCAAATAATGAGAGGTTTGGTGCTAGTAAAATACAACAAACATGTAAAGTAGAGGAATGGTCTAGATTCTAGAACCTTCTTCCTATTTTCAGAAAGCCTCTCTCATCTTGTTTCCCTCAATTTCCTTTCCTCCGTAATTTTCATAAACCATATACCTTTTCCTTCCTCCCAGCCTTTGCTCATGCTACCACCCTAAATGGAGTTTTCTTCCAGTTTCCTCCTTATTTCTAAGCTCAGGTTTCTTCCTTCCTGAATTCTTGGAGTCCACACCATCCCTCCTCAGAATTACTGATGCTATGCTCTTCAGTATGGTAGCTGGAAGCCACCTCTGGTTATTCACATTAAAATAAAGTATAAAGTCAGTTCCTAGTCACACTGACCACAACTCAAGTGCTCAATAGCCACATGTCATTAGTGGCTGCTATGCTGAACAGTGCAGAACTAGAACCTTTCCATCATTTCAGAAGTTCTACTGGTCAGAGGTATTCCAGAGCACTTAATTATATATGGCTCAAATGAGAATTAAATCACAGATATCCTTGTATTGTCCTCCAGTTAAATCACATTTGCAGAGTCCAGAAATAACAGGAGTCTGCCTTGCTTTGTTCATTTGAGTCCAGAGAGTGCTTGGCACCCAGCAGGTACTTAGTAAAAATACTGACTTGGATAATAACCATAAATATTTCTCAGCAGAACATTTAAAAATACCACTATGGAAAACAGTGTGGAGATTCCTTGAAGAACTAAAAGTAGATCTACCATTTGATCCAGCAATCCCACTACTGAGTATCTACCCAGAGGAAAAGAAGTCATTATATGAAAAAGATACTTGCACATGCATGCTTAGAGCAGTGTAATTTGCAATTGCAAAAATATGGAACCAACCCAAATCCCCATCAATCAACAAGGGGATAAAGAAACTGTGGTGTATACACATACGATGGAATACTATTCAGCCATAAAAAGGAATGAATTAATGGCATTCGCAGCAAGATGGAACTGGAGACTATTATTCTAAGTGAAGTAACTCAGGAGTGGAAAGCCAAACATTGTATGTTCTCACTCATAAGTGGGAGCTAAGCTATGAGGATGCAAATGCATAAGAATGACACAATAGACTTTGGGGACTTGGGGGAAGGGTAGGAGATAAAAGACTGGGTTCAGTGTACACTGCTCGGGTGATGGGTGGACTAAAATCTCACAAATAACTACTAAAAAACTTACTCATGTAACCAAATACCAGCTGTTCTCCAAAAGCTTATGGAAAAAAAATTATTAAAAAATAAGGAACTACTAATAATTAACGCAAAGGTATAGAGCAAAGGGATAGACTAGACAGTTTGGAGGTAGTAGTGGTGAGGATTCTTCCAGTCCCAGAAAAAACTAAAAATCCTCTCTATCCTGTAAAACATCCTCTTTATGTACACAGAAAGAAATTTTCTAAAACATTAGAAATGATTCTCCAACCAGCTATTCAGTCTGATCAAAGGAAATTATTAAAAAGATCCAAATGCATATCTGTATATAGAAGCTTATATATACCACCCACTAAACTTGTTCACAAAAGCTGAAAACTGTCTTTAGATATTGGTACAACCTTTGACTGTGATTCTGGTTGACAAAAAATCTAGCATGTGTCTGAAGCAATTTAATGGAAGTGATACAGCTGTATACCCTAAATGATCCCCTCTCTTATCTTGCTGGCTTGAGAATTTTCACAAAATTTCAGTGTTTGATTTATTAGAATAGCCTTATAAAATACATTCTTCATCCTTACATTAATCTCCGCAAAGAACGTGTTCTTAGAAGTAGAACCATTTACTATATACTGTTTATTGAGATCTGTGCTAATAATTACTTTGCAAAAATATCCCTTTTAATCCTGATAGCAACTCTCTGAGCTAGGTATATGTGCTCCCATTTTACTTAAAAGAAAACTTACTTTCAGAGAGATCTGTCATTTGCCTAAGGTTATACAGGGAGTGAGGGACAGTGCTGGGAGGTCAACTTAGACTCTTCGACTCCCAAGACCATGGTGAGCCACTCTGTGATAGTTTATTCCACTGTTGACAAAAGTAATGCTGGAAATGGAAGCCGGTGTAGGGCACCACCTGGCCCTGCAATGCTGTTTCGTAGTCTTTCTTAGCACAGCTTTTCCCTCTCAAGCCCTTTTCTGATATTCATGCGAACAAACCTTCATGAGAAGAGACCCATGATATATATAAACGCCCACCTGCAGCTCAGGGAGGGAAGCACCCACAGGATACTTTGAGCCTGCACTTTCAGCTCTCTTACTTGATGATAAACAAAACCTAATGTGAGTGAAAGGCGGAAATGTCTAGTGATCGAGTGACCGCACCACTCCGATGGCATACTTGACACAGATATTCTAATGATTGCTCGGTTTCTATTTTCATACAGGTCCCTCACTGGAGCATCATACTCAGACATCTAACTGCTTTATTGGGTGTTTCAAAGGGACCTCAAACCTCACATGTCTCAAACTGACCTCTCTCATTTCCAGGACAACTCTCTGCTTCATGCTTCTTCTTCCTCAGCACAGGTGCCTCCACATTTGTGGCTGCTCAGGCCAACCACCTGCACTCACTCTTAAAGCGCCCTTCTCCTCCCAAATGCAATCCAGTACCAAGTTCTATTGATCCTATCTGCAAACAGATCCACCCCCATTCGCTCTGGCTATGACCTCAGTTTTAACTGTCGCCTGTTCACTTCTACATTTCTGCAAAATTGGACTATCTGACCTCCTTGGTTTCATTTCTGCTCTCATCCAATCCATCTCCACACAGCTGTCAGTACAATCTTTTGAAAATGTAAATGGGATCTCATCACTCCCTTGTTTAAATTGAAAGGGAGAAATAATCAAAGGGTTCCCACTAAGCAGAAGGAATAAATTGTTGTGATCTATTGTACAGCATGGTGACTACAGTTAATAATGATGTATATTTCAAATTGCTAAAAGTGTTGATTTTATTTATATTTTTTTCAGACAGGGTCTTGCTCTGTTGTCCAGGCTGGAGTGCAGTGGCACAATCAAGGCTCACTGCAACCTCTGCCTCTTGGGCTCAAGCGATTCTTGTGCCTCAGCCTCCTGAGTAGCTGGGATTACAGGTATGCACCACCATATCCAGCTAATTTTTGTATTTTTAGTACAGACAAGGTTTACCATATTACTTTAGGTGAACTCCTGACCTCAAGTGATTCTCCTGTCTTGCCCTCCCAAAGTGCTGGGATTATAGGTGTGAGCCACTGTGCCTGGCCTAAAAGTGTAGATTTTAAATGTTCTTATCACAAATAAACCATTAGTACGTGAGATGATGGATATGTTAATTAGCCTAATTAATCATTCTACAATCTATACATGGATATCACATTGTACCCCCAAAATAAATATTGTTGTCAAAAATAAAGAAACTGAAAAAAATTCTTTAATGGCTTCTCATTGCACTTCTTGGATCCTATTCTAAATCCTTAATGTAGCTTTGAGGCTCCACAGGACCTGGCCTTTGCCTGTGTCCCAGCCACATGACTCTCTCTTGGGCTCTGTGATTCAACCTGTGGCCTTCATTCAGTTCCTAGGGAATGCTAAACTCAGGCCAGGCACAGTGGCTCACACCTGTAATCTCAGCACTTTGGGAGACCAAGGTGGGAGGATCCCTTAAGCCCATGTTTGAGACCAGTGTGGGCAATGTAGTGAGACACCATCTCTACAAAAAATAAAAAAAATTAGCCAGGTGTGGTGGTGCACACCTCTAGTCCCAGCTACTCAAGGGGCTAAGGTGGGAGGATTGCTTGAGCCCAGGAGGTCATGGCTGCAGTGAGCTGTGACTGCATTTTTGCACTCCAGCCTGGGCAGTGGAGCGAGGCCCTGTCTTCTGAAAACAAAACAAAACAAAACAAACTTTCCTGTTTCAGAGCTTAGTATGTGTTTTTCCAACTATATGCTTGCTCTTCTCCTATACTTCATCCGGCCAGACCACATTTCTCCTTCTTACTACCACTTAAAGGTAACTATTACTCCCCAGTCTAACTTAGAGCTGCTCTTTGTATTTTATACTTTTCCTTTATTGCCCTTAATACAACTTAGCAGTATGTAAGTTGTATTAACACAACTTGGTACTGGACAATGGTAACCACTCTTTCAAATCGCATTAAGTCTCACATGCCCTCTCACCATAGGTTTTTTCCAACAACCAGCGGCCAATTTCAGATGGTAGTGATACTCATGTTGCCTTTCATGAAGTCCAGATCATTCCTAACTTCCTACTTACCATTATCTTCTGCTTCTTTAGCCATTACTTTAAAAGCAAATTTGAGTCTCTATAAGCCTTGAATTTTAACATCCCATAATTATACTTTTTTTTGTTTCTTTACTGTAGTTTTAGCACTATCCCCTGCACACCTTTTCTGTCATTATGCATCAAAAGCAATCACCAGATGACAAAATAAATGACAGGAAGAGAGGCCAAAGCAGAATAAATATAACCTAGGAGCACACTGAACTTAGAATATTAAAGACTGCTAATTGGCTGAGCATGTTCAGAGTAGTATATGGATACTCCAGGGATGAAAGTATATCCAATTCACTGGATGAGAGAGAATGGTGGTATTCAGAGAATGAAAATATGTTAACACATCCCATGTTAGACCATTTATAGATATAAAACAAGTCTTTAAAGAAAACACTTAAGTAGTAGTTATAATGGATCATTGATACAGGGTATGGCATTAAACTGTGTGTGTGTGTGTGTGTGTGTATATATATATATGTGTGTATTCTCCTTCTTTAACAACTATCTCTGTTATGGGCTGAATTATTCCCTGCCCCCCCAATTAATATGTTAAAATATTAATCCCTAGTATCTTAAAATGTAACATATTTGGAGACAGGGTCTTTAAAGAGGCAATTAAGTTAAAATGAGGTCATTAGGATAAGTTCTAATCCAATATGACTTGGGTCTAACACAGAGAGTGACAACCATGTGAAGACACAGGGTTAAGTTGGACATAGACAAGCCAAGGAGTGAGGTCTCAGAAGAAACCAATGCTGCCAACGCCGTGACCTTGGACTTCTAGCCTCCAGGACAGCAAGCAAATCAATTTCTGTTGTTTAAGCCACCCAGTCTGCGGTAGTTTGCTATGGCAGCCCCAGCCGACTAATATAATCTCCCACCATGTTCCAAACCCAGTTAGGACAGGGACCATTTATATTGTGTTCCCAGTTGTAACTCTAGCACCTGGCACAAAGCAATGATGAGATACTATATTCCCAATGTATGCAGTTATAGCAACGAACGTAGCATGGTATCTAAGAGCATCGCGCTCCTGGAGAGAGCTTGTGTTTGAATCCTTGCTTCATCACTTCTTATACTGTGTGACTTGGGTTCAAATAATTTAACTTCTGTGTGCCTCAGCTGTTTGATCTGCAGAAGAAAAGGGATAATAACAACTCCCATCTCACAGAGGTATAAGGATAAAATGACAGTGCTAAAAAAGTGCTTAGAACAGTGCTAAAACATAATAAACATATAATAAATGATAGTGATTATCACTGATGTTGCTATTTGCCCTGGCCTCATGTGTGGCTAAGTATCCTGGGGTGTGGACCAATTCCGATAAAAACTGGAGAAGTTAAAGCTCTAAGGTTTTGCAATACTTACTGGGCTGAAGGGTCCTATATATAGCATATAATAAGTGTTCAGCAAACATTTATTCAACTGAATACTCTACGAGCTGACCTTACATGGTCTGAGGTGGAGCTCTGGGTCAAAGCCATTCTCCTACCCTGCTCAGGAGATCACTTTTTGCTCCACCTGGGCAGTGGTCATCTTTATCAATACACAAAGAAGTCCACTGATAAAGAGGGACTTCTTCAACTCTTTCTCAACCTTTTCCTTCTAAGACCAAGGCTTGAATAGGATGGGCTCCCTGGAGTCTAAGTAATAAGTATTTCAAATATCTTTACTGTAACAAATCTTAGTATCTACCAGAAGCTATTCTGAAGATGAGGAAACAAAAGTACTGGCAATTCCTGACCTGAATGCCAGGTTAACTCAAGGGACCAATCGACTCCCAGTACAATAGAAACTGCAAAGCCATAATTTTAACTCTTATTATGATACAGAAAGGAAAACAAAAGAATGGTTTATTTAAAGACTAAAACTGCCTATTTTATGAAGTCACTGTTTACATTGTTGGAAACTCAATTTTGCAGTCCTCTAAAACAAGTTTTTTCTCCAGACCACTTAAGGTAAAAGAAAAAAAAAAACCACGAAACAAACAAAACAAAACACAAAACAAAAAGGTAGAGTTGAAAGTATGCTTTTTATAGGAAGGAAAATGGTAATGTGTATACAAGGGACCTCGAAGATGCTGTGGGTACCCACGGGGATTTTGCCACAAAGGGTGGATGATTAAGGAGTTCACATTTATGGTTGTGAGATGGCCAGAAAGTCTAAAGCAAACTCTACTCGTGCTAGGGAGGCATCAGTGCCAGTTTCTACCATTCCAGTAAGAATTTCTTTAATTGCATTTGTTTTTTTCTTGAAGAATTCAAGGTAATATTACCCCTTTCAGTATGTGTTCTGGAGAAACAGAGCAGAAAGCTTAAAAGAACTAGTGTGCTGGCCTTCTGGAAGGGTTTAAATCTCAAAATGAAACCTGATCATGTCACATCTCTGCTTAAAGCTCTTCCACGAGTGTCTAAAGTTCTTAGGGTTAAGGCCCACATGTTTAATATGACCTAAATGTTCTGGTGGTCTAGCTTTGGCAAAATTCTCCAGTGTCACCTCACAACTACCCCCTGCTCTAGCAAAATATCTTAACATCATTGTTCCCTCTTTGTAAATACTCTCCCTGATTCCAACTCCTGCCTTTGTGAGTCCCCACTATACAATCTCAAGTCTGTACATTCTCCTTTGAGGACTTAATGCAATTAATAACTTAATAATTATCAGTCTGCTGTCTCTTTCTCTTGCAAGATTAATTAATTCACTAATTTGCTCATTCAGTTTGCCAAGTACCTACTATGAGCTAGATGCTGTAAGCTCCATAAAAGCATGGATTCAGGATGCACTGTTCATCACTGATTCCCACTACCTCATCGGACACATAGTAGGTAACTCAAAAAAAGCTGTTCAATGAGTGAATGAATATGTTTATTCCATTTTAATTTTTTTAAGTACCTATTACAATGTTAGATACAAAGACCATACTCAATAAGTAATCCTTTAATATTTTTGGAGGGAAAGACTGAGTAGCACTTAAACTTTGCATCATCAATTAGCATTTTGAAAAGGCAAATAAAAACACACAGGTGGCTAAAATGTTACCTTTGACACTTTCTTAAAGTACTAAGGCACCGCAGTAATGGATATTCATCACTTTCCTGCCCTAACACACACAGACGCACGTGTGTGCAACAACATAACCAAATATGTATATTTATATGCACCTAGATAGCATCTACACAAGAAAATCATTCACACATTTGTTAATCACAGCTTTGTTTATATAGTACTTATACAGGGTGGAGCAATAATTTGTGAGTCTTTTAAATTGATGTAAGAGACATTTTTCAGTTTATTCTATGAGCAAATATGATGAGCCCAAGTCCCTACTAGAAAATTCAAGCCTGGAGAACTGGATTAATAAATATAAATGAATTCATTTGACAGAGTGACATTTTCATTTAATTAAGGCAGAAAATCAGCTCTAAAACAAATGATTGTCCCTGACAAAGAAGCAGAAATTGGTTCTTAATAAATTTCTAATAGCTCTTCCATGGGCTGCGGAAGGTCTTCAGTGATAGAGCACTTTGGTGGGGGTGGGGAGTGGGATGAAGGGAGGGACAGTGAAGAGAATTGAAAAGAAAAGGAGAAGAAAAGGAACAGGGAAGCACAAAAGGTAGTGCATATTTAAAATTTCAAAAATAGCAAGAAAATTAGAGACCATTTATTTATGCTTTAATACATGTCAAATCCTGATAGACCAAAATTATTATAGTAAAACTCTTTCCGTAACAAAACAAATATCCAAGTGTTAGGAGAGAATTAATTTAAAAAATATATAAAACAAAGGTCAATAAAATTTGCTCTATTATTTCATCTCTTCCTCGTTTCTGTGGTGTTGTCTGAATTTTAGGGACACAAATGACAAAAGAAAAATCAAATTTTCTGATACATAGACATAAGGATAAATGCACACATATGTAGTTTACAGTAACTGTGAATTATAACAACCAACCACATGATAGAAATGGGATAAACTGAAATGAATACCCAAATACTTAGTTTTCAGAATCTCCATATACTACCTTCACCAATGTTTAATAGTTTTTAGGACTAAACATTAGGTTTGTTTCTCTAATAGAACTTGGAAAGAGGGAGCCTTTAGATGTATAAATCAAAGTCACATACTTCTTACATAGCAGATACTTCAAACCCTCATGGTCACTGTTAATAAATTTCTGTCCACTCATTTATGCCAAATCAATTTCAATTAAATCAATTAAAATGGCAACTAGCAAAATTTCACATTATTGATCTAACAAGATTAAGATTACTCAAGATATTGGCAGCACTAAGAAATGCTATGCTGACATCTCTGCTTCATTATGATGCCAAGTTGAAAAACAAACAAATTTGATTTCTTAGGGACCCAATAGCTCAGGTATGCAGGAAACATCTCAGCAAAACCATACACCACATATTCCTAGCAGCCCAAAAAATGCAAAATGGAAGATGGAGGGTGATAACTATGTTTTGATAAGCAAGCTATTAAATCTTTTATTTGAATAGTCTCAAGTGTTAATTTCTTTAAGTGCATCTTGAGTTTCTTGCAAAAGAAAAACATGTATTTTTGAAATAAGAAATACTTCACAGCAGGCAGATAGGGGAGTGGAAAGAGCATGGGCTTTGGAGGCAATTAGTCATCTTACACACTGCGATGGTTAATTTTGTGTGTCAGCTTGACTGGGCCATAGGGTACCCAGATATTTAGTCAAACATTTTTCTGGGTGTATCTGTGAGGGTGTTTATGGATGAGATTAACATTAGAATTGGTAAATAGAGTTAGGCAGATTTCCCTCCCCATGTCAATGGTCTTCATCCAATCAGTTAAAGGCCTGAATAAAACAAAAAGGCTGGCCTTCCCAGGAGTAAGAGTAAGAGGGAACTCCTTTTGCCTGACTGCCTTGAGCTGAGACACTGGGTTTTTTTTTCCTGTCTTTAGACCTGAACTTAAACATTAGCTCGTCTTGAGTTTTGAGCATGCCAGCTTTTGGAATGAAACTCACACCATCTGCTCTCCTGGTCCTCAAGCCTTTACATTTGAACTGGAACTACACCATTAGCTTTCATTGGTCTCCAGCTTGCCAACTGCAGATCTTGGGACTTCTCAGCCTCCATAATAACATCAGCAGATTCTTTATAATAAATTTCCTTCTCTATACATACATACATTCTTATTGGCTCTCCAGGAATTCAGACTAATAGAAATAATATTTTTTAGCTGTGTGGCCTTGGCAGGCATTGTGGCTCTTTGGGCCTCCTTTTCTTTATTTGTAGAATGCAGTCCATGACATCTACTTTGCAAAATTACTGTGTGAACTAAATGCAGAATTTATTAATAAAATGTGAAGTGTGTACACAGGTCCACAATCAGTATTAGCTCCAGACTTCCACTGGTGATAAAGTGAAGATTTGGGAAACTTTATATAGAAATAAAAACTAGTATCTAATGCTAATGTTAGATATTAATAATTCAGAAAACTGCTACCTAACTCTGAGACTTTAATGGTTTCCAATACGAATCCCCGAACCGACCTTTTAGAGCTGAAGCAACTATCTTTCTTTCTCTTCTTCCTCTCTTCTTTATTCACAGGAGGTAGTACCATGATAACTTTGCCCTTATACCTGCCAAGCACAGGAAATTGTAGAGTCTCTGTGTAAAGTAACTTGTTTATTATCCTTTGGGGGTTGCCTAAGAAAACTTATTTCATATTTCTGGGGAAATAGGAGGTGGAATTTCAGCAGTGCTGTCTCCTGAGAACTATGGAGGGTGGGCTACTTTCTTAGGTCTTGAAGACATAACCTGCAAGTTTAGGTGATAGTGTTAGATGGGCTCCATCCTAGTTTGGGTTTTAAGATAGGATACCTTTAGGAACCCTAAGAGCTGAAAACTCCTTCTGAATTCACCTGGTTATGACAAGCGAACTCCTTAAGGCCAAAAGGAGTTTGACTCAGATACTCCCTTGTGCTCTGAGTGCTGCGTGGAGTGCTGTGGGCTCTGAATCTGCATAGAGCTGGACAGCAGACCCTCACGCTTTCACATGCACAGAAGTCAACTGCGGTGAAGCTGTGAAAAATACCAGTGCCTGGGCCTGAGGGTCTAATTTGTCAGGTTCAAGATAAGGTCTGGGAATCTCCATTTGGAAGAAGTAAAACAAAACAATTCTGCTGCAAGAAGGTCATGAATTTGGGGGAGGAGAATGTGGTGAAGAGGAGTGAAGGATGAATCTTTACAACCCTCTCCTTTACCGTTTTTCAATCTATTACCATGGGTTGTCTAGTCTCCTTTTCTCTTGGGGATGAGGATGACTTCCTCATCCTCATTTGCCACCACCCTCATCCAGGTTGTTATCATATCCTGTGTAGATTACCACAACAGCCTCCTAACTAGATGTCTTGCCCCCTGTCTTTGCTTTTCCAGTGCATCCTCTCATCTTTTGTTATAGAAATCTGATTAGGACAGTCTATGATTCACAACCCTTCTGTAGTTGCCACTGTCTTCAGGATAAATTCTAGATTCCTTGAGAAAAGCAAACATATAAGGCATTCACTTCACATTCCAGTCCTTTCCTTACTTTTCCAATCTCACTTCCTGCCATCTTCCCTCCCTTCTGACCAACTCCTAACCCTCTAACTATATTAGGCTTCTTCATGCTCCTGGAACACACCAAACTTCTTCAACCTTCACCCCTGTGAGAGTTAACTTTATGTGTCAACTTGACTGAGATAAGGGATGCCCAGATAGTTGGTGGAACATTATTTCTAGGTGTACCTGTGTGGGTATTTCCAGAAGAGATTAGCATTTAAATCAGCATGCTAAGTAAAGAGGAGCTGCCCTCACCCATGTAGGTGGAATTGTCCTGTCTGTTGAGAACATGAACGAAACAAAAAAGTGGAGAAGGACAACTTGTTTCGTTCTCTCCTTGAGCTGGGGCATCCATCTCCTTTTGCCCTTGGACACTGTAGCTACTGATTCTTGGGCTTACAGACTCTGGGACTTACACCAGCAGCTCCCTCTATTCCCAGGCCTTCAGAATTGACTAAATTATACCACCAGCTTTCCCGGTTCTTCCGCTTGTAGATGGCAGATCGTGGGACTTCTCAGCCTCCAAAATCATGCGAGCCAATTCCCATAATAAATCTCCTCTTATATGTCTATATATACCCTATTGGTTGTTTCTCTCTGAAGAACCCTAATACAGCCTCAGAACAGTCTGTTCCTTGCAACTGGGACATTTTCTTTCTATAGTCGCCAAGCACCACCTAATCTGGCTAACTCTTCTTCCTCTTTTAGATCTCAGCTTCCTGAAGGAGATTTTCCTGATCCCTTAGAGCCAGAGAAGTCCCTCTGCTTACTTGCTCCCCAAAGCATAATTAATGACCCCATTCATATCAGCCACCATGTTACTATGATTGCTTGTGGATGAGTGTCTTCTCCACTAAAATGTAAAATCCATGTATATAAGAACCATATCTATCTTGCTTATCATATTTTGCCAAAAGCTAGTAAAGGCCTGACACAAAGCAGGCACTCAGCAAATACACGGTTTTATAGTAAATATACTATCACAACATGCTGTACCTCTCTAGAGCTCTTAACACTTTGGCAATTTTATATGTGTTTGATGACTAAAGAGGAAATAAACACATCTTGCTAACTAATAGCTGGCAAAGTTCAGAGGTCACTTTTCCTTGTAACCTTTTCTGACACATTTCTTCTAGACTGGATACCCTTCCTATATGACACTGCAAACATCCACACTTCTGTCACACCTCAGACATTTCTGTGCTATAATATTTTACATATAGGTCTCCTTAACATGACTTCAAAGGCAAGAATTTAATATTCATCCCTGTATCCCTAACATACAGCATATAAATAGTAGTTGACACTTAGTAGGTTCTCAATGTTTTTTGAATTACTAAATAAATGATTGTATAATTGCTACTGTAAAAAGATAAACAAAATGAGGGCTGGGCACGGTGGCTCATGCCTGTAATCCCAGCATTTTGGGAGGCCAAGGTGGGTGGATCACCTGAGGTCAGGAGTTCAAGACCAGCCTGACCAACATGGTGAAATCCCGTCTCTACTAAAAATACAAAATTAGCTGGGCGTGGTGGCACATGCCTGTAATCCCAGATACTCAGGAGGCTGAGGCAGGAAAATTGCTTGAAACTGGGAGGCGAAGGTTGCAGTGAACCCAGATCGCGCCATTGCACTCCAGCCTGGGCAACAAGAGTGAAACTCTGTCTCAAATAAAATAAAATAAAATAAAATAAAATAAAATAAAATAAAATAAAATAAAATAAAATAAAATAAAATAATAAAATAAAATAAAATAAAATAAAATAAAATAAAAATGAACAAAATGAAAAGGGGGATACTAAGAATGGAAGTATTATTTCAGAGAAGGATAAGGATAGAAGGCTTTATTCTTGTCTGGGGCTCAAGACTGGACCAATGGCTGCACAACTTTAGAGTCCATTCACAGTGTAGTCTATGCACATGGTACCTTCTAGAATTGGCATGTAGAAATTCTGATACAATGGGAGGCTTGAACATCTACACTGTACAGGGGTTTTTGCCAGACACCGAGAATTGGTGGTCCCCCCAAAAAAGGCCACAGAGAAATTAGTTAATATGCAATATTAGGGACAGAAGTCCTAAAGCACACAGATGGCATATTTTTCTGTTTCTTCTTAGAAAAGCCAGAACATCTCAGTGCATCTCTGAAAGTGGCTTTGATTTCTTCTTATCCAGTCCACATGTCAATGTTCTAAATCAACTGACTCTCTAAAAATCCCATAGGACATTTGAACACCGCACATATTAGACTGTAGGGTCTATACTTATCCTCAAGAATAAAACCAATATCAATTGTTGAAAACCTGTAACTCATCTTTCTTCAATGTAACATTAGTAATTTAAGATCCTTCAAATCCACAGTCAAGCCACAAGGTCAAGGTGACATAACAATGCAACCTTATGACCATCTTAAATTGTCCAAACAAGAGATATCACATATATTGTTTCACCTAGTACATTTAAATGCAAAGTGGTCAATGCATTTGAGGTTGGTGAGTTCTGCAGGGGCAGACATGAAGCATTTTTGAAGTCTCTGAAGTTCCCTAAAATTACTCATCAGTATGCAAAGAATGACTTAAAACATTGAGCTGTGAAGCAGCAATGACAAGGATCATTCCTGATAGAAAAAGTCCATATTAGACAAATAATGTGTAGACATGTCTCCCATATGCTGGCTAGAGGAACCATTAGGGGCGCTACAAAAGGCAGATATTTTTCTACCATGAACAATGTAACAGACAAGAATCATGAGTCCATGTCAAGCCTTAAACAAAACTCCTTCTTGGATTAAATGACCTAATGGATTCCCAGAATAAAAACGAAACAGGAAAAGATGCTAATCAGGATATACATCTCATAATTCTAACTGCTACTGATAAACTGACATATGATTTTAATAATTCCCTCAAAAAACATGTCTTTTGGCCTTTAAATATAAAGCTCATTCCAAGGAGAATTTCTCTGATGGCTTAAAGACTTGATAAAATTAGAAATATTCCTGGCCACAACATTTCTGCAAGGGTGCGAAGATTTTGAAATGTGTCGGGGGAAATCTTAAGGAGGTAGCAGTTCGAGAAAATGTGGACTTGGAGGAAATTGAGAAGGGACACGTGATTCGCAGATCATAATCAAATAAGGTTGAATGAAGAAGTAGTAACAAAAGACCCTAGCTACAGAAGAATAATCTGTTCAGATTCCTATTAGGTTACTCATCCAAAATCCTTATCTACCATTAGCCGCTGAGCTCATGGTCATAGAAGAAGGTTCACTTAACAATCACTGGAGAGTGTCACTCAGGAGAACATTTAAGGACTGAAAATATTAGATGAAACCACTCAAAGCAGGTGAGTGGCTTATGTTTAAGAGCCCTTGCCATTGTCTTTACTTGATGGGTCAATAGAAAAAGATCACAAGGGAATGAAGAGATTCTTAAAAAAGGAGATCCTAGGTAATGTTGCTCATGGTGAAAGATGATTCAAAATGGCTTTGTAGCTACGTTTATTTTCTTGTGAATCCATGAAAATTGATATTGCATTCACTGCTTTGAGAAGATTTAGTGGAAAATGAAATAGAGGAAGAAAATGAGAGAAAAGGGCAACAATTAAATTTATATTAGCAAAAACATACAGAGGATCCACCTCTCGCTAGCACTATGCAAAGTAAAATTAGAACACAACTGAAGTTTGCTCATAGTCTACAAGGAAGACAAAGCACTACCTTGCTTTTATACAGGCTTCCCTTTCTGCCACCCTTTGTGCACCTGTTAACATTTTTATCCCTTAAAAACTAGCTCATCTGTTGTAGCACTGGCAAGTCTTCCTTATCCCACCTATTCCCAAGTGAGGCTGAGTTCCAGCTCTGTGCCATCATTATACTATCATGTGTCTCTATGATGGCATACATCATTCTATCCTTATTGCTAGAATGGGCACTCCCTTTTTATCTCTAGTACCTCACACAAAGTGTGGAGCACACCGGATGGAAGAATAATGGATACTATGTGATGAATACAGTATTATTAGTCTGAACAAAGTGCTAAGAAATGCAGAGGGGCCAAAAACAGACACGTAGACCAATGGAACAGAATAGAAAACTCAGAAATAAGAGTGCACACCTACAACAATCTGATCTTTGACAAACCTGACAAAAACAAGCAATGGGGAAAGGATTCCCTATTTAATAAACGGTGCTGGGAAACCTGGCTAGCCATATGCAGAAAATTGAAACTGGACCTCTTCCTTACACTTTATACAAAAATTAACTCAGGATGGATTAAAAACTTGAACGTAGGCCAGGCACAGTGGCTCACTCCTGTAATCCCAGAACTTTGGGAAGCTGAGGCTGGTGGATTGCCTGAGGTCAGGAGTTTGAGACCAGCCTGGCCAACATGGTGAAACCCCATCTCTACTAAAAATTCAAAAATTAGCTGGGCATGGTGGTGGGCACCTGTAATCCAGCTACTCAGGAGGTTGAAGCAGGAGAATCGCTTGAACCTAGGAGGCGGAGGTTGCAGTGAGCTGGGATCACGCCATTATACTCCCGCCCGGGCAACAAGAGTAAAACTCTGTCTCAAAAAAAATAAAATATAAAAAACCCACAAAAACAAAAACAAAAATAAAACAACAACAACAACAACAAAAAACTTAAATGTAAAATCCCAAACTACAAAAACTGTAGAAGAAAATCTAGGCAATACTATTGAGGACATAGGCATGGGCAAAGATTTCATGACAAAAATGTCAAAAGCAGTTGCAGCGAAAGTAAAAACTGACAAATGGGATCTAATTAAAGAGCTCTGTACAGCAAAATAAACTATCATCAGAGTGAACAGAAAATCTACAGAATGGGAGAAATTTTTTCCGACGTATCCATCTGACCAAGGTCTAATATCCAGAATCTATAAGGAACTTAAACAAATTTACAAGAAGAAAACAAACTTACAAGAAGAAAACAAACAACCCCATTAAAAAGTGGGCAAAGGACATGAACAGACACTTCTCAAAAGAAGACATTTATGTGGCCAAAAAACATGAAAAAAAAGCTCAACATCACTGATCATTAGAGAAATGCAAATAAAAACCACAGTGAGATACCATCTCACGCCAGTCCTAACAGGGATTATTACAAAGTCAAGAAAAAACAGATGCTGGTGAGGTTGTGGAGAGACAGGAATGCTTTTACACTGTTGGTGGGAATGCAAATTAGTTGAACCATTGTAGAAGACAATGTGGTGATTCCTCAAAGACCTGGAACTGGAAATATCCTTTGCCCCAGCAATCCCATTACTGGGTATATACCCAAAGGAATATAAATCATTCTGTTTTAAAGACACATGCATGCATATAATCACTGCAGCACTACTCACAACAGCAAAGAGATGGAGTCAACCCAAACGTCAATCGATGATAGACTTCATAAAGAAAATGTGGTACATATACACCATGGAATACTATGCAGACATAAAAAGGAATGAGATAATGTCCTTTGCAGGGACATTGATGGAGCTGGAAGCCATTATCCTCAGCAGACTAATGCAGGAACAGAAAACCAAATACTTCATGTTCTAATTCATAAGTGGGAACTGAACAATGAGAACCCATGGACACAGGGAGGGGAACAACACACACTGGGGCCTGTCAGGGTGGAGGGTGAGGGGAGGGAGAGCATCAGGAAAAATAGCTAATGCATGCCGGGCTTAATACCTAAGTGATGGGTTGATAGGTGCAGCAAACCACCATGGTACACGTTTACCTATGTAACAAACCTGCACATCCTGCACATGTACTCTGGAACTTAAATAAAATTTTTTTTAAAAAAGAAATGCAGATGGATAGGAGAATGATTGGTTCTGCCTGAAAGATGAGGTAAGTCTTCTCAGAAGAGTTAATATTTCATCAAGGCTATGTCTTTTCATGAGTTTTATTATACAATATTCATAACAATCCTGTGAAATAGATCTTATTCCCATTTTTATAATGAAGATATCTTAATTTCTGACAAGCAACTTGTCCAAAGTTAATACATCCATGAAATGCCTAGAATGGCTGTGCGATGCTGAAGAGTTTGACTTTTATTCTGTAGGTAATTGGGAACCATTCAATGTTTTAAGGATGGAAATAATGTTGTCAGAAATATATTTAACTCTGGCAATAGAAGTGGGAAGTTAATTGAAGTAGAATTGAGGGAGCAGGACAGAGACTTCAGATCAAATGATAACTAGAATGTTATTCAAATGGCCTGGGAAAGAGCTGAAGAGGAATGAATTAACACAGTGGTTAGGGTAGAGATAAGGCTGGGAAAGATGGGAAACTCACTTCACAAGCAGAACTCTGAGGATTTGGTCATGGACTCCATGTGAGTGATGAGGAAAACGGAGTAATCACAGGTGACTCTGAGCCTTCCATGACAGGTGACAGCGTGAGTCATGGAGGTATTAACCTTGAGAACCAACACAGGAGGAAGAACAGACTCGGGAGATGGTAGAAAAGATAATGGGTTAGATTCAGATATTTTAAATTTGAGATGTCAGAGAAATATTCAGGGGTACACATCTTTTAGAGAGAGAAAAATAAGAATCTGTAGTTTCAGAGAGGTCTAAAACGTAAATCTGAGAGTCACTATGAAGTAGGGGATGCTTAAGCGGTAGAGGGTGAGATTGTCCAGGCAGCATGCAAAATGCCAACAACTAAGAGGACCTACCCCCAGGAGGAATCAATATTTGGGACGTGGCAGAAGAGGGCAGTTTGCCAACAGCCTGAGAGAGGCCATTAGAAAGAGAACTGAGAGAGTCAATATCCTGTACATGGAACATGTGAGCACCAAGGCAAGGAAAAGCTCATGCTATCCAATGATAAAGCAGAAGAACTGTGTTGAAGAGAACTGGCATGTGAACATCAGATTTGTAACACCAAAGCCTCAACTAAATAAAAGGCATGAAAGAGCCTGGAAATTCAAGTAGCATAATTTGAGACATACTAGAAAATTAGAACATCAGACATTCTTCACATATGCATAAAAAGGAATCTGACTGGCTCATGTTTTCTTTCTCAGGAGCAAGAAGATTCTCTTCCTCAGAAGAGAGACAAAAGGAAGCATTTCTCAATGTCACTTGTAGAAAGACATATCCTATTGCCTGGTCAATAGATACTGAGAAAATTTGCTTTGAATAAATGAGTTAACAGTAAACATGTTTGACCTGAGATTCTCAGGAAATTGGGGCCCCTAATGATACTGATGGCTCCAGGAAGCACTAGGTAGAACTTCTACAAAGATGCAGTATTTTTTTTTTTTTTTTCAGAAATCTCCCATTGTTTTCATATGTATTAAAGCCAGTCTCTAATTCTGTTTTTCTTCTTTTTCCACCATCTTAAGAATATTGCTCTGGCAGTTTCTTATGAGGTCAAACATACATTTAAGATGCCAATCAGCAATTCCACTTCTAGATATTTACTTTTTTAGTGAAATAAAAATCAGTGTTTATAATAAAAACCTATGTGTGAGTGCTTATGGCAGCTTTCTTTGTGTCAAACAAACCTGCAAACAACTCAAATGTCCCACAGCTGGGGGATGGATACACAAACTGTGGTTATATTAGGTTGGTGCAAAAGTAATTGCAGTTTTTAACCATTAAAAATAATGGCAAAAAACACAACTACTTTTGCACCAACCTAATACATTTAGTGGAATACTCAGCAATGAAAGTGAATGGGATGATGACACATCACAGCTTTGATAAGTCTAAATCCATCTCCAGAAGTCAAAGAAGTCAGACACTATGACTCCATTTATATAGCTTTGTGGAGAAGGCAAAACTGTAGGGATGGAAAACATCATAGGTTGCCAGGGGCTGGTAGTAATAAAAGGAGCTGACAACCAAGGAGCATTGGGAGAGTATTTTCTGGAGAAATAGAAATTTTCTATCTTGATTGTTGTGGTAGTTATTCAACTGTGTGCATTTGCCAATACTTGCATAACTGTGCACTAAAAATGGTGAATTTTACTGTATGCAATACAGAATATACCTTAATAAAAACAATGAGATAAAAAGAATACTGGCATGGGAATGAGGAGAACTGCAATCTAGTCTCAGTTATGCCACTAACTAGCTGTGTAACTAGGAACAAACCTCTAATCCTCTTTGGGTCTTGGTGCCCAAATCTGCAAAATGAGACTGGACAATATCTCAACAAGTCTATTGCTCCATTCTACAAAGACTTCCTTCTTTAAGAAAGGTGGTGGACCAGATGGCCTACTTCAGTTCAGATGGCCTACTTGAGTTGCTGAAGTATCATTGCGGAGGTGACTGGACTAAAATAGCTAGTCCGTACATATAGTTCTAAAAAGTCTTCTTGGATTAGAAAGTAGTGTTTCTAATTTTTGTTGTTCCAAAAGACAGAGCTTTGGGAAAGTCCATCTGGTTATGCAATTCCCAAGTAAAATTTGACACATATATTTGGACAATGTGAAAAAAGTTCTTCAGGAAACACTAATGTTTAATGAGCTATAACTGGCCCTGGTAAACAAACATACTATTCTTTTTTCATCTTATAGGGAATAATTATGAAGGCATATGAGGATGGTAGCATCTACTACTCACATCTGCCTTACTTGCCACTGTTTTCTATTGCCTGAATTTACCCAACCCTCATAGTTGCTGATATATTTTTACACTTTCTACGTATTTGCAGCCAAGAAAGTCACTAAAAGGGACACCCCAAAAATAGTTCCACACTACAGCATGAGAAAATAAAACAATAAAAATAATAATCTTGATGATGATTTCAAAAGCTTGCATTTTTTTACTTCGTAAAGCAGGGGTCCACAAACAATGGGCTAGCAATTTTTTTTTTACCTGTGGTAAAAACCACATAGTACTAAATCTACTATCTTAACCATTTTTAAGCGCACAGTTCAGTCATATTAAGTATATCTAAGTTGTTGTGCACCAGATCTCTATGAGGTTTCATCTTGCAAAACTGAAACTTGTACATGAAACACAAATTCCTCCTCCTCCAAGCCCTTGTAGCCACTTTTTTACTTTGTTTCTATGATTTTGACTATTTTAGATACTCCATATGAGTAGAATCATGCATTATTTGTCCTTTTGTGACTCGCTTATTTTGTTTAGCACGATGTCTTTGAGGTTTATCATGCAGCATGTGGTCGGATTTCCTTCTTTTTAAAGGCCGAATAATATTGCATTTTGTATATATACCATGTTTTCTTTATCCGTTCATCTGTTGATAGACATTTGGGTCACTTCTATCTCTTGCCTATTGTGAATAATGCTGCACTGAACATGGGTGTACAATTATTTCAAGATCCTGCTTTGAATTCTTTTGGATATGTACCCAGAAGTGAGATGGCTGTATCATATGGTAACTCTATTTTTAGTTTTTTGAGGAACCTCAATACTGTTTTCCATAATGGCTATACAATTTTATATTCCCACTAACAGTATACAGGGGATCCAATTTCTCTACATTCTTGCCAACACTAGTTATTTTCTGTTCTTTTGGTAGTGGCCATTCTAATGGGTGTGAGATGATGTGTGGTTCTGATTTGCATTTCTCTAATGATTAGTGATGTTGAGCATCACTTCATACGCCTATTGGCCATTTGCATACCCTTTTTGGAGAACTCTCTATTTGAATCCTTTGCTTATTTTATTATTTGGCTTGTTTTTTTTTCCCCTTGTGTTGAGTTATAGACGTTTCTTATATATTCTGGATATTAACCCCTTTTCAGATATGTGATTTATATATATTTTCTATTCTGTGTTGTCTTTTCACTCTGTTGTTTCCTTTGATGTGTATCAGTAATTCTTTTTGTAAATAAAATTGTATTGGAACACTGCTATGCCTAATTCATTTAAGTATTGTCTATGGTTGGGTTTTGCCTAGTGGGGGTAGTTGCAACAGATACCATATGGCTGCAAAGACTAAAATACTTACAAACTGGTCCTTTACAGAAAAGGTTTGCCAACCTCTGTCATAGAATATGCAATGAACTCTATTATACGGTTTCTACATAAAATCTCATTTAACAACCACCTGGAGATGGAAATTATTAGCCCATTTGACATAATAAAGGCAATAAAGCGTAATGGGTAAAAGTTTGCTGTGGAGTCAGACAGACCTGTGCTATGCTTTTTACTAGTTGTCTGACTATGAGTATATTACTTAACCTCTTCATCCTCTCTTATACGCATATGTAAATTATTGTGATGGTTGCACCACTCTCTTTACACACTAAACATCACTGAATTTTAAGCCTTAAGTGGGTAAGTTGTATGTTATGTGAATTATATCTCTATGAAGATGTTATAAAAATAAGGATTATTATAAATGTATGAGGTTGATTAAATTGCGTGGCTTCTATTACTGATAGCCAACAATATTCTGCATTTACTATCATACTGTATCGAGTGATTTACATATCTTAGCTCCCTTAATTCTTACAACATCCCTATTTGGTGAGCACAGCAAAATGTGTTAGGTACAGGATTTAAAATTTGGGCCTGTCTGATGCCAAAATTCACCCTTTTTCCTTCTTGTTTCTTTTTAAAAATTTTATTCCTTTAAATAGTTAATATACTCATACATTTCATCAAACAAAGTGACATAAAAGGCACACACCCTCTCTCCATCCACCATATTCCCTGTCCCACAGGTGCAGCTTGTATTAGCTTCTTGTACATCATTCAGCATTTCCTTAAAACAAAGCACATATGGATATACATTTTTATTTCCTCCTCTTTGGCAAATGTAGCATACTATACGCATTGTTCAAATATAGTATACATTGTTCTGCACCTTACTTTTTTCTCATCTCATAGCATCCCAGAGATCCTACCATATTAGTATTCTTCATTCTCGTATTTGTAGCTAAGAGTACACCAATGCCTGGGTGTACCATTATTTAATTCACTATTCCCCTCAAGATGGACAGTTAAGTTGTTTCCAAGAAACTATATTTTGAAATTGCCTCCAAAGGCAAGAAGAAAACTCCTAAGAAACGCAATCATTTTTAAAATAAATTCCTTTCCTCAAAAATGGACTTTGAAAGTGATAACTCTTCTTAAAATGCGTTGGTTAGTAAATATTTGTTAAATATTAATGCAATTGTCTAAATGTTATGTCTCCTCAAAATTTATGTATTGAAATCCTAACCCCCAAGGTGATGGTATTGGACGGTGGGGCCCTTGCTTGGTGATCAGGTCACGGGGGTGCAGCCCTCATGTATGGGATTGGTGCTCTTGTAAAAGCAGCCCCACAGATATCCCACCCCATGTGACATTACAATGATTAGAAGGTCATCTGTGAGGAAGTGGGCCCTCATCAGACACTGAATCTGCTGGCGCCCTGATCTTGGACTTCTCAGCCTCCAGAATTGTAAGAGAGAAATTTTTGTTGTTTATAAGCTACCTAGATTATGGCATTTTGTTACCGCAGCCTGAACATGTTAGATAATCATCAACAACAAACAATTAAATGCATTACACCAGAGTGACAGCCCCACGTGAGCCATGGAAGGATACTCCATCTCTATGGATAAGAACTGTGATTCACCCTCTTTAAGAGGGAAGCCCAAGGATTTCCAAAAACATTCCAAAGTCTTTGTTTGTACTTATTCAGCATATTGTTTCTGCTGAGTAATATTTACAGAGATGAAGAATCAAATATTCATTACTGAAACATCTGTTACCCCTATGGTGAATTTCTATATGATATATATTTTAAACTAATAAGTTCACCTGAGTGGAATGAAATTCTAATATTTTTATTATAGCAAACCTAGACCCAAAATATTTTAACGCTAATCTGTCTTTACAACTTCTACTATTAATCATAAAACATAAAAACAACTTATCAATTTTGTTTCCTTTTTTTTTTAAAAAAGAAACTATTACTTCAATAAGGCTATGTATTTTCTGAAGGATGCCTGACATAACATGAGTTTGAGCATTAACATGTGAAGAACCGGCTCACGCCTGTAATCCCAGCACTTTGGGAGGCCAAGGTGAGCAGATCACTTGAGTCCAGGATTTCGAGACCAACCCGGCCAACATAGAAAAACCTCATCTCTACTAAAAATACAAAAAATTAGCCTGGTGTGGTGGTGCATGCCTGTAATCCCAGCTACTTGGGAGGCTGAGACAGGAGAATCACTTCAATCTCGGAGGTGGAGGTTGCAGTGAGCCAAGATTGCGCCACTGCACTCCAGCTGGGGCAACAGAGTGAGACTCTGTCTTGAAAAAACCAAAACCAAAACCAAAAACCTATGTAAAGAACAAGCAATAAAAAAGGTAATATCAGCACAGACAAAATACCCAAGAGCTAGAGAACAATGCGGCCTTCCAAAGGGAACTGAATGAAAGAATTAAAAATGTACAGCTTTTCAAAGCTCAAGAAAGTGACAACAACAACTGAATTCAAAGGACTGAACTGGGCATTATCTTCCCAGAACACGTATGTATATTTAGCTTAATAGACCTGAGTACTATCTTAGGAAAAATCTTATATATTATGCATCTAGGGCAATGAGAGCTGTAGAAAATGATTCTCCAAAGCAAACACACTGCAGGCTGACATTAGTAGAGGAAAAGAGTCAAAGGCACACATAATGCGTCACATGTGAGTTTAGGTCTCATTCTATATAGATCATCACCAGAGGGAAAAAGAATGAGCTGCAAAAACCAGACACTAAACAGAAGCTGGGCAGCTATGCTTGTGGTTGAAGCTTAAAAAAATGCATATGTGTATTTTCTGATTATAATTGTAATATGAATTTGCAGAAGATTTGGAAAATACAGAAAAATAAGAATTTAAGTCACCCACTTATCCCACAATCCAGAGAGATCCTTTATTAAAATGGTTGGCATATTTACTTGCAGTCCTTTTTTTCTGTACATATAAGAATATATGGTTTTTACAAAATTGGGCTTATATTATGCATACAATTTTACACATGACCTTTCCTCCCACCTTGTATGACTTACGTAATTTCCCATGTTGTCATGTATTCTTTAAAGATGTAATTTTAATAACTGGGCATTATACTGAATCTTATGAATTTAAGCAGAATTACTTGATTCTTTTCACATTGCTGGACCTCTAGGTTGCTTGTAAATTTTCCGTTTTCCAAATAGCACTGTGACAGACTTTCTTATCATAATCTTCGTATTTCTATCTACTTCTTAAAAGAAGCTTAAAAGCCTATCAGTATTTCACATTCAAATTTAAATCACTTAGTATACCAGTAAATTCACCATTGGAAATCTCTGAGGACAAAATGCAAATAATGCATATGAGACAAACAATACTATTTTACGATCACTTGAAATCTATATTTATCCTTCTAGAATAGTCATCTTTCAGGGAGCACATTATTTCCTCTAGGCAAATGGACTATTACTAGGTTAATCTAAATGCAATAACATGAAACTTGGCTGACCCAGATTTCTCCAATATCGGTATGCATGCAATTACAATATTCTGCAGAATGACAAATACTCAAGGCTCTCAAAAACACATATTTTATCATCCTTTCATTTAAAACGATGTACAATGGACGCTAAAATAAAACAAATAAAGTTTATAGCCAATGAAGGTTGATAGCATCCAAATCTCATGTAGACATATCAGTTACATATAGTGTAACTTAAGGCTTTCTTCGAATTCTAGCTTTATTTTGTCACTTCCACAGTTATTGAGATCTTAAGTGCTCTCATCATATTGAAGTTATTTATAATTCCTGTTAAGAATTATATACTCTTAACAGTGTAGTTTTAGATTCACTATAGTCTATTATAAAAATTATTCCACTTTCAAGAAGCTAAATGGGGTTCTTACAATCTCTAAAGTGTGTGTGTATAATACATTCATGTATAGTAATACATATCTAAAATGTTTTTCTCCCACTAACCGGTGAAAAGCAAAACAAAAATACAACAAAAACTCCACTTATATCACTGGTCATCGTAACTATTGAATCACTCAAATGCTAAAGCGCCCTCACAATTGGCGCAGGTGAAGATAGCTACAGCTGGACTGTACAGTTGTGCAGGCTGCACATTATACAACTCTAGTGAGTGCAATCGTACCCTGATTGATGTGACTGGTATTCTCTGGGGTTGTGCAGTACACAATCCATACAACTGTACGTGACCACCTTGAAGTTAGCTCAGGTAATTCTGTTTGCTCATCCATTACTTATTTGTGCATCCTTCTCCCTAGTGAGCTATGAAAAAAGTTTTCAAAGGGAAGTAATCTTAAATCTGTATACTATTTTCTATGATGGAAATTCTGTGAAGAAACAATAACAAATTCTCCCTGACTCCTGTCTGTCCTAATAGTAAGGTGGTCTTTCTTCTAATCTCCCCATCCATCCACCCATCAGGAAGCAATAGGGTACCTTGTGTGAGTAACTGTAGATTTCTGACTTCTTCTCGCACCTTCAGCTGGAGCACCTGTTGTAAGATGTGCTGCCGGAGGTTCTCCTGGGCAATCCCCATTCGCTCGAGCTTTTTGTCAGTAAGTCTCAGCAGGGCTCGCCCTGCAGGGTTTTAAGAAATAAAAGGAAAAGCAAATGAACTACTTGCTGAAGAAAGATGTCCATTTTGGTCTTGACTAACCCTGCCATCACAGAAGTTTCTACCTAAACACAGACATTTTAGAATAAAGGTCTTCCATTATTATTGCTGACACAAATGGATTATCTGGGTGAAAAAAATACACATATTTAAAAGAGAACCCTAACTTTTAATTGAACATTGGGAAACCCCACTGACTCACACATTCAGTTAGAATGTGTGACTCATACATTCAGTTAGATAAAATAGGAAAACCTTAACCTGGATATTTGGGTCACAAATTGCAGGTTGCCATAGAAACAATGCTCTTCACTGGGGGCTGGATTCTCAGGCTGGCCCACAGGAGCCCAAGTCACTGACAACTCACTTACAACCCAGCTGAAGAACTGGATGCTCTAACAGTGGTATATACAGAAACTCTAGCAATGTGTAACACAGGATATAATAACATTTCTGAGAAATATGCATTTAAAGTCCAGTTTTAATCTGCAGGCAACTGACACTCCTGCTGTACCCCTGGCACTGGGCTGGAGGTTCCATCTCTAGCTGTTGGGAGCTATGCCTTAATCCCAATTACTGGCCTAATGCAAGGGTTCTAGCAGGGCTGAGAGGGAGAAGAGTGGGGTAAAAGGGCATCCAAAGAGTTCAAAAACAAGGCACCTAGAGGTGTGAGTGCCTGCAGTGTGCAGACACCCTGGGCTATGGTCAGCTGGCATGGCCTCTCTTCAACCTTTCTTTCCCTGTATACTTCTCTTCCTACTGTGATTTCCATCAAATTCTCCTCCACTCTGTGCTTGCCCTAAAATAAGCATATTTCCATTTTGAGGGTTTACTGCAAAAAATAAAAAGAGTGATCATTGCTAAATGCCCATAGCACCACCCACTACTCTTCTCCGACATTCCTACTCATCACATCTGCAGATCTTTTCTCATTTCCACAGATGAAGAAGAGACAGAGGCAATTACATGTGACGAATGATGTCTTTAGGTATATTATCATATACATTTCACAAGGAGACAGGTGAATGGAGAAAACCAGTTAGCAGCAGCTTGTGTTGTTTATGCTTCTAGTTTCCTTCCTTTTAACCTTTGCTAAGTGCATCAGTCAGGATAAGTTAGTTTATATGCTGTTGTAAAAAACAATTCCAACATATTAGTGGCTACAACAAACTTTACTTCCAGTTTATTCTGCATGTTAACTGCAAGTCTACCCATCTTGAATGCTGCTGATCAATGTAACAAGAGGGAGGAGAGAAGGTGCTAGAAGATCTTCATGCCATCAATGAAATGCTCAGCTTAGAGTCATTTATAAATCATTGGCCAGAACTAGTTGCATGAACATTTCCACCCACAAAAAGGCCACCAATTGTCCTCCCAACATGTGCCCAGAAGTGAGATGTTTAATAAGAAACACTAGTGAGAATTATACTAATATAGATGTGGCCCTGGGCCAATGCCTGGAGAGGAAGTGAGTTCTTGGATGTGCGGTGGTTGGGGGTGGAGGTCTGAAGATTCAGTGGAACCTGCATTTGTAAGGGGAATCCTACATAACTACAGCTCAGGCTTGGAAACACCAGGCAGATTCTGGTGGTCATGAGAAAAGGAAGGAAAGGACAAAATCAGACTCGAGTAATTTCCATTGCTTTCTATGGCTGGTGGACTAATGGGCCCCTAAAGATGTCCATGTTCTCATCTCTGGAACCTGTTAATTTCTTACCTTACATGACAAAAGGGACTTTGCAAATGTGATTAAGGTAAGGAGGATCTTGAGATGGGAGAGTATCTTTCATTATCCAGGTGAGTCCAATCTAATCACAAGCGTCCTTAGAAGTGAAAGAGGAAGAAGGGAGAGCCAGAGAGACATGTGACAATGGATGCAGAGGTCAAAGTGAAGCGGCCAAGAGCCAAGGAATTCAGGCAGCCTCTAAAAGCTGGAAAAGGCAAGGAAATGAATTATCTCCCACACCCCATAGAAAGCAGCTCCACTAAGAAGCTGAATTTAGCCCTGTGAGACCCATTTTTGGACTTCTGACCCCGATAAGTGTAAGACAATAAATTTGTGTTGTTTAAAGCCATGGGAGTTTGTGATAATCTGTTATAGCAGCAGTTGGCCCTGTGACTGGAATTTACATGTTTTCAAGAAGTCAAACAGATGGCTTTAGATTTCCTTTCCTTTCCCCATTTCTGGCTGCTGGCACACACAAAGGTAAAAAGTAGAGGAATGCTAAGGAGAGGTGAGCCTGAGTGCCTGGCTTGCAGGATAGCCCTGCAGTCCAATGCTCTGCTCACTGTCAGACCTTAGTCCAGAAGTTTCACTCAGAAAACAAAGAATACAGCTTAAATATCATTTATATGGATAATTGGCCTCCAAATAACAGACATCTACATCTTTATACATGTCATAAACTTATAAATACTGCATAAAACACTCCCTGAAGCTCCGATGATCTTAATCCCTCCCAACATAAAAATGTAGATCACCCTCCCTCCTTTCTGTTCCCAATTATTTGGGCTGTGGTTTCACAAGCTGTGGCATTTCCTAGCAAGAGCTGCTGAGGCACTGATAAGACACATGGCTGCTTTTGTCTTAAGCTGGCTGGGCCATCGTTAGAACACAGTGTTAAGGCATCAGAGCGAGGGTTTTGTTCCAGTGCATGCAGCTCAACTTTGCTTTGTTTGATGCCTTCCTGTAAACCTGTAGCCCCAGCCTTTCCAAAAATGCATCTGATTGGTCAAAGTATGGATACATAGCCCTACTAGAATGTTATTTCTACTTTGGTGGGTTAATAGCATTGGGTTTAAATATATGAGTCAGAAAATTCTGTCAGTTATAAAAGTTTATTCATTTTCCGACTGTGTGATACAATCATGCTTATGAACAGTTCACATATTAAATGTCCAACTGTTCAAATTATTTAATCCAAATCCTGAGAATATAATTATTTCTACTCTGTTGGAAGAGAAATTGAGAAGTTAAAGAATATTTAAAACATGAGAGCTGGTTCTAATTTTTCCCACTCTATATTCAGTTGCGCTTTATCTTCCTTGGTAGGAAAATAAAAGGGTTAGTTTTCAAGAAAGATTAAGGATAAAATTTATTTTAAAATTTCCTGATAAAATCACTTCTAGAAAAGATCATGATCTGTATACCAAAAATTTTATTAACAAAATCCGATTCACGGTCTTCTTTGGATGGTTTCTACAGATTGATGGTTCTGGAAAATTTTTGTAATAATTAAATTATTTCTAGGAGTAAATGTCCCATTAATCTCCTATTCCACCACCTCCTGCTGAATACAAAATGAACGAACATCCAAATAAGTGTGGTACTGTTTTGATGAGGTATCAAGGAAGTGATAAGCAATCATCAAATTATTTTATAATTTATGTTAATTTTTGTTGTTTATCATAAAATTCAATTGTTAGTTCAACAAACAATTATAGAGCACTCACTAGGCCTCTGTTATTTTGACACTCCCCCTGGGTACAGTGATGAACACAGCAGACAGGGTCACTTTTGAAGCCTTCAGGCTGACAAGGAAGGTAGCTCATGGCAAATGTCTACGAGTATGTGATGAATGCTAAGAAAGGCAAATATAGGAGCTCAGAACAGGGTGATCTAACCTAGTCTGGGCACCAGGAAGCTGTTAATGAGTAATGAACATGTAACCTAGGACTTAAGGAGGAAGCAAGAGTTAGACAAAACCTGATAGAGCAAATATTTTTTTAAAGTTGCCACATGAATGAAAAGGGGGGCTGCCATCGTAGACAGACAACAGGAGCACCGTCCCAGCGTGAACATTCCCTGCTTCTGCTCACAGGAGTCTCTTGGCCACCTTGCTCTGCGGTCCTCTGCCAATACAGAGAAGGACCAAGGAGTGAAAAATCAACTCAATCTCAAACAAGAAGCACCAACTGAATTGCCTGATACCATCAAACTTGTTATAACAGTAATTAGGTGACCTGGGCTGCTGGGCCCTTCACCAACTCACAGACTCTTGAGGTTAGAAGAAGCTTAAAGTTTTTCACACTGCTCTTACTCCCTGCCTTTTACTCTTTTCCATTATTAATTATTTATTGATCACCATTATGTACCTGCCACTATTTGGGGTGCTGTGATATGGAGATAAGTAGTGTCTTCTGCCTGCATGGAGCTCACCATTCAGTGTGGGAGAAAGGTGACACACAAGTAAACCGACAACTAGATCTAGATCTAGAGACAGACATATGATCCCAGATAGTCATAAGTGCTCTGAAGAAAAAGCAGAATGAAGGGGCAGACAGGGACGCCTATTAAAAAGATGAGGGCTATTGTAGTTGGGGTGGTTAGGATAGGAAAGGCCTCTCTGAAGGGGTGAGGCTGGAACCAGAAAGGAGAATGAGGGAATAGAAGTGTCAACGCAATTAGAGGAATGACAGGGAGATTAGTGTCACTAGGGCAGAGCAGGTGAGATAAGAGAATGGTCAGAAATTAGGTCTCAGAGAAGACAGGGTCAGATCACACAGGGCCTCAGAAGCCCTAGAGAGGACTTTGGATTTTACTCTTCTGAATATGGAAAGTTTTGAGCAAGGATAACTTGGGCATGATATCAGGTATTAAAAGAATCCCTCTGGTCACTATGTGGAGAATGGATTTGAGGCAGAGGTATATGTAGGAGCAAGGAGGAGTCCGCGGACTATCACAGTCATCTAAGCAGGAGGTAATGGTGTCTTTGTACTGGGGTGGCAGGGAAGAAGTAATAAGAAATAGTAAAACTCTGGCTATATTTTTAATAACTTTACAATGCCCAGAAGTGGGGTCTGAGGGAAAGACAGACATCAGAGATGACTCACATTTTCAACCTGAGCCACCAATGGCTGGAGGCACCATTTCCGAGCAAGAAATTGAGTCACTGCTTGAGAGAGGATGCATTGGAAGGAGGAAATCCTGGTAGCATTACTGCTATTTTTTCTTTAGAGAGCACTTGGGATATGCAGAAGAATAAACACGACAGAATTAAACAAAGAAAAAACAATTAAAATATTCTTCTTTTCTTGAATGCTCTTATTCCTTCAAGACTCTCCTCGAACCCCAAAGCTCTGAGTTGTCTGGGGGTAAGGTAAGCATAGGCATATCCTGGCAGAACTTAGAGAAATCAGAGGGACCTCTTACAACCCAGTTCTGTATTGTTTAGCCTTATTAGGTGCCCTCAGGGCTAAAAACATTCCCCAGAACTCCTTGTAGAGGCTCGGGCCAGGGAATATTCAGTGAGGATGTTCCCGCAGCAGGAACATGGTACTCTGCTGCAGTCTTGGAAAATTAGAGTTTTGCCGCAATCTGAAGCTTGAGCATACATAGAAAAAGCATGACTGTGTGTGCTCCACTAGAATGGCAGTAATACAAGAGCAAGTGTGATGGTTAGTTTTATATGCCAACTTGACTTGGTTATGAGGTGCCCGGGTACTTAGTCAAACATCATTCTGGGTGTTTGGGGATGGGATTAAAATTTAAATTGGTGAAGTGGATAACACAGACTGCCTTCCATAATGTGGGTGGGCCTCATCTAAGCAGTTGAAGGCCTGAGTAGAACAAAATGCTGACCCTTTCTAGACTAAGAGAGAATTCTCCTGCCTGATGGCCTTTGCACTGGGACATTGGTTCTTAATTTTATAGTAGCCTGCCAGCCTTTGGACTCAAACTAGGATGTTAGCTCTTCCTGGTTCTACAGCAGCTTCTAGCCTTTCAACTCCAACTGGGACACTGGTTCTGCAGATTCTGGATTTGCCAGCCTCCATAATTACACAGGCCAATTTCTTATAATAAATCTCTCTCTGTATGTACATGTATATGTATATGTGTGTATACATATGCTCATACTGTGTATATACCCTCTTGGTTTTGTTTCTCTGGAGAACACTAACATGCTGGGGGTGTCTCTCCTGTCAGGTGCCCTGTTACCCCCAGGATTCCCTGGTGCTGCCTGTGTGCTGGCACGCAGTAGTGCTCATAAGTATTTACTGAGCACATATCCTTAGTGCTACTAAATTAACATAAAGGTAATCTTCTTTACCACAAATTGATGCTCTCAAGACTACTAAATTACTTATATCAGAAAAGATGTAAAAGACTTGATTGGAAGCTGTTGGTTAAAACAAGAAGAAGAAACTGAACATATAGAGGGAAGAGGCTCCATTTCATTGTGGTGACCACAGAAACACATGCCAATTGAAAGCAATAGAGAACACGAGACTAAATGAGGCTTAAAGAAAGATGAGTGCCTTTTTCTATTTTTGAACACACACCAACTGAGACTAGAAACCTTGCTGAGCAGATGAGCAGCAAGAAAAGGTGAGGGATAATTGAGTCACAGAGCAGTTTATTCATTTCCTATGGTTGCCATAACAAACTATCACAAACACAGGGGCTTCAAACAATAGAAATTTATTCCTCAGAGTTCTGGAAGTCAGAAGTTCAGCATCTGTTCCATTGGGCTAACATCAACGTGTCGGAAGGGCCACACTCCTTCTGGAAGCTGTAGGACACGAAACATTCTCTGATACGTCTGTTTCTGCCAGCTGCCAGTACCCCCTTGCATGTGGCCACAAATCTCTGCCTCCATTCTCCTATCACCTTCTCCTCTTGCGCGTGTATAATCTCACTCTGCCTTTGTCTTACAAAGGCACTTGGGATTGGATTTGGGGCCCATCTGAACAACCTGAGATAATCTTCCCTTGTGAAGATCCTCAACTTAATACATCTGCAAAGACCCTTTGTCCTTGTAACATTTTCAGGTTTCAGGGATTAGGACCTGATGCTGTTGGGTGGATATTATTCAGCCTATCACAGCTGAAAGGAACATTTGAGTTTCTGACTACGGCACAGGGTTCATTGTGCTCCTCATGGAGAAGTGAGGCACAGAGAAAGTGTCCTGCCTAAAACAGCACAGAAGATGAGGTAGAGACTTAGGTCTAGACCATGTCTCCGACTTTCAAGCCCAGCCTGGTCTCTGGTCTCTATTCCAGGTGCCCTTCATCTTTTGCTCAGAGAATTGCAACAGACAGCCTGGCACAACTTTTCAAGATAAATGACTGCATGTCATAAGGCATGATTGGAAATGACAGGGGAAGCTGGAGGTGAGCCAAGAGTGGCCTCAGACCCTGTCCTATTGGGAAATCTTAGTGCCACTGCATGTGGTTGGGGGGTGCCACTTTTCCCAGAATAGGATGAATTACAACGCCTCTTTTCTGCCAGAAATAGATCATTGGACAGTTCCCCAAATAAATGGCCCTTTGTGCACTGGGTTAGCTCCAAAACTGCTCTCAGGTAAAGGCCTGGGTCATGCACCAAGCAAATGCCTGTTGCTCCATCCCAGTCTGGCTGGTCCAGAGCAGCAGGCATGGGGCATACAACCAGTGTCCCCTAGCCCAAACTTATGTTTCTCCAATCATGCCATTACTCCAAAATTGGAATTTTGGGAACAAAGAAACAGAGAGGCAAAATCACAAAAGCATGGGATCACAGCTAACAGGTGTAGATAAATGTCTAGGAAAGCACAATCTGAGTCTTAGTTTACTCATCTCTTCAATGGGGATGAAAACCACACTATCTCATAGAATGACCATGAGAGTCAAATGAAATAATACATACATAGGACTTTTGCAACTTGGAACCACAATAACACAATTTGGATACTACTGTTCCTTGATTGGCCACCACTTCTTTTTACTCTTCCTCCTCCTCCTACTCCCCTCCTCCTCCTCATAATTGTAATAATATCAAATGTCTATGGTGCAGTTACTCTGTTAAACACTATCCTAGTAGCTTTACATAGATTATGTCATTGTCAACAGTTTTCTGAAGGTACTATTATTATCTATTATTAAGAGCTATAAAACAGCTGAAGGCCTTATACCTAATAACCTGCAGTTCTGGGATACAAACATAGGCAGAAGCCATGCTCTGAACCATCTCCCTAAACTGCCACCCAGAGATTCTTTACACAAACCTATATACTCCTCAAGGCCACTTCTTGCAAAGGGAACAGAACTCATGAGCAAATGAGAGGCTGAGGGTCAGGAAAACGTCTTCATCTCTGAGGGCTTAAATGCAAGCAGTGGGAACATTATCATAGCATCACTATGCACAAGGGCGTAATGTTTCACTTGGTGGAGAACGACAGGGAAATGATGGGTCTCTGAAAGTAGCCATCAAACAGATTCATAGACTGTATGTGTACCATGGACTGAACCAGCTATACTACTGGAAACTAGTAGACAAGGATAAATAAGATAATTTCCCTGCCAGAGGGACAAACATAGGTTCTTTGCAAGCCCATAAGAGGGGCATTTAACCCATCTGGCAACCTTGAACAAAAACAAAAAATCAAGATGGTTAGTAGGAAGAGCATTCAAGGCACAGGGAACAGCATAGGCAAAGATGGAGACCGAAGAACCAGAAGTTCTATATGACTGTGGTGTGAAACCCGCAGCAAGGAGTTACTGCTGGGCTATACTCGCCATTTCATGCTTGGCGTTAGTCTCTTTCTTTATTTTTACCTTCCACCACAAAGCAGCAGAGGTGAGACACAAGTGATGATATTCCCAATAGTAAAACCCTCCATTTGTAGAACTAATATAATAAGCACTTCATTTTTGCCTACACTACATCTCTGATTATTTCTGATAAAAGCAGCTCTCTTTTGTCTTTTGAGAGCGGCTTTTTTCTCACCTGGTGGGGTTTTTAACAGTTAAAAGCAATTTCCCTGTAGTACTTTTTACTTCTAGAGTACTATATAATTTTCTTGCTTATTATGTTTGTCTTTGGATTCACTCCCACCCCTTCCCATAACGTAAGTAAGCTCCATGAAAGCAGGGATTCCTTGAGGTTCTCAAGCACCTCACTAGAGCCTTACTCAACGTAGGCACTAAAAAGATACTTGTTAAATTAACCCTGGGTATGTGACCCAGACCAGAATATCTACATTTCTTTGCTGGGATCGTTATGGCCACTAAGAAGAAAGTTCTCTTTCTATCTTCAACTATGTCCCAAGGGACAATATAATGCTAGACTTGCTGTTAGTGGCTGTCTTTACCACCCTATGGAGGGAATTTCCTAGAGAATTTAGCCAACAGAGAGACCAGAGCTGGGAAAGAGTAAAGTAGGGTGAGAGGAGAAAGTCAGAGAAAAAAAGAGAGAGAAAGAACATTATTTGGTTTCTCAAATACAGCCTGGCATCAAGTCAGATACCCCTGCACTCTTGGTTATGTGAGTCAATATGTGGCAGTGGACAGGGATAAGCTAGTTGAGCTCACTTGTACCACTTGCACCAAGAGAATCTTGACTTAAACATCCTAGTTTATGAGGGATTCTCGGTTAAGTCACAGTACTGCCATCCCTCTCCAGCATTTCACAAAAGCCTATCATGGTGTAAGTGGGTAAGAATGATATGAACCTATAGTAATTGGTTCTCAAAAAGTTAATCATCGGTAAATGTATTTTAGTTAGAATTTCTTACAAATTATTTGAAGTACACCTTAATCTGACTGCATATTTATGTATGCTTGATGCATCAGGGCAACCTCCTTATAAAATTATACCAGAGGTCATAAACTCAGATGCTTTTGTCAGGATAACATAATTGGGTGAAGAGAACTGCCCTAAGGGATGACTAAGAAAAGGTAGACTGAAGCTGGGTGCGGTGGCCTATGCCTGTAATCCCAGCATTTTGGGAGCCTACGCAGCCCAGCATTTTGGGAGCAGGCAGATCACTTGAGGTCAGGAGTTCGAGGCCAGCCTGGCCAACATGGTGAAACCCTGTCTCTACTAAAAATTCAAAAAAGAAACAAAAATTAGCCAGGCATGGTGGTATGCACCTGTAGTTCCAGCTACTGGGGAGGCTGAGGCAGGAGAATCACTTGAACCCGGGAGGAGGAGGTTATAGTGAGCCGAGATCATGCCACTGCACTCCAGCCTGGGTGACAGAGCAAGACTCCATTTCAAAAAAGAAAAAAAAAAAGATAGACGGTAGTGGACTGGACAAATTATTTTTTCCCTAAAATGGGCAATTCCAATACATTCTTGCTATGATAGAATACAAGCTAAGTATTGCTACTTCTTTTATTTTTAAGTTAGATACAAGTGAAAATCCAGAAGTTCTATGAAATCTCCCAATTTAAAATTGGCTAATTTTTTCCATACTATGAGAGCCAAACAAATTACGTATATATGGGTCATAGCCAAACAAATTACGTATATATGGGTCATAGTTGGTTTACAAGTTGCTACTTTCAAATTTAACTTTTTTTTTTGAGATGGAGTCTTGCTCTGTCACCCAGGCTGGAGTGCAGTGGCACGATCTTGGCTCACTGCAAGCTCTGCCTTCTGGGTTCATGCCATTCTCCTGCCTCAGCCTCCTAAGCAGCTGGGAAAATAGGTGCCCGCCACCATGCCTGGATAATGTTTTTGTATTTTTTAGTAGAGACGGGGTTTCACCATGTTAGCCAGGATGGTCTTGATCTCCTGACCTCGTAAGCCGCCTGCCTAAGCCTCCCAAAGTGCTAGGATTACAGGCGTGAGCCACTGCACCCGGCCCAAATTTAACTTTTAACCTTCCTTCTTCCATGTCCCTCCAACTTTCAGTGCAAAGGAATTCAGGCAGCCTTGTTTGCAGGGTTTCGGCTGACTTTAGGAGTGGACTCCACCAAGTTCTGTGATTCCATTCTGTGTAGCCTATTCTAAATCAATAGCCAACCAAGACCAAGTCTGAGCTAGCCCTTCATTTTTCATAACCTAGAGATGCATTGCAAATCCAGCTTAAGTGACCCCCAGCCCAACCTCTGATTTCCTGAAGGTGACTACGAATCACCCAATACCAGAGCTAGCAAGGACTTAAAGGTCAGCCAACCCATTGCCTCATTTCCTGGCAAGAATACACACAAAACCTTCCAAGACCAATAAGTCTCCTCTCACTTCTACCTGAGAGCGCTGCCCACCGTCAAGTCCGGTCACTCACTTGGTTACATTTAGATGATTAGCAGTTAATTGAAGGCCCCTTCTCTGGGCCAAGGAAGAGAAGGGTTAATGGAAATTTGCACTGCAGTTACTGTAATTTACCATACTGATGGGAACTCTATATTGATTTTTTTTTACCTGTCTTGGGTAAAAATACTATTTTAGACAATCTATTATTTTGGCTGAATATATTCAGGTTAATAGGAGAAAATTGGAATAACATTAATTCCCACCTGAAATATAAATTCAGAAAGAAATATATTACAGTGCTTTTCAAACAGAAAATGTGACCCTGCATTGTTTTTAGCTCTCCGAGAAGGAATACACAGCTCACACACAGTATGTTAAAGGTTAAATATTCTACAGCGTTTGTTAGTACATGTGATTACCAAATCCCATCCAAAAAATTAATTTTTAAAAACCCTAAAAGATTTTGTTTGGGAATTTTGTCTTAGTCCCTGGGAAGACTCAGTAATTACTTGCCTTGTACCTCAGAGCAGATTTTTCAAGCAAAGAAGTCTAGTACCAACATAATGGAGACTATAATGGAAGATTTATGATAAAATAAACAACCTTCAAGGTCTTTTCTGTTTTTGATAGGTAGACAAAACCTCTAGGTACTTTTATTTGTCTGCATTTGTATGCACTGGTTTGGGATTCTCTGTTTATTAAGTGTCACTAGGTGGTGAGAAATCCACTGGGCATTAGACATCTTTTTAAATTAATTGCCAAGAAGCATTAAGTGTCTATTAACAAGCATCTTCTTGCCCCTCAATATTCTACTTTGTGGTCATAACAACTAAACACATAAGGACAATGTTCACATGCCAAAGAGAACAGGCACTGGGCATGCTGGTTCCTACATGTGAATCAATTTGAGCCAGTACCTATAGCCAAAGTACTGTTCAAAAAAGTTTTAAGTCTACTTTGACATTCTTTCTCTAATACTGAGGGATTTGTATTTCCTTAAACTTTTAAATGATAAATGTTATCAGTATCAGGGATTTCTTAGGTAGAAAAATTAACAAGTATTATCACAGCTTCAGATATATTCAATAGAAGAGACAGTAACATACTTTTGCCTTCATGGAGCTTAAAAATTACCCAGAAATGTAAGACCAGCAGGTATTAAACAGCTACAAAAACAATAATGTGATAAAACTCTGTAGCCATGACCATGAAGACCATGAGATGCATTAGGAAAGTTCTGGTTAAAAAAAAAAAAAAGAGGTCTTGGGTTTGGAGTTGAAAGCCCAGGGCTGGATTAGCCAGTCATTAGCTACGTGGTCATTGTTGTGATAATTTACCTGTCTAGGATTGCATTTCTTCGCTGGCAAAATGGGAATAATATGACACCCTCTCTCCCCATGTTGTGCTGAGTAACTACTCACAGCGGTAAGCACAATAAAAAGTACTGTTGGCTGGGCGCAGTGGCTCACGCCTGTAATCCCAGCACTTTGGGAGGCTGAGGCAGGCGGATCACGAGGTCAGGAGATTGAGACCATCCTGGCCCACGTGGTGAAACCTGTCTCTACTAAAATACACACAAAAAAATTAGCTGGGCCTGGTGGTGCACGCCTGTAGTCCCAGCTACTCGGGAGGCCGAGGCAGGAGAATCACTTGAACTTGGGAGGCAGAGGTTGCAGTGAGCAGAGATCACACCACTGCACTCCAGCCTGGCGACAGAACGAGACTCCGTCTCAAGACAAACAAACAAAAACAAAAAACAAAAAACAAAAACCTGTCACTGTCTTCAGGAAGCAGACCTAAAGAAAGGTAAGAGGTCACCCAAGACCCTATGGGGAGCTGTGTAGCTCACTCCAAAACTATGATGGGAGCACCCGAAAGGGTGGGATCCTGATGGTGACCCTGGGAAATCTTTCTAATGATAGAGGGGTAAAAAGAAAATGGCAACTCTATTTATCACATGTCAAATTTCAAAAGTCATCAACATGATACGCAAATAGACAAACTTTTCTGCTTCACTTTATCTAGAACAGGGGATTACTGATATTTGGGGCCAGGTGATTCTTTGTGATACCAGCTACCTTATGCACTGCAGGATGCTGTGTGGCATCCTTGGCCTCTACCTACTAGATGACAATAATACTCCCTACCCCTACTTGTGTTAATCAAAAATGTCTCAGATTTTTGGCAAAGGTTTGCTGGAGGGTGAAACTACCCCTGGTTGAGAACCATTGGTTTAGGAGTTTGCTTCCAACCAAGTGATTCACCAAATGTTAACTCAAGGGCCAGAATAATCCTCAGTAATAGGGGTTTATAGGACTCAGGTTGCTGAGGAGGCAAAACAACAAAACACTTACTTTTGGGAAAAATCACCCACTATATGTCAGGCTCTTTTCTACCCACTGTCTCAATTTAATCCACAGCAACACCCTGGGATGTATTCTTACCTCCATGTCAAAGATGAGGAAATAGAAGCTCATGGAGACAAAGTAAAAACACACACAAGTAGCAGAACAAGGATTTCTTTTCTCTTTTCGAGAGAAGGTCTTGCTCTGTCATGTGGGGTGGTATACAGTGGTGTGATCATGTCTCACCACGGCAATCTTCCTACCTCAGCCTTCAGAGTATCTGGAACTATAGGTGCACACCACCATGGCCGGCTAGGTGTTTGTTTTATATGTATGTGTGTATATACATATATATATATATTTTGATTTTTTATTTTTTCGTAGAGATAGGGTCTCCTTATGCTGCCCGGACTGATCTCAATCACCTGAGCTCGATCTCCTGGCCCATCCTCTGGCCTTGGCCTCCCAAAGTGCTGGGATTACAGGTGTGAGCCACCACTAGAGAAAAGGGATTTTGACTCAGTTCTACAAGCAAAAATACCCATGCATTTTTTTCTTTTCTTTTTTTTTTTTGAGACAGAGTTTTGCTCTTGTTGCCCAGGCTGGAGTGCAGGGATGCAATCTTGGCTCACTGCAACCTCCGCCTCCTGGGTTCAAGTGATTCTCCTGCCTCAGCCTTCCAAGTAGTTGAGATTACAAGCACCCATTATCACACCCAGCTAATTTTTTTTGTATTTTTAGTAGAGATGGTGTTTCACCATGTTGGCCAGGCTGTTCTTGAACTCCTCACCTCAGGTGATCCACCTGTCTTGGCTTCCCAAAGTGCTGGGATTACAGGGATGAGCCACCAAGCCTGGCCCCATGCATTTGATCTGAAAGGATCACAAAGCCCATAACTGTAGCACTTCAAGTGAAGTTTAAATTCAGGGGCTTCATCAATAAAAGAGTAATAAAAGTGGGCTAAATTTCCCCTATTTGATAAGTGACAAAAATTTGAGGAAACCAAGGCCATAAATATGGATTGACACTGGCATTGCTTCAGTGCTGAAGAGACAATACAAACACACATCTACATCATGTTCCCTTTGCTCCTTAAAGAAAGTAACAATATGCTCATCAAGCTTGAAGTCCAAAATTTGATGTCAGCAGGTTACATACTAAAAGCTATGTTGGAATGAGATAAGGAACATGAACAGATTTCCATTATCCACATCTCTACACATGCTCAGCCTTCAAATATCTTTCCTCCCTTCTTGTCTGATGAGCTTCAAGGGTTGGTTCAGGTCTTAGATGCTCAGCAAGTTCTTCCTCACTCACCTTGGAACCTACAGGCAAAATACAAGGTGGCAAGTGCTAGAGTAAAGATGTCTATTTCCCTCCTCAAATTACAAGCTCTTGAAAGTAAGGGTGTATCTTTTCATTTATGTATTGCCAAAATCCTGGACATTGCTTAATAAACTAGTGAAATAATATTTGGGCAGTGTCAAAATAAATGTTGTTGAGAGAAAACCACATTAGAGAATGTGGCAGAGCTTAAGAGTGACAGTCCCATATTGCGTTTTCATGTATATTTGAATTGACTGGGTTTACCATGTCTGTAGTGCCAATATCCTGACTTTGCCAAAAGACTTACAGGCCTGCAACAGTCACCTAGTAGACCCAGGCTAGTGATGGTGCCAATGACTGTGGAACTTGAGACATAGTTGGATGATGGCTTTATCCTCTCAGCTCTTTTATCCCAGAGATTATAGTGCTGGAGTTGGAAGAAGATGGGAGAAACATATGAGGAGAGAAGGAAGTCGAGCTCATACCATGATGAAGAAGATAACTCCTGAAGATTGGGAAGGGCACTGGCTGGCTCTCAAAGATGGACAAATGGCTTTACGACGCTTAAGGGGATGCTCTGTGGAGTCTGCTTGGGTGCAAATCACCACCATGACACACTACCCAGTAAGTTGCTTACCCTGCTTTAAGTCTCCGTTTTCCCATCTCATCAGTGGGTATGTTAACAGTATAGGAATATTTATGAAGATTAAATTAATTAATACAGAGAAAAGCACTTAGCACAGTTCCTGGCACATAATATAAATTAGCAATGGATGATAATGGGTTCAAAAGCTGAGGGCTAGCTACAGGTGAGTCAGCAATGTGACCCTTTATACCCTCAGGTGAAATGTATGGTACATCCATGCCAATTTATATTTACAAACACTCGCATGAATGCCAAAGCCTATGTACCACACTCCCTCATTCACTGCTCACTCACGACTTATGCTTGAAGGCCCAGGCCACTTAGATGTCCTTCTTTCCCTTTTCATAATTCTATTATTACAGAACGTGTATCTCAGATACGTAGAGTGATTCTCAAATTGAGCTGTCTCTTAAGACTCCAAGATGCCACTAAAAATTTCATGAATTATTTAGAAAGAAAGTAAAAGCAATGTTCACTTGGGTTTTCTTTAGCAAACACCCTGAGGCCAGTGTTCAGGGACCAAAATGTCATGTACAAGGTTCTCCAACCTCAAAGAGTTCAAGCCATTGTTTTAAGTAACACTTTGTTCGCTGTGGGTACCAATAAGTACATACTATAATCAATAAGACTCTTTCTATAATTTATCAGAATCATAAAAATAGACTCAGAAGCGGTGGCTCATGCCTGTAATCCTAGCACTTTGGGAGGCCGAGGTGGGTGGATCATGAGGTCTGGAGATTGAGACCATCCCGGCTAACACGGTGAAACCCCATCTCTACTAAAAATACAAAAAATTAGCCGGGCGTGGTGGCGGGCGCCTGTAGTCCCAGCTACTCGGGAGGCTGAGGCAGGAGAATGGGGTGAACCCAGGAGGCGGAGCTTGCAGTGAGTAAGATCGCAAGAGCAAGACTCCATCTCAAAAAAAAAAAAAATAGACCCAGAAAAAGTTAGAAAAAAAGAGAAAGTTGAAGAAAAAAGTGAGTTTTTTTGTATAATTTTCTCTTCTGATTTAGATTTGGTTATAAAATGCTTCAGTTCAGTGTCCATTCATTCTTCTTCCAGCAATAAGGTGTTCAATAACTTATATTTTAATTATGTATTGTTTCGTGTGAGTAAAGAGACCTGAACTTGGAGTAAAAAGCCTGGGTTTGCAGGTTGGTGTCTCCACATGCAAGCTCTGTGAGCTTGAGTAACTTATTTAATGCCACTGAGTCAGTTTCCTCATCTGTAAAATGATAATTATCATTTTAATCACTCTGAGTTTTCTATGTGAAAGTTAAATTAGGCAGTAAATTAGAAAGTGTCTGGTATAATACCTGACTCAATGCCTTCATTTCAAATTAAACATTACATAAAGGTGTACCTTGTGTAGGCTTCCATTGTTACACCTACTCGATTATAATATAATCATGAATATGTTCACATGCCTGTTCTTCCTTCTAAACTCTGGGCTCTCTATGAAGAAAGCATGGGTTGTATTTATCTCAGTAACTGCAGCACTCAGCAATTGGTAGATATTCATTAAAGTTTTCCTGAGTGAATAAATGGCTCTATGAGAAAGGGAGAATACTATCATCCTCATTTTAAAGTTAAGAAATGGGCCCAGAAAAGTGAAGAGATTTGTCCAAAGTCGTAAGACTAGTAATTGTCAGAGCAAAGACAAGAACCATGCTACTTCTACTTAGGAAGGCTGCGCCTGTTTAGTTCAGCATTCATTTAATAAACCATTAATGACTTATCATGTGCCAGTTGATAACCGAGGTGATTTTTAAAGTACAGAAACCAGTTCGGAACCTAGAGCTTCTGTTGAGCCCATAGTTTATGGTGGTTTCTACTAGAGAGGTGGTAACAGGAAGATACTCAGAGAGGGGAAATTTTGCATGCAGAATCTAAAGGACTTGGTGAGAAATGAGGTATCTGAAGCAAGACAGAAGTTGCCAAGGGTGAGACACATGTTTCTGGCTTGGGCAATAAAAGAAAGTGCAACTGCTACCATGGGGAAGATTGAGTGAGCAAGGACGAGGAAAAAGAACAATACTTGTGGTTTGGACATGTAATAAATCCAAACTGCCCACATCTATGAGATATTCAATAGAAATACAAAGTGGGCATGTTGCTATACAGGCTGGAGCTCCAAGGAGAAGTCTGGTTTGAGGTTTTAGCTTGGGAGCCACCATCATTAGAACTGACATACAAACCCACAGGCAAGAAGAAAGCAAGTGTGATCACAGGTCTTAGGACTGACATCCCTCGAGGAACTGAGGTCCTGAGTGGGTAGATCAGTGAGATGAACCAACAAGGACACTCCCAAGGGGCGACAAGAGACATGGAAAAAAATCTGGGAGAATGAGATCCCAGAGAAGTATGGTTCAGGAAAAAGCAACTGGTTGTCTGTTGAGTGCTGATAAATCTGGCAAGGTGGAGTCACTAGAACACACCTTGCAATATAAGGTCCTTGAAGCACAGAAACCCCAAGTCTACAGATTGTGGAACAGTGAAGAGTCTAGCGTGTCTAGGTCACTCGATAACTGAGTTTTTCTCCTAGGGTAGATATCTTTTGTTTGACCCCACATAGGTAAAGAAATTACATTGAAATTGAACCATAAACCTTTCACATCATCAGTATTATAATAAAAACATTATCATCACAATTCATTCGAATTATGCTGGGCTGGGTATAACTATGAACAATTTCTCATTCCTTAATCTTTGTGACAACCCTCTGGGTAGGTTCAACTATTATCCCCATTTTAAAAATGAGGAAAATGGGACTTGCAAATTAATTAATTAATTAATGAGACTGGGTCTCGCTCTGTCACCCAGGTTGGAGTGCAGTGGTGCAATCACAGCTCACTTCATCTTCGACTTCCTGGGCTCAAGCGATCCTCCCATCTCAGCCCCGCAGTAGCTGGGACCATCAGCACATATCACCATGCCTGGATAATTTTTGTTTTAGTAGAGACAGGGTTTCACCATGTTGCCCAGGCTAATCTCAAACTCCTGGGCTCAGGTGATCCACCTGCCTCGGGCTCCCAAAGTGCTGGAACTACAGGTGTGAGCCACCACGCCAAGCCAGGGCTTGAGAATTTAAATAATATGACTATTGCCCAGGTGTGGTGGCTCATGCCTATAATACCAGCACTTTGGGAGGCCGGGCAGATCATTTGAGGTCAGCACTTCAAGATCAGCTTAGCCAACATAGTGAAACCCCATCTCTACTAAAAATACAAAAATATTAGCTGGGCATGGTGGCACATGCCCATAATCCCAGCTACTAGGAAGGTTGAGGCAGGAAAATCACTTGAACCTGGCCGATGCAGGTTACAGTGAGCTGAGATCGTGCCACTGCACTCCACCCTGGGCAACAGAATGAGAATCTGTCTCAAAAACAAAATAAAAAAATAAAAAATAAATAAATAAAATGGCTACGATCACATAGATAGCAAATGACAGAAGAATTCTGGATTACTGTTTTTCCAGATCTAAAGCTTATCTTCTCCATCCCCTCTGCTGCCTGGTCTTTCTCTGCTTATATGAAGAGAACTTTTGGAAAGAAAGAGAATCTTTCCTTATCTTCTTATTTTGAGGCCTCATTAAAGTACCATCACTTCCACTTATATACAGTTCTAGAAAAACCGAACTTAACTGCTTGACAAAGTAGATCAGTGGAATTGGGGGAGAAAGGTTGTGAAGAGAGAGTTGGATTAAAAATAAAATGAGGGAACTTTGGGAAGTGATAGTCATGTTCATTACCTTGATTGTAGTGATGGTTTCACAGGTATATTCATAGGTCAAAACTCACCATACACTTTAAATATGTGCAGTTTATTGTGTATCAGTTATACTTCCATAAAGCTGTTTTTTTTGTGTGTGTTTGTTTTTGTTTTGAGACAGGGTCTCACTCTGTCATTCAGGCTGGAGTACAGTGGCACAATCACAGGTCACCGCAGCCTTGACCTCCTGGTCTCAAGTGGTTCTCCCACCTCAGCCTCCCGAGTAGCTGAGAATACAGGCACAGGCCACCACACCTGCTAATTTTTAAAGTTTTTAGTAGAGATGAGGTCTCACTATGTTGTCCAGGCTGGTCTCAAACTCCTGGCCTTAAGCAATCCTCCTGCTTCCACCTCCCAAAGTGTTGGGATTACAGGTGTGAGCCATCACACCAGGCCCGATAAATTTTTTTTTTCTTTTTTTTTTTTTAATAAATGACTGTGGAAGGGTGGAAAAGAATGAAAAAGTGTGAAAGACCAGATAAAAGTAGAGTTCAGATAACTTAGGCTGAATCAAACCACAATTCCCAGCAATAATTAGTTCTAATGATTGGTATGGACTTCATGTGGTGACACTTAGATCCTCCTTAAGGACTAAAGAACTCCCCAGCTGCTTGCTGCTGACAGCTGACAGTCCTTCTGGGAATTTCCTGGATCTAAGAAGAGCCACCTTGCTCAAGGTCATGTCTCTCTTCCTGTGAGTAGCCTGCATCCAACGACTGGTAGATGAGGGAGGCAGGAGGTATGAAGGTACCTGCCCCAGGTACCCTAGTTCCAACTCAGGATAACTTTGAAGGGCAGTCTTAGCTTCAGAGCTCCCTGTGGGGTTGGCAGAGGTCTCGTTGTGGCTGAATCACAGCCCAACTTCTTCTGCCCAATCCTGCTTCTTTCATTTCCCTCACAAGTATTGAACATGAGGACACCACCCAATAAACTTCTGAAAGTAGATTTCCTTCTCTGAGCCTGCTTCATGGGGAACCAAAGCACTGGCAGGGTTTCACTGGGTCAAGGGGTACCCAATCGATTGTCAGACACAAACATTCCATATTGTTTGTGATGGTTTTAAAACAGCCCAGGTGGCTTCACTATACCCTTTAGCAGGCTTCTAGGTTACCTGTCTCTATAGTTAGTAGGTGTGTGTGTGAGAGGAATGAAAGACTTTGAATAGTGGCCTCTGCAATACATAATTAGTAAGATAAATCTGCTGCTAAAAATTCTGTGTGTATCATCTATTGATTTTATGTGTGCCTCATTTTCCATAAAACACTATGAGCACTATATAATCACAGTGCATGATGTACTTGAGCACCATGTAAATCATAAATACCTATGTATGTATACACATGCATATATTTTCACACACACAAACATTTATGTGTAAACTGTTTTACAGAGGGCTTGTTCTATGCCAGGCACTGTGATAAGTGCTCGACACGAATTATCCCATCAGATTCTCATAGGTAGGCACAATTACTTTCTTCTCACTTTTCAGATGAGCAAACAAAAGCAAACTGGTTAAGGATCCTGACAAAGACTTCGCAGCCAGAAGAGGCGATGCCGTGGGTCAAATCTAGGACCACCAGATTTCAAACCTTATACTTCTAATCACTATATGACACTGAACATGATTTTAAGAAACTTTCTTACAAAAATGTATGAATTGGACAAGAGAGTAACAAAAACAGAGTAATTCACTGATCTCTCATTTTGTAGATGTAAGTTTTGTATAATGAGTTTCCATACATCAGGAGACACTTGGAAACATAAATAAGTCAAAGTTACAGACAATAAAGTTACAGAGAATTGTATTATTGTCCTCTGACCCTTGCAGAAGCTACATTTTTTTAACAATTGAAGTCAGCTTGCTTTTTACAACTGAAATGTTTTCCTTTGCATGCAGAGTAATGGAGCATAGCAGGATACATGCCTTCAGCTACAACAATCTGTAAATCAACACACACTCCACCATGTTGTGACTGTGAGAACACATACCCTCACACGCCAGGAGACAGCCTTTGTCAAAAGAAAGGCCGATTCCAATGAATACTGATCAGCCACTAAAAACAGAACTGAGAATGGAAAAAAAAATCTTATAACTGATAAATGTATTGCTATCATAACATCAACAGCTTGAATTCAATGAAAACTATATTGGTTAAATTAAGTCTTCCACATAAAGATGTCAAATGTTACAACTTCACTATTACAGTGAAGAATAGCTTCAAAATGTGCCTAAACTGAACAATTAGATGGCACCATCCTTACAATGATGTTATAGAATTGTTAGGTCTAAAACCACAAATTTCTAATTGAATATCAAATTTTATTTGGTTTGGGTTGTATTTTCCAGTGCCAAATCATCCCAATACAAAGCATCCAGATCATTTCTGTATCTTGCTTCTAATGAAAAGAAAATGTGTTTGCAGAAAATATTCCTAGAGTTCTCCCTTATTCATAGAGTACTTTGAAAACTGAACATGGCTGAAAGTGTGAATTTATAACATTTCAGATTTTCTTTGATTGTAAAGCAATAGTCTTACTGGTTCCTTTTCGCCTCAGGTCCTACATATTTCTGCATTGGATTATGACAGATCTGGGCTTTATTTATTTTAGAGACAGGGTTTGGCTCTGTCACTCAGACTGTAGTGCAATCATAGCTCATTGTAGCCTTGAACTCCTAGGCTCAAGTGATCCTCCTGCCTGTGCCTCACAAGTGACTGGAACTATAGGTGTGTGCCACAGACTCCCTTCTTCTTCTTTTTTTTTTTTTTTGTATAAACAGGGTCTCACTATGTTTCCCTGGCTGGTCTCGAACTTTGGCCTCATGCGATCCTCTCACCTCTGCCTCCCAAAATGCTGGGATTACAGGTACGAGCCACTGTGTCCAGCCAAGGGCTTCATGTAAAAGATCAAAAAATTTAAAAACTCATGAGGAGTTTTTAGATATGTGAGAACTCACTTTTAAAGTGAGTTAAGTCATGGGATGCATTGCTGGGATTGAACACACATACACAACCTTTGAAGATACTGGAGATTGCTCAAATATCTACTAAATGTGCTTCTGTATTTAACCTTGAGATTTTATTTTCAGAATGTCTTCTCATAACTTACACATGTATCCACACGATTTTCAATCTAATTTTTAAGATGAAAGTGAGCTTACTTGAGGGTGATTTACATTTCCTTTATTTCTTCCTTATAAATTATATGTTAAGCTTAATATTCTGATTTACAGAGCTCAGTTTCCTTGTCTTTCCATAAGAAAAAGGCATGTTTCCAAGGTTTTATTCTAAACAATCCACTGCATTTAATTATGAAAACCTATTGAACTTAGGGAAGTTAGAGGAGAAGAAAAAAAATCACACACCACAAAAGGAAATAATTTGGTATTACAAAATCATTGAAATTAGAGATAGAAAAGGCTTATTAGATCATATATCAAAGAAAGTGCATGCATTTGACACTCAGATTTAATATGCCAGAGATGTTGGGTCACCGGAGGTACTTCTGAGGTTTTGATAAAGTACAGAAACTAAAAAAGAACATTTAAGGAGCAGAGCCCTTAATAAAAGGCAAGATCGAAGTATGAGAGAGAAATACGTAAGATGCAAAGAAAAGGCAGATGGAGAAATAACACTGAAACATCATGGAGAAAACACTTTTTCCATGTTTTCTGCATAGAAATGTAAACAGTGACAAAATGTCCAAGGACTGAGGCTTATAAGGGGACTGCTCTAGCCAGAAAAGCCCCTTATGGGGTCAAAGACTGAAGGCTGTTATTGTGTGGATAACACCCCAACCTTTTATCTATGGAATGTCATTTAACCCTTAGAGATTCCTGGCCTTGTTTTCCTTCTAGTTAAGAGCAATGGGCAGCCATAAATATTCTCCTGTGTGTGTTGGGAGAAAGCAAGGGAGGAGATATGGCAGAAGGAGCCCTGTCTGATAATGTAAAAGCATGAAAGAACAGACGCTGGCATTCACTAAGACAATCAGAGCAGAATTACCCCAAAATATTAAGCATCTTCAGATTCTACTATATGACCTCTGATAACACAAATCCTTGGTAAGCCATCATCTTATTGATCTTTTATTGTTTTTCTTCATGCACACACACAAAAAATCTGATGCTAAAAACTAGTTGCTGCATGTTGCCCAAAATAGAGAAGCCAGCCAGAATACATAGTGAAGTTGGGTAAAAACTTGCTGATAAGCAATATCTAAAACTTACCCAAATCCCTGTCAAGAGTCTACCCACACAGCCTGCACTGTGAATTGGGTACTAAGCTTCTCTCGTGATTTATCACATATCTTCACACAAATAAGGCATCACAAATATCTGTCTGTGAAGGGAATGCTGCATCTTCATGACAGCCTTGCAGTTCAGTTTCTTCAAATTCAAGAGTATTTCCTAATTTCAACCAGGTCACTGTTGCAACTGGGCTAATGAAAACAAAGAGAAAGGAACAAAAATATGTCCTAACTTGCACAAATTGGACTAATTCTCAGTGAAAAGGGGGAATAAAGTCTGATATACTTTTATAAATATTATGTACAGTCTGTGTGTGTGTGGTGTATTTTTTTTTTAATAAGAGGCAGTATGGCAGAGTGGGTAAGAGTAGGATTAGGGAATAAGAATCCCTGGATTTAAATTCTAGCTGTTTCACTTATTAGCTTGGTAAATTGGAACATTATCTTAAGCTCCTTTATCCTTAGTTTCTAAAATAAAAAAAATTATAGTAGTATTTCTTTAACAAGGTAGTCATGAAAATGAGGATTAAATTCGATGATCCATATACACTTAGTACTTGCCACACAGGAAGGCCCTAGTAAGAGCTGCATTAAACTAAAAACAAAAACAAAACAAAACCCTAGTTTCTTAAAATAGATTGTGAATATCTGGAGAACATGACCTTACAGGGTCAACTTTAAAGAATGAGATTTGTCAGGTCTATCATGACATAATACAATGAAGTGCACCAGAGAAATAAATCAGAGGGAGAGGAAGCTCTGGAGAGGTAGTGAAACAACATTGTCATCCTTGTACAAAAAAGAGCGATTAACTTGAATCTAGATGGCCATAGCATTCTTGATGACAAAGGTATTTCCATATCTTTGCAATAGAGACAATATACTGCCTTTGGTTTCCAGCAATATAAGTCTCAGTGTCATGTGTTTTGCTTGATAGATTTTTGGTACCTTTATTTTTTCTTGAGACAGGGTTTTGCTTTGTCCCCAGGCTGGAGTGCAGTGGTGCGATTGATTCTGGCTCACTGCAGCCTCGACCTGCGGGGCACAAGCAGTCCTTCCATCTCAACCTCCCAAGTAGCTGGGACTATGGGCATGTGCCACAATGCCCAGCTAAGTTTTAAAACTTTTTGTAGAGATGCAGTCTCACTACATTGCCTAAGCTGGTCTAGAACTCCTGGGCTCAAGTGATTATCTCACCTTAGCCTCCCAAAGTGCTAGGATTACATGCATGAGCTACCATGCCTAGCTGATTTTTGTTATTTACCTTGCTTGGTATTCTCTGAGTTTCTTGGATTTGTGCTTTGATATCTGCAATAATTTTGCAAAATTCTTGGCCTCCTGAAGAAAGTTCAAATACTTTTTCGGTCTCATTCTTTCTTTTTTCCATCTGGAATTCCAATTACCCATATGCTAGACCATTTGATGTGATAGGTGGTTGAAATAGTCTGAGACAGTCCTGATTTCAAAGCACCTTGATTGTTTGCCTGAAAATGCAGTCATCATAGATTGAACCCACTTTTTCTTAACTTCCATTTGGAGTTTGTGTTATTAAAAAGTTTAAGTAGTGGCATACAAACATTAATGCCATAAGAGTTACCAAAGGAGTGGTATATATGCAGATTTCACGGGCCAGAATTCTGACTAAGTGACTCTAGTGTGAGGCCTGGGAAAATGTAGCTTTAACAAGCACCATAAATGAGGCTGAGAAAGGGTCATCTGGGGATTTTACTTAGAGAAATATCAGCTCTACAAGTCCATTACTTTTTTTTCTACTTGTAATACGCTTTTCATGTTTTTATTATTTTTAAGAGACAGGGTCTTGCTATGTGAGGCCAGGCCTGGTCTTGAACTCCTGGGCTCAAGTAATTCTCCCACCATAACCTCCCAAAGTGTTGGGGCTACAGGCATGAACCACCATGCCCAGCCTACTAATGGTACCCTTATAAGCTCTTCCTGAACCTGTACTTTCTTTCATTCATCTTAAAACTGTCTTATTTAATTCATGAATGGATTATTCTTACAACTGCACCAGAATGGATAAAAGTAAAAACACTGACAATCCCAAGTGTTGACAAGGATGTGGAGAAACTGGAACTATCCTACAATACTGGTCAAAGCATAAACTGAAATAATCTCTTTTGAAAACTTTGGAGTATCTATTAAGCTAAATATACACAAGACCCAACGATTCCATTTCGAAAATGAGTGCTCATTTTCACCAGAAGTCATGTACAAGAAAGTTCATGACAGCTTTACTGGAAATAATCCAATGTCCCTCAGCAATAGAATGGATAAATTAAAATATAATTACACAATGGAATGTTTCAACAATGAACAACAAAAACTACAGCCATACTCAACACCGATAAATCTGAAGACGAAATGTTAAGTGGAAAAAAACCAGGTATAAAAAAAGTTAATGAAAAAGCAAAAGCGATCTACAGTGGCAGAGGTTAGAATAGTGGTTACCTTGGAAGACGTCAACTGGAAGGATGCACATGGGAGCCGCTGGGGTTCTAGAAATAGTCTTATGTCTAGATCTGAGTAAGGTTTACATAAGTGTATGCACATCTGTAAAAATTTATTGAGCTGTACCTAAGATTTGTATACTTTACTATTTATAAGTTATACCAGAAAACAAAGAAAGAAAAGGAAGGGAGGGAGAGAGAAAGGAGGGGAAAAAATGGAAAGGAAAGATAAACCATTTTGTCCTAGAATTTGAAAGTGTGAAAAAGTTTAAAACCCCTTTGGGTCCTTGCCACTAATGGTGTCACAGACTTTATGATGTCCCTTCTCAGCTGTCATATTTCCAGGCTATAAAGAAAGCCTAGGTGGAGATAATATTTTCTGTAAATAAATGTTAACAGTAGATGGAAATCATATGTGCAAACAGATAACAAGAAAAATATTGTTTACTTTTTTTTGGTTTTCTCTCTATGGCCAGTCATAAAAAATATTTTCCACAGAAGAATACAGCAAGGTTCAATGACAACAGGAGGCTGAGAAATGTTGGTTTAACCAGGTTATATAAGCTGGATTGAACCAAATCTAAGTATTTTCCTCCTACTACAAAAGAGAAGAGTCTTAAACAGGATAAATACATAGGACCCTCCCTGACATGCCTGTCTCTAATATTTCTTATCAGGAAATTAGATTCAAACAAACACTATGGATTCTTTTTTTTTTTAATGGTAGAAATATATAACATAATTTACCATCTTAACCATTTTATTTTTATTTTTTAAAATTTATTTTTGAGATGCAGTCTTGCTCTGTCACCCAGGCTGGAGTGCAGTGGTGCGATCTCGCCTCACTGCAACTTCTGCCTCCTGGGTTCAAGTGATTCTCCTGTCTCAGCCTCCTGAGTAGCTGGGATTACAGGTGCCAACCACCACACCTGGCTAATTTTTGTATTTTTAGTAGAGACGGGGTTTTGCCATGTTGTCCAGGCTAGTCTCGAACACCTGACCTCAGGTGATCCACCTGCCTCGGCCTCCCAAAGTGCTAGGATTACAGTCATGAGGTACTGGCCCAACCTCTTAACCATTTTAAAGTGGACAACTCAGTAGTGTTAACTATATTCACCATCATTGTACAACAAATATCCAAAAATTTTTTCATGTTGCAAAGCTGAAACTCTATGCCCACTGGATAACAACTCCCTAGGCCCTGGCAACTACCATTATACTTTGTTTCTTTAAGTTGGATTACACTAGGTACCTCATATAAGTGAAATCATGCAGTATGTGTCTTTTTGTGACTGGCTTATTTGACTTAGCATAATGTCCTCGAGGTTCACCCATGTTGTAGCATGTAACAGAATTTCCTTCATTTTAAAGCTTAACAATATTCCATTGTGTGTGTGTGTGTGTGTGTGTGTGTGTGTCTCCACATTTTCTTTATTTAGTCATTTGTTGATGGACATTTGGGTTACTTTTACATCTTGGCTATTGTGAATATTGCTGCAATAAACATGGCAAAATCTCAGGAATTACCACTAAAGAACTTATCCAAGTAACAAAAAACCACTTGTTCCCCCAAAACTATTGAAATAAAAAAAAACTATTAAGTAACAACAACAACAACAAAACCATGGGTGTACAAATATTTCTTCAAGGTTCTGGTTTCAATTCTTTTAAATATGTATTCAAGAATGGGACTGATGGATCATATGGTAATTCTATTTTTAATTTTTTGAGGAATCGCCTGTTGATTTCCATAGCAGCTGCACTATTTTACAATCTCAACAGTAGACAAAGTTTCCAATTTCTCCACATCCTTGTTGACACTTGTAATTTTCTGTTTTTCAATAGTCGCCATCCTAATGGCCATGAAGTGACATATCATCAAGGTTTTGATTATTATTTCTCTAATGATTAGTGATATATATTAAGCATCTTTTCATATGCAGGTAACACTATGCATTCTTAAGGAAAATAAATCACACAATGATCAAGTAAACCCAGAGGGGAAAATGTTGGTAGAAGAAGGAGGTTAGCCCTATTTTTGCATTCATTAAGCTAGGAAGAACTATGTATGGACAAATGCCTCAGCCTTTATTTATTTATTTTTAAACTAACCAACTAGGAATCTCCTCCTCTTTGACAAATGTCATTTGGAAAGACAGTCAGTGAAGTGGGTCCCAGGTGATTTTTGGTGACAGTTTCCCATTGCTGCTTCCAGATTATTATCAACCCATTATCATAAAAGACATCCTTTCCCTTTGGTGTTATGCCTTCCTCCAATTGCACCTTTGCCCCTTTTTTCATTTGACAGCTTTTCAGTTAGTCACTCACATTCCCTGAGGAACATGGATCACAGACTCATTTTAATCTCAATCCTACTCTCTATCATACAAATGAACCTACTATCTTACTATTAACCCTTTTCAACTACCCACCCCCATAGCCATACTCTGGACTTCGTTCTCACTGTGAATGATTCGAGCTCTTAAAGTTGAAACTTTATCACAACCTCCTATGTGACCAGCTGTTCTCACTCCAGCTAATCCTGTCCTTTCACTGTATACACACTCAAGTTCCCTGTACCTCCTCTTTACCCAAGTTTATACACTTCCTCCCGAGTTCACTTTTTCACTCCAGTCCTACACTTAACTCCATACCAGACTCCCTTGATAAGTATCCTCAAACTCAGTGCCCCTTGTATACATGCTACAAAAGACCAGATAAATGTCAAAGACTACACCATCTGCTTTCTCAATCTACACACCACTGGAGAGAAATTTCAATAGTGTGCAGACTGTTGCCAGTACAAGTTAAGTCATGGTCTCTATCCTCACCTAGACGTCAAACCCGCTCAGCAGTTCTTTGTGAGTGTCTTCCCCACTCTGCAACTTTATTCCAAATTCTACAGGATCATCAGCCTCCATATCTAACCACTACCTGCCATCGCTTTCAGAGAGAAGTGTTCTGCTTTGGGTCGGAGGTGGACAGAATAGTCAAGTTTTCACCTTCTTAATAAGGATTCTGGAAGAAGCAAGGTAGTCTGCTATCTTGGTTCTTCCAACTTAACAAGCTGTTTTGTTTTAGCAACTCTATTCCATAAAACATCATTCTTAATAAATACTAACTGCTTTTAGTTTTAAAAGCTCCATTATTTGCTAATTTAAAAAACAATCCACTCAGTTAACCATCAAGAATTATTTTACTTCAAACAAAGATCAAAAGGCCATAGTGGCTCAAAGGAACATAGGAAAAGCCTCTGCGTCAGAATTTTTAAATTTAATCCCAGGGTAGTTTTGTCTTCTCTATGTGGCCTTTAGCTCACTTTGCCTTAGCTCTCCTACTAAAAAGAGCAAAGAAGATATTAATCCTGCTAACTCAACTTAGCTAATTATTGAAAAAATTAATTTTGTTTGTTTGAGACAGAGTCCCACTCTGTCGCCCAGGTTGGAGTGCAGTGGTGCACTCTCGGCCCACTCCAACCTCCACCTCCCGGGTTCAAGCAATTCTCCAGTCTCAGCCTCCCGAGTTGCTGGGACTACAGGTGCATGCCACCATGCCCGGCTAAGAAAAAATTCAATTATTTATGGGGCTGTTATGAAATGTAATATCCAAGAAATCAAGATGAAGTTACAAATGGGAAGGGTGTGGAGGGGAGGAAAAACTGTTAATCTTCACTGATACAGAAAGTTAATTTTTCAAATTAGCCTCCAGTGGGAATGCAATTTATAGGAAAATAAGTCCTAATCTTCCACAATGTTTTGACTAGATCATTGACGAGATGAGTTTTTGAGAACAACTGTGTTTCTACAATTTTCTTTTTGCTACAGATGGAGCAATTTCATTGTTCATTCAGCAAATACTGAGTACCTACTTGTGTCATTCTGGTTTTTAAGGATTTATTAGCCCAATATATGTTTATTGAATGTCCCCTATGTCAACTGCTTCACCGCTTTCATTATGGTGTATATTTGTACCCTGGAGTTGGGGGTGGGGGGTGGGAGTGCCAGATGATTCATTAGGATATGACAAGGAAATAGACTGTATATTAAAATTTATTTACTTTTTATCTAAAGAAATAAGATTAGTTGGAAGGTCAGGATGTATAAAGTATTCCCAAGAGAGGTGATAAATCCACAGGCTTAAGGTGAAGGCAGTGTTGGCCACACTCACTGGCTCCTGATCAGTACTGGGATGTACTACTTACATGTACCTGGCTAAATGGCTTATAATATCTAGTTTTGACTAAATTGGCTCACATAAAATAGACTCAAAGTTAAAATAGTTCTTGAAAACCAGTAAGATAATGAAGCTGGCACATTTCACTCCAAAGTAAAACATTTAATTAGCTGCACTAATCATGTAAAAGCAACAATAATGTTCCACTCTTTAAGAAGATGGCCTCTGCATTCAAAATTATCAAGAAAGACTAATTTATATGTTTATTTTATCCACCATTGTTAACTATGAATGTCATCATAAAGTACACGTATATCTTTTTGGCTTAAAAAGTTAGCTAGCAATAATATGAAGACATCACAATTTGCAAGATATTTAAGAATATTTTGTCTTTCAAGATCCATTTATTTTTCTATTTAGAAATGTTTTTCCATGAACATAATAATGAGGTTATTTATTGATAAAGAGTATATCTAAGGCTATTTACACATATTAAGGGTACATGTTCAAAACTGTTTACACACTGGGATGTGTGATAAACAAATGAAAATGCATGAAAGAGACTGTAGAAAATGAAGGTTGAAAGGGAGAGAGTTGTCCTATTTCTCACTGACTACAAAGGAGTAGGGTCAGTCTAAGCTCAAGTCCAGATATTTTTCCAAGGCTATGAAAAATTTCTCATATGGAATATTACTTGCATTAATGGTCCATACAGTGGTTTTAAAACACAGACCTGAATACTTTGACATTTCTCTCATCAAGAGTTAGGGACGATATCTCCTGCTTCTTGGATCTGAGTGGGTTTGTGTTTTAACTATTAGACTTTGCTGTCCACAAAAGCCAATCACCATCTTCCTGGTAGTTGTGGGTGTTTGCTATGTTAGGAGGAAGATACCCACTACAGAAGAAGCTCAATTATCCTGAGACAGTCATGTGTGAAAGGCCATGTGCAGGTAAATGTTTCTGGCTAAGTCAAATCTTCTGAGCCATATAGCTAAGTGAGGCTTTAGTCTGTCGGCCAGGTGAATACCCGAGAATGGCTTCAGTTAACATTACAAGGTTCAGAAGAATCACTCAGCAGAGCCTATCTGAAGTTCCTTACTGATAAAAATCTCTGCAATATGAAAATATGGCTCCTTTTCAAGGCTACAACATTTTGGGGTTCTTTGTTATATAGCAATAAATAACTTTGACAGAATTTGTTATCAGAAGTGATGTGTTAATAAACTAAAACCTAAACAGGTGGCATTAACTTCGACATGAGGCAGTGGGTAAAAGATGAGAAAAACTTGAGGAATCTTTCAGTGAGAAAAGTGAGGAAAATGTCATCAGTAAGTAAGAAAAGTATTATTGGAGGCTAGAGGAAAGAAGACTTATAAGTGGTAGACATTTTAGAAACACTGTTGAGTATAGTATTTTAGAAAACATAAAATGTGCTAATGATTTGAAGAATCTAAGTACATTTCCAGAAGAATATCAAAAGTTTCTTTGAACTGTGTTTTGTACGTTACAGGAAAAGACAGATGAGTTAAAAAAGGAAATTTGCAATTTTCAAGCACAATTTAGAGAAAGAAATAAAGGAGGCATTTACTCCTTGCTTAGTTCAAAAATAAAACTACTTCTTAACTCCACTGCTTCCCAGCAAACATCATCAAAGTAACAAAGGTTTTAATTAAGGGCAAGAAGATCAAGTCCAGGATGCTGTGAGAATGATGTAGGGTCACAGTGAGTGTGGACTCAGGGTATGACGATGAAACTACTTTTTAACATGTCAGAAGATTTAAGGGAGTATGTCATTGATCATTCTAGTAAAAATAAAAGCATCACAGGGATTTAAAAGAGTGTGACTTATAAATTATGTTTTAAAAGTAGGGCTTTGAAAAATCTTAAGGGCATTGTCCCAAAGCAGTCTCACAGGGGACCCACAATAGTTAAAGGAGTTTTGAAGATTTTTATGCATGTTTCTTTGTCTAATAGAGTGAATTCCAATAAGATTCCTGGAAAATCCACTAAGTTTTAAAGAGAACTGTATTGAAAGAGTATACTGACAGCTTGGACTAAAAGGGTTAGATACAGTATAAAAGAGGGCTTTGAACTCCTGAAATTCTACGGGGAGGGCTAAAAACACTGTGTGACAATTACTCAGCTATAAACAGAGGCTATTTCTTGTGAAAAAGGAAAAATGACTCAAATGGTATAACAACAAGTCTACAACAAGAGTTGGTCAACTACAGCCTATGGGCCAAATTTGGGCAGTGTCCTGGTTGTGTATGTCCAGTGATCTAAGGATTTTATATATTTTTAAAGGATTGTTTTAAAAAGAATAAATTTCAACAAAGACCATATGTGGCAAACAAAGCCTAAACATTTACTATCTAGCACTTCATAGAAAAAGTTTACTAGCCCTCACCTAGAGGGTAAAGCCAAGAAACACAGAGAATCATTCCCAGGAAGCAGTAATGGGCCGTGATCATAGCTGGTAGCCTGGGCCTGGCGAGGTTTCAGAATTAACACAGACCTGTGTCTTTTGTGGTTAACCTATGCCTATTCCTTCATTTTATGTTGGAGGACAGATAGTTCACTGATATTCAGATTGAGAGGAACTATACCTAAGGAATGGCATCTTATTGGAAATTTCATCTCAACCAGTACCTGATTTAGATAACAAGCCTGGACCTTGTGTCTGAGCTTGATACAGTAATGAGATGAGTCTTGGGGTGGGAGGGTCTTCCGAGGAGCTAAGAATAACTTATACATAAAATAGAAACAGTTCGTTGCTTGAGCAATGATTTGAAGACGTCTGAAAATTCTTTTATATTCCTTCTATAGAAAAGTGGTGTCTGTGTCCTTTCTCCTGGAAGTCGGGAGCATGGAGGATTTGTGTCTGCTCTAACATATGGAGTATAGCAAAGGTTACTGCATACATTCCCAGACTAGGTCAGAAAAGGCCATGCAGTTCCTGTCTAATTTTACTCTGGATGCTGTCTTGGACCTTCTAGGGCAGTCCACCTACCAGCTGAGGTACCACTGATATCATTAGGATGAGTAAATTCCTCAGCCAAATCCTTCCTGAAATCTTAACTCACAGAATGTAGGAAATATAATAAAATGGTTGTCATTTTAAGCTACTAAGTTTTGGAGCATTTTGTTTTGCAGCAATAGGTAGCTGAAACAGTTCACTATGGATGTACAGAATATGCTTGGCAGTGGGGTGGTACTGGGGCCCTAGCTATGTGACATGCTTTGGCCAATGGAATGCTAGCAAATGTGACACAAGTAGAGGCTTGAAAAGGACACGCAAGATTGGGATTCTCTTCTCTGGCACCTCCACACCATTGCTATGAGAAGGTATACCTGGGCCGGTCTGCTGGAGGGCAAGAAGCAAAGCAGAGGACCCCAATTGTTCCCAACATACTGGTAGAGTCTGTCCTACATAAGTCAACAGCCAGCTGCCTCACAGACAAGTGACGGAGCCCAGCCAAGACCAGAAGGTCCACTCAGCAAATGTAGCCTAAATCACCAGGAGACAAACTTGTGAGCTAATTAATTATTTATTGTTTTAAGCCACTCATTTTGGAGGGTGTGTGTTATGTACCATTTCAGTAGCAATAGACAGTACAATAAAGATTTTTATTGCAAGGTGCTTTCCTCATAAAAACACTGTGTTTCTAATCATAGAGTTGTGTGGACTGTCTCTAATACACTTGGCATATTTAATCTGCTATTTTATCTTAGGCTGCCTTTTCCTTCCAGAATGTCCTTTACCTTCTTTCTGCCTTTCCTAATCCTACATAGCCTTAATGGCCTAGCTTAAATTCTGCAACCTTAGAATCAGCCTAGAGCACTGCATCCACAATGGTCTTATCTCTGGATTCTTATAGAATTCATTTCATATATAATTCTCTTGACAATTAACTGTAGATTGCTTTGAGATCTATTTAACTTACTTTTGGGTTTCATTTCTCCCTACCTATATTTTGAGATCCCTGAAGACAAGTGTCTTGTGTCATACTACTTCTCACCCTTCATCCCAGGCTCTATGGCATGTAGCCCAGTTTAAAGCACGTAATAGGTGTTCAGTAAATATAGGAAGAAGGCAAAGAAGAAGCTATAGCTCTTGAAAGGATCTTAGACAGGGGGAGTCAACGAAATACACATTTTATAACATTGCTTATAGTCATTTCTATTACTTCAAATTTGAAAGATAATAGAACCCATTATGAAAGATAATTGAGCAATTTGGTGCAGGGTCGGGGGTGGGAGGAAAATCTGCTGAAATCTTGAATATTTTCAGTGAATCACAGTGTTTATGGGTAAAAAGGTATTAAACAATTGCTGTCAGGCTTGACTATCCGCCAAATGACTGATCATAATGGCATAGCTGTATTTCCCAACTTGGAGATTTTGCAAGTTATTAATAAACTTTGCAATATTTACCAGGTGTTTGGTTAACGCATGCGTATATAAAGAGTTAGCAAATATTTATATTCCACAGAAATCCTCCCACTGTATTTAGACATTTGAAAAAGAAGAATCATTTTCCTTTAAATAATTGTATTTCTTATGAAAGGGCATTGTATTTCCAAGAACCATAACAAGTGTTACTCTGCATCTTTTTGTCTCATCTTTCCTTCCATGGATAATGGGGAAGCTGAATTAGAGCAGTCACCTGCCAAAAATCACATTTTAGTGACAATGTACCACATCTAATTTTTTTTTAAAAAAGGAGAAATAGGAAATAATCTTTTAACATCTGTTGAGAAAAAAAGATAGTTTTCTTTATACCCAATCTACTTTAATTTTACTTTCAAGGAAAGGTAAGCACATGTATTAATTTATCTTTCCTCTTCATTTTGAGTAGGATTTAGCCAGTCCTTATATCCAGAAATTTAAAATGAGGCTAAATATGTATTCCATCATTGTAATAGACTTGTGATGAAGGGGAAGAGTTTGGTGGTGGGGTAGGGATTATCTTCTGAAGCCTAGTAAAGGATGGCAGTAATCCCTTTCATATTAGTCATAAAAAATTGGCATTGCTTGTACGGCAGTATGAGATAGGTTTGAATAACCCTATCCGCAAAGAATTTTCTAATTAAAAGTACAAGTCTAAAGCCCAGCTTCTGGTGTTCTCCTGACCTAGTGGCGACACTAACCAGAAGGACCCCTCCCTTTGCACAGAGTGGGACACTTAATACTGAAGCTGATTAATTTACATTCCTTTGCACAGAGTGGGACACTTAATACTGAAGCTGATTAATTTACATTCACATACAAACTGATATAATTTTTCAAAAGATTGTGATTAGTCATCTGTCACCTCCTCCTCGTGACAATTAAAACAGTAAAGCTTGCCTATCAAAAGGAGAATTATCCCAGGAATAACTGGGTGGATAAGGGATACCCACTGAAATCCCAAGTCATGCCTCCAGGGCGAGTATCCTACATTTAGCCTGTGTGAAAGCTCCCCCTAGAGGAGTTCAAAACAACTGCACAACACAACTGAAAGGTTCCATCACCAGCTCCTGTCCTTCAGAAGAAAAGGCAAAGGGAACAAAGTCTTCATAAACATTTCTGCCAAAAATTAGTTTACAAAAGTATTTTTTGCTTCCATCCAAGATCTTTTCTTATTCAACTGGCACCTCTAATATGAAATAAGACACAAATAATGAACCACACCACCATGCGAACCCTGTTGTAGTTAGGACTTACCTCCTTCAACCAACTGGAGAAAATGCCAGTGTAAAAAAAGTAAATAAATAACCTTGTCCTAAGGTGTGTGTGTGTGTGTGTGTGTGTGTGTGTGTGTGTGTGTAGACTACTGCCAATAATCAGTTGCTTTATATTCTAAAAATGACATGAAGGGAAAAAGATACTTCTTGACAAAAGCGTGTAATTAATTGAAAAAGATTTATTTGACTACATGAGAATCTGGAGATTCTACTGTTTATTCAAGATGAGCATACCATGCAGCTGACTCTTACTGAGGGTTTGAAAGAATTAGGAGATTTCCTTGTAGTCTATGGTCTTAAGTAACCATTCTCCTCTAGGATAAACAGGCTTCTTTTCCAAGTATGTTTTAAGAGTGAGCTATCTAATCTGCCCACATAAGTCAAATAAGCAAACCTCCGGGGCACATTCCACACGCAGAAGTGGCAGCTCACAGGTTGGGATCTGCCTGTTATGTGCTAAACTGAAGAGAGGGTTTCAACAGACTAATAGAGCCTGAGGCCTCAGATGATGACTCATATGGATCTTCCATTAAAATTGTCTAAACTAAACTGTTTTGATGTTCTCATTTATCTAGCGTGGCTTTCCCCCTTTTTTTTTCTTTAAAGTGTTTGGAGACATTTCTCACAGCACAGTGAAGAACAGACATCAGTGCTCAGTGTTATAAAAGGAGAATAGGGTTTTCTATCAGATTAGGGAAGCTGGGTTCCAATAATAGTTTAATAGTTCCTACTGAAGTAGAATCAAGGAGGCATCTTGCAGTATATACCACCCATCTAAATCATAGCATAACATAAATGCTGGATGTAGAGGAAAACAGAGAAAATGTTATATGAAGTGATGAGCTTCATAATTACGTTATCCTTAACCATATTAACTATTGTTATTATTATTAACTATTACTACAATAAGTTAATTGGACCTGGGAAAGAATTTAGGCTAACAGGCATCAACTCTTTTTTTCAGGGCATATGACCCAAATTCTGGCAAAGGATAATCCATAACAGCACACTTTTACTTAGTATATCTCTAACATGCCCTAGAGAGTCAGGTGGAATCAAGAAAATCTTTAAACTTGAGCAGAATCAAATAACAAAGACTAGTTTCATCTGAAATAACACTTTGCTAGTTGAAATAAATATTGCAGCTGTCAAAATTCCAGATAGAAGGAATTGTCCTACGTGAAAATCAAACCATCCAATGGTACACAATTTCATTCATTTGGGCTTGATTAGCCTGACCAGTATTACTCACGATAACCAGCACAATGGAACCCAAGTATAATCCCTGAACCCCACTTAACCTTATTCAGTGCATCCAAGCTTGTTTTCCTCCAGTATTTTCATCCAACTCTCTTCTTCCACCCCTTCAATCCTTAGCATCTATATGTATTTGAAGAGTAATTTGCCATATGTTATTTGTGATTTTACAATAATCTGATTTTGATGATTCAGTTAACTTTTTGCATTTTCGTTTCTCAAAGTGTTTCCAGATATTCCAGAGGGTTTTTTTTTCCATGTGAGCAAACTTGGGGAAAAAAATGCAGCAGATAAAAATTTCTGAACATCACCCCGGTTTTTAATTTTTATAAATGGAGCTAAGTGAAACTAGGTTAATGAAGAAATGTAGTGAACACATGTGTTTGTGCTAAAGATTATTGTTTCCAGAAGAATAGTTTTGTTTTTTGTTTTTTGGTTTTTTTTTTGAGACAGAGTATCTATTGCTGGAGTGCACTGGTACAATGACAGCTCCCTGTAACCTCAAATTCCTAAGCTCAAGTGATCCTTCCACCTCATCCTCCGGGGTAGCTAGGACTACAGGTGTGCCCCCCTATGCCAAGTTAATTTTTAAAAATTATTTTGTAGAGACAGGGTCTCATTATGTTGCTCAGGGAGGTCTTGAACTCCCAGTCTCAGGTGATCCTCCCACCTTGGCCTCCCAAAGTGCTAGGATTACAGTTGTGAGCCACTGTGCCCAGAAAGAGTTGCTTTTTGAAAGAAGGAGCCCAAATTCCTTCTTAGGCTTCTTTGTGTTTCCATTCTAGTAGATAGAGCTGGCCATCTAGTAATAGCTCAGCAAATGTTTATTGAGTAAATTAATGAACACTAATTTAAAGATAATTGAACAATTAGTAGGTAATGAATGATCTGTAAATTAGCAACTTATAATAAATTACAAATTATTTAGCTAATCAGTAAATAATTAAACTTCAATAGAGATAATGATAAAATATTCAGTAAGTAAACACATGGCCAGAATAAAAAAAGAAAATCCCCTAAAAATTAAAGATCCAAACCACAGAACACATGCAATGGAAAGAAATGTTATTATTTTCAAACACTGTAAGATATAAATGGGTACTGAAACAAAATTAGATAAATTACTGAACAGGGCAATTCACCATGCCATCTTGTATAATAATCTATCATTAACAACAATTTCTTTAATATTCATTTCCTAAATGCCCAATTTAGAATCTTAGTGTTAAAACATACTTGAGAGGTTGGTTTTCTATTAAAACTCCATTGTTTTGGACATGAGGCCTTTGAGCCCCATTTCAGATGTATGACCTGATCGAATATTCTTGGCTGGTGCACAGCTGACTTCCAGTTGGCTCATTCTTTCTTTTTTTATATTCTTTCTGCCCATCATCAACTTCATCCCTATTCCTTCGTGCCTACCGTCTGTGTGGTTTACTGTGGAATAGGACGATTTTTGTAAAATTGAGGTAGTGCGTCCAAATAAACGAATGCATACTTGTAACATTTATCTTTTTAAACTATGAAGTTTCAAAGCATTATACTATCGATTACCTTCCGAGCCTGGCCTGGTTTCACCCTTAGTGGTTTATGCAGCAGTCTTTTCTACTGATGCCTTTTACAAGAAACAGAGTAGACCTGTTTGTAGATTCAATTTATTCCCTAGCCTTTCTTTTTAAATGTACTAAAAACATCCAACTCAAATGTGTGCAGCCAGAGGTGATAAAGAAGAAGGGATATAGACTGCAAAAGCTCCCCAAAAGAAAAGCCAGGCCAGGCGCCATGGCTCACGCCTGTAATCCCAGCACTTTGGGAGGCCGAGGCGGGTGGATCACAAGGTCAGGAGATCAAGACCATGCTAGTCTAACTCGGTGAAACCCCGTCTCTACTACTAAAAATACAAAAAATTAGCAGAGCGTGGTGGCGGGCGCCTGTGGTCCCAGCTACTCGGGAGGCTGAGGCAGGAGAATGGCATGAACCCGGGAAGTGGAGCTTGCAGTGAGCCGAGATTGCGCCACTGCACTCCAGCCTGGGTGACAGAGCAAGACTCCGTCTCAAAAAAAAAAAAGAAAAGTCAGCCAGTTTCTTAAATAAAAAGCAGAAGAAAGGACAAGGATAGTTTTTCCAACCAGGAAATGTTTTTGCCACTATAGCATCCAATACATGATCAAAGAAAAACATCAGTAAAACATATGTTTTTCCATTGTTTCTAGTCCATCTGTCCCTGACATTTTGCTAATTATCTCAAAAAAGGATTACTGTATAATTTTCCTTTCTCTTCTATTTCTAATTAAAGGTAACAATTTCTCTTGGTGATTAATATCTTCCACATTAATAAGGAATGACTATGCCTGACATAATTTACATCATTCTAGATTCCTGGTTCTCCTAGGACAATCTCATTCTTGGTGTCAAAAGTCTTCCCCTCTAGTTTGCATGTTAACAGCATAGAAGGCTCTATTCTAGTCAACTGTGAATGTGCTGAGTATTTAATTGACAAAGCAAAAATGATGGAAGGAATTGTCCTTGAACTGGAAGCAGAAAAAAAAAAGCCTTAGGTGTCAGAGGAGCTGAGTACTGCCATCTGCTGGCTATGGGGTCTGGGTCAATTTTTCTTTTTTTTGTCGTTTTTTAATATCTCTGAGCTTCTAGATTCCTCATTTGAAAAGAGTTTCACACTAATATTCTATCAACAGGGGTCTGAGGTTTGAAAATGTGTGTGAAATATCACTTTATAAAGTTCAAGTATGATACAAATATCAGTGGGAAATTTCTTGTGGATAACAAAACCTGTAAGATTCTGGGGACTTCCTCAGAATAGTTAACTGAGTATGTTCAGGAAATTGTTTAGAGACACTAAGTGGCTTCCCTTTTATATTCTACAGTGGTACCGTTTTTCAGCCCCAGCCATCACTTCATCCTTTGCTCTGTAGCTTTCTTCATTTGTTGGGAGAGAGGCTATTCTTTTACTTGAACTTAGTGGGAGCTCATTTTGCAAAGGTAAGTATATCTTGTCCCCATTTTTCTATGTGCTGAACTGATCATCACTGTGAATGTATTACTAAGTGGAAGTTTTAAGGTTAAGATCCTTATGGAATAACTACAGCAGTCCTATCTTCCCCCACTAGATACATGCTTCACCATCCCCTGAAAGATTTATATAGAAGGACACTGTGGCAACATGTGACCTTTTGAAACTGCTCCCTTGGAAGGAATTCTAATGTCCTCCTGTCTATGTTACCTGCTGTGTACCTACCACTGGGGAAAGATGCTGAAAATTTAATGAATTGCAGAAAAGCTGTGCAAGCTTCTCTTTTGGAAGAACCTTGGAGAAGAGAGAGGCTGACAGAAAGAAAACTTTCAAAGAAATTACACTGCCCTCAAGGGTGGCATCTACAGAGGACAGTGACAGGGCCTTGGAGACGTATGATTTCTTCTGCTGCTCATTTACCTAGGTCTGTTTTCACTCTGGTGACTGGCCACAATCATGGGAAAAGTGAAGAAATCTGATAACTATCAAGGTACAAATTGCTAGAGAAAGAAAATCGGGACTCTTACAACTAAGGGCTAATTGATGTGGAGATGGAAGGTTTGTGGTGCTATGTTTTGCATGTGCCTCTGTGTGTGTTTGTGTGTGTATATATAGGAGGGTAGGAGGTAGAAGAATTCACAGTACAACCTAATAATCTGGGCCATGGACCCAGCCAAAGAAGCGGGGACAGGGGTTGAATGGAGAAGCACATGGGACCAGATGTACAATGTATCTGGAAAACAGACACATATACCGCATCCAGGGAATAACTGCAAACAGTCAAATAACATATTTTGTATTCAACCACTGACACAGAAATTCATGCACAATGTATTTTATTTTTTAGTGGAAGAGAGAGAACTATGCCACCCCTTTAAGGTATGATGCCATTCTTAGAAATAAATATTCGTATAGAGAAAACTATCTGAAAGGATAGATGTCAAAATGTTTACATAAGAGATTATTTCCGGATGTAAGAATTAGAGGGGAATTTTATATTTTTTATTTTTTGTGTATGTACAGTTTCTAATTTTCCTACATTTAGTATGTAAAAAGGAAAAAAAAGTAGCACATTTTTAGAAAAGAATTCTAAATTTCTTTTATAAATATCACTAAGGAAACAGATTTGATTTGGGCAAAGGGAAGAAGAGATTAGAATAGGGGTTGGCAAACTACGACCCTCTGAGCTAAATCTGGCCTGCCACCTGTTTTTGTAAATAAAGTTTCATTGGAATACAACCACTTCTTTCATTTATATACTACAAACATGGAGTTTAGCAGTTGTGACAAAGACCCTACGACCTACAAAGCCAAATGGCTCTCCTATCTGGTCCTTTACAAAAAAAGTTTGCCTAAACCCAGTTTAGAAGAATCCTCCTAATATGGTCTTACCTATTTTACCTTACTAGTTGTGTGAGCTTAGGGAAGTCATAACTTTCACACCTCAGGTTCCTCATGTGTAATGAGATGGATAACACATCTTAGACATTTTATGAAAATTAAATGATTTAATACATAAATGGTGCTAAACACTGTGTTTGGCATATAGTAGATGCTCAATAAATATTATGCTCCTACTTATTTTCTACTTCCTTTAAATAAAATGCATTATTCTGATTTCATGGCAAATCTAATGAAACTGCCATTTTTGCTAGTCAAAATTGTTCAATATTGGCAATTTTATATGGCTCAATGTAATCATACTTTAGCCATTTACTATTCTCATTGCTCTTGTTTAAGTTGTAATTGCTGAGCTTGTATCTATCAATGTCACCAAGGTAGTTTTAGGGTTAGCTAAATTGCCACAAACGGCTGGAAACCAAAATCTATTAATAGCATTGTTCTATCCAAATGTGGACACTTTGGGTGTATGAAACAAAACACTGTATTTGTATTTCACTTTGTTACTTGTGTAACACAGGGAAATCTGCATTCAATGCACCTATGGTGTGACAGATTAGGGCCTCTTTCCTGCTGCCCTAAATAGAAGCTTTTTAGATAAAGGATATTTGCTTCCACCCTACAAAACAGCACCTGACTTAAATTTCAGCAGACTCAGTGAGCTTTCACAGCACTGCGACAATCACTCTTGGCACTGAGCAAAGTTCTGACACAGTCTACCACAACATCCTGGGAAGAACTGCTGAAGGGAACATGGGGCTCAGGATGCTACAAAATTTGGAGACTGTCATTCAATCGCACTTGAAGATGATATTCTGGGGCTTAGTGCAGATCCAAAATAGGAGTTCTTTAAAAAAGTAAAATGGGGTTTCTCCAAGAACAAGACAGGAAGACCGACTGGAACATCAATGGAATGTAAGTGTAAGAAGTTGCAGATAGGGAAGTATAGGATGAGCTTCATGAAAAGGAGGCAAAATCAGGAAACTGAAAGACTAATCAAAGTATTCTTATCAACAGAAATGAAGAAAGGCTTTTAGTTCAGTGCTAAGACTATCAAAGGAAGAACAAACCCAATTTAATCCAATCAACACTTATTAAATGCCTACTTTATGCCAGGCACTGGGTTAACACAGCTAGAGATAGTAAGATAAATCAGACACAATTTCTACCTTAGAGAAGTTTCTGGGCTGGTGGGAGGGAGATAAACATGGAACCAAATAACTTTAATATCGTGATAAATGTTATAATACTAACAATAATAGCTGTCATTTATTAATTGTGTAAAATGTAAAGCAAACACAGAATGGAAAAATTAGTTTTGCTTGGAGAGGTCCAGAGAGGGTAGGGAGGAGGGGAATAATTACAGTCAGCACCTGAAAATGACCAAAAGTTCACGAAGCTAATACTGAGGCAAGAATGAGAGTGATGTGCTGTGGTTTCAGGACAGGATGGATTGTTGTAATGGTTAAAATGAAGCTGACGAAAAACCTCATAAGCCAAACTTAGGAATTGTGACGTTATTCAGTAGGCATTAATTCTCAATAAGCAGGAAGCAGTTTGGTTCAGTCCGGTTTAAAAAAGACAAGAGAATACTTTCCTAGAGAGCCATGAGGCAGGATCATAGGAAGAAGAGAGACTAAATGGTTCTGTCTGTGAAAATTTAGACCAGAAAAGTGGCAGTAAGAAGAGAGAAGAGGAGATGGATACAGGATGCAGCATGTCTTCAAACTGAAATGCAAAAGTGGAGGGAGACATTCTGAAGACCCAGAGGAGAAACAGATGAAAAGAACTGTGGTGTGGGAGGAGCAAGGGACGGTAGGCAAGGAGAAGACCACAGTTAGGTCACTGGCCTTGGGAAAGGGAACATCTTTTTTTCCTCGACCAGCCTGGGCAACACGGTGAAAACCTGCCTCTACAAATAAAAATACAAAAAAATTTGGCCAAGTGTGGTAGTGTGCGCCTGTAGTCCCAGGTACTCGGGAGGCTGTGTGTGGAGGCTCTGGGGCTTGTGCCCAGGGTATCGAGGCTGCAGTGAGCCGTGATGTCACATGTCACGTCTCATTAAAGGGTATTGAATGATACCCAAGAGAGGAAAAATCTGATTTCCTTAGCCTGGCCCTCAAAGCATTCTGTAATGTAGCTCACAACCTATTCTTCTGATCCATTTTCACCTCCTTTATTCTTCCCTCCTGAGGGTATAGATACCCAAATGTCTTCGGGACTCAGGCGGGTAACACACAAGGGGGTGAAGTGGCAGGGTCTGAGGCCCTGAAGTGGTGAGTCCATGGCTCACAGGACGTTATATTTTCTTTTTAAATTCACTGAGAGGCAAACAACATATATACACACAGAGATTTTAGAAGTTTAACGTTTATCTTGAGAGGCTTTACCTTCTAAAATTCTACACAGCATCAATCCAGCCTTCTCTAAGCAGACTTCCCAGTCAACCAGGCTTATAGACAAGAGTTCCTTCTCATGTCTTATTAGGGTTATAAGCATGTCCACCCCCATGCTTATTTTTATATCACTTACCTGCACATATAAGATGTTATCCCTCAGAGTGTACAGGTCAAAGCATGAGCTTTGGATTCAGACAGCCCTGGGTTAAAATACTGTTTTTGCCACCTCTGGGCTTGTATAACATGTGAAAAGCTATCTAAGGTCTTGGAAACTCACTTTCCTCATTTGTCAAATGATAATAATATTAATAATAATACCAACCTTAAAGGGTTATTGTGAAGATAAAATTAAACAATATACGAAAAATACTTCCTCGATTGCCTGGCATATAAACCCTCAATAAATATGTTTTAAGATATATGGTTTTCCCCAACATGATGATAATTTAAGGAAGGGCGAGAATCACATCTTCTGAATTCTTTCTACCTTGAGTTACTAGAGAAATATCTTGGGAGTATTCGATGCTAAGTATATGTTTAGGAAATGGGTTGATATTTAAAATAATCATTATTACTAAAAAACACACTGGGCAAGGCAAAATTTTCATGGGCTGGAGAAATTATCACTAATTGCTAGGTTTTAGGGCCTTAACTAGATTAGTGAGATGCTTCTAAACAATAAAAAAACAAAAATTACACACATAAGTATATGTGTATATCTACGCATTTATATAATTCTTTACATACAAATGTATATCTGTAACACATATATGTTTATAATTCTTTACCACTTGCAAAGTGCTTTCTCACAAACTTTGATGTGGAGTTCCTGCAACTACGGATCAATAATAATAGCCAATACCAACTTTATAAGATACGTATTATCATAATTTAATTTTAGGGAAAGGGAAACTGAGGCTCAGTGAGGTTAAACATACTTGGCGAAGGTCACACACCGTGAATAATGAATGGAATGTATTCTATTGCAGGTCACCACAGTCCAATCTTTCTCTCATCTTTCATAGGTATCAAAGATATGAAGCTTGCCAAGAGTATTCTAAACATTTAAGAGTAACATTACCCTACAGTTAATATGGGAATTGAAAAATATCTCTAATAAGAATTTCAACAGGGAACATGGGGGATCAAACGTAGTGTCCTAAAAGGATCTTGGCCAAGATCTCTTGAAGATAGTTGTGTTTTACTGAAACAGTGCCACAGGATTGTAAATATCATCAATCCTACATGTGTGGACTTCAGTTTCCTCCATCAATAACACATGACATCAGGCTCCTCACCATAAATGACGCCATCTAAAGGAAAAGAGTCATTGGTCTACTTAGCTGATTGCCTCTAATAGGTCTAATTTTTGATCTCCCAATAACATGCAGGCTCTGTAAGGATGGGAACTCTGACTTGACAGGAAGAGAGCATGTGGTATATTAATTTTTTTTTTTTTTTTTGAGACAGAGTCTTGCTCTGTCGCCCAGGCTGGAGGGCAGTGGTGGGATCTCGGCTCATTGCAAGCTCTGCCTCCTGGGTTCACGCTATTCTCCTGCCTCAGCCTCCTGAGTAGCTGGGACTACAGGCGCCCGCCACCACGCCCAGCTAATTTTTTGTGTGTTCAGTACAGACAGGGTTTCACCGTGTTAGCCAGGATGGTCTCAATTTCCTGACCTTGTGATCTGCCCGCCTTGGCCTCCCAAAGTGCTGGGATTACAGGCGTGAGCCACCGTGCCCAGCTGTGGTATATTAATTTTTAAACAGAAAATGGGAGCAAAACCAAGGGGAAAGGGCATCTCCAATTTTGCAATCTGACTCCAGTGCTTTCCAAAAACATGCAAAACCAAAAAATAAACTGACAGAGTAATTAACAAGTCATCAATAAAAAAGAAATCAGAGTTGGGCATGATGGTGCACACCTATATCCCTGGCTACTCAGGAGGCTAAGGCAAGAGGACTGCTTGAGCCCAGGAGTTCAAGATCAGCTTGGGCAGCCTAGCAGCACAGTGAGACTCCTACCCTGTCTAAGAAAGAAAGAAATCAAATGGAAACAGGAGTTTTTTAAAACAGGGACAACAGAATGGATCATACTTAATTGACTTAGTTTCTCCGATAGAGTATAAAGCTCAGCATTCACAATGTAAGCAGATGCAGATGTCTGATCATATTTGATTTAGTATCATGTGTCATTATCACAGGAGACTAGAGAACAGAATAAAGACAGGGGAAAAAATAACTGGATCTGGTCAAAGGTGAGGCAGTAGGAGATCAAGTCCTTTGCTATAAAGGCTTCATTCTGCTCCTCGAATTTGGTTGGAAAAACACACTCATGAAAAGAGTGTCTTGTCCATTTCAGAACCCCACTCTGGTTATTTCTAAATGAGGTAACCTAATGGACTTTTCATAAGAATGGGTCTCCTGTTCTCCCACAGCCATGTCACTGAGCTTTGAACATTTTCCGGTGCCCCTGTACAAATCAGTTTAGTCTCTGGGTTTCTGTTTATTCATGTGAAAAAAAGGAGACAGAAGGAGGTCCCTTGCAGTCTGACATCACGATGCCATGCTTTTCTATAAAATATTTCACAGCAATGGGATACAGTCTATCTCTCTTGGCACAGTGTTTGGCTCATAGTGGTGTCATTAAATGATTATCAATTCACTAATTATTGACTAGTAATGATAATAGGTAATATTTCTTGATGTCCTTTGATGTGCTAGGCACTGTTCTAAATATTGTCCGGGTTTTAACTCCTTAATCCTCCCAACAAGCCTGTGTGGTGGGTCCTGTTGATGGTAAGTGCTCAGCTCCTCTAATTACCTTGAGTCACCCATTGAACTCCGAGCCTCACTTCTTCACCTGTAACAGCTTGCAAGATTGTTGAAAGCCACTAACTCTTTCACACTGAGGAGTTCTAGGCACAGTTCTAGGTACTGGACAGGCATCACATGTACTGGACAGAACTACAGTCCATGTGGTTCTCAGCAGAGCATCCTGCACATAGAAAGCCTCCAAGAAACCATGGGCATTATTAAGGATGTCAGGGATTTTCTAAAGCAAGGCTGCTCCCATAGTAAGAATATTCCTTCTAGTTATGATTTATGAAACAAATAGTTCATCTGGTGACAATTTCCACTCTTTTCCTGTCAAATACTATCACTAAATAAATTTTGAATTTAGAGTATCGATGAATGTGTCCTTGGAGCAGTAGTTTACTTACAGTAGCCTACAAATTGGTGCTGTTCTGTGATGAAAATGGGAGAAATAAAAATAATGTATGTTTTTCTTCAAGCAAAAATCTATTTTGAAATCGTGAGTATTTTGTGTTAAAATTCCTTTGGTTTATAAAATGGTGGTGAGAGTACTTTTTAATTAAAAAATATTAATGAGCAAAATACAAAAGGTGGCAACTCTATGTCATTTGCAAAAATGCTTTCTGCAATTTAACTTGTCTATGAAATCCAAAAGTCTTGGATGCACTGATGAAGACTCAGACGAGCAGAATCTCAAGGAGAAGAGAAGAGAGTATTGTTCCTTTGTCAGCAGTCATCTCCTAACAACAGGCAACACCGTGCCTTTCTTTATAAGAATGCTTTGGTATCTTCAGATTATTCTTTCAGTGAAAAACAAAATGCAAATATGGATTTTCAAACTCAATTTCTCTATAAGTATCTATATCATGGATAAATATAAAACCAAATCCATCCATCCATCTATCCATCTTTAATCTAAATGATCCTATGGCCAGAATGGAAAAAATGCAGGATAACACGTTCATCTTTTCATTTTAAGAATGGTATGTAGTTTAAAAAATGGAAAAGTACACAAGTTTTTATAAACAAACTTTACTGAGACATAACTTACATACAATAAATCCCACATATTTGAAATATCAAGTAGATGATGTTTGACAAAGATACAAAACATTTTGACCTCCTTCATTCCCCTTTACAGTCAATTCCCTTTTACCCCCTACTCCAGGCAACCACTGATCTGACTGCTATCCCTACAGGTTAATCTTGCAAGTTCTAGAATTTCATATGATTGGAATCACATAATATGTGCCCTTTTGGGTTTAACGTGTTTCACCGAGCACAATGTGAGATTCACTCACATTGTGTGCACAGTAGTAGGTTCCTTTTTATAGTTGAGTAGAGGTTTTGGTGTGAACATACAATTTATTCTCGTCTTGACTGATATAAGGGTTGTTTAGAATTTTTGGTTATTCTAATCTCTTTTGAAATTATTGGACTAGAATTTTTAAGAACATACGTTTCCATTTCTCCTGGGTAGATACCTTGGAGTGGAACTGCAGAATCATCTCATAAGTTTGTGATTAACTTCATAAGAAACTTGACATTTTCAAATCAGGTGACTCCATATTAAACTCACATACAACATACATACAAGAGATTCATGTGTGCCACGTCCGCAGCAACACTGGGTATGGCTTGGTATGGGAATTTAAGCCATTCTACTGGGTGTAAAGTATTATTTCATTGTGATTTTTATTTGGATTTTCTTGATGACTTAATATTTCTGAGCATACTCTCATGTGCCTTTTGGCCATTCTTGTATTTTCTTTGTGACGTATCATTTCAAATCTTTTGCCCATATTATTGGGTTGTCTTCTTGAGTTTTAAATGTTCTTTATGTATTTTGTATACAAGTTCTTTTTTAGATATATAATAAAAGTGCTTTCTTCTTGTCTCTGGCTTGGCTTTTTCATTTCCTTGATGGATTCTTAGAAAAGCAGACGACTTTTAATTTTGATAAAGACCAATTTAGAAGCCAAGTGTGATTGTGTGCATCTGTAATCCCAGCTACATGTGAGGTTGGGGCCATGGGATCTTTTGTGCCAAGAGCTCAAGTCCAGCGTGGGCAACAGAGCAAGACGCTGTCTCAAAAACAATAACAAAGAAAGAAAAGAAAAGAAAAAAGAAAAGAAATAAAAAGACCAATTTATCAATTTTTTTTCTTTTAAACTAAGGTGCTTCCAGGGACATATATAATAATTCCTTGCCTATTCTCAAGGTCGTGAAATTTTCTCTTATGCTTCCTTCTATAAAGTTTTAAATTTAGGTCCATTATTTATTTCAAATTAAATGTTGTGTATAGTGTGATGCAGGAGTTGAAGTTCACTTATCTTACTAAATGAAGTTCATTTAGTTATTCCAGTACCCTGTAGTGAAGAGACTACCCTTTCTCTCGTTGGATTGCTTTGGTACAATTTTTGAAAAACATTTGGCCATATATGTGTGAGTATATTTATGGAATTTCTATTTTGTTCTACTATTATAATCTACAAGTTAGTCTTTATTCCAGTACCATATTACCTTGGTTATTGTAATTTTATAGTAAGTCTTAAAATTAGGTGGGCAAGTCCTCAAAAGTTTGTTCTTTTTCTATATGAGTTTCACTACTCTAACGTCTTTGCACTTCTATACAAATTTCAGAATCAATGTGTTCATTTTATTTTAAAAAATCTGGTGTTATATTGATTGTGATTGCAGTGAATCTATAGGTCATTAGAATAATGGACATAATTTTAACATTGAGTCTTCTAATCCACAAGTGTGGGATATCTCACCATTTATTTAGATATTTAATTTCTCTTAGCAATGTTTTACAGTTTTCTGTGTAGTCTTAGATATATTTTGTTTAGCTATTACATAGTAATCTTGTATTTTGCGCACTAAGTTATATTATTAGTTCTTGTAGGATTTTTTTCTTCATATAGGTTAAGCATCCCTAATCTGAAAATTCAAGATCTGAAATGCTCCAAAATCCAAAACTTTTTGAACACCAGCATGAAGGTCAAAGGAAATGCTCACTGCAGTACTTCAGATTTTAAATTTTTGGATTTGAGAAGCTCAACTGGTATGTATTCTGCAAATATTCCAAAATCCAAAAAAATACAAAACTGAAAACACTTCTGGTTCCATGTATTCTAGACAACACTCCAACTCTAGATCTCATAGTTTTTTATATAAACCATTTGATCTATACATAAAAATAATTTCACTTCTTCCTTTCTAATCTTTTTGTCTTTATTTCTTTTTCTTGCTTTATTTCACTGGCCAGGGTCTTCAGAACAATATTTAATAGAAGGTAAGTAGCCGGGTGTGGTGGCTCATGCCTGTAATCCCAGCACTTTGGGAAGCTGAGGTGGGTGGATCACTTGAGGTCAGTAGTTTGAGACCAATCTGGCCAACATTGTGAAATCCTGTCTCTACTAAAAATACAAAAATTAACTGGGCATGGTGGCAGATGCCTATAATCCCAGCTACTCGGGAGGCTGAGGAAGGAGAATCGCTTGAACCTGGGAGGCGGAGGTTGCAGTGAGCCAAGATCGTGTCACTGCACACCAGCCTGGCTGACAGAGTGAGATTCTGTCACACACATACAAAAATAGATTAAAAAAAAATAAGGTAAGAAAGCTAATGGTCTTGTCTTATTCTGTATAGAAAAAAGTTTTTTAACCATTTAGGATGATGTTACCTGTACGTTCACCATAAATGCTGTTTATCAAGATTTCTGTTATTTCTACTTTTCTGGTAAGTTTTTTAAAAATTATGGATCAACACTGAATTTTGTCAAATGCTTTCTCTGCATCTATTGAGAAGAATGTATATTGGACATACATTCTATAAAATGTTCTATAGATATCAGTTAGGTCACATTGATTGACAATGCTGTTCAGATCATCAGAGAGTGATGTTGAAGTTTTACAACTGTAATGGTAAATTTATCAATTTCTACCTGAATATTATCAGTGTTCACCTTATATATTTTGACACTCTATGTTAAGAGTGCAAATGTTTAGAATTGTTACGTCTTCTTGGAGAATGTAACCCTGTATCATTCTGTAATTGCCTTTTTTTTTTTTGATGGAGTCTCGCTCTGTTGCCAGGCTGGAGGGCAGTGGCATGATCTCGGCTCACTGCAACCTCCGCCTCCCAGGTTCAAGCGATTCTCCTGCTTCAGCCTCCCGAGTAGCTGGGACTACAGGTGTATGCCATCATGCCCAGCTAATTTTTGTATTTTTAGTAGAGACAGGTTTCACTATATTGGCCAGGATGGTCTCAATCTCTTGACCTTGTGATCCATCCGCCTTGGTCTCCTAAAGTGCTGGGATTACAGGCATGAGCCACCACGCTCAGACTAATTGCCGTCTTTATTCTTTTCACTCTTGTTCTGAAGTCTGCATTGTCTCAACTCAATATAACTACTATAAGAGTCTTGACTGTGTTAGTGTAATACATCTTTCTCCAATACTTTACTTTTAACCTGAGTACTTAAAGTGTGTTTCTTCTAGAGAGCATATAGTTAGGCTTTTTTTGCCCCTAATCTGACAATCTCTGTCTTTTAACTAGTGTGTTAAGACTATTCACATTTAAGGTAATTATTGATAGACTTAAAATTTACCATCTTTATACTTTTCTATTCATTGCTCTTGTTTCTCTCTTTTTTCTTTGACCTTTTCTGATTTTAACTGAGTATTTGAGGCCATTTCATTTTATCTTCTCAACACATTATTTATCTTTCCTTTATAAAAAAATTTTTAGTGTTTGCCTTACAGTTAACAATATACGTTTTTAAGTAATCTAAGTCCACCTTCAAATAACACTATTCTTCACATGTATTGCAGGTACCTTATAACAAAGCATTCTATTCCTCCCTTCCATCCCTTGTGGCATTGCTGTTATTCATTTTACTTATCTATATGGTATAAAACCCAGTGTATTATTGTTATTATTGCTTTAACCAGTTAGCCTTTAGATCAATTAATAAGAAAAAAGGAATTTATTTTACCTTCATTTATTCATTTTCTGACATTCTTCCTTTCTTTCTGTTGATTCAAGTTTCTGATCTATATCATTTTTCTTCTGCCTGAAGAACTTTTATCACTACTTGCAGGGCAGTTTGCTGACACTGAATTGCTTCAGTTTTTGTTTGTTTGGGCAAGCCTTTCCTTACTTTTCTTTTATGTTTGAAGAATAATTTTATTGGATATAGAATTGGTCATTTTTTTTTTGTTTCAACCCTTTAAAGTTTTCACTCATTTTCTTCTTGCTTAAGAGGTTCTCATTAGAAGTGTCCTGGAATTCTTATCTTTTCTCTGGAACTAAGGTACATGATGTTTGTTGTTTGTTTTTAAAATCTGACTCCTTTCAAAATTTTACCTTTGTCGTGTGTGTGTGTGTGTGTGTGTGTGTGTGTGTGTGTGTGTGTTTGAGAAAAGTAGTTCAAATATTTATCCTGTTGGTGTTATCTGAACTTCTTGGATATGTGGTTCAATGTTTGTGATTAGTTTTGGAAATCTGTTGTCATTACTATTTGAACTATTCTTCTGTCTTCTTCTTCTGATATTCTAGTAATGCATATGTTACATCTTTTAATATAGTCCCACAATTCTTGGATGTTCTGCTCTGTTGTTTTCATTCATTTTACTCTTTGTATTTTGGTTTGGGTGGTTTCTATTGATTTACCTCCAAGTTCACTGATTCTTTCCATGGCTGTGTTGAGTCTACTGATGATCCCCTTGAAGGCACTCTTACTCGCTATCACAGTGTTTTTTATTTCTAGTATTTTCTTTTGATTGTTTATTAGTTCCACTTCTCTGTTACATTAGTCATCTGTTCTGGCATATAGTTTACATTTTGCATTAGTACCTTTAACATATTGATCATACTTATTTTAAATTTCCTATTTGATAAACCTAACATCTGTGTCATATCTGAATCTGGTTCTGATGATTACTTTGTCTCTTCAGTTTGTTATTTTCTTACCTCTTGCATGCTTTGTAATTTTTTGTGTGTGTCTGAAACCTGGACATGTTGTATTCAGTAATAGGAACTTGGGAGGAGGCATTTGGGGATATCCAATAAATAGTCCACTAGAACAAAGGAAGGGACTGGAAGATAGCATTATACTTCATTGATGCCAGGAAGCAAGAATCTAATGGGGGCAGTCATCAAGAGCTTTCTTTGGCAAGAGTTTCTAACCTGGGAACCTAAACAGGACCTAGGGGTGTGTTTCAGTCAAACTTCAACATACACTTTCTTATTAAACTTTTCAACTACCAACTTACTGTGATAAGTCTTACAATAGAGCCTTATCCTAGGAACTAGAGATGAGATACTCAACCCAGATGAAGAGAACTAAGGAGGGCTTTCTATAGGAGGTGGTATCTAAAACTCAAGCCAGAAGGAAAACTGGAATTATTCAGGTGAATGGGTGGGTGTCAAGAAGGTAGAGAGTATGACATTTGACAACCCTTGAAAGTAGTTCAGTGGGCCTTCAGCTTAGAGGAGGAGGGAGTATAGGCAAAACCAAACACCATCACCACCACCCCTAGCACCACCACCACTGACAACAACCACCATTACCACCACTGCCACTGCCGCCATCACCACCACAATAATCCAACATCTTGAACAGAAAAACAGACTGTTTTTTAAAACTATAAAATGCTCATCCCTGGAGGTGTTGAAGCAAAGGCTGTCCAACTACACAGTAGGGATGTTAGAAAGGGTAACACAGGGGGACATGTACCTATATTGTAAGGGGGACACTCAGCCTCCATTCTTCCTATTCCCTTGTGGAGGGACTTCCCTGACTAACGCTCTTGGCCTCTCTCCTGTCCTCCATTTGCTACTCATTCAGCCCAGTCCCATGTTCTGTCCTCACTTGAGACCTGTGTGCTGACGTAGTCTGCTTTCTGCCAAGCCTTAAAAGAGGCAGTGCTCAGTTGTGCCAGTGACTGGGATGATCCATTTAGAGAGGAAACATTCTTAGTAAATAAATTTGTCTACAGATATAAATTACATTCTCCAAAGACTTTTATCAGGAATGGAGCTGGTATTTTGTGGTCCATTGACCTTCCACTTGTGTTTATTTCTCATTGAAAGGGTCTTTTTTTTTTTTCTTAAATTGATCCCATAAATCCTTGGAAGACATCTAAAGTCCTTTCCAACACTCAGAATTCTTTTCCCCTGAATCATCAAGAAAACGAAGTTCAGTACCCTTGTTTTAAGAACGCTGAGAAATAATTCATGTATATTAAAGTTAGTAAGTTTATAATTTAGAAAGCTAGTAAGTGTTCCATTAAAAGGGGTTAAAATGAAAAATCAATGGCTCTACTGGAAAATTAGGAGAAACAACTTATGTTCTAATCATATCAGAAACTTTACTATGTAAATATAAAATTATGCTCAAGTTTCAATAAGAGTATAGAGCAGTTCACACAAAAAAGAAATGTGAAAAAACAAATACAAAGAGATAGGAAAGTAGATCACAATATCCAGAGCAGAAGTGATAAAGATGAGAAAATGTGTAGCTGACACACTGGATAGTTAAATACGTTTACATTTTGTTTGGTTATACTGGATTCTACTAAGTAGTATTCTCGTAAGTACATCACATAAAGTAATTATTCTACTCCTTTTGACACTTGTTAGCTACACACCCCATTGGTTTCTACAGGGAACTCTAACCATAATAAAAGAATTGGAAGACAATCACAGAAGGATAGAGGAGTAGAACAGCCCAGAAAAATCAGCCCTGAAGAGAACAACGTTAGCAAATGCATGGAGCCACATTCCAAAGGTCCTAAAAAGATAGTGATTTTCCCTTTACTCAACAGCATATTCAGAACTGCCCAATTTCAAGGTGCTACATCTCAGCAGAATATTTTTAAAAAGGAAAAGAAGTACAAGTGGGTGACAGTTGCAGCATAAAAAAACAGAACAGAGGCATACATCTATTGTGTAGGTGATCATTTAGAAATATAATAAGTCAATAGGAATCATTTGTAAGCGATACTCATATGACAACTATTTGTTCTTGTAGACATCTAAAGGATACCCATGGTTCGTCCATGAAGTAGACCAAGGAAACCCTTTATACATTCAAAGCAGCTTTTAAAAAATATTTTATATTCTGGGGAGCTCTGAGTGCTTCACCTCTGAAAACAAGCCTTTAAAGTTGGCAGGGGAAGGAACCCTTCACAGATAGAGGATTTGAAGCCAAACGAGGTGAAGTGATGTTAGCAACCACCACAGGAAGAAACTTCAAACCTGAAGAGATACTTGACTGTGCATAACAGAATCTGAAAGTTGCCTGTGAGCTTACACCTGGCCCCAGAAGAGCCTCCTCATCAGCATTCCAGGCCAGGCCTCAGAAAGCTAGGGACAGAATCTTGCAAGCACAGAAACATACGCAAATTTCTTTCCTTTAAACCTAACCTCATGATTTCAGTCTATATATCCTAATGCCTTTCCAGTGTTCTAACCGTCTTATTCTTTTTAAAGTGTGCTTCTGGCCGGGCGCGGTGGCTCACGCCTGTAATCCCAGCACTTTGGGAGGCCGAGGCGGGCGGATCACGAGGTCAGGAGATCGAGACCATCCCGGCTAAAAAAACGGTGAAACCCCGTCTCTACTAAAAATACAAAAAATTAGCCGGGCGTAGTGGCGGGCGCCTGTAGTCCCAGCTACTTGGGAGGCTGAGGCAGGAGAATGGCGTGAACCCGGGAGGCGGAGCTTGCAGTGAGCCGAGATCCCGCCACTGCACTCCAGCCTGGGCGACAGAGTGAGACTCCATCTCAAAAAAAAAAAAAAAAAGTGTGCTTCTGCAGGGAGTTAATGCTATTAGCACAGCAGCAGCCCCCTTAGCTACGGTTTCACTTTGTGCAGTTTCAGTTACCTGTGGTCAATTGTGGTCTGAAAAGTAGATGAGTACAGTACAATATGATATTTCAAGAGACAGAGATATTTACCTAATTATTATTATGGTATATTATTATTAATCGTTCTATTTTATCATTAGTTCTTGTTAATCTCTTACTGAACCTAATTAAAAAAATTAAACTTTATCATAGGTATGTATGTATACACTATATAAATAGTGTTTAGTAATATCTATGGTTTCAGGCATCCACTGGGGGTCCTGCTATGTTTCCCTTGCAGATGAGGGGGGATTACTACAGCTTCTCTTCTGATTAAACACATCTGCCACCAAAGAGCAGGTATCTTCTGGGCACAATAAAATTATCAAAAATTTTGATATTGCAAAAGATTTTGAACACTGATAAGTTAAAACATGTCTAAAGTTTTCTTAGACTTTGAAGCACCTAAGGGAAAATTTTGTTTAGAATTTAAAGTTCTTCAAATAAACACAGAAACAAATGTTCATATAGTAGAACTCTTTGTAAAAACAAATACAGACAATTTAAACACTACTGAGGTTAAAGCGTAATTTTCAGAAAAGGTTAAAATCATGACTGTCATACAAATATGGAAGTGAACGCATCTTTAAGATTTTAATTTAACTTATTAATGAGGAAACTGGCAAGATGTTACAACCAGCTCAAGGGAGAATCCGAACAGCGGACACAATTATAGATCAGGAAGACTGAAATAAATGTGTAAATGGGAGGTAAAACTCACCTTATCCACAGTGGTTAGGCAAGTCAACTGAACCTCTGTGGAACAGAAGTTACATGTCAATGGAGAAAAATTATATTGTATTACCCTCTGTTATCTACAACTCACAGAGTTATAAAATTGCTCCCTAGAATCAAAGAATTAGATAACCCAAAATGTTGTGCTATAGATGACCATGCATAGTTTTCCATGCAAGCACAATTTTTTCCTACATGGATCACTGACTATCTTACTTACCACTGTATTCTGAAAACCTGGTACATGGTAGATGGTCCATAAATACTTCCTAAATGGATGAATGAATGCCCATTATATGTCAGTCATTAAGCTAGGCCCTTCACATTCATCATCCCATTTAATCTTCCCCCAAATTCTTTAAGATAAATATTATTTTACTGACAAGAAACTAACGTGTGGCATTATGTTTTTATTACATGTCAAAGGTTGGTGTAGAGGGCAGCAGGGAGGATTTGACTCAGACCTATGATCAGAAAACCTATCTCTGTTTTCTTCTTCTTTTTCTCTCCATTTAATATATGTCTTTTTTATTTACCGTCACTGGACCATGTGCCTCTAAATCAAGGGATGTTTGTATATAACACTGATATAACATGCTTCCTCAATGAGCATGATAGAGGAGATCCTTGCTTTAAGAAAAATAAAAGAACAGCAGCACTCAGGAGAATCTAAGCATAAATAAGAGATACATGAACAATCTTTTCTGCAGCCTTAAAGATTAGCACAGGATATTTACCAGCCCAGAATGTTTTGTTTCCCTTAGATGCTTCTTTCCCTCCTTTCCCAGGATAATAAAGCTGGATGAATTCAACATTATGTGTATTGTTTTGTTATCAAAGATACCATCAGGGCAACACTTGGAAAAGAGCAGCAGCTCACATGCGCTGTATGCTCACTGTGACTGTGTACCACCTTCATAGCAACACTATGAGGTAGATACTATTAGCATCTCCTTTTCTGCAGGTGACAAGCTGCCATGCACCCAGCAACCTTTACAAAATCACAAGGTTGCGATGCAGCTCTGGGCTGTGACCTGGTACTTGTAACCACTCCCCTGTCCTCTCTTAAGTCATTCTACTGTCTGCACACCCTGGTGAGGTTTGCTCTGTCATCACATCTTGAGTTTTACAAACCTCTTTGCCCTGTTCATCACAGCCTCCAAGAGTATTGGGATTCCCACAGCTTCTAGCATCATAGGGCTGGTAAATGCACACTGGCTGAAGTCCCGAAAGCTATTTTCTGGCCACTTGGCACTTGTGATCATTTGGGTATTTTGCATTCACTCTTAGAGAAGCAGGGGCCAGAGAACAGGGGAAGAGAGTTGTCTTCTGAGGCTTCAAATAGGTGAATGTCAAAAAGATGTAGACCAAAAGTTAATCTGAAATCATTCTCTCTGTTCCCTAAGTCCCCAAGTAATTCCCTGCTTTCTTCTTCTTGCCAGAAAATAGGCTGCCCTTAAAAGGAAATAACAGCATGTTTTTCGACACTTCCAGGTGAGTCCTGACATGACTAATAGCACAATGCCAACATGTAAAAGGAGTCAAGAAATGGTTAGCTTAGTGGTTTACCTATATTATTTCATTTAATTTTCACGACATCTCTCTGAGCCAGGTACTATTTTCTTTATTTTGGAGATGAGGTAGTGAGGTTAAGTAACTTGCCCAGGTTAATAAGCAGCTTGCCCAAGATCCCAAGAAAGTAGTGATTTCCCAATACCTGGTATGTTTCATGAAGACCAAGTCTGCCACCAAAAGCATACGACAACTTTTTTAAATGCATACCTCATTCCCACACTCCTGTCCTCATGTCACTTAGCAGAAAACCTTGGGAAGTGGGACCATTTATTCCATAAGCATTGATGCATGAATCTTTATTTCTGAGGACTGTAAGGCTCATCCTCTTCAAACCATTATAAATGCTTATCCTTCCCTCAAGGGGACCTCATAATTCTCACCCCTAATAAAAGATAACACTGCTTTCAAATAAGATCATGAAAAAGGCTTTGCCATTACTATCGCACAGGCATTAAAAAACATTAAGCAGCCATTATCTGATGAAGGCTACCATAATCAGGCAAATGGTTACTAACTGATTGATTACAGTTAGGAGTAGAATAACTGACCCTAGATGGGCTTTTCTTAAACTCTTAAGGGAGGAACTAAGAAAATGAATGTAGACACTTGGAATCGAAGCTAAGTACCCACACTGCCTTCCGAATTTCTGAGATTTCATCCAAAAGGGCCATTGACTCTAGTTGGGAGTGACAGAGAGGAAATGCATAAAGGACCATTTTTATATTTAAGATAGAAGGATTTTACTCTCTTGTTTGTTAACTCAACTTGAGCTACAATTGGGTGTTTTCCCTATATATTTAGACATATCAATGTGGTCAGCAGGAATCTAGGATCATCTAGCTCAGCATTTTTTTTAAAACATTTAGTGCTTAAATGTTTAAAAAAAATTTTTTTTAATCAATCAAGTTTTCAAAATCAATCAAGTTTTCTGTATGGTTCAAATATACACAACAGACATGAAGGGAGTGGTTTTGGTTCACGCACCCGCCTCTACCCAAAGCACACCCACATCCCTTTGGCAGTCAAGGGCTCCATGAAACACACATAGAAAACCATCGACTGAGACCTATTCTAAGAAGGTGAACTGACCTGCCCCAGATCTCACAGCTACAGCCTAAGAGCTGAACTGCAAAAAGAAATACTTTCTGCTTAACAAGTCCCTTTTTAAAGTAATAGGAGTGAACAGAACAAGAGAGATTAGGATTTGTCATGACAGAAAGTGTGGGTTTGGAAAGAGGTTTGTCATCGAGAATGCTGAGCTATTTCATGACAAGTCACTTTACCACCAGAGTGAAAGCATTTTCTCAGAAAAAAAAGATCTGGACTAGAAATGACTTCTTAACACTGTTTCCCCCTTGAAGCCACACAGTTTTGGTTTACAGAGTGTATCCTCAGTCCTATCTTTCACTGCACTGTTTGTGCAGGGAAAAGGGAAGTGTTGCCCACATACAAGCAGGATCTTAGGGTGAAAGGGCAGGCAAGGTCTGGAAAAGCCCCCTTACTCTGATGGGCTTCCACGGTGGGCATATTTGCTCCATCTTGCCCACTCCATCCCCCAATTGAGAGACTTGATCTGAAGCCCCTTTATGGTTCACTATCCTGGCCTATTTTCTGCTTTCAAGTACTTACTGACCTCCACGTATAATATTTGAATACCCTTGATCTAAATGGAATCGTTATCTGTGCCTTGAAACTATTCATCCCAAGGGCAGAGAGTTAGTATTATTATATTCCATTTCAGAAACTTGGAACATTGCTAGGTGCAGATACAAGAAGGTGGTCAACAGGGAAATGGATGGCCAGAGGACAGGAGTGTCAGGAAAACCGACTTTCCACCATGGACTCTTTCACATGATTGGATACATGTGTATAGCTCACCCAAAGAAGTCAATATACTTTATCTTAGACATTTTTTAAAAAGCATTTTCCTACTTAGAAACCTTTTCTACTTGGAAGATCTACATAGTGATCCTGTAGCCAAGTTCATGTGAAAGACTTCCTTCTTTCCTTTCTCTATGATTGGCATGCTCTTATTTTCTCTAGGATCCCCCAACCCTGCACCCTGATTCCCATATACTTTTACAATGGATGCTAAAATCCACAGTTTTCTATAATAACCATGTATGTTTGTTAAATAGCATGGCTCACATGGATCTGGAATTTATCACCCCTTTGGAAGTAAACCCATGCCAGAAAATTTCAGCAGGAAGATGTTGTTTCATGGTAAGGGTATGGGAAAGGCTATCGTGACTGGGAGAAAGAAAAGGAGTGAAATATCTGGGATACTGCATACTTTACCAGTTATGTCATGCTGTTTGAATGACTCACTGTAGATCTGATACTGATTCGGACAATGTTTCTTCAACCACTTGCAGACATCCTGCTGGGTCCATAGAGCCACCGGTTTAGATAGCTTCACCGTAGCTGACTATAAATAAAGAAGGAAGATCTGTCAATGCTGGCCCCATGCCTAGGAAGACACTATAGTTAAAAGTCTTAGAGTGTGTTAAAGGCTACAGACTGGATTCCCTGAAGATAAATATCTAGTTCTTGTCTTTCTCCTAACCTCTGTAGACCTTCTCAATACTGCTGAAAAGCACAAAGAAAGGTCCAGGTGGAGAAGCTGTGAAAATGATCTAACCATCTCTGCTAAGAAAAAATCCCAAGGAATCCCTAGGAAGTAGTGTTTTTTAATGAATACTCTAGCAAAAAACAATGGGGTTGCTAAGCAATTAATTACATTAAAGGGGAGACACAGCTGGCCCCAAGTGCCTTTCTCTGTATTCCAAGAAAGTATTTATCTCTCGCTGTCCCTGACATTTCTAGAGCCTAGCACAACACTGGCTCCAGGAAGTGCTAATAATATTTTTAGGAACGAATGTTACTGGATTTAGATAACTGTATACTAAGAACTGCAAGTCTGCCTGGGGGCTCTGGACTTAGGGTGGCCCTGAAATGTCCAGGACCATTAGTTATACCAAAGTGGGGAAGCAAAAAGTCAATTCCACCAGGATGTGGAGAATGGTAATAAGATAATGTGGGCAGTTAGGCTTTATACAGAAGCCAACTAGTCAAGGTCTTTTTTTTGTTCACTGGATCTTTCAGGGAAGTATTTATGAGGAAAACACACACACACACACACACACACACACACACACACACAAACACACACACACACACACATATAAAAACGCAGGGAGTGAGAAAAGCTTAGCCTTTGACAAATGATGGATTACAAATACATTTATTAGTGAATAAGCATCAATTTCATGCCCATGGGATGACCATGCTCTGATGGTCTCCCTCAGAGATCCCAGGAATTTGGTTTTAGACAGATTAATGCTTCACTATCTAGAATTTTTATCATGTTGGATCAGTGTTTGCCAAAAAAAGTAAGGCTATCATATTGGCAGCTGTTTGAAGGCTCCTGGGTGGTACAAGGACGTGGCCATTATTATCCCTGCTCTTCTCCATACGCATAATTTCCTTCCACTTCTCTATCAAATCTTTCAGATTAAGGCAAAAGGAGAGCCTTCATTTGGTAGGAGTGTGATTGTAACACCTGCTGACATGTGTGTTGTTGTTGTTGTTGTTTCCTTGACAAAGAAAGGGCTTGCTTCAGTCTCAGAATCTTAAAAAAAGGTAGTATATCTAGCATCTAATAACTTTTAAAAACTTTTTAGTGTATTTAAAGTTACCCTTTATTTTATGGCAAATAATTATGGCAAAATAAATTTTATTTTCTGTGGCAATATCTTCTTTGTTTTTTAAACAAATTTGAGTTTAAAGACACAACTATCCCTTGGGCCAATTTTTAATAAAAAAATAAAGAAACAATGGTGCAGATGGTGAGAGAGTCATAGTGAAAACAGTGGAAGTAATACGGAAGCGATTCAAGGTTGGAAAGCACAATGCTCAGGTGTTTTTTTTTTATTCGTATATTTCCAGTCATATGAGTCCTTGGGCCATTGCTTTCAAAATAATCACAATGCTGATCACTTTTTATTTTGTACTGTGATATTTTTCTTTTATTAATTGTGGTAGATGGTGTTTTCCAAAGATGATTTTATATATGTCCATATATTCATATATGTATGTTTTCATATAGACATATATACATACATATGTATCTGCTTTTCATTCAATGGGACTGACATTTCTTCCACTAATATGTGGGGTTGATGCTCCCTCCTACTCCATTTCAGCAGGGTTATGTGACCTTCCTGACCAATGTAGTACAGTGGAATTAATGCTATGTGACTTCTGAGGTTAGGTCATAAAAAAGAAACAGCTTCTGCCTGATTCACTCTCTGGCACTGACCTTTGGAAACCAACCACCATGTTGTGAGGAAGCCCAGGTCACATGGAGAGACCATGTGTAGGAATTTTGGTCAATTTGCCAGCTAAGGTCTCAGTTGACAGTCATCACCAACCACCAGACAAATGAATGAACAAGCCTCAGATGATTCCAGCCACCAGCCTTCAAATCTTCCAGCCAAGGCCCCCAGATACCACAATAGAGAGTCAAGCCATCTTTGCAGTGCCCTGAGTGAATCCTTGACCCACATAATCCATGAGCATCATAAACAGTTGTCTAATACCACTAAGTTTTAGGGTAAATTGTTTTGCAATCCTAGTAAGTGGAATACATGGTGAAGATGGGAGGGTGAGATCTGTTATAATTTTGTGTTCCCCAGAGTGTCTTGTTTTCAGTAGATCCCGTGTACATCCACAAGGATTAAGTGAATGAATTAATGAAATGAAACAGCATTCACAGACATAGCTTGCTATTTAATCAGCAGTGACTTTCACGTTCAGCCCTTGCTTCTCTACCCTGCTGTGTGTTATGCCTACATGGCTCCTAATCAAACATGCCTGCAGCCCTTCATACTGGGGTAATGGGCTGCAGCCATTTTCCCTCTAACATCTGTGGGAAACCATATTGACTTTGCCTAATTTTGATGAGAGAGGAAGACGTTGGGCATGGAGGGTATAAATGAATAAATGTTTTTATTGTTGATGATGTTTAGGTTTCTTTTTCTCTTTGCTCATCATCACCTCCTTTCCTTTGCACAACTAGGAAGCTAGAATTTTAGATCTTTTAGCTAGAAATCACTTACCACCATGTTTCACAAGTCAGCACCTCTGAATCTAGTTCTTTCCTGCTCTACAAATGTTCCTTCGGATTAGCTGAATGAGTTTATAGCTGACACATCATTACCCTGAAACTCTTGCAAGTAAAGCTAATCACATCTTTTGAAAACTCCTGTAAACCAGTCACAGAGGCGTAAATTAGGAAGGGAAAGGCAGAAAGATAAAGTTGCTTATACATCAATATATTAAACTTTTTCCTTCTTGGAAGAACATTCTTTAACTTGCTCATATCCTGGGAAAGGGAGGACGCTCAGCCTCAGCTGGGCTTCAGGTGGAGATTTACCCAAACACACTAAGTTGACTCAGAATGCATCCTCACCAGCCCACCATGTATGCTTTTGTTCTAAGTTTTCCTTTTATCATAAATTCAGAGATTCTGAGGTTAACACTCAAGGAGTTGCTTTGCTTTATTCTTCAGCATATACTCTTACTAGGCATATACTAGTAAGAGCATATACTCAAAACTTTAGGCATAGATTTTTAAGACTGTATGAGGCTGGGCACAGTAGCTCATGCCTGTAATCTCAGCACTTTGGGAGGCTGAGGCAGGCAGATCACCTGAGGTCAGGAGTTCAAGACCAGCCTGGCCAACATGGTGAAACCCCATCTCTACTAAAAATACAAAAATTAGCTGGGCATGGTGGCATGCACCTGTAATCCCAGCTACGCGGGAGACAGGAGGATCGCTTGAACCTGGGAGGTGGAGATTGCCTTGAGCAGAGATCGTGCCATTGTACACCAGCCTGGGTGACAGAGCAACACTGTCTCAAAAAATAAAAAACACTGTCTCAAAAAAAAAAATTAAGATGGTATGAGCCTACAAAAATGCCTCCATGTAAACAGACATAATAAGTAAAATGAGGGTAATAAAGATTCCTACTGTTTGTCTCTTCTTAATCAGATGGTAATAAAAGTATTGATACCATTTATCAGGTGATTCTCAGCCTTGGCATTTTAATGAAATTACTATTAGTTTGCCACACTTTAAGAGCTGTAATGACTCCAGTTACCCCAGTCTGCTGCTTCTTTTGGGATTCTCAGAGCTGACTTTGATTTGTTCTGCCTGAACTTCTCTTTTTGTAGCATCCAGGGTCAATCTCAGTTACTCCCCCTTCCATCAACATTTCCTCCATCCCCAACAGCTACCAAATGTTGGGAGTGAATGGCATAACCTGATTCCTTTAAAGAGCTTACACTTCACTTCCACGTACAATTAGAACAACAAGAAGTACATGTTAAACCTTATCACTTGAATTCAACATATTTTCCCACTGAAGGCAGGAAAAGAGAGGCAGAGCTGTCAATGCCTTCGACCGCCTCGTCTCCTTTCCTCAACATCCAACACCTACACTCTCTTCACAGCCATCCCTAGAGGATGACTTTCTCTGATATGCTGCTGGGTTTTTTCTTCCCGCAGTAGGGGCCTAAGCCTAAATAATAATAGTCCATAAAGCAAAGAAATAAAGCATTTCACCTTTACTAGAAACAGTAAGCTCATAAGAAAAAAACATCCTGCCCAATGGCAAACATTAAAAAAACATTTGCCCCAGTTCTTTTTCTCAATGTTCATGTCTACCACATCATTCTCTGAATTTACAACCCTGGAGACAATTTTGGTTTATTTTGCTGCCCTGAAAGAGGCCCGAGGCAGTTTGTTATCTTAACCCCTATGCATAGTGACACCAAGCAGAATTCCAGACATTTCCTTTCTGAATTGGTCCTGGCCTTGCTACAGACAATCTGAAAGTGAATTTCAGACGCTTTTCCTTTCTGATGCCTTTCTGTTTTACAGGAAGAACTAACTTTATGCAAAATACACATTCCTGAGAGAATGGTTGTTTGCAAATTACTTTTTTTTTTTTTTGGTAAATGATTTCTATTTTTATTTACTCATATAATAAATTCAGCTATGTTTTACAGTAATTCTGATTTGTATTTAACTAGAAAGAACTCTGAAGCATTCAGTTTTAAGTTCTCCAAGGTAAACTTGAAGCTTTTCTGCTAAGTAACAGAATAATTAAATGCCTTAAAGAAGGTTGAAATTGAAAGAACATATTGCAAAATGCCTTTAAAGTTAAATTTTTATTTTGTGATTCAACTATCCTTTAGCTTATCTGTTTTACAATATAAATTTTCTTTTAATTTACTGGGCTTTGATTTATAAGAGAACACTGCAATTGTAAGATCCCAATGGTTGTACAAACTCTTAACTAGGTGAGCCCAGTTGGTTGATTATCAAAAAATAGAGAATGCTTAGACTGTTTACATTCATTGGCAGGGCAAAGTGAGCTTTATGGCCAAATTTCAGAAAGCGGTTTAGTATATCATTATAAGCAAGTGTTTGCAAGCTCTAAGAATTGCCTATTTCTTCCCTTACTATCTTGCAATGTCCTTTCTTTAGTTCCCAGTCCTCTCTTTTATTAACTTTTATTGTGTCATTTTACTCAAGATTACAGAGAGAGAAAGAAGGAAAAGGAGGAAACACACACATACACAACAAACCATTAATGTCTACTTTAGCAGTTTTTAATGCTCATTCACCCAAAAAAGGTCACTAAATATCAGGAAAAATGGTTAGCTCATAGAATACTTGATATATGAATTAATTAATTTTAAAGTACTAATAATGTCTTCTTCTGTCACCTTAATCCTTTCATGGAAAGAGGTGGTTAGAAAATTTTAAAAACATATCTTGTCTATTGCATGCTGTTTCCCGAATGGTCTATAAAATCTACATATTAGGGATTATTCATGGGTTTGGACCTAAATATTTTATGACAGAGAAAACTCTTAAACTTCATGCCTCCTAAGGGGAAGACATCTCATGGCCAGAAAGTTAACAGGTAAAAGAAGAATACATATCCCCTTAGGTGAAAGAAAGATAAATATACATAGTGCATTTGTGTTTAACTGAAAAGAACTCTTAAACATTAAGTTTTAAGTTCTCCAAAATAGACTTGAACCTTTTCTGCTAAGCAGTAGAATAATTAAATGCGTATAGTGTTATTTCACATTCTTCCATCTTTAACCACTGCTTTAATATCACCTGGATTATTTCTTACTTTTCAAATTTTGATGCTAATCTCTTCTGATAGTATAAGAGCCCCTAAAGACCAGTAATGTGTAAGCAACTTAGATAACTTTTCTGAACATATAGTGAGGCATTATTAGTTTTTTCGTCTGTTCTGCACAGGGGATCTATTTTAGACCCTTCATTTCCTAGTCTTCTTTACTGGGAATTGTAGCTTATTCATATTTCCTTCAAAAGGCAGTATTCTCAATGTGTTGACAACGAAAACGGAATGGATTATCGAAGCCTAAATTTTTATGATTAACAAGTAACAGGTGTCAGTTCATCATTTGAAATCCTTATTAACCAATGTATTCGTTATTTTCCCGTATTTGCATAATTTACATAAACAAAAGCTCTTTGAGGTTCTTAAAAACTTTTAAGAGTGCGACAAAGTCCTGGGACCATAAATTTGAGAACCACTGTTTAAAGACATCACTGTTGTAGTGTCTTTTTTTTTTTTTTTAAAGGAGATAAGACTAGAGGATTTTTTTCTCTTAATTTGCCCACACTGAATATTATTAATGGACTTTAAAATTTCTAAATGCTGTGACCACAGACTCCAAAAGTTGTCAAGGACTCTCAGTAGTTAGTGGGTTCAAGTTTAAACCTAATGCAAGAGTCCAATCCACTTTAAGACATCTAAGATGGGGGTTAGTAAACCTAAATTATGATGAATATATCAAGGCTTGTGTGTGTAAACAACTTTACTTGGGTAAAGACAAAATGTCAATCTCCTAATTTAAAATGATTATTTTTTCTTTTCTTCTCTTTTTTTGAGCTACATAAAATTTGGAAAAACACTGATCTAGATTCAGCACTTTCCCAGAAAATCCACAGCATCCGAAAACGTATCCTATGAAATAGGCCACACCATTGTTAATAAACATTAATGCTTCAAAACGTACTTTCATATGGAAGTCAAAGTCAGATCTTCATCATCTTTTTACTGATTCTTGAGTTTTGCCTTTGGGTAAATGCAAGACAAATCTCACTGCCCACTGTACTAATCTCCTTTTCACATGTCGTATCAGGGCTCTCCATTGAGTCTCATGGCTTGTTTTTTGGTTTTCTTTTACCATGATGTAGGCTGAGGAATCCAAAACTATACCTCCAGCTCAGTTTTCTTCCTGAACTACAGAATCATATATACATATGCAACTGATGACTTCAGTTTAATTTTTACATATAATAAATATATCAAACTCAACATGTCCAAAATTGAGCTCCTGTTCTTCCCCCTAAAAATGCCTCATTTGTAGCCTACATTTCATATCATAGAAACTCTATGCTTCCCGCTGTGGAGGCCCTGCATCCTGGATTTTTCATAGACTTTCGTCTTTCTCTTGTACTCCACATATAATCTATTAGGGAAACCTGATAATTCTACCCTCAAATGTATCCAGATGTCAATCTCTTCATTACCAACATTGCTACAATCCTGATTGGAAACACTGTCATGCCACACCTAGATTCCTGCATCTATGTACTAATACAACAAACAGGTCATCCTGTTCTTTCCTTCCTTCCCCTCAGTTGAAATCTTTTTTTTTTTTCTTTTTTGAGACTGAGTCCCACTCTGTCACCCAGGCTGGAGTGCAATGGCGCGATTTCAGCTCACTGCAACCTCTTCCTCCCAGGTTCAAGAGATTCTCCTGCCTCAGCCTCCTGAGTAGCTGGGATTACAGGCACCTGCCACTACGCCCAGCTAACTTTTTTGCATTATTAGTAGAGATGGGGTTTCACCATGTTGGCCAGGTTGGTCTCGAACTCCTGACCTCGTGATTTGCCTGCCTCGGCCTCCCAAAGTGCTGGGATTACAGGCGTGAGCCACCGTGTCCAGCCTTCAATTGAAATCTTTAAAATGACTTACAAAGGCTCACTTGATCTAGCTACCCAGCTCTTTGATGTCATCTTTCATTTTATTTTTTTATTTTTTATTTTTAATATTTATTTATTTATTTATTTATTTATTTATTTATTTTTGAGATGGAGTCTCACTATGTTGCCCAAGCTGGAGTGCAGTGGCGCCATCTCGGCTCACTTCAAGCTCCGCCTCCCGGGTTCACACCATTCTCCTGCCTAAGCCTCCCGAGTAGCTGGGGCTACAGGAGCCCGCCACCATGCGTGGCTAATTTTTTTTTGTATTTTTAGTAGAGACGGGGTTTCACTGTGTTAGCCAAGATGGTCTTGATCTCCTGACCTCGTGATCTGCCCACCTCGGCCTCCCAAAGTGCTGGGATTACAGGCGTGAGCCACCGCGCCCAGCCTCTTTGATGTCATCTTTATTACTCTTTCCTTAATACATTCTGTTCCCACTACACCAGTCTTCTTCCTATTGCTCAAAAATGCCAACTATGTCTGTGTTTTTCTTTGCTGGAATACCCTTCTCCCAGATACCTACATGGCTAATACCCTCACTTCTTTCAAAGCCTTTGAGAATTGTTCAAATGCTCCATTTTCAATAAGTCCTATCCTGATCTCCCTGTTTAAAAATGCAAGACTCCCTTCTGGAGCTTCCTATACTCATTACCGTGCTCCACTATTTATCTCTCCATCATAAGTATCATCTAACACACTATACAATTCTGTTATTTTTTCTACTGTTTATTATATGTCTCTTCCCACTGGCTTGCAACCTGCACAATGACAAGGGTCTTTCTTAATTTGCAAAGAATCTCAAAATTTAGAACAGTACCTGGCACAAAGCAGGAACTCAATAATTATCTGTTGAACAAATGAAAGAACTGTCTGTTCCGCCATCATATATCACAGATCCTACATCCTTTGAGTGTCAGAAAACTGGTTCAGGTCCCAGCTGCGCTCTTGACATTCCCAGGTTGGGACTAAAACAGCCTTTCCTCCGATTAGATTTCTCCTATATTGAGCCAAAAATGCAGAGCCAGTCTAGCACTATAATTCTTAGCAAGACAGCTCACATCTCTGACCCTCAATTTTTTTCTTTTTCAACTGACACAGAGAGTGATGTGATAAAACAAACTTGGCATTTGGAATCATGCAGACCTGGGTTGAAGGCTCTGGCATTCACTAGCACTGTGGGCCTTGGGCTGGTCACTGAACCTTTCTAAACGTATTTCTAAATTCACTGCAAATAATACCTATCTTATAGTTTGTGGAAGGATTAGAAATGGTTTAACTAAAGTACTTTAAATAGTGCCTCCCACATATAATGTTTACCGAAAGTGTATCTTAATATCTCCTGAATAGCACCGGCATCCTCTTCTGCTGGATTCTCAAGCCTGGCTTGGGGAAGCAGTGGGGCAGCAGCATGGACACAGGCAGTCTTTTTTTTTTTTTTTTTTGAGATGGAGTCTTGCCCTGTCATCCAGGCTGGAGTGCAATGGCGTGATCTCTGCTCACTGCAACCACTGCCTCCCATGTTCAAACGATTCTCCTTCCTTAGCCTCCCGAGTAGCTGGGATTACAGGTGCCCACAACCATGCTCAGTTATTTTATGTATTTTTAGTAGAGATGGGGTTTCTCCATGTTGGCTAGGCTGGTCTCGAACTCGTGACCTCGTGATCCACCTGCCTTGGCCTCCCAAAGTGCTGGGATTACAGGTGTGAGCCACCGCACCAGCCTACAGAGGCAGAGTCTTTGGATTCCAGCCAACTTGAGCTGTAGGCATTGTGAGATGGTGTTAGGTATAGTCAGCTAAGATTGAAAGAAAAACAGTTGTTAAGAAAGGAAGAGGATTAAAAGGTACCAGTGAAAAACACAGGCATAGGAAGAGGACAAAAGTGAGAAAATAGGCCGGGCGTGGTGGCTCACACCTGTAATCCCAGCACTTTGGAAGGCCGAGGCAGGCACATCACGAGTTCAGGAGACTGAGACCACAATGAAACCCCGTCTCTACTAAAAATACAAAAAATTAGCTGGGCGCAGTGGCAGGCGCCTGTAGTCCCAGCCTGCCTCGGGAAGCTGAGGCAGGAGAATGGCGTGAACCCGGGAGGCAGAGCTTGCAGTGAGCAGAGATGGTGCCACTGCACTCCGGCCTGGGCATCAGAGCGAGACTGTCTCAAAAAAAAAAAAAAAAAAACAACAAAAAAAAAGGTGAGAAAATATAGAAAAAGGGGGAAAATGGAAAAAATAAAAATACCAAATTAAGAGGGGCAAAGGTATGTTTCTCTTTATTCAGGCCTGGGTTTGCTGCAATGACACGGTATCACCTTATGTCTTCCAGTGGTAAGTCCTGTCATTTATTTCTCTCTGAAACTCAGAATAAGCAGTCCTCTATTTCCAGGGACAGTCATGTACAAGGTGTCCCAATTCCATGCCAAAGATACAGTGCAGCTTCCCCAGGCACCTCATGGAGCTATTTATAAAAGCACACTATCCAGATGTGTAAATGCCACTGCTCACAAGCTCTGAAGCGGATGCTTGTATGCAACGCTGGTGAGATCTGCTGGCCCCCAAACACATGCTGCTGGGCATCAGGGTGTCTACAATAAAAACTCATAGAGGGAATAAGCAGATGTGCTCAGGCACTCAACAGGAAACAAGACGTCCTGGCAGCCTGGATGGCTCTGGTTATCAAGGCCTGTTCTTCCTATCAGCCCAGAATGCACAGCCTGTCAAGAGAAATATGGAGGGAGAGGATCACACTGTACTTTGTGTCTGCTCTGTCTTAGTACAGCAGGAAAACCTATCGCTCATCCACATAGATGAGCACACTCTACGGGAGGTGCTGTGACACAAAGGCAGATGTATGCCCTGAGCACATACCAAGGGGCAAATCCCTCTGTGAATGTTCGATGAATGAAAGCATGACAAAAGCAAAGATGAAAACAAAAACGAACCATAAAAATTGTTATTGATCATCATCATCATGTCATTTCTACAACAATTACTTTGGAATAACAATGTGGTAGATTGATGACAAAAAATGTCCTCAGTGCAAAAATGCCCCTGTGTAATATGACTAAAGGTCCTCTGCCATGAGATGGCATCTATTTTTCCACCTCTTGAGTCTGGGTGGTAGAAGGGAGCCATGTGGCTTGCTTTGACTAAAAGAATGTGGCAGAGGTGGTGATGGGCCAGGTTTCTGAGATATATTTCCAAGAGGCTTGGCATGCATTTGCACTCTTCTTTTGCTTTTCTGAAACCCTTCTGAGAACGTGTGTGGTCAAGCCTGACCAAATTAGCTTCAGGGATGTGGCTTAAAAGTATACTGATGCCATTCCAGACATCATGTTCGATATCATTCTAATGATATTCTTCCCACAAAACATGGGAAGAGTTGTCTTAAAAACTTTACGTAAATCATCTTGAATTTTCCTGACAACCTGCAAAGTAGGTATTACTGCTAGTAGAGAAACATGCTTAGAAAGGTAAAGTAACTCATCCAAGGTCACACCGCTAGTGAATTTCAGAACTGCATTCAGTCCAGGTCTGCAGTAATTTCAAACTTCATGCTTACGTCATGATAGCACTCTAATTTGATAGAAACAGGAGAGAACAATATGGATTAGAGATGCGAGCTATCTTACTGAGGTTTCCAGTGCTAGTTTGCTTCCTTAATGAATTAAGATAAACCTGATCAAAGATGACTCTGACTTTGTCCTAATCTGGGTATGCCAAAGGCAGAGCTGGGTTCAGGACCAGCCACATGACTCCAACTCAAGGGCTTTTTCTACTCACCTTATCGTGGAAGGAGGTGCATTTCCTGCACTATACAATAGGGCAATGCTAATCTCTCTGTCTCTCAATTATACCACTATTAAAGTGAGAAAATACCTACTCTGCCCATTTTACAAAGTGTTGTGAAGATCAAATCAAATAATCAAAAGTCTAAGTGTTTTATTTGGATCATTTTATAGAAAAGAGAGGGCTGATGGGCCCAAGGGATGTTACGGTCACCATGCTGTTGGCACTGTGTTAAAAACAGAAGCACTAGAAAATATTGCTGCAATTGTATTTAGTAGGGCAGAGTAGGGATTTGGGGGCTTGGAGAGCCTATGAACTCTGGAATCCATTACGGTAGGGGGTGGTCTATACAAAGTTTCCAATACTAGCATTCTTGGGCTTTAAAAGTTAGCCACCCCCAACCCCAGGTCCATGATTTCTTGGTGTTAAAACAATTTATCTATCTGTTAATTCAGCCAAATGATGAATAAATTGACAGGGCTGGTATGGACTGAATATCTCTGTCTCCCCAAAATTCACATGTTGAAGCCCTAAGTCCCAACTTGTATTCCAAGACAGGGCCTTTAGGGAAGTAATTAAGGTTAAATGAATTCATAAAGGGTAGTTCCCTGATACATAGGATTAGTGTTCTCATAAGAGACCTCAGAGAGCTCGCTCTCTGTCCACCACACAGAGGGAGGGTGGCCTCTGTGCAAAAGAGGACACGATGAGACCCTCACCAAAATCAAACCACATCGGCACCATGATCTCAGACTGCCAGACATTTGAACTGGGAGAAAATACATTTTGTTGTTTAAGGCACCCAGTATGTGGTACCTCATTATGGCAGCCAGAAGTGATTAACACAGGAGCAAACTCCAGTTCAGATGGACTGTTCAATTCAGACAAAACAGTCTGGCAATCTAAGATTGACAGAGCTTTGAAAATCTCACCACCAACATAGTGAGAAGGGGATAAGCTAGAGGTAAATGAATTATAATAGATTTTTTACTTTATACATATTCTTATACATTTGTATTTACTCTTCAAATACTAGGTTTCATACAATTAGAAAAAATTTTTGCTGAGAATTTGCCTCATTAGCATAATTACTTTTATTTATATAAACTTTTTCCAGAATCCATGTCCATGCATGTATCTTTACAACCACATTCCTAATAAATAATAATGGGCCCTCATTTGATTAATTATTTAAGCAATTTTTACACCTTTATAGTCATTCTATTATTCACTTTTTATCCTGTTTATTTCTAACCCTTTTGTTGATATAAAAGAAAGTATGCACATGGTTTTAAAAAATAAGTTATCCCAAAAGGCTCAGAGTAAAAAACATGAACTTCTTGTCCCATCTCTTCTGACTGGAAACTATCTTGTTTTCAAAGTATAACCCTAACATGGTCCTAACTCAAACATCTCCCTTCTCCAACTTCAGGTGCAATTTCCAGGGGTAACCTCTTAGTGGTTTATCTTATTAGTCTCTAATTTATCATATTCAAAGGATTATCCATTGATACCACAATGAGAATGATCAAGAATTAGCAGACACATGCTAGCTTCCTCCTCTTGTCTCTTCTTCTGAATGTCTGTGACAGTATTACTAATTTTAGTTCATCTATTATTTTTTAACCTTAAATGATGTATTTAAATCTATATGATTTTCCAAATAAGGTTTTAAAATTTTTTTCCTATAATTGTTCCTTGCCTTCAAAGTCTGACCTTCTGTCATCTACAATATTACTTTTATTATATATTGTCAAGGTTAACAGCAATATTTTCTATTCTAAGACCTCTATTTGGTCTGCTATGCCAAGTATGATGGTAAATTGAGTCACAGGTAAAAAAATCAATAAGTAGCATTTAGCTTATGATTACATATACTATTCCAATGCTGGGCTAATTAGTCTGGTTTGGATGATTATTTCTTCTATCACATTCTCAGTGGTCCAGTGTCATATCCACTAACAATCACAAATAAGTTTCCCAGCCTTAAAAGTAAATAGACTTTCTTTTTTCATATGCCAGCAGTTGCTTAAATTCATGCCACAGTTTAATTCATATTCGGAGCAAATATTCTTATGCAATGTTAGAGTATTTGGGGGTATTTATTTATCTTTGAGACAGGGTCTTTCTCTGTCACTCAGGCTGGAGTGCAGTGGTGTGATCCTGGCTCACTGCAGCCTTAACTTCTCAGATTCAAATGGTCCTCCTATCTCAGCCCCACAAGCAACTGGGACTACAGGTGCATGCCCCCATGCAGCTAATGTTTTTATTTTTTTGTAGGGATGAGGGTCTCACTATGTTGTCCAGGCTGGTCTCAAACTCTTGGGCTCAAACCATTCTCCTGCCTCGGCCTCCCAAAGTCCTGGGATTACAGGCATGAGCCACCATGCCTGGCCACTTTGGAGTATTTAATTTCATTTCTTTTTCTCTTGTTTTGTTGGTATCAATTTTTTCAAAGATTTTAATCATATTATCTATTTACCAAATTCCCTGTTTTTCCCAAAGATCTACCTCATAGAGTTCTCTTTACCCCAGATTACACTGGCTGCTCCCCAGACCTGCTACAAAGGGGCCATTACATATTTTCCTCCATTGCTGCCCTGGATAGATGGATGGATGGATAAACTGTTCCCTGGATCCCAATCTTCCTTTTTTCTTAGTTTACATCTTCTCTTTGCTGGAACATATTCATAAGCAACTTCCTAAGAAATGGTTTTGGGGGTAAACATTCTCAGTCCCTGCATGTCAGAAAAAGTCTTTATTCTACCTTCACATTTGATTGATAAAATGGCTAGATCTAGAGTTCTAAGCTGAAAAAACAATCCCTCACAATTTTGAAGGCATTGCTCCACAGTTTTCTTCCTTCAAATGTTGCTGTGAGAAATCCAAAGTAGCTTGATTCTCATTCCTTTTTTGATATCTTACATTTTTCCCCTAGAAGGCTTTAAGGACCTTTTTATTCTTGATATTCTGAAATTTCATGAGAATGTGCTTAGATATGGGTCTTCTTTCACTCTTTCTGAGAGGTAGTCAGTAGTCCCTTTCAACTTAAAGATCAAGCCTTGGTGAATCATGCATTATTAGTTTTTAAAGTATATTCCCTACTCTGTTTACTCTGCTCTCTTTTCTAGAATGTCTATTACTAAATATTGGATCTTTCAAATTGAGTATCTACATTTAAAAAAGTTTTTATTTTTAGTTTGGTAAAATACACATAACACAAAATTTACCATCTTCATAATTTTTAATTGTACAGTTCAGTAGTATTAAGTACACACTGTTGTGTAACCATCACCACCATTGATCTCCAGGACTCTTTCCATTCTGCAAAACTGGGACTCTGCACCCATTAAACAATAACTCCCTGTCCCCTTGTCTCCCCATTCCCTCTGGCAATTACCATTCTACTTTCTGCTTCTGTGAGTTTGCCTACTCTATCCTCATATAAGTGGATTCAGGCCATTCTGTCTTTTTGTGACTGGCTCATTTCACTCAGCCTATTGTCCTAGAGGTTTCTTTATGTTGTGAAAAGTGTCACCATTTCCCTCCTTTTTGAGGATGAATAACATTGCCTGGTTTCTCCATAGGAAAGCATCTTGGAAGAGTTGTATGAGCTAACTGAATCTGTTTCAGTAGCTCACGCTGTCTCCCCACACTCTAGCTGGCTTCCTTCCTCATCCTCCCACTGGACATGCTCTTGTCATGGCCACTGAGACACGCAGGTTGCTAATTCCAGTGTTACTTCTTCCAAGACTACAACTTCCTTCCTGTGGCCTCCTGGTAGCCTCTGACACAATGGAACACACTTTCTTCTTGAGACACTTTCTTCTCCTGGCTTTCACACCTCTCTCTCTCTCTCTCTCTCTCTACTGTTTACTCTGTTCTCCTTTCTAGAATGCCTATTACTAAACATTGGACCTTCCAGATTGAATATCTATATTTAAAAAAGCTTTTATTTTTAGTTTGGTAAAATCCACACAACATAAAATGGTTTTCTCTCTACCGCACTAGTTAGTCCTTCTTTCTTTGTCCCACCTTCCTCTTTGACCTAAATGGTATGCTTTGGGGTTTGGTTTGGGAATCCCTTTCACTTCCTATCTGTACTCTCTCCTGGGGTAGTTTCAAGTCCCACTGGCTTTAAATATTGTCAATAAATCAAATGACTCTCAAGTTTATTATTCTTTCTCAATATCTCTCTTTAATTCCCTCTCCATCTTTACCAGCTGCCTACTCGATATCCCACTTGGCTGTCCAACAAACAGAACTTTCAAACTTAACACGCTCAAAACAAAATTCATGACTTCCCTCAAATCTGCTCTCCCACCAGTTTCTACATCCTGGTAGATCCTGACGAAAATCCCAGTAATCATCCTTATACATACATACATCATACATATATACATACATACATGTACATACAAGACTGTGGGGGTATACCCAGAAATATCTTTAGGATGCACACATTCACTTCTACCTTTATTCCTTCCACCTCATTCAAAGGCAACTATTTCTCACCTAGACTCTGGCAATAACCTCCTATTTTCCAAATTCCACACTTTCCACCTACAGTCTATTGTTCACAGCACAATCAGAGTAAACTTATAAATATGTAAACCTGATTGGGTCCTTCAGTGGCTTTCCTTTGCACTTATAATAAAATCCAAACTCCAAGCCTGCAAGGCCCTCTCTCCTAATGCATCTTCTACTCTTCTTTGTCATGGTCTTGATGTTCCAAGAATAAGAGAGTCCTGTTCTTTCTGTTCCTCTAACATATACAGCCCACCCTTACTTTAGGGTGAGTAATGAAAGCTAGCTCTTTTCTCAGATGTTCTTGTGGCTAGCTTCAGCTCATCATTCAGATCTCAACTTAAACATCATTTCTGCAGGGTCGTCTTCCTTGATCATGTAATCTTAAGTAATCCCCAAGATGTTTTTAACACATCCCGTCTTCACTATATCCCTTATGGTGATCTGATATTTTCCTACACCTATTTACTACAACATTCTCTGCACTTAGCACCTAGGGGGTTAATGAATACTCTTTAGAAGAATGAATTATACAATAAGTATGGAGCTCTCTCCATTGTCCATAATGTTTCCTAATGATATATACATTCTAGAAGCGAGAGTACAGAATAAAACCTTTTCTCCATGTATCTGTTCCTGTTCCAATTTTATAGTAGAGCAGGGTTTTCACGTCAAGACAAAGGTGAGCAACTTAAAAAGCCCAGGAGTGGCCTTGTGGATCTGTATTAAAATATAGGAATGTGTCTGCTCTGTCTCCATTCATTCATTCATTCAAATATATTTACTGGATACTTGTTCAAAGCCTAGCATTGTATTAGATATGGAGTTTAGTGTGAATAACACAAAAGAAGCCTTTCTGTCACTGTACACTTTTTATTCACAAGTGTGAGCTAAACAGACCAACAAATCTAATAAGGAAGTTTGTATGACATCACACACTCAGCCTGACTCTGCTCAAATGGCATTCCATGGATCTAGGTTTGCAGCTTGGTTTTTCCATTCACTAGCTGTGTTACTCACAAGCAGGTAGCTTAATTTCTCTAAGCCTCTGCTTCACCATCAAGATAAAGGGGATAAATACATTTATCTCACATGTTTGCTATAAGAATTCAATTAGAAAATAAATGTAAAACATTCTGTTCAGTCCCTGATACTACTGACAATTAATGATAATTAATAAATAGTATTCTTTGCCATTACTATTTTGTTATTAGTCTTCCTTCTGGTACAGCTGCCACTTCCACTACTGCTACTAACTCTCTCTCTCTCTCTTTTTTTTTTTTTTTGTTTGCTTTTTAGAGACAAGGCTTACTCTCTTGCCCATGCTGGAGTGCGGTGGCATGATCATCGCTCACTGCAGCCTCAAACTCCTGGGCTCAGGGAATCGTCCCACCTTAGCCTCCTGAACAGCTAGGGCTATAGATTCATACCACAACACCCAGATTTTTTTTTTTTTTTAAATAGAGACAGGGTCTCACTATGTTGCCCAGGCTAGTCTTCAACTCCTGGTCTGAAGCAATCATCCCTGCTACTAACATTCTTTTATTGAAGACATATGGGGCAGGTGGAAATCAGAATTAAAATGTGTTTTTAGAAATATTATGTCGGCAGCTACTTAACAAGCCAGACTGGTTATTTCCCTGGGGCGTAATTCACTCAGACCCACAGGAAAGCAAAAATGTGTAGGATTTGATGGTTCCCATTTGATAGCTCCTTTCCAGAAAACAGTATGAAAAGATAAGAAACACTGTACAATATCCTGGTCATTTCTTTGGCCTGGGCATGAAGCTGGCTCTTATTATTAGAAAGATAAATGTCAGCATCCATGCTGATGGGGCACAAATATCCAATTAAACATGAATCCCAGCTCCCAATCAGCACACACATGTCTTGGCCAAGTGGAAGCACTTTCATTTGCTCAGCCTTTTCTTCCAATATGACTTGTCCTTTGGGTCTTTGAGGGTGACCGGCCTCCTCTAGGGAGGATCATTCAGGACCATAAATAGAAATCTGGAATCTCACTGAGCAATACTCACTTGGCTCTTGAATTCTATTTGTGGAAATGAAATCTTGAATCCCATGGAAGTGCTTAACAAACCAGAAGCAGAAAAACTCTCCCATTTGACAAACATCACCCAGAGTGCATGTGAATGAACAATGACACTAAAAGACACACCACAAATGCAGTTTTCCTACTTAACTAAATCACATTTCTCCACAAAACACCATCTAAAATCCTCTTTCACATTTTCATCCTTTCTAGCTCCCGTTTTTTCTTTTTAATAAGCTTCCCTTTTCATTTTTTAATTCCATTTCCATTTTCCTCTTCAATGTAGCCAGGTTGTTAAATTAAAAACACTCATCTTCTGTCTTTGCATGCACATTATTTTCCATTTCTATTCTGGGGTCTAATTTTGATCCTTTAGCCATTTGACCTTCTGAACAGGTGCAAAAGAAGGCTGCAGGTTCAAAGGTGTATCTTCTGCACTTCTTGACCCCTTTGATTTGAAAGCACATTACCTTAATAATAAAAATATCTGGGCTTCACATTTGATATACAGATCAGAGAGAATCAAGTGCAGGACATTTTTCTGATGCTTTAAAGAAATGCTCAGAAAAAGATTCCAAACTCATTTTCCACTGATTCTCTGTTCCTCCATTACATTATTTTTCTGTACCTTTTACTCATCAGCGAAGTCATTTGGGATTTCAGAGTCATTTGGGATTATTGATTATGAAGCAGCAAAAATCTTTCACACTGCAAGCAAGGTAATGCCAACCTCTATTTTAGCTAGCTTTTCAATCATATTATTTCTACTTATCAAATGTATTTTAGGCCATAATTTGTTTTAGAGTCAAACTAGTTTTCAAGTTACTGTTATTCGTTCAAAAGTGACCATATAAAAAGTTGAAAATCTGTAGATTTAATGTGCCTGACACTTAATTTCATGCTGTTTGCCCCATTGTTCAAAGCAAATAGTAAAGTCTTCAGCTATATATGTGTGTGTGTGTGTGTGTGTGTGTGTGTGTGTGTTTATTCAGTTCATGACTTCAGTTTTTACAACGTTAATATATTGCTTTTAAAAAAAATCTGCTACCCAGGAAAGGTATCAAACAATTGTTTTTTTTTTGGAGAACGAGTCTCACTCTGTTGCCCAGGCTGGAGTTCAGTGGCATGATCTTGGCTCACTACAACCTCCGCCTCCCCGGTTCAAGTGATTCTCCTGCCTCAACCTCCTGAGTAGCGGGGATTACAGGTGCCTGCTACCACACTTGGCTACTTCTTGTATTTTTAGTGGAAACGGGGTTTCATCACATTGGCCAGGCTGGTCTCAAATTCCTGACCTCAAGTGATCTGCCCGCCTCAGCCTCCCAAAGTGCTGGGATTACAGATGTGAGCCACCACACCTGGTCTCAAAGAATAATTTCTAATCTATCACATTAACTTTGCAGTTCCTATTTGCAATGCATTCTGATTTATAGGGTTAAAATATTCAGTGGCACTTCTACATTTTCTTCATGTTCTACTTTAAAAAACTACTTCCAAGTGAAGGAATGGACAGAAGGGTAGCATTAAAAGCAGGTATACGCCACTGCATCTTATAATTCAAATGATTTCAAAGCCACTTAAAACAAGCAATTACTAATAACTATGGATGACTATTTGGGGTCAGGTACATGCAAAGACTTTTGAATTTGTTTAGTAAGTGGCCCCTACTAACTCCTAAGAAATTTAAAAGAAGAAAACTTAAAAATGATGACATTTTATTATCAGGCAGAAGACAAATGGTTAGGTACCGTTCTCTGTAGAATAACTAGAAGATTCATTCACTTTATGTAATATTTCATCAAGTCTCCACTACATGCAAGGCACTTTGGGATACACTGGTGAGAAACACGGACAAGACACTTGCCCACACATGACTTACATTCTAACACAAGAGCAGACACTAAGGAGCCAACAACCCAGTGGTGACAAGTGCCATGGAAGGCAATAAAACCGGGTGATGAGAAATCCCAGGACCAGAACCAATGGGAGAGGCACTGTAAGGGGCTGTCTATTTTAAAATGAGGTGGTTAGGGTCACTTCCTATCACAACTACACATTTCTATTAAAAAGCTTCTACTTCCAATGATAATATGGCCTCTGATCTGTTCTGAATTCTAATACAGTATTGTCCTTCACAAAGGATCCATTCCCTCTCCTACTATTCTTTTTCTTCTATGAATTACTATAATTCACATGGTCCTATAACCACATAATTGTCATGTCCTATAATCACACATGGCATTGTACTGTTTGATGGGTAAAGTATAAAAACCCACCATTAAATGGAAGGAAGGTTCATTTATTCAATTTAATTCATTTATTTAACATTTATGAAGCACTTACTGTTTGCCATGAACCATGCAATTTGCTGGGACACAAAGATGAAAAATCAAGGCTTGGGGCTTAGAGTCTCAGAGAGACAGGAGGAGAGAGAAACATAATTTTAGGTAAGAGGAGTGAGTATACAGTAGAATTGCAAGGATAGAGAAAAGTATCAGATGATTTGGGCACCAAACCTACTGTCTGCACAAGTGAATGTGAAATGCAGACATGGAATCAGGGAGGAGATAGACAAACAGGGTATCTCTAGGACAGAGGTGCATGAGAATATCAATGCAATAAAAACAAGAAATCACAAAATGGAGAGAGTTGGAAGATGGTGAGAGGGGAACATTACTGGAGGGAGAAGTGCAGAGGAGAAGGGCGGAAAAAGCTGGAGTAGAGCAGAGATGATGAGACCATGAATAGTGAGACAGTTTGGCTCACATATAACAAGGCTGCCCACATGCACACACACAGGTGTTCTCTCAAACTGTGCTTGGCTGGGTACTGGTGATGCAAGGATGAAACGGACCCATTTCTATGGTCCCGTCTGGCAAAACTGACATGACGGCACCAACTTACCTTCTCAGCTACATCACTCATCACTTTCTCGGAACCATTTCTCTAGCCACCAAAATGCCTGCCCCTTTTCTGCCTTTGCACATAATGGTTTACCTGGTTAGGATGTCACTTCCACCTTCTTTACCTGGAGAATTCCTGCACACTTTTCAAGCCTCAAATTAAATATAACCTCTATTAGATGATTTCCCCAACTCCCTCTGCCTTGTTCTCACAGTTCTTGGTAACATTCTCCAATTAGAGTGCCTTTCCCAGTTAGGCTTAATTATTTGTATAACTATCTGCTCCAACACAGAACCCTGAGTATTTTGTGGGTACACACAGTTCTATCCATCATTTCCATACTTCGCATGGTCTGCCACATAGCAGTTGCTGATTATATAAATGTTTGCTTTATACAATTGGCTATTCTAGCAGTCCTTTAACAAAGGTTCAGATAGCCAAGACAGAACACATTATACTATGGATGTTTCAATTAATATTTTAAAAATTATATATGGTAATTCTTGAATGTATTCTCACTGTAACAATTTAAACAACAAAGATGTACAAAGAACCTCAACACTCTTTTCATGCTATACTCCCAATTCCGTTCTTCTCAGCAGAGGTAGCAACTATCATGACTTTGAGGTAGACATTTAGGCACATTTTCTTTCCTTTGTATTTTACGTATGTACATACGTAAAATAGTTTTCTATGAGTCCAGGCCATCTATAAATACGGGACAGTACTTTTCAACTTGTTTTTACTTAATAAGTTTTAGCTATATTTTATATCTTGGAACATATAGATTCACCTCCTTATTTTCAATTGATGCATAATGTTCACTAGTAAACAGAAACGTGCAAAGAAAAACAATCATTGAGTTTTCACCTAAGAAATATGCAAGCACTGAGAAGACTGAGAATACCCATCGGGGAAACATGCTCTCTGTTAGGCTAGTTTTGCTTTATTGAAGGGCAAATTAGTGTTTTTCTAAAAGTTTATAATGTGCAATTCTACTTTAAGGCCTCTATACTGTAGAAACACAGGCACATATGTTTAAAAGGACACTACAGGCATGCATTGCTATGGTATTTTCAAAAAGGAAAACTTGGAAACATCCTAAATGTCCATAAGGACTTACTAAATGGTAGAATACCTGCATTTGATTTTGTCAGTTTTGGGTACATGGCATTAAATGATTCTAATTTTACTATAGTCCCATGTCTGTTCCTTCCTAAGCCTCCTTTATTTCAAATCTCTCTCATTCCTAGTATTTTCAAATACTACAATTCAGTATTATGTGCACATCTGATTATATGATTCCTTTAAAGATGTTACTTATTTCCAGAGATTTTTAATAGCCTTGTCTTGCTTCTTTTCCTGCACAAAGTAAAGGATATGGTTATTCTGTTAAGCTTGCACACATCTCTCCTTCATTTTGACACCAAACTTGAATTTGACAAGACAACAGTAGTTTTTGCTTTATTATTAATAATAGGCATGTGCTGAATGTCAATTATATTTAAGGGACTGTGCAGGGGATAGTGGTAACACACACAGATACACCATTCAGTTTCACACAAGCCGGATACTCTGATTCTGGCAACCATGGATCATTAAAAAGGAAATAAGCAGAATGTTTGTGTGTTTGTTTACCTGTCTGTTCATATATCCATCCATCTGCTGGCTAGATCAATGCAGTGAAAGATGGATCAAATAGAATCCTCCACAAAATCAAACTAGGAAAAAAAGCAAGGAAGCAAGCAAGCGAACCTGACACCACAGCTGAAAGTAAGGATGAGAAATGAGGACCATTCTCAAAATCCAAAGCACAGAGGCCAAGGACCACATGGGAAGACATAAAGGCAATTTCTGGTTATCCCCGTGTGCTAGGATAAAAAGGTTAGGTTCTATAAGAAATAGATAAAAAGTGGGCCGGGCGCGGTGGCTCACGCCTGTAATCCCAGCACTTTGGGAGGCCGAGACGGGCGGATCACGAGGTCAGGAGATCGAGACCATCCTGGCTAACACGGTGAAACCCCGTCTCTACTAAAAACACAAAAATTAGCCGGGCATGGTGGCGCGTGCCTGTAGTCCCAGCTACACAGGAGGCTGAGGCAGGAGAATGGCGTGAACCCGGGAGGCGGAGCTTGCAGTGAGTCGAGATCGCGCCACTGCACTCCAGCCTGGGCGACAGAGCGAAACTCCGTCTCAAAAAAAAAAAAAAAAAAAAAAAAAAGTGAAGGAAAGTGCTGAACCCAAATAGAATCCTCAACTGGTGTGGGGAATGGATGGCTTCTTTCCAGACCAAGAAACTAGAACTTCCCAGGTGGTGGGGCTAGAACCTTGAACTCGTTGGGGTGGGGCTGACCCAGCAGTAGGGAATGGGGAGAAGTCCAGGCAGGCAGGTGCAGCATAGCTGCTAGGCGCATGGTAAGACGCCATGACTCAGGCAGGTGTTAGGAGATCAGGAGTCTAGGATCAAGACAAGGATTCATCCAGGAATCACAGAGAGCACAGCAGTGGCACATGTGACATTCAGCATCGTGTGGGAAGTTGAGCAGGTGGCGAGTGGGCAGGAGAAAACCGGGCTCCCACTGCTTGGCACAGGTTTGGGGAAAGGACCTGGGCTCTGGGAAGGTGGGACAGGCACCAAGGCAGGGCTCTCCCAGCCTTGCAGGAACTGGAAGACGAATGGGAGAATCCTGATGAAGGGGAACAGAAATTACAAGTACCACGTTACAAAATGGGGCTAGGCTGCTCCAACAAAGGCTAAGCCGGAAAAAACCCAGGTGGCAAAATCTGACTCCTGATGAGGGTCCCTTAAATTCTCTCTGATTAATGACCAACATCCCACACGCTTGGCCTGGGTGGAACCTTTAAATGTGGTCAAATGGCTTCAGCTGGGGGGGATCAGACGGCCTTCAGCACAAGGGGGCAGGCAGGTCATCATACTCAATTACTGGGTTTGGCAGGAGGAGGAGGGAAAAGTATGGTTTTGGCAACACTGCTGGAATTATAGGGCCTTAATTAGATTACTGGATCAACCTCTGACTCGCAATGAATGTCCTTAGGGAGGTCATTTAATCTCTCTGTGAGACTATGTCTGAGTTTCCACAACTAAAAAATGAAAATAATATTTTAGAAGCAGCTTACAGGAGAAGCTCATAAGAGCAACAGTGTTGCTAAAAGGATTAGGATTTCAGCTGATCCTTCAATTATATACTGTCCTTTACCTTCTGGCCTTGCAAAAAATAAATAAATAAATAAACAAAGGCTGGGAGAAGTCCCCTCATATAACCATTGTAAAGAAATGCACTTGCTTTATATTTATATAGCTGATGCGGCTAACTTTGCTAAACCTAAACTGGTTGTGTTGCAAAACAGTGTAACATGACTGAGTCATTCGCTTTCAAGAATCTTGTAAATGAGAAATGGCAGGGGCAGAGTGACTCTATTTCCACTCGCCCACGACAGTTGGACCAGAACCACCAGAGAACACTTCAGAGAAAAGATGGGTCCAGGAAAAGCGTATTATAGGTTGACTGTAGTCAGAAACTTATTTCTCATAGTCAGGGAAATAATTAGGTCAACTAAAGAGAGCTATTTATACTTGGGAAAATGGTACTAATTTAAACCTAACCAGTGGAATGCTGACTATTTCACTAAGAATAATATGCTTCTTCCAAAAGTCAAGAAGGTAAAGAGAAAGCCTTTTGAAAGTAGCATAAAGGATACACAGAAAAAACTCTATTTGTTATTATTTGGTTTATTTTGAGCAAACATAGTTCCTGTTACAGGCTCCTAGTGGGCCGTCCCCTTTAAAATTCAACTCTTTTTTTTTTATAGAGACTAAAATATTTGGGCAAGATTTGCCAATGAATTTCTAAAATTGGGGCTAATAATCAATTATAAATGGAGGATATTAGCCACTCAAAGATTTATCCCACCATAAGAAACAGTTTGGAACTCCTCCCAAGTCCTATTGAAATGGTCTGGGTTATACTCATGAGACTGCAAACATAAATTAATAGATGCTATACTCTGCTGTGTTGTCTTCACTAAATGGTTTGGTCTTTGTGGAGTTGAAGCAGAGGCAATGTGCATGGTTTTCAGTGCCTGGTCCAGAGGAGGTTCTCCATGCCTGCAGGGTAAGTGATCCCTACAGCCTTAGTTGCAACCCTGGCTGAAAATTAGGATAATCTGAAGAGTTTCTTAAAAGGAGCAAATATACCCCAATCTTAAAATATACCCCAACCAAATTAAATCAGAATCTCTGGGTAGGGTGGGGGAAGAGGGAAGGGAGGAGCTGACCCAGGAGCAATGATTATACTTCACAGCCAAGGGTGAGAACCACTGAACTGGGAAGTACCTTCAGATGGTGAGTGGAACTCATAAAACTTGATGTCTTCCTAATACGATTACTCAACTTTTTTTTTGCTCTGGTACCATGATGAACAAGCAACATTTATTTTATTTTCTAGGTTGACATTTTTTATAGGGGCTAAAAGAAGATGATCAGCTAACCCAAGGCATCTGTCTGCTTGCCAGTTATTGTTCTCATTTTAAATCAATAAAAGGGACTTCTCATTTGTCAGTTGTCTTCTTGTTATTCTCAAACAGTCCTGCACAGTCTCTAGATCTGTTTAATTATATATGACTTCGGACACACACACAGCAAAGGGTAAGACATAGATTTCTCATGACCCTGTCAAGGGCTGCCCTTAGGAGAAGCTATGTAACAGCTTTATCTCTTTTACCAAACTTTAAAGGCAGTTATTTTATGTTAAATGGAATAGTTTTTTTTTAAATTATGGCAAACAATTACATACAAACAAGATATGACGGGCAAATTCTTGACTGCCTTAGTATTCCATGCATATGATAACCATCCATCCTGGCTTACACAGGACCAAGGACATTCTTGGAATCTAGGACTTCGAGTTTTAAAAGTGAGGCAGTCCTGGGGATACCTTAGGGAGCTTCTGGGACTCAAAACTTTCAACACAAAATCCATCTGGGATTAGTTGGTCATCCTAGGTATAGCCCTAGTTTCTCAGATGGATCTTTATTTTCTTTTTAAGAGAGGCTTCATTGATCACCTAGTGGTAACTAAAAGGAAACTAGCATATTAGATGAGGAATTGAAGATATTCTCCATCTCACATCTCATCTCAAACAAATACTCTATTACACTCATAACTAACACGTAGCATAGTGTTATCACAGATGAAATCTCAGTATAGGATTAAAAACACTCACAGTTCAGGCATGGGCAATGTAAAAGAGAAAAAGGAAGTCTCCAGGCAGGTCCAATAGCCTATAGAACAAGGAGAGGCCTTGAACCAGGCCAGTCAGCTGGATCCAGTGTATGGGATCAGGAGCCAAGACAAACTTAAAGCCATGTGGCCACAGCTAACATTTGTTGAGTACTTAGCACATGCACTATACTAAGACACTTACGAAGACTATATGATTTAACCACAACTCTATGAAATAAATATAATTACTATATTCATTTTATTACACTACATAATTATATGTAGTTAGTATATTCATTTTACATAGGAGAAAACTCAAAGCTGTTTAGGGCTTTTATTCACCCTTATTCACTTCCTCCATGTCCAGCCTATAGTAGGCATACCATAAATAACACAAAAGTATTAACTACAAAAAACACCCAAGTGGGGTAAGTATAAATATCTTAAAAGACAATTTAATTAAAATCTTTTGCTTTTTCAGGTATCTTTACAAAATGGCTGACATCTATTTAAGCAGGTCTGTAACCGACCATCCTTTACAAATTACTTAAAGATAAGACGAGAGAAGGATTCATATTAATATTATTAGCCTAACACTCAAGTAAAGTGAAACTACAAATGATGTGTTCTGGCTAGCAGTAATAGGGAGAGAGAGAAAAAAAAATACGTTGTGTGTTAAGAAGGAAAATTAAACCGAAAATTAGATTCCCTGCCCACAAATTTTGACAAATCTTAAAGGAAATTAACCACTTTTCACTTGCTTTGCTGATCACAGAAAGCCTCTGACTCCACTTGACATAAGCAAATAAAGATGGTAACACTTGACATGTAATTCTTGGCTCACTTAATTGGATTGCTTCACAAACCATTTTTGGTAATCAATGATTACTAGTAGTAGTCACAAAAGAGGATAACAGGCAGCTGGGAACAGAAAATGACAGGACTGCATTTTCTTGAGTATCTATTCAGAGGCAGTGGTCCAGCCATGAAATGATTCTGCCTCCTGCCTGAACTTCTTGTTTATACAACTACTTCTGGACCCCCTTGGACCCTCATGACCAATTATAGTTTGGGGATGCTAAAGTCAAACTGCCTGGGTTCAAATCCCAGCTTGACACCTACATAACTCAGAACAAATCTTCTTAGTATGCCTCTGTTACCTTTGTAAAATGGGAACAATTGTGCTATCTCATAGGATTGTTGAAGAACTAAGTGATATAATCCACGTACACTGCTTGGATTGATGCCTCCCACATAGAAAATTTTACATGAATGTTTATTTTTATTATTGCTTTTGTTTTATATTTCAAAAGCTGTGCTACCTCTACTTTAAAGTTAAGCCCTCTGATCCAGATTCTGTTAGAAAAGTCATCTTTTGTGCACCCCTGCAGAACATGTGGCCATGATCTTTGCCACAACGGAAACTCAGCATAAAATACACAATAGCAAGATGTCTGGACAGCAGTCCTTTACTTTACAAGCTTGTTAGATATCGACTCTAGGAAAGCCTTGGGCTTGGCACCTCCTAATCAATTTGGAGACTGGCACAGGTCAAACGTGCTAGTTAGTAAGGATCTGTTTGAATCCTGCTCTGTCAATTATGGTCTAAGACAAAAATGCGGAGTAGATGGTACCCAGTATGTTGATGACAGGGCCAATCAATTTGTGACTTAGGGTGGCTCTTTAGATTACACATTGAAATCGCCAAGACACTCTGTCAATTCAAGAGCCTAAAAGGCTTTGACAAGATCAAAAGACTCATGGCATTATGGACCACGAGTGCATAAAGATGGGGACAATGTGGCACCATGCCACAGATCATTTTATCCATCCAATGGGAGATTGAAATCTGCTACAAGACACCACCTCTTTTTCCTTCAGTAATCTCATTCGTGCAAACCACAAATCTTACTTTGTGGCACGTAACAAGATAGTCTGTCAACAGAACAAATGTGGAAATCAGTGAACTGTAACACACAGCAGAGTACCCTAGCACAAGAAGTATATATGCAGATACACATCCCAGGCCCACTCCTAACAATATGAACAACATAAATGGTGGAAAAACAGCTGTGGCAAGCTGGCCAAAAAGTGTATCATCATAATCTTTGGCAGATTCACCAGGTGGTAACATGAACTAGCAAGGAGAGATGGGTTTTTTTGCCAACTGCCTCTGTAAACCAACCAGTTTTCTTACGTTCACAAAAAACCCACTCCTCTTGGCAGCAGCATCCTCTCCAAAAACGCCAGTGTCTTTCAACTACCCTGCTATTATTGCCATTGGCTCAGAAATGCCTCTAGTAAATAACCCAATGCAAAGAGAGAGCCAGTGAGGCACACGGTTCTTCAGAGAGCTCTGTTGATATGAAGCAATGTTCTATTTTTAATATGAAAGTTTTCAGTGAGCTGGGAGTTGATCTTATAACCTGATTGTCCCTTTCACTCTTTTCTCTCCTTGACTCAAGCACCTGGCAGAATGCTGGGCACACAGCTGTTCGAATGAGTTCAATTGAAATGTGGCTTCCTTGTGGCAACATACTAGATTTTTCACCTCTGTTACAACTTGATCACTGACCTTTTTATGAACACTATGCCCTGCTAGAGGAATATGCACAACTTTTGGTAGTTTATCCATGGGTGTATTAATTCTTGTCACTGTGCAGAGAAGGGAGGTACAAAAAGCAATTGCCAAGCTAAGGAGATATAGCACGGTAGCTTATTTTGCTGATGACTAACGAGATGCAAAGGCAAAGTTTTAATCCAAAAGTATTAAGTTGCAGTGAGAGGCTGCTGCTTCATCATATCATATAGGATTCTGCTGGATTTTACTCCTTTCCCATCACATTCATCTCCTTTCTCTGCCTTGGTCCGCACTATTCTTTCTGCCTGGAAGGCAGCCCAGCACATTTCTGCCTGTCCACTAGCAGGTCAAGGTTCAGTCTTCCGCCCTTCCTCCACACAGCAGCCAGAAGTCCCCTTGTCATCTCTCACCTTTTAAAACTACCCATGCCATTCAGATGCCCCTTAGCCTTTACTACCTTGTTGTGTACTTTTTTTGTGGACCTATCTTATCCATGGAAGAGGACAAAATGCTGCAGAGTGGCTACCATAGCTCTATGCTGCAGGATTTTCAGCAGAACTGTGAGGTAAGTGTTATTTCATCCATTTCATAAATGGAGTTCTTGGAGAGTCTATTTGCCTAGCCTGTCACATGATTGGTTCAGTTTCCTTTGCAGAGTTAGGCAAAAACAATGAAAATTTAAGCACACCTATCTTTAACCTTCCTATCTAGGGATCTAGCCCACAAGTATACACATTTATACAGATAAGCATGTAATATATTATATATATATTTTTATATAATATATAATATATATAATATATTATATATATTATATTATTATATATAATATATTATATATGTATTTTTTTTGAGGCAGAGTCTCGCTCTGTCACCCAGGCTAGAGTGCAGTGGCATGATCTCAGCTCACTACAACCTCTGCCTCCCAAGTTCAAGTGATTCTCCTGCCTCAGCCTCCCGAGTAGCTGGGATTATAGGCGCGTGCCACCACGCCTGGCTATTTTTTGTATTTTTAGTAGAGACAGGGCTTCGCCATGTTGGCCAGACTGGACTCAATCTCCTGAACTCAGGTGATCCATCTGCCTCAGCCTCCCAAAGTGCTGGGACTACAGGCGTGAGCCACCATGCCCAGCCTGTACTATAATTTTTATGTAGTTATTTCAACATTAATTGCAATGAAATTACATTCAAAAGAAGCCACATGTCCAGTGACAGAGAAGTGTCTTAATAAATTATGACATGGATACCATAATTTTATATATACACACGCACATACATATATATGTATATAATGGAATACTCCTCATCTTTTAGAGAGTAAGACAGAAAGAGAAAACTACACATGAATATTTCTCAGTGCTGAGAAGAGTAAATACTTGTTGAATGAATGAATAGATCACCAAGATATAGTGTGAGAAAAGCAAATCTCTAAACACTATTATATGACTCCACTTATGCTATAAAGCTATTTGCACACTCACATACACACAGTGTGTTGTCACTCAATATGTTATCTTTTTTTTTTTTTTAAAAAAAAAGGAGGTTTATGTTCATGTATTACTTAGGTAATAAAAAAATAACATGGAAAGCAATAGATAACCTGGTGTGGGTGGCTTAGGTATTAGGTTGTGAAGTAGAAGGTGGACTAAACTTAGCTGCTTTGGAAGCCCCTTCTTTTTCACTTGTACTTTCCTCTGTTTTTATAGTGGAAAGAGCAGACCTGCAGTTGAAAGACTCTTGTTCTGGCTCTGTCAACACTGACCCGAATGACTTTAGCTGAGTCGCCCAACCTGCAGAAGGCTTGTCACTTATTCTTTAGCCAGAGAATAGAAATAATGTCTATCTTCCAAGGTTAACTCTGAGAACAAGTAAGCTGATGCATGTAATAGCTCCTGATCAACTATAAAGCACTATCCAAATGCAGTAGGGTATATTATTTATCATTGTGATTATTACTCCCATAAAATGCTAACACAGTGTCTCACATAGATAAGGCACATAATATAAATTAGGGAAGTGAATGAACATATTAGAATATGTGAATTCACTCTTCTGTATTCATTCAGCATTTGCTCCCTCTAAAGAGTTCTTGTAGTCTTTTAGGGGTATCTTCTCAGGAAAAATTAAAGAGATCTGAATCCTCTATTTCATCTGACATAAGACAGTAATGATTTTAAGACTTGGATTAATTTTATGTACAACTAAGACAGAAAAAGAATGATGCTAAATAAACTATGTCACACAATGTTGCCTGATTTTGAAAATGTGAAAGAATATGTGCATTTAAAAATCTGTGAAATACAGTATTTAAATGAAAGGCTTCAGGCAAATTAGCTGATCAATTATACATTATGTCTCTCAAATGAAATTGCTAATTTAATAATAAAGCATGATTTTCTCATACCAATGGTGTTTTACAGTGCCTTTTCCCCTTTGGATATGCTGGTCACAGCATTTTTTTTTTCATGTTTTAAAAATTATAGAGAATAGATAATTACTAGTGAATGCTGACCTTTTCCTTATTATGAGTAATTGTGCTATTAAAAGCATCATTTGGACCTTAATTTGATATACAAATTATTCAATTACCTAGTCTGCAGTTGTAAGGACTTTTAGCAGTCACCATTATTTGGTGAGGGGGAAGGTTAGCATGAAGCAATTTCATCGTGTACTCCATTGCAAAAATTTTAGTTGTACCAAAACAGTATTAAAGTAGTGGGTAAGCCAATAACGCCATCGAAATGTTTGATGGCACCAAATTATAACCAATGTCACCACTGAAAACATTAGCAGGAGAATAGGCCAAAGAAACTTGACAAAAATCCCTTTGCAAAGCCAAAATTAGAGAATAGGCCAAAGAAACTTGGTAAAAATCCCTTTGCAAAGCCAAAATTAAAGCATGTTGTTAAAAAAGAAAACTACAGTTAAGCAAAAATAACTCATCTTTAGGATGTTTGGGTGTAGTGTCCATGAAACTTGCTCTTGGTCTTAGGTATTTATTTACTGTTTTTGTTTTGGTGGTGGTGATGGCAATAGTAATGGCAGTAGTGGTGGTGACCGTGGTGGTGATGGTGATGACAATGGAGATCCCGGTACCTGATACAGTCCACAAAGTAGGGTGGTAGATCTACCTAAAGAAAATCTACTGCCTAAAGGCAGTGGGATATAGAAAAAACAAAACAAAACTGAGTTTGAATCCCAGTTTCATTACTTACTAGCTGTAGTGTCATTGGAAAATTACTGCTTCAATTTCCTCATCTGTAAAAAGTACACAATAGGCCGGGCGCGGTGGCTCACGCCTGTAATCCCAGCACTTTGGGAGGCCGAGGCGGGTGAATCACGAGGTCAGGAGATCGAGACCATCCTGGCTAACACGGTGAAACCCTGTCTCCACTAAAAATACAAAAAATTAGCCGGGCGTGGTGGTGGGTGCCCGTAGCCCCAGCTATTCAGGAGGCTGAGGCAGGAGTATGGCGTGAACCCGGGAGGCGGAGCTTGCAGTGAGCCGAGATTGTGCCACTGCACTCCAGCCCGGGTGACAGAGCGAGACTCCATCTAAAAAAAAAAAAAAAGAGTACAAGTACATAATAATGCCAAGCACCTTTCAGACTGTTGTCAGGTGTGGTAATGGGTCTCGAAAGCCTGTCACACAGCTGAGTTTCAATAAGTATAAAGAGGCTTGGTGCAGTGGCTCATGCCTCTAAACCCTTGGCTTTGGGAGGCTGAGGCAGGAGGACTGCTTGAGTCCAAAACAAGCCTGGGCAACACAGCAAGACCTCATCTCTAAAAAGAAAAAAATAGCCGGGCATGGCAGCCTGCGCCTGTATTCCCAGCTACTTGGGAGGCTGAGGTGGGAGGATCCCTTTACCCCAGGAGTTTGAGGATATAGTGAGTGATGATCGCACCACTGCACTCCAGCCTGGGCAACAGAATGAGGCCCTTTCTATAATAAATGTTAAAAAAATTAAAAAGGAAGAAGAGCAGGAGGGATTCTACTTATTCAGTGGTTTTCCACTGGAATATCCTAATAGAAGAAAGTGGCTGGTTACAGTAAAAAAGCCTGGTATACATTGCTGACTCAGAATAGAAGGTAATTTGAAAAATTCCACAAATGCCAATCTTATCCACAGCTATTGCCTTGCTGTAGATTTTGACAGGAAAAAAAAAAAGGCTTAAAATTGTCTCAAAATGGTCTGTCCTAGGAGGAGTGCTAGGTATTTCCCAGTATTTCCCATTTGCTCACCTGATATATTTTTAGTCCCTCTCTGAGTCCCAGGAGGCTGACCTCTACACATTGCTCTCCTACTTCCAGTGGGGTCAACCAATTGGAAGCACTGGCAGGAGGTGAGGCAGTGGGGAGAAGGGAGAGGCCAAGGTATGTCGCTCCCTGCCTGCTTCAAAGCAGTTCTGGCAGTGGCTCCTCCCTCCAGCTTCTGTCCTCTACTAGGCAGCACCTCCTTCTGGCATCAGCTCTGAGCCAGGCTCTGTCACACTGTAACCTCCTCTACAGCTACCTCCTGGGTCTTGCTCTGTCCCCTGGTGGTTTTCTAAACCTTCCCTATACCTCTAAGTAGTCCCTTTCTTAACATTTATTTTCAAAAATCCTAGTGAGTACGCCATCTGTTTCCTGCCTTAGTAATAGAGAATCTAAAGAAAATGTTCTGTGCACTCCTTCTAGACTTAAAAACACGGCACAGTCCCTGATCCTGTAGTCCCACAACCACATCTTTATAGAGAAAATCCAAGTGCTTTAAGAATCACTGATGTTTTCACCAATCTTCATTTTCTGGATTTGCTGCCACCCTGACTCTGTTATTCCCATGCTTTGGGCTTTCCAGACAAAATCCAAACTGTCCACCAAGGCATATGAGACCTTTTGTGTTCTTTTTCCTCCAGCCTAATCCCTCACCCTCCTCACTTGCACTCCACATGCTTGCTAATTGTGACTCTCCGACTCATCATGCACCTTCACGCACAGGTCTCCATACATACCATTTCCTCGGCCTGGGAAGCATTGCTCTCACTGCTGTCTCTAGATAAGCTGCTTATTCTATGAGGTGCAGCTGACATGGCACACTCTCTAGAATTTTTCCCATCACCCCACACTAAGTCTCCTCCATCCTCTTATAGTACTGCACAGGTCCATCCAACAACAAATCTGGGATGGTTTAAATCTTCACTGACTTGGTTATATCCCCACACAGTATTACTAGCCACTTGATAGTAGATTTTTTGTTGTTTGTTTTTTGAGATGCAGTCTCATTCTATAGCCCAGGCTGGAATTCAGTGGTGTGATCCTGGGTCACTGCAACCTCTGCCTCCTGGGTTCAAGTGATTCTCCTGTCTCAGTCTCCTGAGTAGCTGGGATTATAGGCACGCACCACCCCATGCTCAGCTAATTTTTGTATTTTTAGTAAAGACAAGGTTTCTCCATGTTGGCCAGGCTGGTGTCGAACTCCTGACCTCAAGTGATCCTCCCACCTCGGCCTCCCAAAGTGCTGGGATTATAGGCATGAGCCACTGTACCTAGTCTAGAGCTATTTTTATTCAAAGCCCAACATAATTATCATTATCATCAATATTGTTGTAAGCATAACCATCCTCATTATCTAATGAACACCTAAATCAGTGCTTATTATGTGCCAAACAATAAAACAATTTTTTTTGTTTTGAGACAGTTTTGCTCTTGTTGCCTAGGCTGGAGTGCAATGGTGCGATCTCAGCTCACTGTAACCTCCACCTCCTAGGTTCAAAGGATTCTCCTACCTCAGCCTCCCGAGTAGCTGGGATTACAGGCACCTGCCACCATGCCCAGCTATTTTTTTTTTTTGTATTTTTAGTAGAAAGGGGGTTTCACCATGTTGGTCAGGCTGGTCTTGGACTCCTGACCTCAGGTGATCCATTTGCCTTGGTCTCCCAAAGTGCTGAGATTACAGGTGTGAGCCACCACGCCCAGCTTTAAAACAATGTTTTAAATGTTTTTCCATGTATTAATTCATTTACTATTCCCATCAACCCAATAAGACAGATAAATTGCTGTAGTTTGGATATTTAGCACTCTAAACCTCTTGCTAAAATTTGATCCCCAATGTTCTCGGTAGAGACTAGTGGGAGGTATTTAGGTCATGGGTGGATTCCTCATGAATGGGTTGATGCTGTCTTTGCAGTAATGAGTGAGTTCTCACTTTATTAGTTCCTGCAAGAGCTAATTGTTGAAAAGAACCTGCTGGCTGGGCATGGTGTCTCACACCTGTAATCCCAGCAATTTGGGAGGCTGAGGTGGGCGGATCACTTGAGGTCAGGAGTTTGAGAACAGCCTGGCCAACATGGTGAAACCCCATTCTACCAAAAATACAAAAAATTAGCCGGGCATGGTGATGCATGCCTGTAGTCCCAGCTACTCAGGAGGCTGAGGCAGGAGAATCACGTGACCCTGGGAGGTGGAGGTTGCAGTGAGCTGAGATCACGCCCCTGCACTCCAGCCTGGGTGACAGAGTGAGACTCCATCTTTAAAAAGTACAAAATAAAAATAAAAAGAACCTGGTACCTCCCTCCCCTCTCTTGCTGTCTCTCTCACGATGTGATCTCTGCACACACTGCCTCTCCTTCACCATTCTCCATGAGTGGAAGCAGCTTGTGGCCCCTCACTAGATGCAGATGCCAGGGCCATCCTTCCTGTGCAGCCTGCAGAACTGTGAGCCAAATAAACCTCTTTCTTTACAAATTACCCAGCCTCAGGTATTCATTTATAGCAATGCAAACAGACTAAGACACTAATATTACCCCCATTTTACAGATGTTGACCCTGAGGCATAGTATGCTTAAGAAGATTGACTGGATCATAAGGCTAATAAATTGCAGAGCCAGGATTGAAATCCAAGCAGTCTAGCTCCAGAGTCTGTACTCCGTGGTCTACTGCCTCAAAGGGACTTAAATAACATTTGTTGGATTATTTAATAAATGTTAGTGAGGCTTACTACACACAAAATTGGAATCAAAAAATAGGAAAGTATGGCTAGATTTGGTTATAGAAGCCTTTTGGGAAAATCTTGTTTTGGGCTTAAGATCCATTAGCGTCACCATGTAATTTTTTCCTTCTTTGCAGGAGAAGCAGATGGGATCAACAGATTAACAAATTATTCACTGTTCCCAAGCAAGGCACTGCTAGGATCTCAATGTCCCTTCCCAGAAGACTAACTGTATCTGCAAGAAGATAGGTAGAGGCAATGTCAGGTTTGTAAATTGCCTGTGAAAATCCTTCTCTTTCATAGGAATCATTTCTTTAAGTAATAGTATAAAACATCTGCTACATGGTATCCTAAATACCATGGGTTTGCAAAGGCTGTGCTTGGGTGTCATTATTAAACCTGTTCCCCAAACATCAAGAGAATTGTGACTTATCACCAGAGTCCACACTTCCTGACCTGAATGAAAAGAGGAGTCAAAACATTTCCCCAGACTTGATTGATCACCTACTAGGAGAGACACAATCTTAGCTGCACGTTGCAGGTGTGTCCTCTGCCATCCCCCTCAAAGTCTAGGTAAACTGAGCCAGTTCTCACATCCTGGACCATGCAAATAAGAGAAGATTCTCATCTTTAGACAGAGGACAGGAGTAATGTGGGCAGCATCTGGGTTTTGCTAGGCACTCTCCATTTTTTCAGGGAAGGAAGGACAATACATTTATTTTGGATGGCTCCTGTCCTTTGGTGCCTGAAATTTTTCTTTTACAGAGATAAATAAAGAATCCAAGTAGAGTCTAGTCCAGAAAGATGAGACATCTTTAATTCTGCCAAAGCCCCCAACAGTTCCAAAGCTCCCAGATTCCAGTTTCAAAATATCGCATGGCTGACATCATCACAAGAATACAAGAGAAATGACAGAAATCACATGGAGGGGCTTACAGTGATAGAGGAGACTAAAGGTGGCTGTATTGCTACCATCTCAATTCAACAAATTTGAACAGGTGGCTCTAGGAACATGACAATAGTAGGCATGTTCTTAAAATTACTAAAAATACATACTAAAATTATTTCATGCCCTCGTTTGCATTCTGGCAGCCTGAATATCAAAGATTTCTGCCAAGTAACCTTAATGCTCAGAAAACGGCATTTGTTTCTTTAGCTCGAGTAGTTCTCTGCCAGCTCTTGAGCAATGCCCACTGTCTCTTCCCAATTGTCAGCAATGGTACAAACACAGTCCTCCAGAGAGCCTATCATGAACCGTTTCCAATCCAGACACATCACTTCCTGTACCTGCGTATTTCAGCAGGCCTCTCTATTCACCGGGGTGAATTACAGCACCGAGATGGACCACTGGCTGATTCTGAGGCTTTCTTTTTCTTTTTTTTTTTTTGAGTTGGAGTCTTGCTCTGTTGCTCAGCCTGGAGTGCAGTGTTGTGATCTCGGCTCACTGCAACTTCCACCTCCCGAGTTCAAGCAATTCTCATGCCTCAGCCTCCTGAGTAGCTGGGATTACAGGCGCCCACCACCATGCCTGACTAATTTTTATATTTTTAGTAGAGACAGGGTTTTGCCATGTTGGCCAGGCTGGTCTCGAACTCCTGACCTCAAGTGATCCGCCCACTTCACCCTCCCAAAGTGCTGGGATTACAGGCAAGAGCCATTGCGCTCGACCTCTGCGGCCGGTTTGATGTTCAATTCAGAATGGCTGTTTCACAAGTCCTCAAACAGCAACTCCTGCTTGTTCCCTGAGACAGCTACACATAATTAGCTGAAGATAAAAGATCCTTTGTTTTAACACAACCCAGATATATTTGGCTCAAATTATTTACTTTTTCCATTTTCCTATTTTGAGCTGGTGGCTCTCCCGTTTTTCTAATCATTTGAATTTATATGTATGGCTCAAATGATACTTTGGTTTGAATATCAGTTGAACATTTGTAAGTCTCAATGGACATTGGGAACAGGATATGTACAGGGACTTATTCCCACGTGGATTCTACAATACTGGCTGTGGGGACCGAAAATTCTGACAGGGAACTGGCCGGGCGCGGTGGCTCACGCCTGTAATCCCAGCACTTTGGGAGCTGAGGTGGGCGGATCATGAGGTCAGGAGATCGAGACCATCCTGGCTAACACGGTGAAACCCCGTCTCTACTAAAAATACAAAAAAAATTAGTCAGGTGTGGCAGAGGGTGCCTGTAGTCCCGGCTACTCGGAGACTGAGGCAGGAGAATGGTGTGAACCCAGGAGGTGGTGCTTGCAGTGAGCAGAGATCTCCCCACTGCACTCCAGCCTGGGTGACAGAGCGAGACCCTGTCTCAAAAAAAAAAAAAAAAAAAGAATTATATATATTCAATAATATTGCCTGCCTGACTCTGCACCTCTAGTTCTCAATATGCCTTCATTTATATTCTAATCACCATCCAATTACCTAAATATAAATCCTTTTATATCAAATTAATTTAATAAACTATTTATAAAAAGGCAGTGAGCTCAACAACTACCAGAAATTTAATTCCTTTGAGCCTTAGATAATTAGCAAGATGGCTTGGCCAAAATATTTTCTTCCATCAGAGTGTTCCCATTAAGGGAAAGCTGCTGTTCACTTTTCAATCAGGACTAGAGGAGAGACCTGAATTATCAGGCTTAACTGCAGAGCCCCTGACCACCCAAAGACAAAGAGGAAAATATCAGGAACCAGGGAAGAGCCAACAGGGCTGTGTGGAGAGCCATCTCATTTTCTTAAGCCACAAAGTAATGAACCTGCTGCATAAACCCAAGGAAAGGGAGGGAGTGTATGTAGATTTTATTTAAAACATTTCTAAAGCACATTAGATATAGTAAATAGTCATCATGACAACTCATAATTGTTCCCCTTTCAGGGTTGTGGCAAGCGAGGCACAAATAAGTTAACTTAGCAAACATCATACAGCTTGCAAATGGCAGAACTGACCAGGCAGTCTGGCCCGAGACTCTCTGCTATTCACCACCACTCTGGGCTGCCTCTCTATGTCAGTTATGGTTGAGTCTCTTCCTAATGACTAGCTGCTTGGGGCAGTTTCTGTCATCACAGTCTCCACTGCATTGATCTGCTTTTCATGATCTGTGCTGTTTCTCCCCAGCAGTGAGTGGGAGCTCCAGGAACTCATTAGAGAAGAGCTGACACTCCATTATTTGACATTAAGCTACCCAAGCAATGAAAATATGTCATAATTACTCAAGGCCAGTGTCAGAAAATTTCTATTCCATACCTGGGACACCATTTTCAAGACAAATGGATTTGGTAGGTTGTTTTCCCTCTGTCATTTGATGAACAGTTAGCAGTCAATACATTTGTAATTCTTTTGCACAAAACTCGGCATTGGCTCCCCATTTCTCTCAAAATAAAAGTCAAGTCCTTACAGCAAACTACAATGTCTTTCCCAATCTGTGTCTCAGTTTCTGTCTCTCTGATCACATCTCCTACCACTGTACCTTAATTCACTACCCTGTAACCACACTGGCCTCTCTGCCCTTTCTGTGACTTGCCAGACACACTGTGCCTCAGGACCTCTGCACTGGCTGTTCCCCCCACACCTGGATCACTGTTATTAGTCCATTTTCACACTGCTGATAAAAGACATATCTGAGACTCAGAAGAAAAATAGGTTGGATGGACTCACAGTTCCACATGTTTGGGGAGGCCTCACAATCATGGCAGAAGGTGAAAGGCACCTCTTACATGGCAGCGGCAAGAAAGAATGAGAAGTGAAAGCGGAAACCCCTTATAAAACTATCAGGTCTTGTGAGATTTATTCACTACCACGAGAACAGTATGGGGGAAACCACACCCATGATTCAATTATCTCCCACCGGGTCCCTCCCACAACACTTGGGAATTATGGGAGTGCAACTCAAGATGAGATTTGGGTGGGGACACAGAGCCAAACCACATCAATCACTTTCCTCCAAAATTCTCATAGCTAATTCTTTTTCAAGTATTTACTAAAATGTCAGCTATTCAGCAAAGCCTTCTCTGACCCATTACTGCATCCATGAGCACCAGCAATCCTTCCCTTACTCTTTCCCTGCCATGATACTCTTTTTTTTTTTTTAATATAATTGCTTCTAGAAAGTAAGTTCTGCAAAAGTGGGTATGTTTGTCATTTGTGATCACTGCTACATCCCTGGACACTATCACAGGCCCTCTTAGTTCACAGTTGCACATATTATCTCTTGAAAACAAGGTAAGAGGGAAGGAGGGCAAAGGAGAAAACTATAAACAGAATACCAGAATCATATTTAGATTCAATAGGCAAGATCTTTGCAGAATCTAAATAACATCAAAAGCTAAGCATATAAAACAAAGAAAAAATTAGGCATGCGCTTTTGGAAAACTTCAGCATTAGGTAATTTAATGATTTTCTGGGCAAGGAGAAGCAAATGGTTTTCTCTTTCATTCCAGCTTCAGTAGCAGGGATGTTGTACTTGATTACTGATGCCTGTGGAAAGCGGCAGCATCATGCCACATGTCCTAAGTGAAAGATAGCAGTGGGTGACCACAGTATGGTGAGCAAATTGGAAGGTTACAGGAAGAGAAGCAATCCTCCTGAATCGCACAAAGGGCAGCATGCATCTCCCCAACACTCTTTAGCACTCCTTGCTACTCCTTAGTATCCTGTACTACCATATCTCACACAACATGTATTAAAAATTACAGATTTATCATCAAATATTGTAGTGTAAGTTGATTATGTAATTTCTGAATTTTAGTGCAAAGTTATAAAACTCTTAACAGAAATAAGTGCAGTTGCAAATGTCAGGCACTATGTTTGGACCCAGTAATGCAAACAACAGGGTCAAGCAAATTAATCATTAAGTAACCCAATGTGTTCAATACAATGACAGAGGTATAAACTGTTGCAATAGTCTCCTAACTGGTCCCCCTTCACTGACTTGGGCCCCCTCAAAAGCACTCTCCTGGGAACAACCAGAATGATTTTAAAAATGCACATCAGAAACTGCAGCCCTTCAGCTGTCTCCCTGGTTTCCCATCATGCTTCAGATCCTTCCCCTTAATGAGGCCTGCAAGGCTGCATGTGATGACCCTCACCTCTGGACTTGGCTCCAGCGGCACTGGCATCTCCAGTTCCCTGAAGGCCCCTTCATGCCACCTCCTCCATACAATTCCCTCTATCTGCCCAGGCCTTTCTCAACCTCTTCTCCATTGATCTTGGCAAAATAATTTATTCTCATCTTTCAAGCCTCAGTTTATTTTACTTTATTTTGAGACAGAGTTTCACTCTGTTGCCCAGGCTGGAGTGCAGTGGCACGATCTTGGCTCACTGCATCCTCTGCCTCCTGGGTTCAAGCGATTCTCCTGCCTCAGCCTCCTGAATAGCTGGGATTACAGGTGTGTGCCACCAAGCCTGGCTAATTTTTTTTTTATTTTTTATTTTTAGTAGAGAGACAGAATCTCACCATGTTGGCCAGGCTGGTCTCAAACTCCTGACCTCAAGTGATCCGCCTGCCTTAGCCTCCCAAAGTGCTAAGATTACAGGTGTGAGCCACTGCGCCCAGCCATTCTACAGCAATTTCTAATTTAGTACTAAACTATTTGTTTACAGCATATAAAACACATGAAAACACAGGCCATCTCTATTTAGGTCACCATTTGAATACTTAACACCTAGCAGTGTTCTCAGCGTGTAGTAGGAGCTAAAACAATATTTGCTGAATAGCAGGTTAGCTGGTTGGCTGCTAAACTGGTAGGAAGAAGGAAAAGAGGGAGGAAGGAAAGGAGAAAGGGAGTGAGGAGTTCAGGGGACAAAGGAAGACTAAGAAAGAACCAGTTAATTTTCTATAAGGAATAAGAAAGTAAGATCCTAACAGGCTTTGTAGAGGAGGGCCATTTTGATCTATTTTCACCAATGATTTGAAATCAAAGACTTAACCAGCCCTGTGCTAGATGGTCTGGGGACACAGGAGGGATTTAAAAATGGTTGATCATAATCCCATCCTTCAATGATCTTATAAATGTGTGGGCACAACTGACTTACCTAAATGAAAAAAAAAAATAGCAGGGGCACAAAAAAGAGTTCCATTAAATATAATAAAACTCCAAAATACAGGGCTTGGACAATAAATCACTTAAGGGAGAGACAGGAAGCTTCCATAGAGGAAGTGAGACCTGCAGTTCGCCTTGGAAAACACTCACAGAAGCACTTACTCTGAGTCTGGCAAGGTTCCAAGACCTCTACCTATATTAACTCGTTTAATTTCCCCAACAGCCCCATGAGGTAGATTACAACAATTATTTCCATTTTACAAATTAGGCAAGATTACACAGCTAATTAATGGAAGAGCAGGGATTCACATCCAGGCAGTATTACTCCTCAAAGTATGATGCCAAATGCCATCTGTTAAATGACCATCCATTATTTTCATTCCAAAAACAAAGGTCATGAGCATCTTTTTAATTCAATAGGTGCCGAATCCTATAATTTTAAATACATGAAATGAGCACTTAATGCAGCAGGTCAGACCCTTGATATAAGATGACACTTACCTTCCCCAAATGGGCATTATTAGTCATTTCAATCTTTGCCCTAGAGTTACAGAGACTTTTTGAAGGGAAAATCATCTTAACTTGTCCCAACTCACTTCACTTCATACACTCCAACTTTTACTGAATGGCTGCCAAATGGAAAGGAAGGAAAATGGGTACAGTTGACCCTCCAGATCAGTAGTTTCTACACCTGTGGGTTCAACCAACCTTGGACGGGAAATATATATTTTTTTTAAATTGTGTCTGTACTAAGTATGTACAGACTTTTCCCCCTTATTGTTATTCTCTAAACAATGCAGTATAGCAACTATTTATACACCACTTACACTATAGTAATTATTGTAAGTAATCTAGAGATTAAAGTATACAAGAGATGTGCATAGGTTATATGCAAATACTATGCAATTTTATATGAGGAACTTGGGCATCCACAGATTTTGATATCTGTGGGAGGTCCTAGAATCAATCCCTCACAGGTATGGAAGGATGACTGTACGTATTTTATTGCTTGCTTTAAAGCTGTCCATGGATCAGTAATTCAGGGAACCCGAAGAGGTCACCTCACCCTATAATGAGGACATTCGGATGCTTTTGCAATAAAATTCCTTGAGAAAAGGCCCAGAAAGGACCTACCTGGAAGCCTCCTCTGTACTGAAGTGTTTTCACTGGCTTTTTGAGTATTATTCCCAGGGAAGCCACGAGGAAGAGAAAGTAAATACATTTTATATTCAGTAAAATTGGCAATTAGAGGGCAGTGCTGCAAAGTATTTTTAAAGTATCTGATCTTTGCCATCCATCTCAATCTAAAAAAATTTCAGGTGCAAATATAATCATGCTAGCTTTATGCAGAATATGATGAGCCTCATGAATAAATTATTAGAAAGACATGGAAGAGGTATAAGGGCATTAAACAAAATTATTTAATAAAGTAATAATAGTGTCAGAAAACATATCTGCTATTTGTAACAATCAAGACAATAACTGGGAGTGTTCGAGGTTAAAACACAAACCATCAGCAGCATCCTAGTAATTCACTACACTTGACATTTTAAGGAGACACTATTTTGCATTAACATGTACTTTTTATGGAGAAACATACCACTTGGATTTGTACACCAAAAAAGACTGACATTATAAGAACCTTGTCTTAAATCACTTTCTACATTTATTGCCCTGCTTGTGTCATCTAATGTGGTCATTTACAATTTGCTTTAACAAATAAGAACTTCTGTCAATCATTCAACTCTTGCAGTACTGAGACCAAGGTTGCCATCTAGTGAATTTCATTACGACATTTTATTTAGTAGTAAGTAGTCAACTTTGATTTTGTCAATAAGATGAAATTTAAGTATTACAATGCATATATAGATCACTACTATTAACAAATTTCCTAAATGCCTACTAATACTTTTATATAATCGAAAAATTCTTACATGCATGAAGAAAGCACACAATTATAATAGACAGTAGTACAGAAATTCACGTTTGAGGATGTACTCAGGGTCAGATGCTCTGCCAGGATCTTTGGCATACTATTTGTGCTTTAATTTTTAGAATAACACCATATTGTCATTCTTACCCCCATTTCGTTGACAAGAAAACCAAGGTTCAGAGAGATTAACCTGCAGAAGGTCACCCAGATAGATTCAAAGCCAGATTTATTCAATCAGCATATATACACCAAGCGCCAACTCTATGTTAAGTAATGTTCTCAGTACTAGGTGCACAACAAGAAACTAAACTGAGAAAATGTCTAGCTATATGAAGTTCATTCTAGTGGAGGTAGACAATTAAAAATCATCCTGTGATATGTCATACAGTGATACATGCTATGAGGACAACAGAGTAGGGTAAGGGGAAAGGGTGGGAGAACTTATTTGATAAGGGAACATGGGAGCAGAGACATCAATGAAGTCAATTATGTGGACGAGGTGGTCATGTGCATATCTGAAGAATGAGCTTAGGTGTGCTGGCCAGGTGGAATTCGTAACCGATCTATGATATTCTATTACAAGTAAATTACAAATGTATTATTGATACAGCTTTGTAGTTCAAAATATCACTGTGCCCATGGTTTCAGTTATGTAGGATGAGTAAGTCTTAGAGATCTACTGTACAGCACAGTGCCTAGTTAACAACACTGCACTGTATACTTAAAAATTTGTTAAGAGGGCATATTTTATGTTAAGTACTCTTATCACAAAATAATAAAAATTAGAGCGGGCTGGCTGTAGGAAACTGGGAGGTATGTTTATGGCACAGATTGTGGTGATGGTTTCATAGGCATATTCTGTATATTCTTATCTCCAAACTCATCAAGTTGTACACATTAAACATGTACTGCTTTTTGTATGTCAATAATAGCTCAAAAAAGTGATTAAAAAATACCACTGTCCTCTTTTCAAGCAGAACACCAAATCAGTTGAGATTCCCTCATAAAACCAACAGCTATGATTTCCTAAGGAGCCTTACCTCTCTCTCTGTTGCCAGCACATTTCTGTCAACTCTTGAGTGCTTTGCTCTCACAGAAGCAGAAGATGGCCAGAAAAAAAACAGTCTGCCTTTGTCTCTAGAAGGGTGGTTACAAACTCTAAAATGTCACACTCTTCTTTCTCTTTGATTTATTCATTTAACAAATATTTATGAAATATTTGCTCTGGGCATTGAGAATATGGAGGTCAAGAAACCCAATGATCCTTGGTCGTATGCAGCTTTCATGGTAATGGATCTACCCAATGATGCTTGTGGGTGGTCCTGACCACCCAGCTGGAAATCTGTTCCTGTTTGTCTACAATTGCACCATCATGATCTGCAGTCCCAAGCCCTGGCTTTTCACTTGAACTGTTCCTCTTCTATGTGCTTTTTCATAGCATAAATTTTATTATACATTGGTTATCCTATGACACAGGATCAGCAATATTCACTAATATTCTGTTAGTAAACCAGATGGCCTGGTTTGCAAAGACCCCCACCTTCACACTCCACACCCAGGACTTACTACTTTTTTCTTTCACCAAGTCAGTACTCCTGGGAGAGGTAACATATTAAAACAATTCACACAAAAGCTGCAATGACACATTAAATACACTTTTCTCCTGCAAATGACAAAGGTGGAAGAGATGGGGGAAGGAGGAAGAAAGACTAAGTAGGCTGACTGGATGGTGAGAGAAGGCAGAGATGATAAAGAAACAAGAACACAATTTTACCCACCTTATTCCATAGCTTTCCTAAATTGAAAGTTCTTGATAGAGATTTTATCTTTCCTCTTAATCCTTGTTCTTTCTATAAACTTCATTCTGGACTATGACATTTGTGCTATAGAAGTCAATTGGCAAAATGCATATATATGCATATTATAAATTAAATAATTTTGCCTTCAGCTAGCAACATTTAAAGAATGTTACGGGCAGTTCTAGCAGCCGAAATCCATAAATAATTTTGAATTTTCTGATTTCAGTAATATGGATTTCGATGAAGAATAGGGAACTAAAAGTAGTGTTTGAGGATAAAAGGGAATTAAAAAAAGCTAACAAAATCATTACAATTACTCAATATTGGTATGGCAAATCCAAACACAGCTGACTGGTTTTTATCCTCAACTTCCTCATGTGTGAAACAACACATATCACAGAATCACTATGGGATAGAATTGAACAATGTTGTATCAGTCAGGGTCCTGGCAGGAAACAGATGGCACAATGAGGTACACGAGAATTTCATGAAGGTAGTTAACAGAATGGCCCCCCACAAATATTCATATCCTTAACCTTCTAACCTGGGAATGTTACTTTGCATGGGAAAAGGAACTTTGCTGGCATGATTAAGATTAAGGACCTCAAGATGAAGAAATTCTCTTGTTACTGGGGAAGCCCAAACTTAAAAGAAGAGAGTAGGCTGGGGGTGGTGGCTCACACCTGTAATCCCAGCACTTTGGGAGGCCAAGGCGGGCAGATCACGAGGTCAGGAGATAGAGACCATCCTGGCTAACACGGTGAAACTCCGTCTCTACTAAAAAATACAAAAAAATTAGTCGGGTGTAGTGGTGGGCGCCTGTAGTCCCAGCTACTCGGGAGGCTGAGGCAGGAGAATGGCGTGAACCTGGGAGGTAGAGCTTGCAGTGAGCCGAGATTGCGCCACTGCACTCCAGCCTGGGTGACAGAGAGAGAATCCGTCTAAAAAAAAAAAAGAGAGAGAGAGTAGCAAAAGATGGGGTTAGAGAGCTGTGACGTGAAGGCTTAAACTGCTATTGCTGGCTTTGAAGATAGAAGGAGGGGCCAGGAGCCAAAGAATGCAGGCATTCTCTAGAAACTAGAGAAGGCAAGAAAACAGATTCCTTCCAGAGCCTCCAGAAAGGAAAGTGGCCCTGCTTATACCTTGATTTTAGCCCAAGGAGACCCATGTTGGACTTATGCACACAGAACTATAATATAAGAAATCAGTGTTGGTTTAAGCAACAGAATTTGTGGTAATTTGCTAAATAACGTAAAAAAATATACCGTAGGCAGTATTGACTAAGGTACAGGAAGATTTAAGGAAAGCAACAAGGGGAGGTGAAGCACCTCTGTGCTAGCAATGGTGGGAGGCAGACAGCCCATCTAGGCCCGAAGAGCAAGGCTCTGAGAGAGGCGTGGCTGGAGCAGAGGTGCCCTCCGACAGGACCCATGGCCACAGGTAGCAGAATGCAGCCACTGTCAAACCCCAGCCCAATAGAGGTGAAGTAAGGGGAATAAATATTCCAACTTCTTTCTCCTCCTGCCCATGCTGGTGTTTTCCAATAGGAAGTCAGAGGGCAGGGAAGTGTGGGTGACATGGTCTTACCAGGGTCCAAGTAGGGCAAAGACGGGTGCAGAGTGGCTCTAGGTGGGGCAAACAGAATCCCCAGCACAAGTGTTCATAAAGGACCTAGGGCGGGGCTAGGACATGGTCAGCTTTCCCACCAAGGCAACCCATTCCACCACCTCAGGGTGTCAGTGGCTATAGGTTTTTGTTGTTTTCCAGCAATTTTATACAATTGTGTATTATGTGGCACATAATATAAGACTTGAGCACTAAGCTCCTCTGGGAAATGACTAAGCTTTGAAAGGAATTCAGGGGAAGGCACACTAAGTTTAATGAATAAGCAAAGACCAGGACCAGGAGGGGCTGGAAGACAAGCCAGGCCACACTGAACGTACATCAGATACCTTCATTATTTCAGAGTTCCCCTAGTCATATAAGGTTTAAAGGAGTCCAGGCTTCTGCTACTTAGGTGAGAGTGTCCAATAACATAGCGGTTTAGCAAAAAGAAGAAATCCACATCTGGATGCCTCATGTTGCTTCTGAAAGGACTGAAAGGAAGGACTGCAGTTTTATTGAGCCTTTAACCTAATAAGTATTATGCTTTGTGCTAAGCACTTTCACAAATATTCTTTTGTTCCAGTTTCCCAAATGACCTCTTGAGTTAGGGATTATTGGTCCCTTCTTAGAGAAAAGGAAAATGGAACTCAGGGATGAAAAGTAACTTGCTCAGAGATAATGCACGACAGAATTGGGATTTGACCTCTATCCTTTCTATTCTAGGTCCACTTTTCTCTCGATCACAATATGGTCCAGCATGGCTGGACAAATGATGGCTTTATAACTTGAAAGACAGACTGACAAAACTCACTATGATTTTCAATTCCTGCAATCTGATTAATTTCACCAGCGATATATAATTAATATAATCCATTGTTACCCCACAACAGCGACATATTCACTGTGCAGTACAACATACAGCTAGTGAATCTAAATGAAAGTATGCTTACTTCCATAAGTATGTGAAAGCAGGTCTCTGGATTCACAGACATCCAGTTAGTACAGGAATAAAAAAAAAAATAAGACTATCAAATGTGGGTTTATAACCATTATCAATAATGATGAGCCTTACCCCAAACACGTTTTGTTCTTTGGGACACAGTTAATAAGACATGTATTGTGTACACCCCACCCATTCATTAATTTTACCATTTTTTTTTCAAATGACAAGTTGCATCATCTGAAGGGCTCAAAGAAAAATGTTTTACAGAGTATGTCTAATGGAAATACTGGACAACTCTCCAAAGAGACTCAGAACCACCATATACAATTTATTTTAATTTATTATTGCTTTTACTTTTTTGAGGTATGAAAACAGGAAGGTGCACTAATCTTTACAGGTACAGTGCAATAATATTTTGCATATGTATACACCATGCAATCACAGCCTCCATCAAGACCTTGGGAAATTCCATCATCCCAGAAGGTTTCCCCTCATGTTTCTTGGCACCCAATCCCCTCCCACCAACCCCCATTTCCAGGGTAACTGCTATTCTGGTACCTCTCTTAGTTTTTGCCTTCTGTTGAATCTTACAAAAATGGGGTGATACAGCATACAGTCTTCTGTGTCTGGCTCCTTTTGTTTTGTACAACATCCATATTGTTACACGCACGAGTAATTCATTCTTACTGTGCAGAGACTACACCAAAGTTGGTTTTAGTTTTTTCCTCCCTTCTCCTATTGGTGGACACCTGGGTTCTTTCTAGTTTGTAGGTATTTTGAGTAAAGCTGCTGTGACATTCTTGTACAAGTCTTTGTTTGGATACATTTTCATTTCTCTTGGGTAAATACCTAGGAGCAGAATGCTTAGTCATAAGTTAAGTGTTTAACTGTATAAAAACAAAAACAAAAATCTTGTCAAACAGTTTTCTGAAGAGGTTGTACCAGTTTACACTTTAGCAAAAATGTGTGAAAGTTCCAGTTGGTTTTGGTCAAACCCTGGTATTGACATTTGTTTCCATATAGACATTCTGGGGAGGAGGTTGTGGTATCTCTTTCTGTTTTTAATTTGCTTTTCTGTGATAAGTAATGATTATGTGTTTATTGGCCATTTCAATACCCCCCTTTTGTGAAGTGCCTGTTCAAATCTTTTGACTATTCTTAATTGGGGGGTTTGTCTTTTTTCTCACTGATTTACAGAACTTCTTTATATACTCTGGATATAAGTCTTTGCTGGATTTATGTATTGCAAATATCTTCAGCTAGCCTGTGACTTGTCTTTTTATTCTGCCATGTCTTGATGATCAGAGGCTTTTAATTTTAATACATCTACTTTATCATTTTTCCTTGTGGTTAGCCATTTTTGTGCTTTGTTTCAGGAATTTTTGCCTAATCTGAGGTCATGAAGTTATTCCCTTTGTAAGCAACTTTAAAAATATTCTAGTAGAAGGAATCTTCAAATGCCAAGAATTTCAGCCTCTAGCCTCCTCCTAAGTTTCCTCTAAACAAACTCAAATAGATAAGCTTCTTCCCCCCTTAAAGATCTCTAGAGAAACCACCTTGATAAATTTCTTTCAGTAGCCTGTTCCGGTGCTTTAAAATCCTTCCTATCAGGATGTTTTTTATGTCGACTGGAAATTACAATACTGTTCATGTGATGGATTTATAATGCCTCCAATTTTCACATTAAAAACTAATTTAAAACATTTTTAGCTCGTAATGTCCTTCTGTTCTAAGCCCAGTTGTTATAATGGCTTCTGTTTTATTGTGTTTCTTATGTTGGCTTTTCCTTTTGTTTAATACACCGAAATGAAGTAGCATGATTTAATTGTTCAAAACAACTACACAAATTATTTGTTATTACTAGGATATTGAGATCCTGGTGGACTCTGGAGTGGGGGGTATAAAAAAGGAAAGGAAGCAGCTCTGCTCTCCTGAAACATCCTAGAAAATTCAGATTAATATGAGGGAGGAATGTTCCTCTTTACATACCACTTCTCTGCACAGCCCCTGTCTATAGAAAAAGGCAGATAGGAAAGGTCTTTATTGAGTAAAATTTGTTAAGTTCTTACTATCATAGCATTCAAAAAAATAAGAGTCTGCTATTGTTGATGTAGCAAATCATTATCATATGTTAACATTTTTCAGCTGTTTAGATATGAGAGTCACGTAACTTTCCTATTTAAGATGCTAATCAATTTTTCTCAATACAAGATAAAAGGGAGGGAACCTATTTATTGAGATGTGGTTCCCATATTGTTGGCAATTAGTTTATAATAGTGGGTCATGTCTATCATTTTCCTATACTTCAAACCAGCCACTAGCAGGAATTGAAAGTGAAAACTACCAAGTGTTATTCGTGTTGATGAAGGATTGCTTCATTTTTATCATCTTCATCCCTAAGGACAAAGAAAAGAGAATGCAAAATATGGAAATGTGAATAAAGTTTTTGTGTTCAGGGATAATAATAAAGCCAGGATAGTCTTTAAAAATGCAAATCTGACCATGTTAGTTAGGATTAGGTTCAGCTAAGAGTAACAACAACAACCACCACAAATCCAAAGGTAATTTTCTCTTCTCTTCTCTTTCTCCCTCTCACATCTCAGGAATACCACGTCAATTCCTTTCCATGAAGTCCAAAGGATCTGATCTCAGGTGTGACCAGCATCTTCAAGGCCCAAGGCCACATCTAAGTTTCTGGATGCAGGAAGAAGCAGGAAATAAAGAAGAAAATGGGCATACACCAGTTTTCTCCTAGAGAAGGCCTCCAGAAATTGCCAAAGAACACTTTCATCTGCATCCTCTTGGCCAGAGTTTATCTGCACGGTTACACAGAGCTGCAAGTGAGGCTGGGAAATGAAGCCTTTTCTTTGGGTTGCTATGTCCAACTAAAAATTTTATTACAATTAAAGAAGTGGGAAAAAAAAAAAAGAACCCTGATGGAATGCTGGCAAGCAGCTCTGCTACACCAGTTATATAATTCTACAAAGTAAAACCAAGCACTGTCTTCCCATTGCCCCGGGGAAAAATATAAAGCCCTTAATGGAATGAACATGACTATACCCAGACTGGTGCCTGTCCACCTGTCCAATGCATCATCTCTGTCATTCTTCCCAGTCTTCCCTGTGCTCCAGTTATACTGGACTTCTTCAGCTCCTTGAAGAAACTGAGTTCTTTCTCACTTTCCAAATCCTTAGGAAACTTTTTCCATCTTTGCTCTTTCATCTAAGTCATTCTTCCTCAACTTGAAAGAATCTGCTTAAATGCCACCTCTCTCAGGAGATCTAACATCCTTTAGGTGTTTCTCCTCGCTTTATGCATCTGTGGCTTCGTAAGACTCATGTCACAAGTGATTTCTTATTTAATGACTTTCTTACCCATTCAACTAAAGAATTCATGGAGACAGGCACTTCATCTATTTTATTCATCATTGCATTCTTGGTTATCTAACACAGTATTTTTATTTTTAGGTAAAATTTACCTAGAGTAAAACGTATAGATCCTAAGTGTTTTCTCCTATGTAACCAATACCCTAATCAAATATAAAACATCTCCATCCCCCTGAGGAGTTGCCTTATTTCTTCTAATCAATCCCTACCCCTCAGAGTAACTTCTATTTTATTTTCTATCATTATAGAGTGGCTTTGCTTGTTTTTGTATATCATATAAATGGAATCATGCAGTAAACATGTGCATGTGTCTGGCTTCCTTCACTCAACACAATGTGTATGAGAATCAATCATATTGTTGTATATATAACTAATCTTTTCTCTTTAAGCTGTAGAGAAGCCCGTTGTATAAATACACCACAATTTGTTGATCTATTCTCTTATTGATAGATATGAATTGTTTACATTTTGGGAGCATTATGAAGAAAGCGGCTGTGAATATTCACGTACAAGTCTTTGTGTGGATGTTTTTATTTCTCTTGAAAATACTTAGTGGTAGAATCGCTGAGTCACTTGGCAAGTATCTATAAAGTTTGATTTACTGTGTGTTTAAGTTTGAGGAATTGCCAAGTTTTCCAAAGTGGTTGTATCATTTTACATTCTCACTCGCAATGTATGAAGTTCTGGTTGCTCCACATCACTGATACTGGTGTTGCCTTTTTTTTTTTTTTTTTAAGTTTTAAGTCATACTAGTTTGTATCAAGTAGTATTTCATTGTGATTCTGATTTGCATTTTCCTGGGGACTAATGATGTTGAGCACATTTTCATATGCCTATTGGCCATTTCAATACTTTCGTTTTAGAAGTGTCCATTCGAATCTTTGCCAATCAAAAAAAATTGGGTTGTTTCTACTTTTAAAAAGTTGATTTGTATGACTTATTTATATATGCTGAATACAAGTTATTTGACAGAAACATGTATTGCACATATTCTTCTTAGGCTGTACAAATAAAGTGTTTAACATAAGAACTTAATAAATATTTAAATTAACTTAGAATGGATAAAAGTTACTCGATATGGTAGGGATGGGGGGATTCATTCATTTGAAGAAGCCATTTCTTTGCTCATGCTATCTCCATTTGCTGCCATGCTCTCTCTGCTGTTTCACATCTACTCATAGATGACTAATACTTTTTGTATATCTCTTCAGCTATGTCACTTGTATTATTACAGTGGGCCCAGTATATCCCCCAGTTATTTAAGAAGAGAAACATATTTCTTTCTTACCTAACAAAAGCATGTAAAATGATACTGGACATAAAGAGGGAACTTGAAAAATATTCTGAATTAACCTATTCTGGCAAGCTCTTCAGAGCCTAGTATGTTCAAATTACGATATATAAACCATATATGAAAGCTAATATTCTACTGTTTTAAGTACTTATAAAAATTACTTCCCTTAATGTATTAAAAGCCAGAAAAAGTGATGTGTGTCAAGCATTATCATACCTTAAAATCTCCAATCAAAGATACTACACCAAAATGCAATTTACTGGAGAAGGCATCTCTGCTACATACCCAGTATATCAAGTATTAGCCTACAACAGAGAAAAGAAAAATATGAAACAGAGGACATGAATAACCAGCTGGATGGCCTAAAACCAGTGATTTGTTAGAAGTCAATACAATTAATGTTGTACTTGCATGAATATTTATGCTGACACCAAAACAGTTCAGAAAACATTATTTTAAGCCAAAAATAAAGAACATTTTCTTCCCAGCTGACCATATGAAAAACTTCAGGGTCACCCTTGAATTCTCCCTCTTCTTCATCCACTTATCCAGTTAATTGCCAAGTGCCATATGTGCTAAATTTCTCCCAAGTCTATTACTCCTACTGCATACTGCCTTATTCAGACCTCATCAGCTCTCACCAGCACAAAACTCTAAACATTCTTTCCTTTCACTGGCCTACTTTTGCTTCTGCTCATTTCTCATGATTCTGTTAAATAAAGCCCAGGTCCTCATAAATTAAAGGAAGCTCATCGTCTGCCTCTACCTCTCCTTATAGCTGTGATAGGCAGAATAACAGTCTCTCAAAAATATCCATGTTCTATCCCTTAAAATCTATGAATGTGTTGCCTTCCAGAGCAATAAGGACTTTGCAAATGTGATCAAGGTGGAGGGATGATTATCCTGGATTATCTGTGCATGTCCAATGTGATTGTAGCTGGACCAGATCATTCTGGTTCATCTCTTACATAACAAAATTGTGAATTGCTTTCAGTTGCCACAGACCCACAAGTTGAAGGTCACATAACCTGAACATGCCCAGATGAACCAGGTGTGCAACCTTGGGTGGAACACTCAGACCAAGGAGGAAGGACTGAAATAGGAGGTGGACACCACATGGCAGGATCCAGGATCTAATCAGACTGAACCCTGGCATCACCCGATGGCAGGAACCAGTCAGATCATGCCTCACTATCCTATGCCTATAATAAAACCAACCCTAGCCTTCAGCTCAAGGAGAAAGATTTGAGTATTTTCTCCTGTCTCCTTGCCAACTACTCACAATAAAGCTTTTCTCTTCTCGAAAGCTGGTGCCATGGTATTGTATTAGCCTCTATGTGTATTGGGCAGTGAGCTCACTGATTGCCTGGTAACATGAGCACCAGGGTCCTTATAAGAAGGAGACAGGAGCATCAGAGCAGGAGAGATCTGAAGATGCCATGTTGCTGGCTCTGAAGATGTGGAAGGGGCCGCAAGCCAAATAACAGAAGTGTCCTTCAGCAGCTGGAAGAGACAAAGCAGTCAATTTTTTCTCCAGAGCCTCTAGAAGGAATGTAGCCTCCTCAACTCCTTGATTTTAGTCTATAAGACCATTTTGGACTTCTGATGTCTATAACTACAGGATATAAATTTGTGTTTTTATCCACTATGTGTGTGGCAATTTGTTAGAGCAGCAACAGGAAAATATATACAACAGCTTCACCTGTCTTCACTTTGCAAACACCAGCAGTAGTTATGTGCTAAATGTGTCATGCATTTCATGAAATTACATTACATGCTGTTATATGTTTGGAATATAGAGTCCATAAGGGCATTCCCTACTGTCTTCACTGAAATATGTACTAAAAAATATTTGCTGAATTAATCAATGAAGGACATCGTGCCTCTGTACATAGCGCTCCCTCAGTCCCAAACACCTTCCTCTTATTCACCTGGTTAATTACTACTTATTACTGATTAATCATTAAATGTCTTGATTCTTCCTAGTTTCTCAAGGAGTTAGTCAGTCCTTCTGTTGTGCTTCCCCAACACCCTTCATCTCCTTATCTTTTAATTCTTTGTGTACTTGTCTATCTATTCTACACATTTGTGAGGACAAAAACCATTTTCTTCCTCTGAGTGCTCAGCATAGTGTCCCACACAAAGCATAGTATAATAAAAATCTGATGAATGAATGCCTTCCATCTACCCCAAATAATGTCTGGTGAAAACAGGGGTTACCCAGTTCTGAATCTGTCACCTGTGTCATCATAAGCAAGTTTCATAAACTTCCCTAAGCTCACCTTCCCTATCTACAGGCTGGGGATATGAAAGTCTGTATATTATGGAGTACTTACAAGAATCACATGAAAAAGTGCCCATAAAGTGCATGACACAAGTGTGTGACATACAGTAAGTTTTCAGGAAAGGTTAGTTGCCATCACTATTTTCACTAGTGGAAGGTGTTAAAGAATGTAGGGTGAGCTTAGGCAGTAACGTATGAAACTGGAAGAGAAGCAATTGTGTCAACTGAAGTCATCAGATTGTCATGGGACATATGCCCCTGTCAAAATAGGACTGACTTGAATCTTGGACATTAAGCAAGCCACAGCACATGAGTCTCAGAAGCCCAAATTCCAAAGCTTTGGGGAAGTATGACATCATGGCATTCACTTTCTCTCCCAGTCTAAAAAACAGTTCCAAATATATTGACCCTGTCAAACATCTCTTTTCTTCCAAGTTCAGCTGAGTGTGATTTTTACATAATCACTTCAGCTAATAAATAAATATGTATGTGATGACTAGTTGAAAACTGGCTAACTAATGCATTTTGATACTACAGGAAGATAATTAATCTTCACTTAATTCATGTAGGCTTTTTTTTTTTTTACCTTATCTCTTTAATTTGTCTAATTTTTGGTTAAGAGAATGGGAACCTTGATCCCGCTGCCTGGATGAACTCCACGGTTACTGACTGATACTTCCCAAAGTCACAGTTTCCTCAACTGTAAAATGTGGATAATAATAGCACTTACCCCTTAGGGTTTTAGTAAGGATTAAATGAGATAATATATAGAGAGAATTTAGGAAAGTGCCTGCCACATTTAGGTGCTCATTAAATGTTGGCTAATGTGTTACTAATATTAATCTTTTTGAAATTATGTTTTGAAATAATACAATTTATAATATCAAGGCCATCTACTTGGGGTTTAAGAGTATAGAATTCTGTTTGTAAGAATCACAAGTATTTAAGACCCAAATCAAGATCGCAATCCCACTCACAACGGTCATTAAAACAATAAAATACTTAGGAATATAGCTAACCAGGAAGATCAAAGATCTCTATAATAAGAATGACAAAACACTGCTGAAAGAAATCAGAGACAACACAAACAAATGGAAAAACATTCCATGCTCATGGATAGGAATAATCTATATATTAAAATGGCCATACTGCCCAAGGCAATTTATGGATTCAATGATATTCCTATCAAACTACCAATGTCATTTTTCACAGAATTAGAAAAAATATTCTAAACTTCATATGGAACAAAATAATAACCCATAATGGCCTAAGTAGATAAAGCAATCCTGAGCAAAAAGAACAAAGCTGAAGGCATCACACTACCTGACTTCAAACTATACTACAAGGCTACAGAAATCAAAATAGCATGGTACTGGCATAAAAACAGACACAGAGACCAATGGAACATGTTAGCGAACCCAGAAATAAAGCTGCATACCTGCAACCATCTAATCTTCGACAAAGTCAACAATAACAAGCAATGGAGAAAGGACTCCCTATTCAATAAATGGTGCTGGGGTAAATGGATAGCCATATACCAAAGATTGAAACTGGAACACTTTCTTTCACCACATACAAAAATCAACTCAAGATAGAGTAAAAGCATAAATATAAAACCTCAAACTATAAAAACCCTAGAAGAAAACCTAGAAAACACCATTCTGGACATAGGCCTTGGCAAAGATTTCATGACAAAGTCTCCAAAAGCAATTGCAACAAAAACAAAAACAGACAAGTGGGACCTAATTAAAGATCTTCTGCACAGCAGAAGAAACAATCAACAGAGCAAACAGAAAACCTACAGAATGGGAGAAAATGCTGCAAACTACGCATCTGACAGAAGTGTCATATCCAGAGTTTATAAGGAACTTAAGCAAATTTACAAGCCAAAAAAAAACCCAAATGACCCCATTAAAAAAATGGGCAGAGGACATGAACACACACTTCTCAAAAGAAGATATACATAGCCAACAAGCATATGAAAAAATGTTCAACACCACTAATCATTAAAGAAATGTAAATCAAAACAATGAGATACCAACTCACACTAGTCAGAATGGCTATTACTAAAAAGTCAAAAAATAACAGATGTTGGCGACATTGCAGAGAAAAGGGAACACTTACACACTGCTGGTGGGAATGTAAATTAGTTCAGCCACTGTAGAAAGCAATCTGGAGATTTCTGAAAGAACTTATAAACAGAACTACCATTGGACCCAGCAATCCCATTGTTGGGTGTGTATCCAAAAGAATATAAATCATTCTACCAAAAATACACATGCACCTATATGTGCATCACAGCACTATTCACAATAGCAAAGACAAGGAATCAACCTAGATGCCAATCAACGGTGGACTGGATAAAGAAAATGTGGTACATACACATCATAGAATACTATGCAGCCATAAAAAATGAAATAATGTTCTTTGCAGTAACATGAATGCAGCTTCAGGTCATTAACCTAAGCGAATTAATGCAGGAATAGAAAACCAAATGCCTCATGTTCTCACTTATAAGTGGGAGCTAAACGTTGAGTACACATGGATACAAAGATTGGAATAATAGACACCAGGGCCGACTTGACAGGGGAGTGTGGGAGGAGGGGGAGGTTACCTATAGGGCACTATGCTCACTACCTGGGTAACAAAGTCATTTGTACACCAAACCCCAGCGACACAAAATTTACCAATGTAACATACCTGCACATGTACCCCTGGAATCTAAAATAACTTAAGTTGCGGGGGGGGGTGGGGGGAAAGAAAAAAAAAAAAGAACAGCATTTGAGAACATTTATTTACTTTTTTTAAAAAAGATGCCATTTTGAGGATGAATACACTTGATCAGGGATTTAGAAGTTTTCAGACATGTAAAAATGGCTAAACTGAATGTAACAAATCTAGTAAGAAATGCTAATGAAATCTGAGATGTCAGAGGAGACATCAATTAAACTTAAAAACCAAAATGAAATTTTCAAAGGCAGAAACAGATGGAGAATATGAAAGAAAGGAAGAAAGTCAGGAAGTGGAAAGAATGAAACAACACAGGACTAATTAAACAGAAGAACAGGAAGCAGATAATTAACGAACTGAAACAAGGCAAGGCATGTGTTATATCAGGATATGCTATGTAGACATAGACATCATTCTTAGGCCCAGCTGGCTTCTGATTCCAGCTGAGACAAATTTACCTTCACTTTTAAAGACGGTGTTTTGCAACCCATTTAATCTTTTCAATGACCGCCAAGTCACAGGAACAGTCTCAGCTTAAGGGTCCTGTTTATACAACGAGATGCTGTTCCCTTGAAGACAGGTCCATTATTATGGTATAAAAAATATAGAGAAGAATGAGATTGTGTTTGCAATGAAATATAAAATAAGAAAGTTAATATACACGAATATATTTTATTTAAGATCTGCTTGTTGGCATGTTATGCCTGTAGCATTTACTACCTCGCAACACTGCTAGAGGTATGTGGATAGCTCCAGGCATATCACCAAATCAGAATGCGAAATCACTGCTCTGAATTTCTAATAATGTCACGACTGCACCCCTTTCTTCTTCCTCTAAAATCTATGACGCTAGCTGTTTAATAATAATGCAGATATACTTTACCCAAACTAAATTCCTGGAAAAGGTCAGTGTTCACACCTAGAATTTTCATGGCTTATGGTGTATAGCACAGAAAATATGAAAATTAATAGAAATGATTACAAAAAATGATATTGCCAAGATATATCTTGATGGAAAGAATACACAGAGTTCACATTAAAATAAAAGTATATGTTTACTCATTCACCCAACAAATACCTACATGGCACCTATTAGGTGTGACATATATCATAGAAATGGTAGATAGACCTAGAGGACAGTCAAAACACAGAACCTTTCCTCAGACAGTATAGTGTCTTGTGCTATGAAGTATTTTCCATATATGCTTTATCTCCCCACCAAGTTCACTTTACACCCCCTGCACTCTCCAGTGAATACATGCTGGCTTATCTAGATGGAAATTTGATGGAGGCTATTATCTGTCAGAATAGGCTAGGTTCTGCTGCAGTAATGAACAACCCCCACATCTGTACGACTTAACACAAGTTTACTTCCTGCTGACACTACATGTCCAGTATAGAGGCTCAATTTATCATAGTCACTTGAGGACTTAGACTGCCAGAGGCTCATCCTAACATGGGCTTCCATAATGAACACAAATAGAGAAAGGGGGTACTTGGTCTCAAATTGGTAATTGACTGCTCCAGCCTGAGTGTGACACACATCATATCTCATTTGCCAGAACCACCCAACCAGACTGAACAGAAAGTTCAGTCTTCTACAGGCACAGAGGGAGAGAAGGAGCAAATATTGTTACCTAGAGCTAATGATTACAACAGTGACTTACTGTAAAGAATAAGAGGAAGTGAAAAAATTGTGGCAAGGACAATTAACCTGACCTATTTCCAGCTCCAAGACTTATTAGCCACATGTCCACAACGTCATGTAACCTCCTCAAGCCAAAGTTACATGGTAATAATACCTCTCCTGCCTATCTCAGAGAGTGGATCTGCAGCTTCAGTGAAGCAGATATTATTCAATACTGTTTTACATTTCTAGAACATATGTAGGCTTTCAGAATAGTTTCATATGTCTATGTGTTCAAGGAGAACACAGTCAGCCAGGGCTAGAGAAAAAATGTGGAAAACTGGAGGCTGCTAAAAAGTCAGTGTGGATAAAGCACAAATAATTTATAAATCTTGGCCATAGACTCCAAGATTACCAAGTTGAAGGCCAAGAGCTTCAAGGATCTCTTCCCTTGAGTAATGAAAAAAATTAAAGATGCTCACTTCCCCAACTTCTTAGTCCTCAAGAGAATCAACAGAGTTGTCAGGGGTAGCCAACATCTACAGAAGACTGTCCTTAATATGGCTTCATGGTCCTCTATGCCGGCACAACAAAGTGCCCTTTTATGCCATCTTTAACCACATGCCTCTTCTCTTCCCACATCAGAGTAGACAGTGATCTGTACGGTCCCCCCACATACATGAAGATGTTGATCTGCTCCCCAGGATACACGCCCCTGAGTTTTGCCTTTTTTTTTTTTTTTTTTTTTTTTTGAGACAGCAGAGTTTCACTCTTGTTGCCCAGGCTGGAGGGCAATGGCGCGATCTTGGCTCACTGCAACCTCTGCCTCCCGGGTTCAAGTGATTCTCCTGCCTCAGCCTCCCGAGTAGCTGGGATTACAGGCATGCGCCACTACACCCAGCTCATTTTGTATTTTTAGTAGAGACGGGGTTTCTCCATGTTGGTCAGGCTTGCCTCAAACTCCTGACCTAAGGTAATCCACCCGCCTTGGCCTCCCAAAGTGCTGGGATTATAGGCGTGAGCCACTGCGCCCGGCATGCACTTGTTCTTGAATCTCCTCTTCCATCTTTTCTTTCCACATCAGTTGTTCTCAAATGTGATTAGAACCATGCCTAGGACATAGAGACATGGGTTCCTTTCTGTGAAGCCATTCTTGATTCTTTTAATCAAAATCAGTTGTTCCTGCCAGGCGCAGTGGCTCACGCCTGTAATCCCAGCACTTTGGAAGGCTGAGACAGGCAGATTACCTGAGGTCAGGAGTTCAAGGCCAGCCCGGTTACCATATTGAAACACCGTCTCTACTAAAAATACAAAAATTAGCTGGGCGTGGTGGCAGGTGCCTGTAGTCCCAGCTTCTCAGGAAGCTGAGGTAGAAGAATCGCTTGAACCCAGGAGGCAGAGATTGCAGTGAGCTGAGATTGCACCACTGCACTCCAGCCTGGGCGACAGAGGGAAACTCTGTCTTAAATAAATAAATAATCAATTGTTCCTTCATCTATGATCAGAATACAATTATTTTACCTTATATTTATATGTATTTAGTTCTTGCTTGGATTAGAGTTGTTGACATTCTGGTCTCCTCTAGTACATTACAGGGTGTAAGAGGACAGAGGATCTGGGTACTCACCTCGTTGTCCAGCAATGCCTGGCATGGTGGTCTGTGTGGAACAGCCACCCGGTAGATGTGGAATGGGGGGAATGCCTCTCTAGTCACTTTTTTCTGTCATTTCCATTTTCTCTTGTCTTCATATGGCCCCTGACTAGGACTGGGTGTTTGCAAGCCAATCTAGCATGAGCTGTTCTATTCAGTGTGAACCTTCCCTTTACCTATTCTCTCTTCATCCAAGCTTTAGAAACTGTCAGTTTTATATCCCAATGTCTTGTTTTATTCTCTCAATGTCTTGCTTTCCACAAAACTAGATGTTCATAACAATTGCCTGGGAAGCCTTCTAAAATATATATAAACTCGGATAGATTTTATTTGTTCTTACCACAGGAAATAAGTCTGTGATGTAATACATATGTTAATTAGCTTGATTTAGCCATTCCACAATGTGTATATATTTCAAAACATCATACTGTATACCACATATATATACAAATTTTGTCAACTAAAAAATAAATAATTAAAAAAATTTTTAAAATGTCTCATCTCCAAGAGACCTGTTACATCATTTTGTGGATGTGGCCTGGCAATCTCTCCAGCTTGGACATCAGCCCTCTGAGTGGCATTTGGAAAGCACCTTCACCATATGTGACCACATATGATGATGGGTTAGTCCCGTAGACTGCAAGTATATTAGCAGAGACTTCTATTGTTTACTGCCGAGCAGTGCTTCTCAAACTTTAATATGCATACAGATTACCTGAGATCCTGTTAAAATGCAGATTCTGGGCCGGGCGCGGTGGCTCATGCCTGTAATCCCAGCACTTTGGGAAGCCAAGGCAGGCGGATGACGAGGTCAGGAGATCGAGACCATCCTGGCTAACACGGTGAAACCCTGTCTCTACTAAAAATACAAAAATATTAGCCGGGCGTGGTGGCAGGCGCCTGTAGTCCCAGCTACTCGGGAGGCTGAGGCAGGAGAATGGCACGAACCCGTTGGGGGGCGGAGCTTGCAGTGAGCGGAGATTGCGCCACTGCACTCAAGCCTGGGCAACAGAGCGAGACTCCGTCTCAAAAAAAAAAAAAAAAAAAAAGATGCAGATTCTGATTCAGCAGGGCTAGGGTGGGGGCCAAGCTTGTATATTTCTAACAAGCTTCCAAACTGCTGGTGTACAGACCTCACTTTCTGTAGTAAGATTACATTTTTAACTGTTTGTTAGTGTATTTATTAGGAGACTATTTTAAAACTATATCTTCCAGGGACTCTATTATAACAGAGAGAAGCAATCTTTTAGGTTCAATATATAAATAGAAATTTGAACTTGTAACATCTTTTTATTATTAAAACCAATCAATTCATAAGATCAGTGAGACTGTTTTGATGAATACGAAATTTGAAATCATGGGTTATGTTAGACAAATGCATATTATTAGCATTACTAGTTTATTTCTGCATGTTGTTTCCCTGATGAATGTCCTAATTCACATAGACAAAAAAAAATCATTTACAATTATTTGCCAGCCTGTCTTACAATCTTAGGTTAGGTGTTAATGAAATAGAAATGACAGGAAAATCTTTTTTCTAATAACTGTGTAAAAGTCAGGGCAAGTTAAAGCACTAATAGTCTCCAGTGGATACAAACCTGGAATATATTGAAGAGCACATTTTCATTACATTTTTCAATGAATAAAAATGTAAAATTAAATTCAAAGCAAACATCTGTTGAACTCCTCAGCCACCGCTATAATTTTGAAGAAAACATCTTGAAACCACACCTTGATCCTAATAAGTAGATTTTGCAGGCTTTTGCAGCACTGAATTATGGCCTATGCAGAGAACGATTTTGAAAATGGGAGGAATGGCTAAGTGTAGCAAGGTTCTCTCAAACGATAAAATGAGAATAGTACCTTTGCCCAATTCTCTATGGCAGGCCAAGTACCTAGGCTTAGCTTCCAGGAAATTTCAGGATAAGGATTTCTCCCCCCTTATGGAAGTTCACGCCAAAACAATACATTTGCCAGAAAAAGCCACTAATGTGACAAGCACTATAAATAACCATGCAGAGCAAAGAATGTCTGTGTGTGTGAGGCAGAGATATTAGACACATCAAGGTAACCATTTTTTATGTTCAATGGTTGATTCTGCTTCAGTATTAAAGAGCTTGGTGGCTTTTAATGATGAAAAAATTATGCGAACATTAAAAAACAATTTTATATAATTATTTGGAGTTCACAAACAGCAATTTAAAATAAATCCATTAATGCCGTCTGTAGGGCTTTCTTGCAAGTGAAAGGAAATGTATCATGCACTGCAGTTTGGTGTAATACTAGAAAATGAGCTCTCCTACCAGTAGTGCATTATGAAGAGAAATTAAGAAACTTAAGTGATTATTTCTGGGGCTGGGAATCGGTCTTTAATAGGGCAGGTCCTTTAATGGAAAGGCATTAGAGTCATCCATTCACTTAACAAACATTCACGAAGAGTTGAACAGTGCTCAGGGATCCCTTTTCACGGGTAAGAGCACTTCTAAGGTTCATCCCGCCAAGCCCTTCTGACCCTCTAGAAAACTTCAAATGAGGCTGAAATGCATCCTGAAAGCATAAAGAATCCACAGATAGGTGGCCACTTGTTTCAGGATTACGCTGCCTTTCATCCTTTCTAAGGAAATTGAGAAAGTGTTTTGAGGCTAAACCTTGGTGAGAAACCAAGCGCCACCTGGAGTCAGGAGAAGGGATTACAACTCTGCCTCCATCTCCCTCCTTGGGCTCTTCCTCCATCTCGCATTTTCTCTGTCAATCCTCTGTTAGAACCACCACCTCTTTTTCTGCCCAGGCGAAATCCAGTTAAAATAAACACTCAAAGCAGAACTAAAAGAAAAATTAATCCCATCACAAAACGGTTGCAGAGGTGATTTTGTAGAGTCTGAGGGGCACAACAACACTCATTTTACAAATCAGCCATATTGAGTAGGGGTCATACCTCAAACCTGCTTATTTAACCTCTTTTTGGGGTATCTCAAAGGCTAAATTTTGTAATAGTTTTGTAGATTAACCGCCCCCTAGTAATAGCCTGTGTCACATGACTTCCTTGCCCTATTCCTATTTCCTGCTTTGTTTAAATCAGGAATCCCCTATTCCCTTACTCTTCCCTCTTTTCCTGTCAGCATATTATGAAATTCATATTCACTATCACCTATATCCTGAAACCACAGTTGAGTGGGAAGAAAAGGCCAACACCTACAAACCACTTTTGCACTACTTTCTTCAGCCCACAGCAACACATCCAACTCCTCTCTGTGACTTCCTCTCCTAGACCAGGCATCATAAAGAAGCCCGGAGAAAAACAACACAGTAATAATGGATAGATTCTCTTTAATAAATACATAAAGTGCAAGGTCCATCTAATCCTCAAAACAAGCCAATAAGGGCCTGCCACAAGTCAAGGAGACCCAGCTGTCAATCATTCTCTCACAGATGGTGAGACAGTCTGGGGTATGTGTCTTTGACTTGCTATTTCTAAAAGGTTGGGGGTGACCTGGCAAAACTCAATGCTTAGCAGAGGATGTAGTGGGTTGAGAAGTGGCCCCCAAAAGTTATGCCCATGTCTTAATCCCTGTAGCCTGCAAGTGTGCCTTTACTTAGAAAAAGTGTCTTTGCTGATACAATGAAGTCAAAGACCTTCAGATGATGAGACCATCCCGGATTGTCCTGGTGGGCCCCAAATCCAATGACAAGTGTCTCTATGGGAGAAAGACATAGAGAGGTTTGAGACAGACTAAGGAAGAGAAAACACAAACATATAGAAGAGAAGACAAAGTGAAGACAGAGCAGAGACACATGGCCATAAGCCAAGGAAGGCCAACAGCTGCTGGAACTAGAAGAGGCAAGGGACAGATTCTCCCCTAGAGCCTCCAGAGACAGCATAGCCCTAGAAGGTCCAGCCACAAGCACAGCAGGCCTGGCTGTTAATCATTCTCTTACAGCTGGTGTGACTGGGGGATGTGGCTTTGACTTGCTATTTCTAAAAGTTTTAGGATGATCTGGCCAGACATTGACTTTGGACTTCTGGCCTCCAGAACTGTGAGGTAATTCATTTCTGTTGCTTTAAGCTACCCAATTTGTGATAACTTGATAAGGTAGGCACAGAAAACTTATACAAAGGCATACATGTGCTTCCTCTTTCTGTTTCTGGTTCCAACTTCTTCTGTATCTGGCACTAGTTGGAATAAGATGGCATCACGATGGAATCTGAGATTGGGTTTTCGTAAGCAAGAGCACAGGCTCAGTAAGTCTCAGGGCTGACTTTGTTCTGCTGTTATTCAGACTTAACTCACATTGGGAATTGGTGCTGCTGGCTTCTTTAGTATCTATTGTCTCCTTTCTTATGGGCAGAGCTCTTTTTTTTTTTTTTTTTCAGGGCAGTATCATGGAAACTACACATCCCAGGCTCCTTTGCAACTAGCCATATGATTAAGTTCTGGTCTGAGAGACTGAAGTGAAGTTGTTAGGTTGGCTTCTATGAAAACCGTTTGGAAAGCAGGCAGACTCTTCTGAAAGTCACCTTTGGCTCTTGGGTCTCACCCCTCTCTTCTGACTTGACATGCAAATATGATGAGTCGAACTGAAACCATGGGAATGTAAAAGCCACATGCTAAGGAAGGCAGAGGAGAAAGACAGAAGGAGCCTGTGACACTGAAGATACTGTACATTTGTGAGTCAGTCACGCATTACATACTCTGGGCTTCATATCTCGTAAGACGTTTAAGCCACTGTTTAATTGGGTTTTCTGTAACTATACCCGATGTAATTCTAATATGTCCACCAGCTTAGAAAAGCAGAATGCTTTTTGTGAATTCACTTAATTACTAGAACTCTCCACATCAGGATTTGTGGGGAAGCCACAACCAAAAGTGATGCATTACTATGCCTCCCATTTTCTAGTTGCTAAAATATCTTCCTCAGGCCCCAGAACAGAATTTGGATATTCCTTGGTGCCCTGGACATAATATCATCCATTATCATCCCAGTCTGATTATCATCCCTACAATGAACCTTTTAGTAAAAGTTAGCTCTCTTGCTTATTGCTCTAGTCTCTAACAGAACTTAGTACCCATACCTGCAGTCACATTCATTGTCTCGGTTAATTGCTAACAGAACACTGGTCCCTATACACTAGCAGTATGGATCAGGAGGCACTGACATGAAAGAGACCAGGCTCCAGCTTTGAAGGTCAGCAGCCTGTTTTTCCTAAACTCCTAACTCCTTATCTACTTTTGGTTATATCTACCTGCTAACCAATGGTTTTGCATTGTTATCTTTAGTTTTTGATATCTTATTTATGAAACCTAATAACTTAATCACTTTCCTATGCTTGAGTACTTAAGAGCTTAGAACTCCTACCTGGCTCTGGTCCCTAGTAAGTAAAACATCTCATGAATTCTAATTTGGGTAAAACTATGAGCCATTTTGAAGGAGCCCATTCCCTTCTGACAGTCTCTGTCTTGCAAGTATTGGTGCTAATTCCCAATTTTCCACGGGGAGAAGGGAAACTGGGATAGATTGATCTTCCTACTATGTCAACAGTGTTTATGAGAACTAGAAAAAGTTACACAACCTTTTAGTCTGAGTTTATCAAACCATAAATGGATTAAAAAAAGTACCTAGTAAATGACTTGAGGCATGAAGAGTCATGTGTATTTGATACCATGACCAGCGTTGGCTGACAGGCACTAGAGTCACATTCCACTGTTAGTTTTCTAGGCTGACACTATTTACAAAATAATCAGCCACAGCCAATTTAGAACATGTTAGCTTTTAACTTAGCCTCAAACATAATGGCTTCTCATACTAGATGATTACATTGGTGTGGTGGAAAGTGTGACTGGCTGGGTGATGGAGAAGTCCACAGCTGATCAGGAACCTTCAACCACTGGATCACTGGCACATACTGTCTGCCATCATGAAGCTGTCTGGCAGTAGTACTGTCACTCATGGGAGGGTATGGTGGTCATAAATAAACAGGTTATGCACCCTTCCAAATTAGTAGAGTGAAAATCTATTTTCCATGGCTTAGAGACCAAACTTTGGAACATAAGACATTCTGTGTCTTACATAATCAGTCTAGCTACAACCAACTTCATTTTTCCCGGTCTTGGCTTATGTCACTGCATTCCATGAATTCTACAACGCAGTCACACTGAGCACCTCATTGATACCTTGTGCCTTCCCATCTTTCCAGTTCTGCTTGTACAATTTCCTCCACCTAGAAAGTCTCCCCGACTTGTTTAAATATTACTCATTTTATTCAAAGCTCAGGTGAAATGACACAGCCTCCTCTGCGTTAGAGTGATCTCTCCCTCCTCTGAACTTTACCATGTATTAAATTATAATCACCTGTATATATGTCCCATATTAATTACTAGATTAGAAACTCCTTGTAAGTTTAACACGACAATATCTACCACAAAGCCCAATTGAGGGTTTATGATGTACCGAGCCTGATACCAAGCATGGTATGACCTCATCTCACTCCCTATTATTCTTATTTTGTACATGGAAAAAACCCCTGAGGCTCAGAAAGGCTAGGTAATTTGTTCAAGATCTCAGACTTAATTGGGATTCAAATGCTGAACTATGATATCAATAATAATTAAAGTTAATTGTATATTAGCTGTAGTATAGAGACCTAGACCCCAAAACAAGTGAAAAACAACCTAAACTTATGAAAGTAGTACAACTGATCCTTGAGTCAAACTGCTCCATTTATATGCAGATTTGTTTTCAACCCAACACAGGTGAAAAACACAGTATTTGAGGGATGTGAAACCTGTGGCTATGAAGAGTGATGCCGACTTTTTCTATACATGGGTTCTGCACAGATGACTGCAAGGCTTGAGTATGTGTGGGTTTTAGTACACACAGGGCTCCTGGAACCAATCCCCAGTACCCTGAGGGAGGGTGGTACTCTTTAAGGCCAGATATTATTTGTTTCAAAGGGAAGGTGATGACTGTTTGGTTGAGCAAACCCCTAGATAGTATAATCTCCTTTTTTTTTTTTTTTTTTTTGAGACAGGGTCTCGCTCTGTCAACCATGCTGGGGTGCAGTGGTGCCATCATAGCTCACTGCAGCCTTGAACTCCTGGGATCAAGGGATCTTCCTGCCTCAGCCTCATGAGTAGCTGGGACTACAGGTGTGAGCCACTGTGCCGGGCTCCCTTTTCTTAAAGGTGGGAATTGAACGATGAGAACACTTGGACACAGGATGGGGAACATCATACACCAGGGCCTGTCGTGGGGTCGGGGGAGGGATAGCATTAGGAGATATACCTAATGTAAATGACAAGTTAATGGGTGCAGCACATCAACATGGCACATGTATACATATGTAACACAACTGCACGTTGTGCACATGTACCCTAGAGCTTAAAGTATAAGAAAAAAATAGAGAAAAAAAAGTAATGAGTCAAAAGACTAAAGCAGCCTTTTCTCACAAGTTTCTTTTTTGTTTTGTTTCTTTTTTGGTCATCTAGGAAGTGACCATTTTCACAACTAATAATAAGCCTTAAGTTGTTAATGTCATTTCAAATTACCCATGATTTCTCCATGTCTGAGAAGATAAAGACACCTTCGTGTCATTTTACAGTCTCACCTCCATGTCACTTGCATAACTGCTGCTTCTTTGTATTAATTTTTCTTAGTTTGAGCAGCAGAGGGGGTGCTTATTTCCATTATCATCAAATATGGGGAGTTTTGGGCACACAGCAAGAGCTGAATCAACATGCACTGTCTTTTATTTTCAACCGAATTCCCATGAGCAGTCAAAAGGGTAGGCGGAGTATGACAGAGGTGGAGATATGAAAAGGATGAATGCGTTTTCTCAACACTGATTTTATCCTTTAACTTTGAACATAATTCCAGGCCTAGGCAACACTAAAAATGGAACTTTAATGTTACAACATGATTGAGAGTCTGGTATCATACTGAAGTGATGGGTCAAATTTCTCACAAAATTTGCTCTATAATAACATTTCATATTCTTAATAACACTCTAGTCTAAATATTGACAGTCATTTGCCACTTGGGAGGCAAGAGGATGATAAAAAATATACCAAGAATATTAGCCTTCTTCCCTTAAGGTTCAGTAATTGCCTGGTAAAAGAAATGTATCACTTTCTTGGGTGATCCTGAGTTGATCATTCTGAAGAGGCAAAAAGATCATGTGTCTAGTCAAATGTGTGTCTGTGTGTGTGTTTATATCCCATAAGTGCCAAATAATTACATTAAAGCCTTAAAAGTTCTTATGTGAATGGATGTGGCCAACTCTCCAAAATTTAATATTATTTAACTTTCAAGGTCTGACTCACAGCCAAAAGAGTTGCCACATCTAAGTTGATTAAACTCACAGGCCAGACAAGGTACAGGTGGGCCAGGAAACTGGGGCGGGCCTGACTGGCTGGCAGCAGAAATGCAACAAAATAGCTTGAGGGTTTCATAAACCACTTCCCCGAGAAACAGAAATTATATGTGTCTTCATGAAACAGGCTTTGACTCTGTGGGCAGGAATGAACACATCCACACATGTTCTGTTTCTGAAATGGTTCTACTTCTGAAGTGTAGATGTATATGATTTGCTAAAATCCTGGACACTACTTCCCTAAAACTCAAAATGTAGCATCACACACATAATACCCCTTGCTTCATTCCTTTTGTATGGTGGAGTCTAGATTATGATTAGTTTATTATTTTTCAATGAAAATTTTACATCATTAAGAGCTTTAAGTTGTCTCAACATTTACACATAATTTAAGTGTTTATTTGATTTTTGTCCTTCACATGTGTCCTAAATATCCAACACTGACTATTGTCTTAGATTATAAATGTTGATGGAAGGGTGATGTCTGTGTAATAAAGCATGATTGTACTCTAAAGCATAACATTGTAATTGTTAACGTACAACAGATTTTAATAATAGTAAAGAATATTGCTATTGCTATTTAAATACAATATTGAGGGTGAGAGTTATCTGTGCACACTTTTGATATTTAAAGATGATAATATTGAGGGTGAAAGTTATCTGTGCACACTAGAGTAGTTCAGACTCACATACACTCTCTTTCCTTTTTGTACCCCCTCACTTTAATGGAAAAGCCACTTTTCCAAATGTGTGCTAGGCTAATACTTTAGAATCATCAGTAATCTTTTAAAACAGTTGTTCTCAAATTTACATTACAAAAAAATCTCTGAGAAGCTTGGTGATCAACCCCCCCACCACACACACACACATACACACAAACACGCACACATGCATGCACACACACACACACAAATACACACACAATCTGCCTAAGTAGGCTCAGTGTAGGGTCCAGGAACCTTCACTGACAAGCATCTCAAGTGATTCTGATACAGATCACACTCTGAGAAACAAGGAGGTATTTCATTTAATTGTTCGGGACCACAATAATTTTTAAAAACAGAAAGGGAACTACACATGTTTTATAGAGGTTTCTTTTGTAATGTCCCATTACTGTCCATGAAGTAGGTTTATAATTTCATTTACATAACTCAATCTTGAACTTTGAGAAAAGGGTTTGGCAACACAATTCCAGGAGGAGCCACTCATATCATCAATCAAGTGAAGGCAACACCCTCCCCCAGGGTTATGCAGTGTAAACTTGGCATGGTCACAGTCAGTGAGCAAAGGGGGCATCATCTGTTGGAGAGTGGCACCTGTTGGTCAGATTTAGGTATTACAGCCTGGCTCTACTAGGAACCCAATGCCCAGTACCTCTCTACCCCCTCAAAATGCTGGGGCAAAAGAGTACTATTTATTAGTTAAACAATTATTCACAAAGTTCCTATCAAGAGCTTGGCTCAACAGCTAAAAGTGCTAATGACTCACAATATTAAGTAGCGAGAATGCATTTCCTCCAAGCAAAGAAATTGTGAATGTGGTTACTTTACTACTAAGTTTAATGCTATTACAGCTTGAAGTTTCTCAGGAAATTCAAGTTAAAAGGTATAACAACACTGTTGTCATTTAAAAAGTAAACTGACTGTGACAGTCTGGGATATTATATTTTTCTTCACAAAGAACCTCCTGGAATTCAAATATTACTTTGCTTATCATTGACAACTCATCTAGAACGGTAGAAGAAAATTGAACTGTTTAAAAAAGGGATGTCAGTGCAATATATTCACCAAATTAGAAAAGAATAAATAAATAAATACAACCTTAAAGCTGCAGAGATTAATTTAATTTGGTTACTTCCCTGGAAATCACTCAGAATGATGGGAATGGGAAGGGGAAGAAAGATCGATTCTTATTTAGAGGAACTCACAGCAATTGAAATTGAAATGTTCATATGAAGGCGAAAACCATTAAAAACTGTAGGTGATTTGACAAATCCACTTTTTTCACGGTTTATGGTATTATTTTAGGCAACATATTATGCCTTGTCTAGCAGGTCAATTGACAAATTTGGAAACCTCTTGTTTTTGTTTTTGTTTTTTTTTTAAATGTACGTGAATAGATGTTTTGTAGATTGGAAAATCTGGGTAGATTTGATAATGCAAACCTCAGAACTAACTTTGCTGAACCTCTGCTGTCAGTTACAATGGTGGGGCCCTAGCAACTCTACAGTTCTGGCTGAAGAGGAATTTTCCTACATTCAAGCTTCTATAGCAAGCTTTAAAGTAAAGGGGGTAAAAGACCATTAAAAATATTTCTCAACACTACGCAACACAAAATCTACAGTGGAATAAAGGTTTGCATGGGGCTTCACAATGGCATATAGATCATTTAGTGGAAAATTCAACAGACACAATGTGATTGTAGTTAAATCATTTCCCATTGTGATGACATTAAAGGTGCCCATTTATTTTGTAAAACACAAGAGGGACATATACAAATCTGCACTGAACAAAGAGCCAGCCTTTTGCAAACACTTGTTGCTACTTTTAGGATGAAAAGACAAATCAAACTTGCCCTTTCTGATTGTCAATGAAATCTGCACCTCCAACCCTAAATAAGTAAATCAATCAATCAATCAGTAGTTAGACTTTTCTAAGAAAGGAAACTGGAGCACTATAAAGAACATTTTTTTTTTCACCTTTCAACTCTGCATCCACTCCTCCTCATTTGGAAATAGGATCTATATTGTTTTTGGAGCACCTATCTAATACTCCCAGGCATGAATATTAATTGGGCCAGTGAATACAATCAGAATGTTTCCTTAACTTTGAAGACTTTGGCGGAACTTCCAGGAAAGAGACATTTTTCTATTGAATTTGTGGCTGGGGACTGCCATATGCAGAGATAGCACCAGAAAGTAAAGCAAAGAAAGACAAAACAGACCTAGGAGATGGGATTCATGACATGGAGTGAGTCCTGAATTCAGCCATGGCTGAGCTCTGTTGGCTTTTTCAGTTTTGTGAGCCAATAAATATCTATTTTATGATTGCATAAAATAGACTGAGTTACTTTTATGACACTTACAGTTGAACAAATTCTGAATAATTTGAACATATATCAGCTTGCATTAAAATAAGGTCATGCCAGATACTCAATAAATGATATTTTTATGAAACCACAACAAAGAAAAATAAAATCAGACTGTTGTTAGAAATACTGAGTTTTCCATTTTAGTCCTTAAATCCTTAGCATGGCATTCTGAGTTGTCCATTACTTAGTCCCACTCATTTTTGCAATAATATTACTAAAACACTGTCCCCTTATTTCTAAGATCAATTCATACTAATCTACTAGCCACACTCAAACATACCTTGCCCTTTTGTGCCTCTTTGACATTGCTCATGTCATTCTTTTGGCTTGAAATGTGACCTCTAACCCTTTTCTCCATTGTTCAGGCTATAGACTATTCTTCAAAGCCAAGTTTAAGTATCATTTTCTCTGTGACGCTTTTCCCAATCTTCCAGTCAGTTTTAATGATTCCTCTTCTGCAAAGCTCTTGCTTATATCAAGTAACGCATGTGAAAGATGTTTTGTGCACTACTGAGAGCCATACAAAGGTAAGTTACTTTTAGTATTACTGAATACTTATATTTTTTTTTTTTCTTACAGTTATGTCATATGTGTATCTTTTTCACTAAACTGGGAACAATTTGAGGGCAGGGATCATCTTTATTTTTCTCACAGCCTAGTAAATTGTCTTGGCAAAATAAATACTACATAGTTGATGCATTTCAGACATGCACTAGTCATTTGATTTTTCTCTTGCAAAACCAGAACCCATACAAATTAAATCACCAGCCCATCCCAAATGCAACTAGCCTAAAAGAGATTTGAGAAATTTTAGAAATAAAATATTTTAAAAACCCAATAAAGATGAATAGAGTTGAAAACATTTTAAAGGAAATGGTGTTTGAATACATTGATCAAGACATATTAAAAGTTAGAGGATGCAGGAAAAGCTGTGGGGATTGCAAAGGCCAACAGAGTACATCTTAAGCTGTAAACTTATAACTACCCTGTTAAAGAGGATGCTTCCCAAAACAGCCACCTACCCTCCCAAAGAAAAACCAACAATCAACAAACCATAAAATATGTACATCTTCCTATACACATTAAAGACCAAATCAAACACAGAGCAGTCTTTAAAGCTGACTCTTTCTGCTTTAAAAAGGAAATAATTTGGTTGTTCCAGAGAGAAAATAAGAAAATGCCCCTAAGGCAAGTATTTCAATCAAGTAGACAGTTGGGGTTGGGAGAATATGGGGAGGGGTGGATGTAGTGGTGACAGAGCCCCTTGGCAGAGTTCACAAACTCTATTGTCTACTGGGGACTAGACAGGTAATGCAAATGAGCAGAGAGGCCAAAAGGAGGGAAAACAAAGCTTGACTATCAACAGCAAATGACACTTGCCCTCAGTTTTGGGGGAAAATGGGCAGTAGTGGGAATCATTGCTAACCAAAAAGGAATAGTGTTCTACAGGGAGCCATCACTATTCCATCCCAGCCTATTATTTCTTTGTGGGAATTCAGGTCAAAAGTTTCTAGAAAACCTGATTTTCTAACAAACAGCTAAAATGCATATTTTAAGCGAAATTTTTATTATTAAATACTGGTATATAATTTGCATAAAACTTTTAAAGCATTGGGGAGGTCAGGCAAACACACCTATTGCCAAACTTCAAATTTGTAGCCTCTGCTGTATAAAGTACATGAGATCAGCAACCCTCCCCATCACAAGGCATTTAAAATGATTTTTTAAGTTTCCATACAACTCTCTAATGGGTTAACCATGAAGTTCCCTAAGATGGGCTGAGGGACCACAATAGAAATTTTGAACATTTATATAGTGCCATATGTTTACAAAATGCTTCCTCTCAATTCCTCCTTAAAGCAGTTTTGGAAGAAAGCTGTTATTATTCCCATTTTCAGATCAGCTTTACAGCAGGCTCTGGAGAAGGCCAAAAGGGGTCCCACAGGCCTTTCATATTCCCACTTCCATTCATTCACAGCAAATATTTATTGAGCACTATCTGTAAGTCAGACATTCTCATTCCATTACTCTCTTCACTGCCACAGGATGAGGAAGGCTAACAAATTCTCAAAGATTATTCATTCTCTTTTTATCTATAAGGTATTTAAAGTGGTTCACCAATTATTTAGGTTGTATACCATCTGTGAATCATTATGCTCTTCGCACATGAAATGCTAATTTAGTCAACATAAAATAATTAAATAGAGACAATTATAGGTAATATTAGATGCCTACCTTGAACTAAATTGTAGCATGGACAAGTGGTGGTTAATAACAAAGATTAAGACCAGCTTGTGAGAGAAAAAACTTAACATTGGGAAAACAGCGTTAGTAAAATAGTCTTTTTGTGCACTGAGGAAAGGACATCTGTACTTAGGACGGGTTAGTTGCTGACATGCTTTGGATTTGTGTCCCTGTCCAAATCTCATGTCAAATTGTAATTCCCAATGTTGGAGGAAGGTCCTGGTGGGAGGTGATTGGATCATGCGAACAAACTTCCCCTTTGCTGTTCTCCTGATAGTGAATTCTCATGATCTGGCTGTTTAAAAGTTTTGTTTGTTTGTTTGTTTGTTTGTTTGTTTGTTTTGAGACGGAGTCTCACTCTGTCGCCCAGGCTGCAGTGCGGTGGCGTGATCTCGGCTCACTGCAAGCTCCACCTCCTGGGTTCACGCCATTCTCCTGCCTCAGCCTCCCGAGTAGCTGGGACTATAGGCGCCCGCCACCACGCCCAGCTAATTTTTTTTTTTTTTTTTTTTTGTATTTTCAGTAGAGATGGGGTTTCACTGTGTTAGCCAGGATGGTCTCGATCTCCTGATCTCGTGATCCGCCCGCCTCAGCCTCCCAATGTTTAAAAGTTTTTAGCACCTCCTCCTTCTCTTTCTTCCTCCTGGCTCCAGCCACGTAAGATGCGTCTGCTTCCACTTCACCTTCTGCCACGATTGAAAGTTTCCTGAAGCTTCCTCAGCCGTGCTTCCCATACAGCCTGTGGAACTGTGAGCCAATTAAACCTCTTTTCTTATAAATTACCCAGTTTCAGGTATTTATTTATAGCAATGCGAGAATGGACTAATACAGTTGCTTACATCAGATCAGAGTAGCAAGATAGTACAGGGACAACTCATAAGCCCCAGAGCCTGACATACTCAAGCTGTCCTCACTAAAGGTGACTGGAGGGGTCTGTTGAGGGACCACAGTTTATCTTAGGCCACCCCTACCCCAGGTACCTTCCTCACTGACAAATTCCTTTTTCAATCCCAACCTTTCCCATCCTTCATATTCTGGTATATGAAACCTCCATCCCTTTTTACTCACTCTTGCGCGGCATCACCAACTGGCAAATCCCAAATTCTGCCCACAGGAGGCTGTGTTTAACTGGCATGGTACTTTGAATGCCTTCACTCAAGACTTGGACTCTGGTAGACTCCAGTCCCCAGCCCTCTCTGCAGCCTTCAATCCCATGATCTGCTGACCCCTGAAGCTATTTAAATGATGAATTCTTCTCTGGGCACTCTCCTAAGAGAGGACTAGCAGTTCCAAATTCCTGCTCTCCTAAAGGGTAAGCCATGGAGATATATATGAGAACTGTGATTTCCAGTGGCCTTCCCAAATTCCCCATTCTCACTGGGGCCTGTGAATTTGCTGAGAGAACTCTCTAGGGAGCCCTGCAGAAAATCTCAAATGCATAGCAACTCACATCTCCAGAGCCACCTCCTGTTGGATCTTTTATTTTGCCACTGACTTCTTCAACCTTTCCTTACCTGTATCACACACTTATTAGTTATTGCCCTCTGCTTTGCAAGTATTACTTATACAGTTTATATCCTAGTATTATGTACTATCTAAAAACTGCTTTACAATAGTTTGCTAGTTGTTTCATTTGTGCTGGCATTGGCTATTGTGATGATATCTCAATTTTGTATAACTTTTTTGGACAGAAGTTGTATAATGTTTACAATGTTCATATGAAATGGATATAGTTGCTCAGTGCAGGGAAACCTAGGAGCTCTGGGAATATAGATTGCTATCCTGGGTACAGCAGGGCAGACTAGTCCTTAAAAGGGCCCAGAAGTTTCTATTTCTCCTTTCTTAGACTGTAAATGTTGTTTCCAATAATCTTTTCCTGTTGACTCCACTTTTCCTTAAATCTAACTTGTGACTCTTTGCTGTTGTTTATATTTTTCTTTCTTTCTTTTTTTTTTTTTGGAGATGGAGTCTCACTCTGTCACCCAGGCTGGATGGAGTGCAGTGGTGCGATCTTGGCTCACTGCAACCTCCGCCTCCTGGGTTTAAGCAATTCTCCTGCCTCAGCCTCCCGAGTACCTGGGACTACAGGCCCACACCACTATACCTGACTAATCTTCTGTATTTTAGTAGAGATGGGGTTTCACTGTGTTGCCCAGGCTGGTCTCGAACTCCTGAGCTTAGGCAATCCACCCGCCTCGGCCTCCCAAAGTGCTGGGATTACAGGCGTGAGCCACCGTGCCCAGCTGATAGTTTTCTATTTCAGACAAATCTATTGATTTTCTAACAGGATTTGTGCAGAGGTGCTATTTCTACAAGTTCCATATTCCAAAACAGTTCTAAGAAAATGGAGAATCTTCCTTTTTTGGCTGACTCTTATTCTCCTTCTAGGGGTAAGTAGCCCTCCCTACAAATAATCAGTGGGGAAGAAATCATTTTCATTTCTGAGTTCCTAGCTCAAAGGGGGTATAAGATATCCTAGTCACCAGGGAGAATAGAGTAGTTAAAAAGCAAAGGATAAGATTCTTTGAACTGCGCCTGAATAAAGATAAACTGAAACCATTTTGGGTACAGACAGATTACATCAGTGCTCTGGGGTCAGGTTCAAAGGTCAATCACAGTTGTAGCACTTACCTGCTTAACCGGGAAAATTATTTTACTGCTCTATACCTCAATTTCCTCATTTATAAAATGGGGATAGTAAAAGTACCATCTCCCATACAGCTGGAGATTGGTTTAAAGGTTACGATACAATAGTTCTAACAATAGTTCTTGGTACATAAGTGACTGAGAAATGCTTAAAACAACAATGGAAGGGAAGTATATCACATCCATGAGGGCAACCTGTCAGAATCCCAGATAATGTATCATCCAAGTGCTGACAGAACATGGGATTATTAGAAAAACCACAACGGCCCATGCAGTCTGCTGGTGCTGCCCATCAGGAGGATGTGAACTGTCATATAAAAGATCAGAAGCAATCACACACACATTAGGTGGCTTCCAAAGGCAATATGACCTGGAGAGGTGGAGATTATTACAAGATCGACCAGCATTTTTTGGTAATGTCTTTGCTTTTGAATGGGTGAGTTTGTAAGAGATAATTTTGGTTGCAACTCAGCCACCTCTAAATCAACTCATACCTACTACTTCCAGAATGGGCTGGGGGAGGAGGGTGCTGATTCACACATGTAACTGGAAATGTTGTCTTCAGTCACGATTGAATCTGGGACCTTGAACAATGTCATTCAGGTTCTATTTTTCTCTTTCTCTCCAACAGGCAAATAAGACATCCAACAGCAGGCTCAGACTCACTCTTTACTGACTTAGAAACCCCAGGAAAAAGGGGTAATTATCTTTCAATAGTTTTGACAAAAAGTCCTATAAAGATTTCTAATTTGCCCAGCTTGTGCCTTGTGTCTACCTCAAAAGTAATCACTGTGGCCAAAGGGATAGCATTCTTTGAAAAACCAGGCATAAGTCATATGCCTACCACTGTAGATGGGGGGCACTTGACTGCAACAAAATACACAGAATGGGTTTCCTATATGATTGAGGTCCCATGTTACTTAACAAGTGGGAGGATGACAGACAGATAAGCCAAGAGAGGGCTCTTTTGATAGGTAAGACAGAAAAAGCATTATCTGCAAAGCAAGAACCTGTGATAGGAAGTAACAAAGGCGATATCCCTTCACATTAAATCTACATCCTGTTAGTTATGGGGCCAATATTTGTATTTTGATAAACTGAATAATAACCTCTTTTATCTCATTTCTTCTTCCAGTATTTCCCTGTACCCCAATGCCAAAAAGTTATAAAATTACAGAGATTGTTATTCAGCTCTGTGTTTCAAGAATTTAGCACAGTGCCTGCTTAATACTTTCTATGCTATCAACAAATGTTTATTGTGTTAAACTGGGAGTAAAGGGGAATTACCTAGCAACATACGAGCCCCAGTCACCCTTCTCAGCCCTGACTGCATAATACACACCTCGGAATAAGCTTTTCACACCCTACTACACAACCATCATGCTGAGCACCTCTGACCTCCTGAAGAAAGCATAGGAAGTTTGTTTCAAGCATGATTAAGTACCACCAGGTCTTTCTGAGATATCCAAACTAAGATGCATGTTCCTGGAATGCACAGCTGTGTCTTCTTTATCTCAATTTCCCCAGCGTCAGGCACCAGGGAAGAGTACACAGCATGCATTCAATAAATACTTGTGAAAAGAAGAAAAGTATGAGCTCCTAAAAGAGAATGTGGAAACCAAGGGCTTAAGATGGTAGCTTTGCATGATAGGGCTAGATTTAAGAGGCAGGAGTCATGGAAATGCACTTAAGTATCAGCAGCAGGAGGGAAAAAAAGTCAACAGTTATTGGGGACTGAGGAGCAGCCTGATTTATACTGACAAGCAAGCCTTGTGGGAATGAGAGAAACTCAACTGAGAGGTAGCACTGGCTTGCTTTCTCAATTGCACCCTCAGTGTTCAACACCCTTCTGGAGCTTTGGGAGGTCTGTGGTTCTCTACAAATGCCTAAGTTAAATTTCTGCCCTCCCACCTAGGGGGATCTCTTCCAGCTACATTCAACACATAAGGTGAGCTACCATTTACTGAGCACCTTCTATATTCCAGGCATTTTGTCAGGCACTGGACATCTTAAATTATATTGATTGTTAACAAGGAAGACCCTAAATAATAAAAGCTTAAGAGTGAGCCTAAGTTATACCAGAATTTCAATGCAGGTCTGGCTGACAATCTTATATTTTTTCTCTCTAGTAGAAAATTAAAGTCTTCTAGGGCTATTTTTCTAATGAATGTAGTACAATATATCTACATCCATTCTAAAGTACATAGAGCATAATGTTACTCTTTTTGATGACTTATTGAGGTTAAATGGCTGTACCTTTGCTTGCAAGTGACATACAATATTGGATGATCGTATCTTTGAGTTGGGGGATGCTGATGCATGACTATGTATACAGCCCTTACAATAACAGAGATCTGCCTAAAGATGATCTGCTTTGTGGTATGGCCTTCAAGAACATGCTGCCATTTTTTAAAAAGGAGAACCACAAATTGCCTAAAGCAGTAAACTTTTAAAATTAGAACTTGCTATTACTGGTCACAACTAAATAAAATGACTTAACATCTAGTCTGTGTATTCTAGATAATTTGACTAATAAAGCCACAGCAACATTATGATCAAGCTATAAGAGTACCTTTAAGCTCAGAGCATTGAAAAAAAAGTAATAATTACGTTGGTGCTTCCATAAGTTATAATTGCCTCTTCTGTGATTACTGATAATTGCAGATAATTGTCAGCAACATGAAAGAGCTTTTCGTGGTCCCACACTAGACAATGCTACAGTGAAGGCATCACAGAGCTGAGAGGGGAACTGAGGAAGGGGAGGGTGAGTTCATTCCTACTATAACTTGCTTGGTTTATTCTCTAAAATACATTATTAGAATATAATGATTTAATTATCTCATAAAACCATACTCTGAAGTACAGTACCTGCTTTTAGTAAAGAAGAAAAAAACACACATAAAAATATCTTTCCATCTTCAAATTCCTGACTTTTCAGAAAATACAGTCAATTTAAATCATTTAGAAGCCTACCTGAACATTCTAACATTGGGAAGGTCTGAACTGGCAGGCATGGTAAGAGATCATACTGTACGGGTGTGAGATACTTGAAAACATAGCCATTACTTCTGTCAGGGGAAAAATCACTTTCTCAGAAGTCTATTTTTCTCCGCATTATTAGGATGAGGATAAAGCGGGTAAAAAAGATAATTTTACAATATAAATGCTCAGTGGAATATAGATGCTGATACATTTCACCCAAGGAATGTACATGAATTAACTGTTTCTGAAAACATAACACAATTGAGAAGATACAGGCTCTCAATGGCAGAATATTAAGAGATAAAGGACTAGATGCCCAGGAAAAGTAATCAGAAAATCAGGTGGCTTATGTTTCTCTTCTGGGAGACTCATCAATAAGATGTCTACAGACAATCACTTACATTTTTGCTTTATCCAAATATCAAAGGTCAGAGTGGCTCAATTTACTGTTTCCTATACAAACTTTTTTTCATTGATTTAGAAAGGAGAAGAGTAAAAAGATAGATAGTAAAACTCCAATCAGCCTGAGAGAAAGGTTAAAGCCATTCTTTTTTATATGTATTCTGGGTGGTGATCCATAAAAAATAATTAGGACAAGGGTAAACCTATTATGTAGCACAGATTTGCCATCAGTCTTGTCAATCTTATTTGCTCAAGCACTAAAGATTTGTTGGACTCTGTGTCGATTTACAATTAAAATGTATATTAATGCATACGTATACATTTCTCTTCCTTCATGCCATCTAGTCCATGTCAGTGAGAATGCCTGTCTGTTTCTTCTTTAGTCTAAACTAGCATCCTTGTGCATGCGGATCTAAAAATTGTAGTGTTTTTCCCTCTCTCCGTTCTATTTGTTGCATTGACCAATTCTTCACACATTTCTAAACATCCATCATCCAGCTGTTATCTCTACCCAGCACTCACTGTCTGTCACATTTCCCTTGATCCTCCCTTTAAGCTAAGCTCTTTTAACACTGGCTGCCATGTCTATTTCCTTCATCCCTTTGCTAGCAGAGGAGGCTGAGCACAGGGGCTCTCACTCTCAGATGCTGGCTGTGTTATATGTAGGATTTTGTATTAGAGACCTGTCAGAGCTGGCCTGAAGGAGGGTACATTTGAAATCATTTCTCTTATTGAGAGATAAGTGCTCACTGTCATTTATTCTTCCATTCTCGCTTTTACCTTTCACACTACTTCCATATTTATCCTCCAGCTGCCTGCATATTTGACAATGTCATTGTTGATAGTGTTATACTCGCAGATATGCACATGTATGGCTGAAGTGACTGATGCGTGACCTTCAGCGCGTTCTATGCTTAATACACACATTCGGGCTTCTTCCAAGACTGGGCTGTGCTGACGATCTCTATCCAGGTCCTTATTTTCCTTAATGGTAATAATTATGCTAAGTGATAAGGCCTATGATTTATTAAGCTTCTTTCTTCCCAGGTAATTAAATGTCATATTACTGCAGCCACCTCATTTTGTTGGCATTCAACCAGACTCAGAAGCTACAGAGCAAATGCAAAAGAGAAGCTTTCCACCTTCATTGTGTAGGGAGATATTTTTGCTTAGTTTTTCAAACCCATATAGGATTACTCAACAAGGAATCTTACAGTCAGTAAGTATATATATTTGTCAACAGAAAATACAGTGTGCCAAGGAAGTACTGGTTAACAAGGTCCCTATCCTATATGGTAATACAACATAACACAATTTGTCCACCATTCCCACAATTGTGAGCTCTTGGGGGTGAGAACTGTATCTTTCCACAACTTTGCATTGCTTATAGTGTCCAGCACAGTGGTGACAGTTAACAACTACTGATTCAGTGAAACACACACACACACACACACATACACACACACACACACACATACACACACACACACACGATAAAAAGAGAGAAATCAAACGAGAGCAAGAGATAGGATGAGCTAGAAGGATCCAAGAGCATCATCCAACTTGATTTTAGTTCAAGTTGTAGAGGCCACTCCGAATGGCTTTGTGGGCAGGGGAAAAAGGTGTTTTTGGCAGTATTTTGGGAGACCTAAGCATATTGATGCTAGGTTTACAGCCACAGAAACTCATGTATCAAACTGAATTAAGAATGAGTGCCCACACAGAAAGACCGATGCAATGTTCAGTACTAAATAATCATACTCGGTCAGCAAACATAAGCTTTAATGGAGTTTTCAAAGAAAAACAGAAAACAATCATTTCACAAGGAAAGAGACACTGTTTCCACAAAGTTACTGTGAAGTTTTAATCTATTTAGGACAATTGCAGATTAAAGAAGTTAATATCCAGTTTAATTGTAAACCTTGTCAGCATGTCTTTCCAGATTTGTTACACTGAGAAACAAATGTATCATCAAGTATGAAATGCATCTGAACAAACCCAACATGGCTCAATGGAACAAGCAGTTTTTAATTTCTTTTTTCTTATTTACACAAATTATGAAAACAAAAAAAACAAGACATCTTGTTGCTCCTTGGGGCATAAACAAATAGCCATAAGAAGGTTATCCCAAAAAGAAACTGCAAGATAGATTATTTTGGTGTAAAGACATTTATACGTATCCACACAATGAATTTTGTTTAGATCTCTCTACTTAATAAAATACACAATGTTCCAGGCTGTTTTGGTCCTTGGAGGTCATTCTGATATTTGACATTTCTCTAGCTGAAAATGCAATTTTATTGGGCTTTACAAAATGTACTTTTTAGATATATATCTAACTCACAAAATATATTTCATATCTGAAAATAGCTGGCCCAGTTGAACCAAAGGCGTGGCACAACATGTGTGCACTGTGATGCACAAAAGTTTGAAAATTAGCTCTGGGAGTCACAAACCTTTCAGACTGCTGACATGGTTTATTGAAGACTTTGGGGAGGAGGGAGGTGGGGGGCACTCCCTCAACCTCTTGCGGAAATGAAAGTTGTTCTTTGCTTGTGGACAAAAGGGTACAAGTCTACTGATAGGTCCAGACTTAAAATAGCCCATGAAATTGAAAGTAAGCACCAATGTCACAGTGGCTGAAATGGAAGCAATCATGAATCAGCTCCCATAATCTATCATAACGGTGTGTAGTGCTCTCCCTTTTCACTGCTATCATGCCTATTTCTGTAAATCACATAGACAATTAGAGGTGACTCCCAGGGCTTTGGGAATAAAGCTAAACTTCTTACATGGAATACTTTCCTCTCTCGCACATGCCTTTTTCATTTTGTAGACATCTACACCTGACAAAACCCCAATCTTCCATGAACTGAGCTCTCTCTACTCAAAACCTACAGCTACTTAACTGAAAAAGGTCACAGAATAATCCACAACCCTGTCAACTGGTCTCCCTTGAAATTCAGAGCCAGCAAGTCAAGGGGATCTTAGTATTCCAGGCGTCTCCAATACCTGCTCCTACTCCAATCACTCATGGTCCCTTCTGTAGCATCTACTCTCCATCCTCACTGCTGAATGGAAACTCATTATGTCTGAAAACAGAGAAGCCATCTGAAAAGGCTTCCTAACCTCCCACCATCAACTCTACCACTCACCTGTCTTGTCCCTGAACCCACTTACTCTGCCTTTTCTCTTGTCACTGTGGATGCTCCTTTAAGTCAAACTGTCCAGCAACATGTTCACTCTTTCCGCGTGTCCTCAATTTCTCCCTCTTGATGAGATCATTCCATCAGCATATAAACATCTTTTTATATCTCCCATGTTAAAAAATATACCCTTCACCCCAAATACCCCTCCAGCTCCTACCCAATTTTTCTACCCCAACCCCATTTAGAGTAAAAAACTTGGAAAGTGTTGTTCTTGCTCTTGTTCTCCAAATCCACCAGACCCACTCTCTTGTGAACCACTTCTAACAGGCTTTTTCCCCTTGACCACTCCACTGAGAGAGCTCTTCATGGTCACCAATGACTCCACATTGCTGAATCCTATGGGCAATTCTCAGGCGCCGTAATTAACAAAGCAAGAACATTTGATTCCACCATCGCTCCTTCTAAAAACACTTTCTTGTTTTAGCATCTAGGACATGACTCACCTCCCTTCCCTCCTACCACACTGGTTGCTCCTTCTCTGACTCCTTACTGTTTCTTTCTCACCTCCCTGATTTCTAAATATTGGATGCTGCAGTATTCAGTCACTGCAGCTCTGCTCTTCCCTCCCCCTAGGATAACTCGCCCAGTCTCCAGGCTTTAAATACCATTCATATGCCAGTGCCAATGCCTGCCAAATATATACCTGCGGCCTGGACTTCTCCCTTGAACTTCAGACTTATCCACTCAGCCACTGGCTCAACATCTCCAACTAAGAATGTCTTAAAGAGAGTTCCTGATATCCATTATCACACAACAACCCTATTCCTCCTGCAGTTCTTTGACAGTTAATAACCGACCTTCCAATTGCTCAGGCCAAAACCTTGAGTCAACTGCTTCTTATTCCTCATGATCCATCATTGAAAAATGCTACTGTATCTTCAAAACATACCAAGTATCTGCCCACCTCCTACACTGCCATACTGGGTCACCACTCTCCTGTGGATAATTCCAACAGCTTCCTAAGTGGGATCCCTGCTTCCTGCTTTTCCCCTGACAGTCTGTTCTCAACAGAGCAGCCAGAGTGATCTTTTGTAAATGTTAAATCAAATCGTATCAAAACCCAAAGATGCCTTACTCCCTCACAAGTAAAAGCAAAACTGCTCACAATAGTCTCCCTGGCTTTGCATAAGCTACAGCCCCACCCAGTTCTCTGATCTTGTCTCCTATGCCACTCTTCTCATTTTCTTTCTGCTGAAGCCACACAGGCTCCTCGCTGTTTCTACAGCACATCAAGCATGCTCTGCCTCAAGGTCTTTGTGTTTCCTCTGTTGTGATGATTTCTCTCTGGATAGCACCTTGGCTACTTCCTGTATTTCCTTCAGGTCTCTGATTAAATGTTAGTTTGTTAACCAGGCCTTCCCTGGGGACTCTATATCATTTCCCCATACCCCACCCCATACACGTTTTTCCTCTTACCTTGCTTTATAAGACTTTTCCACGGCAATTATCACCATTTCACATTAGACATTTACATCTTTCTTCATTGACTCAAACCCCTATAGAATGCAAGTGTCATCAGAGCAGACACTATTTTGCACTTGGCCATGTCCCCAGCACCCTGAGCAGTGTCTGGCCCATCATAGAAGCTCAACAAATATTAGTTGAAGGAAAGAATGGCCCAAAAGTGCATCAGGTGCTTCTAACTTTGTGTTCTCCTCATACCAAACTGCCCATTCTCAGTCACTGCATGTTTTCACAATACAGGGAACCCCATATGCTATTCCCTGGGATTGAAACACTTCCACTGCCTCCTTGTCCAATGGACAGACAAGCTTGAAATGTCTTTGACATTTCACAAATGACTCTGTAACCTGCCCTGCTCCTCCCAACCTCTTCTGTACTCCTAAAGCAGCTCATAAGAAAACATGTCTCTATGAAGTTAGGTTCAGAAATCCATTTGCTTCTATGTTTAAAGCAACACTGTACATGCATCTGCTAACCATACCCCATAGATGGAGGACAGAGCTGGTGCACATCTGTAATGTCACCCAGCTTTGTTGACATCAGTGAAAGTTCATAAATTAGAAGTTTATAAATACCAAAGAATCTAACTGTATTTTATTGTTAATTGTTTTACTTCTCTGTGTCCTTCACAAGACTGATTACAGACTCCAAGTCTTATTTGTCCTAAAGCTGGCAAAATTTGAGTGTGTGAAGATTAAATGAATTCTACCCATAGATAATAAATAACACTTACTGGAAGCTTATTAGCATCCTGCTGTTCTACATGGATTACCTCATTTAAGCTGCTGAACAACAACATGAGATAGAAACTATCAACTCCCTTTACATTTATGGAACTCAAGGTTTGTACAGGTAAATAATTATGCCGGAGGTCACATAATGACAAATGGCAGAGCTCCTTAACCTCAACCATCTGGCTCATGATATTAAGAGGTCTCTAAAGAGTCACCAAGAAAACCAGGAATAGCCCCCCAACCTTGCTACCGATCAGAATCACCTGTTGTACAATTGCAGAGTCTTTGGTTTCACCTCTATAAATTCTGCTTTGGTAGCTCTGGGATGAAGCCCAGAGACCTGTAGTTTTAATAGGCACCCAGGTGATTCTGATGCAGTCAATTCACTGACCAAGTTTAGCAAGCAGGAAACAGCATATCAAATGGAGTGATTAGGAGGAATTTAATGAAAAGACTATTTAGAAAGGTGCTGGCAGGGATAAGGTGAAGTGGAGCACCAGAAGAGTGCTGTTCATACCCCTAGGCTGAAAGGGACAAGGTGAGGGCACAGTTAACAGAAAGTGCAGAGTACCTATGGCTTTGAGAAGAGACAGTCTGGCAGGGGCTTAAATGTTCACTCAAGGTCAAAGGCAGTCAGAAGCCAGAGGGGAAAGGAGCCTCCATACAGTCCATAGACACAGCCTTCTGAGACATGGAACAGAAAAAGGAAGACGTATGCTGATCTGCAGGGCTAAAAGGAAAACATTCCACACATCAGGAATTTGAGAGTCAGTTTCCTATGGAAATAAACACTGGTCCAGCAACTGCACTAGTCATATCAAACAAACTCACTGAAGACATCCAAATGTCTTTCAGAATGCATCCTTCACTCTCAGCTCCAAACCATATAATCATCTGCCAGCCGAATACTCATATAACCCCTCCTTTCCAATCAGTTAATCATGAATCCTCTGTTTTCTCCATTTGATATTTCTGATCCTTCCCTTCTCTTCATTCTCCCTGTCACTGGCTTGAGGCCACATTGTCTCTGTCTGGATCATTGCAGGAGCCTCATAATTGGCCTCTGTGCTTCCAGTATCAACCCTCCAAACTACTCTCCTCAGAGCTGCCAAAGCTTTCTTTCAAAATGCAACCCTCATCATGTTTCTCTTGGGTTTAGTACCCCACAGGAGCTTCCCACAGCACAGAGGTAAAGTGTAGACACCAACTGTGAATGCAATGTGTTTCCTTATTTCCATTTCTATATCATTTCATTAACAGAGAAGAAAACCACTGATTTTTGTATATTTACCATGGATCAAGCCTTTGTTAATTCTAGTACTTTGTTTCATCAGCCTGTCTCAGGTCTTCTAGGCATACAATTTTATAATCAGCAGTGATGATAAAATTGTATTTTTTCCTACTATTTAAACAAACTATACTTTCTTTCTTTACTACATTACAATCTCCAAAATAATGCTGAATAATAATAGTGATAGCAGCTATCTTTGCCTATTTCTTGATTTTAGCTGAAATGATCTGAGAGTTTTGCCACTTAAGACAATATTAGTTTCTGGGTTTGTTTTTTGTTTTTGGTAAGCAGTCTTTATTATATTTTTGAAATCCCCACTTATTCCTACTTAATCTTGAGTTAATAAGATGTTTAATTAGGGATATCTGCTGAAGCTTAGAAAGTGGATTTTGAGCACGATAATTTGACATTATTTGACATTATTCTTTAAGTAGTTAGAAAAATGAATTATATTGATAATTTTCCTGACACTGACTGGTATATCTTTCCATTCCTGGAATAAAGCCTACTTAGTTATTGCATCTTATTCACTGACACAATGCTAGATTAGCTGATATTTTTAATCACGTGATTTTGGCCTACAGTTTTTGTTCTTTATAATATATATATATATTTTTTTTCCTGAGACGGAGTCTCACTCTGTCGCCCAGGCTGGAATGCAGTGGCATGATCTCAGCTCACTGCAACCTCTGCCTCCCAGGTTCAAGTGATTCTCCTGCCTCAGCCTCCCAAGTAGCTGGGATTACAGGCACTCGCCACCATAATCAGCTAATTTTTTATTTTTATTTTTAGTAGAGATGGGGTTTAACCACGTTGGCCAGGCTGGTCTCTAACTCCTGACCTCAGGTGATCTGCCCGCCTTGGCCTCCCAAAGTGCTGGGATTACAGGCATGAGCCACCATGCCTGGCCTTTATAATACTTGTATCATGTTTTGTGATTAACATTAAGCTGTCTTCGTTTATAGTCTGAAATAGTAACATAGGGATTAATTTCTTCCTGATATGTAGACAACTTATTGTATAACAATCTGGTCCACATGTTTTTTAAATGGTAAACCTTTAATCATGTTCTAATATCTTCAATGATAATTAGGTTATGCAAACTTTCTTTTTCCTGAATGAATTGTGTTGATACATGTATATTTTTTCTGGTTACTCAATTTTGAATTCATATAGAGCAGATTTCATTCTTTTTGGTGTAGGCATCTAAGAGATTTGGCCAATGCCCAGAACCATGTAGCTATCAGGACAGGAGTCTGTCTTCTCATTTCCTCTGCCCAGAAAAGTGAGTCTCTCTCAGACTTTGACATTCTGCTATCTGTATTTCTGTGCAACAGGGGCAGGAAGACCAGAAGAAAGAAATAACAGAGATTACCACCCTCCACTGGCCCCAGTCACTCTGCAGACCATGGGGTCTCCTTTTCCTAATTTTCTGTTCAGAGACAATTTTCTTTCAAAGTTTTAGGTGCTTGCACTGCCTCTGTGACCTCAATATGGTGTCATGCAGGGCCACCCCCGCCGTAAGGCAGAAAGAGAAAAAAGACAAGAGGAAGAAAAAAAGAAGAGATTCAACACCCTACACTTTCCAGCTTGCAAGGGTGCCACTTCCTGGTCCTCTGGCAAGAAATTGGGGGTTTCTCCATGAAGTTGTGGCCACAGACAACCACTACACAGTTCAGCAACTAGGGCTGCCCATATGTCACAGCCAAGGTTGAAAGAAGAGAAAACCAGGAACTTACACTATACCAGGAGTTCAAGTTTTTGCTTCCCTCTTAATCTGTTTCATTTACTTTTCAGAGGCCTCAGCTGCGTTTCAAAATTTTATCCAGAACTTTTAGTCGCAATCAGGGGAGAAATCCACTTGGTGGGCTTTTTATCCTGGCCAGCACCAGAAATGACTTATAATTTGCACCCTAAACATTTCCTTTGGGCTTTCATTGTCACAAGGTTTGAAACTGCATTCTCTTACATTTATTTTCTATTTTTAGACATTTAGGGGATACAAGTGCGGTTTTGTTACATGGATATATTGCATAGTGGTGAAGTCTGGGCTTTTGGTATAACCATCACCCAAATAGTGTACATTGTACTCAATGGGTAATTTCTCATTCCTCATCCCCCTTCTACCCTCCTACCCCTTGGAGTTGCCAGTGTCTATTATTCCACTCTCTAGGTCAATGCACACACATTATTTAGCTCCCATTTATAAGTGAGAACATGCAGTGTTTTGACTTTGTTTCTCAGTTATGTCACTTAGACTATGGCTTCCAGTTCCATTCATCTTGCTGCAAAAGCCATAATTTTATTCTTTTTTATGGCTGAGCAGTATTCCATGATATGTATGTATGTATGCGTGTGTCTGTGTGTGTACAGGGTCTCACTGTGTTGTTCAGGCTGAATAGTGCTGCAATAAACATACGAGTGCAGGTATCTTTATGATATAACAATCTCTTTTCCTTTGGGTAGATACCTAGCAGTAGGATTGCTGGATCAAATGATAGTTCTATTTTTAGTTCTTTGAGAAATCTCCATACTGTTTTCCATTAGAGATTGCACTAATTTACATTTCCACCAACAGCATATAAGTCTTCCCTTTTCTCTGCATCCTCCCCAACATCTGTTGTTGACTTCTGAGTAACAGCCATTCTGATGGGTGTCACATGGTAACTAATTGTGGTTTTAATTTGCATTTCTCTGATGATCAGTGGTGATGAGCATTTTTTCGTATGTTTGTTGGCTGTTTGTCTTCTTTTGAGAAGTGTCTGTTCATGTCCTTTGCCTACTTTATTTTTTCCTTTCCAACTTCTATGTTAGGTTCCAGAGGTACATGTACAGGTTTGTTCCATGAGTAGACTGTGTGTCACAGGGGTTTGGTGTACAGATAATTTTGTCACTGAGGTAATCAGCATAATATCTGATAGGTAGTTTTTAAATCCTCACACTCCTCCCACCTTCCACCCTCAAGTCGGCCCCAGTGTCTATTGTTTCCTTCTTTGTGTCCATGTGTACTCAATGTCTAGCTCCCACTGATAAGTGAGAACCTGGTATTTGGTTTTCTGTTATTGTATTAGTTCACTTAGGATAATGCTTTGCCCACTTTTTAATAGGGTTATTTGGGTTTTTTTGTCTTGTTTTTTCTTGTTGAGTTGTTTGAGTTCCCTATAAGCTCTGTATATTAGTTCTTTGTCATATGCATACTTTGCAAGTATTTTCTCCCATTCTGTAGGTTGTCTCTTCACTCTGTTGATTATTTCTTTTGCTGTGCAGAAGCTTTTTCATTCAATTAAGTCCCATATGTCTACTTTTGTTTTTGTTGCATTTGTTTTTGGGGTTTTAATAACAAATTATTCTCCCAGGCCAATATCTAGATGAGCTTTTGCTAGGTTTTCTTGTAGAATTTTTATAGTTTCAGGTCTTACAGGTAAGTCATTCTCCCTAGAGACAGGGACTTACTCTGTAGCCCAGGCTGGAGTGCAGTGATGCAATCATAGCACACAGCATTCTTGAACTCCTGGGCTCAAGGGATCTTCTGCCTCAGGTTCCCAAGTAGCTAGGGCTACAGGCACATGCCACTACATGCCCATGACTATGTCCTGAATGGTAATGCCTAGGTTTTCTTCTAGGGTTTTTATGGTTTTAGGTCTAATGTTTAAGTCTTTAATCCATCTTGAATTGATTTTTGTGTAAGGTGTGAGGAAGGGATCCAGTTTCAGCTTTCTACATATGGCTAGCCAGTTTTCCCAGCACCATTTATTCAATAGGGAATCCTTTCCCCATTGCTTGTTTTTCTCAGGTTTGTCAAAGATCAGATGGTTGTAGATATGTGGTATTATTTCTGAGGCTTCTATTCTGTTCCATTGGTCTATATCTCTGTTTTGGTACCAGTACTATGCTGTTTTGGTTACTGTAGCCTTGTAGTATAGTTTGAAGTCAGGTAGCGTGATGCCTCCAGCTTTGTTCTTTTTGCTTAGAATGGTCTTGGCAGTGTGGGCTTTTTTTGGTTCCATATGAACTTTACAGTAGTTTTTTCCAATTCTGTGAAGAAAGTCATTGATAGCTTGATGGGGATGGCATTGAATCTATAAATTACCTTGGGCAGTATGGCCATTTTCACGATATTGATTCTTCCTAACCATGAGCATGGAATGTTCTTCCATTTGTTTGTGTCCTCTTTTATTTTGTTGAGCAGTAGTTTGTAATTCTCTTGAAGAGGTCCTTCACATCCCTTGTAAGTTGGATTCTTAGGTATCTTATTCTCTTTGAAGCAATTGTGAATGGGATTTCACTCATGATTTGGCTCTCTGTTTGTCTGTTATTGGTGTATAAGAATGCTTGTGATTTTTGCACACTGACTTTGTATCCTGAGACTTTGCTGAAGTTGCTTATCAGCTTAAGGAGGTTTGGGGCTGAGATGATAGGGTTTTCTAAATATACAATCATGTCAACTGCAAACAGGGACAATTCGACTTCCTCTTTTCCTAATTGAATACCCTTTATTTCTTTCTCCTGCCTGATTGCCCTGGCCAGAACTTCCAACACTATGTTGAATAGGAATGGCGAGCGAGGGCATCCCTGTCTTGCGCCCGTTTTCAAAGGGAATGCTTCCAGTTTTTGCCCATTCAGTATGATATTGGCTGTGGGTTTGTCATAAATAGCTCTTATTATTTTGAGATACATCCCATCAACACCTAATTTATTGAGAGTTTTTAGCGTGACTTTTGTTGAAATTTGTTGAATTTTGTCAAAGGCCTTTTCTGCATCTATTGAAATAATCATGTGGTTTTTGCCTTTGGTTCTGTTTAAATGATGGATTATGTTTATTGATTTGTGTATGTTGAATCAGCCTTGCATCCCAGGGATGAAGCCCACTTGATCATGGTGGATAAGCTTTTCGATATGCTCCTGGATTCTGTTTGACAGTATTTTATTGAGGATTTTTGTATCAATGTTCATCAGGAATATTGGTCTAAAATTCTCTTTTTTTTGTTGTGTCTCTGCCAGGCTTTGATATCAGGATGAGGCTGGCCTCACAAAATGAGTTAGGGAGGATTCCCTCTTTTTCTATTGATTGGAATAGTTTCAGAAGGCATGGTACCAGCTCCTCTTTGTACCTCTGGTAGAATTCGGCTGTGAATCCATCTGGTCCTGGACTGTTTTTGGTTCGTAGGCTCTTAATTGTTGCCTCAATTTCAGAGCCTGTTATTGGTCTATTCAGAGATTCAATTTCTTCCTGGTTTAGTCTTGGGAGGGTGTATGTGTCCAGGAATTTATCAGTTTCCTCTAGATTTTCTAGTTCATTTGCGTAGAGGTGTTTATAGCATTCTCTGATGGTAGTTTGTATTTCTGTGGGATCGGTGGTGATATCCCCTTTATCATTTTTTATTGCATCTATTTGATTCTTCTCTCTTTTTTTCTTTACTAGTCTTTCTAGCGGTCTATCAATTTTGTTGATCCTTTCAAAAAACCAGCTCCTGGATTCATTAATTTTTTGAAGGGTTTTTTGTGTCTCTATTTCCTTCAGTTCTGCTCTGATTTTAGTTATTTCTTGCCTTCTGCTAGCTTTTGAATGTGTTTGCTCTTGTTTCTCTAGTTCTTTTAATTGTGATGTTAGGGTGTCAATTTTAGATCTTTCCTGCTTTCTCTTGTGGGCATTTAGTGCTATAAATTTCCCTCTACACACTGTTTTAAATGTGTCCCAGAGATTCTGGTATGTTGTGTCTTTGTTCTCGTTGGTTTCAAAGAACATCTTTATTTCTGCCTTCATTTCGTTAATGTACCCAGTAGTCATTCAGGAGCAGGTTGTTGAGTTTCCATGTAGTTGAGCGGTTTTGAGTGAGTTTCTTAATCCTGAGTTCTAGTTTGATTGCACTATGGTCTGAGAGACAGTTTGTTATAATTTCTGTTCTTTTATATTTGCTGAGCAGTGCTTTACTTCCAACTATGTGGTCAATTTTGGAATAAGTGTGATGTGGTGCTGAGAAGAATGTATATTCTGTTGATTTGGGGTGGAGAGTTCTGTAGATGTCTATTAGGTCCACTTGGTGCAGAGCTGAGTTCAGTTCCTGGACATCCTTATTAACTTTCTGTCTCGTTGATCTGTCTAATGTTGACAGTGGGGTGTTAAAGTCTCCCATTATTATTGTGTGGGAGTCTAAGTCTCTTTGTAGGTCTCTAAGGACTTGCTTTATGAATCTGGGTGCTCCTGTATTAGATGCATATATAATTAGGATAGTTAGCTCTTCTTGTTGAATTGATCCCTTTACCATGATGTAATGACCTTCTTTGTCTCTTTTGATCTTTGTTGGTTTAAAGTCTGTTTTATCAGAGACTAGAATTGCAACCCTTGCTTTTTTTTTTTGTTTTCCCTTTGCTTGGAGATCTTCCTCCATCCCTTTATTTTGAGCCTATGCGTGTCTCTGCATGTGAGATGGGTTTCCTGAATACAGCACACTGATGGGTCTTGACTCTTTATCCAATTTGCCAGTCTGTGTCTTTTAATTGGAGCATTTAGCCCATTTACATTTGAGGTTAACATTTTTATGTGTGAATTTGATCCTGTCGTTATGATGTTAGCTTGTTATTTTGCTTGTTAGTTGATTCAGTTTCTTCCTAGCTTCGATGGTCTTTACAATTTGGCATGTTTTTGCAGTGGCTGGTACTGGTTGTTCCTTTCCATGTTTAGTGTTTCCTTCAGGAGCTCTTTTAGGGCAGGCCTGGTGGTGACAAAATCTCTCAGCATTTGCTTGTCTGTAAAGTATTTTATTTCTCCTTCACTTATGAAGCTTAGTTTGGCTGGATATGAAATTCTGGGTTGCAAATTCTTTTCTTTAAGAATGTTGAATATTGGCCCCCACTCTCTTCTGGCTTGTAGAGTTTCTGCAGAGAGATCCGCTGTTAGTCTGATGGGCTTCCCTTTGTGGGTAACCCGACCTTGCTCTCTGGCTGCCCTTAACATTTTTTCCTTCATTTCAACTTTGGTGAATCTGACAATTATGTGTCTTGGAGTTGCTCTTCTCGAGGAGTATCTCTGTGGTGTTCTCTGTGTTTCCTGAATTTGAATGTTGGCCTGCCTTGCTGGGTTGGGGAAGTTCTCCTGGATAATATCCTGCAGAGTGTTTTCCAACTTGGTTCCATTCTCCCTGTCACTTTCAGGTACACCAATCAGACGTAGATCTTGTCTTTTCACATAGTCCCATATTTCTTGGAGGCTTTGTTCATTTCTTTTTACTCTTTTCTCTCTAAATTTCTCTTTTTGCTTCATTTCATCCATTTGATCTTCAATCACTGATACCCTGTCTTCCAGTTGATCGAATCGGCTACTGAAGCTTGTGCATGCACCATGTAGTTCTCGTGCCATGGTTTTCAGCTCCATCAGGTCATTTAAGCTCTTCTCTATGCCGTTTTTCTAGTTAGCCATTCATCCAATGTTTTTTTCAAGATTTTTAGCTTCTTTGTGATGGGTTCGAACATCCTCCTTTAGCTTGGAGAAGTTTGTTTTTACTGATATTCTGAAGCCTTCTTCTCTTAACTTGTCAAAGTCATTCTCCATCCAGCCTTGTTCCACTGCTGGCGAGGAGCTGCATTCCTTTGGAGGAGAACAGACACTCTGATTTTTAGAATTTTCAGCTTTTTGCTCTGTTTTCTCTCCATCTTTGTGGTTTTATCTACCTTTGGTCTTTGATGATGAGGTACAGATGGGGTTTTGGTGTGGATGTCCTTTCTGTTTGTTAGTTTTCCTTCTAACAGTCAGGACCCTCAGCCGCAGGTTTGTTGGAGTTTGCTGGAGGTCCACTCCAGACCCTGTTTGCCTGGGTATCACCAGTGGAGGCTGCAGAACTGCAAATACTGCAGAATGGCAAATGTTGCTGCCTGATCGTTCCTCTGGAAGCTTCGTCTCAAAGGGGCACCTGGCTGTATGAGGTGTCAGTCTGCCCCTACTGGAAGATGCCTCCCAGTTAGGCTACTCAGGGGTCAGGGACCCACTTGAGGACGCAGTCTGCCCGTTCTCAGATCTCAAACTCCATGCTGGGAGAACCACTACTCTCTTCAAAGGTGTCAGACAGGGATGTTTAAGTCTGCAGAAGTTTCTGCTTCCTTTTGTTCAGCTATGCCCTGCCCCCAGAGGTGGAGTCTACAGAGGCAGGCAGACCTCCTTGAGCTGTGGTGGGTTCCACCCAGTTCCAGCTTCCCAGCTGCTTTGTTTACCTACTCAAGCCTCAGCAATGGCGGGCGCCCCTCCCCCAGCCATGCTGCCGCCTTGCACTTCCATCTCAGACTGCTGTGCCAGCAGTGAGCAAGGCTCCATGAGCATGGGACCCTCTGAGCCAGGTGCAGGATATCATCTCCTGGTGTGGTCTTTGCTAAGACCATTGGAAAAGCGCAGTATTAGGGTTGGAGTGACCCGATTTTCCAGGTGCCTTCTGTCACGGCTCCCCTTGGCTAGGAAAGGGAATTCCCTGACCCCTTGCACTTCCCGGGTGAGGCAATTCCTTGCCCTGCTTCAGCTCATGGTCTGTGGGCTGCACCCACTGTCCTGCACCCACTGTCCAACAAACCCCAGTGAGATGAACCCAGTACCTCAGTTGGAAATGCAGAAATCACCTGTCTTCTGCGTCGCTCACGCTGGGAGCTGTAGACTGGAGCTGTTCCTATTCGGCCATCTTGGAACCTCCCCTGTACCCAAGTTAATTTCTAAGTTCTACTTTTCTGTTTCCATTCCACTAGTGATTATCCTGGTAACCATGCTAATTTTCTATTAGGATATAGGATACCAAATATGTCCTCATTCCCTGCCCACACCCCCTCTATCTGTTTTCTTTTCCCTTACAGCTTTCCTCCTCTCCTGATATAAGATAAAATCTTTAAAATGCTTTCCTTGCCTTTCTCCCTACCTGTAGATTTTACAGATACTATTTACTATTTAGTTACCTCTGTAATATATTTAAAAATACCTGGCATTATATTACAATGTTCCTTTCACTTTACTATCAGTTTAGATTGAGCTATGTAGACTGATACACAAACACACACACACACACACACACACACACACACACACACACATAAATGGATACAGAGGCCCAGACTTATGTACCTTCTGATGCGTGTTGTATGTTTTTCCACTTGAGGTTATCATGAGGCTTGCATATGATATTGCCCATTATTTTAAACTGATGACAACTTAACACTCATTGCATAAACAAACAAGCAAAGAGAAAACTAATAAAAACTATACTTTAACTTTGTTATTCCCCACCCCACTTCCATTTTTAACTTTTTGTTATTTCTACTTATATCGTATTGTACTATGTATTGAAAAGTTGTTGTAGTTATTTTTGATTGATGCATCTTTCAGTCTTTCTACTCAAGATATGAGCTTATACACCACAATTACAGTGTTATAATATTCTGTGTTTTTCTGTGTACTTACTATTAACAGTGAGTTTTGTATCTTCAGACGATTTCTTATTGCTCATTAATGTCCTTTTCTTTCAGATTAAAGATTCAAGAACTTCCCTTAGTATTTCTTGTAGGACAGGTCTGGTGTTGATGAAATCCCTCAGCTATTGTTTGTCTGGGAAAGTCTTTATTTTGCCTTCATGTTGGAAGGATATTTTTGCTGGATATACTATTCTAGGATACAAGTTTTTCCTCCTTCAGCACTTTAAATTGGTCATGCCACTCTTTCCTGGCCTGTAAGCTTTCCACTGAAAAGTCTGTTTCCAGATACATTGAAGCTCCTTTTTATATTATTTGTTTCTTTTCTCTTGGTGTTTTTAGGATCGTTTCTTTATCCTTGACCTTTGAGAGTCTGATTATTAAGTCTTGAGGTAGTCTTTGGGTCAAATCTGTTTGGTGTTCTATAACCTTCTTGTACTTGAATATTGATATCTTTCTCTAGGTTTGGGAAGTTCTCTGTTATTACCCCCTTTGAATAATATTTCTATCCCCCTCTCTCTCTATCTTCTCTTTAGGGCAATAACTCTTAGATTTGCCCCTTTGAGGCATTTTCTAGATCTTGTAGATATATTTCATTCTTTTTTATTCTTTTTCTTTTGTATCCTCTGACTGTGTATTTTCAAATAGTCTGTTTGCAGGCTCACGAATTCTTTCTTCTGCTCAATCAATTCTGCTGTTAAGGGACACTGATGCATTCTTCAGTATGTCAATTGCATTTTTCAGCTCCAAAATTTCTGCTTGATTTTTTAAAAATTATTTCAATCTCTTTATTAAATTTATCTGATAGAATTCTGAATTCCTTCTCTGTGTTATCCTGTATATGGCTGAGTTTCCTCAACACAGCGATTTTGAATTCTCTGTCTGAAAGGTCACATATCTGTTTTTAGTTACCCGGAATCGCTGTTTCTCCAGGATTGGTCCCTGGTTCCTTACTTAGTCCTTTTGTTGAGGTAATGTTTTCCTGGATTACACTGATGCTTGTCAGTGTCTGGGCATTGAAGAATTATGTCTTTATTGTAGTCTTCACAGTCTGGGCTTGTTTGTACTCATCTTTCTTGGGAAGGCTTTCCAGGTATTGGAGGGGACTTAGGTGTTGTGATCTAAGTTTTGGATCATTGCAGCCACATCTGCACTAGGGAGCACCCCAAACAAGTAATGCTGTGTTTGTTGTAGAGGTGCCACATTGGTGGTCTTGAGTAAAATCCAGAAGAATTCCCTGGATTACCAGGAAAGACCCTTATTCTCTTCCCTTACTTTCTCCCAAACAAATGGAGTTAGTCTCTGTCTGTCTGTCTGTCTGTCTGTCTGTCTCTCTTTCTCTCTCTCCCTCTCTCTGGGATTGGGGAGGGGTGGTGCAAGCACTCCCTTGGCTGCCTCAGCTATTGTCTCCCTAGGTCACATGCCCCTCAAGTCCACTGGCTACAAGCCCAGCACAGCCCTAGGACTTGCCCAAGAACTGTAGTCCTTGTGGCTTAAGCAGCCTTTCAAGTTTATTTGGGACCCCAGAGCCCTTTAGCTTACAGTGGCAGGGCTGGCCAGAACTCAGGCTCTGACCATTGGGATGGGCAATTCCCCTCCATTAGGGCTGGTTTAAATTCTCCCCTGTGGACACTGGTTGAGTTCTGCCTGGTATTGCTTTCCACTGTGACAGGGCAGCACTGAGTTCCAATGTAAAGTCCCACAATCACTGTGCTCTCCCTCTCCAAAGGGCACAGATTCTCTCTCCCCACCACATGGGCACCTCAGGGGAATGAGAGAGAAGTGGTGTAGGCAATTCAAGACTGTCTTTCCTGCCCTCTTCAGTGCCTGTTTCAGTGATATAAAGTCAAAACCAGGTACTGTCATCAACTCACTTTACTTTTGGTTCCTACGAAGGTGCTCTTTGTGTGGACAGTTGTTTAATTAGGTGTTCCTGCAGGAAGGATAATTGGTGGAAGTCTCTACTCAGCCATCCTGCTCTGCCTCCCCTGGAATTTATTTTTGTGTATAGTATATAAGGCATCTATTTGTATGTTCTTTTTTCCTCCCAAAATATCATTATCTCCATGTTGCAAATAACAAAACCAAAACTCAGAAAGGTTAGGAAATTTGCCTGATATTTCAGAGGTAGCAAATTACCTAACTAGGATATAAACCTATTGACCCTTTCTAGCAATTCAAGCCATCTCCCAAGAGTAATATGTGAGGCATTCCACATTAAAACATTATTACATTCAGCACAAACGGCCTAAAAATGTCACTCACATCTGCTGCATTGCTTTAGCAGCAAGAAGTGCCTTGGCATTGCTGATCATATATAGATATACCTGCCAAGATCTGCTTTGCATTTGCTCAGAGATGGAATCACGAAGTCCAGGAATAGAATTCCATTATTATTCAGTACCAAGTAGCTGCTATCATGAAAATTAGGAAGCCTCAAATTGACACTTTCGCTAAAGACAATTCTGTGTTCTCTTGGCTGGCATAGAACATGAGTGATAATTACCCTAGAAGAAGAGTATGGCTGACTTCTACCCAGGATCAGGAGGCTGAACTATTTTGACTCCAGCTTCAACCACCAATCCCCAGAAAATCCTGTCTTGGTACATGGAGAGTTAGCTTTAGAATTTTTTATGACATCTATCTGATTGGGCTCATAGTGGACACTCTTGGGAGTTTCTTCCTAGTCTGAAATTAATTTCTTTGCATTTGAGAATGCTGCCCATACCCCCACCCCAGAGCCACAGGGTCCTGGGGAAGAACTGCTGGTCACCATGTTTGTGTCACAGGTGGGCCACTAGCTCTCATCAGGCAATCACATTCTCTCTTTTTCAGAATTTAGAGTTGGGCATGAGGAAGTCAAGTCAGCCTCATTATACAACTAAAACTGAATAGTATAAACTCAAGTGCCATCCATGGGTGGCCATGTGCTGCCATGTGGACTGGGAAACAGAGAAGCCAGTAGCAGGGATGAAAAGGGAAAAAAGATATATGCACATAGAAGCAGAGGAAAAACCTGGAGACAGAATACTTTCTGGGTTTCTAATGACTTTCTGGTTGAGATGATGCATTTATTCAACAAATATTTACTACATACTTAATATGTGAAAGATGTTGTTTCAGATGATGGAGTACTATAGGATACCACCCCATCCTTAAAATAAGTTGTCCTTCTTTGCTTATGTTAACTGGCAGGAGTCTCTGCTTCTTATAACAAGAGACCCATAACTAACACAGGCCCAGAAACACATTAATCCTCTATCTATGAGAATCTCACACTTTCAGCTGTTCCAGATGCCAGTTCTATTTCATGGGCACTCAACCTTGTATTGTCACTCATTTTAAAAGTCTCTCTCATCATCCTAAGGTGACTCCAAATTCTTCCAGGGTAGTGGTTCTCAGTTGCCATGACACAGGTCCCCAGAGTATTATGATCAGTGATGAGGTATGTCATTAGTAATTTTTTAATTATAATAAAGTGCTAAAGTTGCCTAGTGCTTTATGATTGCTTTTTCCTGAGCAGATTCAAGGTCATCTGTAATATTGTCAGTCTCCCTTGCACTCCCATATGCTTTCTTAGTGGAAGAGAAATCTAATATATCAGCATGCAGTGAATTGTGCATAACCCTGGGTGTGTATATATACAGGGGTGTGTTGGCTATGTGAAAATCACCCCTACTGTTTGTCAAGGTTGATGGAAAGTTAAGAATCTCACAGGCTGCGTCTTTTACAGAATTCTAAACATATCAGAGGAATTAAATAAACTGCTGCTGTTGCCACTATTGATGTTACATAAAGGGGCCTTTCTGCTCCTTAAGCCTGCACCATTGCAACTGGCCATAAAAAAAAAATGCCACATATGTTCTAGGCCTTAGCTCTTGAAAATTTTTATCTCAAGCTGGAATATATGCAAAGATTGGGTAGGAGCCAAATGATAAGATCAAACAAAGGTAAGTACACTGCTGTGAAATGTCATTTTTTTGTCTTCATTCCTTTCTGATGGGACACACCCTTCCATCAGGCCATAGGATCCTGATGGGGCAGTGACTGGCCCAGAGGTGGACATGTGACCTGAGCAGGGTAAATCAGGATCCTTTTTCAGAAGATGAAATGATGCTGGGAGAGAGAACAAGAGTTTCTTAAATCTCAACTGGCAGAATTGCGTAAACCTAGAGCTATAAGGACCTGTCTTTCCCAGAGGATGAAGCCAACCAAGAAAAACTACCACATGCTGGTATGTTTCGGTACTATATTGTACCTATATTGTATACTATATTGTGTGTTATTTCATCACATCTTTATGACCCAGGAAGTAGATAGCTAGTGAGCCCACTTTTCTGATGAGGCAACTGGGGCTCTGAGTTTAAGCCACTGTCCAAAGTCATACAAGAATGAAAGAGAAGAGCAGAGATTTCAATCCATGCCTTTCTGGCTCTAAGCCTTACCCTTCCTCAAGTAAGCATAAAATATTTTATATATATTTGTAGCTAATCTGAAACTGCCTATCCACATACCTTGGGCAAGTCATTGGGCATCAGTTGACTTACACATCAGTGTTTTTAAGCTAAGAGTCAAGAAAACTCTTGTCTATAAAGGACCCAACAGTAAACATTTTAGACTTTGTGGGATATACAATCTCTGCCAAAATTACTTAAATGTGCCACTGTAGCATGAAAATAATTGTAGACAGTAGGTAAGTGACTGTGTGTGGCTATATTCCAATAAAACTTTATTTATAAAATAGCGGGAAGAGGCAGAATTTGGCCTTTCAGGAACAGTTTGCTGTTCTAAGTTATTACCATGTAATTAGATTGTAAATTCCTTATAGACAAATTTCAAATATTAAAAAAATTTTACATTATTTTATAATTTACCCATGACCAAGTACATATACATACTTATTTCAGTAACTGACAAACAAAATACACAAAGGTACGAATTGATCAAGGCAAGAAATGTGTTAACTCATGTTGACTTTGAGTATTTTCATTCTTTCTTTTTAAAATTTTTTGAGATGGAGTCTCGCTATGCTACCCAGGCTGGTCTTGAAATTCTGGCCTTAAGTGATTCTCCTGTAACAGTCTCCTGAGTAGCTGGGATTACAGATGCAAGCTATGGTGCCCAGCAATATTCTGATTCTTGAAAAGGACCGTGCCAAATATCTTAGTGGGGATAAACCAAAGAAAGGTGAGATGAGCAGGCAATCCTAGAGGGTAGGCATATGTCCTTTGAAAAGGGCAGTCTATTTTACTGCATGCAAGAATGAAAAAACTATTAAGCCAGTGAGAAATAGGCCACCCTGGCTGCATAGACAATAAGTAAGTGTCAGGGACTTCCAGATAATAGCAGGATAAGAAAACCAAATAGCAAGATAAGAGTACCAAAAAGATACTCTTTCTTTGAGATCTGTGAAGATAACTAGATCCTCTTATTCTCAATGAAAAAATAGATACATCTATTTCCATTAATTTTCCAAATAGTATTTGGTTTTGAAAATAAAATAACTATGATGAAATGTCTTAGATATAATTTAAAATATTCACAAGATCACAATATTTGCAACAAATGTGAATATTTAAAATATCGTACTAAAAATGGTATAATCTTAAATATACCTTTTAAATTCCAGTTTCTAAGGGAATGTGGTTCTAAGGGCATTTGGAGATGGGGAGAGCACTCTGATTTCAATTCCCAACATCACTGCATAAGAATGTGAGAAGCTTTCCCAGGTCTTCCAGAACCAAGAAACTAGAGAACAAGGAAAGGTAATTTTATGACAATCACTTTTATGAGATTATATATAACTAGATCCAAGTGAAAGTTAATTTCCAAACTTGTGCACATTCAGGTAATAAGCTGCCTGTAAATACCATTTAACAAAATGCATTTTATTTCTATTTTGAGGAATGATTCACCCTTGAGGGACAAAAGAATCTTGTGCATGTAAAATAAAGAACAGAACCACGGACTTCCCAAGGTTGTCTATATTTTCCTTTCTATCTACACTACCATCTTACATGCAAGGTTGTCCCTAGCCTACAGCTAAATTCCCAAGCATCTTTGCACTACAGTAGTACAAAGGAAGCCAACATAGACATAAAAGAGGGAATGGAAGAAGTGAAGGAAAGAGGGAGGCGAGAAAATAAGGAAGGAAAAAGGATGAAAGGATGAAAAAAAGGAAAAAGATGAGAAAAAATAAGAATTAAAAACACTAAAAATGAAGGAAAAGGGGGTTATCTTTGAAAGCCTAGTTCCCTCTCCAAAGAAAATTCTAAGAGGATGGGAGGAAATCGACCCTTGAAAGGTCTGTTCCACGCCCAGGGTCCTGCAGACTTGCTGACTCCCGCCTCCCGCCTCACTGTGGACATTCCCCAGAGTATGTGCACTTAGTCCTAAACCCACTTCCCACACTCACGATGCCAATTAAACCTCTTTGTGTACAACTTCCAAATCTCTTATCTCAATTACTGATCTATCTACTGGTCACTCATTCCGAGTCTCTAATTGTTGCCTAGTATTTCTCTGTAGAAGAGCTCCCTTCATTTCAAAGCCTAAAGTGATCAAACAAAAACGCACCTTTTAAAGCCAGCTTTTCTTTCCCTACTTCAGTTCACAGTGGAAACCTTAGGAATCTTGAGTCCACATCCTATGGCAAGCTTGTCCAATCCGCGGCCTGCATGTGGCCGAGGACAGCTTTAAATGTGGCCTAACACAAATTCATAAACTTTCTTAAAACATTATGAGATTTTTTTTTCTTTTCTTTCTTTCTTTCTTTTTTTTTTTTTTTTTAGCTCACCAGCTATCGTTAGCATTAGTGTATTTATGTGTGGCCCAAGACAACTCTTCTTCTTCCAGTGTCACCCAGGGAAGCCAAAAGTTTAGATACCCCTGTCCTTCACCAATAAAGTCTTCCTTCAGAATATATATTTGCATTAATTCCTCACTCCCCATTCCTTCTGACACCATTTAAAGTCTTAGGCAAGCACACATTTCTAGAATGGTCTTTATATTCACCTTTCATTCCTTTATCTCCAGGGTCTCTCCATGCCAAATAACCGGGGCTAAATGAATCTTACCCAATTATCCTTTTCACCCCACCATTCTCCTGCTAAAAAAATCTTTTGGCTCTCTCTGCATATAGAACAAAGTATAAGCTCTCGGGTCTGGTGTCCTGTCTTTCACCATCTGTTCCCAATCCACCCTACCCATCCCACCCAAAACTGAAACTCTCCATGGTTTAGGCGAGTCCGTCGGCTCTTCTCCAAATGGCAATACTCATTCCAACCTTTTCCTGGTCACATATTCAACTAAATATCATCATTTGTGTTCTAAGTATGTGGTGGCACAAAAATGAGTCATATTTCACTTTCACAATATTTTGGAATAATTTAAGTGCAAAATAATAGCTATACAAAGTTCTAAGGGCTTGGTAAAGTGAAGTAGTCTTCCACAAAAACCTTCAGAAAAGGGTGTTGAAGGATTGAAGGATGCACAATAGGGCCAAATGGAAGCAGTAGCTTGGGAAGTGGGGAAAGCACATGAGAGGTGTCTCTAGGGTTTCAGAGGTAAGAGTCACACTTACCTATAATCAGAAACAGGCCAATCAAAAGGCCTTCTTATAGTCTGGATTTTCCAAGCACAAGATGTTTAGATTTGCGAGGGCTGAAAGTCAGTCAAAGAGTGTACACGGTTGCTCCAGGGATTTCACCCCAGGTCACATTCCTTGAAAATCACACTGAAACTAAAGTACTTGATAGACATTATAGAGACCCAAGGGAAAAACCGCCAAGATTCAGAGACAGCCAAAAACCATGCAAGCAGAGGTGTCTGGCTTCCTGCTTCCTTCTCAACCTTCATTCCCTGCTAACAACTTGGAGAAAGTTCAGTCAGTAGCTCTCATCTCACCACACCACTATTTCTTCAGCACATCCTCCAACTCTGCCTCCCTACAATTTCAGAAACATTAAGGTGAAAGGATGAGGAAACATGTTAGTTTTCTTGAGAACATTCTATGTGCCAGGCATTGTGCTAGGTGCTTCGACATATAACGAAGAGAAGAAGAAATTAAATATAAAAAGGCAAAGTAGTGACTGGAAGTTAAAGCCAACAGCAGACGAATGAGATCACTGGTTTTCAAATTGTTTCACACTAGCTGCAACAGAACCCTCTAGGGCAACTGATAAAATGCCAGTGCCCAGGCCTCAGTCAAATAACTACAAGTCGGTAGACCTTGGATGAGGTCCAAAACTATATAAATATGTGTGTGTGCATGTATACACATGCATGTATAAACATGCACACATATATTTTAAAACAAGAACCCCAGGCCAGGCACAGTGGCTCACACCTGTAATCCCAACACTCTGGGAGGCCGAAGTAGGTGGATTACCTGAGGTCAGAAAGTGGAGACCAGCCTGGCTAACACGGTGAAATCTCATCTCCACTAAAAATACAAAAATTAGCCAGGTGTAGTGGCAGGCACCTGTAATCCCAGCTACTGGGGAGGCTGAGGCAGGAGAATCGCTTGAGCCTGGGAGGCAGAGGTTGCAGTGAACCAAGATCGTGCCATTACACTCCAGCCTGGGTGACAAGAGTGAGAGTCCATCTCAAAAACAAAACAAAACAAAAAACAAGAATCCCAGGCAATTCTAAACACCACACAGGTATTTATGCATAGGTCATCATTAGGACTCCTGAATTAGGGTATCTACTTCTTCAAAACACCATAGTCTTCGCCCAAAGTGGAGGAAAGAGAAAGAGATAACATACTTCAATGAATCTTGATGAACCCAAGACATCATTATTTTACATTTTCCTTAGGAATAGAAAAGAAAAAACATACTGGCAATGAAATCATAATATGCAAGCAACTGTAAGATGCCTCCCAATTTCGGAAATGTTAAAAGGTTTAAAAATTATGCATCTTTGAACAGATGAAATATAGTTAACATGTGTCAAGCTTCCACTAGAGTCTTGGTTAATCTGTGGTTACATGCCTGGCAGGTGGGATGAAATTCCCTGAGTTACATAGCTAGTGAGAGACCGAGCTGATTGTTCCCAACTGCAAAGCCAGAGCCCAGGTACTGCCTTCAGTTACTCCACAGAGCTTATGTGAGTGGTCGAGCTCCAAAACCGGGACCCTTAACCTCTGTCACATACCTCTCCATGGAGCACATGTAAAACATTTAGAATAGTTCGTGGCACAAAGCAAGCTCCAAACAAATGCCATCATTCCTGCCTTCACACAGCTTGCAGTGCAGCGAGAAACCCAGGTGTGATGAGAAGAAAAGCACAGGGTACTATCAGAGAATAGAATAAGGGGACTAAACCAAGCCTTAGGTGGTCAGGCAAGGCTCCTGGACCAATTAACATTTAAGCCAAGACCTGGACAATGTTGAGTAGCACTTAGCATTAAATGAAGAGGTGGAATTGGGAGGGGTTTCTGTAAATCCCAGCCCTGATGTGAAAAGAAGAGCATTATTCTGCTCTCAACCAGAGATAACACTGAATCCAACATTTTTTCCTGGCAGCCCACCCGAGCTTTGTCCATAGGATTCTTATCAGCTTCCAAGGTCGAGAAGGGGCCCACCGGGAGGGGAGGCAAACTTGAATCTCACTGGCTGTCAAGGGAACAGATCAACAGATCTGCTTTCAGGGCAGATGGCAATGGAGCAATAAATTAGCCCTATAAAATACTTTAAATTTAAATGTTTAATCTCTGTTAATTACAATGAGACATTTCTAGAAGATTTTTTTAATAGCAGGCAAACCACAATTACAATGTTGAACTCACTGGAAAGCCCCGCTGCACCTCTCTAACCCCGCATTCCTCCATTTAGGCACTTCAACTTGTTACATTTGGGAATAGCTTTATTATTCAAGGTGATGATGTCAGCCTCCACAGATCTGCAATATGGGGTGGGACAGAAGGAATGCATTACACAGACTCATTGGGAACTGAGCCCAGCAAACACTTGGTGCCTGGAAGAGAACAGAAGGCCACATCAGTTTGCTTTACAGTAGGCTCCTAGCAAACACAAAACCAAATTCAGGCATTTAATTAAGGATACAAAGATTTCCCTCATCCAAGATCACTGAAAACCATTTTTCTTTTCTTTCTTAAAAGAAGGACAAAAGCCATACTGAAAAAGAATGTTTACAGAATATTCAGACTTTTGCTTGAGACTCATTCAGGAGTAAAGAAATAGAAGCTCCAAGTTAGGTAACAGATAAACGCAGAGATGGCAAATATTACAGAATCTAACCTGTGAATACTGAAAGATTAGTGCGAGCTTGCCACTCGTGACCAGGGAAAAAGTTTTACAACAGCATGTTCCACAGGCACGTCTTTTTTAAAAAAAATGTAGCAGCAAACACCTATGAGTCTGCTGAAATTCTCTGGACAACCTCTTTCCTGTTCCCTGCACCTGAATGTCCATCGCCAATTTGTTGGCCAAATCAAGAATGACTTCAGTGAGGCTTTTTTTTTGGTGTCCTTTGAGTAAGGCTAGTTTCTCCCCTCTGTTATCCCCAGCCTGGTCCCTAGAACATACTTCTCTTACTGTAGATAAAGTATTGGGTTGTAATTAATCATTTACACTTCCCTTGCCCCACTAGACTAACTGACCAAGGGCCAAATCCACATCTCATTTACCCAAAGATTCTTGCACCTTACACAGTACTTAGCACAAGTAAGTGTACAATACAGGTTGGGCAAAGTATTAACTGAGCAATGATCTATCCACACTGCTGTCTGCTAAGAGAACTCCAGTCTTTATGGGTTTCTTGAAAGGTAGGGTGAGAGCATACTGAATCACACTCACAGATTATTATAGTATACATCCCAAACTTTGGTCATTTCTAACTTTTTTCTATACCATATAAAATATGTATTTTTCTAGTATTTTTCTTTAAAGTAATTCCCTTTGTTAGTTTTCACCTTGTCCTAAGAAATAACCACAGAAAACCAGATTTGATGTGTTAATTCTATTTTTTTCAAATATACAAAATGTTAAATTACTAAATCAAACACTGTTCATCCTCACACGACCTCCAACCTTCTGGCATATAGTGATAGAGGGGTACATGTAACACACTTGAGGACATCCTGGATTAATAAAATATTCAAGCTGAAAAGGTCACTCGAGGTTACCAAACCCAACTCTTCATAAACAGAGAAGGAAACCACAGCCCAGGAGGACCTTATTTCTTTCTCAACTCATGAAGAAATTAGTGAGAGAATAGACAAAGAATGAAATTACACAGAGAATGGACAAGCATCCAGGGCCTCAAGTTCCCATGTTAGTGCTTTTGCTCTGACAACTGGGACAAATATGAGCAACAGACAAAAGCTGTAACATATAGCAAATATGTTCACGATATTTTAAAAGATACCCTTTTATAAAAACACTGGAAGAAAACAAAACAGGCTCCAGTGGGGTAATAGATATATGATTCCTTCCCTTTCCAAATTTCCTAATAACTTACAATGTGTTCATAATACCCTTTACACTAAAAACACACATACACACACACACACACACACACACACACACACACACACACCCCATGTGATGGGTAACTTAATGTGTTAACTTGGTTAAGTTATGGTGTCTAGTTGTTTGGTCAAATGTGTCTAGATGTTACTCTAAAGGTATTTGTTAACATCTACAACTGGAGGGGAGGAGCCAAGATGGCCGAATAGGAACAGCTCCAGTCTACAGCTCCCAGCGTGAGCGACGCAGAAGACGGGTGATTTCTGCATTTTCATCTGAGGTACCGGGTTCATCTCACTAGGGAGTGCCAGAGAGTGGGCGCAGGTCAGTGGGTGCAGCGCACCGTGCGCGAGCCGAAGCAGGGCGAGGCATTGCCTCACTCGGGAAGTGCAAGGGGTCAGGGAGTTCCCTTTCCTAGTCAAAGAAAGGGGTGACAGACGGCACCTGGAAAATCGGGTCACTCCCACCCACATACTGTGCTTTTCCGACAGACTTAAAAAATGGTGCACCACGAGATTATATCCCGCACCTGGCTTGGAGGGTCCTACGCCCACGGAGTCTCCCTGATTGCTAGCACAGCAGTCTGAGATCAAAGTGCAAGGCGGCAGCCAGGCTGGGGGAGGGGCGCCCGCCATTGCGCAGGCTTGCTTAGGTAAACGAAGCAGCCAGGAAGCTGGAACTGGGTGGAGCCCACCACAGCTCAAGGAGGCCTGCCTGCCTCTGTAGGCTCCACCTCTGGGGGCAGGGCACAGACAAACAAAAAGACAACAGTAACCTCTGCAGACTGAAATGTCCCTGTCTGACAGCTTTGAAGAGAGCAGTGGTTCTCCCAGCACACAGCTGGAGATCTGAGAACGGGCAGACTGCCACCTCAAGTGGGTCCCTGACCCCTGACCCCCGAGCAGCCTAACTGGGAGGCACCCCCCAAGTAGGGGCAAACTGACACCTCACACAGCCAGGTACTCCTCTGAGACAAAACTTCCAGAGGAAATATCAGACAGCAGCATTCGTGGTTCACGAAAAACCACTGTTCTGCAGACACCGCTGCTGATAACCAGGCAAACAGGGTCTGGAGTGGACCTCTAGCAAACTCCAACAGACCTGCAGCTGAGGGTCCTGTCTGTTAGAAGGAAAACTAACAAACAGAAAGGACATCCACACCAAAAACCCATCTGTATATCTCCATCATCAGAGGCCAAAAGTAGATAAAACCACAAAGATGGGGAAAAAACAGAGCAGAAAAACTGGAAACTCTAAAAAGCAGAGCACCTCTCCTCCTCCAAAGGAACGCAGTTCCTCACCAGCAATGGAACAAAGCTGGACGGAGAATGACTTTGACAAGTTGAGAGAAGAAGGATTCAGACGATCAAACTACGAGCTACAGGAAGAAATTCAAACCAAAGGTAAAGAAGTTAAAAACTTTGAAAAAAATTTAGACGAATGTATAACTAGAATAACCAATACAGAGAAGTGCTTAAAGGAACTGATGGAGCTGAAAGCCAAGGCTCCAGAACTACATGAAGAATGCAGAAGCCTCAGGAGCCGATGCGATCAACTGGAAAAAAGGGTATCAGCAATGGAAGATGAAATGAATGAAATGAAGCGAGAAGGGAAGTTTAGGGAAAAAAGAATAAAAAGAAATGAACAAAACCTCCAAGAAATATGGGACTATGTGAAAAGACCAAATCTACGACTGATTGGTGTACCTGAAAGTGACAGGGAGAATGGAACCAAGCTGGAAAACACTCTGCAGGATATTATCCAGGAGAGCTTCCCCAACCCAGCAAGGCAGGCCAACATTCAGATTCAGGAAACACAGAGAACGCCACAAAGATACTCCTTGAGAAGAGCAACTCCAAGACACATAATTGTCAGATTCACCAAAGTTGAAATGAAGGAAAAAATGTTAAGGGCAGCCAGAGAGCAAGGTCGGGTTACCCACAAAGGGAAGCCCATCAGACTAACAGTGGATCTCTCTGCAGAAACCCTACAAGCCAAAAGAGAGTGGGGGCCAATATTCAACATTCTTAAAGAAAAGAATTTGCAACCCAGAATTTCATATCCAGCCAAATTAAGCTTCATAAGTGAAGGAGAAATAAAATACTTTACAGACAAGCAAATGCTGAGAGATTTTGTCACCAGCAGGCCTGCCCTAAAAGAGCTCCTGAAGGAAGCACTAAACATGGAAAGGAACAACCGGTACCAGCCGCTGCAAAATCATGCCAAAATGTAAAGACCATCAAGACTAGGAAGAAACTACATCAACTAACGAGCAAAATAACCAGCTAACATCATAATGACAGGTTCAAATTCACACATAACAATATTAACTTTAAATGTAAATGGACTAAATGCTCCAATTAAAAGACACAGACTGGCAAATTGGATAAAGAGTCAAGACCCATCAGTGTGTTGTATTCAGGAAACCCATCTCACATGCAGAGACACACATAGGCTTAAAATAAAAGGATGGAGGAAGATCTACCAAGCAAATGGAAAACAAAAAAAGGCAGGGTTTGCAATCCTAGTCTCTGATAAAACAGACTTTAAACCAACAAAGATCAAAAGAGACAAAGAAGGCCATTACATAATGGTAAAGGGATCAATTCAACAAGAAGAGCTAACTATCCTAAATATATATGCACCCAATACAGGAGCACCCAGATTCATAAAGCAAGTCCTGAGTGACCTACAAGGAGACTTAGACCACACATTAATAATGGGAGACTTTAACACCCCACTGTCAACATTAGACAGATCAACGGGACAGAAAGTCAACAAGGATACCCAGGAATGGAAATCAGCTCTGCACCAAGCAGACCTAATAGACATCTACAGAACTCTCCACCCCAAATCAAGAGAATATACATTTTTTTCAGCACCACACCACACCTATTCCAAAACTGAACACATAGTTGGAAGTAAAGCTCTCCTCAGCAAATGTAAAAGAACAGAAATTATAACAAACTGTCTCTCAGACCATAGTGCAATCAAACTAGAACTCAGGATTAAGAATCTCACTCAAAACCGCTCAACTACATGGAAACTGAACAACCTGCTCCTGAATGACTACTGGGTACATAACGAAATGAAGGCAGAAATAAAGATGTTCTTTGAAACCAACGAGAACAAAGACACAACATACCAGAATCTCTGGGACACATTCAAAGCAGTGTGTAGAGGGAAATTTATAGCAGTAAATGCCAACAAGAGAAAGCAAGAAAGATCCAAAATTGACACCCTAACATCACAACTAAAAGAACTAGAAAAGCAAGAGCAAACACATTCAAAAGCTAGCAGAAGGCAAGAAATAACTAAAATCAGAGCAGAACTGAAGGAAATAGAGACACAAAAAACCCTTCAAAAAATTAATGAATCCAGGAGCTGGTTTTTTGAAAGGATCAACAAAATTGATAGACCGCTAGCAAGACTAATAAAGAAAAAAAGAGAGAAGAATCAAACAGATGCAATAAAAAATGATAAAGGGGATATCACCACCGATCCCACAGAAATACAAACTACCATCAGAGAATACTACAAATACGTCTACGCAAATAAACTAGAAAATCTAGAAGAAATGGATAAATTCCTCGACACATACACTCTCCCAAGACTAAACCAGGAAGAAGTTGAATCTCTGAATAGACCAATAACAGGAGCTGAAATTGTGGCAATAATCAATAGCTTACCAACCAAAAAGAGTCCAGGACCAGATGGATTCACAGCCGAATTCTACCAGAGGTACGAGGAGGAACTGGTACCATTCCCTCTGAAACTATTCCAATCAATAGAAAAAGAGGGAATCCTCCCTAACTCATTTTATGAGGCCAGCATCATCCTGATACCAAAGCCGGGCAGAGACACAACAAAAAAAGAGAATTTTAGACCAATATCCTTGATGAACATTGATGCAAAAATCCTCAATAAAATACCGGCAAACCGAATCCAGCAGCACATCAAAAAGCTTATCCACCATGATCAAGTGGGCTTCATCCCTGGGATGCAAGGCTGGTTCAATATATGCAAATCAATAAATGTAATCCAGCATATAAACAGAACCAAAGACAAAAACCACATGGTTATCTCAATAGATGCAGAAAAGGCCTTTGACAAAATTCAACAACCCTTCATGCTAAAAACTCTCAATAAATTAGGTATTGATGGGACGACGTATTTCAAAATAATAAGAGCTATCTATGACAAACCCACAGCCAGTATCATATTGAATGGGCAAAAACTGGAAGCATTCCCTTTGAAAACTGGCACAAGACAGGGATGCCCTCTCTCACCACTCCTATTCAATGTAGTGTTGGAAGTTCTGGCCACGGCAATTAGGCAGGAGAAGGAAATAAAGGGTATTCAATTAGGAAAAGAGGAAGTCAAATTGTCCCTGTTCACAGATGACATGATTGTATCTCTAGAAAACCCCATTGTCTCAGCCCAAAATCTCCTTAAGCTGATAAGCAACTTCAGCAAAGTCTCAGGATACAAAATCAATGTACAAAAATCACAAGCATTCTTATACACCAATAACAGACAAACAGAGAGCCAAATCATGAGTGAACTCCCATTCACAATTGCTTCAAAGAGAATAAAATACCTAGGAATCCAACTTACAAGGGACATGAAGGACCTCTTCAAGGAGAACTGCAAACCACTGCTCAAGGAAATAAAAGAGGATACAAACAAATGGAAGAACATTCCATGCTCATGGATAGGAAGAATCAATATCGTGAAAATGGCCATACTGCCCAAGGTAATTTACAGATTCAATGCCATCCCCATCAAGCTACCAATGACTTTCTTCACAGAATTGGAAAAAACTACTTTAAAGTTCATATGGAACCAAAAAAAAGCCCACATCGCCAAGGCAATCCTAAGCCAAAAGAACAAAGCTGGAGGCATCACGCTACCTGACTTCAAACTATACTACAAGGCTACAGTAACCAAAACAGCATGGTACTGGTACCGAAACAGAGATATAGATCAATGGAACAGAACAGAGCCCTCAGAAATAACGCCGCATATCTACAACTATCTGATCTTTGACAAACCTGAGAAAAACAAGAAATGGGGAAAGGATTCCCTATTTAATAAATGGTGCTGGGAAAACTTGCTAGCCATATGTAGAAAGCTGAAACTGGATCCCTTCCTCACACCTTATACAAAAATCAATTCAAGATGGATTAAAGACTTAAACATTAGACCTAAAACCATAAAAACCCTAGAAGAAAACCTAGGCATTACCATTCAGGACATAGGCATGGGCAAGGACTTCATGTCTAAAACACCAAAAGCAATGGCAACAAAAGCCAAAATTGACAAATGGGATCTAATTAAACTAAAGAGCTTCTGCACAGCAAAAGAAACTGCCATCAGAGTGAACAGGCAACCCACAAAATGGGAGAAACTTTTCGCAACCTACTCATCTGACAAAGGGCTAATATCCAGAATCTACAATGAACTCAAACAAATTTACAAGAAAAAAACAAACAACCCCATCAAAAAGTGGGCGAAGGACATGAACAGACACTTCTCAAAAGAAGACATTTATGCAGCCAAAAAACACATGAAAAAATGCTCACCATCACTGGCCATCAGAGAAATGCAAATCAAAACCACAGTGAGATATCATCTCACACCAGTTAGAATGGCAATCATTAAAAAGTCAGGAAACAACAGGTGCTGGAGCGGATGTGGAGAAATAGGAACACTTTTACACTGTTGGTGGGACTGTAAACTAGTTCAACCATTGTGGAAGTCAGTGTGGTGATTCCTCAGGGATCTAGAACTAGAAATACCATTTGACCCAGACATCCCATTACTGGGTATATACCCAAAGGCCTATAAATCAGGCTGCTATAAAGACACATGCACACGTATGTTTATTGCGGCACTATTCACAATAGCAAAGACTTGGAACCAACCCAAATGTCCAACAATGATAGAATGGATTAAGAAAATGTGGCACATATACACCATGGAATACTATGCAGCCATAAAAAATGATGAGTTCATGTCCTTTGTAGGGACATGGATGAAATTGGAAATCATCATTCTCAGTAAACTATCGCAAGAACAAAAAACCAAACACCGCATATTCTCATTCATAGGTGGGAATTGAACAATGAGAACACATGGACACAGGAAGGGGAACATCACACTCTGGGGACTGCTGTGGGGTTGGGGGAGGGATAGCATTGGGAAATATACCTAATGCTAGATGACGAGTTACTGGGTGCAGCGCACTAGCATGTCACATATATACATATGTAACTAACCTGCACATTGTGCACATGTACCCTAAAACTTAAAGTATAATAATAATAAAAAAGAACTAAAAAAAAAAAATCTACAACCAATTGACTTTAAAGCAGATTACCCTTTATGATATGGGTGGGTCTCGCCCAATCAGTTGAAGGCCTCAAAAGCAAAGACAAGTTTCCCAAAGAAAGAATTCTGCCTTAAGACTGCAACATAGAAATCCTGCCTGAGTTTCCAGACAGCATGCCTGTCCTATGAATTTCAGACACGTCAACCACATGAGCCAATTTTTTAAATTAGTCTTTCAATAGAAAGACAGATTTAGATTTGGATTTCTAACTCCTCTGTTTCTCTGGAGAACCCTGAGTAATATGCCATATTTTTCCATGTTTGTGCATTTGGGAGAAAGGCATTTACACCTCAAGATGACCAGTTAGGGGTTTGGAAAGAAAATAAAGGAAAATAATAATTCAACAACCACAAAAGGGGTAATATCCATCTGTTATTGGTTAGCAGAGCAAATGTGAGAATAAAACAAAGTAAGCCACACACAGCGTACCTCCTCACATCCATTAATTATAAATTAGTTTTTACAAAAATCTTTTCAGGGAACATACTGAAGAATTCCTTTCCTGATGTTGTTTATGTTTACACTTGATTCCCGTTCTTTGTTTTCTTTAAATCGCTAATAAAACAACTAAAACACTCCTAGCCAAGTTTCACAGTTTTCTCATGGTATTTTTCTCTCTTTTTGAGTGGGTGCCAGAAAAACAGATACTGAATTCATCTCCCTAAAACAACAGTACTCCTCCTCTCCATTTCCCCTACAAATGAAGCCAGCAGGATTTCTCCTAGTGCATCACTTTGTGTTATTGATATGCAACAACAGGCTTATCTTCCTCCACACTATCCCAGGGACACTACATACAAAGCCTTTTGTTAATGAATCAAAGAAGCCAATGAATTCTATAGCCCATAGTGACAACCAAATCAATATTTAAAAAATATTCATATCATAAAATTTAAATAAGAGGTCTGTTCCACTCTGCAAATCAGCACATTATAAATCTCCATGTTTCTATTAAATAATCTGTAGTGCCAATGAATTGCAGACCAGCTCCTGGCTCTGTTGTATGTTTATCATTACACTTCCTGAATAGAGAAACAAACCATCAGAAAGTATTTATTATACTGTAGACAACTCAACCACAACCAATGAAGCCTCTTTCCAACTGCAATGTAAAATTGGGTAATAGTTACAATTGGATCCTTGAGGAGTGTGTCAATTTGCACTTAGTAAAGTGAATTTTGAGGCACAATTACCAGTCCTTGGTATTTGGTGCTTTCCAGTGACTATCCTTATCGTTAGTGATGTTCTATTAAACTGGCTTAGAAAAAAGAAGAGGAATAAGTCACATCCTGAGAATGGGGAACTGGAGAATGCCAGGGCAAAATACTTATGGACAGAGCACTGAACAAAGGTCTGGAATTTACATTTGGAGTCCTCACTCTTATGCCTCACCTGCATTCTCATCATTAAAATGTAAGGAACAGAAATCTATCAACCAGTGACCTTAATAAACAAGTGTCAAAGATTTAAATGGAAAACAATCCCACTTAGTATATGATTCTTTTGTATTCTCAATAATCCAATGTTCATCTTTTTAAATTCTAGAACTGAAAATGCCACCCCTATACTCTCAGCATGGTCTTCTAGAATTGCTAATATGGCCATGATGTATTGAACGAAGGGTGGCATTCTTCATGACTCATGAGACAGAACTGGTCAGGACCCTTTTGTATATATCACTTATGAATCACAATATTTTAGACATTTTGACCTACCTTTTCCAACTGGCAAATGACATGTTACATAAGTCCTTTTGGCTATCACCAATAAGTAATTTTGGGGCTCCAAGATTCTTTGAATTGCAATTGTCAATATAATTTATATGTTATTTTCAGAATCTAATAAGTGTGATGGTGCTGATAGCCAGAGATAACAAAGCCACACAGAGTTTATCCTCAAGAAACTCACAATCTGGTGATAGAAATAGACATGGGGGCTGGGTGCGGTGGCTCATGCCTGTAATCCCAGTACTTTGGGAGGCCGAGGCGGGCGAATCACAAATTCAGGAGTTTGAGACCAGCCTGGCCAGCATGGTGAAACCCCGTCTCTACTAAAGATACAAAAAATTGGCTGGGTGTGGTGGCAGCTGCCTGTAATCCCAACTACTTGGGAGGATGAGGCAGGAGAATCACTTGAGCCTGGGATGCAGAGGTTGCAGTGAGCCGAGATCATGCCACCACACTCCAGCCCAGGCGACAGTGCGAGACTCCATCTCAAAAAAAAAAGAAAGAAAGAAAGAAAGAAAGAAATAGACATGGGTCCACCTACTCATGACATAAGGGCCATAACAGAGGAACAAGCAAAGAGTGAGGGAATGATATGGCTTGGCTCTACATCCCCACCCAAATCTCATCTCAAATTGTAATGCCGGTAATCCCTACATGTCAAGGGAAGGACCGGGTGGGAGGTGATTGGATCACTGGGGGCTTTTCCCCCCATGCTGTTCTAGTGATAGTGAGTTCTCAAGAGACCTGATGGTTTATAAGGCAGTTTTCCCTGCTCTTGCTTGCTCTGTCTCTCCTGCTGCCATGTAAGACATGCCTCTTCCCCGCCTATCATGACTGTAAGTTTCCTAAGGCCTTCACAGCCATGCAGAACTGTGAGTTAATTAAACTTCTTTTCTATATAAATTACTCAGTCTTGGGTAGTATCTTTATAGCTGTGTGAGAACAGACTAATACAGGGGACATTTAGGAAGGTTCATTTTGATTGGGGTTGGAGTAGATCTGAGAAGCTTTTATAAAGAAAAAGAGCATCTGAAATGAGTCTTTAAAGATGACCTCAACTACGGTAGGTAGGAAAGGGCAGAAGGTATATCTGAGTCCAAAGACACATTGTGACCTGAGTTCTAGTGGTACACAGACTTTTTCATGTAGCTAATATGTATATTTGCATCTTTGTGGTTTCATTCAAATTTGTCAAATTTTGAGATTATAACTAATGAAATTCAAGATCTTTTAAAAACAGAAACAAAACATTTCAAACACAAGGACCTTTGTAAAGCCTGTGCTCTCCATATTACCCTGCCTCTAGAAATAAAATCCTAACATTGTTGTTTATAAATTTTAGCATGTTCCTGTAACTTCTATTTATATACACTCATATTTTCTACCTTTTTAAGCTTAGCATAAATATAATGTTTCATATATTATTCTACAACTGTCAAAATAGGTTGAGACCAACCTATTTTGAGTCAGATAACTCTAGTTCAATAATTTTAACTAATATTTAGTATTCTTGCATGAATAAAACAATCCACTTATCTGGTCTTCTACTCATGAAAATTTCATTTATTCTTTACTATTTTTGCCATTACAAATAATTCTACAATTAACATCTCTGTAAATATCTTCTTTCCCATATAAAAAGTATATCTACGCAAGTGGGATCTCTAGGTTATAGCATATTTATCTTTAGTTTTGTCACCTGAAACTTTTTGCCTTGTATGCACAAGAAGAATGTATATTTTTTAGTTGTTAGTTCAGGGTTCTAACTTTGCCCAATAAATCAAGATTCTTTATTTTGTTATTCATATTTTCTTTATGTGGTCTACCTAGGTCTCAAATACTAAGGAAGTTAATACTTTCTTCTATGATTGTAAATTTGTGAATTTTTCCATTCAATTTATTTATACATTTTGAGGCTATTTTATTAGGTGTATGGAACTTTAGAATTGTTACATCTTACCAGTAAGATATAACATCTTGATAATATCTATTCTTATATATTGGCAAGGATGCACTGCTAGACCACATACAATCCATGGGGTCTGAGACAGTGACACTGAGCTAAGACTTTTGTTTTTGTTTTTTTTGTTTGTTTGTTTTTGAGACAGAGTCTGATTCTGTCTCCCAGGCTGGAGTGCAGTGGCACGATCCTGGCTCACGGCAAGCTCCACCTCCCAGGTTCACGCCATTCTCCTGCCTCAGCCTCCCGAGTAGCTGGGACTACAGGCGCGTGCCACCACGCCCGGCTAATTTTTTGTATTTTTAGTAGAGACGGGTTTCACTGTGTTAGCCAGGATGATCTCGATCTCCTGACCTCGCGATCCACCCGCCTCAGCCTCCGAAAGTGCTGGGATTACAGGCGTGAGCCACCGCGCCCGGCCGACACTGAGCTAAGACTTCATGAAGAAGTGGATCAGGCTTGAGGCTCAAGTGCTAGCAAACTCATGCTGTTCGTTGTTCAACCAGACTTGTCAGGAATAGAAATTCTGACTCATAGCTGCCTGACTCAATACTTTAAATTTTAGTTGGGTCCCAATTCAGGGGGAGAAAAAATGAGAGATATTTAATGATTCTATAATATCTCAAAAGGATTCCCTCCAGAGTGGATTTTGGTTCTGGCATCTGTCCCAAGGCTATCACTAGCACAACACAAATTTAGGAATTATTCAGCTTATAGATCCTGGAGTGCATAGGAAGACAGGTACATGAACTCAAGTTTTTCCAGGAAGACCCTTTTTTCCCCCCTACCTAGAACCCAGATTAAGACAGATAAAGTTACTTTTGCTTTCCTGTACTCAAGGGCAGACTCTTTAGATCATTCTTTCCCATAGAATACAGTCCTCTGAGAGTTCCTATTTTATGCAGGGATGGCAGTTCCAACTGTCCCACCTCCAACCACAAATGAGTATTAACACCTAATATCAGCCCTCTAGCAAGGGCTCCACAGGGCAGTCCCACATATCTACCTCTCTGATTTGCAGTTTCCTTTTTGTTTTGAGCATCTGTTGACTTGCTTTACATCCCTACAAGGCTCATCATACACTTATTAGGATTTTTATTTTATCTAGCATTTCTTGAACTTGTAGTGGGAGGGCTTTTAGCTTATCTCTTGTGCAATTCTGCCAGAACTAGAGGTGGGGACATATGTGACATGCACTTGGAACAGCACCTGGTCTCTGATAACTGCTACAAGTGTTTGCTGTAATTAAAAACATTCTCTCCTCTTCTCTTCTTTGTGTAGAAGTTAGGTGACATGCATAGAAAATCTAGTGTGTAACACTTACTGAATGGTTATACAAAATTATGCATTTTAAAATTAAAATATATTCCTGTATAGAAATCTAATGGGGTGTTGTAAAAATTCAATTTGAAATTGATTATGTGCTCTTTGTTGACAGGGGTGATGCCAATAAACAAAATATTTTTATTTAAAAATACACATTTAAAAATAAAGTTTCAAAAATAATGTAAAACTAAAACTATATCAGAAACAGTTAAAGAAGATTCAGGAATCTAATGCTTTTTGGGAGTCATTATGTATATTTATGATAAAAGGAGCAAATATATTGTGAGGCTCAGGGAACTTAAGCTTTAAGACTTCTCATTCGCTCAGGGCTGAGAACGGGCCTTGCCAATGGAGTCACATGATATTTTGGCAAAATTTCCAAAAATTTCAAAAGTGAGATATTTCATCCATAGTCAATTAAGATAATTGTTTCTTTAAATTCCTACTTTCCTCAGTCATGCCTTCCTATTGTCAGGCAATGTTAGAGAATCCACAGACATTCTGGGGACCCAGGTAAGGAGAAGTTGAGGTGGACTCACATTTAGTTTGAGTTTAGTGAGATGCATTTATATAGTCTTTATGGTATGATATAGTTCACTGACAGCCATGTAGAATTATTACTAGCTGTCTGAGAGTACGAATGACTTCCAAGAATACTTCTATACTACCCTTCCACCCATTTGGATTTACTAAGAGTCAGGAGACAGTGGATGGAAATGTGTGTAGTGGAGGAAAAAAGCTCTGAAATGTAATGAAGCAGGAGCTAGGCTTTGAGAGATCCTTCCCTCTTTAGACATGAAAAACTGAAAGCTAAAAACCTAGTTCTCATAGATAACAAAAGAGAAATGTGGAACATATTTGACAAGAGAGCATGTACAATTATAAACATACCTTATTTTTTTTTCTTTCATACCGAATAGTAGGAGGTAGAATGTATAATAATTCCTATTTTAGGGCTCAAACCTACATCATTATTATAACCAGTGAATATGCGCATGTGAGAGGTCACATGATATAAATCCAAATATCAGTAATACCAAGAAATTTTAGGCAAACACAATAGAGGAAAGACTGCATTATCTGTTCTTAATATAGAAAAATAATACAAACTTATTGTTTTAGAAAGAGACAGTTAATGAGCAAACAGTCAAAATATGAAAACCAAAAAGTTTTACAGGGTTATGTCACTCAGATAATAAAAACTTATTTTTCTGTATTTTGTGATGTTTGTGGTATTTGTCAGCTCTTTTAAATTTGTATTTTTGTTATTATTCTAAAATAATACTCACACTATACTAATTTTAATGTTTCAAATTTTGTAGGAAAATTTCCCAAACTATGTAAGCTTTAAACCCCACAAAACCCTCTCCCCAGGGTGCAAAACAAAAACAGAAGGAAACAGACTAAAAATGAACACATTTAATGATTTAATAATGCTGTTTTGACCACAATATTACAAAAATTGAAACTTTTGATAATGTATAGCAAATAAATCTATTTGGTGAAAACAAATTTTTAAGAAAAACACATCTCTATATTTTAAATTTTATCTGCATTGATCTTCTGTACAGTTAATTTAAAATAGAAATTAAAAGCATTTATAAATATACAAAACTTTAACCTTTATCATTTTCTTTATATTTGTCCATTCTCATATTCTCATGCAATAATAAAGACATACCTGAGACTGAGTAATTTAAAAAGGAAAGAGGTTTAATTGACTCACAATTCAGCATGGCTGGGGAGGCCTCAGGAAACTTACAATCATGGTGGAAGGGGAAGAAAACATGTCCTTCTTCACATGGCAGCAGCAAGGAAAAGTACAGGGTGAAGGTGGGGGAAGATTCCTTATAAAACCATCAGATCTTGTGAGAAATCATTCACTATCACAAGAACAGCACGGAGATAACCATCCCCATGATTCAATTACCTCCCACCAGGTCCCTCCTATGACACATGGGAATTATAGGAACTACAATTCGAGATGAGATTTGGATGCAGACACTGCCAAATCACATCAGTCTTAAAACTACCGTCGTCAATAAAAAAGAAGCCAAATGTTAAATTACAACTCTCAACCTGACTAGAGGTAAAAGTAATTAGTGTGTTAAAGTTTATGGTTCATGGAATTATCTGATTAATAAATTTTGTTCAGAAAGCTATAAAATATAATCAATCTCTATTCAGTCCACAAATATAGAAACCAACATCCAGTAATTGAGTATAAAAGAAAAAAATTAGAAAAATAATGTTAATCAAATAATTTAGATGTACAGCATTTTTAAAAAGGACCTTCCCAGAGAATGACGAGATGGATGAGAAATGTGCTTGACTGCCGTCTAATACCATACACACTGGATTTTCCTCCTTGATTTTTGTGTCAAAGGCTTATGAGTTCCTGAAGATGAGATATAACCTTTCCTCTGTTGTGTTTCTTTTATTTTGCCCGTTAACATAATTGTAGCACATCCAAGTGGAAATGTCCACCAGGCAGCTGAAAGTGAAGGAGGAGGACTCAGGAGAGAAGTTGGGCCTGAAGATAAGGATCGGCTGTCACTGGCATCAAGACTGCCAAGGAGGGGAATAGTAAGAAACACCAGAAGAGGGGTGCTGAAAGGCTCAGAAGTCACTCTGTTTGAGAAATAAAGAAAAGTAAAAGAGGTTATTAAAAAAAAGAAAGGAGGGAAAAGTCAGAGAGATAGGCAGGAAACCAGGTTACAGCAGCATCTCATAGACGAAGGAAGGGAGTGCACTTCCAAAAACAAACACACAAAACAGGAATTGATCCACAATGTAAAATTCTGCAGAAAAGTGACAAAGAACGAGCACCAAAAAAGGGGAATGATGATGAAAAAACATAACTTATTGTTGACTTTACGGACTACAGTTCCAGCAGTGTAGCCACAGATCAAATCACAGCATGCACGATGCAGTAAATACTGGAAGTATATACAAATTATTCCCTGAAGATATTTATTTAGGATTAAAAGGAAGGATGTTTTTAAAATTAGGATGGTGGCCAAAGGAGAAAGCAAATTTCTTTTGCTCCTTTTGATGTTGCCCTTTGATGTAAATGGAGTACATTCAAGTAGACCTGTCCACTGGGAGGACCCAGGAGAGAAGTCAGGCCTGGAGATAAGGAGCTGTCATCTTCATGGAGATTGCCAAGGAGGGGAATGATAGAAACATAAGAAAAAGGCTGCTGACAGTCTTATAAATCGCTATATTTGAGGAGTGAAGTGAAAAACAGAAACAAAAGGTTGCTTTTAACTGTGGCTATTTTAAAGATAGAGGACATTGTACATATGTTTAGGCAACAACATTTTATAGATAGACAAAATGCAAACCAAGAAAAGAAAAGGATATAACTGAGAGAGTCAGTCACATCCAATGAACACAAGAGATGATGAATTTAAAAGCAAGCCGCCTATTTCATAAATTTGGTGATGGGTTCACCAGTGTTAATTTTACTACCAGTCACACAAACATATGTTACATTGCTGTTATATATAGATCAAATATCACATATACTTTTTAAAAGAATGAGTAGAAAAATATGCATGACCCTGGGAATCACTTTCGACAGCAGTCAGAGATGCCAGTCCCCTTCTCATTCCATTGTCAGCAGGAGCCATCCATACCCAGAATATAAAGCTAAAGGCCTGTTCTGCCCTAACCTTGTGATGGCTCTAAAGAGGACTCCAGGAGGAAGGTTGGGAAACTCTCAGAACACTGAAAATAACTAACCAGACACAACTTGAGATTTCTCATATTCTTCTTCCCTGAGTGAAAAAAATACTTAAGAAATAATCTACAAACAAAGCATTTCCCTCATAAATATCCTGCTTAAAGTACTGAATAAAGTCCCAAGAAACAAAAGCCATAGTGGACTGAGAAGGAAAAATTCCAATTTCTACTTGCATCTCTATAATTCACTTCCGGCAGGCTACTGCAAGTCAACTCATTTCTTTGCCTGTCAATATTCTCAGAAGTAAAATGAACAGGTTGGATTAGATGATTTCTAATGTCCATTTCAACAGTAACCATTTCTTTTCCCTCTATTATCTGTGAGTTTTGACCAATGCACACAAGCCTCTGCTTCCTGATAAATGGCTGCAAATCTTGGGGTTCCACAGGGTGCCATCCTCAACAAAATGGCAGAGTTGGCTAGAAACACCTGTGACTCACAGAAGTGCACTAATAAGCACTGCTGTAAATAACTTCATTGTGCTAAACCCCAGATGTTGCTGATAAATATTAGCCAAGTAAGCATGAGAGGAGAAGGGGTCATTCAAGGAGAAGCACTTGTGTCTCAGAAAGTTGATGTGTAAATGGTAAGCCACATATACCAGATTTGCATAGAGGAGGTAAAAATAGGTCAGCTTCTTCAAAACAAAATAATTGCTTAAGCAGATTACCCATCCCCCCCTCACCCCCCGCCACCTGCCCGCCGACTCCTCAACACACACACATACACTAATGGCGCTGGTAAAACAATATTTACCTCTAAGTCTCAAGCCCAGCAACTGAGACCAGGTACAGCTGCTGAGTACCCAGCAATACATGGTAGAGGAAAGCAAGAACCACATGAAAGTAAACGGAAGCAGTGGCTAATTGCTGTCACTTACATACAATACAAAATGGGGCACTAGAGAGATGCATGCCCTAGAATGTCCTGACATCAGAAACAATTGCTGGGACCCAGGAGAAAAGTTCTAAAATCTTCAAATGGCAATTTAATTTTAGTTCAGTAGTTCAGACTGAAAAGAGCACTGACAGTCTCTCTGTCTGGTAAAAAGAAAGTCATGATCAATACTGACTGGAGAGTAACAGTTAAGCATACCCATCTTTGTTGGGGTTTGCACTTGATCAGAGGTTCAGCAAGATTCCTGCCTATGAAGTGCTTACAGCCTAAGAGTATGCAGCATTGCAGTGTTTCCAGATGCCACTTGGATTAATCTAGTTAGGCTACACTTATGGGGCAGTAACAAACATCCCTTGAAATCTAGGGACACTATGAAAGTTTATTTCTTGCTTAAACGAAGGTTGCTATAAGTCAGCTTCTGAACAGCTATCTTCCACGCAGTGACTTGGTGATTGAAGCTCTTTTGACTTTGGGCTCTGCCATCTTAACATGTGGCCACCATACTCCCCAAAGAGAAAAAGGAAGTTGGAAATTGCACTGGGGTTTTTGCTGCCCCAGCCTGTAAATGCAGCATGCCACTTTCTCTCACAGGCCACTATCTAGAACTAGTCGTTCTGGGAGATTGAGAAGTACAGTATCCCAAGAACCCAGGAGGGGAGGGGAAGTGGATGTTGGTGAACTCCACTAATAACTATCACGACAGTGCTGGTGAAAAGCAAATATACCCTCATATTCCTACAGGAAATTAATAAGCCTTAAAGCCAAGACCACACCAGCTCATCCCAGTAGCCCTATTCCTCCTCTTTTCCAACTGCCTACGAAATGCATTGGACTCCTTTTACTAGATGTATAAAACAGTTAGCCACAGGTAAACATGGTTGGGGAACAGGATCAAAAATTAGACTGAAAGAGAAAGGCCAGATGAGCTATTTCTAGCCAAGTCCTTTCATGTTGTGCCATTACCCTTCAAACTGAACAGCTGAGCCCTTAGGCCACTCACAGTCCAATGATGACAGAGCAAAGATAATAATCATCAAAGAAGTAGCACCAGCAGGGGCAGGGAAACTGAAGGGATGCCACCACCTCCTAGAGACAAGGACCAGCAGAAAACCCCTTGGTTTCTACATTCTTTGTCACATGCACACATGCACACACCTCGTGTGACAAGTGTGACCTCTAATCTGTATATCTTTAGTTGAGATCTCTTTGGAAACCTAGATTTACAAGTTACAGCCTACTTGACATCTCTTGGCTATAACTAAGAAATTACACAATTAATACGGCCAAAATGAAACTTGTGATTCCCCCCACCACACTGAGGCATCCCTTATTCTCCCTCTCTCTCTCACCAGTTTTCCCTATTTCACTAAATAACACCAACATCCAGTTAGCTGCTCAAACCAGAAACTTCTGAGTGATCTTTCATTCCTCTCTTTGCCTCCATAGGTTACACCTAATCATGTCTTATTAATTCTATCTTGAAAATAGATGTCAAATTTGTCCACTTCTCTCCATTTAGACTGACACCATCCTGGCTCAAGACACCATCATCTCTCAACTGTGTAAGCTACAAAAAAATCCCTTCCTCATCTCCCTGTTTCTGTGCTTGCTAGCTCTTATTCAGCTCTCTGCGGAGCAGCTAGAGTCTTCTCTTTATAAGTCCCTCCTCTGTGTAAAACCTTTCATTGATCTTCCATTGCACTAGGTGTAAAATTCAGATGAAACCACATGATCTCCCCAATATCATTCTGAGCCATCTGGAAACCTGCCACGATGATCTTCTTTCTTTTCTAAGTAGGCTATATCCTTTCCTACTTCAGGGTTATTTATAAAGGCAGATCCTGCGCCCATCTTCCCGCACAGCTGCTCCTTTTTAACATTTTGGTTTCGTCTCAGAAAACACCCTTCCTCTTTCATTCCCCTGTCTTCTACTCCATCTTTATTTTCGATCGCAGTTTTTCAAACCTCAGTTGGTTTCCTTCCAAATATATATTAGAATTCGCATTATAGTACTTTTTTGAGATACGGTTACCCAAATAGAACAGAAACCCCGTGAAGGTAGAACTCACTTCTGTCTTGCTCAACATAGTTTTTACCAGAGAAGGAGCCTAATATACACTTTTGAATCTAGAACAGTTTGTGTATTTTTAAGCATATAAAAGCCACTCTCACTAAATAAAAGGGGGTTAAATGATATCTTTTATACTATGTCAGGATCCTCCATAACACAGGTCATAAACGAAACTGCCCATAGAAGCTTAGAAAGAAACATGAGTGAAGAGCACTAGACATAGGCAGATCCAAACCAGAGAGACTGTTCATCCAAGGGGGGCAGCTTCTTGACAACTCCAAATTTAGGCTTATCATTAGGTATATATTTAGGCTTATCATTTCCAGATCTTTTAATTTTTCAAGAGAAGTGAGAAATCTGGAGCTTTTAAAAGAAAAATGTCTGGGTTTCTCCACTGTTAAAAAATAAACTTTCAGTTTGGATGAACAAACAAAACTTGGTGGTGGATTCAATGTGGTTACAGGCAGCCAATTTGAATCCTGGGCTAAAAATATATACATGTTTTTTCCAAACCACCTTGCCAAAACATTTCCTGAGGATAAAGGTGATAGCAAAAATAACAATAGTAAAAATCTCATATAGTGCCTACTGTATGTCAAATGCTATTCTAAACACTTCACTTATAAACTCCAATGATCCTAATGACATCTCTCTCATGAGGTAGATAGTATTATTATTCCTACTGGACAGATGAAGACACTCACTAAAGCAGAGAGAGTAAGAAATTGGTCCTGGGTAAGTGGCAGAGCAGATATCAGACCCCAGAGCCTGTGTTCTTTACTATGGTATTTGAAGATAAGTCAAAAATAGTGAAATCACATTTCCTCTATAAACACCTTCTGCTTGATAAAAAAACGCAAGCTTTGATGTTTTCCTGTCATCCATGTGTTCTAGTTCTGGCCTGTTAACTAACAACCTCTAAGATGTTACTCTCACCCAGGCAATGTGTAGGGTTAATCCTTCCTCATCTATTCAGTACAACATGAGAAAAGGCTGCTATCAGATTCTTCCCATCTCCCAAAATAGATAAGCTACACAATACACAAGTTAGACATGTGAATACTTACTACCTAAACTGAGGAATTATCTAAGGGACAAAGAGGCACTGAAGTTCAGCTTTAGTTGTGGTATTTGGCCAAAAATCTGCTATTGGGATTTGGCTTCAGCCTTGGTTTTTGGCAGGCCAAGTAGCCAGATGTCATTTCAACTATATTTGTGGCAACCCTGAGCTTATGTGCAATTAATTATCATTTGATCATATCTATTGTAACATTATCAGCAACAAATAGCAGTGTCCTTTGGTTTTACTGTTGCTTTATGAAAATTCCCTTTCTAATAAATGTAGACATTGTAGGTGTGATTTAAACAGCAAAATCCTTCCAGTTTGTTTTATATCTTAATAGCCTACCAGCCAGTTGAAGACTAAATGTATCCTATTATAAGAATTCATTCAAACAAATAGTTGAGTCCTTCCATGTATTAGATATGGCTGTTAGTATCAAAGACATGTCACTAAACATGGGGTCCTGCCTCACAGAGTTCACACTCTAGTGGATGATGACCTAAAATAATAATAAACATAAATTATGTATGGTTTTAGAAAGTGGTGAGTGTGTTAGTGGGGTAAAGAAATTACAAGACAGAATCAGGGATCAGGGGCCTTGGAAGAGAGGACACTATTTTAATAGAACTGACCATTTCAGCCTCACTGGGGAGGTGATACTAGAGCAAAGATTTGAAGGAAATGAAGGGGTGCACCTTGTGCATCCCAAGGAAAGAAGATTCAAGGCAGAGGTAACAGCCAGTATAAAGGCTTGGAGGTGGGAAGGTACCTGGTTTGAACTAGGAGCAGCAATGAGCATAGAAAAGCCTAGTAGCAGATGACAGGAGGGACTTGCCAAGGCACAGATCATGCAGGATCTGGTAGGGCACTAAGGACTTTGGCTTTAATTTGAGAAAAACAGGATGTGATTAGAGGATTTTGAGCAGAAGAGGGACATGATCTGACTCACACATTAACAAGATCATTCTGGTTGCTGAATTGAGGGTCATGTTTTATAATGAATATTGTGAAAACATTGCTTAAGAAGAAAACCCTCAAGTGAGAAAAACAAAATTGAGCCTGATTTTGAGAATTTAAAAAAATCACCTTGTACAATCCAAAGCTTTAATTTATGGGACTGTTTCAATGAAACTTCATCATGACCATCAGCAAGATGGCAAGTCCAGGAGTTATTGACTTTAGTCAGTTATTATTGGAGAGGAGGAAAGCTTATTGACTTGGGGGGAATATCACCATTAACACTACTACAGTAATAGCAGAGCTTGATAAAAGCGTATTTTGCTCCTTCACTGACCTCAGTTGAAAAAGCATATTTTCAGTATCATAAATACGCAATAGAACAACCACAGGAGCTGACAGCTGAGAAATTATTACCACTGCTCTGTAATGCCAATTTTAAAAAATTCTGCTTGGTATAATTTTAATTAAGTTGTAGTAAATAGGTATTCTTATTAATAGTTCAGATTTATTCTTGTATACTAAGATATTTGTTTTATGATGGTGATATTCAACTTCAGCCAATAGTGATTTAACACTCAGCCATTTGGCATTTGGCCAAAATGCAAATTTGGTGCAGGTTGAACAACCTTAATCTAAAAATCCAAAATCGAAATGCTCCAAAACCCAAAACTTTGAGTAATGACATCATGCCATAAGTAGAAAATTCTACTCTTGACCTCATATTATAGGCCAGTCAAAACACAGCCAAAAATTTGTTTCATGCACAAAATTATTTAAAATATTGTATAAAATTGCCTTCAGGCTATATATATAGGATGTATATGAAACATAAATGAATTTCATGCTTAGACTTGGATCCCATCTCCAAGATATCTCATTTGGATGAGATACTGAACTTGGAATATGCAAATATTCCAAAATCTAAAAAAAATCCCAAATCCAAAACATGTCTGGTCCCAGGCATTTCGGATACAGGATACTTAATCTGTATAAGTCAGACAAAATGTTTGTGCCTCCTAAAACTGATAGGTTGAAGCCCTAACCCCCAATAAGGTGTTGTTTGAAAGTAGGGCCTTTGAGAGGTAATTACGGGTTTAGATGATGTCAATGAGGGTGGAGGGCCCCATGATGAGAATGGCATCCACACAGAGGAGAAACAGACACCTTAGCTCACTCTCTCTGCCATATGAGAACACAGTGAAAAGGTGGTCTCTGCAAGACAGAAAGAGCATCCTCATTGGAACTGACTCAGCTGGCACCTTGATCTTGGATTTCCCAGCCTTCAAAACTGTGAGAAATAAATGTCTCTTGTTTAAGCTACCAAGTCTCCAGTAATTTGTTACAGCAGCTGAGGCTGACTAATACAGCATATATCTAAGGGTATGTGTGAAATCAACATTTGAAAACGATTTCTAATCCATACAGCCTTGGAAATAATATTTCAGGTTTTACTTGGCACCTGGTGATCCAATTTTTCAGTTTAAGTGAGGAGTTCCTAATCACTTAAAGAGAAAGAGAAGAAGCTGTTTTCCATTTCCTTCAAGTTTGGGCCAGATCAGGGAGATGGGGCAGAAATCACGGGAGCCAGCTGATGCTTACACCAGGGACCCTGAATAGAGCTTGCAGAGGAGGGTGAAAGAGCCACACCATCTGAAATCTTGGCCAACGCTAGAGGGTAGCAGAAGTCATAGGGCCTTATTCAGGCAATCAGAGACTTTAACTTTTAAGTTCAGGGGTACATGTACAGGTTTGTTATATAGGTAAACTTGTGTCAGGGGGCTTATTGTACAGATTATTTTATCACCCAGGTATTAAGCTTAGTACCCATTAGATATCTTTCCCAATCCTCTACCCCCTCCCATCCTCCATACTCTCACAGGGTCCCGTATGTGTTGTTCCCTTCTATATATCCATGTGTTCTCATGATTTAGCTCCCACTTATAAGTGAGAACATGTTGTATTTGGTTTTCTGTTCCTGTGTTAATTTACTAAGGATATTGGCCTCCAGCTCCATCCTTGTCCCTGCAAATGACATGATCTCATTCTTTTATACGGCTGCATAGTATTCCATGGGGATATATACCACATTTTCTTTATCCAGTCTACCATTGATGGGAATTTAGTTTAATTCCATATCCTTGCTATCGTGAATAGTGCTGCAATGAACATACGTGTATCTTTATAATAGAATGATTTATATTCCTCTGGGTATATTATACCCAGTTATGAGATTCCCGGGTCATATGGTTTGGCTGTGTCCCCACCCAAATCTCATCCTGAATTCCCACATATTGTGGGAGGGACCCAGTGGGAGGTAATTGAATCATGCAGGCAAGTCTTTCCCATGCTGTTCTTGTGACAGTGAATAAGTCTCACGAGATCTGTTGGTTTCAAAAAGAGGAGTTCCCCTGCACAAGCTCTCTTTGCCTGCTGCCATTCATGTAAGACATGACTTGTTCCTCCTTACCTTCCGCCATTATTGTGAGGCTTCCACTTCCAGCCACGTGGAAGTGTAAGTCCCATTAAGCCTCTTTCTTTTATAAATTGCACAGTCTCAGGTATGTCTTAATCAGCAGCATACAATAATACAATAAACTGTATTGTATAAATACAATAAATTGGTACTAGGAGTGGACTAATACAATAAATTGGTACTAGGAGTGGGGCGCTACTGAAAAGATACCCAGAAATGTAGAAGTGACTTTAGAACTGGGTAACAGGCAGAGGCTGGAACAGGTTGGAGGGCTCAGAAGAAGGCAGGAAAATGTGGGAAAGTTTGCAACTCCCTAGAGACTTGTTGAACAGCTTTGACAAAAATGCTGACAGTGATCAATAAGGCCATCAAAAAATTTGCAGCTTGACAATGCGATAGAAATGAAAATCCCATTTTCTGGGGAGAAATTCAAGCTGGCTGCAGAAATTTGCAGAAATTTGCATAACTAACGAGGAAGGAAATTTTCATCTCCAAGGAAAATGCCTCCAGGGCATGTCAGAGAGCTTCACAGCAGCCCCTCCCATCACAGGCCTGGAGTAGGCTGTATAAAAAGTGGTTTTGTGGGCCGGGCCCAGGGTGCCCATGCTGTGTGCAGCTTAGGGACTTGGTGCCCAGCTGCTCTAGCCATAGCTGAAAGGAGCCAACACAGAGCTTGGGCCGTCGCTTCAGAGGGTGAAAGCCTCAAGCCATGGCAGCTTCCATTTGGTTTAGAGCCTGCCAGTACACAGGAGTCAAGAATTGGGGTCTGAGAACCTAGATTCCAGAAGATGTATGGAAATGCCTGGATGTTCAGGCAGAAGTTTGCTGTAGGGGCAGGGTCCTCATGGAGAACCTCTGCTAGGACAGTGAGGAAGGGAAATGTGGGGTCAGAGCCCCAGCACAGAGTCCCTACTGGAGTACTGCCTAGCAGAACTATGAGAAGACGGCCACCATCCTCAAGATCCCAGAATGGTAGATCCACTGATAGCTTGCACCATGGGCCTGGAAAAGCCACAGGCACTCAATGCCAGTCCATGAAAGCAGCCAGGAGGGAGGCTGTACATGCAAACCCACAGGGGTGGAGCTGCCCAAGACCATGGGAACCCACCTCTTGCATCAGCGTGACCTGGATGTGAGATATGGAGTCAAAGGAGATCATTTGGAACTTTAAGATTTGACTGTCCTGCTGGATTTCTGACTTGCTTGGGGCCTGTAGCTTCTTTGTTTTGGCCAATTTCTCCCATTTGGAATGGCTGTATTTACCCAATGCCTGTCCCCCTGTAGGAAGTAACTAACCTGCTTTTGATTTTACAGACTCCATAGGTGGAAGAGACTTGCCTTGTCTGTAATGAGACTTTGGACTGTGGACTTTTGAGTTAATGCTAGAATGAGTTAAGACTATGTGGAACTGTTGGGAAGGCATGATTGGTTTTGAAATGTGAGGACATGAGATTTGGGAGGGGCCAGGGGCAGGATGATATGGTTTGGCTGTGTCCTCACCCAAATCTCATCTTCAATTCCCATGTGTTGCAGGAGGGACATAGTGGGAGGTAACTGAATCATGGGGGCAAATCTTTCCCATGCTGTTCTCATGACAGAGAATAAGTCTCACGAGACCTGATGGTATTTAAAAAAAGGAGTTCCCCTGTACAAGCTCTCTTTGCCTGCTGCCAAACATGTAAGACATGCCTTGCTCCTCTTTGCCTTCCACCATGATTGGACTTACACTTCCACGTGGCTAGGGAAGTCTCACAATTAAACCTCTTTCTTTTGTAAATTGTGCAGTCTCAGGTATGTCTTTATCGCAGCATGAAAAGGGACTAATACACCAGGTGATATGGTTTGGCTGTTTCCCCACCCAAAATCTCATCTTGAATTGTAATCCCCATAATCCCCACGTGTTGTGGGAGGAACCTGGTGGGAGGTAATTGAATCATGGGGGCTGCTTCCCCCATGCTCTTCTCGTGATAGTGAGTCAGTTCTCACAAGATCTGATGGTTTTATAAGCAGCTGGCATTTCCCCTTCTGGCATTCATTCTCTCTCCTGCTGCCCTGTGAAGAGGTACCTTCACCATGGTTGCAGCCAAGCAGAAATGTCAGTCAATTAAGCCTCTTTTCTTTTCTTTTTGAGGGGGAGTTTCACTATTGTTGCCCAGTCTGGAGTGCAATGGTGCGTTCCTGGCTCACTGCAACCTCCACCTCCTGGGTTCAAGCGATTCTCCTGCCTCAGCTTCCTGAGTAGCTGGGACTACAGTCACCTGCCACCATGCCAGGCTAATTTTTTGTATTTTTAGTAGAGACAGGGTTTCACCATGTTGGCCATGCTGGTCTCGAACTCCTGACCTCAAGTGATCTACCCATCTCGGCCTCCCAAAGTGCTGGGATTACAGGCATAAGCCACTGCGCCCAGCCTAAACCTCTTTTCTTTATAAACTACCCAGTCTTGGGTATTTTCTTATAGCAATGTGAGAACAGACTAACACAGTGGGTCAAATGGTATTTGTTTTTTGGTCTTTGAGGAATCACCATACTGTCTTTCACAATGAATCTAAGTGCAGTTTAGAATGACTGCCACAGACTGTAATCAGGAATTTTCTTGGTCTCAGTGACAACCTAGAGTGAACTTTTGAAGAGTGAAGGGTAATGGAATGGCTTTGGAAGTATCCCTTGTCCATTGTGTGGCTAATATGCCACTTGTACCAATCCAGAAAAGCATTCCCTTGATATCATCAACCATTCAACCATTATAGAACTCAGTAAGACATCCTCTGCTCACTTGTGGAGGAGCTAAAGATAACCAAATAACTATGAGGCAAGAGACATAAACCCAGAGGCAAGGGACTTCTGTATTATATGAACTGACTTATTCATTCATCAAAAATTTCATCTTTTTATTATGTGCTGGACACAGTAGCAGGCATTGATATTGCAGCAGTGAACAAGACAGACTAGATCATCGCTTTCAAATGATTTAAATTCTGTGGAGAGACAGAAAACAAACAAGATGATTTCAGACCAGAAAAAGTTATATGCAGAACATCAAACCAAGTGATGTCAGAGAATGTGACTAGGGATTCATTTAGTTAGGGTGGTCAGGAAAGACCTCTTGGAGAAGCACATTTGAGCTAGGACCTAAATGACAAGGAACTAGCTGAACAATGATCAAGGGGAGAACATTATAGGCAGAAGGGATGGCAAGTACCAATAATCTCCAAAGAGAATCACTTTAGTAATTTAGTAGTTTGGGTGGATAAACTCAAATGAATTTAGTGGGCTCTGATACACTCGCCTGAACACCGCCCTCCTTTTACATTGTCAAATGGCATATCCTGTACTCTTCGTCCACTAGACAAATACTATTAACTAAGTGGCTCCAAGCACTTGTTATTTCCTATAGATCTGTCAGCATAAAAGAGTGAAAAGCACTGTTCATGTGTTAGATAAACTGTGTTTTAGGTAGACTGTGTCACTGCTAGCCTCAAGATCTTTGTGAAGTCATTCAGTCTCATCTGAGTCTCATCTCCCTAACTTGTAAAATAAATTAGATGGTCAAATGCTCTCTAGGTTTTCTTTTTTCTTGATTATACAATGAACCTATGGCTTAAATATATCATATTAATTGTCATACTTTTCAGAGCTTAACATGTTAGTAATAAAAGCTTACCTCTTCGGATATAAGTTTACTGTAGTTTCGTTTGAGCCCTGTCCAAGAACTCAATATACATGTACTGGGGTCCTGGAACTCACATAGCATGAAGTCATATTTGCTTGTCTCTTGTTCTGACCCTTATGAGAATTCTTAAGAAGTACATCCTCATTATGTTTCATATGCATTGTGTCCTTTCCTATCATGGGTGACATTATATTGGGTTGGCAGCTTTGTTTGGAGACATTTTTGCTCCTTGAGCCAACAAATACAGATAGCCAAGAATTAGATCATTCTATCCCTAAATTGCAACAGACCTTCTCAAAGGCAGCTAAGCAATGTAATTTGATCAAGGTTAAGTACAGTCAACCCTTCATCTTTTAACCTAAGTCTAAGTTCTTTTTGCTCTGTTTTAATCCCAGATTAATGGTTCCTGCTTACTGTCACAAATGTCCACAAGTTGCCCTGCAGTCAACTCTCATTTATCTGCCTGTGGCTTATCCAAAGCACCCAGCTTTCTCCTCCTCCTGCCTCCAGCACCAAGTTCCAGGCCAGCTCCTTTAACTCTGTGCCAAAGAAATACAAACTAAATCTAATATTAGCCTAATGAGAAAAGGCTATCTGCTGCCAAAGATTCACATAATGCATCCCAAAGCCAACTGCAAGCAATTATTCACTGTTTTAGATGTTGGCATTGCTTCTCCCTTATATAATACAGCAATCAAGATTTGCTGTTTTCTCCCTGAGGAGTAATTAATATATGCAGCATTTTAACCTCTTCTTTTGCCTAGTTGGCCAGATTCTCAGTGTAACAGACCATATTTTCTTTTCAAATAAATAGATCATTTGTATATTTCATGTTAGGAGCATAAAAAACCTTGAATTTAGAGCCATTAGACATAGAGAGTTACATCTTCCTCCAGATTATTAGCCAGAAACTAAGTTTTAGTGAGTCATTTTACATCCTTGGGTTTCTCAGCTGTAAAATGGGGATACATTTTTATAAAGGAAAGGTACAGGGGAGGCATGCAAATATAAGGAACGCTCAAAGCTCTGACTCCAGGAATTAGCATTGTGGCAGGAAAAAACAAAGGATTATCAACCTTATGAAACCCTTATTTGACAGGCATAAAAACACAGCAAGGTGAAGTTTCCTCATAAACACCTAGAAAATCAAGTCTAGAAGTCAAGAATTCCCAATGTCATGTTTAGGCCACTTGTGAGGACACATTCTAGAATTCCAAGATAGGAAACAGATAGGATACTGATGGGCTGATCTTATTCCACAGCCAGAATTGCCATAGAAATACAAATTCCAATCATCAGAGCATTTGGGAACATCAATTTCAAAAGAAACTCCTGAGTATTTCGACTTTTTTTTTTTAAATGACTGAAGTCCTTGTCCACTCAGGTCCAAGGATGAGGATCAGACAGAACATCAACACAATTCCATTTTTCATCTTATTCCTATACCCAGAGAACTTCAATGGTTTCCCACAGATTACAGCAGCACTGTCTAATAGGACTTTCTGCCATAATGATCATGTTCTATGTCCACATTGTCCAAAACAGCAGCTCCTGGAAACATGGGATAATGAACACTTGAAATGTGGCTAGCATGACCAAAGAAATACATTTTTGCATTTTATTCAATTTAAATAAATCTGAATATCCACATGTGCTAGTGGCTATTGTATTGAACAATGGAGGTGAAAAGTAAATCCATGCTACTCACTCCAGCATTCAAATTCCATCACACAGTTTGGCCCCAGCCTATTGTTCCAGACTCGATTTCTGCCACACAAACTCTTACTTGAAGAGACTGATGTTGAACACACCTGGGCATTTCTGCTGCCATACCTTGGCTCAAAGTGCTTAGACTTCACGGCTAAAGGCACCCTCCATTCTTAGGGCTACATATTGGAATTTATCCATACTTCGCAGCATAGGTCAAGTTCTTCCTGTGCTAGAGTACCCTCCCTTGCAAGTCTTGTTCTGACTGCTCTGTGAGTAAAGGGTTAAGGAATCTCAGGGCTGGCCTGTCTGAGAAGGACTTCAGTCTCCCATAGGGCTGGTTTTTTGGAAACTGCTATGTGGAACCACTCCTGGTCTTTAGGAGCTGTGGCTTTGTCTTGAGTCTACAAGACTAGAAGGATATAAATGAATGGTGAAAAAAAGAGGCTGTGCCTTCTTTGTATCAAAGAGACTCATCCTCATCTGGACTCTCAACTTGGCAGCTGTGTGGGTGATGGGTCAAAAGAAGCTGTGTACTTGGATAACTTCTGGACCTCCCAATGCAATGAAAATGCTTTGCCACTGTATTTCTTGCTTGTACCCTCCTATAAAGCTATGTAAACATAGTTTTTTACTCTTAAACTGGTAACTATAGCTGTGGCGTGGCATGGCATGCATATTCTCTCTGAGTTTCCAAGTACTCACAAGAATTTAGGACTTATGTTGGTAAGTATTTTTTGTGGATCCACATTTCAACTGGATTCATTTTTTTATTTCCATCTAGACTGTATGCTTCCCAATAAGACTTACAGGTGATCTGGGTACTCTACTGGTTTCTCTTTGGTCTGTAAGAGCTGGAGGCTACTTGTGGCCAGACAACCTTTTTCTTCTGGAATAAGGGTTCTGAGTGTTTTGAGGAATTGGGGCTAAGGGTCCCAAAATGTCACTTTCTAAGATAGAGTATTATTCTGCCCAAAATGAATACAGATACACACACACATTTTAAAATTATGAAAGCAATACAAATTTCAGTGTCAACAGGGTAGATTAAGCACATGCTACAATCCTCCCCCAATCCACATATATACACAGACTCTAGCATTGCCTGTTAAAGATAAGCTCATTAAGCTCCTCTGGAACAGGTGGTGTGCTGAGGGATTGGTTTCAAAGACCAACATGGCAGGGCTCAAAGTGGCAGGGCCCAAAGGCACACTAAGGAGCTGGAACCAGGTTCCCAGTGAGAAGTCTGCATATGAAGGAACTTGATTTGCATAATCAGTCAGAAGCAAACAGAGAGAATGTCAAATCGAAACATTAGTGTAATACCTGGTCAGAGCTCTCGCATCCCAGAGTTCAGGTGAAGGCAGATACAAAAGCACCTTACCAGAAGGCTCTACAATTCAAGGCACACGTGGCCAAAAGACCCCACGATAACTCACTTCTCTGACAAATAAACCACCAGCAAGAATTAGAAGCCATGTGAGGAAATTCAGCACCCTAAAAGCGTAATACTAACCCAACAAACAGAAAAAGTCATGGTTGAGCTACTAAAGTTAATGGGACAATCTGAAAAGGGCTTTAAAATAAATACACTTAAAAGAATACATATCTTATTTAAAATTCAAGCAAAGCAGTACAGAAAGTAAAAGTTTTCTCCGTAATTTTAACTTCAGATAGAATCTGCTGCTCAAATTGTGGAAAACCCTCCTAGACTCAGTGATGCTCTTATACAGAGACAGACATTTTTACATAAACGGAAACATACAATATCTACTATGTCATAACCTGCCCTTCTCGTTCCCTTTCTACTTTAAAATATTATCACATACATTTTCCCACATAAATACATACAGGTCTTCTACATCCTCATAAAGGAAAAATTATATCCCATTGCATTAATACACAGTTTCTTTAGCCAGTGTCCTGTGAATGAACATTCGGGCTATTTTCAATGTGTTCTCCTGTAGCCATCTTTGCACATATGAATGATTATTTCCTTAGGTAAGTTCCTACAGAGGGAATTATTGGCCCCCTAATGGCACACATTTAAAATTTTGATAACTATTATCAAGCTTGTCATCCAGAAAAGCTGTACCAATTTACATTACTGAATGGCTTTAGAGGTATGCATTTCTAGCCACAGGTTTTGTAAGGTAGGTTTAAAGTAGGCCAATTTACCGGAGATTCAATTATACACCCAAGAAAAGAGAAGACGGCTTACAACTCTACCAGCCCTCTAAATGCAATGGAAGGGAAAATGTAAATGTGTTTGTACCTGCACAAAACAAGTTCATGTTGTCTAAGGTACAAAAGCTTCAGGGTCAGTCATGCTGCTGGCATCCACAGTAATCACACTGTAGTAATTTTAACTGTTCCCCCAGCAGCCACTGTTGTTTCCTCGTCCTCCATTTAAACAACTGGACAAATTCTTTGTCTAAGCTTTCTTTACTAAAGCCTCTAGTCTGTTCACCCCTAAATATGATGGCAGTGTGAAAAACCCAGAATCTCCTTTCAACCTCATTTGTTGGGGATGGGTGTTCACTGTAGATGATTTGCATAAACTCAAATGAATCTGGTTTCCAATATTAGTTTGTTCCAGAAGAAAGGCACATTATACACATCCACACTCATTGAAGTATGTTTTCAGCAAAGGAACTATAAAATGCTTCAGAGGCAAAGACACAAAATTTCAGGATTCACAATTCACATATTCAAGATAATCAGAAATAAAATCATATCAGATTTGAGTCAAATTTTGTATATTACCAATATCTTTACAAATATAGGAGATACACACTAGAAATGTTTAAAGTTGAATTTAAATCAGACAAATATCAATAGTTAACTTTTCTCTCTACTCTAATTTTTAATATTTTAGGCATCCTTTGGAAAATATCTCACTCATAGAAAGTCTGTTTATCTTCCTAAAGAGGACCCTTAAGGCGTTTTTTCCTGGCTCTTTCAAGATGCCCATGTATTGATCAGGTTTAGCTTTCTTAACAGGGTTCACTCATTTCCAATGTTGTTCACAAACCAAACTTCATTGATCATCAGCCAGTAAATATCCTATGAGTTGCCATTTCTCTTAGCTAAAATGTCTAGCGTAAAATGCCTGCAATATATATCTTGGTAATCATTCCCCATTCCCTACCACACACACATACTTAATGTCAACAATTTTTAATTATCCACACTAAAGAAGAGAAGCAATAACAGTAATTATTCCAAACTGTACATAAAGCAAAAAATTCACATCTGATTTTGGAAGACATTATTTGGAGGAGAAGGGAGGTGGTTATTGTACAACAGTAAGGTGACCTTTTTCCTTAAGATTTTTCTTAGGTGCTTACAACATTTGCTTTCCAAGGCATGCATACATTCATTTGCTCAACCAACATTTGAAAGGAAATTGTCTTGCAGGGAATACACAAAGGGAGAAACAAAACTATATGAAGATTAATTTCCTCAGTGTCCAAGAGGAAAACTAATATGAGTATCTTCAACAACACTGTGCCCCCAACATGAACATCTGCACTGATTTCAGACAAATATCCAGATAGTGCCAGTCCCATTGTAGGGAGCCTTTAGAAGAGGCTGTCCTTACTAAAAAATTACCTACCCCACAGAATCCAAGTTTCTGTACTTCTTCACCAATGCCTATTTTGTCAGTTCTCTGTTACCTATGTTTAGGTTAAAGACTGAAAAGAACTAAGCATACTACAGCAGAATAAAATAATTTTCTCTTTCACTACTTAGGGTTCTATTTACTATTGTCTACCTCACAAGATTGTTACAGGGACACAATAAGTCAATAGATCAAGAGTCCTTCAAACAGTACCTGGGAGATACATGCATATTTAATAAAATATCAGCTATTACTAATTAACAATACCTGTAAGCACAAGCCTCTCATACTCATGCAGTACTGGGGCTTTTATAAAATGCTTCCACAAGCATACAATCGTTTGATCTGCTCAACCTGATGAGAGAAGTCATTTTATGATTCCCTTGTGTAGATGAAGAATCTGCAACTCAGAAAGTCACATGACTTTCCCAACACCATAGAGTGGTAAGTCTGAGCCTGGCAGGTGAATCTTTTAGCTTCAAGTCCAGGGCATTCTTCTCTATAACCTCAGAGCCTCACACTATGAGACTGGCCACAAACGTGTTTCAATTTTATTCCAAAGGGAATACAGTTAATATTTTCATTTATAATTATTTATCCGCAAGATACAGTGCTCATTTGACCACAGATACAATGGTAATTAGTGAAAGCACTATCAGCTCTTCTCTGTAGCTGGACTACAACATATAAAGGCTGCAGCTTTCAAATCTCCGTAATTAACTGGAATATTACGCACCTTAGCCGTCTCAGCTTCTGCCTGCAGTCGCTTGGGAGTTCCTTTCTGGTCAGGCACCTTCTGGAAATTTTTATTTTTAATGGATTGAGATTCCACACCTTCACCTTCAATTTGCAGTTTAATACCTTCAGCATGGGCAGGGTGATCAATACCCCGTGGATTCAAACCACAGTGGAGAGCTAGGAAAAAGCAACAAATAGAACTCAGAAAACAAACCACATAAAGAAGGTGTCCATGACAGAAAATATTCATCAAGCCTAAGTAGGAAAAAAACGAGGCATCTATGAGTCGAGAGGTGGTGTGATTACTACGATAAATAATATGGTGAGGAGGGAGCACGGTATAGTGGGAAACCTTGAGCTTGGAAATCAGCAAGATTTAGGTACAAATCCAGAAGCCCTCAATTCCAAGTTGTTTGACTTTCAGCAACTTACAAATCCAAATGTTACAGATGAGAATACCAAATCAGGCAACGTTGTTACTGCTTCCCACACACGCAATCATGCAATTATTTCAACCCTGCAGTTTAGTTTGTATCTCTACCTCCATCTGAAAAGTGCTCACCCTCTCTTCTTCTGGACCTTCTTTATTATTTAGGCATCCACTCAAGTCCACTCTCTTGCATTCATCTAAGCAATATTTCTTAAGCACTTACTATGTGCCATCCCTGGGTTAGATCCTGGAAACATGGATTTACATATGACAGATGTTACCTTCAAAGAACTCACAATGTAATAAAGGAGGCAAACAAAAGGACTGGTGATTTTCAAACAGAACTGTCACTTCTACATGGCAAAGAAAAAAAAGCCAGAGTGGAGGGCTCAAGGGCATCAAGCCCAGTGGCTTCCAGTTTTTTGCATCTTACTCTCTCCATGCCCTGTAACATAGATATTCCACAAATAAAACCTAAAGCTGATTTTCTGGGGATATTTATTCATCTAACAAACGCTTACTGAGCCCCCCTATGTACCCTGTATTATCAAATAAATAGCAATGAATGTTGTAAGATCCATGCATTCCACTACATAAACCACCATGTATGTCTGTGTGCAGATGGCAGGTATGTGTGTTTTGACTTCTCTGGTAGTAAATTATTTCATTTCCCTGTTACCCCAACTCTTCAAATTCAGGTAAACTCCTATCCTCATCCCCTTTCCTTTATTCACAGAGAAGTTAAGGCCAGATACTTAATACCCCCATCTTCCCCAGGTCTCCACTTCATCAATAATCTTTTACCCAACATCTTTAGGCTTTCCCCTTTCTCAGCATTCTTCCCCTCCAGCCAGCTTCCGTGACTCAAAAAGTCCAACTCTCTATTCGGCACTCCATTTAGGCCATAGTTTCCTCTTTGCCTCATCTTTGCCAGGATTCTGATGAGTACTTTAGACCTGAGGGATGAGGCAGGCTTCCCAAAAGAAGTGAGGTGTTTTCCTCCCACTATCCACTCCCTCCTTAATAGATATCATCTATTCCTATGTTCCCAATCAACATTCTGGTGACTCCCAAATATTAACTGCAGCCTAGACACACCTTTCTTATGAATGTCAGACAAGTAAAACTGCAGCAGAAACAATTTGCCTGTTTCAGTCTTCGCAAGTTACACAGAAACTGATGAGACATCCTTAACATCACTCTATGATCCATCACTTTCCTTTCATCTATCAGCAAATCCAACAGCTCTACACCTAACATACTGCTCAAATATTCAATGATATTTCTTTAAAAAAACAAACTGATTGCACAAAGGTCCAAATGCACGTGATCTTATTTCTACCACTTTATGTGGACATTATTTATGAATTTCTCTTCTCCTAGTCTCTAAGCTTCCTATTTAGTGGTACACTCTGGGCACTTAACATGTATTAGTTCATACCTCCCTTTTGGGCTTTGTTCTGAATCTCAAATGATCTTCATGAAAAACTCTGAGACATAACTATGTTCATTTCACAGATAAGGAAAATGAGGCTCAAATGGGTTAGGTTCACAAAAGGGCATACTATACTGGTGTGTACAGAAAAGTCACAAAAATCATGGCCCATTTAGTATACACGATTTCATATTACACATGGAAAAATCCAAACTAGATTAAATGGTATGGAAAATTATTAGCTGACAGAACAAGAAGTCCAGTGATGGCACAAGTTCAGAATTAGCTGATTTGCATCTCGGTAGTTTCATCAAGCACTGTGCTTTTTTTTTTTTCTTTCTCCATTCTATTATCCATAGCACCGACTTTATCCTGAACCTGGGTCCCTTTGTAGCATCTAGACTACAAGCTTTAGTTTTCATCTTGAAGCAGAAAGGGCTTGGTTGACTATGGCTTTTTCTCCCAAACCTCCTTCAAATTTTATTCTCTTTTCTCATTGGCCAGGAGTGAATTACATGCCTATTACTGAACTAACATGCTGGCAGTGGAAATAGGATTACCCTTAAACCAACTGACCAGCTCAGGTCAATTCCCCAAACCACACTGCTGCTACTCAACAGGGCTGTAGCAGAATGGATGCTGGGGAACCAACAACAATGCCCACTTTAGGCAGTGCTGGAAAGAGAACTTAGTAGCCAAAGCCTCTGAGAGCTTGAAGCTAATTACTGTTATTATCAATCAGCTTCTCCATCTCCAAAGACTGGCCTACTTACAATGAATATTCAATTAAATACATCAAAGTTGTGATTATTTTTAAAAGGTGTGCTTGTGTAGGGAGATGGGGGATTGGCATGGGATGGATTCAGACATTAATGAAGAAAAGAAAAATGTGTAGCTTTGATCTTTCTGTCTAGCTTTATCCTCTGCTGCTTCCTACCTTGAAATTCATGACCTAGGAATACCACTGAACTGCTGGTAGACCTCCTATTCTCTTCCCCTATCACCTCCCCACCAAATTTGACTCTTATACTTCCTTCACCTCTGATCACGGTGGTCCCACCACCTAGAAATGCTGGTCCTACTCCAACCTAATCCTATCTCCTGCTCTTTGGGAGGCTAAGTCCTATTCACCTCATGTCAGCTCAGACCTCTTCTTCAGAAAGCCTTTTAGGAGTCTCTGGCTACCACAGCAAGAAACCATTCCCTATGCTCCCTCATGCACAGTCCCCTGGTGCTTCATTTTCCTCACAGTACTAAGAATGTCCATGTAATTGATCTGTCTGCCTTGCCCAGCACAACTGTAAGCTCCTGGAAGGCAGGTACCATCTGTTTTTCATCTCCATGACTTCCATTCCTGAGTCCAGGACCTGGCACATAAGAGACATTAAGGAAACACTTGTTCAGCTGCAGAATGAACCAGCAATTCCCTTCCTTTACGCAATCATGCCTTAAATCAGAAGAAAGCTTTTCTCTGCTAGTAAATACTTGGCATTCAAAATGTAAGGTATCTATAAACAGGAGGCAGAATACAGTTTTTTGACTTTCCACACACGTAGGCTTATTTTTCACACAAATATTTTAATCCTCCATAGCTGTTCCTTCCTCCACTGCAAACTCCCCAGTAGTTGATTTAGGTTTTTGTACTTAGAATTATTTATTTAAAACCATTTTTGATAGACTTTGCTTTGTTTTCCCTGAAATTTCATGTCCCTAATATTTACAAATCAAACAACTCTCCAATGGCCTCTTACAATGCATGACCTCCATCTCTTTGCTTGTGTCAAAGGTGTCCCCTTTTGATTTCTCTTTTTTGTGTTCATCACTGCCCTTTCTTGTTTTCCCTAAAGTTATTTACTTAATTTAATGGGCTTGGCAGCTCACTGGTCGGCTTCGAGACCCTCTTCTCGTTTCCCTAATCTTCACCACCACTCCTGTGCCTGACGGATTCCTAGTCATTGAACTGACACCGCAGGCAGCTTGTGGTCTTTATGGGAAGTGCTGCTGCTGTCACTTTTACTTAATTTGAATGTCATTAATATTGAATTCTTCAAAATGAAGAGTTAAAAACCAAAATGAATTTCACAAACATTGCTCTTAAAAAAATTTAAGAGAGAAATGTTTCACTGCAAATGCACATATTTTAGCATTGTTTTGAAATGCCCTTTTGAAGGCACCATGTTTTTTTCATGTGTAAAAACCTACTTCCCCAGAAAATTGAAAACCAGGTGCATTGCTGGTGGGAATGTCAAGTGATACACCCCCTGTGGGAAACAGTATGGTGGTTCCTCAAAAAATTAAACACAGAATTGTCATTTAATCCAACAATTCAACTTGTAGGTATACACACACACACACACACACACACACACACACAAACACACACACACAAACTGAAAGCAGGAACTCAAGATATTTGTATGCTCATGTACATAGCAGCATTATTCATAACAGTCAAACAGGCATAAACCAAATGCCTGTGGATGCATGAATGGATAAACACAATGTGATACATATAATGAAATATTTTGCGCCTATAAAAGGAATGGCATTCTCATCCATACTACAACATGCATGAACCTTGAAGACATTATGCTAAAGTGAAATATGCCAGACAAAAATGGACAACTATTGGACGATTCACTTATATGAGTTAATCAAATCTACAGAGAAAGAAAATAGAACAATGGCTACACATGGGCTGTGGGAGAGAAAATGGGAAGTTATTGGTAAGTTATGGGTATAGTGTTTCACTTTGGGATGATGAAAACTCTCTGGAGATGGATGGTGATGATGGTTATACAATAATGTGAATGTGCCTAATGCCACTGAACCATATAATTAAAAATGATTAAAATGATGAATTTAATGTATATTTTGTCACAATAAAAAAATAAAAACTTAAAAACCCCACTCCCTCTCATTTTAACTTCCCTAATACCTCCATAAATGGAAAGAGAGGTTCCAAAGATATTTTTATTCAAAGGTTTGAGAGTTTATTTATGAATAATATCATCGTGATTTTCATCTAGAATGTTATTTTATTTTTTAATAAAATGGTAAAAATTATAGCTCAAAAGTATGAGGTTACTTCAGAATTTTCCTGGAAAGGAAATGTTCTCCAAAACAGGTCTTGTCCTAATCAGCAGAAGCAGGGCTTGGATTGCTGATTGCTGGAAATGAGCCTGGGCTCTCCAAGGCTTAGTGGCTGAGGGATGCCATTCTCATGTGATTTAGGTGACAGTAACAGGCTACCTGGAATGAAGTGCCAGGCCTTGTTTTCTCTGCTCACAGTGATGCTAGAAGAGTTGAGGGGTGCATTGGCATCTGCTGTCATTCCCAAGAACAAGTGCATCTTAGTCTCCAGGAAGCCACCCAACTTCCAGTTCTTCCAATCTCCACCCACACCACTCTCTGTCATGAAACAAGGGATGGAGACTTATTAAATTTTAATGTTCCTCTATTCTGAGTTTTGCCTTGAATAGAGACACTGTGAAAACACTCCCAGTTGCCCCTCAGAATGAGCTGGCTCCCCAACCAAGGAACCCCCACATAGAAACTGCAAGCAGTGCCCTGAAATGTGTTGTGCTTCTCTACCTTGACAGAACTGACCTTTTACATCATATGCTCTTCCTTTCCCTTATTTGCATAGATAACTGCTTCAGGAAATATTAATTTTTCTCTTTTTTCTACTGTAAAGCTTTAACTAGTCTTGCACCCAGTATATCCTCTTAAGCAATAAAAACACTTCTCCTCTTTTTCTTTCTTTTTTTTTTTTTTTTGAGACAGTGTTTTGCTCTGTTGCCCAGGCCGGAGTGCAGTGGTGTGATCATGGCTCACTGCAGTCTCAACCTCGCAGGCTCAAGTGTTCCTTCCACCTCAGCCACCCAAGTAGCTGTGACTACAGGTGTGCACCACCACACCCAGCTAATTTTTGTATTATTTGTAGAGGCAGGGTTCTGCCATGTTGCCCAGGCTGGTCTTAGACTCCTGGGCTCAAGCGACCTGCCCACCTCGACCTCCCAAATTCCTGGGAACACAAGCATCAGCTACATTGCCCAGCCACCTCTTTTTCTTATATGATCTGTATGTGTGTGTATGTACCATGTGTTGCAAATATTTATTGACAGGTCTGCTAAATCTATGACTAGGAGCCCCCAGAAGAAGTGACTACTTCTTGCTGAGCTTTACAAATGTAGTGTGTAGCCACATAACTACCTTACAGTAGGTGCTCAATCATTGTTTATAGACTGAGCATAGATATGATGGAAAGATACTGATTGAATCCTACTCACTGCCATTCGGTACTGATGCGTAACATATATTTTTCAAAAAAGCAAATAAAAGTTGCTTCCAATCTAATTGTGTAATTCACCAAAAATGTTAAATCACAAAACCATAAAGCTATCCTGAAACTACTGATTTATTTGACTGCCATCTGCAAAGCAGAGACTATCTTATTCATCTTTGCACCTGCAAAGCCTAAACAGTTGTACATACTCAACCCTCAATAAATGTTGCTAAATGAATCAGTGACCTTAAAAACAAATATACTCCAATCCCCACCATTAGTTATTAGAATTGAGATAGGTTATTTCAAATTTCATGTTTATGTCTTGCTTCTAGCTAAAGTTCCTGAAGGAGATGGTCCTTCTTTAACACTTCCCTAATATAATATACACATAACACTCTCCAATATGTTTAATTCATTATATTAATTATTATAGGTGCTTCATTTATTGTATTCTGGATTCGAATTCAGCAGAGACTACCCTCAAGAAGTAATGTGAACATCACAAAAAGTCTGTAACTCTTTGTAGCAGACACTTCTGATGGGCTACACATTCTCAACACTCTCATTTTTGCCACCTACTGAAGTATGGCTACAACGCCAATAGCAAATTTCACAGCTTCCCTTGCAGCTACAAGTGAGGTTGATGACAGATTCCTCCCTAGGGCACATAAGCAGAAGTTTGATGGGAAACAAACAGTTCTGGAACTGACAAAAGAGGAAAGATCTTAACATCACTCTTCCCCTTTGTCTCTGCCTTAAAGGCATATGTGATATCTAGAACTGCTACAGTACATGCTGTGACCACAGGGCTACAAAGATGAAAAAAAGTCAAGAGAATAATAGTCACATTGGCTCTGACATCATTGGGCTACTCGAACTTTGTTCTTCATTATTCTCCTCTGGACTTGAGAGTCTGTGAGAAAAGTAATTCTCTGCTTATTAAGCCATGGTTAGTCGTGTCTTCTACAACTTTCAGATGAACCCCTGCAAAATGACACATTTCCATTTTAACCAATAACATAGGATTGTTTAGCCCTTCTTTTTAAAAGAGAAAACAGAAATCCTAGTAAAATGTTCTGGTCTGGGTTTCACAGCTCCTATTATGACTTAGAAAGCTGAATAAGTATAGTATGAATAACAGATATACCTTAGGAATATACCTTAGGAATACATGTTATTATCAGTAAACTCTGACATCAGAGGTAATCAATCCAGATGACACTCTGAAGACCTGAGGATGAAACTTTCTTGCTTAGCTGGGGTCCTAAGGTACCCAGAAAAGTGCCCAGATCATTCATGAAAACTTTTGCATCAATGAATGGGGATGGGAATGTGTTCCTGTGTGTCTGGTCATTAATGTGTTGACATAAAAATACAACAACTGTACCAGAAAGTATGTCTCAGGAACACAGGCTTGGTTTAGCTAATAGAAAGGGAGCACAACATCTCCTTGGGCAAAGGAAACTGCCCAGCAGATATCTTCTAGGACAGGGGTCAGCAAACTATGGCCCATTGACCAAATCCATCCTGCTGTTTGTTTTCATGTGGTTTGTGACCCCAAAATAGTTTTTACATTTTAAAGTGATTGGAAAAAAACATTTTATGACACATGGGAATTACATGAAATTCAAAGTTCAATGTCCATAAAGTGTTACTGGAAAATAATAAATGAGGCATGCTCATTTATCTATATAGTGTTCATGTCTGCTTTTGTGCTACAATGGCAGCAGTGAGTAACTGTGACACAGACCACGTGGCCTGCAAAGACTGAAATATTTACTGGCTGGCTCTTTGCAGAAAAAGTTTGCTGGCCCTTGCTCTAGGGTAGAGTATAACCATAACCTGAAGGGCACTGGGACCTGATAACCCCAGCCTCCTTTACTCTAGCAACATCAAGGAAGAACTTATGGGTCTTTGCAGGACTAGCCTCTGACTTATTCTGTACTTCCCCACTCCCAGCTAATTTAAATGAGCTAAATTATGCTGAATTTTATCACTTGGGTCAGGCAATGAGGAGACAGAATATGATTTCCAAATTTCTCCTTGGTCAGCTAAATGTGATATTACATATACTTGCTGAAGCTTAAAATTTCTATAGAGGTCTTTTTCCCACTATCAAAAACAGGGGTAAAATATAAATGTCCAGAAGGGTAATTCAGCAGCATTAAAAGCTGAACATGTCCACCCCCAGCAAGTCTAAGTGGCCAATAATAGATGGCTCCCCTATTCCATGCAAGAAGAGACTGGAAAAAAAGAAGTTATTACATCAATGAGAAAGACAGGGGAAGAAACTAAATGGAAACTGAAAGACTGAACCCACAAAACTCGTGCTATTGTCCTCACAAATCTGCCCACAGTAGCCTGACAATGATGATGTGGCTGCCCAAGCTGGACCTACATGACTGTTCAGCACAGCCAGACGTTCAAACCACATGCAGCAGTGTAAGGACATGGTCTTCTCTGGGCCCCACGATGCTCACTCACTCTGGTTTACTTGTCTACAGAAACAATTTCATCTTTGTAAAAACAGTTCGCTATAATGGAATCTAGTTTTCCAAAGACTACTTAAGTTTAATCACCACATCAAATATTCACTTGTCCTACACTTGATACATAGACAACCTAAAACAATGGAAATTAAAATAATGCTTAACTTAGGTATTGCAGAATCAGTAAAGTGGGGACAGACTTTAGAAGATGTCCAAGGCATGAATATTAACTCTTCTCATTCATGAGGAGAATACAAGGGCAGACACATGCAGAAGTTCTATGATGCTTTAGACAAGGGATTCAGGTATCACTTTGAGAGATTGATAAGTGGTCTACACTGGTGACTTTAAAAATATTTTTAACTATGATACTACAGAAAGAGATTTCACATTGTGAATCCATGACCAATCATCTTTATGTATATGAATTGAACCACGTTTTTATGAAATATTACTTTCCTTTACTACATATCATCTACTCTTTATTTTTTTAAATAAAGTAGTTCCTCTTGCATCCTTCAGGGAAGAAGAAATAGACATACTTTTCTCCATTCATCCCACTTAGTAAAGTTAAAAATGATGGACATTATATATGAGACAAACATAAGACAACTGAATGGTAAAGAGAAGGAAGACAATCTAAAGACCTTGAAGGACCTTGAATAATCTGGTGGTGAGTTCTCTCAGCTTCCTTTTGCCTCGTATATCCCAGACTTAGAACTAAGAAACCTGCAACTTGGGAAGAGCTATGGGCACAGAAAAAAAATAATATACAAGAGCTTGCTCTCTGTAACCAAAGGACCAGGAAAGAGACAGCCTAGCAAGGTAGGAAACATGTAGATAATAACTGCTTTACTCAAACATTACAGAAAAGAAATGTGACCCAACCACCACATCAGTAAAGGCTGATTGTAAAGCCTAGACTCACACCCTCACCAGGCTGCACTTAGGTACCCCAATACTCCCAGGAGAATGCCATAGAAGGCCAAGTAGGGAGTCCAGGTTTCCATCTCTGTCAATTGGTAAAGAGGGTACCTCCTCATCTCCAAAATGTCAGCTGAGATGATATGGCAAGGCTGGATTTTCACCTCTACCAGTTTATGAGAGGTGAGCCTTCCTTCCTGCGATTGTGTCAGAGGAAGTCTGGTAGACAGGACTTTCACTATTACCCAGCCATAAGGAAGAAGTCCTACCTTTCAGGTATCAACTGAGATTGAGCGGGGAACCTGGATTTATAACTCTACCTGGCAGTAAGTAAGTGGTATCTCCTCTTTTCCCTGGCCAGACTGGCATTTTAAAAAGCTAGCTGAAATAAAAGGTTTAAATAAAATCTAGAGTCTCATAACACAACATGTAAATATCCAGGTTTCAATAGAAAATCACTCATAACCAGGAAGATACCAAACTGAAAGACAAAAGACAATCCATAGACACCAACATCCAGATGACAGAGACATCAGAACTATCTGAGAAAAATTTTAAAGCAGCTATACTAAAAATGCTTCACTAAGCAATTACACTTGACACAAATGGAAAAAATAAGCTTTTCCAAGAACTAAAGTCTCTGCAGAGAAATATAAGACATGAAGAATAACCAAATGGAAATGTTATAACTGAAATACATAATAAACAAAATAAAAAGCTCAGGTGGATAGGCTCAAGAGCAGAATGGAGGAAACAAAGGATAATTGGAAAGGGTAGAGGGCACTTGGAGAACAGAAATGTTCTCCACCTTGCTTTTGGTTACATGATACAAGCATCAAAACTCATCGAACTTAACACTTAAAATATGTACTTTTATGGTATATAAATTAATCTCAAAAATACAACAAAACAGAATTAAATACAAGCACTAGATATATTTTATTTTTCAAAGCGTTTATAAATGACTTTTGATTTACATGTTTTCATTCCTAACTCTATTCTCGGCCAACACACATTAGTTGAAATCCAAGCTCTACCATTTTCTTACAATATATTTTCAAGCATGGGCAAGTTATATCATCTCTTTTCTGTAAAATGGCAATACTAATATTACCCTATTTTTTACACTCACATTATTATTGTGTTGATAAAGAGAAATAACACATATAAAATTCTTGACACCTACCATGTGTTCAATGAACATAAATCCTCCACTTTTACCCATTGCCCTCCTACATCACAGTAGACAAATATTACATGCTAACAATTTTAATAACAGTTAAATAAACAAAATAGTACCATGCACTTTTAAAGGATAAATACAGTATAGACATAAAAAGTGCAACCTACCTGGAAAAAACAAACTAAAGTATAATTCAGTAGGAAGACAAGAAGGAAAAAAGAACAGCTTTTCAAATACATAAAAAAAAACCTGGGAGCAAATTGGGAAATGAGGTTAAAAATAAGAAATAAAAGCAAATATCTCCACCTCATAACATAGTTTCCACTGACAAGCTGACTGCATTCTCTGTGAAACCAAGCTAATGAAAAAAAAGGTGACCCTAATCATTTAGGAAGTCTTTACATATGACAGTTGGGTATTTTGGGAGGGAAGAAGGAAAAAGTATAGAATTAACATATTCAAAGGACTTTTCATCCTCTAACATGAAGGTGGTGATACCTATTAAAAAAAGGGGAAGACTAAGAGATGCTAAGCAACATGTTTAAGGCCACCATAAAAATGGCAAATAGAAGGCTGGGTGCAGTGGCTCATGCCTATAATCACAGCACTTTGGGAGGCCAAGGTGGGTGGATCACCTGAGGTCGGGAGTTCGAGACCAGCCTGACCAACATGGAGAAACCCTGTCTCTACTAAAAATACAAAATTAGCTGGGCATGGTGGTGCATGCCTGTAATATGAGCTACTTGGGAGGCTGAGGCAGGAGAATCACTTGAACCTGGGAGGCAGAGGTTGTGGTGAGCCGAGATGCCAAAAAAAAGAAAAGCAAATAGAGGAAAAAAAATGGCAAATGGGAAATGAAATGAAATTCAGACTGATACCACATAGTTCCCATGTTACTCTGGGGAATAAGATTTTTTTTTCCTCTGCATTTTAATTATTGTTTAGTAGGTAAATAATGGGCTTTGGAGTCAAATCTGGCTGTCCCCACTGACTAGCTGTATGGCCTTGGTCAAGTTACTTCCCTTTAGGTTAGTGTTGTTTTACCTATAAGATTAGAATAATGATAACTTCTTTATAATATTTTAGAATAATTAAAGCATATTTAAAGTGTTTAGTCAATACATAGAAAGTGGTACATAGAAAGTGCTCAGCAAACAGTAACCACTGCTGTAATTATTACTTCCTTTACTGTTATTAATATTATTTTAATGATATTGATTTCTTCAAAAGTCAAATATCTAGATCATTTGTACATACATCTGCATATACTTGTACACACAGCTCCACTAACAGAAACAGGTGATTAGTATTGTTAGGGAAGGTAGAAGGTTACAAAGGTCAGACACAGGCTTCAGGGAAGAAAAAGATAAAATTCTCTTGAAGGTTCTGTTCTGGAAATAAAAACAAAAAAGAATATTCCAGGCAGAAACAGAAGTATCTATCAAACCACAGAAATATGTAAAAGCCATGAGAGGTTCTGGTTTGACTTAATGAACATGAGCATTTCTCTTCTCAGGGAGGGTGGGGCAAGATAATATTAGCAGGCAATTTTGTTTGCTTACTCTGTCTATTCATAGTAACATTCAGACTAAAGGAACATTCAAGTTTAACAAACTCCATCCCTTGTTGCACTTGATCTTCACAAATGTCTATATATGCATGTGTATATGTGCATATAACATATATATATTTTTTGTAATCAAAAATCACATTCTCTAAAATGAGAGATATAATGATGAAGGAAATGGACAGAGCTTAATTCATGAATTGAGAATTAACACTTTAAAAACTTGCAGTGGTCCAAAGGCTAAAAGTAGTTCAAAGTTCAATGGAGCCATTGATAAGTATACGAGTTGCTAAAGACTCCTTAAAAAAAACAAGTTCCTTTTCAAATATCTTGAATTTACCAAGAAAACTGACAAGATGCCATCAGAGGTGGTATTACTAATAACAGCTCAATACTTCTGAATGTACCTTGGTCCATCTTTTGAAATTACACTGTCCAATACAGGAGCCAGTGGTCACTATTTTAAATTATGTTTTTTTAATTTAAAATTTAGTTCCTCAGTTGCACTAGCCACATTTCTGTAGCCACATGTGGCTGTGTACAGCATAACGGACAGTGCAGATTGTTAAATATTTCGATTATCACATAAAGTCCTATTGAATAGTGCAAGTTTGAAAAATTATCAGTGTCCTTTAACACTGGGAGAACCCAATGTTAAAGTCAATGTGTTTTTTTCTGTAAATGTTAGTTTTAAAAAGAACAGAGAAAAGTAGAATTTGAGGTCAGAAATTACGTCGGAAAATTATTTTCTTTTCTATAGTTGTGTAATTGTTTGTAATGATCTAAGTAACCACATCTACACTTCCAGAATTACAAAAAAATAAACATAATGCCACTATTCTAAAAATGTAGTTCTTTAATAAACAGCCTTCATAACCTGTCTGCTGTTCTGACTTTCATACACATTCTAGACAGTTTTATAAAAGCGACTTCCTATTTAGTTATTTTAGACAACTGTCAGATCTTTGAATAACCTGTCCCCCACACTGATTGCTTCTATGTCACAAATCACAGTTATTTTCTTGTTATAAGCTTTTAGAGACCCCAGATTATCTCTGAGGGAGAAAGAGATGAACAGGGATTCAGAGATAAATCAGCTCTGGTAAAGCTCACAGTTTACTAAAATAGTGGCTCCCAAATGTCTTCCTAAAGAGGAGATAAATATGTGAGGAAGCTCTCGGTGGTCCTCAGCAAAATGAAGAAAAAAAACAGCTCTGTAAGCTTTCCATTGGCCAAATGTTTTCAGTGTGAAGGTCTGTTCTTGATTATTCTACTGTCTTGTCTGCATTTTTTGGTGTTAACCCCATTTTATGAAATTAGATAAGATACATTAAGTGTGTATGTATCTGTGCACATGAGTTTTAATGTTAGCAAAAGAAAAAAAACCTATAGAAACTCTGTGTCCCCTATTTTGAAAACTACGAAAGCTAAAGGTTTGAGTACTTCTATGCAACTGACCAAAAAATAGGCTAGCCAATAGTTACGTTGTAGATGATATAGTGGTAAGGGGAGGTGGAAATAAAAGCTGTGGAGAAAGTAATAATAAGAGGCTGCAAAATTGAAAAAGGAAACGTTTACCTCCAAGCCAAGAAAATCAGGAAAGACTACGAGAAAAAAATGATACAGGACCCATTACAATGAGTGCATGGAGCCTTGGGTATTAGAATAAGACATCTGAATTTTTTTTTCACTAAGCAGGTGGAAAGCCAATAAATGTTTAAAGCAGGGAGAAACTTAGCCCATGTGGTTTCAGTAATACAAATGAATAAACACAGGCTGGCAATATTCCTGTGTTGATATACAAGCATCCTTCGTGATGCAATTTGTCTCATTAAAACCTTCTCTCCTATTCCAACATATACCTGTATTCCTTAATCTCCTAAAGTGTTTATCTGCACTACTCAGGGCAGTGTATTTCCACTTTTTCAAGTCACTACCATAAAGTTAGACATTCCCTAAATAATGTCGTTGTTCATCAACACCATTACCTACATCCCTTTAGATACCGGGGCCATCAGAGAAGATACATAATGACTGCTGGTTCAAATCAACACATATCCCATATCCCTCATGTTCCCACCCATGCATCCTACAGCCCAGCACTGGTGGATGTGCATCCTATGGACGTCTTAATCACATACATGCACATTGCTCTAAGAAACAAGTGAAGAAACAAAACATCAAGCAAATGGCAGACAGTGTGACTGCATATTTAGGGAAGGATTTATATTCCTACTTAGCTTTTCAAATCAGACAATGCTTCTAAAATATTTTACCAGTATTCTCATTGGTCTAGATCTCATTGGCTGATATATTAAAAAACAAACAAAAAAGGCTAAAGAATCCACTCGGAAAGATTAGCAATTCATTTTATGGTGGTGTAAATTATTTCTAAAGATGCTTCCAGTCAGTTCTCAATATGACAGCCATTAAAACATTGTAAACACCAACTGTTATAATCTAAGTCTCTCCTTAAGATCAGGGAGAAGGGAAAAAAAATCAAGTACACAAAGCTCAGACCAGAGAAAGTCTATCAATCCAAGCATTTGCCTCCTTGGCTACTGCTGATAGCAAAAGCCATAAGGAAGACAGCAGCACTCTAAGTTCATGTTTCCAAACCTCAGCTGAGTTCTTCTGCTTTGCTCTTTTTTCTTCACCCAGCCCACTGGCTCTCTCCCATGAGTCAATTAACATGCTCGAATCTTGCCCTATGTAATAATCTCTCCATTTGACTATTAATTATTTTAAAACTCCTCCCTCTTTTCCTCCTTCCCCACAGTAAGATTGTCAGAAGTACATTATTTTTTTACAGTACAGACAGACTTCTATGGGCACCATTTTAAGCATTTTACATTAGTGTTTGATAAATATTCACTCCCCTCCCCTTATGGCAGAGTGTCTGTCCCTATACAGTGACTTTGGCTTTGGCCATGTGAATTTGGTCAATGGATATAAGTGGACAAGATGTGAGCAGGGGAGTTAAACATGCTTAAGTGGTTTGATTCAGTCCCTTATGTACTTGTGATAACCAGAGGAAGAGCATACCCAGGATTGTTGTTGAACAACCGCTCTGTAAACCTGGATCCCAGAATAAGACACACACTTTGTTTACACAGCAGGCCCCAGCCAGAAGCCTGGAGTCAAGCTGTGCCCACCTGAAGACTATGAATCAGAAAATACATGTGTCCTTGTTCGCTGCTCAGATTCCACACAACAGCCAATACACCTGCCAGGAATATTTAAATTCTAGGAACTAGATGCATTAGGGTCCCATTTTATAGATGAAAAGACTGAGACAAGGAGGCTGAAGTAATTTGTCAACTCACATGCTCCAAGTAGCAGAGGCAGGATCTGAAACATCTGAAACAAGCAGTCCAGCCACATGTGTACTGGTAAGCACTCCATCCTTCCATTCTAAAGAACCCTATCCACCTGCTATATCTAATGCCCACCTCCCACCCAGGTCTCAATCCATTATAATCTGGCTCTTCCACCTGCTGCTGATTCTATCAATGACCCCTTAATACTAACTTTGGAGGAAGCGCCAGCCTTTGGCCTGGCAACTCAACTACTTTAGGCATTGTTGATCACTGGCAAACTCCATGCTCTCCCTCCCTTGGCATCTGGCACTTTACCTTTCTAGGTTGTCTTCTTCCTGCTCCATCTATTACCTTCCAGATCTCTTTTTCCCTCCTGAATACCTTCGGTTTGCCAGGAACTTTGCCGGACACTGAAGAGTAATTAGTGAGTAAATCAGATGTGGTCCATGCCTACGAAAACTAAGAAACTAGCAGAGAAGACAGATATCACACAAATAGCAGGGTTTCAGGTACTCTAAATTGTAAAACTGCACACAGAGCATTGACAGGCTTGTGTGTGGTGAGGAGAGTGTTTGGGAGACAGGAAACCCCCACCTAGTATAGGGGTCTAGAAAAGCTTTACTGAGAGTGTGCAGGAATCCACGGGGCAAAGAGGCAGCTAGGTGGATGGAATCACATGTGCAAAGCTGGAGGGACGGTGATACACTGAAGCCCTCAGCATGCATGGGGCACAGAGGGTGTGGGAAGGTAGTACTAGGCAAGGCTGGAGAGGGTGGCAGGCTCCAGATCTGTAGGAGCCTACAGGCCACAAAAGGATTTTCCTCTTTATCCTAGGGCCAACGGGGGCTCCTTAGGGCTCAGCTTCTAGAAGTCTTCCTGTCCTATCAGCTGCTGTTTGGGGTCCCTTTGGATTCTTCAGGGCCCCATCAGACCATTGTAGAAGGATGTACTGTAGTGCAAAATATTCCTTGTGCATTTGCCATACCACCAGTGCTGACTCCCCCTCACCCCCATGGTTGCTTTAATTCAGGCTAAAGACAATAGTGACAAAACTCTGGTAATGTCAGTGAGGATTTAGAGAAACAGATGTTTGAATTGATGGGCCTTGCCCCTTCAAACACATGACCTAGACATTTCAGAGACAGGATGAGAGAAAAGCATCCCAAGCTAGGGATGCAATCCACAATAGCCATGCCTATCAGAGCAAATCCTGAAGTCTCGCCCTGCAGGCAGCAGAACTGAATCTGGGAAGCAGCTGGTGCGAGAGGAGTTGGCTCTGCCAACTGATACTAAAATAAACCAGAGTACACCAGGCATTTCACCAGCCATAAACCCTATGCCCTCATTTGCATGGCTGACTCCTTGTCACTCAAGCCTCCACCTAACCATCATCATCTCAGTGAAGACATTTAAGTTGCTTCCCGGGCAAAGAGCACTACATCTTTCTGTTTTGATTCTCTACATGGCAGTTGGTACTCTGTTATTTAATGGCATATGTGTTTGTTTCCTGTCTATCTCCCCCAACAAAAATTGTAAGTCTTAAGAGCAGGGACCTTGCCAGTTTCATAATCCTCACACAATGGCTGGCACGTGGGCAGCATGCTGTACATAATTGTTGAATGAAGGAATAAATGAGAATAGGATGCCTCTTCTGTGTTATATATATTCTCCCATCCCTCTGTCTCTCATATTTGTTTCCTTCTGTAAGGCTTCTTTAGCTATTGCTAAAAGGTTCTTTAAGGTCCGATAAATGTATGCAAGGTCTGATATGCATGTGTATCTCTGCATTCTTCTGGTCAAAGGAAACCTAGTTTCATCCGAGAATCAAAGAAGCCACATTTGTTATGAACAGAATTGTGTTTCTCCCGACCCCTAAAAATTCATATGCTGAAGGCTTAACCCCTAATGTCACCATATTTGGAGAGAGGGCCTTTAAAGGGCTATTTAAAGTTAATAAAGCTGTAAGGGTGGGGTCTTAATCTAATATGACTGATGTCCTTACAAGAAGGGGAAGAGACACCAGAGTGTGCAAGCACAGAACAAAGGCCATCTCCAAGCCAAGTAGAAAGGTTTCAGAAGAAACCAAACCTGCTGACACCTTGATCTTGGACTTCCAGCCTCCAGAAGTGTGAGAAATTCAGTTTCTGTTGTTCAAGCCACCCAGTCTGTGATATTTTGTTATGGCAGCTCTAGCAGACTAACACAATATCCCTGTAAAGTTAAGAACCACTGAAAAGAAACTACTTATTTATTTGAGCACCTAGGTTGGCTGTATACCTTACATAAATCACTTCATTTATTCCTCTCAACAATCCTTCTGGGTGAATAGGATTGTTCCCATTTCACAGATGAAGAAATTGAAGCTCAAAGAGATTAAGTTATTTACCCAAAGTCACTGAACAAGTCAATGAAGTCAGGACCTAAATCCAGTCAATAGTAGTCTTGGCCACACACTAGAATCATCTGAAGAACGTATGCAATCACTCTTACCTGGCCAACCATGAGCAATCCTGAGTCAATTGATCCTCATAGAGCATCAGGTGATTATAATAGGCAGGCAGAATTAAGAACCACTGAGTAAGGCACTCACAATCCCCAAACTGTGCGATCTCTGTCTGAAACTGCCATCCATTCTTTACTAAGTCTGATTTCCTTGGACTAAAGTGTTAGCAAAGAAAAGGAGAAAGTACTTGGCGATTCTGCTTTACTTTTAATTATCCCAGGCAAGGCCCTATTGAGCACCCAGGAGGAATGAGGTATACACAGAGCTTCAACCACCTGGCCAACAGAAGCACCCACCTAATTCTATTTTGAACTCAAAATGGATGGCGTGTACTTTGTAGTCTGGCATGGTGTGCACATCTTGCAGCAGAGATGCAACATGTCCAGGTTTCCACTGCCAGAATACAGATACCTACAGTTAGGACCCCTCGTCCTCTCTGCACTACATGTAGCTCTTTTGTAAAATAAAGGAGACAAACTTAATGTGTGAACTTCCTTTTAGTTCTACCATTCCGAATTTAACATTCTCTCACGTGCTCCGAGAACCAAGTGACAACCATGTGCACATGAGAACGCAGTCAACAAGACCATGGCATGCAGCCCCAAATATTCACTGCTGGCCTGCCCAGGTGCGGAGCGCTGCTGGTACCGCTTCTGTCAAAAGGCTCCCGCTCGTGGGGTGCTCAGTAAATACCGGTAGTTTTGTCCCAGTTCACCTCCAATCACCCCACTTTCACAACGATTCAATGTTCGCTTAGGGATAAAGTCTTTATGGTTCAGGTGGGATCTCCCCTCTAACTCTAGGGCTACAGTGTGGGAACTGGCCCTAAGTCAATCAGCACATGCCATTATCCCTGATCACATGACCTGGGCAGTCCAATCAGAGAGACCTTACTACTTGCATAGGAATTAGTGGGAAATAATTGTTCTCTCTCCCACCATATGTAAACCTGGAAAAACCTGAGGCAGGAACTGCTACAGCAATCTAGACCTCTCAAGATGAAAGTCTCCATGTGAGCAAAAGGGAAGCCAATAGAAGAAACGACAGCCCAGGCGACTCAATTAGAAACCCAGATCAAGACTCCCTGAAACTAGATCTACTCGTAGATCTCTCAGGTATGGGAGGCAACAGATCGCCTCTTTTTACTTAGGCCTGGTAGAGTTGGATTGGGTTTTCTGAGACTTGCAATTCATATAGCATATGTCACGTGAAAGAAAATCTAGTCTCTCATAATTGTAAGGGTCTTTAGATGTCAGTGAAGTGTGCTGGTTTTCTAACCTTGTGTGTTAGGTAAGAAACTTAGACTTTATCCTGAGTGCAGCAGGGTGCCCCAAATAATTGAAGCAAGCAAAAATGTTGTTTCCAAATTTTTAAAAATGATACTGCCTCCATACACAATACATTTGAGAGGTTCAAAACTAGAGTAAAAAAAAAAAAACTACATTTAGAGTATCTTGGGTTTTCCAAGTGAGAAGAAATGAAGGCCTAAATTAGGACAAAGGTAATGAGGATGAAAGAAGATAGGTTTTGGGATCACTTAGATCAGGGGTTGGCAAACTTTTTCTATAAAGGATTAGATGGTAAATATTTCAGGCTTTGCAGACCATTTTATTGGTGATGATATTGAGGAAAGGTGTCTTTGAGGTGGCAACTACTAATAGTCAGCAGTGCAGACAAGATCATAATTTCTAATTCTGGCATCACTAGTGACTCTATTGCACTATATTCCCCTCTTCCATGCTTCTAGATGAAAAGATATTTCTCTCTCAGCCTTGAGACCACCATGTTACATGTAAAAATAATTATACATGTAGTAAATATTACTAGACATCAATAATGTGTCCTAGCACTTCTGAAGGACTATTTCCCATCTCAAGAGCCTTGAAGTCTTATCTTTGTTATGCACATTTCTCCCAAGCCATTTGTGCTTTTTTTTTTAGATCTGATTTTTTTTAAGTGGTTGTGAAACATATATCACACTCCTTTGCTTTAAGGATTATTCACTTTTCTAATCTGAACAATGTGTTATGTTAAAAGAGGATAGAGAATTTATTCAAGCCAAGAACTAAGGCACTCCTTATTCCGACTCATGACAAGAAAAGAATAAATCACAGACATGCATTATCAGAACATAACCACAGTCAACTCCAACTGAAGACCAAAAAAATCCCACTAAAAGGCAAGCAAAATGCCTTGACTGCTATGCAAAACCAAAAACCATACAAAAAGAAAAAGGCTAGAAGAAAATATGCCAAATACTAACAGTGGCTGCCTTTTGAAGGTGAATTCATGAAGATTTTTTTTTATTTTCCAATGGGTATATATAATAAGCATGTAATTATAATTATCTTAAAAGATTAATTTAAAATGTAGGGAAATGTTACTATATTGCATTTTTTAAAAAAATTCTTAAATTTCTAATTGTATCTTACTCTAGGATATTACCAGAATATATTAAATTAGGTTAAAATTACTTTAGGTTTACAAACAAACTATGCTTTTAGGTCTAAATATATGATGTAGCTTAAAACAATAAATTATTTTTCTCTCCATGCCTAGACAGTGACTCTTCTTTGTTTAAATATTTCCAGACACCATACCCTCCTCATTATTATTCTATTTTCTAGTACAACTCCCTTTTATCCCACTCACTGACAAAAACTTAACGTGGCTGGCAGACTGAGTATCATAAGTTCAAACATCGTTACTCATTATCATCAGAAGAGAAATCGTAGAAATACTGTGGTCTTGCCCTCTTCCTGCTTCTTTTGGGGAAGCCCTACTCCACTGATCCCTCCCTAAGAATGGGGACCCAGATGTCAAAAGCAACATCACAGAGCAAATGGCCATGCCAATAGCTGAGCCTGTTTAGTTTGGCAGTTGGCTCCTCTAAAAACCAGGTCAACATCAACAATCTCTTACCCCCATCCCTACTCCAAAGATGAAGAACTGATGGGTAGAAGCAGAGAGAAACAGAGGAAAGAAAGCTAATAGGGAAGGAAAGAGATGGCTCTGGAGAGGCCCTTAGGGACGTCTCTCCATTCTAAGTTTAAAAAGACCTATTCAGCAGAAAGGAACAGATGGGAAGGTCTCTGGGAAGCAGTCAGCAGACTGTATGCTTAAATCAAGATCCAGAAGGCTGCAGTCTTCATGCACAAGTACCCCCAGACTTCTTAAGCAGAATAGTTCTGTACCCCACAAAGTCTTTTTCCACTTGCTCCTATCAGGCCCACTTATGGTTGTTACCACTTCAATAATACCTCCTAACTGCCAAATAGGAAAAAAAAATATGCTTGCCCCAAGAAGTTCCATACACAGGAAACCTCTCTTTCAGGGCTGAAGGTATTTCGGTTTGCACAACTGCCTTTGTCAAATCTGAGTGTGTACACGTGCACTACAGCACTAGAATGGGACTTAGGACACTTGGGCTTTCTTCTACTTCCTATCATATATGATTCAGAAAGCCCAATGCTGTGTGCAAGATCTGAATTCATTTAACAGTTATTTTCTGAGTGCCTACTGTGCACCAGACATTCTTCTAGGTGCTGAAACACAATTTTAAAAAAACTACAATTATAGAAGGGAATCCCTGATTAAAGGAATCATCTTCAGAAATGAGAATGCCTAATCTACATTTCAACTGCTAACTTTCTTAGAGACAACACAATAAAATGTACATAGACATTGAAACATATCTGAAAATTAATAAAATGGGTGGACAGAAGTACAAACTCTGGAATCAGAAATTAAGAGTTCAAATATTGGCTTTTATCTGGGTAATTAACCAGCCTATTAAAAAAGAACTAAACAGTCTGATGTAAGAAAACCCTCTCTCTGCCCCTAAATATAATCAGCCAACTCATCTTACAATGAAGACCATGATCAACAAGCCCCATTCATACCTAGAGAGCTTTCAATGTTTTTTCAAAGTGGGCCACAAAAAATATGAGCAAAGTCTCTAATATTGGCAAATATTTGAAGAAAACATTTAACATAAAAGGAGATCAGAATGAACAAACAAAAACAAACAATTAGGAAGAAAGAACTATGAAGAGAGGAGTACACTAAGAAAATAAAAATATCATTAAGAAATGATAATCAATAAAAAATAGAAACATTACATCCACAAAATAGGATGCTGAATTTTTTTCCAAAAACCGAGGTCTTAGAAATTAAAAATTACATAGAAATTGTAAATGCCAGAGAAACATGAAAATAAAATATATCCACAAATAAAAAATAACAGATGAAAAATAGCAAACATACACTTTAAAAAATAAGAACTAGTCCAGCCAATTTATCATCTCAAAAATAAAAGCTGGAGAAAGAAAGAAGAAAATACATAAAAGAAAATCAAATAAATAATTCAAAAAACAATCCCAGAAATGAACAACATGCATTTCCATTCAGTAACACCACAAAATACACAACACAGTGGACAAAATAGACTCAAACCTAGGCATATTCTCATGGAATTTCTGAACACTCAGACTGGAGAAAAGATTCAATAATTTCAGGAAGAACTAAGTATGTTTTATACAAAGGAGAAAAAATCAGAATGGCTTCAGATTTCCCAAAAACATGACTGGAAACTAGAATATATTAGACACTTCAAAATTGTGGGGAAAGATACTTTCCAACTTTCAAAAAAAAGTTTAAAGCCAGTCAACTTACAAATTAAGTACAAGGGTAGAATAAAGTCTTTTTCAGATATGCAAGTTCTCAAAACTATGCTTCCCAGCTAGCTTTTCTCAGGAGGATGTACTCCATCAAAACCAAGGTGAAAACAAAGAACACTCAGGATCCTAGAGCGAAACTAACACAAAGGCAAGAAAGGCATCCCACGGACGATGGTGAAAGCAAATCCAAAGGCAGCAGCTATGGAGCAAGTCAAGAGAACAGAACGACCTATTCGGAACAAATATCAGAATTCTTTGGTGGGGGGAATTTCTTCAATGAGAAGAAATTGACAGGATTCCTAATATATGAATATATTGGAAGGAAATTAAACAAGGGAACTTTTTATTTAAATTAGTGATAAGTTTATAGAACACAGCATATAACAAAAAATTACTAAGCATATTTTTAAAAGACAATGACTAATTTTTAAAATTATGTTCACATATAATTTTCATAAAAATAAAATCTAAATTTTACCTATTTAAAGTGCTTATTATACTTCCTGGCATATAGTACTTCATACATTTAGCCACTATTCTAACAATGATTTCAACTATACATACATACCAGGCTTCACTTCCAACTGCTTCTTCCACTAAATGGCACCAGGTAAGTTACCTACCCAGAGCCTGTTTCCTTATATACAAAATGGAAATAAGTACAATGTTGTCAGCATCAGAGAGAATGTTTATAAGCCACAATACTTGGTATACAAGTAAGCATTTAATAAATGGTAGAGAATATTTATCTATATTTGTATATGAAATTTATATATAACGTTTGTATATAAAGTATTTGTATATAAGATGTTTTATTGCCTAAAATCAGAATCCTAATTTAGAAATAATGACACTAAGAGGTCACAGAAATATAGTGGTTGAATGTAAGAGCCGCAGTGTTTCTGAATGTTTAATCAAGGATTTTAAAATTTTAAGATAAAAATAGCTGAACAGCCTCCACAGTACACCCAGAAAAAGAAAAGACCAATGAAACATTAGAGGGATGACTAAACAGACCAGACCAACATGAAACCCCAAAAGAAAACGATGGTTGGAAAACCTTGTTAAAATAATATATTGATGATTACAGGAATAAAATGTCTGCCGGGCGCGGTGGCTCGCGCCTGTAATCCCAGCACTTTGGGAGGCTGAGGCGGGCGGATGAGGAGGTCAGGAGATCAAGACCATCCTGGCTAACACAGTGAAACCCCGTCTCTACTAAAAATAAAAAAAAATTAGGGGGGCGTGGTGGCGGGAGCCTGTAGTCCCAGCTACTGGGGAGGCTGAGGCAGGAGAATGGCATGAACCCGGGGGACGGAGCTTGCAGTGAGCCGAGATCGCACCACTGCACTCCAGCCTGGGCGACAGAGAGAGACTCCGTCTCAAAAAAATAAAAAAAATAAAAATAAATAAATAAAATGTCATGAAAATAATCAAGTAAAAGTAATGCATGTGGATAATCAGTAAGCTGTGATAAAGATAGACGAGCATAGGTTAAGAAATATAACAATGAGTTTACAAGTAACTTAGATACTGTCTTTATATTGCAAAGGCCCCTCATTTGGTCCAACACAGATACGCCTTTCACTAGAAAAGCTAAGTGTTTTCTAAGTCTCTAGCCTTGACAACGACCATCAAAAAGTCCCAGGGACAGAACAGAAAGGGATGATACCTTTTCAAACTTGGACAGTAATTTGTTGCTTTCTCAAGTTCCCATCACTGGCCTCATTAAGGGCTGTTTCTAAGGAAAATGAGATTACTTACTGTGCTTACACACATTTACCATAAGAAAGTAAAAAAAATACATTATTTTAAAAAATATTTTATCAACAACTATTAAGATTTGCTAGAATAGCTTATGTTACTCCAGGTACAGCTAGTCATTTATAGAAAGCCTAGAAGGAAATGTTAATAATCCTTGGGGTAACTATGGGGTATGTCAGAGTAGCAGGCTTGTTTAGTGGCAAGAGATCAAACACTGAAGTCATCTGAACTTGGGTTTGAATTCTTACTCTCTCATTTACCAGCTACTGGCCTTAGAAAAATTATTTAATCTTCTAGGCCTCAATTTTTTTCATCTAGGAAATGGAGATATTTTCTAAGATGTCGCTATGAAATTTTTTTAAAGAAAGGAAATTGAGATAATAATCATCTCGTAGGATTATTGTGAGCAAGTAGGATATTCAAAATACACAACAACCAGTATGGCTGAAAACAAACCCATCACAATATATATATATATATATATATATATATATATATATATATATATATATATATATATATATATATATACTGACCATCAACAACCAGTATAGCTGTATGTACAAGGGTTTACTGGCTGAAGAGCAATTCTGGCTGCTAATATCAGTGAGTGCCTAATAAATGTTAACAACTGGTACTGTTAGTTTCTTATTTGTGTTTTTATGATTTCTTTCTTGCTCTGGTGAATACAAAAGACTTTCATGCCCAGATAATAATGTTTTAAAATATTAGCTTAATAGGGAAATTTAAAAGATCTGGTACTGGAGAGTCAATTAACAAAATACTAGGAAAAAACGAAAGGAACTTAAAACTCTCATTACTTGAGTCACGCATTAGGTACCTTGGAGACCCCCAAGATCTTGGCCCTAGTCTGGCTGCCTTCATCCATAATTTAAGAAACATTCTCGATCCCTTTTAATATCCCATTTGCAAACCCCTTTAAAGTGGGCCCTGTGCCATCCCTTCCAATCATGGCAGCAATGATGGAAGCCTCAAGAAAAAGACTCAAGATATCAAATTCTAAATCCAAGCTTTGCAACTAATGAATTATGTGACCTTGGGTAAGGGAGTCTTCACATCCTTGTTTGTGAAAGGGGAAGAAGAGCACCTGTTCCAGCTGCCAGTGCATCAATGGTGGCTCAGATGAGAAACTGTATTTTGGAAAGCACAGAGTATACGTAAAGCCAGAGTGGCATGATTTCAGTGATGATGGCCCTGGGGTGAACCCCAGAAAACATGCAGATGCCAAAGCTATCAGCTACTGAGTTTCAATTTAAAAAAAAAAGAAAAGAAAAGAAAAAAAAACATCCCTGGCCAGGCAAAGCAGCCAGATGAGGCAGGATTCATAAGGCAGCATAGTGGTACTTAGCAAGCAATAGACTGAGCATCAGATCAGCCAAGGAGAATCACTCTCCCTTACCATTAAAATCAGGGACAAAAACCTCAACGCCCTAGAAACCTAAATCTTAAAGCCTCTGAGAGCAGGAAGGAGGCAGGAGATAGGAGAAGGAAATGGAGATCATGTGTCTGTCTTGGCAAAATTGTGAAGTTGACCAAGTTTATTTTCAGCATCTTTTTTACTTTCCTTTCTGACACTCCCCCTACTTTCTGTTGTTTCACTTGAATCCCAACCCCAGGCTATAGGGTCAGAGTACCCTCATGGTACCACCTGGCTGGCTGGTGCACCCAACCCCTACTCCATAGGCAAGCACCTACCAAGGCCTAACCTCTCCAGAATATGACTCATGTTCTGAAAATTATATCCTCTCCTGACATTTGAGAATTAGAAGTCCTCCTATTCCATTCCTACCCTACCTGGAATTAGTTATTGCAAAATAAATGAATTCACAAGAAATAAGAAGTCATTCTTTAATAGTCACGTTTTTACAGAAAATTCTGAAGATGATAAAGTCCTGATCCAGTATTCCCCAAATGTCCTTTTTTTTTTCTTGAGACGGAATTTCACTCTTATTGCCCAGGCTGGAGTACAATGGCACAATCTCGGCTCACTGCAACCTCCGCCTCCCGGGTTTAAGTGATTCTCCTGCCCCAGCCTCCCGAGTAGCTGGGACTACAGGCATGTGCCACGACGCCCAGCTAATTTTTGTATTTTTAGTAGAGACGGGGTTTCTCCATGTTGGTCAGGCTGGTCTTGATCTCCCGACCTCAGGTAATCTGTCCACCTCAGCCTCCCAAAGTGCTGGGATTACAGGCGTGAGCCACTGAGCCCCGCCAAATGTCCTAATTAGGATTTTTAGGCATCATCTTTATCAAATTTCAACTCTACTGCTTACTAGCTGTGTGACCATGAGCAAGTTAAGCTTTCTGAGTCCCTTTTTTTATTTGCAGATAGGGATGATAATGAAACCTACCTGAAAGGTTGATGTGAAGATTAACGAGTTAATATAACAAGCATCTAGAACAGTGCCTATCATGTACTACAGGAATATTTTTCATATTTTGTAGTTACAACACTCCTTATCTATCCTACCCAGCACCTAAATCTTCCAGCAGGAACAGTACCTTCTCTAAGTGCTACTACATCTAAATTCCTGGTGGCCCTTGCTCTATCAGTCATCTCTTCTATCCTTTTATCTTCAAAATCTTCCTCTCCACTAAGTCAATGTACATAGTCTATAAACACTGTCAAATATTTTCTACCTTTTATAAAAGCTTCAGTTAACATGTTTCTAGGCTAGGTATAACCCTTTATCTTCCTTCTTTCAGCATCTTGCCATATTTACAACCCCTTTGACCTTGATCTCTCTCTTGCTATAACTATTTATCCCTTCTTTCCACCTCAGTACATTTTCCTCTTTTCATTTCCATAAATTTGCATCAAGAGTAGCCTTCTCATCACTCATTTAAGCCTTATAACATTATTATATGGATTTGCCTCCCCATTTCATTAGAATGCCTTTTACTGCTTGCCAAGCCCAGGCAAGGTGTGTACTTCCCAGCACACACCTTGCTGGCTGGTTGTGCATCTCGCCACACTGACACACCCCGCTCAGAAATGGGATGTCTACTACCACTGGCTGTCTCTGCTTGTCTCCCTCAGTTTCCTAGTTTCGTCTTCCCGTCCCATTTCTTAAGCACTGCATTGCCTAGCAGTCATCCTTTTCTTACAAGACAGAATCTCCTGCTCTTGCTCACCTTTCTTCTTGCCTTAGACGTGTACGTAGAAGGATAGAAGGATCTGTGTTTTGTTTTTGTTTTTGAGATGGAGTCTCACTCTGTAGCCCAGGCCAGAGTGCAATGGCATGATCTTGGCTCACTGCAACCTCCACCTCTCTGGTTCAAGCAATTCTTCTGCCTCAGCCTCCCAAGTAGCTGGGACTACAGGTGTGCACCACCACACCTGGCTAATTTTTGTATTTTTAGTAGAGACAGGGTTTCGCTATGTTGGCCAGGCTGGTCTCACACTCCAGACCTCAGGTAATCTGCCCGCCTGGGCTTCCCAAAGTGCTGAAAGGATTTGAAAGGTACCATGTGTGAGCATGTGGGAGGAAGGCACGAGAGATGGGAAGAACAGCCTAAACAAAGACAGGAGGGGTCCAAGGTAGGGGAAGTCTCATTTAATGCTCGATAGGTTATTGGAAATGACAACTTTAAGTGACACGACATATTATGAACCCAATTTTACCATAAGTTAACTGATATAAACAGGAGTTATATTCCCACAGCATATTTCTGGTCCTAAAAACCTAAACTTCTAAATAAAGATCCCAAACATTTCTAAAATAAAACACTGAAATCAATGTGAGCTATACATACATTTTTCAAAGTATGTATACATACATTTTTAAAAGATAGAATAAAGAACAAGTAAGATAATGACTCACCCAAAGTTTTAGTGAATCCATGAGTGAGGGTGGTCATAGTGTGGTGGGCTACATCAAGGAACAAAAGTTTGCAAAGAGAAAATTGTCAGAAGCACCTCTGGCCACCATGCAGTTCAAACACAAAGGACAACAAACGAAGTGGGTTCACTGAGCACTTCTGTACCACACTGTTTACTGTTACACATCTGTTTCATTACGGTCTACTTTATGAATTTTTATTTTACTATCATCTGTAGTCAAATGTACACTGAGAGCCCAGGAAACAGTAGCTGGGCTTAACCGAAGATTAGGAAGATTCCTAAGGGGAAGGAGTGGGACATCAGCCTGGAGCAGGAAATCCTGGCAATCTGGGAGGGACCCTGAATGCTAAGAGGTTTGGATTTTATTTTATTGGCAGTGGAGAGTCCTGAAGAGTTGGAAGCGATTATGTATCTACCACTCCCTAGAACTAAACAATCCAAAATCATATCTTCTTTTTCACCTAAGAAACATTTCTAACATCTGCCCACCCTGTTCGTTTATCTTCCCTTATCACCCTATTATTACATTACTTCAGCTTCCCCCTTGCTTTTTCAATCTCTCCAGACTGTGAGCAAACTTTCCATTTCAGTTAGTTCATTCTATTTAAAAAACAAAACAAATCCATATAGTAACCTCTCCAGGGAAGTCCAGGGCAGTGGGAGGACCATGGCTGTGTGTATGGCAGCTCCCCTCTGATAGACAGAGCAGAGCCCCTAGACAGCCTTCCTGCCCACACACCCTGCCCATGTCCCAACCTGTTTTGCCGTGACACATATATGACAGGAATCTTGAAGCTCTGGCTGGACTGTAAGTTCCAAGAGCAGTAAGTTCAATATCCATAGATTCTTTTGTATTTCCCAGTGTCATTCACTGTGTTGAGCTTATAGCAAGTGCACAATGAATACTTACTGTTCAAATAAAATAGCAATTTACACTAATTGTGTGCTGGGGTACGGGTGAATTTGGAAGGCAGCATGAGAAAACAACAAAAACCCAAAGACCTAGGGCTCCATAAAAAGAGAATGCAAAAGTGTAGAAAGCTAATACCAAGATACACACTTTATTAAAAATTTGATCCAAAAACCCCAAAGAATTTTCCCCATTGCAGAGCCCAATTAAGTAATTTTTTGTTTTATTATAATGCTGTTTTTCTTAAGTAACCAAGGTTTCCAAAAGACAACTAGCAAATCAGAACCAAATTAGTGAACTTTGACAGACCGGAAAGCAACACAGTAGAGTGAAAAAGCAAGGACTCTGGCATACGGCAGACATCGCTACAAAGCCAAGTTCTACCACAAATTAGCAGTGTGACCTCAGGAAAATTAGTTATCTTCTCTGGAGCTAAATTCTCTCGATGATTAGGTGGGAGAAAAACTCATAGAGCTCACTGCATTACGAAATCTAAGTTTTAGAGAGTGGGCATAAAGATCCTGGCTCAGAGGAATCACAAAATAACATTAGTTCTTGTGTTTACTCAACAAATAGTCGAGTGCCTTCTACAAGCCAGATACGGTTGTAGGCACTGCTGATAGATTAGAGAATAAAAAAGGCAAATACATGTGCTCATGGACCAGAGATTACTGTCTTTAGCCCTTGTGATAATAGGATAAGAGCTTCAGTCTCTCTCCCCATGAAAATACACATAATTTCCATATACAAATTATGCCTGCAGTTGCAAGGCAGTCAAGGATCTCATGAAATCCTGCAGTTCCCTCTTGTGATCTTACTCTATCCCTAGATCAGTCAGGGTCTCCTAAATAAGTTTAGTAAGAATGAATCAGGATGCATGTTAGATTCAGGACCCCATTTCTGATTTACCTGAAAAGATTACCCTAGGGTGGGAAGTAGGAATATGGATGTTATCAAGTGCCCCAGGAGAATTTTATCGTCTAAGGAAACACTGCCTAAGATCTCAGACTCTGGCACACTTGGTTTTCCTAAGCTTACCCACCCTATTATCTAATTATGAATCAAATTTCTTCTACCTAGCATATAGTAGGTACTCAGTGTACTTCTAACTGATGGGAAGTGAATGCTATACCCACATATACTTCCCTAGATGACTAACACAAAATATCAGTCCCATAGTTTATCCAGGCAGAATTATCTACTAAACGACCACAATGTAAAAAGGCTTAGAAAGCAGAAAAAAAATGCTCAGTAAAAAGCTTAGAAAGCAGAAAAAAATGAAAGGCAAGAGCTAAGGCATCACAAAGCACGGATACATACCTGGTGCTACTCTCAGAGATGGAAAGAGAACAAAAGGGTAATGACTCGACTGAGGCAAGGATTTGGATGCCGTCTCCAACTCCATCCATCCCTGTCCCCGTCCCCATTTATTGGTTACCAGTTTCACCTTCTCTTCCACCAAAAATATCACTGGTCATCAAGCAGGAAATAAACAAACTTCCAACAAAATCAAGTACAAAGTACATCTGTGGGAGCCTTGTTAATAATCATGTTTTTCCTCCATGTACTGCACAGGCATATTCTCCAAACACAAAAACAAAACCCTCAACTGAAATGTTCACATTTCCAACCTCAGACAACAAGTATTAGGGCAACTGTTTGTCTAGGAGTTCTGTAGTATTTGAATTTTTGAATATTTGAATTTTCTAAATTCAAATATTCCATTCTATGGTCCCAGAGACCAGTGGTAAGCCCTGGAAAATCCCAATATGTCAGCATCCAAATCACATAGTCTTTTGCACTTGGAAGCAATCCCACTATCAGGCCCCAAACCCAATATGTGGCTGAGTAAAATGTGGCCTTTGCAAGTGAACCAAGCACTACTCCCATTGTATAAATGGACATCCAACGCAAGACTCAGTTCTAAATCAGAATCACACAGCACAGCAAAATATAAGCCTCACCCCTGCCATCCCCAAAACTCAACCATACAAGAAACGGTCAACTAACATTTTCTCAGGCTTCACGAGATGGAGTCTATAACCAACCTTGGCAGGCAAGACCAATTCCTTTCAGGGACAGGTAAGTTTTTCTCTTTCTAGCTAAATTCATCTTGTGTGATCTCTTATACTTAGTCTTCCCTTTCCTGTCTTGCCTAATTTTCCCCCAAAATAAGCTCTCCCTGGCCTGTCCTCCTTATCTGATTGTTTTTCTACAACAGCAAAATCACAAAACAGAACATGATGACAAATTCTTATTACAAGATAAAGTTTAGAAGCTTTCTTTTGTATGCCAAAACAAGTGGCATTTCTGGGCTATATCCATGCTTGATGTCTGTACTGAACTGGTAATCAAGGGGAATATCTACCATAGTAATACTGCCCAATCTTGTAGCTGCATAGCTCAAGAAACTCACCTCTGGACAACTGTGTCCTTCTAATCCCTTCCAACTACCTGCATAGCCCCATTAATCTAACTCTCTTGTCCTTGTGAGGTTGTCATTATCAGAAGATAAGCACAGGGAAAAAATCCAAATAAAAGAACACATTTGAGACACCGTCAATCTGGAAAACCGCTCAGCAGTTTCTAATACAGGTAAAACATACTCACTATATGACTTGTAAATCCAACTCCTAGCTATTTACACAAGAGAAATAAATTTAGGTTCGCACAACCTGTAAGCAACTGCTTTTAGTGGTTTACTCATGATTACCAATTACTGGAAACAACCTAAATGTACTTCAATTAGTGAATAAACTGCTGTATAGATATTCCATGGAATATTAGTGAGCAATGAAAAGAGCTGAACTATTGAATCAGGCAACAACATGGAGGAATTTCAATGCATTACTACTCAGTGAAAGAAACAGGACTCAAATGGCAACACAGTGTATGATACCATTTATATGAAATCTAGAAAAGGCAAAAGTCTAGGGACAGACTTCAGAGCAGTAGTTGTCAGGGGCTGTGGGTAGAGGGAAGGACTGACCACAAAGGGGCACAAGGAAACTTTACAAGTTGTTCAAATTGCTCTGTATCTTGATGGTGGTAGTGGTTACAAGACTATACATTTACCAAAACTTAAAGAACTACAATAGCTGATTTTACTGTGTGTAAATTGTATCTAAACAACCTAAAGTTTAAAACCAATTTAAATACCAATAAAAAATCATGAAAGAGTGAGAAAGGAAGAAAAGGAATACACTTGAAATGGGGGCTAGAGTTTCAAAATTAATAGTGAGTTTCAATGGTACTTTATCTTGAAAAGAGAAAGGGAGAAGTTTATCTGATATTTAACCAAATTTAGGTTATAATTGAAAGTATGTGTTAATTCTTAGAACAAAAAAATCCATTTTTTATTTGTTATATAACTTCAGCAACAGGACTTATGTCAGCAGGACAAAATATCTTTCATATCATACTTGACTTTTCATAGCATGATTATAAAGGAGATCATTTTTCCCCAAAATATTTAGAGCATCTCTTTTCACTAAAGACTTCCCTTAATCCCTAAAAGGTCCTAATATTTCTCTTTAATGCCTATCAAGTCAATATCTTAGTCAATTTTCTCTTCTTTAATGGTTATTTGGCTTAACTCAGATCTTAATTGGGCCATGGCATATGATTCCAGCAGTTTCCCAATGTCACTTTCATGGAGTCCATGAATTATTTTCTCTTTTGCAAGATCTGAAATTTCTCTTTGTAATCAACTTACTTTGCATACATATTGTATGGATGGGTGATGATCAGACAATCAGAGAGAGGCCAGCCTACAAAATTGCTGGTGTTAAGTGGCAAGTAAATTTGTGGTAGAGAAAAATTATGTAAGTGATGAGTCTTTAGTGAATATAATCATAACATTTACTTCCCTCTGTTGCCTCATGACTGCACAGAGTCAGATCATGAATACACCAAATAATACATTTTAAGCTGAGGATGCCTTGTATTTTATCAATTACACTTTGTTGGTGTTCTTCCAACTCTGATAACCTACATTCCCTCATTGAGCACACACTATTATGCCAGACTGTAATATCATGGGGCTATAAAAATGCTATAAAAATGTCTTAGATGCTTTCATAAGTATGGCAGGAAGACAAGGTGAAACAGACAGCATCATCACTATCATCTTGTCTAACATCTTACTCAGTGTTTACTGAGCACCTACCACAAACCAGGTCTTAAGAGCTTCCCTTATACTAATTTAACCTTCTCAACATGCCTATGAGGTCATTACCATTAATATTCTCATTTGATAGACAGGCAAAGGAGTCTCAGAGCTGTTGAGTGAATTACCCAGGCACTCAGCAGGTCCTGTGCGGAGCTGGGGTTCACATCTAGCCTGGTTGCAGATCTTCCACATTTAAGAACACTGTGACTGCTATGATCCCCTAGGAGAGAGTCCTGCACTGTGGAGGCAGTGAAAAGCCATGAGCAGGCCTGAGCCCATTCTGTACCCCAGGTCTCAAGGGCAGCTGTAGCTCTGAGAGCCACACCCCATAGCCAATCCACAAACATCTGTCAAATCACTTGAGAGTCAGGATTTGCCGAATAGAACACAAATACCTTCTGCGGCAGCAAGGGAGGGTAGCAGGGAGGAGCAAAGGAACAAAACTTGCCAATAGCCCCAGCACTCTGGGAAGGAGGCTGCTGAAGGCAGTGAGGTGGGCCACCGCTGTCACCCAACAGCTGCTGTCCTGTCCTGCTCTTCACGCGGGAGGCAAGCTGTACAAGCAGATTCTTGCACCCACACTTTAGAAAAATCAGACTAAATATAGCCAAGTTTGCTCTCATGAGCCAGCTCAGAGCGGGTGGTGCTGCTACATTCCACTTCAGAAAACTGGGGAGGAATCAACTTGATTTACAAGAGAGCAGCTTTCCACGCTTGCTCTTGTGGTTTCAAAAGGACCATATGCAAGATCCAACTGGACTGTGGGGAATGCTGCAGGTTTGGCCAGGCAGATAATAGAGCCCTTAGGAAAAGGATTTTACCAGACATGAGTTAGGAGGCTCCCCATTCGTTTTCCTTCCTATAAAGGGCTAAACTACCACATCCCTGGGACATGGGGGAAATCCATTAAGAAGCATGCATTATACATACACTACTCAGTTTTGTGCCCTTTCCCCGATTCCCACCCATCAAAATCCTACTCAAAAGCTCACTCAATGCTACCCCTTTCGTTAGGCTATCCCCACCCAGCTCAGAACTAAATGCTCCATTTGTTCTCAGACCTCCCACGTCATGGTGCTTGCACTTTTATTTAGCACTTATATCATTCAGTCTAATCTGCTTCTCTTGTCTCCTTCCCCCAGTGGAGGCTGCAGGGGAGGGCCGGGACTGGCAGGGGTCAGAGTGGGCTAAGCTCCCTTTCTTACTACACTCCCCACCACATCTCGTAGAGTTCCTTGTACATGGGTGCTACTCTACTGCTTATCAACAGAAAGGCACCATCTGCTTGAATGCCTGTGAATGAGCATTTGCAATATCCCCTTTCTCATAATTAAATGCACAACAGCTGACACTCACTCGCCAGAGTTCAAGCATGGGCTTCAGATCCCCAGCTCCCCCTACCCTTGTAATATGTCACCACGTCATCCACTGTGACTCAGCATTACAGAACACAGCTACACCAGCAAAGGTTTCCCAGTTTCTGCTTCTCAGCACCAGCGCTTGTTTCTTCATTCAGGCGTGAGAAAACAGCAAGGCAGATGAGAAAGAAAGGGTGGGATAAAAGGAATTAGGAAGGGCTGGGCTAGGAAATACAACAGTACAATTAGACTGAAACCCTGTCCGAACTAGCTAAGAGGGCTACAAAAGAGATGGGGGTGGCAGGAACTGCTGCCACAGCAAGTTTCAAACTAGGTTGGAGGCCCCATTCTTGTTCACACAGTCACTGGAAGGAATTTTCAATGACGAACTTCTAGCCGTCATTCTCCTTCCTAAAACAAAGTGATCAATAGAAACTCTGGTGCAGGAAAGTCAGATCTGGTGGTATAGAGAACATAATAAAAATAAGAAAAAAAGATCCTCAGGAATAAGTGAATGGGAGAGAATCAGGGAGTAATTAGTTTAACAATCACACAATGAAGCTGCTGCAGGGATAAGTACCTATGAGGGAAACTTGTCCATCGTCTCACTGCTTTCATGACATCTGCTCTGTAGAGGAACACAGTTGGAAGTTCTCATTAAATGTGTATGGGAGTTACTGTGGGAATCAAAAGCAGTCATAAACCCACCCATTCCTTCATTTGTCTCCATTCATTCATTCAAGCTTCAAGGATGAGACATGAGACATAGTCCTTGCCGTAGAAAGTACCACCAGTAGAAGAGGTACATTCATAATGATGTTCCCAACAAGAAAAGGTAGTTAGGAAAGCATAGGTGAGCTAGCACCAAGAGAATCACACAGAGGCAGGACAGAGCTTCTTGTGTTCTATGAAGGGAAATCCATCAGAATTACACTTCTGGTCTCCCTCTTTACCCTCTGGGTCCTCCTCAGGAGAGGAGAAATCAACTCTCTGATGAGCAAGTCTGTGAAAAGGCACAAAGCATAGGTTCCCCACCTCTTCCTTTGGGTCCCACCTGCCTGCTGCAGGAGCCCATGTTCTCTCTGCTCTCCAGCTGCCAGTGGTATAGAGCAGGGGTCCCCAACCCCTGGGTTGTGAACTGGTATCAGTCCGTGGCCTATTAGGAACCACACCGCACAGCAGGATGTGAGCAGTGAGCAAGCAAGCATTACCACCCAAGCTCTACCTCCTGTCAGATCAACAGAGGCATTAGATTCTCAGAGGAGTGCAAACCCTACTGTGAACTGCACATGTGAGAGATCTAGGTTGCACATGCCTTATGAGAATCTAATGCCTGATGATCTGAGGTGGAACAGTTTCATCCCAAAACCATCCCCCATGGAAAAACTGTCTTCCATGAATCTGATCCCTGGTGCCAAAAAGGTTAAGGACCACTAGCATAGAGGGAGGCATCCCTATGACGGGTAAGTTCACTGCTGCATACAATATTAGCAAGCCCACTTACCCTCCAACCCAAAGTCAGAAAAAAATAACCCACTATAAGCTTGTGATAAAAATGATGTTTTTATCTCCCATGTGACTCCTTTTACTCTCTGTGATGCAGTTCTGAGTTCAAGTTGGGTACAAAGTCATCATTTATGGGGCTGCAAAGCCCAGTGTTTACCGTGACTGCTTCTATTTGTCACAAACGTTTGACGCTATCTCATTTCCCATTTTCCCAGTCACCGTTATTATTACTTAGCCTTACAATATTTTGGTGATGTGTAGTTTCTTCACTCTTCTACAGGAGAAAAAACATAGAACCTGAGCACTGAATGACTTATCAGAAGATATTTGGTAAGCTACCATGTTCATTTATGATGGAAAATTCAGATCCCTTAATATAGATGTCATTAAGAGCACACAGTCTTGCATTTGACATGTTTTTCTTGGGGAGAGAGGTGAGTGCTGAATATTGGAAATCATTTTTCTGCCACATGAGAGGTGCTATTCTGTTAGACCTGGAATAGAAATTACCATGTACAATGTCCATCCTCCCTATTTTTTTCATAAATATCTGAGGACAAAGCAAGAAAAGGAATTGGGGATGAGGGGTAAAAAAAAAATCCTTCTCTAGCTCTGGAGACTCGTGCATTTATATGTCATTCATGAAACAATGACTGTGGGCCTCCTAAGTGCCAGGCGCCATCCCTGGAATACAGAGATGAATACAAAGATGAATACGACACTGTCCCCAATGAATCCACATTTTTCTTCTCCCTGAATAATATTGCAACCCATTTCTGTTAGAAAACATCAATAGGTTTAACCGTCTATACACAGTCTGTCCATAGAGAATGGATTAGTTTGGGGTCCCTGCTACCTCCTTCCAAGAGGTCCTAGTCCCCAGTCCTGCTAAATTATTTCACAAGACATTGTTTTTGTTTTTTTTTTTTTTAAAAAAAGGCAATGTATGCCAGTATAATCCTAATCCAAATGCAGACCATAAGGTCGTACCCTGTTCTGTGGCGGGAAAGCATACCTGTAAGCTGCCCATAAATGCAAAGCATGGGTCACAAGCAGACTAGGAGACATAAATAGGATGTTGCAAATAAACTAAGAAGAAAACATAACACAGGGTAGTTACAAAACAATAAACAAAGGGCACCTCTTTTTCATCTTAAACACACGGCTGCAGGTTCAGCAAAGTGAATGAGTGAACTACTTGCTAGTAACACTTTTACAAATTCAAGTTTACTTAAGAAAAAGTTACACATAGTAAAAAACCTTCTAATTTGTTACTAATTAGAAAAACTGGCTGGCATGAATAAGTGAAAATTCAGGATATAAAACACATGCCAAATAGTATAGCTTTTCCTAAGAGAAGGGATGAGAGTACAAGTGATATTTACTTAGGATGCAGGTTCCAGACACCCTTCTAGAAGCCCTCTCCTTTATTTAATCCTCACAATGAGCAGGGCACGGTGGCTCACTCCTGTAATCCCAGCACTTTGGGAGGCCGAGGCGGGCGGATCACGAGGTTAGGAGATGGAGACCATCCTGGCTAACATGGTGAAACTCTGTCTCTACTAAAAGTACAAAAAAATCAGCCGGGCGTGGTAGCAGGCACCTGTAGCCCAGCTACTCGGGAGGCTGAGGCAGGAAAATGGCGTGAACCCGGGAGGCGGAGCTTGCAGTGAGCCGAGATCGCGCCACTGCATTCCAGCCTGGGCGACAGAGCAAGACTCCGTCTCAAAAAAAAAAAAAAAAATCCTCACAATGTTCCCAGGAGGAAAGCAGTAGTGAGCCCATTTTTTCCAGATGTGGAGACTAAAGCTTAGAATGTTAAGCAATTCGAACTGTATTTTCTATTCCAGTTCCTCTGGCAAAACTCCTTATTCTCTGAAGCAGCATTTCTCAATAAGTTGGGTAAACTGATCATTACTTGGCCATGGCTTGGCCTCGTTATACGGGATGGCCATGCGCTGCAGGACATTTATTATCTGTGGCCATGGGCACAAAATACCAACAGCAGCCCCCAGCAGCAGTTCCTACATATCCCAAATGTGTCCAGGGACAATGTCACCCAGCAGTAGAGGTAAACTGTTCTAAAAGATTTTTTGGGCATCAAGACAAAAGACTGAAGAGAAGGGCACTTCGAGGTGGGCAGATCACGAGGTCAGGAGATCGAGACCATCCTGGCTAACATGGTGAAACTCCGTCTCTACTAAAAATACCAAAAAAATTAGCCAGGCATGGTGGCGGGTGCCTATAGTCCCAGCTACTTGGGAGGCTGAGGCAGGAGAATGGCGTGAACCTGGGAGGCGGAGCTTGCAGTGAGCTGAGACCGCGCCACTGTACTCTAGCCTGGGCGACAGAGCAAGACTCTGTCTCAAAAAAAAAAAAAAAAAAATCTCCCATCCTCAAATCTGTCAGAAATCCCTTATTGTATCACATTTAGGCTTCCAAGAAAGCCCCATGTACCCTTATAGAACCAGTTACAAAACCTCCATGAATATATTTGCCATGCAATTCATGAGCATTGAGTACCTATTATGGGCAAAGTACTGTGCTATGAGCTAGGAATATAAAGTCCAAGTCTAACCCCCAAGGGGGTTAGAGTCTAGTAAGAGGCAGATTAAGTATGATAAGTATTAAGATAAATGTGAGCAGGAGGCACTTCCCATAGACTGGAAAGAGTGCTGAGAAGGCAGAAGAAAAAGGAGGGCTGGGACAGTTTCCCAGAGGAAGTGACATTTTCCCAAAGGCTTGAAAGACCAAGTAGGAGTAACCAGGAAGGGACTGGTCCAGGCTGATATCTTTGCAAAGACCAAAGATAGGAATCATATTTGAAGTTAAAGTTTAAAATACTTCCTTCATTCTTTGAGACCTCATTGTGATTCAAACTCAGGATCTCCTGTTTACTAGACAGGTACTTTAACCAAGTCACTAGAAAATAAACTCTCCATAGTCCACATGTACTTCCTTCCTAAGTTCTTGTTTTTGTAAAGTCTGGCTTCACTGGTGTAATCACCCATCACGCAAGAAATAAGACAAATTTATACTTCTTACAGGGAACAAGAAATTGTTTTCGAGAACAGTGTGGACTAGCAACAAAGAGGAGTGTCCCTGTCTTGGGGACACAGGAGTGGTGAAGACGAGAGATCATAATCAGTGTCACCTGATGGGTGACATAGAACGGACACTTAAGGAGTAGGTCAACATATCCTTGGTCTCAAGCTCAAGATGAACTTTATCTCGGCTTTTGTTTTGTTCTTTGGCATCTGAAGTCTTGACTATCAAGCATAACGATGCAAAAAAAAAAAAAAAAAAAAAAAAAAGATTCTCACCCTACTGGTACATTTGCACAGAAAAGAAAACCTAGAAAAATCTTGATTGTAAGAGAGAGAGAGGATTTCATTTTTGTTAATAAAGTTAGGAAAGCTGGAAGTGGCTGGCTGTGGATCTCTGAACCTGAGATAGCCCAAAGGCAAGAGTTTCCCGAGTTTATGGGTGCTGAGTATAGGAGCTGGGTTGTTGCTACTTCAGGTTGTTAAGACAGTCGTTATAAGGGGAGCAAGAGTCAGATTAGTTCAATTTCTTTCTCCTGGGGCAGGGAGGAGAGGGAGCAGCAAGCCAGCCTCGTGGCCTTCTCGTCTCTAGCCTACAAGGAATAGGCTGATTTCCCCTTGGCAAGGCGCCTGAAGCAGCTGGCAGGCAAGCCCTCCTCTTCCTACTTCAGTACGCCCTCTGACCTGACTGCACTCAGAAACCAAAATTCTGCAGGTGAATGTAGGCTCCCATTTCGTCCCACAATCATTTCATCATTCAGGCACAGCTTGACCTCTAATGTGACATCACAAACCCTTCCGGTCCACAGTTTTTTTTTCTTCTTCAGAAACTACCTAAACAAGGAAGTTTGTGTTCCAAGGTAAGATAACCTGAAATGAAAAACTCAGGATCCCTCACGAACAGCCTGACCCTGCTTTCAACCAGGAAGTTCAAGGGAGGCAGGACTTTACGGTCAAAACTGCAAAGCCGAAGCTCAAGACTGTAAGAAGAAAGTGATCTTCAAAGAAAAGGATTCACCCAAATCGAAGAGGTTGTTGCACTTCTTTTCCCTGGCTGATTACATTTCATGTCTGTAAACTTTGCTAAGCCCGGGGCGCTGGCTGTATAAGCAGAGACAGGTGTAGGGACACCTCTACCCTCTGGGTACATCTGCGGCCGCCGCTGCTGGGTGCATAGGACGAAGGGCCCTCGACCCAATCCCAGTCCAAGCTTCCGGATGACGCACCTGGGCTGGGGACCTCTCCCACGTGAGGGGGGCCAACCAAGCATCCCCAGCCCCGGGGCCACCCAGCCTGCTCCGGAGGGAGGGGGCAGGGAAAAAGGGCATCTCGGGGCCAAAACCTCATGCCGGATCCTCCGGCTTTCCCCCCATTTCCAGGATATCGTTTCGCATCAGGGACACTCGTCTCCACACCTCCTACCTCAAAGTCCTACGCACCTACCCTTCACGTCTCTCCAAAGCAACTGAATTAAAGCGCCTACTGGCCTTGGCGGCGCAGGTGAGTGCCAAGAGGTGGAGGAGGAAGGGGCCCGCTCTCCGCCACCCCCTTTCCTCGCCTCCCCACGATCGCCAAGCTTCATCGGGGATGTGTGCCTTGGGGTGCGCGGGTTAAGAGGGAGCTTAAAAATGCCCCAAGCGTCCCTTACCTTCCACAGCCATTCTCTCAGAGCTTCCCTAACGCATGCATAATTTTCTTGGCCGAGGTACTCCTCCTGCCCCGCGCTCCCCCCTTCCTCTCGCTTTCGCCTAAATATTCTGCGCTTATCTGCTCCAGGACCAACCTGCCGCGGTCACGCAAAGCGAGGCAGCCGGCTCCCGGCTCGGCGCGCGCAGGGCGTCCTGGGAAGTGTAGTTCCCTCCCTTCGCTCGGACTGGGGAGAGCACCCCGACTCCTCCGCGGAGTGCCGCCTGGCCCCGACACTTGGAGAGCAACTCCAGCTTCAGCTGGCCAGGCCGAGCAATCTCTCCTGGGGAAGTTGTGAGGGGACCAGGGATGCCTGGTTGTGGCGGGGCGGGGGGGGAGGGGGGGGGGGTTCCCGGGAAGCGGTCTGGACTACATCTCCCAGGAGGCCGTGCGCTGAGATAGGTTCGCTGCTAAGAGTAGGGACCCGTGATTGAGCCCTTCCCTGTCCATTACAAGGGGTTTGGCACCTAGCAGGTGTGGTGAGGTGGGCAGGTGACGGTCAGCTGTGTGATGAGCTCCTGCGAGCTCGTCCGTGGGCCTCTGCCGCCGGTACCGCCCCGCCCCCTGGCCTCCTGAACCACCATTTAGTAGGGAGAGCAGGACCACTGTCCTCCTGTGTGGTTCTCCACCTGGGCCAGAGAACGCTGCCCAGGGTGAGGTTGAAACTTGTTCCTTCGCACCCTGAGATGTATGGGTTTTGTGGGGGAATTCCGACGGTTGATACAGTTGTCTTATCCTACAGGGTGGTTCAGGTGGCTAAATACTTGGCATGGGGGTGTAGGGGAGGAGGAGTGGCTTAAACCCCAATAGGCAACGTCCCCAAGGGGTTGTTAGGAACAAAGTCTGGGAGCCAGGATTGCACCGGAGGAGGTCAGATGAAAGCCTGTCTGGCTTCCAGGATAGGAGGCTTTCAATTTGCCTAGACTTGGAGCCTGTTGACAGCCTGTGATAGGGCCTAATAATTAACAGTGCCTGAGAATCAGGTTCCTTCAACTTCTGAACCTATGTCCTAGCTGTAGGTGCTGGGGATGCTATAAGCAGACATGATAATGGGAATCACGTGGATAGCAATACAATTCGACAGCTCGTAAAAATTAAGTTTCTAAACATTTTTTCCTGCGTGTGAAAATACGGATACAGTTGTGGCTGGAAGGGGTAAGGGAATAGCCTCGGGAATAAATCTGGCTCAAGACTGGATTGACTTTTAAAGGCCTTCAGTTTACAAATGTATTTGGTACCACATCCACCCAGTCACTCATATATAATGTTAATCTCTGTAAAATGAGGAAGTACAAAAATCGGATTCTTCCCATGATGACTACTTAGACATTTTTGTGTGTCTTGGTCATCAGCAAAAAAAAAAAAATGTTTTTCAAAACAATTTCGTTTCTCAGTGTATACATGCACACCTGTTGTTCTGGTCACTAATTACATGCTTAGTTCCCCTACTGGGTAATATATAATAATAATATGTGTATAGGTACTTTAAAAAATACCTGCGTGTAACCATTAAATGCTCTTGTTGATACTTTAATTCTGAGTCCATGGAGCTGTGTACAAGTCAAACCTAAGCCTCTCTTTTAGGTACAGTAGAGAGAGACCCATTCAGTGAGACATAATTTCCATGGGAAAAAGAATTTTCCGACCTAATACACAGCCAAGCATTCTAAACTCTGGAAAGAACTGAAATCCAGGTGCTTCACTACTTTATGTATATAAAATCACCAAAGTGTTAAGTATTTTCTGAGATTGAATGAATGTGAAAGAAAGCCATAGGACAGGTAGTATCAATGGTTCTCAACCTTGGCTGTGCATCAGCCTTCTACAAATATATATTCCTAAGCTTTTATCTTAGTCTCACAGAATCAGAGCTTATGGGGGTTTGGGTAGAGGCACTCAGGTTTTAAAAACCCACAGGTGATTCCAGTCTTCATTGAGGGTGAAAACCATTGGTCTGGTTCCAAGCTTTTAAATATCTGGGTGATATAAAAATATAAAAGTCATTGAAATCTGTGGTTAATTTTAAAACTTCATCTTAGCTCATCTTTAATATTTTTCCCAGTGATGTGCATTCTAGACGAGTTTTATTTTTAGTATAAATAAAATGTGAAGGAGATGTTAGTTTCTACCATATGAAATAGCCAATGTTTGACCATTTTTAAAACCTACAAATAGAACAATTTCATGTGGTTCTGCCTAATAAGGGATAAACAATAGTTGCGCAGAGGTTTTCAATTCTGGCTGAACATTAGAATCACCTGGGAAGTACTAAAAAAAAATTACATTTATCTCTAGAATGTTTGAAAGATAAAGACACAAAATACCAACCGTTGGCAAGATTGTGAAGCAATAAAGATTTATATATTGCTGGTGGTGTGCAAATTCACAAAACCACTTTGGAAAACCATCTGAAATATTCAGCTGAATATATGCTTATCCTGTGACCCAGAAGTTCTACTCCTAGGTTTACACCAAACAAATATGCATACAGATGTTCTCCAAAAGACATGTGCAAGAATGTTTGTGGCTGCATTATTTTAATGTTCCCAAATGGAAAACAACTCAAATATTTATCAACACAGATTGGAGAGATGAACTGTGGTATAACCAAATAATTCCATATAGCAGGGGTCAACAAACTAAGACCAATGAGCCAAATATGGCTCACCATTTATTTCTTATAACTCACCAGCTAGGTGTGATTTTTACATTTTTAAATGGTTGGAAAAAAAACAAAAAAAGTATAATTTGCAAAGCCTGGAAATTATAAAGACATACTTACATAATATCCTCAATTTTGCCTCTTGTCCTACAAAGCCTCAAATATTTCCTACCTGATCCTTTGCAGAAAAAAAGCTTTCCAAACCCTCCTATAAAGTAATGCAAATGAAGGAATTACAATTGTATACAACAACATGATGAGCCACATGTATTAATCGATTGCTGTTAACAAATTATCCCAATATTTAGTGGTTTACAACAATACCCATGTATTACTTCAGTTTCTGTGGCTCAGTAATTTGGGCACAGCTTAGCTTCTGCTTTAGTATCTTTCACAGACTGCAATCATGACTTATTTTTGGTCTTTTTTATCAGCAGCCAAGTACAGTTCCTAACAGATATACCCAATTTTAGCAAGGGGCAAAGTCCAGACCTCATCCCATACCTCTCATAAGCCAAATTCTGTGTTCATTATGATGCTATTGTTTGTTCCTTATAGTATATAAGCACTTCGAGTGCTGGAACTGAGTCTTATGCTTCATATCTTCCAGATTCTTGGTCATAATTGTGGTTACATAGTAAGTACTCAATAGATAATTTATTACTACTATTTTTTTATCCTTGTTATAAGTAGCATTTGTTGGGAAATTACAAGTGCCAAGCTCTGTCTAAGCATCTTGACATACATCATCTCCTTTAATCACTACAATATTGTCAGATATCACTATTTTCCAGATGAGGAAATTGAAGCTCAGTGAATTTAAGTAATTTGCCCCATGTCTCCAAAACATGAATTGTAGCAAGGGGATTGAGGTCTACCTAAGTGTAGAACTCTGTGATGTTACTCCATCTAGATTTCAATACTGATTACGTGATCACAAATCTGAATTCATAAGCACTTGGCCAAATAGGAATTGTCATTACTAATAAAATGAAGGGTTTAAAATATTTTAATATCAGAAATTGTGATATTTAGAATGATTCAAAAATTTCTGAATATATCAGAGAGCACAGAAAGGGAAGGAAAAGCCCATTACCTTATAGTGAATTAAATAAAAAAAGAAATATTGAGATGAGGCTACAGATTTCACTGGATTCTAAGATTTAAAATAGTACATATAAGTACTTTACTGTATTTATTGTTCTAACTCGGTTGCTATATTCACAAGCCTCTACAGAAAACATTCATAAATCTCAAAAAGTAAATAGATTATGTTTCTATTCTGTTCAGGGAGATCTTCTAAACCTAACCAAAAGGATTCAAACCCTAAAAAGTAAAATTTTTGACAGGAGGAACTGAGAGGAAAAAAATAATTTTTTTGTAATTAAGATAAAAAATACTAACTCTAATCCTTGAGTCATGAATAAAGTGCCAACCATTCAAGTTATATCAGGCTTCCATTGGAGGAAGTAAGCATATTTCAGGGAACATGATTTAAGCAAAAGCCTAGTTGTTTTTGCTTAAATCACATTGTGCATAATTAAATCGCATTGTGTGTTATCTGTTTGTTGATAAGTTGGTGATATTCTATACCATCGTTCGTCTAAACTATACTTTCAAAATCAGACTTAAATTATGTCTTCAAAATTTGAGCAGAATCTGTCTACCTTTATATTAACTGGTTATCTGAATATTTGGCTTCAGTACTCAAGTTTCGTAGACATACAGAACTAGATTGTAATCCTGACTCTCATTTACTCGATGTTGGTTATTAGCAAAGTTCTTTGACATTTCTGTGCCTTGGTTTTCCCACATGTATTGTAATGCTATTAATTGTGTAATGTATACATTACCTAGCTCACAGTTTGGGGCTCAGCAGTGACTGAGAGAGTATCTATAGTGTTGTGCGCTGTCCTGGCACATAATGGATGCCCAATAAGTGTTTGCTCTTTTGATCATCCATGGAAGCCTGAGAGGCCATTCCCAAAGAACATGGATATAATTCAGTTAAGCAGTAGCAAGGGCCTCAGGATATTTGCCAAGTGTGGAGTAAGTCTGCCCAGTCCGACTTGTAGTTAAGCCACTGAATGAACTTAACTTGATCAATGCAGAGCCTCCTCTGACAGGCAAGAAAACAGGGCTGTGCCATGGAAGAGCAGTGTCCTGGACACTTGTCCCTTTTTGGATAGGTTTTGTTGATAGAAAAGAGTGTGGGATTATTGTAGGCTCTAGTGGCTGACTGCATACAAACTTTCTGTGTTCTGGATTTCCAACCCTGAAGTATTAGGTTGGTGTAAAAATAATTGCAGTTTTTGCCATTTTTTTTTTTAATGGTAAAAACTGCCATTACTTTTGCACCAACCTAATAAATTTGCAGCACCTCTTCTGAGCAGAGTTGCCCCTACTTCCCCAACCAGGGGAAATTGTAAACTGTGTGTAAAAGCATAGGAATGGTCATCTGGAATTACTTGTCATTGGTACACATCAGCACAAGAGAACACTAGAAGAGATGCAACTTATTTTCACAACTGAACTATTCTATGCCAGATGTTTAAAAACTTAAGGTGTGATGGGCTCCCTTTTACTACTACTTCCAAAATGACCAGAAATCTTTACTAGGCAGAGATGCTAAAGCTGACCGCTTACTGTAGTTATTTGACCAGTCCTTTCCCTTCCCTTCTGTTCCTCTGTTAATAATTACCTAATAAACTTTATATTTTTAATCATTATATAGGGTACAGTGAGCCTTCACATACATTATTGCATTTTATCTTTACAATGGCTGTCAGTGGATAGTATTTACTTCATTTTATAGGTATGAAACAGAGGCTGGGCAAGGATGGATGATTAGCCCAAATTTATACACCCAGACAGAGCCTGAATTCAACACTTGAGACTTCTGCATTCAGTACTTTTTTCATTCCATCTCAATGTACTTTCTCATCAGGTGTAAAAGTGCCACTTACCCTATTGGCTTCCAAAAATATATTGAAATGCACTCTGACAGGAAGAATCTCATTTGATATCGGGAATTTCAACAAAATCCCACCTTATTTGGGCAAAAGAACTCTCTAAGAGTGAAACTTTTCTTGAATGAGCTTAAAGTACAGTGATCTTAATGGAAGATTTTAGCTAGAAGATATTCATCTTCAGTACTCTTCAAGTCTAAGCTACGGTTTTCTCTCACTAAGACCACTACTAATTTCAGTAGTTTACTAATTAGTCTATCTGCATACAATTCTTCCCCAGTGTGGCTTCTCTCCACCAGCAAACAGAATGGTATGACCCAAATCTAATCATCTCACTCCAATTTGAAGTCATTTGATTGCATCCCTTTACTCTTTGGTTAAAGCCTACAAGCCCTAGCAAAGTTTTTCTTAGGCTCCCATTCTGGGTTAGTTTTCTCCACAACACTCATATCAGTTTGTAGGAATATATTTATTATTTTCATTTAAATAGTGTCAGTATCCCCACTAATTCCATCGGATTAAGAATGGACTCTGATTTTGCTCCCCTTTGATCTTCCAACCACTAGCACTGTATCTGGCCCAACAATACATACTTAATACATGTATTATGTATCTGTAAGTACTGTCTGACTGAAGGAGCACATGAGTAAACTACCTAATCATAAATGTGTTTATTTTTCCCAATTAAACTGCAGGTTAGTATTTTGTTTGTGTTTGTGTTAATGTTTTATACTCTTAGAAGTAGGCTTTTTTTTTCTAACCTAGAATCTGTTCAGAAAGGACTTAGAGGCAAGTTACTCTAAGTCCTATCATTTCACAGTTGAGGCAGAAAACCAAAAAAGTTTGCCAGGATCACATCATAGCAGAACAATGTCTAGAACCCAGGTTCAGGCCAAGGTTCTTCATTGGTGGTTTGATTTTTGTTTTTGTTTTTAGAGGATGTGGTGGGGAGAGATTTCTGTTCCACTGGGCTCAGTTTGGCTTGGTGGCTGAGCTTTCAGTCAAGGAGGCTGGGGCAGCTCTGCTCCTCGCTGCAGGTTTTTGAGTAAGCTGGGGAACTCTGCCTCAGGCTAAAGGGGCAGCAGCTAACGGCAGAGGAGCAAGAGAGAAAAAGGAAATATGCAAGGCTTTTAAGCCCTGTCTCAGAACTGCAGCACTTTCACTTCTCTTACATCATGTGTTGAATCAAGTCATAGGGCCAATCCAAAAGTCAAGGTGTATTAGTTCATTCTCATGCTGCTAATAAAGACATACCTGAGACTGGGAAATTTATAAAGGAAAGAGGCTGGACCAAAAACATAAAGAACCTTTTCTTTTTAGGAGGCCATATGCTTTCTTGTTCTCCCTGTGGGAGAATAAAAACCCCACATGTTGTGGTGTTGCACAAAGAAAGAATGGAGTTGGGCTTTTGTGGTTAGAGATGAGAAAAGTCCATCAGTTGTCAGAAAGTAAGAGTCTGAGGAATTCATGCAGTCAGAGAAAGACAAAAGGCTCTGCAGGTGCTGATGACAGATGACTGTCCTCATAAACCTGAAGTCATGATCTAGGGCTCAATCCTAATGTCTGAAAACTCAAAGAAGTAGAAGAAAAATGGGACCTAGGAGATAATTTAGATCGCAGCTGGGAGAGAAAGGACACAGCACACCTAAGATGTGCCTTGTGAGATAAGGCAAGTATTAGCATGGTGCAGCCCTGGGTTTCACCTTTGACTGGCCTTTTCTAGCCTGTGATAACTTTTAGTGAAAAATGTGGCATTCAAAAGGTATCTCTGCAAGGTCTAGTTTTATTCAGGGATCCTAAAAGCTGGAAATATGAACCTTGTGGGGCTGGGGAAAATTATTGGCTAATTTTTGCCCCACACTTTTAAATGCTAATAGAGTAGTATCTGTTAGGTATCTTCGGTGATGTGGTGGTGTATTTGTTAAGGTCATCTCTGCCTTCCTTGTAGAACCCTTCTATGGATGCTTAGAGGTTCCTTATTCTCTTCCTCTGGGCTTGTCTCAAAAAAACAACAACAATAGGCCAGGCATGGTGGCTCACACCTGTAATCCCAGCACTTTGGGAGGCCAAGGTGGGCAGATCATGAGGTCAGGAGATCGAGACCATCTTGACCAACATGGTGAAACCCCATCTCTACTAAAATACAAAAAAATAGCCAGGCATGGTGGCACATGCCTGTAGTCCCAGCTACTTGGGAAGCTGAGGCAGGGTAATTGCTTGAACCAGGAGGCAGAGGTTGCAGTGAGCCGAGATCACACTACTCCCCTCCAGCCTGGGTGACAGAGTAAGACTCTGTCTCAAAAAATAAATAAATAAATAAATAAATAAATAAATAAATAAATAAATAAAATAAAAGACAATAACAGACACACAAAAAGCCTCCCCGAAGCTGTGGTTTCTTATAGATGCTGCCTTACATGTGCTGGATATATTAATTGATTCCACACAGTGATACAGTAGAAATACCCTGGACCCTGGAAACATAGATCAGAGTTCAAAATCTGCCTCTTTACAAACCAGCAGGGTGAACTAAAGCAAAAGGATTAACATCTCTGGCCTTGGTTTTCTCATCTATAAAATGGACAATATCCCTCACCAGGTCTTTTTGAGGGCAAGTTATTTATCTATCCAACAAATTATCCCCAAATTTAGTGACTGTGATAGTTCATTTGTGATGTCAACTTGACTGGATGAAGAGATACACAGATAGCTGCTAAAGCATTATTTATTACCAGGGCTTCAGTAGGCACTGAGCCTGTCCATCATCTGCTGAAAGGGAAACCCAGGTGGTTTGGGATTTGATTCCAATAATTGGGTTGCCCCAGGTGTGTCTGTAAGGGTGTTTCCAAAAGGGATTGGCATGTGAGCCTGTGGGCTGAGTGGGAAAGATCTGGTCTTAATGTAGGTGGACACCAATCAATCAGTGCAGTGTCTGGATAGAACAAAAAGGTATAGGAAGGGCTAATTCACTGTCTTCTAGAGCTTCCCTTAGAGCTGCCCTCTCTTCTCCTCCTGCCCTTGAACATTAGAACTCCATGTTCTCCAGCTGTTGGGCTCCAGGACTTATACCAGTGGACCCATGGGCTCTCCAGCCTTTGGCTTTGGACTGAGAATTACACCATCAGCTTCCCTGGCTCTGAGGACTTCAGACTGGGACTAAGCTGCACTACCAGATTTCCTGGTTCTTGGGCTCACAGATGTCCTATCGTGACTTCTCAGCCTCCGTAATCGAGTAAACCAATTCTTCTAATAAATTTCTTTTCCTCTCTCTCTGCATATATATATATATATATATATATATATATATATATATATATGTATATCTTTTAGTTATTTTAAATGTACAATACATTATTGTTGACTATAGTCACCTCTGTGTGTGTATATATATATACACACACACATACACACACACACATATATATATATACACACACACAGAGGTGACTATAGTCAACAATAATGTACTGTACATTTTAAAATAACTAAAAGATATACATATATATCCTATATATTTATATATATATCTATAGGATATATATATATTTTTTTGAACCAGGCAATATATATATATAACCAGGTATGTGTGTATATATATATATACATATATATATATCCTATCACTTCTGTCTCTCTGGAGAACTCTGAATGAAACAGCGGCTTAAAATAAACATTTATCATCTCACACAATTTCTGTGGCTCAAGGGATATGAGAGCAGCTTAGCTGTGTGGTTCCAGCTCAGTGTCTTTCATAAGGTCACAGTAAAGATGTCACCCAGGGCTGAACTCATCTGAAGGCTTGACTGGGGCTGGAGGATCTGCTCCAAGGTGGCTGTCTCACCCACTTGGAAATTTAGTGCTGCTTGTTGGCAGGAAGGCTTGGTGCCCCCACAACATGGACTTCTTCATGGATTGGCTGAATTGTCCTCATAGAGGGACAGTTGGCTTTCCCCAGAGAGGGTGACCCAAAGGGGGCAAGAAGGAAGCCACAGTACATTTTATGACCTGGTCTTGGAAATCATACGTTGTCACCTCCAGCTATTCTACTTGCTACAAGAAAGCCACCAACTCTAGCCCTCAAAGGAATGGGAATTAAGTTCCACTTTTTAAAAGAAAATTTTTGTGGGTACGTAGTAGGTGTTTATGTTCATGGAATACATGTGATATTTTAATACAGACATACAATGCATAATAATCATAGGAAGATAACTACACATTTGTTTGAGCTCCTTATATATTCTGGCTATCAATCTCTTGTCATATGGATAGTATGCAAATATTTTCTCCCATTCTGTGGGTTGTCTCTTCACATTCTTGATTGTTTCCTTTGCTGTGTAGAAGCTTTTTAACTTGATGTAATCTCATTTGTCCATTTTGTTTTGGTTGCTGAGGCTTCACTTTTTGAAGAGGGTGTATAAGAATTTGTGGAAGTATTTTGAATCAGCACAAGAGGCCACATATGTAAAATTATTGTCATAAAATAAGTGTGGAGTAAATGAAATTGATTATTACTTGGAAGCTTAAATAGTATCCTGTTCTACTGTACCTCTCTAGTACTAGCAGTGCTTGGTATATAACAGACCTTCTTGCTCTTGTCCCCCAGGCTGGAGTGCAATGGCACGATCTTGGCTCACTGCAACCTCTGCCTCTCAGGTTCAAGCAATTCTCCTGCCTCAGCCTCCCAAGTAGCTGGGATTACAGGCGCCTGCCACCATGCCTGGCTATTTTTTTTATTTTTAGTAGAGACGGGGTTTTACCATGTTGGCCAGGCTGGTCTTGAACTCCTGACCTCAGATGATCCACCCACCTGCCTCCCAAAGTGCTGGAATTACAGGCATGAGCCACTGCGCCTGGCCAACAGCCCTTCTTAAATAATAGCTAAATGTATTGCTTGTTCTTGTGTTAGGCATTGGGCTAAGCAAGTTAGATGAAATAGCTCATTTCACCTTCACAATAGCCCTGGGAAATGGGTCCCAGTCAATTGGTATCCCAATTTTACAGAGGAGGAAGCTGAAATATGCACAGATAAGTTAAATAATTTTTTAGATATTAACATGGAGGGCTTGATGGAGCCAGGAATTGCTCTCAAGCAATCAACCATAGGATGCAGCTTTTAACCACCTTACTCTGGGTGTTTACACCAATCAAGGCCTCCAAAATTATTCATCTGAAATACTCCTGCCTCTGAAACTTACTTGTCCAGGAATACTTTGTGGGTGGGAGAAATAATGCCTGAATGGTTAAGCCTATATCTTGAAGCGCTTCTTTCAGATTTAGACTGCCTTAATCATTCCCAACCAAAATCTAACAATGTGAAGGACAGGAATTTCTCCTTCATTCTTTCTTTTTTCCATCATTTGATAAAACACACCCACAACCCTTCTCCTTTCTTCTGTTCTATACTTCAGGCTTCTCCATGAAACTTTGTTGTTTTTCCTGTGGCTACATAAAAGTTTGAAAACTGCCAAATTAGATCATCTCTAGAAGTCATTTCCTGCTTTACCATCTTATGAGCACGAGTCCTCCCTGTTCCCCATCAGTACAGAAGTTAGTGACCAAATCCAGTCAATTCTTTCCTCAACAATTGCTCTCTTGGGTCTCCCTTTCTTGTCCCTTCCCTCATTCTACATCTGATAAGAACCGAAATCGACACATTGTAGCATTCCCTTAACCAGGCCAGTACTCTCACTTCCAAATTATCTTGTGTCCAGTGGCCACATAAATCCTCAAGAATATCCTTTCGTTATGCTGCTCCATTGTTCAAACAAAACCCTTCAATTGTCTGTGTCGCATTTCTCATATGGGGGCCCCACAGATATGAGTACATATCAATAGACAGGTTTTAGAGAATACAGTCTAAAAAAAGTTAAGTTTTTTCCTTTACTAATAGAATTTCATGGTGACTTTGATATGCTAATGTGCAATGTGAGTCTTCCTGAAGGAGAGATAATATAACCAAGAGGTTTTCTCTCTTGGGCTTGTTGTGGGCAAGCACAGGTTTCAGGTCAGAAAATTCCCTTGGGTTGCGATTTTAGAAGCTGTTTCTTATCACTGATGTCTCTTCCCTGGCACTTCTCACTTGGTGATGAGGCCCCTACTCACTGTATTGTACCTTAACAAGTGAAAGTCCAGAAAGTCATTGCTCAATAGGCTGTTGCTCTCTCTCGCTCTTTGACTCTCTAACCCTCAGCCTCCCAGAACCACCACTTCAGAAAATCAACGTTATGTTTGTGTGTGTATACATATACGTAGCTTTCTTTACTGAAGGACTGGGTGATTTTATTTATTCATTTTTTCTTCCTATTTATTTGTTTTTATTTGTATAAAATCATAGGATAAAAGTGCAATTTTGCTAAATTGATATATTGCATTGTGGTGAACTCAGGGACGTCAGTGCACCCATCACTGGAGCCATGAACATTGCACCCACCAAGCAACCGTCAATCATCTACCCCCGTCCCATCCCCTTCCCTTCCAAGTCCCCATTGTCCATCATTCCACACTCTGCTTCTGTGTGTACATATTATTTAGCTTCTACTTAAGAGTGAGAACATGCAGTATCTGTCTTTCTGTGTCTGAGTTGTTTCACTTAAGATAATGGCTTCCAGTTGCATCTATGTTGCTGTAAACCTGAAGGACTGGTTAATTTTAAAAGGGTGTTGCTTCACAGGATAAAAAATGTTAAAAACCATGTAGTAAAAATATAACTTCCCCAGGTCCAAAAATGTGTTTGCCTGTGTGTATGTGCATTGACTGAGAAGTCAACCCTTCACTACATGGGTGCTCTTTGAACACATCCACAGTTTTGGACCTGACTGTACTGCCATTTACTGGTTTTGCCCCTCTATCCCAGAGAGCCTTATCTTCTAGACACTCCCAGTAAAACTCTGTTCATATCCTGGAAAACTCCAATGCCTACCCACTGAGTCATTCCGGAGCCCACTGTGATTTCCCACATTAAGACAGTTTCCTAAATTCAGATCACTAGAGTAGCATCCTGTGGTTTTTATTTAAATAATCAGTGATTTCTTTTGATAACCTGAGAGCTGCAGAATGGTACAGGATGAAGGTTCTTGGTTCTGCAGGTTCTGCAGCAGCATCCAGGTATGCATGTATCACCCAAGGTAGACTTTTCTTTTCTTTTCTTTTCTTTTCTTTTCTTTTCTTTTCTTTTTTCTTTTTTCTTCTTTCTTTCTTTCTTTATTTCTCTTTCTTTCTTTTTTCTTTCTTTCCTTCTTTCTTTGTTTTATTTTTGAGACAGAGTCTCATTCTGTCACCCAGGCTGGTGTGCAGTGACACAATTATGGCTCACTTCAACCTCTGCCTCCTGGGCTCAAATGATTCTCATGCCTCAGCCTCCCAAGTAGCTGGGATTACAGGTGTGCGCTACTGCACCCAGCTAATTTTTTGTATTTTTAGTAGAGACAGGGTTTCACCACGTTGGCTAGGCTGGTCACAACCCCAAGCTAGATTTCTTTGGAGATTTTCTTGAAGATGTATCCCCCACCAAAAAAAAAAAAAACCAACCCCAACTATTAGATTGGTTAAAACAGCACATGACTTGCTCTAAAATGATTTTAATTCTCAGGGAGGGCACAGTCTCTCTAAACCCTAATAAAAAGCAAAGTATTTTCTAACTACTTGGTAATTTACAACATAACTTTTTCTTCCTTTGAAGGCAGTAGATTTCATTATTATGCAGAGTAATATTACATTCCTTCAATGCTTTTGGCATGTATCACTTTGGGCCTGATGGTAAAAGAGTCATATGCCTCATAAAGATTGCTTCCTTAGTCATGTAAAGAACATTTGAAGGACTATTCAGACAAGTAAGCAGTAGGCAGTATGCTGGGCACTAGAAATGAAAACATGAATACTACAAGTTTCCCCCGCTGAGAGCTGACCTTGAAAGGCATTTATCCGCTCATTTGTTCTATGTCACATATATTCTGAGCACCTACTATATGCCAAAGACTATATTGAGCAGTGGGGAATGCCTTAGACTGGGTTCCCTGACATTCGACTCTGAGACTGAGAATAGTAAATTGTATGTGGAGGTTTATTAGGGAATATTCTTCAGCGGTGCACCCGAAAGAAAGTGAGGATGAGAGAACTGGACAGGGAGAGAACTGATGATTAATGCAGTTACAACTGAGACCTTGTCCAGTCCTAATAGGAGATCTAGAGCTGAAATAACTCTTTAGAGTTGTCCCAAAGAGGGAAGCATGCCAGGCCTTTGTATGCCCATGCCATCCAGTCATTGGTGGCACATCCTCCTTGAGAAGGACTGTAGTCCTGGACAAGGCAGGTTTTTGAAGCCCAGGCAATGCTGAGTGAGGGATATGGTTTGAACCATCAGCAATTGATATTCCTAGTAGCTGGGAGATTAGGAGAAATCTGTGTGAGAACACAACATCCACTATTGGGCTATAATAGGGCAAGGATCCATGCATGCCTTAGGAAGCCGAGAGTCCAGCTGAGGAGCTACAGCAACAAATGGGCAAAAGCAAGTGCAGATAGATAAGTGCAAGAGTGTGGGAAGTGCTGTGAAGACACACAGCAAAGGCATCTAGCCCAGTCGTAGGGGTCCTGAGAAGGATTCCCAGACGAGGCAATGGCAATAATGAGACTGCAAAGGGGAAGTGAGCATATGAAAGGAGTGGTTGTGCAAAATGCTAAAGGGAAAGAGTCTTCCTGGTAAAGGGAACAGCATGTGCAATAGGGCAAGCAATGTGAGAACATGGCATTGGAGCTTCTTACAGAGTGAGGAATGGCTGGAGTGGAAAGTGCAATAGAGGAAGTGGTGCAAGGGGAGGCAAGGGAGCTGAGCCAGACCCTGAACCTGAAGGATGGACATGAAGAAGCAGGCATGACAGTGGGGGATTTTATCTGGATTGTCCTGAAAGTCACGGTTTCCAGCTGAAAGTTACATGATAAATTCTGCACTTTGGGAATATCCTTTTTAGCTGCGGTGTGGAGAAAGGATTGGAGGTAAAAGAGTAACACAGGGGGACTCCTAAGAGTGACCATGTCGGTGGCTGGTTCATTAGTTTCTGGTGAGAAATGATAGTGATTAAAATGGAGGTATGTCAGGTGGGATAGAGCGATGGATGGATTTGAGAGATATTAAGTAGGCAGAATCCATAAGACTTGAGTGATTGGATATGGGTCGTTAGGGAAAAAGAGGAGTCAACCTCAGATTTGTCTTTGAGCCAGAGCAGGCTGGCAGTGGTGTGAAGCACAGAGCTCAGAGTGTCAGACTGAAACCAGGGAACCAGTTAGAGCTGTGATTAAAAAAAACAAAAACAAAAACAAAAAGCAAAAAACAAACATCTTTTTATAGAGGGACCCATTCAGGGAAAAAAGAGAAAGGTTTATGAACCATACTCTTCATACAAATAATAAAACATAAAATTCTAAGAAAATAAAATATGCATTCTTACAGCTTAAATTATCTTTTTAAGAAAAATGTCAATGAGAAAATTGGCCCTGCTTTTGGCCACTAAAATATTATTATGGGCTAGGCATGGTGGCTCAAGCCTATAATCCCAGCATTTTGGAAGGCCGAGGAGGGTGGATCACCTGAGGTCAGGAGTTCGAGACCAGCCTGACCAATATGGTGAAACCCCGTCTCTACTAAAAATCCAAAAATTAGCTGGGCTTGGTGGCGGGCACCTGTAGTCCCAGCTTCTCAGGAGGTTGAGACAGGAGAATTGCTTGACCACAGGAGGCAGAGGTTGCAGTGAGCCGAGATTGCACCACTGCACTCCAGCCTGGGCAACAGAGCGAGACTCCATTTCAAAAATAAAAAAAATAAAAAAATGATCTGGGTCATGTTTAAATATAGCAACTTTGAGGCAGCTTGTCTATGATTTTGGTCCCTCTTTGTATAGTGCTTAGACCTCATAAAGACCACTCTAGGCCAGGCGTGGTGACTCACTCCTGTAATCCTAGCACTTTGGGAGGCCGAGGTGGGCGGATCATGAGATCAGGAGATTGAGATCATCCTGGCCAACATAGTGAAAACCCGTCTCTACTAAAATTACAAAAATTAGCTGGGCGTGGTGGCACGTGCCTGTAATCCCAGCTACTCGGAACACTGAGGCAGGAGAATTGCTTGAACCTGGGAGGCGGAGGTTGCAGTGAGCCGAGATTGCGCCACTGCACTCCAGCCTGGTGACAAACCTAGACTCTGTCTCAAAAAACAAAACAAAACAAAAAAAATTCTATAGCATGTTCTTTTTATCCTGGATACAATCCTGTAGGTAGGAATTATTCTATTCCCAACTTATGAAGCAGAAACAGAGGCTCACAGAAGTGAAATAACTTCACTTCCCTAGTGGCAAAGTTGATTCCAGACTGTTCATTCCTGCCGGGCGCAGTGGCTCATGCCTGTAATCCCAGCACTTTGGGAGGCCGAGGTGGGCCGATCACCTGAGGTTGGGAGTTCGAGACCAACCTGGCCAACATGGCAAAACCTCACCTCTACTAAAAATACAAAAATTCGCCAGGCATGGTGGCAGGAGCCTGTAATCCCAGCTACTTGGGGGGCTGAGGGAGGAGAATCGGTTGAACTCGAGAGACAGAGGTTGCAATGAGCTGAGATCGTGCTATTGCACTATAGCCTGGGCGACAGAGCCAGACTCTGTATCAAAAAAAAAAAAAAAAAAAAGAGTTTGTTCATCCCATTCACTGCTCACTGCTTCCTGCATCAACCTAGGGTTCTCTCTATCTGCTGGGTCTGGGTTTATCTATCTGCTTTGAAGCAGAAAACTGAGAGGTCAGATGTTGCCTTGCTAGCCTCAGCTACCTGTCACAGGCCATTTACCCTGGAGGTAATGGCCACCTGAGCGTGTGTGTGTGTGTTTGTGTGTGTGTCATGGTCTTGCTCTGTCACCCAGACTGGAGTACAATGGTGTGATCATGGCTCACTGCAGCCTCAAATTCCTGGGCTCAAACAATCCTCTCACTTCAGCCTCCTAAGTAGCTGGGACTACAGGTGTGGCCAATTTTTAAAAATTGTTTGTAGAGACAGGGCCTCACTATGTTGGCCACACTGGTCTCGAACTCCTGGGCTCCAATCCACCCACCTTGGCCTCCCAAAGTGATGAGATTACAGGTTTGAACCACTGTGCCTGGTCACACCTGAGCATTCTTGCTTCCTGACTGCATCTAGGCTGCTGCTGGAGTCCCTTTCCTGGAACATCCTACTGGCCAGGCTTTGTCTTTGGGTTACTTGGAGCACAGAAGCAGAGCAGGACAGACAGAAGTGGTTTCTCCAGATACAGATTCCTATGCTTTGTAGGGTCTAAAAAGCTTCAGTTTTACTCAGGTCCTGAGTTATATGTTGTAGCCACGTGAATTAAAAGACTCCCTAAGCCAGCCATATTGTCACCATGCAGGATCAGATGACTCCACCCTTAACTAACCCAGGGGAGGGGAGTAGAGGGGAGAGGCTCATTTTGAAACTGCCTCTGTTGGGGCCCTTCAGGCTGCAGTCCCTGGCCACACAATGGTCTGCCTTTTGGCAGGCACATCCAGTGTTAGGTTTTCAAATACAATGAGAAGGGAGTTTATATTTTCATCTGATAATTATAAGTAAAAGATGCAATTAAATATGACTGCAATTAGCTTGAAGTAGATTTTCTGACTGTAAACACACACATACAAATGTATGCATTTCAGACATATCGATTAATATTTCCACAAGCACTTCATAGTCTTGATTGCTATGGGTGGTTAATACAAAGTTTTGTTTCTTTTGTCTTCTTTCTTATCACGTTCTCCTCTGAAATTTGCCTCTATCCTGGGCTGCCTTATCTACTTCCTGAGTCCCATGATATTTTCTCTGAGATGACCATAAAAATTGAGCAAGAAACTGCCTGTCACATTATAAATATTGACTGTAAGGAATCACAGAATGCCTCTAATTTTAGCTGAAAATGTAATAATAATAATGATATAAACAGCTACCATTTATCAAATACTTGTTATTAACCAAACCCTGTGCTAAGTGCTTTACACACACTAACTCAATGTACTGAGATTAAATTATATTACAACACAAGGATTTTGCCACTTTTGTAGCAGCAATTATCTATTGCCATGCCTTCTCCGTTTTCATTGCCTTTATCTGATCTCTGAATTGGACACTCTGCAGGACTCAAAATGCTGATTTTGCAACATCTCCTAGGCCCTCTGTGAAATGGAGAAGACGCCTCTTCTTACACTTTGATGCATTGCCTTCAGGTCTATGTCTCTTTTGTTTCTTTCCCATGCTGCTTTTGTTCTTGGAGATCTCTTCTGTCTTCCTAGAATCTTCCCCAAGGTCATGTTTCAGGCCAAGCAATCTTCCAAAGGCACCAGTTCTGAGTGATTTCCCCCTTCTGACACATTCCTATAGGAGTAGGCACATTTTGACAAAAGCCTCAACTGCAAAGCTGTCTTGTATGGCTCTAGAAGAGATAGGACAGGTGGCAGATGATGCCCAATTCCCAGCACAGCCCTGATGACGTCTCTCCTACCCTGCTCCTTAGGCACAGGCACCACTGTAATAGGAATAATCTTGAGTACATTCTTATTTTGTTTAAGTTAAAATTAGGTTGCCATGAATCTTACTCCACAAACACGAGTACAAAAAAAATCATAGTTGTGTGTAGAAAATCCTAAGGAATATACATTTTAAAAACTGCTGGAAATAATCCATTAGTTCACAAGATCACAGGATACAAGATCAGTGTACAAACATCAATTGTAATTCAATACTAACAATGAGCAATCTGAAAATGAAATTTAGAAAACAATTTCATTCATAATAGCACCAAAAAGAATAAAATACTTAGGGATAAATTTAACCAAAGAAGCATAAGACTTCTACGGTGAAAATTATAAAACACTGGTGATAGAAATAAAAGGTGATCTCAATAAGTGGTGAGAAATTTCATATGGAATATGTTAATTCTCTCTAAATTGATCTACAGATTCAACTCAATTGCTCTCAAAATCCCAGCAGGCCTCCCTCTGGGATTACTTTTCTGCCCTCATGAGAAGCCCTATGATCCACTGTCTGGGTTATCCTGTTAGCCAGAGCTGGGTGAGAGTTGGTTTCCTCAGATGCATATCTTTGTGCTAAGTAAAGGTTGAAAAGTTTCCTTTGAAATTGGTTTTCTAGTCATTTATTGTAGCCAAATAAACTAAATGTAGCTAAATGAGGCCCCTGCACCTACTGAGTAAGCAGAAATTGTAACCACCCATGGTCAGACGAGCTTAAAACACATGATTAAGGAAATGAAAAGACAAGCCACAGGTTGCTCTGAGAAAACTTGAAAATTTTTATCTGATAAAAGACTTCCAGAATATATCACAAAAAACTCTTGCACCTCAATAATATGAAGACAAACAACCCAGTTAACAAATGAGGCCAATACTTAAATAGACATTTCACCAGATAAGACATATGAAGGGCCAATAAACACAAGAAAAGATGCTCAACATCATTAGTCACTTGGGATTTACAAGTTAAAACCACACTGAGATACTACTTTATATGCACTAGAATGGCTATAATAAAAAGAGACAGAAGCAAGTATTGGGGAGGATGTGGAAAAACTAGAACTCTTACGCTGCTGGTGGAAATGTAAAATGGTGCAACCACTTTGGAAAACAGGTTTTAGTTTTAAAATGTTACCATATGACCCAACAATTCCATGCCTAGTTATCTACCCAAGAAAAAATGAAAATATGTACCAAAAAATCTCATTAATGAATGTTCATAGCATTATTATAATGTAAAAGTTCCAAAGTGGAAACAATCCAGTTGTCCATCAGCTGGAGAATGCATAGACAAATGTGGTATATCCATATAATTGAATAATATTCAGAAGTAAAAATGATTGAACTGCTTACATATGCTACAACATGGATGAACCTCAGTAATATTATGCTAAGTGGTGGAATCCAGAAAGAAAAGACTGCATAATATATAATTCTCTCTATATAAAATATCCAGAAGAGGGAAATTTATGGACATAAAGCAAATCAGTGGTTGTCTAGGGTTGGGGATGGAAGCAGGGAATGACTGCAAAAAGACACAAGGGGACTTGGGGGAGATGAGAATGTTTTACAATTGGATTGTGATGATATCTGCACATCCGTAAACATTTACTGAAAATCATTAACTTGTATTCTTACAATGGATGAATTTGATATATTTCATGCCTCAATAAAGCTGCTAAAAATTAGCATATAATGAGAGTGAGAAGTATAAATGGAACAAATTTGATAATACGTTGATAATTCTTGAAAATGGATGATGGATAATGAGGGTTCATTGTAATTTTTCCTTTTCGCCCTTTGTGGATATTTGAAATGTTGATAATAAAAAATTTAAAAGTAATTTTAAAATAGGAAATATCATAGTACTTTATTTTCCTTACATGAAATTAAACCTGGTTCACATATTATGAGGCTGGAGGAAAATGTAATCTCAGTCATTATAGTGGTCTCCTCGCTCGGATAACTCAACAATATTGGAGGCTTATGTGGCACCCTCAAAATCTTAAGGCTATTAGGTCATTATCTGGTATGAATGAGCCTTAGGAAAAAGTAAGTAATTTATGCCAAAGCTGGACCCAGGAATCTTTTCGGAGGTCTGTGCTACTCATGGTAAAGGCAACCCTCCCTAGGTCCCTACTAGGTTTCTGCATGGTCGTTCCCCTCTGAATCTTGGTCCCTTTGTTCCCAAGAAGAGATGTGACTTCTGACACTAGTTACTGAGTGTAACTTCTCCCATCTTATTCCAGTTTTTTTTCATTTTAACCTCTTCCCTGGATGTATCCTTTCACAATGGCCAGGAAAATAGTTCAACTTGCAGCCAGTTTTTCAGGTTGTGCTGATGAGGTAAGGATACAAAAAACATTCTTTAATTTAAAATGTGTGTGTGTGTGTGTGTGTGTGTGTGTGTGTGTGTGTGTGTATAAAGTACAGAGAATAATCCACAGGTAACTCCCATCTTCAAATTCATCTTTAGCATGCAAGCCTTAGTTCATTTTCTTATTTAATCATTCATTAAACAAATATTTATTGAGCCCCTCCAAGTAATGCCAGGCACTGTTTGAGGCACTGCAAGCACATCACTAAACAAAACCAACAAAGGCTTTGCTTTTATGCAACTTAGGCTGTAGGGCTTATGTTATCAAACTTTAATGTGCATAAGAATCATGTGGATATATTGTTAAAATGCAGATTCGAATTTCATAAGGTTTTGAGATTCTCTTTTCTTTTCTTTTCCTTTCTTCTTTCAGATGGAGTCTCACTCTTGTGGCCCAGGCTGGAGTGCAGTGTTGCGATCTCGGCTCACTGCAACGTCCACCTCCCAGCTTCAAGCGATTCTCCTGCCTCAGCCTCCTAAGTAGCTGGGATTACAGGCACCAGCCACCACGCCTAGCTAATTTTTGTATTTTTAGTAGAGACGGGTTTTTACCACATTGTCCAGGCTGGTCTTGAACTCCTGACCTCAGGTGATCTGCCCACCTTGGCCTCCCAGAGTGCTGCGATTTCTAAGAAGCTCCCATGCGGTGGTCATGCTGCTAGTACACAAAACACACTTTAAGTTGCAAGGCTCTAGAGGGTAAAAGGGGGAAAACGTGGAAAACACAAAAGTTAACCATTTACAGTTTTCTATACTAAATTATTACTAAACTCAGTCGGATGTGATGGCTCATGCCTGTAATGCCAGCACTTTGGGAGCCCAAGGCAGGAGAATTGCTTGAGCCCAGGAGTTCAAGACCACCTTGGGCAACATTGCAAAACTCCATCTCTACAAAAAATACAAAAGTTAGCTGCTGTGATGCACACGCCTGCAGTCCCAGCTATTTTGGAGAATCACTTGGACCCAGGAGGTTGAGGTTGCAGTGAGCCATGATTGGGCTACTGCACTCCAGCCTGGGCAACACAGCAAGACCCTGTTTCAAGCAAAACAAAACAAGACAACAAAAAAACCCCAAAATGTCATACTATTCTAAACAGCCAAGTTGCTCAGCACTTTCCCAGATACTCCCAGGTGCATTTTAAGAAGATACAAGGTTACAGGAATTCTGCTTCTAGGAATCCGTTTTAATGAACTCATTGGAAAGGCAGACAAAAGTATCTGTAGAAGGAATTTCATCACAGCATCATTATAACAACAAACAATTAGAAAAAGAAAAACCCTAAATATCTGTATTAGTTTCCTGTTGCTGCTGTAACAAATTACTTTAAAACTCATGGCTTTAAATGACACAAATTTATTCTCCTGCCACGCTGGAGGTTAGAAGGCTAAAATCAGGTTTTCACTGGGCTAAAGTCAAAGCGTCAGAGCTGGGTCCTTCCAAGGGATCTGAGGGAATAGGCTTTTTTCTTTCCATTTTTAGCTCTACTGGCTGCCCACATTCCTTGGCTTGTGACCCCTTCCATCTTCAAGCACATCACTTCAATCTCTTCTGTCATCACCTTGCCTTCTCTTCTCACTCAGATTCCTCCTGCATCCCTTTCATAAGGACTGCTATGATTTCATGGAGCCCTTGTGGACAGTTCAGTGTAATATCCCCATCTTCTAGCCTTAATCTTTGAGGCTTAAGATCCTTATCTTAATCAGATATGCGAAGTTCCTTTTGTCATATAAGGTAACATTCACAGGTTCTGGAATGTGGAACCTGTGATTAGGATGTGGACATATCTGGAGACCAATATTCGGTGATATGATTGGATGTTTTGTTCCCTTCAAATCTCATATTGAAATGTGACCTCCAATGTTTGAGGTGGGCCTAATGGGAGGTGTTGTGTCATGGGGGCAGATTCCACATAAATGACTTGGTAATCTCCCTGTGGTAAGAGTAGTAATGAGCTTACATGATATCTGGTTGTTTAAAAAATTTTGGGACCTCCCCACAACTTGCTTCCTTCTCTCTTGTTACCTTCTCACTATGTGACATGCCTGATTCCCTTCACTTTCCACCATGATTGTAAGCCTCCTGCAGCCTCTCCAGCCTCTCCAGAAGCTGATGTGAGCTCTATGCTTCTTGTAAAGTCTACAGAGTCATGAGCCAAAATAAACCTCTTTTCTTTATAAATTACTCAGCCTCAGGTATTCCTTTATAGCAACACAAATTGGACTAGCAGGAGCAGTAGACTTAATATCATCTCAGCAGTTTTTTAGTAACAAGAGAAAGGGTCATAGTGTAGGTCTCATAGTCAAGACAGAATCATACCAAGCTAAGCTGTGCAGATTATGCAATGGAGCAGGGTAATTTCCTAGACCTCTATGGCATAATTATGGCTTTCTCATGCTAGTCCAGTCATCGCTGATGTCTTCCAGGAATATTCCTATTCAAGTAACCAAACTGTTTAGCTTTTCCAATTCTGGCATTGTAGAGAAACAGTTTTTCAGACACACAGTCTATTTGTTCAAACGTGCTTCCCTACATCTGGATTCTGTATGCGAAGTTGGCTTTCTTTGAAGAATACCCCTTGTCTGACTTGACATCATTTAGTTTATTTATGTGGAGAACTCTCGGGGAAATACTATACCTATGTTATATGTGTGTGTGGATATAAAATGCAGAACAACAAATCATTAGAAGGTGTATTCACTCATCAAATTCTGAGTCCTTGGAGCTGTTCTAACATAACCACATAAACTACTCCTATGTATACTTTGCTAGAGTCAGCAAATGAGGAGCAAGCGGGCAAAATCTAATTGGATGGGTAGGGGACCCTAAACGACATTGCAGACTCCAGCCCTGAAAGTTCAAGGAACTCTTTTAAAAAAAAAACCTAGATTCTAACCTCCCTGAAGGTAGTGAACGTGTATGTATGTATGTACGTGTGTATGTATGTATTTCTTAGAATAGTACAATCTCTCCTACAATTTCTTCATATGTCTATCATTTGCTCAGTTCTTAGCACTAAACCTTGTGCATCTATACCATGACTATATTCAAAGAAAGAATGTAACCCTTAATAAATAAAAAATAGAAAACACGGGATGATCAAGTAATGGATTCAAACTGAGAGTGAACAAAATGCTAATAGTGTGCATTGATATACACATATCTTCTTCTTAAAGGTTTGAGAACATTAGATTATGTACTCCCTGTTTTTATAAATAAGATTTTAAAAACATGAAATTCATGATACATTAAAAAGCTTATATTAAAAACCAAAGATGAAAGACTAGATAAACCATACTTTATGTATCAAAAATAGCTCTCTCTTCCAATATATATTTTGCCATCTCTAAGAAATGGCCAATCAGATTATGTTGTCAAATTAGATGGAATGTCTGTGGTGGAAGATAAAATGATGATAAATAATGATTTTCATTAACAATCATAAAGCACAAAAATGGTTTGAACAGAGAGGCTTTAGGGTAAGAATTGACCAAGGATCAAAGAGTTGTTTTTGTTTTACTTTAAAATAGACATGAGAGCTTAGTTTAAGCTTCATGACAATACTAGGGTTTGGGTAAAACAAAGAGAACAGATTTCAGTTGAGCAAGGCATTACTTCCTAAATGGACTAATTCTGATAAATCACCAAGACATGTGGCTGCTAGATTCCAGACAATGAATTTATACAAAAGGAAACAAAGCCCCATAGACATTTTTATTGTGGATGTTCTCACTATGTCAGTACCAAACTATAAAACAAGGAAAGAAGTGAGTATAATTACAGCCTCTCTCAACAGAGCGAGGAGAATTGGTTTGAGAAAAGCCCATTGTAACTCGTTGCACTGGGGTGTTCTCTCAGCAGGACCATAAATCAGGTTCCAGCACAGGAACCATATCTATGCTATGTGTAGCTTTGGATCTGACTCACAGATGTTAAGCTGGCTTATCCCATGGACAGGCAATAGAAGAATAGTTGTAAGTTCTGAGACTAGTGTTTTGGGAATTTGTCTTAACTCTCTACATAATTCTGGATTGCTTTGGGGAACTTAATTGGCTTCTCTGAGCTGGGTTTCTCATTCATAAAATATGGCGGTGTGACTGCATGAACTGTAAGGACCTTTCTAACTTGAGCATGCTTTATTTCTGTTTCCTCTAAAATGCTAACTTGTATGATTTTCTCCAACTTCAGGGAAGTATTATAAAATTTAATTTCGTTTCTTTTTTTTTTTTTTTTTTTTTTTTTTGAGACCGAGTCTCACTCTGTCACCCAGGCTGGAGTGCAGTAGCACGATCTCAGCTCACTGCAACCTCTGCCTCCTGGGTTCAAGAGATTCTCCTGCCTCAGCCTCCCAAGTAGCTGGGACTACAGACACCCGCCACCATGCCTGGCTAAATTTTTGTATTTTTTAGTAGAGACAGGGTTTCACCATGTTAGCCAGGATGGTCTCGATCTCCTGACCTCATGATCCGCCTCGGCCTCCCAAAGTGCTAGGAATACAGGCATGGGCCACTGCGCCCGGCCATAAAATTTAATTTCTAACAAATGCAAAGGGAAACCCCAAATGTGCAGAACAGAAGTTTGTAGCCTGTTGATTTCTGATGTGATGAATCATATTACTGTTTCTCAAAAATTCACTTTCCTTCCTTGAAGAACCTCTTTTTGTGGGGGAATTATATGTCTTTGCCCTGTTGTACTCAGGAGTGAACTCGCTCATATGAACCTACTTTATTCAGTGGAATGTAGATGGAAATGATGTTACTTCAAAGATGAACGAATATTTTAGATTTGTCATGTCTCTTCTGTTTGTTTTGATGGCCAAAGATCATATCTGAGATAGAAGATATTCCATCAGCCTAAGTCCTGGAATGACAAATATTTGGAACAGTTAATGGTCATGTATTATGGACAAGAAATAAACCTTTGCTTTAAGCCTCTGCAATTTTGGGAATCATTTGTTTCTGCAGCAAAACCTAACCTTTCCTGAACTGATATACCTGCATTCTAGAAATGGCCAACTATGGAAAGCAGTTCTGATTTCTGGAGTATGATTCCAACCAAAAAAATCAGAATTACAAACTAATTTTAAAAAGGGTCTCTCTTTTTATTCTCATCTTCATTTAAGTAGTGCCACATCCATATATTTAAAAATTCTCTGCTAATGCTTTTTTTCTTTTATATTTTCATTGACATGTAATAATTGTACATATGGGATACAGAGTGATGTTTTGATACATGCATACAATGTGTAGTTATCAAATCAGGGTAATTAGCATATCCAAAATCTCAAACATTTGCCATTTCTTTGTGTTGGGAACATTTGAAATCCTCTCTTCTAGCTTTTTTGAAAATATACAATAAACTATTGTTAACTATAGTCACCTTGTAGAGCTATAAAGTTCTAGAACTTATTCTTCCTGTCTAGCTGTAATTTTATATTCATTAACCAACCTCTCTCTAGCCATCTCTCCCCACTACCTTTCCCATCCTCTAATAACCACAATTCTACTCTCTAATTGTATGAGCTCAACTTTTTCTTTTAGCTCCCACACGTGAGTAAGAATGCTTATATCAGTTGCCCCAGTGAAGGCACTAGGCTCTGGAACACATGGGCAGTTTAGTTTCTATTGAGCCTATGATGCCTTTAATATTCTTCCAGTATTCGTACCCAAAAGATTGCTTCTGTGTCTTTCATCTATTTGTTCAACTAATATTTTTTGAGTACATACTAACTATCTGGAAAGCACTGGAGATGAAAGAGTGAAAAGATACCCTGGTCCCTTAACTGGCTATATTGTATCTTCCAGTAGCTTAAAAAAAAACAGGTGCAAGAGGTGTGATAAATGCTGTGCTAGGAAGTGCATAGAATGTTATGGGAACACCTAGGATGAACATTTTAAATCAAAGCTCTGACACTGAGGAAGGCTTTCTAGAGGAAGTGTTGCCTAATATAGGAACTGAAGAATAAATAGTCATTAGACAGAAGAATTATGAATGCATATGTGTGTGGGAGTGTAGGGGCTATGGAAAGATGGTTGGGTAATTATGCGTGGGAGGTTGACTTTAAGTTAACCAAAGAGCAGTGATATGGTTTGGCTGTGTCTCCACCCAAACCTTATCTTGAATTGTAGCTCCCATAATTCCCATGTGTTATGGGAGGGACCTGGTGGGAGGTAATTGAATCATGGGGGGCAAATCTTTCCCATGCTGTTCTCATGATAGTGAATAAGCTTCTTGAGATCTGATGGTTTTACAAAGGGGAGTTCCCCTGCACATTCTCTCTTGCCTGCTGCCATGTAAGATGTGACTTTGCTCCTCCTTGCCTTCTGCCATGATTGTGAGGCCTTCCCAGCCATGTGGAACTGTGATTCAATTAAACCTCTTTCCTTTATAAATTATACAGTCTTTGGTATCTCTTTATTAGCAGCATGAGAACAGACTAATATAGGGAGATTATCCTGGGTGTGTGATAGGGTTTGGCTGTGTCTCCACCCAAATCTCAACTTGAATTGTAATAATCCCCATGTGTCAAGGGTGGGGCCAGGTGGAGATAATTGAATCATGGGGGCAGTTTCCCCCATACTAATCTCATGGTGGTGAACAAGTCTTATGAGATCTGATGCTTTTATAGGTGTTCCCCTACACAAGCCTTCTTGCCTGCCACCATGTAAAACGTGACTTTGCTTCTCCTTTACCTTCTACCATGTTTGTGAGTCCTCCCCAGCTACATGGAACTGTGAGTCAACTAAACCTCTTACCTTTATAAATTATCCAGTCTCAGCTATGTCTTTATTAGCAGCGTGAGAACAGACTAATCAGAGGAGCCTTTAAAGAGAGTGGCACATTGGAGAGATATGAACCTGCTAGCCTGGGGGTAAATAGCCATGCTGTGAACTGTGCATGGGGAGTCACCCGACAAGGACCACTTGTGACTTGTACTAGCTGAGAAGGGTCCCAGGCTGATTGCTGGCAAGAAACTTCAGTAATACAAGTGCAAGGAAATGAGTTCTGCCAATAACCAATGTGCTTGAAAGAGAACATCAAACTCAGGTTAGAATTACAGCTCTGGCTAATATCTCAATTTCAGCCCAGTGAGATCCTGAGTGGAAGACCCAGATAACTTGTACCTGGACTCTGACCCACAGAAACTGTGAGATAATAAATTTGTGTGACCTTCAACTGCTGAGATTATGCTAATGTGTTACGCAGCAAGAACACAGCAATGAAGAATACACTGTATGGTTGTGTGACTTCAGGGAAGTTACCTACCTTCTTTGTACCTCATTTTTCTTGTCTATAAAACAAACATGATAATTATCACTGAAATATGTGATATGTGATAATATAAGCAGGCTACCTAGTCAACATGGTTTAAGTACTGCTTCTCATTCCCCAGCCCACCAGCACCATCTTAAGCAATGGCTCTTCTGAAACATTCTGCCCTGGTTGTTCCTTCAAGAGCTGGCACAGGGATAAAGGCTGCCCTAGGTGCCATTTGCCCAGCAGCCAGTCCTAGGGTCAGTGTTTTGATGAAAATTCCTATTGTAATGCATAACCATGAGGAGTCCAGAGCGAAATTGCTTTGGGAGCCTTTGTGTGATTAACATTTCAGCTGTTTATGGAGTCTTTGCCCTATTATTTCCTGTTTTAAAAATTAATGTGCTGGTTTCTTTATTATTAAAAACCAAGAAAGGGAAGTTCAGCTGGAGCACAGGAAATAGTTCTATGTGATCCAAATATAAGTTTCTGAGTAGGGAGGATATTTGGAGGACTCCTGTTTTACTTAGATGTTCTTTGAGTTCCCACAACTTTTTATTTTGAAGTCATTGCTCCCCAACTCTACCCCCAAGCTCTCTGCCCCTCTGTCCTTCCTATCCCTAGATCTGAATGGAGGAAAGACATTCGAATCAAAGGCATTATGACTTATAAACAATGCCAATGGCAGTTTACATGACAGAATCATAAAAACCCATTGACTTAGAGAGTTTTTCAGTCAGAAGAAATCTTGGAGGGCACGTAGTTTGATCCCCTCATTTTACAGATGAGAAAACTAAGGCTTGGAGGTTTTTTGTTTTTTTTTTTTGAGATGGAGTCTTGCTCTGTCGCCCAGGCTGGAGTGCAGTGGCGTGATCTTGGCTCACTGCAACCTCTGCCTCCCGGATTCAAACAATTCTCCTGTCTCAGCCTCCTGAGTAGCTGGGACTACAAGCATGTGCCACCATGGCCTGCTAATTTTTTTGTATTTGTTTTAGTAGAGATGAAGTTTCACTATGTTGGCCAGAATGGCTTGGAGGTTTAATTGCTCAAGGAGACACAGCTAATCAGTGCCTAACTTTTCTCTGAAAGAAACTGGATTTTGGCATACTTTCCTCAAGTATTCTGAATCTATTATGTTTATTTTCTATGTGTAGAAGTTTAAGAACTCTTGAAATGTAAGGATCAAATATTCTCTTCTTAGGGATACACCCCAGTATAGATGTCATCATAGATCCTGATGATGTGTAATGCTGTCACCAATTGAACTTCCACAGGGAATGCAAAGACCTAGTTCAATAAGAAGGAAAGATTTAGATTAGATTTAAGGGGCAGAAATATCTCAGTTGCAAGCACTAGCTGTCATGTGGGATTGGGAAATAACATTCTTTAAGGATCATTGAGGAAACTATAGATTTGTGCATCCGTCACATGGGTTTACTCATTATTTACTTGGTATCACTCATTCTCCTTTATCTACTATCCCAGTATATTTCTGATGACTTGCATTTCTATATTAGGACAGTCTGGATTCCCTTCTCCCAAGAGAAAAAAAGAAATTCTTTGTAATCAACTTGAGAGTATAGTGAAGCTTTTGGGTGGATGGAGCATTTACTGTGTGTGCAGAAAAGTTAACAAAGCAGGCCTGAGACTGCTATCCTTAGACTGGCCCTTGACTGGCATCTGGAAGCTTGGGTAAACAGTTTCCTGCACTGATATCAATGGCCCCTCACTGACAAAAATGGCTCGGTGTGCCTGAACTGTTTGTACAATTTCATTCATGTTGAACACCTGCTTTCCTTCTGGGATTCTGGATTGGGTACATGCTAGACAATGAATTCTTAAGGGACCCATCTCCCAATAAAAACCTTGGGCACTGAGTCTCTGGCGAGCTTCCCCAGTAGACAGTTCAGGCATGTTGTAACAATCGTTGCTGGAGGAATTAAGCACGTCCTGTGTGACTCCACCGGGATAGACACCTTCAAAGCTGGCATCTGGTTTCCTTCAGACTTTGTATGACAAACTTTTGCCTTTTGTTGATTTTGCTTTATATCCTTTCACTGTAACAGCTCTTAGCTGTAAGTACAACTGTATGCTGAGTCATGTAAATCCTTCTAGCAAATGATCAGACCTGAGGCTCGTCCTTCTGGGGAAAATATGCATTTTCTGAGAGGCTTCCCTAGTACCACACAAGCAGCAGGCCCTTGCTTTAGGGAAATCAAGTTCAACAGCCAATATGAAGAAAGACAATCCACTATAAAATACTCAAATAAAGTGTTATTTCTCTTTCAAACCCATTTCCCTCTGCTTTGCCTACCAACCCACTCCATATCCCTTATATGTTCTCTTTTAATTTTCTACTTTACTTCTTTTCTTCTTCTTCTCCATTGTCTTAGGATCTATCTGCCCTATCTTATATTTTGTACTGTGAATTATATGACAGAAGAGGCTATATAAATAGCAGAAAAAAAAGCAACAGATGTGTGTGGAGACTCCGTTTTGTGCTCAGGAATGTTGTCTTCTAATTAAACTAAAATCACTAATAATTTAATCCCTCAGTTTTCTAGTCTAATAAATAGGGCTACCAACACCGGCCCGTCTTGCATCTGTAACTCGAGGGGATCAAATGAAATAATTTTTATGCAAGAATTTTAAATACTTGAGTTACATTAAAAGCAGAGACTCATTAGTCTCTTGGAGTTCTACACAAGTGGGTTGCATGAGAAATCTTTGCTCATGACATTTGGGCATCCTTTCTGTTTATTCAGAAAATGACAGACAAGAGAAAAGATTCTCAATGAGGAAGGGCCACAGGAATAGTTATACATGAGAAAAAGAAGGTTTGAAGAAGGCTGTGATTGTCTTCAAATATAGGAAGGACAGATATGGAGCAGGAGCAACAGAATAATTCTATATGACTCCACAGGATTTAATCAGGACTAATGGGAAAAAGCAAGGAGGAAGAAGAGGAAAGACCCGGCTGAGGCACCAGGAGAAGGGACGCACAAGAACCTAGTCATTGGAGCTGTTCGAGGCCAGGTTGAACCACTGCCCACGGCCAGTCTCCCATGTTGCATGCAGATTTATGAATGAACTTCTTTTGTGAACCACCCCCACAATGTTTGCAGCAGTGCTCTCTGTACTATTATTTACTGGATCTTTTTCTTTAAATAATTCATTTATTTCTTATTAGGTACATTTATTTTGCATATTTAATGCTAATTTTTGTAATACACATTAAAATAAAAGCGTAACTATAAAAAACTTACATTTGTCGGTAAACCCCAAACTAGATGCCTTTGAAACCTAGCATTACATAGAAATTCTTAAGCCAAATGAAAGACAAAAACAAAAACAAAACTATGTATGTGGGATCCTGACCCCTAGTCCTGTGAACCCCTGGGTCACTTGACTTCGCATAGTCTTTCTTGAAGGAAAGGATATTGCCCCATTTGTGGAGTATCACCCTGTGTCTCCTCATAGGAGATCATAAGGCCTTCCTCTTCCATGGATGAATTTGCTCATCACCTCGCAGCAACCTACCGGGACAACCAGGTGTAAACCAAGACTAAAGCAAATGGGGATGTATGGTAGCGCTACCTTGTCCTCACCCTCACTGCCGTGGTTTTGTACTTCCGAAATAAAGCATCAGCTCTTAATTATTTCCTCTGGCTCAATTTTCTAGGGATCAAGCAAAGACATCCCTTTCTCTCATATATACACTTGGTCTGCGGAAGTTATGATTCTGCCCGTGGGATCACAGTTGATTAAAGGCATCTGAATCAAGATAGATCCGTTTCCTTCTTGTTGGAATATGGAATTTCAACCTAGAGAAAAATGTGTTAGTTTGATAGGACTGCCATAACAAAGTTCCACAAGCTGGATGGCTACTGGAGAGGAGCAGTGATTAGTTTCTTTCAGGGTCTGAGCAAAAAGCAGATTGCAACTATATACTCGATGAAAAATAAGCAGTGGCTAAATTAGAGGAAACCATAAAGCAAACATCTTAAGTAGAAGCAAATACCTGAAGCAACGGACCTTTATTAATCAAGGCTGTAGACAGATGTAGGAATTTTATAATACCTGTTGATACTGTAAGTGTACCTTGGTATGTTACTTAATGGAGAAATGAAAACCATGTTTAATAAAGCAATGTTGGAAAACAGCTTCATCAGTCAGATTTACCTCCTTAAACTCTGGGCCAATTTAAGATCTTTGCAAGCCTTAGGCTCTCATACTTCTGGAGGCCCACATCATATCAAATACATTTTCATAAGGGAAATGAAACATTTTAATTTATATATAACTGTCTTAAGATTTGTCTTTGAATAGTTAAAAATGATACCTTCTGTAGATTTAATAGTAGCATTTACTAATTCCTATTTTGCAATTTCCTTTTCCAATTATAAACTAGATACTTTTTTTGTTGCTTTGTGTGCATGTGAGTTTTGAAAATTTTATAGGCCCTAGGCATTGTGCTTTTGGTGTCTAGTGGAAGAAATGGATTTGTTTGTGTCTTAATACTTAAAAATTTTTTACTGATTCTATAATTATGTTTCTCTTAGCAACTACAAAACATAATTAAGAAGTGGTATAGTATTTAAAAGGCTGTAACATTTGCACTCAAGAAAAGTGTCTAGAAGTAATCTCATGTTCCCACAAACATAAGAAGTAGTTCTGTATAAAGCTACTGTTAATAGCCCGTGCAGTGAAAAATAATCTCTAATTTAAAGAATACTTTATTATAAAGGGCAACTAGAAAAGCTACCTTTCATGATTAGCTGATGCACATGGCATCAATCTATCTTATTCCGACTCAAAATATGTTCAAAAGCACAGCATATAACCATACTGTAGTTCAGGCTACTTATGTAGTTTCTACATTTTTGACATAAAATAAAATTATGATAGTGGAAAGGAAAATGACTAGGTACAGTTGTAGATATGGCATTTCTTGCTTAAAAATAAAAGTCAGTTAACAATGTGGCCATTTGAATGTATCTCTATTTTCCCATATTAGGATTTCATCCAAAAGAGTGGGCTCACCATTCCTCAGATGGAGTGCTCAACTAATTTAATACAGTTATACAAGACTAGTCTCACAGTGTTTGTTGGGGTTCAGCTCAGGGTACTTTTGGGAGCTTTTTCTCCTCTCAGATCTACTATAACATTTGTGTTTCATTTAGCTCATGACTGAATACAATTTTGCATTGTTTGTTAATTGCTTTCTGTCTGACCCTTCAGGAACAGTAGGCATCTTGAGGGAGCATCTATCAGCTTGTATCTAAGTTAGAAAAGGAACTCCACTGAACACAAGCATGGCTGCTTGAGTTTTCCTGAATATACAGATATTTGCCTTGCTTGTAATAGCTCAGGTAGCCACACAGCTCTCTCAGGCCTGCTAGTCTATATTCAAATAGACTGAATCAATACTTATTGATCTGAATCAAATTAATTCTTCCCTTTTCTCAATCCATCAATTAATCAACCAACCAACAAATACCGGTTGAACTCCAACTATATTCGTAGTACTATTTTCCCAAAGAGCATATTTTACAATAAAATGGCTGAATCGAATAAACACCAATTTAAGATCTACAATTTGGGGACAGATATGAAACACAATAGTATTCTTTGTTGGCAAATGAAAAGCGATGTTAGGTGAAATAAGTCCTCTCCCATGTGTGTTGTATGATCTTTATAAAATTTGATAATATTTATCAAAAGCCCAGCAAATTTTCTTAAGAGACAGCTTGGAATACTAGTTAGGAGCATGTACTTGAATTCAAATCTCAATTCCATTACATACTCATGTGTGATTTTAGGATGTTACTTAATCTCACTGCCCCAACTTTCTCATCTGTAAAATAATTTACAATAACCTATAATAGTACTGATCTCTTATAAGGATAAAATAAACCAATATTATTAAAGTTAACAGTATCTGCCATATAATATGAATTATATAGGCTTCTAAAATATCTTTTGACACAGTATTTGGGCTTATGGAAACTTTGAGTAAATAACCAGAGATGGGAAAAAGGATTTAGGCATAAGAAGGAAAAATTAAATCCATCTTAAAGTAAAACAAGATAGAAATGGTTAAATTCATTAGAGTATATTCATATTAGAGTGTATTATACAGCCATGAAAAATTAGATTTTCAAAGAATATGGTAATGGAGAAGTTCTTAGATACAATGTTATGTTTTAACGAGAGTATCCAAAGTTGCCTATAGGCATTATAATCCTAATGCTCTTAGAAGGCACATAGAAAAGTGCTAAAAGAAAATATCAAAATATTAATGGTGATCATCTCAGGGTACTAAATTAGGAATAATTTTATATTTTATTTTTTATCTTTTCCATAGTTTCAAAATTTGCCACAAACATGTACATTATTCTTACATTTAGAAAAAAGAAGGAAAAATATATATTAAAGAAGTATACAGAGAAAAGTGGTGATCAATGAATTTTATTTCCTTTAATAAATTTTAATTTTTTTCTGAGTTTCTGAGTAAACAGAATGGGAATCTCAAATACATCCAAAGAGTAACAACTTTCAAATAAAAAAAATTTTAAAGTCTAATTATTAGAGAGTATCCTTTAATAAACAGCATTAAATACATGTGTATACATGTGTATATGTAAATACATACACACAGAGGGGTATATATTTTTAAGGGGGAATATATATATATATGTGTGTATATATATGTGTATATATATATATGTATATAATTAAGAAGCTTAAATGAATCATGCTCTGGCCAGGGGGTGATGAAGCAAAAACTGATGAGTTTTGGATAAATTCAGCAATAACTCAAGTCAGTAGACTGGTAGGACTCAAAGCCAAGTTTCAGGGAAGAAAAAACCAAAAACTAGAGACATGATCTTGGGAGCTGGTAATTTACAAAGGCTAAATATTATTGCAAATCTGACAAATGACAGAACTGAAACTCACTCCATCATCTGCCAGCTAAGTGACAGAATCCCCATGCAGGCCTAGGGGGTTGCTTATTCCACCCAATAGCCTCCCTTTCCTGGAGATGTGAGTTATGAGCTCAAATCCCTAAGTTTCTTAATGAAAATTGTACCTTCAAATGCTTTCAAATTTTTTCTTCTTTCATTTCCTAGCTTGGAGGAAAATAAAGTATGTCTTCATAGTGGGTGTCCAAGGAATATTTATGGCCTAGGCAATTGCTACCTGGATTTTCTTAAAATAATATGAAAGGAAAATAAAAGATGCTCTGAACACTTGTAAACCTGCCCACTGAATCAAAGAATACCTAGAAGCACTTGGTGGCTAACATAATAATTACCGGTTGTAATGGCTGAGGTGTATTTCTTTCTCATTTTTATAGAAGCTGTGTGCCTGTAGTCCAAGAACTAGAGAACGTTACATAGGAAAATCTTAAGGTTAAAGACACATCCTTTTTATAGGAAATAGGCATGAGATAAATGCTCACCCACTTTAAAAAAGAAATCGATAATTGTAATTCACTTGAAAGAAAGCAGTCTTAATTTATAAGCTTTAAAAGAAACTGTCTTTACTATACTGCAGAGTATTCTAAGTGTGTATCATAGCTAATATTTTATGCATACATTTTTCAGTTGAAGGCATTTGCTATAATTCAGCTTTAACAAACTCTGTTCTCAGCTGTATCTCAGAGTATGACATATATCCATTGTCCAGCTATAAATCTGTAGTTGTTATTATACTTTTATGAATCTGATTCATGCAGGAAGCATTATCCCTGCAACTTTAATTAAGGAGTTAGGAATTTTCCTGTTTGAATTCCTGGCATTCTGCACACTTTATTGCATCTTTGCTCGTGAGCCTCAAATGAGATATTTGGATTACAGATCCTTAGAAGAATAAAATCCATAAGCTCTAAATCAGGAATGGGTAAGTGGATTTGATCCAGCTTTAGAACTGACTTTGATGGTTCAAATTGCATTGAGTCTCTTAGGATTAGGTCAATCATTAATATCTAAATTTTTAAAGCCATAATTATAGGCATTTATTGGTATCAGGATATTAAAATGCAGACTTTTGTTGTTTGGCTTCTTATTTCTGGAAAGCACGCCAGTCTCTTACTTGGGCTTGACTAAAGCCAAGATTCTGTTGGACTCAAGATCAATATGACAAAAATCAGATACAGGGCAGAGGGAATGGCCTGTTACATTAGACACTGTTACTTTTAATATAATGAGCTTGGAATATATCTTTGCGCATATGTGCAGGTGATTTTACACAATTACACGTTTCTATACCATTATAGCTCTAGGTTGGCTGCCTCATTAGACATCTTGCATTACCATCTCATTCCTGATTTCCTGTTCTAATGCTACAAATACAAACAATGTAATAATAATACCAGCTCCTAAATACCAGCCCTGGTCTAAGAGTTTTGTATGTTAACCCATTGAATGCTTCTAACAAACCAATGAGGTCATTACTATGATTATCCCCATTTTATAAATAAGAAAACTGGGAAAATGAGAGGTTAAGTAACTTTCTCAAGACCACAGAAGCAGAAGATGGCAGAACTACAAATCTATGCTCAGGCAGGTCTGGCTCCAGTTTTCACACTCTTAAGCACAATGCTACACTGCCTGTACTAATAGAACTGGCAGTACATATTTATTGAGCATCTTTGAACAGCACTTCCCTGTCCTATCAGGAACATGTTTGAGACTGTGATGTTGACCCTAAGGAGCTTGCAGTCTGGTCATGAGACAAGAAGTGCACACAGGAAAAACTTACGAATAAATACATGCCGTGTTATTAACATTTATTGAATAATTGGTCTGTTCCTTCTACCATACTATTAACTAAATGCATGTAACCATCTGTAAGGAGTCAACGGTTTTTTTCTATGTTTCACAAGAGAAGAAACTAGAGATAAGTAACTCAAGTCCCACAGCTAGTAAGTAGCAGAGATGAGGTTGGACCTAGGCAGCTTGAATCCAGAGCCCTTGTTCTTAATCACTGTATTATCCTGGATGTGAACAAGTCTTCAAATGCATGTGGCAAGTAGCTGAAAAGCACTATAAGAGCTTCGCAAGAGTAGGAAGGGTGAAGAATCCAGTTAATCAATTACTTAGCTAATTAATTAATTCAATATTTATTGGTTATCTTCATTGTCTCCAGCTAAAACAGTTGGCTCTGAAATGTTGTTGGCTCTTTAAACTTAAGTATGGTCTGTTTTGTTTCCAGAGCCCTGCACATTGCCTGCCAAGAATATCCCCTGTGCTCTGCCTTCCCTGGCACCATCCCACTCACTAACTTTACCACCTCTATTAGCAACATTGTATGGCTAATTCCCATTCACCTTTCTGGTCTCAGCTTGGATCCTAAAGCCTCTGTAAAGACTTTTTGCCCCTCCAAGAGATGAATGGGTGCACTCACATGTAATCCCGCTCCATCGTAGCACCTACTATACTGTGTCATGATTGCAGGTTTCCTTTTCCATCCACCTACTTCATGCCCTGCTCTGCCATATCTGTCCCTGAACCAGCACTCCCTAACCCACCCCAACAAGTCTCTGAGCTTGAGTATTGGAACTGGGTCTTACTTCTGTTGAATTGCAAGCTTCTAACGCAAAGCCCAACATATAACTGTTGTACAGATATGTTTTGGTTGAATGACTTAGTTCTATGTGCCAGGCACTGTGCATTAAAACACTTAGTATGTGGCAGGCATTGGCAACACATCAATTTCCAAAATCTCATTGAACTCTGATAATAATCCTCTGAGGTATATTATTATTTCTATTTTACAGGCAAGAAAATTGAGAATTAAGGGCATTAAATAATATCCTCAAGGTCATATAGTAAGTGAGGAGTTGAAATTAGAAATTATGTCTGTTTGACCCTAATCCTCTGCTCCATATGAATCAATCATTGCAATATAGTTTCTTAAAGTCATAATGAAGTTATAATAAGGCATACAGATGATGTAAAGGAATCAGAAATTATCTTCTCATGATTCGTGGGGGTGGACAGCAGGATCTTTGCAGGGAGGTGATCCTGAAGAATAAACCTGATACACAGAGAGGGATCAGCACATTCAAGTGTCATGAGCTGTAAAATGTCCTGGCCTCTTTCTTCAGGGAGTGGTGTGGATTATTCTGTAACTGGAACACAGAGTGCAGGGGAGAAGCAGCCGAGGTGCTTGGAATGGAGTATCAAGGGTACAAGAGCCAATCTAATGCAAGCGGGGGATCTGGCAGGAGTAGAGGAATGACCAAGGGATGTATCTGCCTTAATTCTAAGAAGGCGAGCGTGTGCTCCCAGGGGAAGAGTGGCATTATCAAACTCTGGAAGGCATGCTAAGTTCAGAGTGAAGTCAGGTGGTGAATCAGTTGACAAATAGAGGAAAATAATTTTCCCTCCATAATGCATAAGAAACAAGAGTCCAAAGCCTTTCACTTTGTCAGCAACTCTTCGAATCACATACTATAGACAGTTGAGTGGAGACTGGAAGGAGTGGAAGAGTAATTACTGAATACATCGGACATCCCCTCTATTCCTTCTCATTCTCCTCCTGTAACACATGCTACTTTATCTACTGTTAGTATTATGTATGTGCTAGACACCACACTACACACATACTTTTGTTTATTTTCCTCGATCCTTCCATTGTGGAGAGTATTAGTACCCCCACTTTCTGGATAGGAGAATGACCGATCAAAGAGGCTAAGTGACTGGTCAAGTCTCGTAGCTAATTACTAACAGCCCAGATTAACCCCATGTGTATATGACATCAAAGTCTATCATCTTAACTGATTTTATGTAGATTAAATAATACCAAATATTCAGTGCCTCCTCGGAGTCAAACACTTTATCTACCCGACACATAACAAATATGATAAGATATTTGCTCTGTCCCTAATCTTTTAGTTCATTAATTCTTAAAAAGTAAAGATTTGTCTAAAATTCACGTGCTATTTTCTCTGGAGCAATTTCTTCCCTGTTTTCCTCTACCTCATTTTCTAATTCCACATTTAGAAAGCATGGGATATTTTGATTATTTGCTGAGATATTAGAAATTCTCTTTTAGAATCTTGTATTTGCTTTTGAAGTCCACAGTTGGAGCCTAAGAGAACAACTTCATGAAAGAGCTTTAAAAATTAATATGTGGTGTCAGTTGCACTCTCGGTCCCCTTTTAATGAGAAAGGGACAGGTTATTGTGCTATTACACAGTACAGCCTATTCCTGGAAGCCATCTTAAGCTGTTCAGGATAATGTATCTCTACACTGCATCAGTCTCTTTGTTCCATAGATGCTGTTTTTTAAAGAATGTTATGAACAGCAAATGGCTCCTTAGAACATTGTAATCACTCAATCTGGATTTTCCAGCATTCTTGGTATAAGGAAGGATAAAATGCCCATGAGGCAGTGCCAATTTTTAAAGGATGGTTAACTCCAGATTTCACACTCTTGGGGCATTGTGAATGCCTGGATCAAGGTCTGATATGTTCCAGCTAATGTGCTAGAATAAATAAATACTTAGACTTCCATTAGAAGGAAGACTGGGAACAAAAGAGTACATCATTCATTCATTTAGTCAATCAACAAATATATAAGGAGTGCCTATTCTATATTGAGCACTGTTGAAGGTGCTGAGGATACAAAATTGTTACCCTCAAGGTGCTTACATTATCCAAGAGAAGACAGATAATAAACCAAAAATATATTAGATTATATCAGAAAAATAAATCAAGATAAGGAATGATACGAGTGAGACACTATTTTATAGAATGAGCAGGAAAAGGCCTCTCTAAGTTACATCTCAGCTGAGATATTAAGGAAATGATTGATCAAGACAGGCAAATGTCAGGGGAAGAGTGTTTCCAGCAATCATGGCAAAGTTCCTGAAGTAGGAGTGCTTTTAGGGAACAGCATGGATGCCCCTGTGGCTGGAACAGAGAGAGTAAGGGAGAATGACAGGAGATGTCATCAGGAAGATGCAGGGGAGAGGCAGGGAAAGTTTGGGTCAAAGGCCATCAAGCCTCATATAAGCCCTTGGTAAAGAATTTAAATATTATACTGTGTGAATTGGAAAACCACTGCAGAAGGTTGAGCTGAGGAGTGACATGATCTGACTCACCTTTTTCAAACATCTATCTGCTCAGCATAGAATCAATGTAGGGGCAGATGTGAAAGCAGGGCAGCCATAGATCGAAGACTGTGTTCATCTGGGCAAGACATGCTGCTGCTTGGACCAGGGTTATAGGGGTAGAGATGGCCAGTGGTGGTTTCATTTTACATATTTAGAAAGAAGAGCTGTTAGAATGTGCTAAGAGGTTGGATGTGAAAGGGAGTAATCCAGATTTCTTTTAACTGTATACCTGGAAGAATGGAAGTGTTATTTAGTGAGACAGGAAAGATTTCAGGAGAAACAGATGGAGAGTAGGGGAGCATTATCTCAGGTTTGGATATCAGTGTGAGATATGTGGTGGACATCTGTGTGGAGTTGTAGAGGAGGCACTTCTGTAGTGAGTCTGGAGGTCAGCAAGAGGTCTGCGCTGAAGATTTGAATTTGGGATTCATGAGTCTGTAGTTAATCCATGAGACTAGATAAAACCATCCAGGTCAGTGTTGGTAGAACACAAGTTCTTGACCTGTCTCTTCAAGGGGTTCAGTTATATTATCAACCTGGTATAAAACCCCCAACATGTTTTGTTTTCATTCCATCCCTTCCGAGGGTGCAAAGTTTCTATGCTTTTCCTAAAACAATTTAAAGTTAAGTGCCACTCAAGCTAACTACAAATCTTTTTTCTGAAATTCTAAGAGCTTTAATAGAGAACAGCAAAGCGGATGGTAGACTCTGCAGAAACAAAACAATTCTGAGCGGCTTTCTTGCTTTACCTGTGATAAAATGAATCGGTATGGCCCAACCACATGGGGGCGCATTCAGAATGCCCATTTCTCCTAAATATCTACCAGCATCACAAGTGTGTTCCTGGATTCTTATCAGTCGTAATGGTAGCTACTGATCAAGGCCCCAGAGCCATATTGACTTTTGTAAAGGACTTTATACTGAATGTTTATTTAGTAAAGTAGAGGCTTGAAAGGAGAGCTATGGATACCCCATACTAGGGGAGGCAAGTAAGAGAATGCATAGTGAACCACACGTCTGAAAGTGAATGGTGAACACATGTATATTCCACTGTAACTTTTATTCATGAAGAAAAGATGTCATAGTAATTGTGAAAGGGAACAAATAAACTGTTTCTACACGAAGTCTCCAAAATAGAATCTGTTGAGATGTGGATGAGACTTGGAGTATTTGATTCAATAGGATGGAAGGACAAAGCGGAGATATATTCTACTAGGCTGCAGCAGGTCCATGCAGTGCAAAGTGCTTTCCAGAGGTGGGAGAAGGTCTAGCCAGGCAGGTATATTAAGGGCATGTGGACAAATAATGGTAGATGGTCATGCAGTTGAAGGATGACATAGGTTACAGTGGTGCATTGACTGCAGCAAAGCCTGGTAAAGGAGGCACCAGAAGCACAAAACTCACCGAAGTTGAAACTGGGAGTTCTAGCTTGGAAGTAATTAGCCACAAGCCTAGGTCAGAGCCAGGACTCCAGTTTTAGGACATAAGGAATGGAAACCCAGGGCTATCGGAACAAAGCCAGGAAGGTAATTTGATCTTACATTTATGTAGACCCTTAAGTTTAGAATTTTTGCTTTATCTCTTGTATCAGTCAGAGTTGTATCAGGAGATAAATGCCATTGTCAAATTGAGTAATTTTTGGAGAGCCTAAGGAAGGGACTATTATTAAGGTGTTGACCATATATAGAGATACTGCAAGGGATAGTGCATTTCCCTGGAGGTAGAACAGTGGGGGAGCTGTTACCATCCACAGATGTGAAGAGTTGCAGGGGAGAGCTATAAGCAAAACTTGGAGACAGAAGCTGTGTGGAGAAGAAACCCTGTATGAGCTCTGAGTGTAGGTTGAGAGAGGCAGACAGCCCATGGTGACCCAGCTAGGTTAGAGCTAGGGGCATATATTTCTGACCCAATCTCACTAGCCCCCAACCTCTTGCTACTGTTCTGCACTGGCAAACTCAACAGGAAGCCATGGGCAAGGGAGCATGGTGAGCTGTTTCTACAAGTCAGCCTCAGCACAGAGCAGGGTAGAGGGGTGATGAGTGGATTTGCAGGGACTAAGGAACATCATCCAGTACATCTCCCGATGAGAATACATGCATAGAAAATACATGAGCAGATGAAAAAAATTTAAAGAGAGAACACAAACAAGCATAGGTGATCAGAGTGTAGAGTCACTGGTTGTATCATTTTATATCGGAGTCCCATTCCTGCTACATTTCTTGTAATGCATTTTGAATTTATTTTAGAAATTAATTCTATAATTTTCTTGTGACTAACACAATCATATTGTGTTGAACTTTTTGCATGTTAAAAACATCTTTCTACACCAAGTCTCCAAAATAGAATCTATTGAATAAAAAACAGTTTATTCAAAGTAAACATTTAAAGAATATCACAATTTAAAAACTCTTTTGGAATTGCGTGTGTGCACCATTTTTTAAACATCTGAGAGACTTCACCTCTACCAAGCACAAGGACAAAGTTGTGTTCCAGCTTCAGAGAGATTGGCTTCCCAGTCATGCATCCAAGCAGACAATCAGGTGCAGAAGAATGAGACAGGAATCATTTGTCAGCACGGAGATGAAAGATGGGCGTCTTGATTGAAAGACTGAACATCAAAAGTAGGGCAAAAGACCAAACACAGGCCAGAGTTGAGCAGACTCCATAGTTGTTATTGAGTTCTAAATTGGGATTCTCTCAGTGTTCTCTGATGAAGGATCAATTAGTCATAGAACCTAGAGAATAGAGCTGAGTTTCGATGAGGGGACCAGGCAGCCCCAGGTACTGATGAGAGACAGAATATGAATGCAGGGAACCAAGCAAGTGGTGGCAAAAGCATTTGACAATCACAACCATTTTTCCAAAAGTAGCTGCTTCTAGTTGTGTGCCCACCTGGGTATATGATGCTAACCTGGGGAGGAGAATCAGATTTTTCTTAATGGCATGCTAATTTATTTGGCCTGACACCAAAATTGTACCTTCTAGAACAATTAATTAAGTCACACATTGGGTGAGGCTGATAGAAACTAGAAATTTTATTTCGAAGCTGAGTTATCTCATATAGTGGTTTCTAGAAGTTTCAAATAATCTTGAACATGTGAAGTCTGAATCCTAATGCCATCTGTGATGTTTTAAAATTTTAGTCATAGCATTTAAATGAAAGTAACTGTGATTTTAAAATAGTGATCATAGATGGTAGGTATACAGCAGATATTGTGAATTTTTTCATAGGTATTATTGCATGATACTAGCAGGCAGTAGCAAAATAAATTATCTTTTTTTTCCTGTATTTGTACCATGTGGTTATTACCTTGATTTTGAATAGTTTGAAAAATGATTAATTTTGCCAGAATTAATTTGGAGGCTTTTCTATACCAATAATTAATATAGCTATTGAGATTATAACACTAAATAATTATCAATAATAATTTAATTTTATACTAAAATACTATAAAATTTAAAATATCCCTCAGAACACATTTACATAATGAGAAATGTAATGCTCTCAGTTTAAGTAAAATTTGTTCAGAATGCTGAATTTTGTTATTTTGTATGAACTTTTAGATGATGAAATGCATAGGCTGTTTCTGCCCTGAGAAATGAAAGGACAAATTTAAAGAATTATAATTTAGGAATGTAATTTTTTTTTTTTTTTTTTACAATAGCCAGATAATTGAGGTCAAAGGGAAGTTCTATTTTTTTTTTTTTTTTTGAGATAGAGCCTTACTCTGTCACCCAGGCTGGAGTGCAGTGGTGCTATCTCAGCCTCCTGGGTTCAAAGGATTCTTCTGCCTCAGCCTCCTGAGTAACTGAGACCACAGGCGCGCACTACCACACACGCTCAGCTAATTTTTGTATTTATTTACTTATTTATTATTTTTAGTAGAGACAGGGTTTTACCATGTTGGCCAGGTGGCCTCAAGTGATCCACCTACCTCAGCCTCCCACGGTGTTGGGATTACAGGCATGAGCCATAGTGCTGGACTCAAAGAGAGGTTTGATGGAGAATTATTTGTCTCAGTTTTTAACTGTATTCTATGAATGTACATATATGTCAAAATATACTTCTAATAGTTTACTAAAACTTGTTATTTCTCAACTAACTGTGTGCTTTATTTAGAAAACAAATATATTAACATAAGCAGAAAATAAAAATTATCTATAATCACACAATCTAGAGAAAACAAGCATGTAACTATATTGTACTCTATTTTTTAATGTGAATTATCAAAAAGTGACCATATTTGTACAGATTTTCAAAAGTCATGACTATATATAGAAAAATATGACCATATTTGTACATATTTAATTAATTTTTTTTTTTTTTTTAGAGATAGGGTCTTGTTTTGTCACCCAGGCTGGAGTGCAATGAGCTCAGGGCTCACTGCAGCCTTCACCCACTGAGCTCAAGTGACACTGCCATCTCAGCGTCCCTAGTACCTGGGACTACAGGCACATGCCACCATGCCTGGCTAATGTTTTATTTTTTGTAGAGATGGAGTCTCACTATATTGCCCAGGCTGGTTGTGCTCTCCTGGGCTTAAGTGATCCTCCCACCTCAGCCTCTCAAATTGCTGGGATTATAGGCATGAGCCACCATGCCTGACCTAGGTACATATTTTTAATAAAAAATATTTTTACAGGCTGGGTGTGGTGGCTCACGCCTGTAATCCCAGCACTTTGGGAGGCCAAGGTAGGCAGATCATGAGGTCAGGAGATCAAGACCATCCTGGCTAACATGGTGACATCCTGTCTCTACTAAAAATACAAAAAATTAGCCGGGCGTGGTGGCACGCGCCTGTGGTTCCAGCTACTCAGGAGGCTGAGGCAGGAGAATTGCTTGAACCCAGGAGGTGGAGGTTGCAATGAGCCAAGATTGCGCCACTGCACCCCAGCCTGGGCAACAGAGCGAGACTCTGTTTCAAAAAAAAAAAAAAGAAAGAAATATTTTTTACAACACTTTTCATTGTTTTTGTGTCTCTTAGTGTCTGCTCCTTGGGTTAAAAGTTTTTATTTTAGATTGATTCTGAGTTCTGATATTTCAAATGATTTATTTAAACTAAATACCTTGTTTTTCAATAAGCCCAATTAACTGTAGTTAATCACATAAAATTGTAGGATCTCAGGGTAGAAAAAACTTAAAAAGAAGTAAGCCAATTGAGCTCTAGTTCTGATGCCAGATGTCTTCTTCAATATTCTTGCTGTGGTTATGAAGCCTGGGGTTGATTGCCTTAATGAGAGGCTCACTTCCTTTTGGAGGATGTCCATCTTGAAATAATTTTTGCTACTAGAAAATATTTCCTTATGTTGTTCTACAATTTATCTTTATACAGTCTCTCACCTTCAGAAACATCAGAGAAGGTCTAGTCCCTCTTCTGCAAGGACAGCAGCCCAACCACCAAAGTAAACACAGCAGCAGATTTCCCCTATCCTCTCAGCTTCTTTCTCTGTGTTTCCTCCTCTTTAGCATCAATGCCAAACGTTCCCTAAGGCCGTCTTTGTTTCAAAGTTTCAAAATATCTGATCAACTGTGTTAGAAACAACGGACCAAGTTATTATTCCATTCTTATAGAAACTATCAGTTTTGTGTAGGAGTATCATTTAAATTAGATTCAAATTTGTCATGATAAGTAATTGCAATATTTATTTTTTCTAGAGAGACAAAGTTCAATGAATTGCTGCATTGAAATCGGGCAATGTAGTTTGCAATATTTTTCTTTCAGTGATGTTTTATGGGGCTATTAAACCTAATACTTAATTCAATAAGTTTTATTTTAAGATCTTAGATTCATTTGCTATATTTATGTATCACCAGCCACTGGACAGGGGATAATCCTAAAATTCTTAGCTCCTCTACTATCCTAATATGTTGATAGTATAATACATAATTTGACAAATTACCTAGTACCAAGATCTGGCTCTTTGAATACACTGCATTTAAAGGCAAAAAGCTCCAAATCTGCATACTTAATTATACAGCATTATCATTTCTATCCCTAATTCCTTAATCAAAACCATCATTAGCCATGCAAATAATAAAGGAAATTGGATTACAAAGGAAGTAAAGATTAGTGACTCTAAGATCAGATAGCTGATTTTAGAAAGTCAGGTTGAAATTGGGCTCAGTTTTATAATTCAGATAAACAAGGCAACTACCTTGTCATAAGCCTTTTCAGTTTTAAAGATAAAGCACTATTTTTGTTTGTTTGATGAGAATTTTACATTAAATCCATGAGTAGCAAAAGATTAAATAATTATGCATTTTAACAAGATGACCTATAACATATCAAATCACCTCAAATCATGAACACTGCTTTTTTTTTTTTGAGACAGTGTTTCACTCTGTTGCCCAGGCTGGAGTGCAATGGTGCGATCTCCGCTCACTGCAACCTCTGCCTCTGATTCTTCTGCCTCAACCTCCCGAGTAGATGGGGTTACAGGCATGCACCACCACACCCGGCTAATTTTTGTATTTTTAGTGGAGATGGGGTTTTGCCATGTTGGCCAGGCTGGTCTTGAATTCCTGATCTCAAGTGACGGCCCGCCTCGGCCTCCCAAAGTGCTGGGATTACAGGCGTGCGCCACCGTGCCCAGCCGAACACTGCTTTTTGAGGTGTCACTTGAGAAATTGGTTTTTGGTGGATTCAGTCAGTGCTTTGTCTTTTCTAGGTCCCAAGATTTTGACTGATTGGTTGTACGACTAGAGTTGCTGGAGTTCAAGTATTTTCATTTTAACTATTCAACTGAAAGCAGTGCGTTACAACAGAACACGGGTTCCAAAGAATTTACTGAGAAGAAGCAAAGTAATACTTGGGAGAACTGTAAGTAAAGTTAATTAAAGCTCCTACCAATGCGGATTGGCAAAATCTTTGGTGTCAGTGTCTACCTTTAAGATAGTCTTCCTTTGTACCCAGGAGGCTGGTTAGATTTACTGGGCCTATGTCTGCATAATGCAAAAAGCATCTCTGCTATTTAGATTTCTAGATTGTACATATTAGGTATATAAATATTAATAAAAATTTTCTGCCCTTAAATATTACATGTCACAGTTAATATTCTGCATTCTCTGTCTAGATATCTACTTTTCAATATTAGCTGCTAGAACTTTATTAATACATTTGAAGCTTGTTTTTTTCTCTATGTGTGAATTTTATCGGGAACACTATGTTCAAACAACTAAGGAAAAAATATTGGCCATTTATTTTTTGATGGAAGATAGGAATGTAGCGTGTGCTCTACAGTTTTAGCAATATATTATTGAGATAAATGCAGTCTTAGACACAAAGTGCTTCATTTTGTGTTAAACATAGCAGAGGAATGTTTTACTGTCTCATGGGAGCATCCAGGTTCCCCATAATTGAAGAGCTAGCACAAGATATCAAGGATCCTGAAAAAGAGCTTCCTGCCTTGGTGGGAGATTCGATGGCACTGGCTTGCAATTATACTGCCCATTGGAACCCCCTTGGGAGCTTAAAAAATACTGAGGTTTGTGTCCTAGCCTGAGGCATTCGATTTAATTGGTCTGAGGTATGGTTTGGGATTGGGATTTTAAAGGTTTGCAGGTAATTCTAATATGCAGCCACAGTTGAAGACAGCTGTTCTAAAATCTCATCTAAACCAAAATTAGCAATTTCTTCTAATATGCTTTGATGATTTTTAAAGCTATGTTCTCTAAAGAAACCCCTAGACCTGAAAATTACTCTATGCAAAGAGATTCTGTGGTCCAATAAACTTGAAAAGTGTGACATATCTTATCATCCTTTTGGAGAAATCTAATTCACCTGGACACATTAAAGATAATGATAGGCCCGGTATGGGATCTCACACCTGTAATTCCAGCATTTTGGGGAGGCTGAAGCAGGAGGGTTGCTTGATCCTGGGAGTTTGAGACCTGCCTGGGCAATGTAGCAAGACCTTGCCTTTATAAAAAATTAGAAAAAGAATATTAGCCGGGCGTGGTTGTGCAATCCTCTGGTCCCAGCTACTCAGGAGGCTGAGGTGGAAGGCTTGCTTGAACCCAGGAGGTTGAGGCTGCAGTAAGCCATGATCACACCACTGCACTCCAGCCTGAGTGACAGTGACACCCTGTCTCACACACACACATACAAAAGACAATGGTAAAAACATTTCTAACCCAGTATTTCCCAGAATTTTCAATCAGAGTTTTCATTTTTTATAACAGCTATTATAATAATCCCATAAAATTAGCATTCTTTGGCTCACACATTCGCTAGCAGATTTATATTTTGCTGAGTTACTTCTGATCTCTGTGTTTTAAGAATAAAATTCTGGCTGGGCACAGTGGCTTACGCCTGTAATCCCAACACTTTGGGAGGCCGAAGTGGGTGGATCACCTGAGGCCAGGGGTTCAAGACCAGTCTGGCCAACATGGTGAAAACACCATCTCTACTAAAAACACAAAAATTATCTAGGCGTGGTGGCGGTTGCCTGTAATCCCAGCTACTCGGGAGGCTGAGGCAGGAGAATCAATTGAATCTGGGAGGCGGAGGTTGCAGTGAGCTGAGATTGCACCCCTGGACTCCAGCCTGGGCAACAGAGCAAGACTCTGTCTCTAAATAAATAAACAAACAAACAAGTAAATAAAATTCCCACTTGCATTGCTTATCTATGACATTATACCACAAACATGGACTAAGCTGTTCTTGATCATATGGTCTTATATTGATAATATTTATATCTGTGTAGCTGTTGAGTAAAGCGTATGTTGACATGAACCCCACCGGAAATGAGGTTCTGCTCTGGGCTACTCCCTTTGGACCCAGTGTTTTTTAATGCAAAGGACTTGGCAGTAAGAACATCCATCTTTAGTGCCCAAATTGATAAAAAGCAGGGAAGGACTACCGATCTTGCTCAAAAGTTACCATTTACCAGTTACTTAAATCCCCTTTGAATTGACCCTCTTCTGCAGCTTAAATTATAAGCTCCCTGTCTTCAAATGTCTTAAAATCTCTAAAGCATCATGGGATGTGTTTCTTTGGAAAGAAAGCTGGAAGTTATGAGATGTGGAAAGAGTGTAGAATGGAGTGATTGAGGTTGTGAAGGTATAACCAAGAGAAAGGAGGTTCACTCACAAATGAGAGTTAGATTGAGCGATGGTAAATTAACCTTGAGGCTGGAGGAGGCAGTAGACATGCCATTTATCATTTCTCCTTGGTTAGAGATGAAGATGTGACAAGAATACACACCCAAAAGCAAAGCGACCCATGCTGTCTGTTCACTTCACATCTCAGGTGTTGTCTTACTCAATTTTTTGGCAGCATGACAACTTGGCCTCCTCCTCTCATTTTCTTCCCTTGGCTTCTGGAATCCTGGGCACTCCTTGTTTTCCTCTTATGGCTTTAACTGCTCCTTCTGATCTCTCCCAGGCTGGTGAAGTCACTCCTATCTTTGCTCCCATGATGACCTATGTCCACTTACTTCCTTTATGGTACTGGCTCCAACTACTCAAAGGTTTCTTTAGTTGTATCTTCACTGTATTATTTTTATATTAAATATATAAAATGATATTTTATATTAACTATATCTTTAATAAAAGTGGTATACTATTCATTTATGTCTCCCCAAATTAGACAGACACCTAATAGGGCATCAATAAGTGTTTACTCTTTTATTATTTTTATTACTTTAATTTTTTTTTTAGATATGGTCTCACTCTGTCACCTACACTGGAGTGCAGTGGGGTGATCAGGGCTCATTTCAGCCTCAACCTCCAGGGCTCCAGTGATCCTCCCACCTTAACCTCCCGAGTAGCTGGGACTATAGGTGTGTGCCACCACATCTGGCTAATTTTTGTATTTTGGGTAGAGATGGGGTTTCACTAGGTTGCCCAGGCTGGTCTCAAATCCCTGAGCTCAAGTGATCCTCCTGCCTTGGCCTCTCAAAGTGTTGGGATTACAGGTGTAAGCCACCATGTCCAGCCAACAAATGTTTGTTAAACTAAATTAATTGATTGATCCCATACACACTCAAGAGATCCAATAGAGAAATGAAGTAAAGGCCAGTGGGAAATGTCACCAAAAAGAATAGTGACTTACCTTTCTAATGTATGCAGTTGTCTTGCCACTTAAAAATATAGCTCTTTTTGATTACAGCACTGATACATATTTATTGTATTTAAGTAACTGGTATTGTAGAAGATCTGAAAAATAAAGAAACAAAGGACACAAAAGCAATGCACAAATCTACCACCCAAAGATCACCATTGTAAATAATTGTGTGTATTTTCTTCCAGGCCTTTTTCTAGGCCTAAGTCGGGGTATAGATATATGTAGGTATGCATGTGTGTTTGTGTGTGTGTGTATGTTGTGCATGTGTGTGTCCTTTTTTCAAGAGAATTTGGATCATAATGAAACAAACGATTTTGTACTCTTTTTGATTCAATATATTCTTATATTCTTTCACTTTGCAAATATTTGTTGAGGGCTTAACATAATGTACTAGGTACTATTTTAGGCTCTGGGAGTGCACCAGTCAACAGTATTTTGAATGTTTTTCTGAAAAACTTGATTTTAAATGACTTACTAATGTTTTACATTTTAGGTCAACTAAATTGGTTAATTTAACCAATTCCTGACTGTTGTTGTTACCATTTCACAGCACAATTAGTAATCTTGCAACAAGTAGCTTTATTCATAAATCTTTGTGTTTTTCTTTGATCATTCACTAGGATAGAATGGAAGTAAGTTCAAAGACTAGTTAACAAACTATAAAACATGAACTTTTAAAAAAAGTGTCCAGGGATACTTCAGTAAAAGGTTTTGGTAATTTATAAACCCCAATTTCCATCAGTGTATGAAGGAACCCATCTTACAACTCTCACCAGTGTAATTTGCATTTTCATTAAGAAATATATTTATCTGCCTATATATTGCCTCACGTTAGAATTATTTTATTCTAGTAGGTGTAACTTTCATATTCTTATATAAGTATTTAATCTTGTTTTTCCATTAATTTTTTATTGATTCTCATGGAATGTGGCTATTCAGGAAATATAAACTTAAACTTCCCTTTAATAGGAAACCCCTAAAATCCTATAGTAAGACTTTTTTTTTTTGGATCCAAGTTGTATTTTAGCTTACTAGCAGAGGTCCTGGGGTTTTCAAAATGGTTTCTTGCTCATTTTTTTCCTCGGTTAACATTCAGTTCAGGTGTGCATGTTTAGTAGGGGTACATACATTAAGCAAGGCAGATGTTCAGTGAAAGTCAAGTGTCCTTCAAAGAGTAATAGCAGCATCCCAGGGGTTCCCTTTGAGTGTGAAACCTTCTCTAAGACTAGCATAATCACCTGCTGGGGGAATCCTGGTGCGTCAGTCTCATCATGAGCTTACCCTAGATCAAGCTATCTGACTGTGGTATCCATTGTGGGTTACTGTCTCTGTTTGTAGACATATTGACAGAAAAGTTGCAGACGTCACAACAAAGAATATTTTCTATCTCAATCACTAATTAATAAAAGATTCACATGTCTGAAAGCAAATTATCAACTTATTGAAAGGAGGACACTTTAAGGCCTAGATGTGCTATTTGTGAAATATTTCTAAGTGTTACTACAAAGTAATCTAAATCGAGTGCTATTTAATTTAACAAAAGGAAAATAAAAAAGTAATTCTCTATTTTTCAGCTATGGGGGTCACAATGCTGAGGATGCAATAAAAAATTAAACGGAGTTCAGCTAGTCTCTAGAGCAAGGCCTCTTTGCTTTTGATACAAGAGGTGACCCTAGTAGATGACTCCTTGTTTGGGATGACTGTAAGTCTAGCTTTATAACTTCCTGTGTGCTCTTTGTTTTTCCCTAGTTTGCTGCTTTATGTCATATGAACACACACCCCTTGGAATTTATTTAACTTTTTTTTTCTGTTACTCTTACCATGCTTCCCAGAAGCCAAAGAGCAAATATGCGTAGAGTAAATCAAGGTTTCTCAGTCGTGGCATCACTGAATGGAAGTGCATTGAAGGACATTTGGCAGCATCTATGGGGTGTGCCCACTAGATGCCAGTAGCACCCCTCTTCCCTAGTTGGGACAACCAAAAATGGTCCTAGTAGTTGTCAGATGTCCTTTGGGAGGCAAAATCGCCCCTAATTGAGAACCCCTGGAGGAAATGTGGCTCAGTCTTCCTGTAGGATCCCCCACTTGACCTGTGGCAGGCCACATTCCATTGTCTACCCAATAGCCAGAGTAGTGTTTCCTAAGAATAAGGCCTTGCCACTTGCCTGCTTATAATAGTCCAATGTCTTCTTGTGGCGCTGGAGTAAAATCTGAACTCCTGTGGCAACCTATATAGCCCTCCATGATCTTACCCCAACCCACTCTGTCTCATCGGCTACCCCTCTTCTCTCCTTCACTCTTCTAAATTTGCTGTGATCAAAGCCACCCCTCAAAGAGGCCTTTCTTGCCACTTATTAATGCAGCTTCTCCCTTCTACTCACTTTATTATATCATATGGTTTGCCTTGTTTATCTGCATGTTTTACAACCTGAAATTACCTGGTACCTTTATTTGTCTACTGGTTTATTGTCTTTTCTCAAGCACAGCAGAATGTAAGCTTCTTGAGAGAAAAGAACATTTCTAGTTTGTTCACTACTCCTTGCCCAGTGTCTCAGATAAAGCGTAACACTTCATAGATGTTAAAAAAATACAATGAATAAATAAATAAATGGGTAAAATTAGGCAGAGGCAGTGACTCAGTATATATATATATACACACACACACACACACACATATACACACACACATACACTATATATACATATTCTTTTTCTGTATTCACACTTTAACAATTCAGTAATATTTTAGTCAAAAAAGGGCAGAGAACAAAGAAATACAACCTTGTGTGTCTACTATCCAGATAATGTGATCTTGAGTTGCAAAGAATGAAGGGTGCCATTATGTATTTGACAGAATCAGTGTTCATATGTATATAGTAGTTTACAAATAGATCAAGACTTTTTCCATCCACATAAATCAACATTTCTGTGCTAAGTAGTCACTAAGGGTGAAATGCTGAAAATAGCAAGATTCATTTCCTTCCATCAAGGGGCTCACAGTCCAGTGGGTGGGCCAGTGGCATGGAAGAGGAGATCATTAGAGATAGTCTGATGAGTGCTTCAATGTGAAATGAAGGATCAGGAGCTAGCAGTGTACCTGAGAAACCCTGGGATGGACAGATGCTGGAGTGTATGTGTTAAAAATCAAGGAACCCTGACTAGAGTGCTAAATCTTAAAGAGTCCTCTTATGTATTTTGGTACAGAAACACTCCACTTGGGTAGAAGGAGTGTGCTTATAAATCCCCACCTCACCAAATGAGAAGGAGCTGCTGGCAAGATCTGAGCTCAACACCTCAGGAGCCTCCAGATTTGGAAGGCTTTTGGTTTCCTCACTTCTTTTGCTTTCTATTTTTGCCTCGAAATATGTGCACTCCTAGAGTTCTCTATTTTCAAAAAGCCTTCTGAGCCAGTAAGGAAGAAAAGTTTGCTTTGGGGAACTTCCAAATATTTGTGAATTGCCGTTGACTACTTTTTCACTGCAACAGCAAGGCAAATCTGTACTATTAAGTAGTAATATAATGTATAAAGCATATCTTTTCATTTTTGAGCATGGCACTATGTCAGTGAGAGCAGTGATTTTCAGATATTTTCCATATTCCAAAAATGTGATGAGGGTCTTGAGGTATGGTTAAGTAATAGGAATACTGTAAGAGTATTAAAAATTATCTTTGGGAGGGCTTATAATCCTGTAAGTTTAGCACATTGTTCTTTAGTTGTGTAGTTGCTCAATGTAGTTTAATTGGTCAGGTTCTTCATGGAACAACAAACAGGACAGTGAAGACTCTTACAGTTATTGCTTTGCAGTATGGCACAATCATTCAAAAGATAAATATCTCTCAGATTAACTTAATATATGAGAGGAAATTCAAGCTCATCCTGATTTTTGGAGTGGGTAAGAAACTATGCATTCTTTCCCCAGTGACATTTTTCATGTGATTTCAAATATATCAAACTTATTCAGATATTCTTAATTTGGAAGGACAGGCACAGAGAATATATTTGAATATACTTGAGAATTTTCTGTTCCTCATTTGAAGTTAACTAGGTAACCATTCTGAAAATAAGATGCTCTCCTCTCCTCTTATTCTGCTTAGAATTTTAACCGTTCAAAGTGGAATGTGAGAGTGATGTAGCTCATTACTCCTTGGTTTTCTCTCCATCCCTCACTTTTTTCGTTTTTTGCTACTGATGTGTTTCCAATGATGTACTCAGCTGGTTTTTGCTTTTGTTGATAGCTGAGCTTATACGATATTTTCTTAAACTGCTTTTATGATACTATGCCTTCCCAACAGGCAAAATGGTCTCACATTCTCAGCAGGGCTGGGATAGGGAATCACCAATAAGGAACTTCTCTTCTTCCACAAGAATTGAAGACATCTAATTTCTCATCTGTTCTGTCCCTGTGGACACAAATGTCAAAATCGGTCTTGCTGGTGGCATTTGAAATGGTATATGCACAATTCAGGAAGCGTTACTGTTTACCCATTAATCACTCTGGGCCACCAGTCAAAATATTTTCTGTGCAAAAATGCCTTTCCCATTTTGTACCAGTTAATATTGGATGGAACTCAAGAGTCACAGTTAATCTGTGGCAAAGCTTTTATTTGCTGTCAGGCATTCAGACATGAAAAATGCTCAATGTAATATTTTAATTAATAAAAATATACTGAGAAGTGTATTTTTCTGAAGTAGATTTTTATTACACTTCATTACATTTCCAAATTTAATGGACACATATATTATGTCCTGTCACCATGGGAACCACATCAAGACAGGCTTTTTATAGGCTGTGGATGTAGTTATAAAACTCTCACAAAGACAAAATTGTTTCTTATAAGTTTAAAAGAAGCTGTGCTCATTTACAGTATGTATAATTTAGTGCAGAGCTTGAGGCAATAAGAGAGTCTTTATTTGATTTAGAGACTAACACTTCTTTTTATGAAGCTTTTAAGTGTTTATTATTTCAGGTCTGTGTTCATGAAGATATAACTTGGCTTATTGTGAAAGCAAATTTAAAAAATTCAAACTTTGTATAATAGACCAAACAGATGAAATTCTTTTTTGTAACTGTTTAAAAAGCAAAGCACTTTTAAAAACAAATTTTTCCAAGCATACATAAAAGAAGGAACTACAATGAACCCCAATACCCATCTTGAATAACCACCAATATTTTACTGTATTTATTTTATGTGTCCCCCTGCAAACACCACTTTTTACGGCTGAAATATTTTAAAGTAAATTATAGTAAAATGGTAAAATATCAGTTTACTATCAAATACTTTAGTATGCATCTTAAAAAAGAAGGAGGCAAGAACAAGGACCACATAGTGAACAACTTTCTATATTCAATAAAAAATATCATAAAGCATTATGACAGAACAGAGACCAAACACATAGATCATATCAGCAAATGCAAATAGGCTCACCTTACTTATTATAATGAAAAAAGAAAAGATTTTCAGAGTGCCCAAAGAAGAAAATCCTTGCTCTATGATATTTAAAAGGGACATACCTAAAATTAAGTGATTTTGAAGGTTAAAAATAAAAGAATAGGCAATTGCAAATTTTAAAAAAATCAGGGGTCTTCTTATAGAGGAGTATAAATTAAGGCCAAAAATATTAAAATAGATAAAGAAGGATATTTTATAATACTACAGGCAGAAATTCACAAAGAAGATTCAAAAGTTATCTTTTCTTCCAGTAACACAGAAACGACTTTCAAAAAGCAGAAACTGCTAGGTATGACAAATAGAGACACACTAATAGTAGGAGATTTTAACACACTTCTCTCAGTTCTAGGAAAGCCAAAGGATAAAATGCTAGTAAGGATGGAGAAGACTCAACATAATCAATAAGTTAAAGCTAATATCTATAAAACTGGAACAGTAATAATAGAGACTATGCCTTCCTTTTATGTAAGAGTCTTTGAAACTGAAATTAGTGAAAGCTGATGGAGGGGAAAAAATCATAGAGTTTGAACCCTGGTTTAACATTTCATAGCACTTTCAAAGTTATAAAATGTATTCACATTTTCAGTTCAAAGTTATTTATGTATTTTCCACATTCCATTCACGTGGCCTGCTCCATCCTGAACAGGGATCTATTCTGGCTACTTATGATTTTCCACATTAAAGGTAAGCATTGGTGCTGATTTTTAGATCAGATGGAGCTTGGAATATTTTTCCTCAAAGTTTTCCAACTTTAATTTCCAAGGAACTATCCAGTTTAGCCTCATATGAGCTTTCTGCCTCTTTTAAATTCCAGGAGAGAAATGTGAGATTTCACAAACAGAGAGATTGCTTTTCCATCAGTCACAGCCCATGCCTGACATGTGCAAGGGGCTTCGTAAACAGATGGGTAACATGCAGGTCTTTTTATTTAATTTATTTTATTTTATTTTAACAAAATGCAAGATTAACCTGTTTCTTAGCAACATTACTTCCCTTCTTTATTCAAAGATTCTTCCTCCCTCTAAAAGAATTGACATTTATGATGGAGTTTTCGAGTTTAATTTTCCTACAAATGCAACTTTTGTCGAAATGTGCAACATTTAGTTTTTGGGTCTGTGAGGTATGGCATATTTTTTCCTCCCAGTTTTCATAAATGAATATTAGTGAGTGATAGGGAGCATAGATTACATCACAACAGCCACTATTGATGGTAATGGGATTCGAATTGGAGACTAGCCATCAATGGCACAAAGCTGCTATGGGAAATGCATAGAAATGGAAAGCCACTTTACTTAAGTGACTGGCTGCTCTGCTAGCTTAGCATTTATTTATTTGTTCGCTCTTGTGTTTTTTTAAAAGTATTTGTTGTTGGATTTTTTTTTTGTCTTAATACCTTGGGGTTCGGATACCTTCCTGTTGCAAGGGAAATTTGCTAATATAACAAAGTAGTTGCGAATATGGAGTGTTGGAGGCAGATTGCTCTGGGAATTAGAACCACTTACTAGCAATGTGACCACAGCAATTGACTTCAATTCTATGAGCTTCATAGTTACCTCTTGTAACATGGGAAACATAATAATAGTACTCACCTAATGGAGTTGTTGTAAAGATTCCATCAAGTTTTTGTGAAACACTTAGCACAGTGCCTACATACATACATAAAGCATTTTATTGATGCCATAAGGTATACTAACAATTAGTATGTTAGAATAATAATTAGTATTTAATGTTAAGTTAATTGAAGAGACTGAGAAACTCAAGTTGCTAAAAGTAAAAAGGAGACTTTTAAAAATATTTTATTTTTAATTGTGGAGGAAAACAACAGAAAATTCACCATCTCAACTATTTTTCAGTGTGTAAATCAGTAACCATATCCACATTGTTGTAAAACAGGATTCTAAAACTCTTCATCTTACAAAACAAAAACTCCATATCCATTCAACAAGCCTTCGAGAAAAACTTTTTAAAGAACAGTTTTAAATTTACAGGAAAATTGCGAAGAAGGTACAGAGAATTCCCATGTATCCCACACCCAGGTCCTCTATTATTAGCATCTAACATTAGTATGGTACATTTGCTGCAACTAATAATATCAACATATTATTGTTTACTGAAGTCCATACTTTATTTAGATTTCCTTAGCTTTTACCGAATGTTCTTTTTTCTATTCCAAGATCTGTTCAGGGTTCAGCACTACATTTAGTTGACATGACTCTTCAGGTTCCTCTTGGCTGACAAATTTTTGGACTCCTTGATTTTGATGGCCTTGACAGTTTTGAGAAGTACTGGTCAGGTATTTGGTAGAATGTCTTCATTTGGGATTTATCTGATGTTTTCTCATGATTGGACTTGGGTTAGAGTACATGCTATCAATCTGACATTGTTACTGATATTGACCTTGATTACGTGGCTCAGGTAGTGTTTGTCAGTTTCCTCCATTATAAAGTTACAAATGTTTTAATTTGAAATTCCCTAACAAAATGATGTTAAGAACCTTTTCACAGGGTTACCTGTCTTCTGTATATCTTCATTGGTGAGATATCTGCTCTTGCCCATTTTAAAAAATTGGGTTGTTTCCTTATTGTTGAATTTTAAGATTTCTTTGTATATTTTGGATATAAGTTCCTTGTCAGATACGTATTTTACAAATATTTCCTTCCAATCTGCAGCTTGCCTATTCATTCTCTTAACTGTGTCTTCCAGAGAGCACATGCTTTTATGTTTAATAAAGTACAACTTATCAAATTTTTAATGGATTATGCTTTGGGTATTGCATCTAAAAACTCACCACCAAACACAAGTTCATATAGATTTTCTGCTTTTCTCTTTTCTAGGAATTTTATGGTTTTGCATTTTACATGTAACATGTAAATCCATTTTGAATTGGTGTCTAGGTGTTTTATGTTATGTTTCTCTCTTTTTTTTTTTTTTTTGGCCTATGGCCATCCAATTTCTCCAGCACCATTTGTTGGACAGATGATCCTTTTCTCCACTGCATTGCCTTTGCTCCTTTTACAAATAGCAGTTGACTATATTTGTGTGAGTCTCTTTCTGAGCTGTTTCGTTCCAGTAACTTATGTCTATTGTTTAGTCAATACCTCATTGTCTTGATTACTGTAGTTTTATGGTAAGACTTGAAATCAGCAAGGGTGCATCCTTCACTGTTGTTCTTCAATATTGTGTTGGCTATTCTAAGTCTTTCACATTTCCATATAAACTTTAAATCATTTTGTTAACACCTGTAAAATAAGTTGCTTGGATTTTATTAGGGTTTTCATGAAATCTATAGATTGATTTATGAGGTATTATCATCTAAACAATATTAAGTTTTCCACTCTATGAACATGGAAAATATTTATTTAGATTTTCTTTAATCAGTATTTAAAAATTCCGTATAATTCTGTTTACAAGTAAAATTATAACACTCGTGGAGAAAAGAGAGGATGTGTGGAAAAGAGAACTCTTGTGCACTGTTAGTGAAAATGAAAATGTAAATTATTATAACCATTATGGGAAATAGTATGGAATTTTCTCAAGTTAAAAAGTGCTACTACATGATCCATCAGTCTCACTACTGAGTATGTATATAGCCAAAGGAAATGAAATCAGTGTATCAAAGAGATGTCTTCACTCCTGTATTAATTGCAGCACTATTTCTAATAGCAGAGATATGAAATCAACTTAGGTGTTCATCAACAAAGGATACATAAAGAAAATGTTGCATATATCCACTATGGAATACTATTCAACCTTAAAAGAGAATAAAATCCTGTCATTTGTGACAACATGGATTCACCTAAAGAACATTACATTAAGTGAAATGAGCCAGGCACAGAAAGACAAATACTGCATGATCTCACTTATATGTAGAATCCCAAAAAGTCAAATTAATGGAAGCATAGACTAGAATGGTGGTTATCTGGGGCTGGTGTGGGGAACCAGTGTAGTTGCAAAGATGTTGGTCAAGGAGTACAATATGTCAGTTAGACAGGAGGAATAATTTCAAGAGATCTATAGTACAACATGGTGACTATGGATAACAATGTATTATATACTTGAAAATTGCAAAGAGAGTAGATTTTAAGTGTTCTCACCATAAAAATGATAAATATGTGAGGTAATATGTTAATTAGCTTGATTCAGGCATTTCACAATATATACATATTTCAAAATGTTATGTTGTACACCAAAATATACATAATTTTTATTTGTCAATTTAAAAATAAAAAGAAAATGATCTATCTTAAGATAAAAAATACATTTTTAAAAATAATTTATTGACTAGTAAAATGATAAATATATTTAAACAACAAAATGCATTCAGTGATTTATATGCCATGATAGAAACATACACTGGGTTCAATGGGGCACAAAAGCAGGAGTGGTCAATTCTACAGAATGGCCTGAAATTTCATGCAAGTGTTTCATAGAGAGGATGACACTTGGAAGTGTGAACAAAGAGAAAGGAAGCAGAGAAACTAAATTGGTGAGTACCGAAGAATGAAAGAGTATAGCAGATTTATATTCTTTCAAAAAACAAAAAAAAATTATAATTTTCCACATATAGACCCTGTGCATGTGTTAAATTTAAACCTACGTACAGTTCACTCTTGAACAACACGAGTTTGAACTGCACAGGTCCACTTATATTCAGTTTTCCCAACCAGACGCAGATCAGTATTCATGAGGAATGAAACTTGTGTATGTAAAGGGCTGAATTTTTGCATTACCAGGTTCCACAGGGAAAATGGCAAGACTTGAGTATGCATGGATTTTGGTATCCATGGTGATCCTGGAACCAATCCCTCTGCATACACCAATGGACACAGCTGTATTTCATTTTTTTGGTGCCATTGTAAATAATGTGTACTTTTTAAAAGTTCCAATTCCAATTGGTCACTGCTGATACATAGGGAAGCAATTAGCTTTTGTGTATTAATCCTGTTTCTTGTGACCTTGCTAAACTTGCTTATTAGTCTGAGGAGTCCTTTTGTGTATTCTTTGGATTTCTCTACACAGACAATCACGTCATCTGAGAATAAGGGCAGGTTTATTTCCTCCTTTAAAATCTGTATACTATTTGTCTTCTTTTCTTGTCTTATTGCACTAGCTAGGACTTCCAGTGTTACATATAGTAGGATAGGGAAGAGAGGATATCATTGCTTTGTTCCCCTTCTTAGGGGGAAAATACTCACCATTAAGTATGATATTAGCTATAGGTTTTTAATAATTTTTTTTTAAATCAAGATAAGAAAGTTTCTCTTATTCTTAGCTTGCTGAGGGATCTTATCATGAATGGGTGTTGGGCTTCACCAAATTATTTGTCTCATATATTGATATATCATATTATTTTTCTATTTTTGTCCATTGTGGCAGATTACAGCAATTGATTTTTGAATGTTGAACCAGCCTTGCATATTTACACTTGGTTGTGGTGTACTTCTTTTTGTATATCACTAGATTTTCTTTGCTGATATTCTGTTGAGGATTTTTGTATCTATTCATGAGAGATATTGGTTTTCAGATTTCCTTTCTTGTAAAGCTTTTAGCTGGTTTTGTATTGCAGTAGTGCTACCCACCTCATAGAATAAGTTGGGAAGTGTTCTATCCATGTCGATGTTCTGAAAGATATTGTGGAGAACTGGTATCACATATTGATTAAATGTTTGATAGAATTCATAAGCGAAAACATCTGGGCTTGGTGTTTTCCTTTTTTTTTCTGTTTTGGAAGGTTATTGATGATTGATTCAATTTATTTAATACATAGAGGCCTGTTCAGATTGTCTGTTTAATTTGTGTGAGTTTTAATAGTTTGTATTTTTCAAGGAATAGTTACATTTCATCTAAGTTATCAAATTTGTGAACATAAAGTTGATCATATTATTTCTTTATTTTCCTTTTAATATCCATGGTATCAGTAGTGATGTCTTTCTTTCATCTCTAATATTGATAAATTTGTATCTTTCCTCCTTTTTTCTGATTAAGGCTAGAAGCTTATTCATTATATTGATCTCATAGAACTACCTTTAGGTTTTACTGATGTTCTCTACTGTTTTCCCGTTTTCAGTTTCATTGATCCTACTTTTTATTATTTCTTTTCTGTTTGCTTTGGGCTTATATTCTTCCTTCTCTAGTTTTCTAGGCTGGAAGCTTAGACTATTAATTTTAGATCTTTATTTCATTCTAATATATGCATTGGATGTTATAAATTTCCCTTTAGGCTCTGCTTTCACTGAATCCCAGTTTTTGATGAGTTGTGTTTTCATTTTCTTTTAGTTTCAAATATTTTTATATTTCTCTTTTTACTTATTCTTTAGCCCTTGGGTCATTTGGAATTGTGTTGTTTAACACCCAGATATTTGGGTGATTTTTCAGCTTTCTATTATTGATTTCTAGTTTAATTCTATTGGGGGATGTTCTTACATATCTTGTGTAATTTTTATTTTTAAAAAATTTGTTAAGGCATATTTTATGCCTAGAATGTAGTATATCTTGTAAATATGAGATTTTTTAAAGTGATTTTATTAACGCTTATTAATTTTATCTCTCTTTAGAAAAATGCACTTACAGAACACTATTACTATTGAAAAACATGTAAAAAGTGTCTTTCATTATTTTCTCTATTTGGCCCTCTGGCCAGTGTCTTTTTGTAACCATTGTTGTTCCTCAACTGGCGCAATTCGTTTTGTGACATGAGTTTTGGCAGTGGTAACAATAATTTTAGTAGAGGAAACAGCATTTATTGAGCAACTACTATGTTCCAACTATTATGCTTTACCTATAAAATTTCAGTTCTCATAGCAACCCTCTAGGATGGATGCTATTAGCACCTTCATGTTGCAGTTGAGGAATTTGAAGCGTAGAAAATCACATAACTTGCCTGTTCACCTATGAGACATGAGCCAGAGGAAGAACATGAACCTTCACCAGCCTGACACCTGGAAGCACTTACTTCACTGTTGTCCTGGCACTTTTTTCTTTTGGCATTATTGCTGCTTAATATATTGTATTAATGATTGTTAAATTCTGTTTCTTTAACATTTTTTAAAACTTCCTTTGTTAATTTATGGAATACTATTTGATTACTTAATAACTGTCAGGATCTAGAGCTAAAATAATGAGCAATCAAGATATGATCCAGCTATGAAGAGGCTTACAGTACAATAAGGCAACAAATATCCACCAAAACACATAAAACTAAGTGTGAAATTATGTAATGTTGCAAGAGTGTATGCTACTGGTTAAACTTGAGGTGGTATAAACTGGAAGTGATCAATCTTTTTCATTTTTGCCTTTAAACCCACTTTGGTAAATTGCCTTTCTTACCCAAATAAGGAATCTTTGGCATGTCCCATGTGTCTTTAATTGAAATTTTTATTGAGATAATATTAGAATTATGTATAGTTTAAAGAAAAAATACAGAGAGAGCCCATGTACTCCTTACCCATTTTACCCCAATGGGAACATTTGACAAAACTACAAAGCATTATCACAACTAGGATATTGACATTGATAAAATCCACTAATTCTATTCATATTTCTCCAGTTTTACTTATGTTCATTTGTGTGTCCATGTGTACATATTCGTGTATTTAGTTCCACGTAATTTTATCATATGTATAGGTTCATGTATATACCACCATAGTCAAGATACTGAACAGTTTAATCATCACAAGAATTTTTTTTGTGTCACTCATTTATAACAACATATACCTCCCTCCCTGTTTCTCACCTCCATCCCTAACCCCTTGAAACCACTCACCTGTTCTTCATTTCTAGAAATTTTGTCATTTCGAAAATATTATATAAATGGAATAATACAATATGTAATCTTTTGGGATTGGCTTTTTCACTCAGCATAATTCTAAGGAAATTTATCCAAGTTGATTCTTTTCAATAGATTGTTCCTTTTTATTGCTGAGTAGTATTCATGCTACCTCTAAACTCGGTAGCCCCAGAAGATGGGCTCTTTCCTGTTCAGTGTCCTAGAGCCAATACATGAAACTGAAAGTGAGGATCACGTAGAGAGCAAGCTTTATTCCATGGCCAAGGGAGTGGAGAAACAGGAGTGTGGCTCAAAAATCACCTTCCGGACTAGTGAGGGGAGACAGGGATAAAATACAGGATTTCTCTAATGAAGGGATTGGACGTTAAAAGTCAGGGTAGGAATATTCAGTATTTTCTGAAAATGAGCAGTGAACTTCTCTGGAACCAGAGTGTCACCTTCCTTTTTGCCCTTTTATTGCTTCTTTTAGGATTGTTGTCATGGCAGTTATCAACTGTTATGGCATTGCTGGAGTGTCATTTAGAATGGAAATGAGGTAATAATGAAGCCTATAGTCTTTTTGAAGTTGTTGGTCAGCTATCTGGGTATCTTGATTTTAACCAGTCTTAGCTGGTCTGGTTACAAATGGAACATTTTTCCAATTTTTCTTAAAGATAAGCAGAGTTAGGGCAGGGTAGAAATTCAGCGATGTTATGTAGGCATTACACTGAGTAACATTCATAGTTCAGATATACCACAGATTGCTTCACCATTCACCTATGGAAGACATCAAGACCATTTCTAGTTTTTTTTCCCATTACAAGTTAAAGTGTAATAAACATTTGTGTACTAGTTTTGTGTGAACACAATTTTTATTTATCTGGGTAAATATCTAAGAGTGCAGTTGCCGACTGGTATGGTAAATGCATATTTAGTTTTTTAAGAAACTGCAATAGTATCTAGAGTAGCTGTACCATTTTACATTCTTACCAGCAAAGGATAAGTAATTTTGTTTCTTCTCATTCTTGTTAGCAATTAGTGCTGTCACTATTTTTAATTTTAGCTAACAGATAAGTATGCAGTGATATCTCTTTGTGATATTGATTTGCATTTTTTCTGGTGTCTAATAATGTTGAATGTCTTTCATATGCTTATTTTTCCATCTATATCTTCGTCCTTGATATACGTATTTAGGTAATTTGCTGATTTTCTAATTAGATAGTTTGGTTTGTAACTGTTAAGTTTTGAGAGTTTGTATGTTCTAGATACCAGTCCTTTGTTGAATATGTGGTTTGCAAACATTTTCTCCCAGTCTGTAGCTTTTCTTTTCAGCCTCTTCATGTGGGCTTTCTCAGAGGAAAACTTTTTCAATTTTGGTGAGTTCCAATATTTTTAGATTTTGATGAGGTCCAATTCATAAATAATTATTATTCTCCTCCTCTACCTCCTCCTCCTTCTTCTTTTTCATCATCATCATCATCATCATCATCATCATCATCATCAGAGATAGAATATCACTCTGTTGCTCACACTGTAGTGTAGTGGCATGATCATAGCTTACTGCAACTTCAAACTCCTGGTCTCACGTGATCCTTCCACCTCAGCCTCCCGAGGCGCATGGATTACAGTTGCATTCCACCAGCTAATTTTTTTTGTTTTTAAAATTTTTTGTAGAGACAGAGTCTCACTGTTTCTCAGGCTATTCTCAAACTCCTGGCCTCAAGCAATTCTCCTGCCTTTACCTCTCAAAGTGCTGGGATTATAGGTGTGAGCAAGCGAGCCACTGTACCCAGCTGTTTTGTGTGTGTGTGTGTGTGTGTGTGTGTGTGTGTGTGTGTGTGTGTGTGCTTTTGTTGTCCAATCTAAGAATTCTTTCCCAGCGCTAGAAGGTTTTGTATCCGCAATGTCCTCCTAAAAAGTTTTTAAGTCAATGATCCATTTTGAGCTTATTTTTGTATAAGATGTGAGGGTTAGGTTGAAGTCTGTTTTTATGAACGTCCAATTACTCCAACACCATTTATTGAGAAAGGATTATCTTTCCTCTATTGTATTTCTTTTGCATCTTTGTCAAAAATCAGCTAAGCATATTTATGTAGTCTATTTCTGAAATCCCTGTTCTATTTCATTGTTCAATGAGTCTTTCTGTCTGCTGGTGCCACACTGTCTGGATTACTGTAGCTTATAATAAGTCTTATCAGGTAGGGCAATTCCTCCAACTTTATTCTTCTTTGTCAAGATTGTTTTAGCTGTTCTATGACATATGCCTTGCCATGTAAAGTTTAGAATAAAATTGCATATGTCTACATAGATATAGATATATGTCTACATAGATATTGTCTAAAAAACCTGCTGAGATTTTGATAGGCATTATACTAAACTTATAGATCAATATGGGGAGAAATGATATCTTTACTATGTTGAGTCTTCCAATCCATAAACACAGTATGTCTCCTCATTTATTTAGATTATTGATTTATTTAATCAGAATTTTGTATTAAATACATTTTAGCTTTCAGATTCTGCACATCTTTTGTTAAGTATATCCCTAAGAATTTAATTTTCATTAGAGCATTTGTAAATCTTATGGTTTTTAAGTTTTTCCACATTTTCATTGTTACTATATTGAAATACAAATGATCTCTGTATAATCTTGTCTCTTGCAACTTTGCTAAACTCACCTAGTTCTAAGAGACTTTTTGTAGATTTCTCAAAATTTTCTGCACAGACAGTCATGTCATATGCAAATAGGGATGCTTTATTTCTTCCTTTCTTATCTATTTGATCTTGCCTTATATTTTTTTTCCTTATTGCTCAAAACTTTTTGTATAACGTCTAGGCATTTTTAAAAGTCTGTTTTCAGGTATTAAGAAGTCTATACTAATCTCAATAAAAACTTTACCCTCTTCAGTTAAGAGTTTTTTTCTCTTTATCCAGCTTGGACCAGACCTGTGACTCCCCAGACCAGCAGTGGGGAAGGGATGTGCTCTTTCATTCTCCTTGCTCCCCTCTCTCCTCTCCTCTATCTTGTCCTTGGCAGCATGCTTCTTTTAATTCCTTCCCTCTCTGTAGACTGCTCTATAACATCTTCTTCCTGGTAGACTTCCTCTTGTAACCCCATGGTTCAGTAGGTAGCCCTGTGGAGCAAGTTATTTTAATAACATTCTTGCCTGCCCAACTTCAACCACGTCCACTTCACCCTTGAAACGATATTACGCATCCTTGTCCTTCCAAATGTTAGGCATTCAAGCCTCTCCTGTTGCTATCTTCTCTTATCATTTTGTTCTGGGGAAAGCTTCAGCTAACTTCTCATTCAGGCTTTTCCAGAAGAATCAGGCTCAGATCTTTGACTTTCTTTCTTTGACTTCAGAAAACACATGTAAGGCTTATGCAAGAACACATGGGCTCCATTAAGCAGCAGCATGGGGCAAGTTCTACTTTCTACTGCCAAGTAAGCAACTAACGAGGGAGCTGGCTGGTGATTTCCTCTATTTAAACAATCCCAATTTCTGTGAAAGTTTTTCTTGGGGACCTTTCACCTGGCCAGAGACAGAGAGCAAAGAAAAGGACAGAACATGAAAAACATCCCGCATTCTCTACAGCTCATCAGCAAATTCCTGTCAAATAAATATTTGTCTTCTTTTAGATGAAGACCATGGCTTTATTTATATAGGCAGGAGTTGGATGAGCCAATTTTGATTATTCTAAGCAAGTCCTTAGGTTATATGCCCAGCACTTTGCTTTACAATATATAGGACATTCATCATCTATTGTGTTAAACTTCAGGTCCTCATTTGAAAATTGAAAACGTGAGGAAATTTCTATTTATCATCCTATTGCACTGTGATTGATGTTATAAGCTAAAGGTACACTGTGAGAGGTGGGTGGGTGCCTTATGCTTACGGGGAAAAGGCTCTGGAAGGCTTTCTAAGGAAGTGATACTTGAGATCTTCAGGATGAATAAGTACTAACTTGACAAGGAGGGCAAAGGAACACTCTATAAAGAAGGGATGTGTGGCCAGGAACATGATACTTTCAAAAAATGGAAACAAAGCCAGAGTAACCAGAATTCAGAAAGTGGCCAAGGTGGGAGGATCACAGGGTCAGGAGATTGAGACCAACCTGGCTAACACGGTGAAATCCCACCTCTACTAAAAACACAAAAAATTAGCCGGGCACGGTGGCGGGCACCAGTAGTCCCAGCTACTCGGGAGGCTGAGGCAGGAGAATGGTGTGAATCCCGGGGGCGGAGATTGCAGTGAGCCGAGATCGCGCCACTGCACTCCAGCCTGGGCGACAAAGAGAGACTCTGTCTCAAAACAAAAACAAAAACAAAAACAAAAACAAAAACAAATTGTGAAGGGTGTGAGATTTTATCCTATTTTCAAACAAACAGGCTAGCCTGTTACCATTTTATAGTGGCTGGCAGACAACATGAGACTCCAGGGTCAGAGAAAAAGACTATTACTCATGGCACAGCAAGTAGCAGGAGCTGCATGTTTGCATCAACCACCCCTCCACTCCCACTCAAAGTCCCACAGAGGTAAAATGAAGGGGTGCCAGTGGAGCTACACATGCAGTGAGTTTGTGTCACCCTTAAGGAGTCCTGAGCTTTCTGAACTTCAATCTTTTAAAATGGATAGTAAGCCTTCCTGACTTACTGGAGGGAAATACCGTCTTTATTACACTGGACCGTAATCAAACCTGCCTTCTGCTCCAGAGGCAAACACTGTCTCTAACTTCCAGGACAACTCCCTGTACTCTTGAAAAGATAATCTGGAACAAAATGGCAGTTATTGCATCTTTTTCTAAGAAGTGCGGCAATGTGAGATATACACGGATAATTGTCTCCCAACAGGATGCAGCGAGATGAAACTGGAGAGTTAAGATGTGGGCAAGACGGCCAGGCAGGTCTTGTAGGCCACAATAGGAATTTCCCCCTTTTGTCCTATGCACAACAGAGCACTGATAATGCTTTAAGCTGTGGTTGCATAGCAAGCATTGGGTGTATGGTCAATCTAACACTAAGATAAGACACACTCAGCTGCTCTGAATCTTGGTGTGCACTCTGCTTCTGTGTCTTTGCATGTGAGGTTCCCTTTGCCTAAGACTTCCTTTCCCCTGATTGTCTCTCCTAAATCCCAGATGGTCTCCTGGTTTCCTTGACACAGTTCAAGCCTCCCTCTCAGCTACTTTGCTTATCCAAGTCCCTGGTCTCTCCCACCCTCTGTGTCAGATTAGGTGACCTAGTTTTTAGCCATCTTATCAAATCCTGCTGTTTGCTCATTGCTTTTATGTGGCTCTGTGAACAAAAGTTGCCCCCAGTTCAGACCCTGGGATATTGCCAGATAAAGTATGTTCCTCACCTGGTAGGTGAGAGAGGATCAATAACCTCTAGGCTCATTTTCATTTGATTTGTGTGAGCAGAGTGCTTACCTTAATTGTGACACAAAGTATCTTTTTGGAAGCTTTCTGACAACTTTTTCCACTGAAAATGATAATTTTTACGTGGGAGGGAGGGAAGGGTATAGAATAAAAGAGGGGATAATTCAAGGGTTAAATTCTTAGACTCTGGCTTTTAATTTTATTTGTATTTTAATATATTTAGGAGTACAAGTGCTTTTTGGTTACATGAATGAATTGCATAGTGGTAAAGTCTGAGCTTTTAGTGTACGCATCACCCAAATAGTATACATTGTACCCAACAGGTAATTTTTTATCCCTCGCCCTTTTTCCACCCTCCCCACTTCTGAGACTCCAATATCCATTATACCACTCTGCATGCTTCTGTGTGCCCACAGCTTAGCTCCCGCTTATAAGTGAGAACATATAGTATTTGGTTTTCCATTCCTGAGTAACTTCAAAGATAATGGCTTCCAGTTTCATCCAAGTGGCTGCAAAAGACATTATTTTTCTTTTTTATGGTTGAGCAATATTTCATGGTATGTTTATATCACATTTTCTTTATCCTGTCATTGGCTGATGTGCACTTAGGCTGATCGTATATCTCTGCAGTTGTGACTTGTGCTGAGATAAACACACAAGTGCAGGTATCTTTATACAACGACTTCTTTTCTGTTGGGTGAATATTCAGTAGTAGGATTGCTGGATTGAATGGTAGGTTTACTTTTAGTTCTTTGAGAAATCTCCATACTCTTTTCCAGAGAGGTTGTATAGATTTACATTCCCACCAACAGTGTATAAGCATTCCATTTCCACTGCATTCATGCAAGTATCTATTATTTTTTGACTTTTTAATAATGGCCATTCTGTCTGGGGTAAGATGTCATCTCATTGTGGTTTTAATTTGCATTTCCCTGGTGATTAGTTATATTGACCATTTTTTTATATGTTTGCTGGCCATTTATATATTTACTTTAAAAAATGTTGATGGTATTTGTCCCTTGTTTATAGGATTATTTGTTCTTTCTTGATGATTTGTTTGAGTTCCTTGTAGATTTGAGATATTAGTCTTCTGTCAGATGTATAGTTTGTTAATATATTCTCAAATTCTGTAGGTAGTCTATTTACTGTTGATTATGTCTTTTATTGTGCACAGGCTTTTCAGTTTAATTCAGTCCCTTTTATTTACTTATTTATTTATTTTTTGCATTTGCTTTTGGGGTCTTAGTCATAAAATCTTTGCTTAGACCAATATTTAGAAGAGTTTTTTCTAGGTTTTCTCCTAACATTTTTATGGTTTTAGGTCTAATGTTTTTAATCCATCTTAAGTTAATTTTTGCATAGGGTGAGAGATACGGGTCTAGTTTCATTCTTCTGCATATGACTATCCAATTGTCTCAGCACCATTTATTGAGTAGGGCGTCCTTTTCCCATGTATGTTTATGTCTGCTTTGTTGACGATCAGCTGGTCATAGGTAGATAGTTTTATTTCTGGGTTCTCTATTCTGTTCCATTGTCTTATGTGTCTACTTTTATACCAGTACCATGCTGTTTTGGATACTATAGGCTTGTGCTATAATTTGAAATCTGGTAATGTGATGCCTCCAGATTTGTTCTTTTTGCTTAGGATTGCTTTGGTTATTTGGGCTCTTTTCTGTTTCCATATAAAGTTTAGGATTGGTTTTTGTTCTAATTCTGTGAAAAATGACATTGGTATTTTTATAAGAATTGCATTGAATCTGTAGATTGATTTGGGCAGTATGATCACTTTCATAATATTGAGTCTTGTAATCTATGAGAATGGAATGTTTTTCCATTTGATTATGTTATCTATAATTTCTTTCATCAGAGTTTTGTGGTTCTCCTTGTAGAGATCTTTCACGTCCTTGGTTAAATGTTTTCCTATTTTATTTTATTTTTACAGCTATTGTCCATGAGATACAGTTCTTGATTTGATTCTCAACTTGGATGTTATTGATATGTAATAGTGCCCCTAATTTGTGTACACTGATTTTGCCACCTGGGACTTTACTGATTTTATTTATCAAATCTAGGTGTCTTCTGGAGGAGACTTTAGGGTTTTCTAGGTAGAAGATAATATTATCAGCAGAGATAGCTTGGCCTCCTCTTTTCTGATTTGGATGTCCTTAATTTCTTTCTCTTGCCTGATTGCTCTGGCTAGGAATTTCAGTACTATGTTGAATAGAAGTGGTGAAAATAGGCAACCTTGTCTTGTTCCAGTTCTGAGAGGAAATGCTTTCAACTTTTCCACAATCAATATGATGTTGACAGTGGGTTTACATTCAAAGTTAGTAATGATATGTGTGATACTGTTCCAGTCACCATGTTGATTGTTACCTGGTTGCTTTGTATTCTCCATTGCATTGTTTTATAAGCCCTGGGAGTTTTCCACTTTTGACTGTTTTTATACTGTTGCATATTGACCTTACATTTTAATGTTTAGAACTCCTTTGAGCATTTCTTGTAGGATCATTCGGTCTAGTGGTGACAAATACCCTCAGTTTTTGCTTGTCTTAGAAAAACATTATTTCTCCTTCATTTATGAAACTTAGTTTTTGGAATACAAAATTCTTGGCTGACAGTTATTCCGTTTAAGGAAACTAAAGGTAGGACCCCAATTCATTCTGGTTTATAAGGTTTCTGCTGAGAAATATGCTGTCTTAGTCTGATAGGTTCTGCTTTATAAGTTATTTTATGTTTTTGTCTCTCTGCTCTTAGAATTCTTTCCTTCACATTGACTGTATAGCCTAATTACTATATGCCTTGGTAATATTCTTTTTGCAATGAATCTTCCAGTAGCTCTTTGAACTTCTTGTATCTGGATGTCTAAATCTCTAGCAAGACCTCAATCATTCCCTCAAATATGTTTTCCATTTTTTTTTTTGCTTTTTCTTCTTCTCCCTCAGGAATGCCTATGAATAAATTATTAGGTTTGGTTATGTTGCATAAGCTCATATTTCTTGGATACTTTTTTCATTTCTTTTAATTCTTTTTTCTTTATTTTTGTCTGATTGGTTATTTTGAAATCTTTGTCTTCAGGCTCTTAAATATTTTAATTTCCAGAAGTTTTGTTTTTCTTTTTCTTACTATCTCTAGAAATTTTTTCATTCATATTCTGATTTTTTAAATTTATTTTTGTTGTTTTTCAATTTTCTCTTGGATCTCATTGAGCAACTTTGTAATCAATATTTTGATTTCTTTACCTGTTATTTTAAGAATTTCATTTTGGTTTGGATCCATTGCTGGAGAGTTAGTATGATCCACTAGGAGTGTTGTAAAACTCTGTTTTTTCATATTGCCAGAATTATTTTTCTGGTTCCTTCTCATCCTGATAGACTATTTCTTAATAGTTTTTAATTTATTTTTGATTGGAGTGGGTTTTTCCCTGCTTTGAAGATGTGATTGCTTAACTTCAGCCCTGGATGTTTGCACAAATTCAAACCATATCATTTGCCACTGCCACCTCCCAAATCTCATATTCTTCTCACATTGCAAAATACAATCATCTCTTCTCAACAGTCCCCCAAGTCTTAACTCATTTCAGCATTAACTCAGAAGTCTTCAGTTCAAAGTCTCATGTGAGACAAGTCCCTTCCACCTATGAGCCTGTAAAATAAAAAATAAAATAAAATAAAATAAAATAAAAACAAGATAGTTACTTCCAAGATACAATCGGGGTACAGGCATTGGGAAAATACTCCCATTCCAAAAGGGAGAAATTAGCTAAAATAAAGAGACTACAGACCCTGTGCAAGTCCAAAATGCAGCAGGGCAGTTATTAAATGTTAAAGCTCCAAAATAATCTCATTTGACTCCATGTCTCACATCCAGGTCACACTGATGCAAGGGATGGGCTCCCAAGGCTTTAGGCAGCTCTGCCCCTGTGGCCTTGCAGAACACAGCCCCCATGGCTGTTCCCAAGGGCTGGTGTTGAGTGCCTGCAGCTTTTCCAGGTGCACAATGCAAGCTATCGGTGTACCTACCATTCTGGGGTCAGGAGGATTGTGGCCCTCTTCTCACAGCTCCACTAGACAGTGCCCCAGTGGGGACTCTACGTGGTAGCTCCAACCCTGCATTTCCCCTCTGTACTGCCCTAGTAGAGGTTCTCCATGAGAACTCTACCCCTGTAGCAGACTTCTGCCTGGACATCCAGGCTTTTCCATATAATTTTAAAATCTAGGCAGAGGCTTCCAAGCCTCAACTCTTGCACTGTGCACACCCACAGGCTTAACACTATGTGGAAGCCACCAAGGCTTGAGGCTTGCACCCTCTGAAGCAGCAGCTTGAGGACCTGAGCCCCTTTGAGCCATGGATGGAACTGCAGCACCTGGGATGCAGAGAGCAGTGTCCCAAGACTGCATAGGGTAGCAGGGCCCTGGGCCTGGCGCAGAAAACTATTCTTCCCTCCTTAGGCCTCTGGACTTTTGATGGGAGGGTCTGCCACAAAGGTCTCTGAAATGCCTTCAGGGTCTTTATCCCATTGTCTTGGCTATTCGTACTTCTCTTCCTTTTAGGTAAGCACATTTCTGCAGCCTGAAAATGAATTTTTCTTTTCTACCATATGGCCAGGCTGCAACTTTCCAAACTTTTATGCTCTGCTTCCCTTTTAAATTTAGGTTCCAGTTTCAGGTCATTTCTTTGTTCACACATATGAGCATAGGATTTTAAATGCAACCAGACTAGATCTTGAACACTTTGCTGCTTAGAAATTTCTCCTACCAGATACCCTACATCATCCTTCTCAAGTTCAAAGTTTCACAGATCCCTAGAGTAGGGTCACAATACCTCCAGGTTCTTTGTGAATGCATAACAAAAGTGACCTTTCCTCCAGTTCCCAGTAAGTTTCTTATCTCCATCTGAGACCTCATCATCCTGGTCTTCTCTGTCTATATCACTATTAGCATTTTGGTCAAAACTATTCAACAAGTCTCTGGGAAGTTCCAAACTTTCCCTCATCTTCTTGTCTTCTTCTGAGCCCTCCAAACTGTTCCAACCACTGCCTCTTACCCAGTTCCAAATCTACTTTCACATTTTTGGGTATCTTTATAACAATGCCCCTCTGCTAGGTACCAATTTTCTGTATTAGCCCATTCTTGCACTGCTATAAAGAAATACCTAAGACTGGGTAATTTATATTAAAAAAAGAGTTTTAATTTGCTCACAGTTCCATAGGCTGTACTGGAAGCATTGCTGGGGAAGCCTCAGGAAACTTACAATCATGGCGGAAGGCAGAGGGGAAGCAGGTACACTTTTCATGGCTGGATCAAGAGGAAGAGAAAGAAAAGGGAGGTGCTATACACTTTTAAACAAGATCTGATGAAAACTCATTATCACAAGAATAGCAAGGGGGAAATCCACCCCCATGGTCCAATTGCCTACCCCAGGCCACTCCTCCAACACTGGAGATTACAATGTGACATGAGATTTGGGTGAGAACACAAATCCAAACCATATCAGGCTAGGATGGCAGAGATCTCATGAAGCTTTCCTTGTTCCCCAGTGGTTTCCACTTTTTTTTCCTCAGGTGTTTTTTCTCTACTAGGTTGAACAGTTCAGCTTTCATGCTGGTAGGAGGTGCCCACGGGTAAGAACTGGCTACAGCTATAGCAGGTGGGTATATGCAATACTCCAATGGTGGGAAAATGTCGTAGCCCTGATGGAATTGGCTGAGGGAGCTCCTGGTGAAATGTACTGAGGTCTTTGCAGGGGGAAGGGAGGGAGTTGCCTCAGTTTTACTACCAGGTTGGCAGAAAAGTGATCCAACTCCTCATCACACTCTTGTTCCAGTGTTCTGGTGTTCTGGGTATTCAGATTAGACAGCCCCCCCCCCCTTTTTTTTTTTTTTTTTTTTTTGAGACAGAGTCTCATTCTGTTGCCCAGGCTGGAGTAGTACAGTGGCCTGATCTCGGCTCACTGCAACCTCCGCCTCCCAGGTTCAAGTGATTCTCCTGCCTCAGCCTTCCAAGTAGCTGGAATTACAGGCATGTGCCACCACACTCGGCAGACAGCCATTTCTGTTCATGTGTAGGATGCTGTCATTCCATCTAGAGAAGGAACAGGCTGTAACTTTCATGCAAGCCTGAGCCTACAGGGCATACCTCCCATGGAGATGCAGTCACCCCAAAATTTGTACAGAAGATAACTCAACCAAAGTTAAACAAAACCCCAAACAACCATACTTCCATTTCTTTACATAGATATTATCAGAAATAACCAATATTTTGTACTATATGCCTATATTAGATATATTTCATTTTACCTTATTCCTTCATTTTCTTCTACCTTTTTTATTCTTTAAATGGATGCTGTATCATTTAGTTGGCCAAAAATAAATATAGAATTTACTATTTGCATATGGGTAGTACCTGTATTTGTAAGTCTATCCTCATTTGCATCAAGACCTTGAAAAGAAGAAGGAAAATTTGGGTGCATTGAAATAAATAAATACTCATCCTTGTCAATATCTTCTAGGCATATTTCTTCAATAGGGCAAACAATTTTCCATTCAAGTGACTATATTCATCTTTAAGCCAATTCAAACCAATTTAAGCAATAACATTTTATGTGATTTTTGTTACAAGCTTCACCAAAGGCATTGCAATTATGAAACATCTACTTCATTTCCTTCAGCCATTGATTTTCTAATTTGTTGGCAAAAATCTATGACTTCAGTCTAAAGTGATATTTTCTTTATAAGGCCATCTTATCTTTTGCTTACGATCCCATTGTGTTCTAACTGTTTAAAGATTTTTCATCTTATTATATTTGTTTCATTATATTGCTAAGGTACAATTTCTGAATTATAATAGCTGGCTCAGCCATTCCTACCTGCTCTGTGGAATGATAGCATATCTGTTTTCCTCTAATCATATGGCGTGTCTTGAGTGCTTTGTTTAAAGACAATTATAAGCAATTCAATAGATGTTTGCTAATTTTCTTATTATGTCACAATGCATATCATTCAGACCAAATGTTTATGTTCACACTGACTCGAATTACTCCCCACCTGCACTTTGCCAATACTTTTTTTGAATTGTCTCCATTATTCTTATTGGGCAAGTTTATTTTTCTAATTTGACTTGGTAAGCAGGAGTTGAAAAATGACTACAATCATTTAGTTAAGTTTAGAGTCATAATAATTTAGTACTCTGTCTTTTTATTAGCAGACTTGTCTTCTGTAGCGTTTAAATTTCTCTTGGTATATTTGTTTAATCCTTTTTTTTCTTTCCATTTCCTTTTCTTTGCATAAGAGTAGCAATAATTTTATAATTCTGGATTTTCACTCACATGATCAATTCTGGTCACACTCTCTAATAGAGCAGGTATTTTTCCCCTTTCCTTCACTGTCCCTCTCTGTGGAACTATAAAGCAAATTATAGACATTAATTTTTATGACTTAGAGACCAAAGTTAAAGAAAATTCTCAACAAGATTTACACAAATGACTACCATCATTTGCCTTCATAAGAACTTAAGCTTTAAAATGCTGGCACTTTTAAATCCTATCTGCAGGTATGAAAAATCTGCACTTTGGCACAAATTGGGCATGGTAGAAAATTGTCGTGACATTTAATATATTAAGTAAGGGAAGTGAGCGAGAGTGAAAGGAAGGAAATTAATGCATGTGTAGCTATCATGACTGACACAGTTAGACCCTGTGATCTAAAATTTAGAAATTACACTATATGATGAGGGCCTTGAGAACTTGTTTATAACAAAAATAGTAATTAAGACAGTCTCAGTGTATAGACTCTTTCTTTGAAAAAAAGAAAAACCTCACCATTTGCACATGTGATCTCATGCTTTTCAAAATGAAATTGATAAAGATGGTTAATTATCCAAGATGACCACACATACCACTGTACATATAAGGAAATCAAGGCTAGCAGAGTAAGATTGGCCAAGGTCTTTCATCTAGGTGGAGGCAAAACTGAGACTGTGACCTGGGCCTTCTTCCCACATTATTGCATTTTGTGTATATGAATATGTCTGTCTAGTTAGAGAACTTCCAGCAGTTCAGTTTGGCTGCAGTTCTGGATACAGATATAGGCTCAAGGATCTTTAACACCTGGATGAATTAAATACTTAATTGGTGGTCCAATGGGAACCATTCAACCTATTGAATGGGAATATCATCTGGTCTGAGATGGGTTTCCAAACCTTTCTTAATCCATATTCCCATCTTCCAAACAAGTAGGGTTTGGGGTTCCTGTATCAGAGTTTAATCTGAAAAGCCACTAGTATGTGTACCCACACATACACACATGGAGACCCACAGACACACACGCACATAGGTACTTGTGGCAGGGATTTGGCTGTATGGGATGGGAGCTGGTTAAGTAGTTACTGTGAAGTTGCTGTCTTTGTACCTGTTATTGACGCTTAAAGTTCACAGCCCAGGCAATCCTGAAGAAAATATGTAAGTAAAGCAGGGGAGAGCATGATCAAGCTATAAGCCACAAGTGTGAGCTGGAGCCCATGAGGATAGACTGAAACCCGTGTGTGCTTTTATTGCTTCTGATCTGGGTGGTGGAGGTACGCTTCAGAACCCAAGGCCCTTCGTCTTGAAGTTAAATTCAGACAAAATTATTTTGGTGCATGAATCAAAAAAGCTTGTATTAAATATTGAATCCATTTTTGTTGTTTCATTGCTGAATCCAATTTCATGTTGTTTCATTGCTGAAAGCATTCAAGTCCCACCACTCCTCCTTCCTCTTCTGCTCCACATATGGGCAGGCTGATAAGAAAGCCTGAATGTTCCCTCCTCTGGCACTGGCAGGAAGTCCAAGCTACATCAGCCCTAGCCTTATCCTCTAACCACCCAAGCCAGTCTCTTTTTATTTTTTTATTTTTTTATTTTTATTTTTATTATACTTTAAGTTTTAGGGTACATGTGCACCACGTGCAGGTTAGTTACATATGTATACATGTGCCATGTTTGTGTGCTGCACCCAGTAACTCGTCATTTACATTAGGTATATCTCCTAATGCTATCCCTCCCCCCTCCTCCCACCCCACAACAGGCCCCGGTGTGTGATGTTCCCCTTCCTGTGTCCATGTGTTCTCATTGTTCAATTCCCACATATGAGTGAGAACATACGGTGTTTGGTTTTTTTTGTCCTTGCGATAGTTTGCTGAGAATGATGGTTTTCAGCTTCATCCATGTCCCTACAAAGGACATGAACTCATCATTTTTTATGGCTGCATAGTATTCCATGGTGTATATGTGCCACATTTTTTTAATCCAGTCTATCATTGTTGGACATTTGGGTTGGTTCCAAGTCTTTGCTATTGTGAATAGTGCTGCAATAAACATACGTGTGCATGTGTCTTTATAGCAGCGAGATTTATAGTCCTTTGGGTATATACCCAGTAATGGGATGGCTGGGTCAAATGGTATTTCTAGTTCTAGATCCCTGAGGAATCGCCACACTGACTTCCACAATGGTTGAACTAGTTTACAGTCCCACCAACAGTGTAAAAGTGTTCCTATTTCTCCACATCCTCTCCAGCACCTGTTGATTCCTGACTTTTTAATGATTACCATTCTAACTGGTGTGAGATGGTATCTCATTGTGGTTTTGATTTGCATTTCTCTGATGGCCAGTGATGATGAGCATTTATTCATGTGTCTGTTGGCTGCATAAATATCTTCTTTTGAGAAGTGTCTGTTCATATCCTTTGCCCACTTTTTGATGGGGTTGTTTGTTTTTTTCTTGTGAATTTGTTTGAGTTCATTGTAGATTCTAGATATTAGCCCTTTGTCAGATGAGTAGATTGCAAAAATTTTCTCCCATTCTGTAGGTTGCCTGTTCACTCTGATGGCAGTTTATTTTGCCATCCCCATCAAGCTACCAATGACTTTCTTCACAGAATTGGAAAAAACTACTTTAAAGTTCATATGGAACCAAAAAAGAGCCTGCATTGCCAAGTCAATCCTAAGCCAAAAGAACAAAGCTGGAGGCATCACACTACCTGACTTCAAACTATACTACAAGGCGATAGTAACCAAAACAGCATGGTACTGGTACCAAAACAGAGATATAGACCAATGGAACAGAACAGAGGCCTCAGAAATAATGTCGCATATCTACAACCATCTGATCTTTGACAAACCTGACAAAAACAAGAAATGGGGAAATGATTCCCTATTTAATAAATGGTGCTGGGAAAACTGGCTAGCCATATGTAGAAAGCTGAAACTGGATCCCTTCCTTACACCTTATACAAAAATTAATTCAAGATGGATTAAAGACTTAAATGTTAGACCAAAAACCATAAAAACCCTAGAAGAAAACCTAGGCAATACCATTCAGGACATAGGCATGGGCAAGGACTTCATGTCTAAAACACCAAAAGCAATGGCAACAAAAGCCAAAATTGACAAATGGAATCTAATTAAACTAAAGAGCTTCTGCACAGCCAGTCTCTTTTTCTTGCTTTCTCTCCTGTCATTTTTACAGGTTCTGCTTGAGAACCTCTCTTGCTCTCCCCAGAAAACCTCATTATGTGGGTAAGACCTTTTCATAACCTCTTGATGCATGTGTAGTGTCATCAGTCTCAGCATTTGAACCAAATTTTGGGTCATGTGGGCCCATCCTACCTCTGTGTGTGACCACTATAGAGTTGGTAGATCCAAAGAAAGTGGAGCAGTTGTCACCCCAGTCATGCCAACATGCCAACGATCGGCAACAATGTATGTGAGCTACGGAAGGACGATGCTTCACTGCTGCCCTCCAAGTCTCTCCTAAGAATCTCCGTTGCAGCCTACTCTAACTAGAAACATACAAGAAAGGAATTTTGAGAAATGTAGATCAGCCAGGACAAGTTACAAAGCCACTATAGTTCGTTTTAAATTTCATCATTTTTCTTGACATATATAATCATTTAATAACTGCCATAATGCAACACATAATTTATAGTCATCAGCATCTCCTCTTTTTCCATTAAATAAGATACTATTAAAGCACTTAGTAGATTTCCATCGCAAAAGTCCATGAGACCAGGCATCTGCCTTCCATTTACAAAGCATTTTTTTCATTGGATGTGTAAATACATTTCTTACATTCTCATTCATCACCTTTTTTTGTTTTTTTTTGAGATGGAGTCTCACTCTGTCACCCCGGCTGGAGGGCAGTGGCACAATCTCAGCTCACGGCAACCCTCTCCTTCAGGGTTCAAGCTGTTGCCCTGCCTCAGCCTCCCAAGTAGCCGGGATTACAAGCATGCACCATTATGCCCAGCTAATTTTTGTACTTTTAGTAGAGACAGGGTTTTGTCATGTTGACCAGGCTGGTCTCGAACTTCTGACTTCAAGTGGTCTGCCTCCCTGGGCCTCCCAAAGTGCTGGGATTACAGGCATGAGCCACCACACCCGGCCCATCCCTTTTTGACTTGGCCTTTGGTTCTCCTTTTGCCTTCTTCTCTGGTTTTCTGGTATAAGACTTGGTGTATTTGGGGTTTTATTTTAAATAATCCAGGTCTATTCATTTTCTCCAAGTACATTTCAAGAGCAAAACTAAAATCTTAGAAAAGGGAAACTAATGTCTGGGTGCGGTGGCTCACACCTGTAATCCCAGCACTTTGGGAGGCCGAGACGGACAGATCTTGAGGTCAGGAGTTCAAGACCAGCCTGGCCAACAAAGTGAAACCCAGTATCTACTAATGATACAAAACATTAGCCAGGCATGGTGGCATGCACCTGTAATCCCAGCTACTCAGGAGGCTGAGGCAAGAGAATCACTTGAACCCCATAGGCAGAGGTTGTAGTGAACCGAGATTGCACCATTGCAATCCAGTGTGGATGACAGAGCGAGACTCCATCTCAAAAAAAAAAAAAAAAAAAAAGGAAAAGGGAAACTAATGTGTAGAGGGTTTAATGAAATATTGGCAGGAAAATAATCTCTTTGTTTTGCTGTTTTAAACAGGAGGCATGTTGAACAATATAGGGAAATACAAATGTTTATTTGTTAGGATCTCTCTGTGATGCCGGCTGAGTCCCAGGAAAACACACTCGGAGATCGACATGGTGGGCTTTTGTTAGGGAGTGCTCTTGGGATCAACCTGTAAAAGGGAGGAAAAGAAGTAGGATTGTGCAGAGAAAGAAGCTGGGCTGAGATGCAGTCCAGTGGAAACCTCAGTCATTCCTATGGGGAGTTCTGAAGATGGCATGACCCTTGGGTCCCTAGTTGGAATGAAAGGGCTGGTCTTTTACAGGCCTGTGTTAATCAGTCATTGGATGTGGGCTGTTCTGGGACTGGGACAAGGTGTGTGACCTTGGATGAGTGGCTTCCTTCAAGATAAGGTAATCTCTGGATGGTGCTGATAGCTGAGAACTAATAACTTCATTTTGATGAGAAATCTTGATGGTGTGTCACTGTGACCCACATATTCTGAAAAAAGGTGCTTATAGAAGGGCAATTTTCTATGAATGCTGTTTTGCTATCCTATTATGGAATATTCTCTATTAACTCAGTATTCAATATCCATACTATTAGTGGTTAAGGGGATAAGATCATAATAAAATGCATCCTTAATACTTTTTTTATGACTCTCACGGTCAATTACACACTTCCTATGTCTTTATATCAGAGTCTTACAGCCATGTCAGTATGCCACCTCAAAAATGTTGAAAAAACCGATGAGTTTTGTAGAGTTTGCTCAGGGGGAATGAGCATTTTCTGCCCTCTCCTAGCCCTCCTTCTCATCCTGTCAGGTTCACCTGAGCTAAGTGGATCTCCGGAGTCTAAAATGGAGAAGATAAAAATAACTCAAATCATCTTCCCTCTGCCCGTCCACCTTGAACCTGTTCTCTTCTCTGCTCTGTGCCCTGCAAAGCTGATCCTTGAGGTCGACATTTTTCACCTCCCTTTCTGGCTGGCTTCTCATTGGGTTAAACCAGTGGGAGGCAAGAAGAAAGAAATTGGCTTGTTGAAGGAGAAAAAGGTCGGAGAGTTTCTTCCCTGCTGTCTCCATGTGTCAATGATGCTTCTTCAGCAGTAGCAGTGTCCTGTGGTAACAACCCCAGCCAGATAGTCCCTCTTCCAGGTTCCCAGCTCTCACTGGGCTCCAGTTACACTAGTTGAACTCTTTCGGTGCTGACCTAGGGTGGGAAGCATTAGCACATGGGCCATTACAGGGCATGCCCAGATGGGCAATTTTATTCTTCCATTAAAAAAAAAGATCAATAGCTTTGTTACTATACATAGTTTCCAGGAGATTTGTCCCTAGAAATTCCATTACATTTGGATGTCACTCAGGATCAAAGCAACACCTGCAAGTTTTTATGTTATACCACACACTCATCTTCCCTTAATTGCTATCTACCGTTTAAGGCTGATAGCAATAAATCCATACGCAGTGTGAAAGGGTAGCTGTGAATCCTGAGGCAACAGTTTATCATCATTAGCAAAGGTGATAAGGCAGGTACCTAGAAAACTTGGAAGGTCTCCTGCAAAATTAGCAAGAATGCCTGCCAAGCTCAGGCACTCTGACTTCTGCACACCTTTCTCTAGGCTGCCTGTGGCCAATTCTTTCCAAGTTTGTGCAGGTCATATCCTCCTTCCCTGCAGGCAGTTTTCTTTACCACTGTTTGTTTCATCGTAACAGCTGTTATTATTTAGTGACAGTGTGAATTATTAGGAAGAACGTATTTTATAAGTGATGTGATTCCCTTCTCTCTTCCCATAACAGAGAAGCCACTACTATGTTTCTAAATTTCTGAGTACTCTTGAACTAGTAGAGCCAGGAGATCTTATGGGTTGGGTCCATCCAGGAGGATTAATTGTGGATTCCTCAGTGGAGAAGGGAAAGGATGGGCAGAGTGCATGGACAGGCAGAGTTAGAGGCAGTGTCAGAGTGACTGCTGAGACAGAGAATAAGGTCAAGTTGGCAGAGACCAAGCCCTGCTTTGCACCAGTGGGGAGAAGGAAGCTGTAAAACTGGTGTGTGGAAATAACTCCTATGAGATGCATCCCTGGGCTTGTCCAGGGCAGCTGTGGTTGGGAAGATGGACTTTAATATTGAGCAAGCCAAAAATATTCAAACAAGGGTCACAATGTGGACTAATATTTTAAATATTCTTTTATAGTTTATTTTATTTCGATAGTTTTGGGGGAACAGGTGGTTTTGGGTTACATGGATAAGTTCTTTAGTGGTGATGTCTGAGATTTTGGTGTACACTGTACCCAATGTGTAATCTTTTATCCCTCATTGCCCTCACCCCTCTCCCACCTTCCCCTCGAGTCCTCAAATTCCTTTATGTCATTCTTATGCCTCTGTATCTTCACAGCTTAGCTCCCACTTATAAGTGAAAACATATGATATTTGGTTTTCCATTCCTGAGTTATTTCAGTTAGAATAATGGTCTCCAACTCCATCCAGGTTGCTGTGAATGACATTTTGTTCATTTTTAAGGCTGAGTGGTATTTTCTTTATCCACTCGTTAGTTGATGGGCATTTAGACTGATTCCACATTTTTGAAATTGTGAATTGTGCTGCTATAAGCATGTGTGTGCAAATGTCTTTTGAATATAGTGACTTCTTTTCCTTTGGGTAGATACCCAGTAGTGGAATTGCTGGATTGAATGGTAGTTCTACTTTCAGTTTTTTAAAGGCATCTCCACACTGCACACTGTTTTCCATAGTAGTTATACTAGTTTACATTCCCATCAGCAGTGTAAAAGTGTTCCCTCTTCTCCACATCCACTTCAACATCGAGTATTTTTTGTTTTTTTAAATTATGTCCATTCTTGCAGGAATAAGGTGGTATTTTAAATTTGCATTTGCCTGATAGTGATGAGCATTTTTTCATATGTTTTTTGGCCATTTGTGTATCTTCTTTTGATAATTGTCTATTCATGTTCTTTCCCCACTTTTAAATGAGATTATTTGTGGGTTTTTTTTTTTTTTTTTTTTTTTTGCTGATTTGTTTGAGTTCCTTATAGATTTTGGATATTAGTCCTTTGTGGGATGCACAGTTTGTGAAGATTTCCTCCCACTCTGTGGGTTATCTGTTTTCTCAGCTGATTATTTCTTTTGCTGTGCAGAGCTTTTTAATTTAATCAGGTCCCATCTATTTTTGTTTTTGTTGCATTTACTTTTGGGTTTTTGGTCCTGAACTCTCTGTCTAAGCCAATGTCTAGAAGAGTTTTTCTGATGTTATCTTCTAGAGTTTCTATGGTTTCAGGTCTTAGATTTAAGTCTTTGATCCATCTTGAGTTGATTTTTGTGTAAGGTGAGAGATGCGGATCTAGTTTCATTCTCCTACATGTGGCTAGCCAATTATCCCAGCACCGTTTGTTGAATAGGGTGTCCTTTTCCTGCTTTATGTTTTTGTTTTGTTGAAGATCAGTTGGCTGTAAGCATTTGGCTTTATCTCTGGGTTATCTATTCTGTTCCATTGGTCTACGTGCCTATTTTTATACCAGCACCATGCTGTTTTGGTAACTTTAGCTCATGGATGGGTAGAATCAATATTGTGAAAATGACCATACTGCCAAAAGAATCTACAGATTCAATGTAATTTCCATCAAAATACGATCATCATTCTTCACAGAACTAGAAAAAACAATCCTAAAACTTACATGTAACCAAAAAAGAGCCCACATAGCCAAAGCAAGACTAAGCAAAAAGAATATATCTGGGGCATCATATTGCCTAACTTCAAACAATGTAGACTAATTTTAAGCAGCCATTTACTTACTTATTTTAATGTGCATACGGAATATATATACTCTTTACATGTTAAAAATGGTTGAATGGCTATTCCTTTTTTTCTACTAATTAAATGAATTTGAAGAACATATCAAGAAAATAATAATATTGTATAGATAGTACCTAGATGCGTAAATTCCTGAAGTAGAGGAATATCAAGTATTGTAATGGAAAAAGTTAGAGGAGGCCACAACCATCAAGACCTGGCCCCTCTTCCAGTATTTCTGCCACAAATTTTCAGGATGTTTCTATCAGTATAATCCCATGAAGGAAGTGAATGGAGCCAGACATTTACTGAAATTGAATTTCTCTGCAACCAGAAGAATGGAGACTTAGACTAGGTATAATTTGATTTAGAAAAATAAAGGGAGGTGTGCTAAGTATTCTACTTGTTCTCCTATCAATTTGCTCTCTACTCTCTCAGACTTCCTCTGTGCCCTGCAAAATTCCAACAGGCTGCTTTGCCCTCCAGCTTTAATTGGGTTTGCTCAGGGCTGGGATTAGGGTAAAAGGAATGAGGACCCCAGGGTACTGCGAGGGCCTCTTTAAACTGTATGCCTAGTTCTGGTCCTGTATTCACCAATAGGAGACAGGATAGAAAAGAATGATGTTGGTGTATTAATTCCCCAGCTTCCTCTCTGCCGGATTGCTGGGGGTTTGTTGCTTTCTTCCACTGAGGCAATGGTTTCTATCAGCACATTTCTCCATACAGTTCTTCTTCCAGGTCCCCCAACCTTGTCCTTATTATTTCTCTCAGTGTGTGTGTGTGGTGTAGGGAAAGGGATGGCTAGTGAAGGCAGGGGAGGAACCTGGTTGTTACAGCTGGCTCCCTGCTGTTACTAGACCTAGGGTACCATACCATTCCTTGTTATTGCCCTGGGGGACTCCACCATTCCTTGTTCCACACTGGAGTGCAACACTAGTCCTTTTAGGAGACTAAATCCTGCCCACAACTCTATAAATATTCCCTTTATTAAAACCTCCCATTTACTTGCTTGACTTTACTATCTGTTTCTTGCTGGAACGAAAAGGGATATAGCACATAACATGTCTTGATCCCTGGAGCTATGATCTAAAATTCAACTCTTTTACATTTAAGAAATGAAGTAATTTTCTTATTGCCTGTTTTCCTATGAGTTTGCTGGTTCTAGAGTGGACAGGGCCATTATCTGTTGTCACCAGTGTGTCCGTAGGGCCTAAAAGCTTAGTATATGCTTGTTGACTAACTTACTATCGACAAAATCTATGTCACAATTTCCCTATATAAGAACAAAGAACAAGGAATATTGTATACTTGTCTGTTAGAATAAAATCTTGCAACAGAGAAATAGGCTGAGAAAAGAGTGGCGAATTTATTCTCTGTCTCTGCCTCTATAATATATCATTAATTTCCCTAAATTCTTTAATGTTTTCTTAGTAATTTTTGGCTCCAAAATCCCTACTTGGTGGATAAGGTAAAACAAATTTCAGTAAGCAAACTTCACAGGGGGGTGGAAGAGGCATCATAAGTACACCACATGCTCATTCTTCTTAATTGCCAGATCTTCCATCTGTTGGTCTGAGATAATATTGATAAAGGAATTAAAGATGCCACACCATCTCCTGAATCAAATGAGAACAGTCGTTCTTAAGTTACAGAATATGACATTTTAATGCTTTGCAACATGAAGAGGAAAGAGCATTTAGTTTATTTTCATGTGGCTAATTTGAAGCTAGATTAGATCATCTAGTTAACTCATAGGTTCTTAACTTTTAAGGCCAAATATTGTGTAGCATCTCATTTTCACAGTGGCGGTTGTTACTGTTAATAATTGAATCAACTAGGAAGTTAACCTTGAATACCAAACACAAAATCTCTAAACCAAAAGCTAGAAGTAACACAATTTGGGGAATAGAGCCATGCTTAAATAAGAGGCAGCATTGTGTTGCCTCAAAATAGGCATAGCTTTGATGCTTGAATATTTTAATATATTTTTCTATATGGATAATGTTGTTCTCTTAAAATCTTGTTACTTTCTCATATTATGGAGCAGAAAGAATGGTGGAAAATCTCAAAAACAAATAAAGCAACGCTCGTAGTCAGTACTTGAATACTGACTCAAGTACTCTGAATCTCAAGACAGGACCCAGTGACATTTTGGAATTGGATGGATCTAGCTTGTCTAGACCAAGAGGTGGGTCTGGCTTGTCTCTGGTGGTTCTAGCTAAGAAGGGAATTCTTTGAACCACTCAATCAGATTTAGAATTGGTATTAAGCAATAATAAGCTACTGTAGTTTGCCACTATAATTCAGACTATATGACCAGAAATGAAATGGGGCAAATAAATTACATCAGTGGCTTACAATTTTAAGACTTCTGAAGATTTTAGTATTAAAAGCCTGGGGTAGTAAGATGTGAATTACAATTTTCTTTTTATGTAACCATGGAAACACCTGAAAAATACACAGCCTCTGAATGGACATTTGATTTGAAATTTATACAATACCACAATTCTGTTTACCAAACTCAAGTTTCAGTTCAAACTCAGATATTGGCAGATAGCCTTCAGAAGGTCACCAGGCCACTCAGAAGTCTGAGGGTTTCATACTTTGGTTAATTTTCACCCCCTCCATCCCTTGCCCATCAGCACCCTTAATCTTACTTTAGCGTTATCTGTTTTTCTTTGACTAACATTGTAAAGAGTATCATTTAACTGAGTTCAGACTAATTGGGAATGAATATGCAACACATTTTAGTCCAACTTGATTATCCTGTAGGTATCCTAGGAAGATTGTTCTTGAATCTGTGCGTTTCCTGCATGCTAGTTTCATGTATCTTTTAATGACATCTTGATTACTGCCATTATTATTTTATGTTTATAAAATGCCCTGAAATATGTCTTTAGCTCATCTCCAGTTCTTTATAGTTTAAAAAGCCCGACTATCTTCTTTAACAACCTCTTCAGTTTCAAGCCCAATCATTTGAAGAGATCTACCTTTCACAAATTGGAAAAATAAGATTTTGAAGTAGTGTTTACAGCCCATGTAGACTAGAACAAGAATAGTTAAAAAGGTAAGCATGAGAGGCCTTTTCAGCTGAGTAGCACCAGTTTGAAAGTGAACATCAGTATTTCTACTTAAAGTATGTTAGGTTGTGTAGGTTATATGGCTTTGGGAACAGGGGAAAGGTTTTGAAAAGATAAATCAGAGGAGATTATACGGGAAGACTTTTATTCTGCAGAAAAAAAAGTATCTGAGTATTATATTTTTTCCCCAGAAACTTCTTTCTTGCTAAAGACTATGGAATCAAAATCCACAGCAACTCCCAGCATGTTAAGAGAAGAGACCAGAATTTCAGTGACATTTTAGGATTAGGATAGATTAATGTCATCTCTGTGTCCCAAGAGTCACAACATATTGATAAAACGGTGATCAGGATGCCGTTATAAAATGACATCCTGTGTAAGTCAGTGTGGCTACTCACAGAAGATCCCCAACATGGATTGGTGAGTCCACTGGAAAAAGGAAAACAGTGTACTTTGTGGCTGGTGGTTCTGTAGTCAAAGGCATAGTTTCCTGGACAAACATGAAGCCTAAACTGTATTCACAAGGAAAAATGGCAAAAGAGAAAGCCCAGATTTAAAAGGTAGAAGGGAATTGATTGACACAAGAGAAGGATATTCAAGTGCAAGTAGAATGAAAGAAACTTCGCTGAGTTGAGATCAATGAATTTCAAAGAAGGTTAGATGAAAAAGTGTGCAGTGGTTTGGATTATAAAGAGCAAAAATGGCCTTCACTTGGCAAAAACACAAGAAAGATAGTAGAAAGGGCCAGGTTTGGGGAGGAAAATTGTGTTTGTCCTAACAAGAGTCAACAAAACCAGGGGAAGACAGACAAACAGCAATAAACCCGGTCTTAGAGAAAATCCTCCCAGTAAGATCACAAGAACAGTGAAGACCAGGGTAGAGGTTTATAGACTGAAGGGAAATACTTATGTCTGGCAGTGAGAGATTAAACAAGAACATATCCCAAGGGAAGGGCATGGTGCAATGAATCTGTAAAATACCTGACTTACAAGTATAAGCCTTTGTCCTATGTCTGACCCACAGGTAGCTTCTATTTGTTCTGCTCTGTATTTAAAAATGTATTAATTAGGTGGTGAGATTTTAAAACCAAAAATATTTCACATAGGTCAAGATTTCTGGCACCTGAAAAAGAAGGATTTGGGAAATCCATTGCAAATTTCTACATAGCAACAAGTACATGGAACTGAGTGGCAGCTGCTGTCTTTAGATAGAACACACCCTTCATCAATTCACCAAATAAATGCCCCGTCTCAGGCCTGCTTCACTCCCTTACCTTAGCCACTTGGCTTCTTAGCCATTTGAGTTGGTGAAGGACACTCTGGCTTGAGGTGACTGTAACAAAGTTTGTATATCATTTGTCTAGAATAATTTGTGTGTGTATGTGTGCGCATTCATTCTTTGATCATTTCACAAACATTTACCAAGCACCTACTATGTACTGAGCTGAATTCATTGGGAAAGCTAAAGATAGCAGTCCTAGGCTTTGCTTTCAAAGAGCATAGCCTCTGGAGGAACTATGCCACATGCACACCCATCACTTATGTACAAGGTGTAACGTGACGTAAATGCAGACCTATGGGAACTTGGAGCAGGGCGACATCACTTTAATCTGAGGGAACTTCAAAGAAGGCTTTACTAAACAGGACACATTTTTTTTTTTTTTAATTAGTGGGTTTATTTTTAAATGCCATAGAGATTTCAGAACTTCATACAGGTAGTGGTTAATGCAGAAACATCTGATCCTGGGTAAACTCCACTGATAAAATTATGATATCCAGGCAAGACAATTCTTGATGGAATTGGTCAGAACTCTAGTTGCAGAGTGGTTCAGTTTACCTTGACTTCAGCAAACATATGTTTACACAGAAAGTAAATGTATCCAGGGTTGCTGAATGTCCTTTTATTTATTTATTTATTTTGAGATGGAGTCTCACTCTGTTGCCCAGGCTGGAGTGCAGTGGCATGATCTCAGCTCACTGCAACCTCCGCCTCCTGGGTTCAAGCAATTCTCCTGCTTCAGCCTCCCAAGTAGCTGGGAATATAGGCGTGCACACCACACCTGGCTAATTTTTGTATTTTTAGTAGAGACGGGGGGAGTTTCACCATGTTGGCCAGGCTGGTCTCGAACTCCTGACCTCAAGTGATGATTGCATCCTTTTAATATGCTGCTTTTTAAAATCTTGTTTAGGGTTCATTTACAACCTAGTGAGACAATATCACTTTGAGTGTGGAAACCTCTTTCCTGTTTAGATTGCGTTCTTTAACAGGGATGACAGTTGCTCATAAAATGCTCAACTGTTTTGCTTTGTTAATGGCAGCTAGGAAAAAAACCACAGGACCCACATTAGGTTTATTTCAAAGCTACACCAAGACTACTTCCTCTAGTCTTATTTAAGCTCAACTCTAACTCAATATTTTCTTTTGCTCTTCTCTGTTTTTGCACAATCAGGCATGGGTTTGTGAAACATGCCTCCCAGGGTAGGAGAGGTGATGTCTAGAATGCGAAATCCCAGATAATCCCACATCCTGTCACTATATTTTCAAATTATTTAGTAGTAACAGATCTGTTTTCCTGCTTTTATTTGACTTGGGGCAATTTAAAAATGATCATGCACTTCTGAAAATACCTGGGTTTAGGGAGGACAAGCAACAGCTCTACCCCCTCCTCCCCCCTTGCCTGTGGCAGAGTTTAGGTACTGAACCTAGACACAGTGTCAGACCCTTCAGAACATGGCACTTTAGCAACCATCAGAGTGGCTACTTGAGTCTAGATAAAGATGCTGATCTTCCCTGCCCAGGTGATGCAGGGGAAAGGCAGCCAGAGAATGGATGGTTCCTCTGAGTAGGTTCATTTATTAAATCTACCATGTGCTGTGCATTGGCTGGGCGTTTCCCCCAAGTTCTCCCTTAATTCCTATCCATCTCTATGAGACAGTTTTATCATTCTCATTTTAAAGCTCATGAACTATCTGGATTCAAATCTAAGTCTGTCTGCCTCCAGGGTTGAGGACATTTTATTTTGTAAGGTAGAATCATCCACGTACAAGGCTGTCTCCCCACCAGATTATGAACAGCTATGGGGCACAGAAAAGCATTTATTCCATTCCTAGTAGGCATTAACAGAAAATCATGAATTGAAGGGAACCCCAAAGTCGCTTCTCCCCCTTTAATGTTCTTATTTCTGGTGGGGAGCTCCCTGCTCCATTTCAGCAGCAGTAGCACATTTCAGTTTTGTCATTTATTGAGAGCTGACTCCGAGGCAGGTGCTTAGATCTTGGCAACGAGATGAGGCACGGGGCAGGAGGGCAGTGACCTCTGTCTCCCCAGCGCCTCCTGCAGGGCTGACACACAGCAAGTCCTCAGTGCTTGTCTGTTACAAGGCTGAAAAAAGGAATGCTTCTCCGGTAGATGGCTCTCCCATTCCCATAGTGAGGGGATATTTGCAAGGAATTGCCCCTCTCCCTGTCTTCACTGCAGAAGACAGTCCTCCTTCTCTTTAAAAATGTGTATTTTTTTTTCTGATCCTAGAAGTAATATATGCTTATTATAGAATTATCGAACATTTTGGAGAAATTTGAATTATGAAAAATTAAAGAAATAAAAAATAGTCATACATTTAGTTTGCTGCTAGAAAATAACAAAGAATATCTATCTAAATGTAAGTACATGGAAGACATTCATGATATCCTTTTGAATGAAGAAAATAAAGTTTTAGCACACTAAATGTGTTCTAAATATGACTCAATTTTCCTAAAATAAATAAATGTAAATCCTCCTAGGAAAATATCAAAAAGAATGTATACCGATTCAATCTTGTGTTAAGTAAGTCAGTGATGAAGAGTGAAACATGTGAAGGGTTTTATTTTTGTTTTACATGTTCATAGATTGTTTTAATTTTAACTATTATGTTCTACTTTTTTAGTTACAAAATATTTTTTAAATTATAAATTTATAATTAAACAAAACAATAACCAGTGTTAATATTTTGTTATCTTCTGGCATTTCTTTTTAAAACATCTGTATCAAACCATAGGAAGCATTTGATTTTCATTTGTTTTGTTTTGTTTTTGAGACAGGGTTTTACTCTGACATCATGGCTGGAGTGCAGTGGCACTGAGTTTTGTTTCAATTTTTTTTACTTAATGTATCTTGAGAACTTTCACAAGTCATTAAAAGTTTATTAGAAATATTACTTTTAATTGCTTGGTGTTTCATCATTTGAGGATTCCATAATTTAGCTATCCCTCAGGTACAGAACATTCAAACTATTTCCATGTTTTCTCAATAATAAAAAATGCTTCCACAAATAGCCTTGGACAGAATTTGTATTCATCTCTATTTTGCTACATCATATTTCCACAAGCAGAATGGTTGAGTCAAAGAATATGAAGATGTGTGATACGCTGTGCTGTGGACCTTCATGGCTGGGCCTACCAAGCTTAGTGAACCCAGATTTGGTGTTACAGCAGACACACGGGATGAAGTACCTGCAGATTGTTCATTGTGATAAAATTCCCATAGCGCTGGGTGTGTGTGAGTTCCATCCCTTACTTCGTGATCTGGCCTTAGGCAGCAATGCTATCCTGGGGGAGAGGAAAAGGTCGCATCAAAAACCTAGAAATATGTCCTTCCTAGTAGCGTGGTTGAGTGTACACAGAGAAAGTCTCTTTGGCTCCTGCTCTCCATGATCTAGCAGGACATATTTTTGGCAATCTCATCATAATTAGGCTTCTGTTAGACTATACATTGTCCAATTTATTTGAGAAAGATTCAGAGTTTTATCAACATGGATTTGTCATGAAAAAACAGCTTTGCAGCTGGGCGCAGTGGCTCACGCCTGTAATCCCAGCACTTTGAGAAGCTGAGGGAAGTGGATCGCTTGAGGTCAGGAGCTTGAGACCATCCTGGCCAACATGGCAAAACCCCATCTCTACTAAAAATACAAAAAAAATTAGCCAGGCGTGGTGGTGTGTGCCTATAATCCCAGCTACTCGGGAGGCTGAGGCAGCAGAATCGCTTGAACCCAGGAAATGGAGATTGCAGTCAGCCCAGATTGCAACGCTGCACTCCAGCCTTGGTAACAGAGTAAGTGAGACTATGTTTCAAAAAAAAAAAGAAAAAAAAAAAAGGAAAAAAAGCAACTTTGCCATTTGATGAGAGTATTATTTATTATTTCCACATTTGGGTTCTTTATGAGGTAAAGTTTTGTTCATATGCTTATTGATAATTTGTATTTTTGAGAGTAGAGTATGTTATCTATTTTTTCACTGAAGGTTTTTCTTATTGCTTTATAAGAACTAATTGCCTAGGCGCGGTGGCTCACGCCTGTAATCCCAGCACTTTGGGAGACCGAGGAGGGCGGATCACAAGGTCAGGAGATCGAGACCATCCTGGCTAACACGGTGAAACCCCGTCTCTACTAAAAATACAAAAAATTAGCTGGGCATGGTGGCGGGTGCCTGTAGTCCCAGCTACTTGGGAGGCTGAGGAAGGAGAATGGCATGAACCCGGGAGGCGGAGCTTGCAATGAGCCGAGATTGCGCCACTGCAGTCCAGCCCAGGCGACAGTGCCAGACTCCGTCTTAAAACAAACAAACAAACAAACAAAAAAAAAAATACCAAAAGAAACTAAGTATACAGATGCTTATCTTTTGTCTATCTTAAATATTGCAAATATTTGCTCTGTTGTTTATTTGCCTATTCATTTTATTTATAATGTTTCATGGTATATAAAAATTTAAATTTCATGTAACAAATTCTGTTAACATTTTCCTTTGCACTTTCTGCTTTTATGCTTATAAAGGCTTTCTGTAATGATATCCACTAAATAATCAATTATCTCTGGGTCTTATTTATTTTTTTACATTTTACACTTTAATCCATTTGGATTTCATTCTGATGTATGCGTGACGCATGTATCTGACTTGATATATTTTTCCCAAAATAATTCAGCTTCTCACTTCCAGCCCCCTACTCTCCATTGCCCTTAGAGTTGCATCAGAAATGGAGATAATTCATTAAAAAGGAAGAAGTAATCAAGGAAGACCACCTCTCCTAGGGCTCACCATGCTGGAGAAGGGGCATCCACCTTGCTTTTGTCATTCAAAGAGGCACTGAAAACACACCATCGAGTTTCTGAAAGAAAAGCTTTTCGGGCTGCCTGGAGTTCTCATTAATTCTAGACCATAATAGTGGTACTTATCTCCTTTATGCTGCTGACTATTATTTTTCCTGGTATAGGATGTGATTTTTTTTCTTTTGTTTTAATTCCCATGTCACCCATGATACTCTTCAAAAGAGGTGGATGAAATTGACTTCCAGCTTCCCCTATGCCCTGGAATAGAAGCAATGCTTTCATGATAAATTACACAGAAAAAAAAAAGGCAGCTGGAGTTGCTTGTACCAAAATGAGAGTGGCTTTTGGCTCTGCTTCAGTGACTTTATTTCACATTTCTTTCTGAACTCTCAGAGAAAAGTGATAATGAGAGTTTAATCTCTAGACTTGTGCCATCAGCTTTTTATTTTCCTTGGAATGTTTTAAATCCTACAGGGCCTCAATTTCAGCCACTAGACACAGCACTTTCATGGTAGCTCTTCCCTGGGGTGGAAATAATCAGAGGGTAAAAATCCTAGGTTTGCCATATTTTTCAGCTGCAATCTGGTATATTTTTATTATTTTGAAAAGACTAGGGGCACACACACAAAAGCTTAGTGGGGAGTGAGATGAAGGATGGAAAGCAGCTATTCTACAGTTTGCTGGAACTCAGCTACTGTTGTGAGCTAATATTCAACACCCTTATGGATGCTGATACTCTGATCTTTCCACTTTTCTGAATTTTGCTCTCTTCTTTGCTATGTTGGCTTGGGATGTACATCATGGAGTATGTCATTAGACTTTATCCAAATTGTTTGTGTGTTGATGTTGAACCCATAAGAACTAAAAATTCCTTCATTGGAATCCTTCCTGTGGTAGGTAAAGCACAGTGTGGCTAGAGGGAGTGGTGGGTTCTAATAATAGTGCTTTTCTAACTTTTTTTAAAGCAGGAAAATTATTTTTTTGAAAGTCTTATGAAAATAACATTTATTTACTACATGACACTTGGGATACAGATGATACCATACTTATATATTTGTTTCAACAGATCAAATCTGGCTCCAGCCTCTCCCTGACAATATTAAAAAGATCCTCTGAGTCTTTTATGTCTGGCAAGGCATGGGTCATTAGTGCACAATAATTCCTGTGGCCCTGGCTCCCCACCATGGTTTCATGATCCATCAAGACAAGATGGCTCCACTTTTCCATCTCTGCCACGAAGTGTCTTTGCTGAGGTTACCGAGGCTCTGTGCTTAACACCAAGTCCTTATAAGTGCCCATGTTGCCAGGCTTTTTGAGGACCGGCTTGTCTCAGAGAGATTCCATTTTGTGTAGGGCATTTAGCATCATTATCTTATTTAAGTTCGGGAGATTCACTCTTTCAGAAGCCTTGGAGCTTCCCTTCCTAATCGTCAGGGTGCACCATCTCCATATTTCTCCTCTTTAGGTCATTCAACTTACTTTCATCATGTGCTAGAGCTTTGAACTTTAAGTGTCTCTTTAGGAGTTATCATTAGGGAATTCTTCTGCTCCTGGCTGTTGAAGAGGTGGGTGGAGGAAGCAACAGTGCAAGCTCTTTTGACTCTGCAACCTGGAATGTAGACCTAAGGATTAGGGCCCGTCACTCTTTTGAGGTGTGGGGGTGATACATTTTTTGTTCTTTCATAGGAGATTATCTAAGAGAAAAGAAAGTACCATTCTTTAATCTTTTAATAAGCAGTCTTATTACATTAAATTTTCAGCAAATCACCATGATATATGTGGCCTATTGATATGCGAAATAGACAGAATTGGAGATGATGTGATGGATGTGGATGGTGGCAAGAAGCCCTCCTCAAACCCAGCATCCCCCTAACGTTCGATGGCTCCTCAACTACCTTGAGGGGTCCTGGTGGGGAGGAAGCAGTTGTGGTATCTATAGATCTCAATCTAGAAACCATTTAAAATTGGTATTTCTGATAACATCTCTTCATATCCACACATATTTATTATGACAGTTTGACCTAAGAATGTAAACATGTTCCAAAATGTTCCTAAAGAGGAACAGCTCCAATACCAAGCTGGCCAACTTTGGTGCCCTCTGTAACAGAACTGTGGAATATTTGAGAGAAGATTCCTATGAGGCATCCACTTTCTAAATAACATTCTCAAAGAATAAGGAAGTCCTCTTAGGCATTTTAGTTTTTCTTAACAGAAACACATCATTTCTATGATGTTCTTACTTTCCACCAGGCTGAGTTTATGTAAAATAACTGAAATTGAAAGAGAATGCTTACTATGTGCCAGGCACTTTTTCAAACACATCCCATATAGTATTTATTTATTTTTAGTCACAAATACTTAAAAGTGCCAGAAATTTTGTATTATTATTATTATTATACTTTAAGTTTTAGGGTACATGTGCACAATGTGCAGGTTAGTTACATATGTATACATGTGCCATGCTGGTGCACTGCACCCACTAACTCGTCATCTAGCATTAGGTATATCTCCCAATGCTATCCCTCCCCTCTCCCCGCACCCCACAACAGTCTTCAGAGTGTGATGTTCCCCTTCCTGTGTCCATGTGTTCTCATTGTTCAATTCCCACCTATGAGTGAGAATATGTGGTGTTTGGTTTTTGTTCTTGCGATAGTTTACTGAGAATGATGATTTCCAATTTCATCCATGTCCCTACAAAGGACATGAACTCATCATTTTTTATGGCTGCATAGTATTCCATGGTGTATATGTGCCACATTTTCTTAATCCAGTCTATCATTGTTGGATATTTGGGTTGGTTCCAAGTCTTTGCTATTGTGAATAGTGCCACAATAAACATACGTGTTCATGTGTCTTTATAGTAGCATGATTTATAGTCCTTTGGGTATATACCCAGTAATGGGATGGCTGGGTCAAATGGTATTTCTAGTTCTAGATCCCTGAGGAATCGCCACACTGACTTCCACAATGAACTAGTTTACAGTCCCACCAACAGTGTAAAAGTGTTCCTATTTCTCCACATCCTCTCCAGCACCTGTTGTTTCCTGACTTTTTAATGATTGCCATTCTAACGGGTGTGAGATGATATCTCATTGTGGTTTTGATTTGCATTTCTCTGATGGCCAGAGATGGTGAGCATTTTTTCATGTGTTTTTTGGCTGCATAAATGTCTTCTTTTGAGAAGTGTCTGTTCATGTCCTTCACCCACTTTTTGATGAGGTTGTTTGTTTTTTTCTTGTAAATTTGTTTGAGTTCATTGTAGATTCTGGATATTAGCCCTTTGTCAGATGAGTAGGTTGCAAAAATTTTCTCCCATTTTGTAGGTTGCCTGTTCACTCTGATGGTAATTTCTTTTGCTGTGCAGAAGCTCTTTAGTTTAATTAGATCCCATTTGTCAATTTTGGCTTCTGTTGCCATTGCTTTTGGTGTTTTAGACATGAAGTACTTGCCCATGCCTATGTCCTGAATGGTAATGCCTAGGTTTTCTTCTAGGGTTTTTATGGTTTTAGGTCTAACGTTTAAGTCTTTAATCCATCTTGAATTAATTTTTGTATAAGGTATAAGGAAGGGATCCATTTTCAGCGTTCTACATATGGCTAGCCAGTTTTCTCAGCACCATTTATTAAATAGGGAATCCTTTCCCCATTGCTTGTATTTCTCAGGTTTGTCAAAGATCAGATAGTTGTAGATATGCGGCATCATTTCTGAGGGCTGTGTTCTGTTCCATTGATCTATATCTCTGTTTTGGTACCAGTACCATGCTGTTTTGGTTACTGTAGCCTTGTAGTATAGTTTGAAGTCAGGTAGTGTGATTCCTCCAGCTTTGTTCTTTTGGCTTAGGATTGACTTGGCAATGCGGGCTCTTTCTTGGTTCCATATGAATTTTAAAGTAGTTTTTTCCAATTCTGTGAAGAAAGTCATTGGTAGTCTGATGGGAATGGCATTGAATCTATAAATTACCTTGGGCAGTATGGCCATTTTCACGATATTGATTCTTCCTACCCATGAGCATGGAATGTTCTTCCATTTGTTTGTATCCTCTTTTATTTCATTGAGCAGTGGTTTGTAGTTCTCCTTGCAGAGGTCCTTCACATCCCTTGTAAGTTGGATTCCTAGGTATTTTATTCTCTTTGAAGCAATTGTGAATGGGAGTTCACTCATGATTTGGCTCTCTGTTTGTCTGTTGTTGGTGTATAAGAATGCTTGTGATTTTTGTACATTGATTTTGTATCCTGAGACTTTGCTGAAGTTGCTTATCAGCTTAAGGAGATTTTGGGCTGAGACAATGGGGTTTTCTAGATATACAATCATGTCATCAGCAAACAGGGACAATTTGACTTCCTCTTTTCCTAATTGAATACCCTTTATTTCCTTCTCCTGCCTAATTGCCCTGGCCAGTACTTCCAACACTGTGTTGAATAGGAATGGTGAGAGAGGGCATCCCTGTCTTGTGCCAGTTTTCAAAGGGAATGCTTCCAGTTTTTGCCCATTCAGTATGATATTGGCTGTGGGTTTGTCATAGATAGCTCTTATTATTTTGAAATACGTCCCATCAATACCTAATTTATTGAGAGTTTTTAGCATGAAGCGTTGTTGAATTTTGTCAAAGGCCTTTTCTGCATCTATTGAGATAACTATGTGGTTTTTGTCTTTGGTTCTGTTTATATTCTGGATTACATTTATTGATTTGCGTCTATTGAACCAGCCTTGCATCCCAGGGATGAAGCCCACTTGATCATGGTGGATAAGCTTTTTGATGTGCTGCTGGATTCGTTTTGCCAGTATTTTATTGAGGATTTTTGCATCAATGTTCATCAAGGATATTGGTCTAAAATTCTCTTTTTTTGTTGTGTCTCTGCCCAGCTTTGGTATCAGGATGGTGCTGGCCTCATAAAATGAGTTAGGGAGGATTCCCTCTTTTTCTATTGATTGGAATAGTTTCAGAAGGAATGGTACCAGTTCCTCCTTGTACCTCTGGTAGAATTCGGCTGTGAATCCATCTGGTCCTGGACTCTTTTTGGTTGGTAAGCTATTGATAATTGCCACAATTTCAGATCCTGTTATTGGTCTATTCAGAGATTCAACTTCTTCCTGGTTTAGTCTTGGGAGAGTGTATGTGTCCAGGAATTTATCCATTTCTTCTAGATTTTCTAGTTTATTTGCGTAGAGGTATTTGTGGTATTCTCTGATGGTAGTTTGTATTTCTGTGGGATCGGTGGTGATATCCCCTCTATCATTTTTTATTGCATCTATTTGATTCTTCTCTCTTTTTTTCTTCATTAGTCTTGCTAGCAGTCTATCAATTTTGTTGATCCTTTCAAAAATCCAGCTCCTGGGTTCATTAATTTTTTGAAGGGTTTTTTGTGTCTCTATTTCCTTCAGTTCTGCTCTGATTTTAGTTATTTCTTGCCTTCTGCTAGCTTTTGAATGTGTTTGCTCTTGCTTTTCTAGTTCTTTTAATTGTGATGTTAGGGTGTCAATTTTGGATCTTTCCTGCTTTCTCTTGTGGGCATTTAGTGCTATAAATTTCCCTCTACATACTGCTTTGAATGCGTCCCAGAGATTCTGGAATGTTGTGTGTTTGTTCTCGTTGGTTTCAAAGAACATCTTTATTTCTGCCTTCATTTTGTTATGTACCCAGTAGTCATTCAGGAGCAGGTTGTTGAGTTTCCATGTAATTGAGCAGTTTTGAGTGAGATTCTTAATCCTGAGTTGTAGTTTGATTGCACTGTGGTCTGAGAGATAGTTTGTTATAATTTCTGTTCTTTTACATTTGCTGAGGAGAGCTTTACTTCCAACTATGTGGTCGATTTTGGAATAGGTGTGGTGTGGTGCTGAAAAAAATGTATATTCTGTTGATTTGGGGTAGAGAGTTCTGTAGATGTCTATTAGGTCTGCTTGGTGCAGAGCTGATCTCAATTCCTGGGTATCCTTGTTGACTTCCTGTCTCGTTGATCTGTGTAATGTTGACAGTGGGGTGTTAAAGTCTCCCATTATGAATGTGTGGGAGTCTAAGTCTCTTTGTAGGTCACTCAGGACTTGCTTTATGAATCTGGGTGCTCCTGTATTGGGTGCATATATATTTAGGATAGTTAGCTCTTCTTGTTGAATTGATCCCTTTACCATTATGTAATGGCCTACTTTGTCTCTTTTGATCTTTGTTGGTTTAAAGTCTGTTTTATCAGAGACTAGGATTTCAACCCCTGCCTTTTTTGGTTTTCCCTTTGCTTGGTAGATCTTCCTCCATCTTTTTATTTTGAGCCTATGTGTGTCTGCACGTGAGATGGGTTTCCTCAATACAGCACACTGATGAGTCTTGACTCTCTATCCAATTTGCCAGTCTGTGTCTTTTAATTGGAGCATTTAGTCCATTTACATTTAAAGTTAATATTGTTATGTGTGAATTTGATCCTGTCATTATGATGTTAGCTGGTTATTTTGCTCATTAGTTGATGCAGTTTCTTCCTAGTCTCGATGGTCTTTACATTTTGGCATGATTTTGCAGCAGCTGGTACCGGTTGTTCCTTTCCATGTTTAGCACTTCCTTCAGGAGCTCTTTTAGGGCAGGCCTGCTGGTGACAAAATCTCTCAGCATTTGCTTTTCTGTAAAGTATTTTATTTCTCCTTTACTTATGAAGCTTAGTTTAGCTGGATATGAAATTCTGGGTTGAAAATTCTTTTCTTTAAGAGTGTTGAATATTGGCCCCCACTCTCTTCTGGCTTGTAGAGTTTCTGCAGAGAGATCCGCTGTTAGTCTGATGGGCTTCCCTTTGTGGGTAACCCGACCTTTCTCTCTGGCTGCCCTTAACATTTTTTCCTTCATTTCAACTTTAGTGAATCTGACAATTATGTGTCTTGGAGTTGCTCTTCTCGAGGAGTATCTATGTGGCTTTCTCTGTATTTCCTGAATCTGAATGTTGGCCTGCCTTGCTAGATTGGGGAAGTTCTCCTGGATAATATCCTGCAGAGTGTTTTCCAACTTGGTTCCATTCTCCCCATCACTTTCAGGTACACCAATCAGTCGTAGATTTGGTCTTTTCACATAGTCCCATATTTCTTGGAGGGTTTGTTCATTTCTTTTTATTCTTTTTTCTCTAAACTTCCCTTCTCACTTCATTTCATTCATTTCATCTTCCATTGCTGATACCCTTTCTTCCAGTTGATCGCATCGGCTCCTGAGGCTTCTGCATTCTTCCCGTAGTTCTCAAGCCTTGGCTTTCAGCTCCATCAGCTCCTTTAAGCACTTCTCTGTATTGGTTATTCTAGTTATACATTCTTCTAATTTTTTTTCAAAGTTTTCAACTTCTTTGCCTTTGGTTTGAATGTCCTCCTGTAGCTCGGAATAATTTGATCATCTGAAGCCTTCTTCTCTCAGCTCGTCAAAGTCATTCTCCGTCCAGCTTTGTTCCGTTGCTGGTGAGAAACTGCGTTCCTTTGGAGGAGGAGAGGTGCTCTGCTTTTTAGAGTTTGAGTTTTTCTGCTCTGTTTTTTCCCCATCTTTGTGGTTTTATCTACTTTTGGTCTTTGATGATGGTGATGTACAGATGGGTTTTTGGTGTGGATGTCCTTTCTGTTTGTTAGTTTTCCTTCTAACAGACAGGACCCTCAGCTGCAGGTCTGTTGGAGTTTGCTAGAGGTCCACTCCAAACCCTGTTTGCCTGGGTATCAGCAGTGGTGTCTGCAGAACAGTGGTTTTTTGTGAACCGCGAATACTGCTGTCTGATATTTCCTCTGGAAGTTTTGTCTCAGAGGAGTACCTGGCCTTGTGAGGTGTCAGTTTGCCCCTACTTGGGGGGTGCCTCCCAGTTAGGCTGCTTGGGGCGTCAGGGGTCAGGGACCCACTTGAGGAGGCAGTCTGCCTGTTCTCAGATCTCCAGCTGCGTGCTGGGAGAACCACTGCTCTCTTCAAAGCTGTCAGACAGGGACATTTCAGTCTGCAGAGGTTACTGCTGTCTTTTTGTTTGTCTGTTCCGTGCCCCCAGAGGTGGAGCCTACAGAGGCAGGCAGGCCTCCTTGAGCTGTGGTGGGCTCCACCCAATTGGAGCTTCCCAGCTGCTTCATTTACCTAAGCAAGCCTGGGCAATGGTGGGCGCCCCTCCCCCAGCCTCGCTGCCACCTTGCAGTTTGATCTCAGACTGCTGTGCTAGCAATCAGCGAGACTCCGTGGGTGTAGGACCCTCCGAGCCAGGTGCGGTATATAATCTCCTGGTGCGTGGTTTTTTAAGCCCGTCAGAAAAGCGCAGTATTCGGTTGGGAGTGACCCGATTTTCCAGGTGCCCTCTGTCACCCCTTTCTTTGACTAGGAAAGGGAACTCCCTGACCCCTTGCACTTCCTGAGTGAGGCAATGCCTCGCTCAGCTTCGGCTCGCACACGGTGCGCCCACTGTCTGTCACTCCCTAGTGAGATGAACCCGGTACCTCAGATGGAAATGCAGAAATCACCCATCTTCTGTGCTGCTCATGCTGCGAGCTGTAGACCGGAGCTGTTCCTATTCGGCCATCTTGGCTCCTCCCACCAGAAATTTTTCTAAGTATTCAATGAATATTAACTCATGCACTCTTGCAAAAAACCTTCACATAGGTAATCTTTTTATCACCTCCATTTTCCAGGTGAGAAAATTAAGGCACAAAAAGTTAAAGAGAATTGTCCAGAGTCACATAGCTAACCAGTGGCAGGCTTCAGGTTTGCACAGTGATAGTCTGGTCCCAGAGTTAAGGTTCTTTACTTCTACATCTCTTACCCAATGACAATGAAGCTCATTTAATCATCCCTAGGAGGAAAGTAATATATCTCTATTTCGCAGATGATGACACTGAGGTCCAATGCATTTAAGTATTTGCTTGAAATCATACCACTGCTAAAAGGAAGAATATGAATTCACATTCAGTTATTCAGGGTCAAAAGCCTGTCTTAATAGCAGCGATTGAATCTTTAAGGGACACATTTGCCAATGTCACACCGCTGCTAAAGGCAGAGCCTAAAAGCACGCTTGGATCTGTCACCCAAATCAGTGTGTTTATACTTCAATGAATAGACAATAAATTATGAGTTTAAATGTTTTGGGGAATTGCTTAAAATATTTCCCATTTATATGTAATAAAATAACAACTAACAAAAGCTAGAATTTACTATGTTCTATTATTGCTATTAATGTATGTGTACTTTCTAATTTATTAAGATAATACACAGGCATCTCATGAAAATCATCCAACATATAGAAGAATATATAGAATAAAGCAAAAATCATCAGAAACTCCACCGTCTTGGATGACCATAGTTGATATTCTGGTGAGTATTTTTACATTTACTTTCTCTACACATTTAATGCATGTACCATATATGCAATCATACAATTTTAGGAAAATGGAATCTTACTATAGATATTATTTGTAACTTGCTTTTATCCATTCATTGCTTCATTCAAAATACTTATTCACAGCTTAACGTTTATCAAATGATATGCTTGAAACAATATGTTGTGTTCACTTTTCTATTTCAATGAACAGAAATATCAATCTTTTCATGGGTAATAATCTGCAGTAGTCAGGATAGGCAAGGTTATTCTGTAGTAACAAATTAACCCTTTCAACTCAGTGGCTTAATGAAAAAAGAATTACTTCTTGCTTACACAGTTGGCTGTGGGTCCGGTGTTCCTAAATGGTGACTCTCAGATCCATGCCTCTTCCATCTTATGGTTCTCATCTTGGTGAGGGACTTCTGGTCACTGCAGCAGGGGAAAAGTGCTGGAACATTACACAAAGGCGTTCCACGGCCTTGGTCTAAAAGTCAACCTGAAACACTTTGTTCCTGGTCCTCTGACCAGAAGTAGTCACATGGTGCCATCTAACTTCAGGAAGCCTGGGATATATAATCTTCTGTGTGCCTCAGGGAAGGCGAAGAGAACCAGAAATTGGTAATGTCTCCCACCTGAGAATTCTTCTGTGGAATGTTTCATTTATTTAGCTAATTTTCTCTGGATTCATAGTTACTATTGTTTCTGTTTTATGAACAACACTGTGATGAACATCCTTCCACATGTATTACATACTCTCATCCATTAATTTCTCAGTTTAAATTCCTGGAGAAGAAATCAATAAGTCAAAAGTATATTTAAAATATTAATATAGGTTCTGGACCTAGACTGCTCATCCCTGCTCTTCTCCCATGTAACACAGGGGCTTAAAGCCCAGAAAGTATGTTTCTCAGACTCCTTTGGGTTAAAGTTCAGTTTAGAATCTGTTAATGAGAGGCACTCCTGTGAGATGGAGAAGGAAAAGCTATTATTCTCTGGGAACAACTTAGGGCTGACACATGGGGCAACTCAAACATGAAGTTTTCCAATTGCATCTGGGCATCCTCATGAGAACTATACACATCAGCACTACCATCAGTGAGGTCATCTGTGTCTCCAGGTGCTCTCTGGAGAATCACCTATTTCAGTATTGCAGGGAGCTAAGATATAACTGGTGACCGCCTTGTAATCTTGCACTGCTGGATTTCTTGAAAGGAGCCTTCCCAATCTACATTCCTCCAGACTCCCAGCTGTTGTGTAAACCTCAGTGTAAATACTCAATATCATTCCTCTTCTTTCCTAGAATGGCTTCTGTTCCGATTGAACCTTGACTGATGTAGCACCTATCACCAAATTGCTGTTCAGGAAATATGTCCTAAAGAAACTCCCAACAGCAGCAATACATCAGAGTGGCACCTCTTTACACTGGTTCTTGGTAGGTACTGTCAATATTTTTCAACTTTGGCAAAGTAATACTCAAAACAAAAAAAAATTAGTAGTGGTTTATATTTGCATTTCTTGAGTTCAAAATATTTATTATATTTTACTAGTTGTTTTTTCTTCTTTTGTAAATTGTATATTGATGTCTTTGATTATCATGCCTCCTCTTTTGACTAACAAACTTTCCTAAATACTCTCCTCTTCGGTACTACTTTTATTTGGCACTAGTTTGCCCCTCTTATATTCCAAGGGTAATCATTTGTTTCAGTATATTAGGTCTGGGGAAGAAAGATCATTTGCATGTGAACAAATGACTAAGTCACCAAGTGGGAGACTGCAGCCTGTTAGGGTAATTCCTTCTCTCTGCACCAAAGAGGACAAACACTTTTAAGTATGAAAAGCATGTTAAGGCAGATTATTTTGAATAAAAATAACTTGTAAGGCTTTCTTAATGGTATTTGGTTCTCATTTTCCCCTTTGGTTTCCCCTTTCACCAATGATCCTCTTTTGGTGTGAGTCTGTGACACATCACATCCTTTAAAGAAGAAAATAAAATTTCTACAGATGAAAGTGTTTGCAGGGAGTGGGTTTATGCTATACTGCTTCTGAGACTCTGAAAGAGAGACTACCATCAGAAAGAGTTGTATTTTCCTTTTGAACCTGAGAGATGAAAAAACAGCAGCAAAAGTAAACTTTAAGCAAAGGAATTGAGGGAAAAATGCCAGATAGCTTTGGTCAAATGGTCATAATTTGCCAAGAATTAAAACTGGAAGAGAAGATTAACACTTTGAGGGTGGTTTAGAACCAGGAATGGAAATGAAGACTTACAAATCTATTTGATTGGTGATGGCCCTGAAGAGTTGGGCTGAGATAGATTCTGAGGCAAAGTCCATGTTTAATTAGAAAGTGTCCTGTGGTCACTTAATGATGGCTGCCACAGTTCAGGAAGCTGAGGGAAAAAAACAGATGCCACAAATTTATCATTCTCTGGTTTAGGATGTGGGTCTCAACTGGAGCTAAGAAATGATATTTTCTAAGATGAAATTGCGTAAACGTGAACATTCCCTAATGTCCTAGAAAAAAGGAGGACTTTCTAATGCAGCCTGTCTCCATCCCAAATTCCTCATATCTGTTTGGTTGATGAACACTGGTTGAAGCTGGATACAAAATTGTTTTAATTTACCTGACATAGGAAATTATTAGCACTATTTTTTAAATTCTACAAAGACCATAGCCAATATCTTATAAGCTCATACCCACAAGATCATAAACATAAACTCTCTTTTGAGGAGACTTACTTACTGCTGAAAGACATTGGTGAGTAATGGATATAGGTTTCATGGTGGATACATTATGCCCTAATCACAAACTATTCCTTGGAGAGTTTCATTAATTCTTTTATGTCAGTTCTGTACTGTTTAATGTTTCCAGACATTTTAATAAAGAACAGACTAGTATATTAATTCTTTTATTCATTTCACACAGATTTTTTGTTCTTACTATGTACAAAACACTTAATTGGGATGGCCATAGAGACGTAAGACGTGGTTTACCATATATGAGAAGCTTACACACATTGGGGGAACAAGGGCGACACAGATGAAAATCTAAACAATATAAGCAGAAAATTTTAGAAATGTAGAAAAGTTGCCATTTGAGTGACAGCGATAATAAAACCCAGAGAAGTCTAGTAGAGGCTGTGTGCCCAGGAAATACTTCACAATAGAAATAGAAATGAAGGCCAGGCCTAGTGGCTGATGCCTGTATTCCCAGTACTTAGGGAGGCTGAGGTGGCTGGATTGCTTGAGCTCAGGAGTTCAAGACCAGCTTGGGCAACAGAGTGAAATTCTGTCTCTATAAAGAAATACAAAAATTAGCGGGGTGTGGTGGTGCCCACCTTGTGGTTCCTGCCTCTCAGAGATGGGATCATCGCTTGAGCCCGGGGAGGCAGCCTGGGCAACAGAGTGAGATCCTGAGGAAAAAAAAAAAAAGAGAGAGAAAGAAAGAAAACATGGATAAAACCAAACTCAATAGAGAGAAATAAGAGGCAGTAAGTATATTTCTATTTGGATTGGGTTGGAAATAGTGTGGCAATATGAAAATGAGCATGTTATGTATCTGCCCAGCTGGAGAGAAAGGTTTCTTGTTGAGAAAATAGTGGAAGAGTTGGAAATGCTCATTCGATGCCTTTGGCTATTTTTGGATGTATCCAGGGGTACTTTAAGTCCATAGCCCTGTGGAATTTCCAAAGTCTTTGGTGCCCTAGGGCTAACTCTGGAGGTCTTGTTCCATTTGAAGCACATCCCTGAAGTTTGTCCAAATGGCAGTTCATGCTCCAGAATTTTCCCAGATCAACATTTTTTAAACCGTTCTAAAGTACGTTATTAGATATTCTGTTTTAAGAAATCAATGCTAGCCGTATTTTTCTTTTTAACATTCATCATAAATATGTCTGAAAGAAATATTAAAGAACTTATGCATGTAACCAAACACCATCTGTTCCCCAATAACCTATGGACATAAAGAATTTTTTAAAAAGAAATATTAAACTGTACTATTAATACTAAACTATATTATAATGTTAAACTATGTGTATACATGTAGTTTTTATTTTAGTATATCAGTACGTATTCCACATAAAAAATGCCAAGAAGTTGCAGAAGAGACCATGTAATGCATGAAAACATTATGTTTAATTTTGTTCATGGGCTGCACCTACCAACCTGAGAATCGTATTGATGTATGTTGCCTATCAAGTGGTTTTGGACCGTTATATATCTTGTTTTAGAATGTAAATATGTATTTGTGTTAGTTAGTGTTTATACTATGCAGTCTTTATACTATGCAATATTTATACTATGCAATCTTGTTCCCATGCATCTGTGACTATTAGAAGGTCTTTTAACATAACAATCAGAATATAATCACTCTCAAACTGTTTTAAATTGGACCAGACAAAAGGTAGAATACTTCAGAGTAGGGATAGTAATCAATGTCTTCAATTTCTTTTAAAACTAGGAACTGAACCTTTAGAATCTAATTAATCATTTTTGGTGCAATCTTATTCAAGAATACCAAAATATTTTAGAACATATTATTCTTCTTTTGAAAATATACTTGTATAGAACAAAATTTTTATACTCTATATCAATTAGCAAAAATTATAGGAATAAACTTGGTGCTACTCCTGATATAAAAAACTGACCTATCAGTAGTTTTCCTCATATGAAAAATATACACCATCTATAGTGGGTTGAATGGTGCCCCCTCAGGAGACATGTATGTACACCTGAAACCTGTTGAGTAGGAACATATTTTGTAAAAGAGCATCTACAGATATAATCAAGTTAAGGATCTTCAGATATGACCATTAGGTGAATCTTAAATGCAATGACACATGTCCTTATAAGAAGGGGAGACACAGACACAGAGAGAAGCCCATATGAAGACAGAGGCAGATATTGAAGTTACATAGCCCCAAACCAAGACTATCAAGGGTTTCCAGCAGCTACCAGAAGCTAGGAGAGGCGTGGAATATATTCTAAGAGCCTCTAGAGGGAAACAATTCTGCTAACATCTTGATTTTGGACTTCTTAGCTTCCATAACTGTTGTTTAAAGCTACCAAGTTTTTGGTAATTTGTTACAGCAGATCTAGGAAACTAATACGTTACCCATTTCTTTCTTCATATCTCCCTTTCTCCCCTTCTTTCTTCCCTTTTTCCTCCCTCCCTCCCTCCCTCCCTTCCTTCCTTCCTTCCTTCCTTCCTTCCTTCCTTCCTTCCTTCCTTCCTTCCTTATCTCATGCACTCAGCAAACCTTTCAGTGCCTACTATGTGATAGGCAGTGGGCAAGTGGGATTAGAAATGTAGCAGTAATAATAAAACACCATCTCAGACACATTGTGTTTTATTACACCTTTTGGGAGATATACAATGTCTTTCTTAATTTTTCTTTATTGTGAATGCTTGTGGCCTCTTCTTCATTCACATCAGCATCTGAACACGTTCCTGCCAAATGCACTTTAAATGTGAATGCTAACTTATTTGACTATACTTGTGTCAAATGTTGTTCTGCAAAAGTTGTACTAGATCTCAGTACTGATCATGCTCCCTGCTGAAGGCATTGGCCAGCTTGGGGAAGGACTGCCTTTGTCTGCATCTACCTTATCACTCCCCAAGCTCTGAGGGATTTGGGAGTCCAGGACTGGCCGCTGTGGCTCCTTATTTGATTTACCCTCCTCCACTGTGCCCCATGTTGTATTTCCTTCCATCTCCCTTCCCCACCCTCACCCACATTTCTCCTCTTTTAGCCCTCAGCTCTCATGCTTTTTTTGATCTTTTGACATAGCCAAATAAAATCCTAACTTTTTACCATGATTTACAAGTACAAAATGCTCTGGGCTCCCTCTCCTGCCACTCCTCTCTTGGCTCACTAGACATCAAATGCCCTGTTTTCCTTGATGTTCCTCCAAGATTCCAAGTATGCTCCTCCCTCAATGTGTTTATACTGGTGTCTTCTCTGTCAGAAAGGTTCTTCCTGAGACAGTCATGTGGCCCAGTCTCTCACTTCATATAAGTCTCTGCTTAAATGTCACCTCTTCAGAGAAGACTATGCCCAAACTATTCCTAAGACTGCTAACATAATTTGGATATTTGTCCTTCCGAATCTCATGTTGAAATGTGATCCCCAGGGTTGAACGTGGGGCCTAGTGGGAGCTGTTTGGGTCATGGGGCAGAAACCTCATGAATGGCTTGGCGCCATCCCCATGGTAATGAGTGAGTTCTCTTTCTGAGTTTATGCGAGATCTGGTTGTTTAAAAAGAGCCTGGCACCTCTGCTTCTCTCTCTTGCTCCCTCTCTTTTGTTTCGTCTCTCACCATGTGACATGCTGGCTTCCCCTTCACCTTGCACCATGATTGGGAGCTTCTTGGGACCTTCACCAGAAGCGGATGCTGGCACCACACTTCCTGCACAGCCTGCAGAACCATGAACCCAATAAACCTCTTTTAAAAATAAATTACCCAGCCTCAGGTATTTCTTTATAGCAATGCAAAAACAAACTAATACACTAATTTAGCTGCTTCACTTGTTCTCATTGCATTTACCACTGCCTGGGATTAGAGCATGTATTTGTTGACCTGGTAATTGTCTCCTCACCCAGTGTGTGTGTTTCAGGAAGAGAAGGACTTCATTTGCTTTCTTCACCGCTGCATTTCCAGATTCCGCAGCTGCATCTGGCACATAGTAGGCATTCAATAAATATTTGTGAGTGAGTGAGTGAATAAGTAAATAAATAAAGTCAGAGCAGACAAATGTGATAAGACAATGAAGCCCCAGGGCATTTGTGCCCTTCCTTGGTAACACAGTTGTATTGTAGTAACATCTTTCTGGTGGCTTTTTCTTAATCCACATCATAACTAGCATAATAGTTTGCGAAGCACTTTCAAAAGTTCAAGTTCCATAATGTTCAAAATGGCCCCCAATTTTACAGATGAGGAAATCGAGATCCAGCAAGGCAAGAGATTTAGCAGCTAAGGTCACACAACTCATCAATGACAGAGCTGGAATTCAAACCTAGGTTTCTAGACTTCAAATCCAGGACATTAAAAAAGATAAAGAATGAAAACCAAAACCAACACAACTGTGAACATCAAAAAACAAGAAACTTCCACCACAACAGCCTCTCTCTCAAAGGGAAATCAGTCCCGATGTGGCCCAGATGAGGGTTAGGGGTAGTATTTCACGTGATTGTAGTCTGCACTAAATTCATCATACAAGGAGGCATTTATTACTTTAATGCTTAAAATACATGCCTAATGATTACACAGAAGTGCTTTGGCTTTCCAAGGCTGATGATGTCATCGTGTCTTCTACAGGCATATTTATATCATTATGGCACCATTTTTTTTTTAAGATACAGGGTTGTTTGTTTTTTTTCTTGTAAATTTGCTTCAGTTCCTTGTAGATTCTGGATATTAGACCTCTGTCAGATGGATAGATTGCAAAAGTTTTCTCCCATTCTATAGCTTGTCTGTTTGATGACAGTTTTGTTTGCTGTGAAGGAGCTCTTTAGTTTAATTAGACCCCATTTGTCAATTTTTACTTTTGTTGCAATTGCTTTTGTCGATTTCATTGTAAAGTCTTTGGCCATGCCTGTATCCTGAATGGTATTGCCTAGATAGGCAAAGGATATGAACAGACACATCTCAGAAAAAGACATAAAAGCAACCAACAAACGTATGAAAAATAGCTCAACATCACTGATCATTAGAGAAATGCAAATCAAAATCACAATGAGATACCATCTCATGGCAGTCAGAATGGCAATTACTAAAAAGTTGAGAAACAACAGATGCTGATAAGGTTGCAGAGAAATAAGAATGCTTTTACGCTGTTGGTGGGAGTGTAAATTAGTTCAATGATTGTGGAAGACAGTGTGGTGATTCTGCAAAGATTTAGAACCAGAAAAGCCATTTGACCCAGCAATCTCATTACTGTGTATATACCCAAAGGAATATGAATCATTCTATGATAAAGATACATCCATGCATATGTTCATTGCAGCACTATTCACAATAGCAAAGGCACAGAATCAACCTAAATTCCCATCAATGATAGAATGGATGAAGAAAATGTGGTACATATACACCATGCAATACTATGCAGACATAAAAAGAAATGATATCATGTCCTTTTCAGGGACATGGATGAAGCTGGAAGCCATCATCCTCAGCAAACTAATGCAGGAGCAGCAAACCAAATACCACATGTTCTCACTTATAAGTGGGAGCTGAACAATGAGAGCACATGGACACAAGGAGGGGAACAACACTTACTGGGGCCTGTCTGGGGAGGGTGGTCAGGGGAGAGCATTAAGAAAAAGAGCTGTTGCATTGCTGGGTTTAATACCTAGGTGATGGCTTGATAGGTGCAGAAAACCACCATGGCACACGTTTACCTATGTAACAAACCTGCACATCCTGCACATGTAGTCCAAAACTTAAAAAAAAAGATACAGGGTCACATGTGCAGGTTTTTTACATGGTTATATTGTGTAATGCTGGGATTTGGACTTCTATTGGACTCATCACCCAAATAGTGAAATTAGCACCCAATAGGTAGTTTTTCAACCCTTTCCTCTCCATCCCTCCCTGCCTTTTGATGTCCCCAGTGTCTAATGTTTCCATCTCTATGTCCATGAGTACCCATTGTTTAACTCCCTCTTATATGTGAGAACATGGAGTTTTTGGTTTTCTGTTTCTGCATTGATTCACTTAGGATCATGGCCTCCACGTTGCTGTAAAAGACATGATTTAGTTCTTTTTTATGGCTGAATAGTATTCCATGGTTTATATACTATGATTCTTTATCCAATTCACTTGTTACCACAAATGTTGATGGACACTTAGACTGATTCCATGATTGCTATTGTGGATAGCATTGTAGTGCTGTCTTGCTCATGGACAAGGGTGACAGCAACATGAGTGACAACAGCAGCTAACATCCATTGGCTCCCTGCCATATGCCAGATGTTTTGAATTCATTACTACTAATCCTTACAACCAGTCTGAGATATTACTTTCTGCATTTACAAGTGACAAAACAGACCTGGAGAGATAAAATAACTTTTCCAAAGTGACAGAAAGTAGCATTGCTGATATTGTAATCCTAGTCTGACTCTAAGGCTGAACTTCTAACCATCATGTTAGTTTCTATCCTGTAGAAATAGACTCAATCCTGGTCACTGTAGATGCTGGCACAATGCAAAGGTTTATACCATTAATCCCTGACAACTACAAGTTTATATTCAATGGAAAATTTTTCACAATACATACTCATACATACACATTTCACGCTATATAACTATTTCTTAAAGTTCTTCTTAAAGTTATAATTTGAGGAATTGGGCTAAAAAATGTAAAGTATATATCAGTTTGTAGATTACAATTCTCCTATTTCTTTCTCCCAGTTGCAAATAAGAAAGATAAGTCTTCTGAGTATATGTGTAGGTTTCAGAGAATGAATATATTTTAAACTAAGATATACCACAGTTTAATAAGACTTGCCTGGAAAAACATTTTGATTTTTAGTGTTGCTGAGGCTCTGTCTGTTCAAATCAGATAAAAGACTTAAGCCATTTATAATTAGATCCCCAGTCCTCTTACTGAATCTTCACAAATTTAGGTGAGGTGGTGAAAAATAATCTTTCATTTCTGATGTGACAGCCTTTGCAGAAATGGGAAGAATAATATGACTAAACAGAAGCTGAGACATTATAAAGGGGCTCACCAGTGAGGAATTGGGCTGCAGTAATATACATCTTTTTTTAAAAAAAATTTGGCAATATATATGTATTACATTCCAGAAACAAAGCAATAGACACTGAATTTTGATCTGCTGCCCAAGTCATGTTTTCAGAGACCTTGACCATTACTTTGGTCACCAGTCATATCCATCCTGAGGATCAATGCACAGTTTATATGAATATCACACTTGAGAAAGACCAGAATGGGTTCTTCTTCCATTATTTCTTCTTTGTCTTCACAACCTAGTTCATCCACTTCTTTCTTTATTTTCATTGACGGCATAAAATGTTCTTAATTTCATGGAAACATTTGAATGAGTTACGACAAATCCAAACAAGTTATTATATATCAATTATGACTATTGACCTAGATTTTCTGTAATAGTTTTCCATAAAAATATAAACTTACACCAAAATTTTAGCCTGGCTCTATGAAATAGAGGAGTAGTAGAAATGAGATTAAGTTCTATCTGATTTCTGATGTCTTGCTTTCCTTTTCTAGCTTGGATGGCTTTGAACTGGAATCACTACTGTAGGTACCTCCTGCAACTAAGGTACAAGGCATAACAAACTGAGACCAAAACCAGCCAAGCTATTTGTGTTCTAAGCCTACGTTATTGTAGATATGACTTCCTATTTAGTTCTTTGAGATGTTAGAAATCAGCTTAGTTCTTCTGAAAGTATGGCTTTAGGAAATGGAGGACATTAAACTATTTCTACAGGCAAAGGTGAAAGACTTAGACCAGAGCTGTCCAATACAAATTTCTGCCTGGATGGGAATGTTTGCTACCTGTGCTGTTCCAATACGGTAGCCACTAACTCCATGTGCCTATTGGGCACTCACAATGTAGCTAGTGTGATTCAAGAACACTAATTTAATTTTATATTTAAGTTAAAATAGCCACACGTACGGCTAGTAGATACTGTTAGTGCAGACTTAACCTGTTATTATTCACATAACATGTATGTCCCAAGACCAATAATTAGAATTCTTATATCTAAGTTAAGTGAATTGGTCAAATTTCTTTTGCAAATTGAGAAGCATCATCATGGAAGCAGTTTGTTGACAACTGAAGGTCTTGCTCTTTGCAGAACTCTTGGATAGGCCTGTTCCTCCAGGTTGTCTTTACTTCGTTCTTGATTGGGGTGCGGGATGGGGAATACGTAACTCTCCATGTGAGTGTGATTTCTAGGGTGTTGTGGTGATTTTCTATTAGAGAACCTCCTAGACTGAAATTTGCTTGCATCTGAGGTTCATAATCAATATGCTACACACTTATGTGATTTTCAAATCCTTTCATGGAATGATTATATCCTGTGACTTACCACTGAATGTTTTTTGCAGAAAATAAGTAAATAACCTTCTCAAGGTTACAATTTTTCAAAAAAAAATTGCTGTTTCAAATCTTAGAAATTCTATGTGTTAGTCATTAGGGCACTTCCTCAGGTATTTCTGGTTTATTCGCTTCTGGTTAAAGTTGTACTTTCAAACCCTATCCTGGTTGGATGGGGCCATGTGACCATTCTGGCCGATGACTTCTTAGAAGAAGCTACTTCAGCTATTTCATGCCACTTTCAAGCCAAGCATTTAATTGCTGGTGCAGGACTGTAGAGCTCTCTTTTTCCTCTGGCATAGCAACTGGCAATGTTTAAGATGGTGCCCATTTCATCAACCTGGGAGCCTGGATGACTAAAATGAGCTTGAGATGAAACCTCTGTCACTTGTAATGGATATATAACACAGAAGATAAATAAGTCTTTGATATTTAAAGCCAGTAGGCTGTTACACATTGAAGTGAGAGCTAGAGTAAGTATTGTGAATAGAAAATAGGAAAAATTGGTCAAAATAGCAGTGGAACTCTGGAAGGGATAAATTATCTGAAGTTGAATTCAACTGATCTCATGTTTGTCAACAACCTGCATGGCACTAGATGATGACATCAAATAAGCTTGGAAATCTTTGTGAAACAGCCAATTTGTAGAGCCCTGGATGAAATGTTTTCTAAATAAACATCAGTGCACTTTTGTTTGCATAGTGACAAAAGTGCTGACTGTCAATGATGGGGCCCAACAACTTCAGAATAAATTATTCCCGTGTTAAAAGGCTATGCAGACAGCACCTTGATCTGTGGCCAAGATCAGTTGAAGAGAGTCTACTGGATCAGCAGAGTTATGTTTTGATGAGCATTTCTTAATTTCAAGGAGGAATCTAAACAATGGAAAGAAGATAAATAGCTACAGGTAGGATGTTGGCAAAGATATACATGTAATTTCACACAATTCCTATTTCTCATCCTAAAGCCTAGGCTTGACATTTGCCTAACACTTCTCATACTGAGAGATCTGATAGACTTCAAGGCATATGGTGATAAAATCAGGTTATTTTTATATTAAACCCTAGTTTCATTAATATGACCTATTGAAGGAATCACATAAATTATTCTTTCAGGAAGAAATGTAAAAATTATTTTGCATCGCATTCAGTGCTTTAGGTCTAATATACTCTTAGTGATTAATTACTATCAATAATACTAATTAATAGTAATTAATTATGGATATGATTTACTGTAACACCCTTACTAATGGTGTCATTTATAACAACAATAATAATGATAATAATTAATAGCTCCTATATTGATGCCTTTTCTATTCCTGTGTCACTGTAGTAAATGTTATATATGAATTATCTCATTTAGTCCTAAAACACTTTAATTTCTACTTAAAAAAAAAAAGAAATAATTTCTGAAAGTTTAGGGAACCTGCTGCCAGCCCAATTGCTCGCAAGTGGTTGGGCTCATATTTGAAGTTTGGGCTATATGAATCCAAGAACTATGTTCCTAATGTTATGTAAAATACCTCTTTTTTATGGCTAAGATTTAGAATATCAAATTTAATTTAACCTAAACCTTAATTGTATTTAGGCTACCTTTTTACATAAGGGCACCACAAATTAAAATAATTGAGAAAAAATTTAAAAAACAATTTTAATTTCTACTGAGAATATTATTACTGAGAATTTATTTTAAATGAGGCAATTGAGGCCACACGTTTATTACATATTCACATGTTCCTAAATGCAGCTTCAAGGACCCTGAGTGTGTCTGACCAGGGGTAGGCTTATCTGGGAATTTCTGCTTCTTCATGTATCTCTCTGGATTTACAGATAATGATTTAGCAGGCAGGCAAACGGCTTTCTTGTACTACCTCTGGGCAACTATGAGACCTGAGACAAGTTTCCACACCTTCCTGGATTTCATTTTCACTCATTTGTAAAATTCGGGATGGGCTGACTCTGAGGTCATTCCAGTGTTAATATTCTCTTGTGTCTCTCTTACATCCTGATGTCACAAAACTTCTTTTTAACTGATAGCTGAATCTGTAGATGGACCAGCCAAACATTTTCCTGGGGGTATGTGATGGATTCATAGTATATCAGTTTTGCTAACCTGGAACTGATGGTCCCAGAATTCCCTTCCATATATAGCGCCAGGATGGGTGAACCACAAAAGATGCTCTGAACAAGAGTGAAAAGGTGGAAGTGAAACAGCAGTGACATTCCTTTTATTTTATGTCCAAGAGGTCAGTGTCAGCCAGGCCATGAAATGTTGTTGTCTCTAATGCATGTTGTCTTTTCTTTGCTGGCTTACCTGTGGGCATGTAGAACTCCAGCCCTCTTAGTTTTTCTGACTCATGGGTCAGGTGTAGGTTTAGCTCTGTGACAAAGGGGGCCACTCCTCCTTCATTTCACTCCCATCATCCAAGTGAAAGGCTCAGAGGCAGTGAGAGTCCCATGCAGATTCTCATCCATTCTCACAGGTTCCAGCCCAGCCCTGCAGGGTTCCTTTTGAGCTTGCTTCCATTTCACATTCTTCCATGCCCAACTGCCAGCCCCAGCTGACTTTCCCAGCTGCAGAAGCTATAGCTCAATAGATTCTTTAGCCCACAATCATCTAAGACCAAATACCTATAATAAATCTCTTATTATATAAATCTTCTAGTGGTTCTGCTTCTCTGATCAAACCCTGACTAATATACGTTGCTAAAACAGCTTTGGGGAGAGAATTAGATGGAGAAAATAGCATCTAGCTGAACTCTTGCCAGGAAAATAATGTGTGTGATTGAATAGGATTTTTGTTAAGCTATTTTGGGGGACTGTTTTAATGAGAAAACTGGGGTAACAATTTGTGTTTAACTAAGCTGCCTTTTAAGAAAGGGAGTCTAGTTCAGTTCAGGGCTTCTGTTTTTCATCTGAATGAGGATGCAAGTTAGAGGGTCAGAACTAAATTGGCCAGGGCGCTCCAATGACCTCCTTTCTTTAGGCAGAGCTCCGAATCTTCTCCAAACACATAGTTAAACCTATTTTAGGACTAGTGGCTTAAAGGGCTTTCAAATTATTAGGCTGCCGGAGGCAACTTCATGTCTTGTATCTCTGAAAGCCAGTTGCTATTTCTACTTCACCAATGCCATAAGCTCTGTGATAATTTTTTTAAAATGGCACCTTTTGCAACAATTAACAAAGCAAAATTTCCTCTGTTTTTGGAGTATTAGGATGAGCAGTTTAGCCCTACTCTGCAGTAAACCACTCTCAAACACCTTCTATTATTTCAGACAGATAATATGAATTTCTTTGTCAGCTCATTAAAGTATATTTGGGACTTCTTGTACAATCATTATTTTGTTTCTTGGTTTGAGTAAACCTTCAAAAGTTTCAAATTCCAGGAAAATAATGTAGGAATGGTGAGGCTTAGGCATCCCTAATTGCATGGTGCTGTCTAATTCAATTAGTTATTTTGTCCTGTCACCAACAGAAGTTTTGAAAGATTGTGGAGGAGGAAAATTCACAAATTTAACTTTAATAGCATAGTTAAAATAAACATAATAATGGTGAATCATGATAGAAATTTGGACACTCATTTTTTTGTGTGATTTAAGGAGCTATTCACCCTCAGGTGTGAATGGCAATTAAAGACATATAGAGTAATCTTGCAACACTTTGCAAACATTTATGCATTGGCAGAAATTGTGTTTTGCCTGTAAAAATTTCAGTGACCTCTTTATTCTCTTTCTCAGGTTTTCTAGAGTCCGTGTTTATAATAGACTAACCAGCTCCCTCAGCCTTTCCATCCAATGTGAGCAAAAACATAAAATGAATTGAAAAGCAAGGCAAAGTATGCTGGTAGTACTAGGCCTATCGTTTAGTAATAATAACATATTTTCTTTTTTTCTAGCACTTGGTGCTTTGTGCACATCACTTTTGTATCTGTTGTCTCATGTGACAGTTAATTTTTATGTGTTGACATGGCTAGGCTATGGTGCCCAGTTGTTGGGTCAAAATAGCAATCTAGATGTTTCTGTGAAGGTATTTTTAGATGTCAGTAGACTCTGAGTAAAGCAGATTACCCTTATAATGTGAGTGGCCCTCAGCCAGTCAGTTGAAGGTCTTGAGACCAAAGACAGAGGTCCCTCGAAGAGAAAAGAATTCTGCCTCCAGACTGTCTTCAGCCTTAAGGCTGCACCATCAACTTTTACTGGAATTTCTGGGGTGCCATCCTGCTCTACGGATTTTGGACTTGCCACCCCCCACAATTTGTGAGCCTATCCCTTAAAATAAATCTATCTACAGCTATGCCTTTCATACCTATACACCTATCTCTATCTTCATCTCTCTCTCTCTAAGATTTATCTCCTAGTGGTTCTGTTTCTCTGGAGAAATCTGACTTATACAGGTCACTTAAAAACCACTTCATCAGAAAGATGGGTAAGAGCATGACCTTTTGAGTGAAAAAGTTCTAGGGGTTAAATTCTGGCTTTGCAACTTATCAACTTTCTGATCTCTGAGAATTAAAAAAAACTTTCATAATCCTCACTCTTCAACAGCTGTAAAATAGGAATAATAAAAATAACAATATTTGTTAGACTTTTACTATATGCCAAACAGTGTATTAAATGCCTCACATGCATTATTTCATGTTAACAACAACCCTATTAAACAGTGAGTGTGGCTGGCCATATTGGCATCTTAGGCAGCCACCATTTGCATCTTTGGCAGTCACTCATCTTCTGTAAAGAACTGATCTCTCTCCCACCGACCCCACTTGTGTGCGTGCTCTTGTGTGAAGAGCTGGTGTCAAGGTATCAGCTCCGCTCTCCCATGAGTGACTCAGGCCCCTGCCTTTCAGTGTGCTGGTCTCTCTAGCAGTCATGGGGGTTGGTGGTTTTGCCTGATTTTTCCCAGATCCAAATTCTACCATTTACTTGAGCATTTACCCAAGCTTATTAAATAGATCTCACCATCATCGAAGAAAAAATGGCAAGTAAATCTCACTCACTTTTCTCTGAAGCTGGTTCAGACTGCAGAATTCTCTTAAATTATCCAGTAGACAGGCTCTGATCACATCTGGGATTGAAGATGCTCCAGCTGCTTTTCTCTCTAAGATCAAAGTTATTTTTTGACAACACATGCTGACGAATCCAAACTGACGCCAATAACTGTTTATAGTTTCTCTGGGTGCAAACATAAATATTTTAGATGACTGCATCCATTTGTTATCACTGTGGCAGAACCCACTTCTCTTATTCTAAAGGAACTGAAAATTGTTGGACCTCTCACCTCCTGTGTGTTCAGAAAGCCAAACTTCTTTCTTTTCTGCCAATATTCCAGGACCCTAAGAGGTCTCCGTAGAAAACTTACAAGTATATTCACAAAAGTGAGCATCGTATTGATGCTATGTTGCTTTTTTATTTTCCTAAGTCTACTATGCAGTGTTTCTCCCTACATTCCCCACTTCTATTTTCAATTTTGTATATATAGGACTGGACAATATACCAGAGTTTCTATTCCTAAGTAAGAACCTAATTTCCTAGATGTTGTTTTTAACCCTCAAATTGCTTTTAAAAACCAGATCATAAATAATAGCTATTTTCAAAGTTCTCTTATATGCATTATCTCATTTAATGCACAAAATTTTCCAAGAGAAAATTACTCATAAATTCATTCTTAGAAACGTTATTCCACATACCCCAAGTCAGAGTGCCGAAGAGTGGTGGGGCTGGGTATAATAGAGTTGCATTGCCCACAAGCAGGGCCTGGGAGCATGTACCCACCCTGATGGCTCTTAGCCAATGCCTGCCTGGGCTGGATTATGAAACTCCAGCATGCTTGATTCAGATTGAGATGATTTTGAGGGGTAACTTCCACTCCAGCATGCCCCACTGGGATTGGACTGTATTTTTCCTCATCAAACCTTTTGCTTGAGGTCATGCCCATCCTTGGCTTCTTCCCTACTTTATTTTCCTTCTTTTTGTCCCTTATAAGTTTCCTGGAGATCCCATTCTTAATGAACAATTTGCACACAAATTCTTTCTCAGTATCTGATACTGGTTATCCTCACCTAAGACACCAACCAATAGTGCTTGATATCAGAGCTCAAGCTCTTACACATGATCCAATTTGAGATTCTTCCTAAAAAGGTGCCAATTATTCTTCCTTATAAGAGAAAACCTTAATTATAGGCAAATGTAATTAGATGGATAATGTGCACACACATTCCTTCCTTTACGTGTATTTATTAAGTATTTAATATGAGCCAGATTTAATCTAAGTACTGGTGATACAATGTTAAATGAGATAGCAAAGTCTCTGTTTTCATGGCTTTACATTCCAATACTAGAATATAAGTAAAAAAGTGAAAAAAAAGGAACAAGATAATTGCTGATAGGATCAATGGTATGAAGCAAGTAAAATGGAGTTATGAAATCCAGAAGGGAAAGGACTGATTTTCACAGGGTGCTCAGGAAGGTGTACTGGCCTGAGGCAGTGATATTCTCTGTGACACTGAAATGAAAAGAAGGAGCTGGACGTGCAAGAATATGGTGCCATACAGAGAAATAAGCAAATCTGAACTCCTAAGTGGGAGCAGCCTGGGAGAGTTGGAAGAACAGAGAGAAGGCCAGAGTGCCTGCAGTATATTGAGTTGTGGGAAGGGAGGAAGCTGAGAGAGTGAAGAATAAGTAGAGGCAAGATTATGGAAGGGCTTTGTAAACCATGCTATGGGGTTCAGGTTTTATTCTCTGGGTCATCCCTGGAGGTTTATAGTTTAGAAAGATCATTCCAACTGTGCTGCTGAGAATTGAAGATGAAGAGGCAAAAGTGGATGCTGGGACCATTAAATAGGCTATGGTTGTAGATGATAAAGAAAAATGAAAGTGGGCTGGACTCTTGGACTCCTCTGGCCCCTGTAGATAAAGAGAGGTGGAGATAGTTTTGGATTTTGAGGTAGGGCTGCCAAGACATGGAGACGGATTGGGTTTGGTGAGTGAGAGCGTAGAGCTTGCGAGGATGATTTTGTACAATTGGGGTTCAAGCAACTGAGCAGATGTGTGGCCATTTATAAGATGGGGAAGCTTGGGGGAGAAACAGGATTTGGGGATAAGAAAAATTACATTTGTATAAGTGCAGAAATATAATAGTTATTATATACCCTTGGTTTTATAAAATTTGAAATTTGATTCAGTTCCCATAGGCTTTAATGAAGAAATTTGTGTTGATTAACAGCAGACAGTGCCTTCAGTGTTGACTTTATTGCTTCTACAATGAATAAAGCCCTTTCAAGAAGTTTAGTTTTATTCCGCTATCAGGGTGTTCTCTATGGGAAATTCTTCCTTGTTGTCTATTCACAATTATACAAGGTCCCATTCTTTGACATGGAAATAAGCAGCAACGCCCACTGAAGTCAGCAATAGAAACTTGGCTTCCATTGCCACAAATTGTGCAGGTCCACACATCCTGAAGATAAGACTTGGAAAGAAAGTCAGGACTGAGCAAAAGTGCCTGGCTCTGATTTTAAAGGCGAGCTCATATAAACATCTCTTACGCATGATTCTGATCCTTAAACATTGAGGCATGGCTTTTATAATGAGAAAAAAAGTCTCTCATCCCCTAAATGTCAGTGCTTATGTTTTGGTCACTTGGGTTCCAAAAAAACACAATCTTTTAAAGAGAAAAATGTTACAGACATTGTCAGTATCTTAAGGAAGATCCCTCAACCTGTCATTGGTGTTAGTGTCCACACACAAGTGGCTTCACAAGGTAGGAACTTGTTGCTGGAGTCAGTGAGGTTTGGTTTCTCATTTTATGCTACTGGGTTCTGCTGTGGTCATAAGGGTAGTAGCTGATAATCCCATTTCCTCACTGTGTTGAACACTTGGAAGTCTGCCATAAACCAATTTTCTGTTTTTCTTTAGCTTTTCCAGAGTAAAAGAATTTTTTTTTTTTGGTGTTGAAGATGGACAAGGTTTATAACAAAACTTGTTCTTCATTTCTCCAGAGAAAGCTTTTGTTTTCCAAACAAGTACTTCTTGATTATTTTACCAGGGAGTGCATGGTTACCATCCTGTAATGTCAGCCCCATGCCAGCAGATGGCAGTCACACCACACCACGCTGTGGCAATCAGCTAAGCTTGAGAACACCAGGAATCTGTCCTTTTCACAGAGGAAGGGTCTGATGTGCTCTGTGCCATGGCAGGAGGGGTAACTAGCACGGAGATGAATTCCAGAGAACTCACTACATAAGTCTATAAATTTGTCCCTAAACTTGAAGATATTCTTAGTTGAAAAAGGAAACAAAACAGAGGGAAAAACAAACAAACAAACAAACAAAAACCCAAACCTCTAGCTAAGTCTGTCAAAATGAGCTATGAGGTGGACAACCCAAGGTCTTGAGCTTATGCTGGGCTTTGTTTCACTGATACATGGATCAATATAATCATAGTCAGGGAGCTGGCATGAAAGCAGAATGGCTGAGAAAATAAGACTGGAAACGACTAACTGCAAAAGTATTTTATTTTCAGGAGGATTAACTGCTTCTGGGGTGGCTGAGTGTGGTAGAGGAAAAACAGAAGAAACTCCAAGGTGAAATTAGAAATCTTAGAAGAGCTCTTCTTTCTCCCATAGAGGTAACACAGTATTTCCAAGAAATTATTGATAGTAGGAATAAGGATTTCCCCCAGACGGAAAGGAGACATTGATGTACTGCGGGCATCCCAACTTCTACCTCATCATGCGTTTCTGAGTTTCTTCCACCATGACCCTGATGGTTTTGGTTACTCTCTCCTTCCCACTAGTTACGTGGTTGCTCTGCTTTTAGTTGAAGTTGTGCTGACTTTGGGATAGGTGTAGGGTTAAATGGTATCAAGAGGACATTCCTATTTATTGACCTACAATGTGGTTTCTGTACCTGAGCAAAAGACATATTTTTTCTCTATATTTGAGTTGGTCTTTTGAGACCGGCAAAGCTGTGGAAACAAAGCTTTGCTTAAGGAAAATGGCCACAATCTATTGTTAGAAAGAAGCCTCAAGTACCATGAAAATGGACCACACAGGTCAGGGATTTCTCAAAATGTTTCTTTTCCCAGGAAAATATTGAAACTAGGACTATTGTGGAATTACACAGTTTATGATTGCCACTTATGAACTACACCGGAATCAGGCTTGAAGGGTTCTGAACCATAAGAAACTTCCTCTGGAAATGAATGTGGTAGCTGAGTCCACATGTGTGGGAGGCCAACTGCATAGCTGGGAGTTGTCACAATTAACTTCTGCAGATAATTCCATGTTTATTAAATAAGTGATTTAAGTGTGACACTATTGTATGTGCAATGTCTCTTTTCTATCTGGTGGAAATTCTTATTCTTACTATAAAGAATTCCTTTGGAAATACTGTGTCATTACACAGTTTATGATCAATGGGTTATCATAAACTGTATAACTATCTGCAGCTATTTACAGATAGTTGCTATCTGCAGAGCTATCTGCAAAACTGTGATGTAAAACCATAAAGGCATTCGCAGCTTATTGTTCCTATTGCCCTTTCTATGTTTGTTGAAGGTTGAGGGTTTGCTTATTTTCCATCCTAGTAATTGGATAGTTATATGATCATCCATCCATATTTGAGTAGAGGTCGGATACATATGTCCTCAGTGTTCCAGCCAAGGTCTGGACAGTGGAAACAGTCCATTTGGGGTGCAGACAATGAGGGGGTACATTACCCATACATAACTTAAATACGCAATAAAATTGACTAAAATTTAATCTGCTTTTAAATAGTCACCATGCTCAGAAATTCTTAAGTACCATTAATGAAAAGATCTTTTTCTGGTCTAATTTGCAAACATTTGCTGTGATTGCAGCTGTGTTTCAATAATATATATGCGTGCTTCAAATTAGCACATTTAAATCACTTATTTAATAAACATTGAATTCTCTGTGGAAGTTAATTGTGACAACTCCCAGCTATGCAATTGGCCTCCCACACATGTGGACTCAGCTACCACATTCATTTCCAGAGGAAGTTTCTTATGGTTCAGAATCCTTCAATCTTAATTCTGGTACAGTTCATATTTTCAACCCCCATGATACTGTATATTCCTGTATTTAGACAATGCATTGGAGATAAACAAAGATAGCTATAGTAATTTTTCTTATCTGAATTATATTTTGTTTCTGGTTTGAAGTTGTGGGCAAAGTTAACCAGACACAAAAATGTTTGCAGACAGCCAGAAATGGTTTAATGATGTACCAGAAACAAGCTTCAAGCTTGTTGCTGGAAGACGGGTGCATAGAAATAGTGAAAAGGCTATCAACTATGAAAAATGTAAGGAATTGGACATTACATGGGAAAAAAATCAGATCAGAAAAAATTGCCCATAGAAATAACAAAGATGCCACTTTCACATTGTCAGAAGAAATCAGAAGTCAATGTCTGAATGTCCTGATCATTTTCACCAAGATTTGGACATTAGTTCTAAAGCAGAAGGAAGACTTAGAGAAGTTTTTACTAGATGTAATAGAAGTTTATGATGAATTTCTGCTGAAAGTATTTTAGGGGAATTTTTTTGACTGTCAAAATATTTGAAAGGGACTAGAATGATACCAAAAAAACAAAGATATGAGAAGTATGTGATTTCTGGAATTTATTATGAAACGGAATTTTTATGAAAAGTTGCCAGGATTAGACTTAGGTTAAGAATTTTCTTAGCTGTTTGTATCTCTGCTGTTTCATGTGAAAGAAATTTCATGAGATTAAAATTAATAAAACATGTTCTTTCATCAACTACCAGGGAATAGATGGACAAAAAAGCATTTATTGTCTATTGAACATGAATATGTGAAGAAAATTAATTTTGACAAAGTTTCTGAAAGATTTGTATATAGTTAAGGCTGGAAACAGAAACCAGACTCACACAGTGGCTTGCGCCTGTAATCTCAGCACTTTGGGAGGCCGAGGTGGGAGGATTGCTTGAGGCCAGTACTTTGAAACCAGCCTGGGCAACAAAGTGAGACCGTATCACCATAAAACATTTAAAAAATTACTCAGACATGGTGGCACGAGACTGTAGTCCTAGCTCCTTGGGAGGTGAGGCAGAATTGCTTGAGCCCAGGGGTTTGAGGCTGCAGCAGTGAGCAAGCATTGTACCGCTGTACTCTGTACTCCAGCCTGGATGATAGAGTAATACTCTCCCTCTCTCTCTCAAAAGAAAAAAAAAAAAAGAAAGAAAGAAGGAGAAAATAATAGAAACTGCAATTTTATTGTTTACTATTATAATGGACCAATATTTAGGTATATTTTCCCCTTTAAAAAACACAGCATTGCAATTAACACAATTAATTTATTACTTTTTATATTCTTATTTTATTTTTATTTAAAAGTACATTAAGGCATTATATTTTTATTTAAAAATAAATTAAGTTGTATAAAAGAAAAAATACTACCCTGCTTCTATTATATGACCAGGTTTTCTTGCGATATGTGTTACATGAAATACTCTTTTCCTATCAAAAAATGGGGTATTAAAATGATTCTCCAGATGCCAGTTATGCTAGGTAAAGTATTCCAGTCTTTCACCGTATTGATTGATCATACTGGGCTAGGCTATTCTATAGTAACAATTAAACTCTGACATCTCAGTGGTTTAACCCAATTAAAATTTGTGGCTTCCCAGCACAGTCAAATATGGAAGCTCCTGATTGGATGGCAATCCTGGGTGGTTGTCTGCAAGTAGAAGCTCAAGGGCTCACCATGTTGAGCCTCTGCCATGTTGTCACTTCAAAGTGACAACTAACGCATACAGAAGGAAAAATGAGAGACGAGAAAATGTTGAAGATCAGACAAAATATTTTATGGACTGGCCTGAAAATAGCATGCATCACTCTTGTTTACATTCAGTTGGTCAGATCCAGCCATATGGTACTAACTGAACTGCAAAGAGGGCTGGAAAATCTATTCTTCCTGAGTGTAGAGGAGGAGGAAACAGGATTGGGCAGCATCTAGCCAGTTCTGTCACTCCATCTGTGTTCAACCTACTGTCTTTGCATTTGTATGCCATTGCCATAGCTCATTAAATGGTGTCTGCAGTCTCCTTGTTACCAACTGTATAATAGAGTACTACTAAACAGTCAGTGGTTTTCATATCAAGCAAGCGAACTCCTTTTTTTTCCACATAAAATATTCTCCATAAACTAATGCATTAAAAATTGATAAATACTTTGCTGTTCTGGTTGGAGGAGGAATGAACATTCAGAAACATTTCATTGATCTTTTCATTAACTCACACACACTTCCCCCTCCCTTCCCATCCCAGCCATTCCTGGAATCCTCAGCTACTTTTCTGTAATTCCTGGGTTCTGATGAACAGAAGTTGAAAACCATTGCAATGGGCAGAGTTGGGCCATGGAAGCTTTTTGAACAGGGAATGTTGTTTAGAAAGATCCAAGTTTAAGCTGCCTCCCCCTGCCCAATACTCTTCAACTTCAAATTATTCAGCTCTACTCAATGCTCCCTGAAAGACTCCTACCCATTTAAACCTTTATATTCATAAAATACAGGCTTTTAATATTGTTCTTAATATTGAACTTGTTTTTATTCACTCAACACTGAGTGCCAGGCATCAGGAAAACTATGATAGGAACTCTGGCCTCAAAGGAAATAATTTTCATAATACAAAATTAAATTAAAATATTTAAATATAAAGTTGAGTATACAATGTGATCTTTATAATGTAGAAAGAACCACTTTCTCTAAATCTAAAGGTATACGTTGAGTCTTCTGTTTATTCATCCTAACCCATTAGGTGGGCTCAAGTCCCACCAAAAGTAATGAAGCCAAAAGGCTGCCTCAATTGCTGGGAGCCCAAGCCAATCTGCAAAAACCACCATACCAGGGGACAGAGCTTCCTACCAGTTTTGAGGTTTCCTTCCATGCAACAGAGGCCACTTGGAACAGCAGGCATGCCAACAAGAGTGTTAGCATGTTTAGTTTATCTGTGCAGGCAGGCTTCTACAATGAGCATGCAGGCTTGAATTCTCTTTTGTATAACCCAAGACTAAAGTCCTGTGTGCTTACACTTGTGAATTCTCCATTACCTCTCTCAAACCTCTCCACTAGGCAGAGAGTACAGTCTATTCCACCCAATTTACTGCTCACTTCATTTGCATGGGGCTTTTTCCTTGTAATATTATTGACAGGAGGCAGAGGTTTATAACCGTGGTGCTAGTTTTGCACAGCAAACATATGATCACCTTTTTAGAGACCTTTGCCCTGTTTGACTCTGACCAAACCCTTCCTATTTTAACATATTTTTGTGATTCTAGGAATGTGAATATAGTTCTCCAAATAATTTAGACACATCACAGCTAAACTATTTCCAACTTGGCACTTTTATCAACTTGAAATTATTTTCAACTGCAACAAGTCTGAAATTGCTAATTCAATCAGTATACATACTTGCAATAACTTAACACACACAGTATACCAACTGTCTTCACTGTTGTCAGAACAAAGTATAGGCAGAACATCCTGGTGTCAACATGAATTTTACCACATGCTTTCTTTCTATGTAAGATTAAATAATATTTTTTCTTTATTTTGTTAATGTGGTGAATAACATTGACTGATTCCAAAATATTAACCTTTCATTCCTAGAATAAACCCAACTTTGTTGAGCTGTTTAATCTTTATAGATCATATATCTTTTGTACTACTTCAAAAGAGAAATTGGCCAGAATTTTTTTTCTTATAATGTTCTGTCTGGCCTATTATAAAGTTTATGCTGGTTGCATAAAATGAATCGGAAATCATTTGCTTTCTTTTTAAAATGGTTGATATAGTTCTCAGTGATTCCCTCTAGACCTGGAATATTTTTAGTTTAGTTTGAAAAGATTTTTAATTATGGTTTCAATATCTTTAACAATATAAAATTATTCTGATCTATATCGGATAAACAATATTTGTGACAAATTATTTATTGTTTATCTGAAATTCAAATTTAACTGCATTTCCTATATTTAACTGGCAGCTGCATAATGTCATCATTATATTTCATATGTCTGAAAGAGTAATGGTTGTCCCTTTTTCTCCCTATTGCAGTTATTTGTGCCATTTCTCTCTTTTTTCTTGATTAGTCTCACTAGAGGCTCATCAGTTTAATTAGTCTTTACAAAGAACTAACTTTTGGTGTGTCCATTGTCTTCACTGTATGTTTTCCCATTAATTTCTATTTCATTTTTTCCCTTTTTTCATGTGTAGCATTTAGTTTGCACATCTAACTTCTTGAATGGATAATATGATCTTTGATTCTCACATTTTTTTCTTTTTAAATGTATGAATATAAATTTCTCTTTAAGCATGGTGATATGGTTTCACTGTGTCCCCACCAAAATCTCATCTTGAATTGTAGTTCCCATAATCCCCACATGCCATGGGAGGGACCATGGGGATACTGAATCATGGCGGTGGTTTCTCCCTTCCTGTTCTCACGATGGTGAGTGAGTTCTCATGAGATCTGATGGTTTTATACGGGGCTTTTCCCTTCACTTGGCTCTCATTCTCTCTCCTGCCACCCTGTGAAGAGCTGCCTTCCACTCTGATTGTAAGTGTCCTGAGGCCTCCCCAGCCATGCGGAAATGTGAGTCAATTAAACCTCTTTTCTTTAAAAATTACCCAGTCCTGGGCAGTTCTTTATAGCAGCATGAGAACAGACTAATACAGTAAGTTGGTACTGCAGAGAGTGGGGTCCTGCTATGAAGATATCCAAAAATGTGGAAGTAACTTTGGAACTGGATAACACGCAGAGGTTGGAACGTTTTGGAGGGCTCAGAAGAACACAGGAAAATGTGGGAAAGTTTGGAGCTTCCTAGAGACTTGGAGGGCTCAGAAGACAGGAAGATGTGGGAAAGTTTCAAACTTCTGAGAGACTTGTGGAATGGCTTTGACCAAAATGCAGATAATGATATGGACAATGAAGTCCAGGCTGAGGTGGTTTCAGATGGAGATGAGGAACTTGTTAGGGACTGGAGTAAAGGTGACTCTTGCTGTGCTTTAGCAAAAAGACTGGTAGCTTTTTGCCTCTGCCATAGAGATCTGTGGAGCTTTGAACTTGGGAGAGATGATATGGGGTATCTGGCCAAAGAAATACTTAAGTGCCAAAGTGTTCAAGAAGAAGCAGAGCATAAAAGTTTGGAAAATTTGCAGCCTGGAGATGCAATAGAAAAGAAAAACCCATTTTTCTGGGAAGAAATTCAAGCAGGCTGCAGAAATTTGCATAAGTAATGAGGACCTGAATGTTAATCAGCAAGACAATAGAGAAAACGCCCCCAGGGCATGTCAGAGACCTTCAAGGCAGTTCCTCCCACCACAGGTTTGGAGGCCTAGGAGGGAAATTAGTTTCTGGGGCCAGGTCCAGGGCCCTTTGCTCTGTGAAGCCATGGGACTGCATCCCATCTGCTCTAGCCATGGCTAAAAGGGGCCAAGGTATAGCTTAAGACATTGTTTCAGAGGGTGCAAGCCCCAAGCTATGGCAGCTTCCATGTGGTATTGGGCCTGCAGGTATGCAGAAGATAAGAATTGAGGTTTGGCAACTTCCACTTAGATTTCAGAGAATGTATGGAAATGCTAAATATCTAGGCAGAGGTGTGCTGCAGAGGTGGAGCCCTTATGGGGAACCTCTGCTAGGGCAGTGCAGAAGGGAAATGTGGGGTTGGAGCCCACACACAGAGTCCCCACTGGGCACTACCTAGTAGAGCTGTGAGAAGAAGGCCAGCATCCTTCAGACCCCAGAATGGTAGATACACTGACAGTTTGCATGACATGCCTGGAACAGCTGCAGACACTCAATGCCAGCTCGTAAAAGCAGCCAGGAGTGCGGCTGTACTCTGCAAAGTCACAAGGATGGAGCTGCCCAAGGCTGTGAGAGCCCACCTCTTGCATCAGTGTGACCTAGGTGTGAGACATGGAGTCAAAGGAATTCATTCTGGAAACTTAATGTTTAATGGCTGCCCTATTGGATTTCAGACTTGCATGGGGCATGTAGCCCCTTTATTTTGGCCAATTTCTTCCATTTGGAATGGATGTATTTGCCCAATGCCTGTACCTCTACTTTATCTGGGAAGTAATTAACTTGCTTTTGATTTTACAGGCTCATAGGCAAAAGGGACTTGCCTTGTCTCAGATGAGACTTTGGACTTGGACTTTTGGTTTAGTGCTGGAATGAGCTAAGACTTTGAGGGACTGTTGGAAAGGCATGATTGTGTTTTGAAATGTAAGGACATGAGATTCTGGAGGGGCCAGTGGCAGAATTATATGGTTTGGCTGTGTCCTCACCCAAATCTCATCTTGAATTGTAGTTCCCATAGTCCTCACATGTTGTGGGAGGGGTCAGGTGAAGATAATTGAATCATGGGGGCAGCTTTCCCCATACTGTTCTTGTGATAGTGGGTTCTCCTGAGAATTATGGTTTTATAAAGGGCTTCCCCCTTTGCTCGGATATCAACTCTCTCCTGTCACCCTGTGAAGAGGTGCCTTCTGCCATCATTGTAAATTTCCTGAGGCTTCCTCAGCCATGTGGAACTGTGAGTCAATTAGAACTCTTTCCTTTGTAAATTATCCAGTCTCTGGTATGTCTTTATTAGCAGCATGAGAACAGACTAATACATACGGTTTTGACTTGTTCATGGAGAGTCATGCTCACGGACTTGGATTTTATTTTGTAGGTGATAAGGAGCCATTAATTGTATGGTGAGGAATGATATATTTCTTTATATTTGCTTTTTTGTGAAACATGCAATTTGCTGTGTTATGAAAACAGTAATTTGGGGAGTGCTATGATGTGAATGTTTGTGTCCCCTGAAAATTCATATATTGAAATCCTAACTCCCAAGATGATGGTAGTAGGAAATGAGGCTTTTGGGAGGTAGTTAGGTAATGAGGATGGAGCCCTCATTAATAGGATCAGTGCCCTTATAAAAAGAGGCCTCAGAGAAATGCCTCACCATTTTCACCATACCAAGGCATAGTAAGAAGGCAGTATCTATGACCCAGATACTGAATCTGCTGGTGCCTTGATCTTGGACTTCTCAGGCTCCAGAGTCATGTGAAATAAATTTCTGTTGTTTAAGCCACTCAGTTTATATTTTTGTAATAGCAGCCTAAATTGACTAAGACAGGGAGGCAGGAAGACTAGAAGTAGAAGAGCTCTTGGTTGATGACAGAATATTGGGGGGCAGCATTTAGGCAATGGGCAGTCAAAGGACACCGTCATTATTGTTAGAGAAAGGGATAAAGAAGAAGAGACCTATAGTTCATAGAGTTGAGGCATCAGAGGCTGGGTGAACAAAGCTTTTTCAAGTTCCACATTTATACTTGTGTTTCTATTTAAGGTATTTCAGGAGGTTTTTTAATGTCAGAATTAATAGCAAACCTCTAAAACAAAGAATACTTTTAAAAACTGTTTTATACATGGCTACACAGCATGCCAATCCTTTGGCTTCCAAGGCATAGCTAAGCTCCACCAGTGACCCTTAGGCCAAAGATTTCATTGACACAGATCCTCAAGGATAGGGCTCAACCCTCAAACACTGGCCATTCTGAATTTTCCTGGATTGACACATCAGTGTAAGCCATGGATTTGAAACCACTTCAATCCCAGGCCTATCCCTTTGTCTTTTAAAAGTTCTGACATAGTGAAGTAGATGCTATCTAAAAGGTTTCCAGCAACTTGGAGAAAGATAGCTTAAAAGTAAAAGTCAGTTTTCATTTCAGATATAGATAATGAGGATCAAAATGTCTTACTATTTTAAGAGAGAACAGTTGGATTTAACTCATAACATGTCAAATTCTGTATTCTTTTTTCACTGAAAGAAAAAAAAATTGGCCAGGAATAAAACTTTAGTGGTTTGTTCATAGATAAGGTGCTCCATCTTTATTTGAAGTAGAGTAAAAAATGTTTTTCCACACAAAGCGAATGATGACTAGACGTGCTCTTTTTGAATGGCCATCTTTAGAAGTTAGCAAAGTTTGAGATATCAAGAGAAATAGAATCAAGTGTTTCTTTAAGAATAAACTGAGTTTTATAAACAGGTCATTGTCCTACCAATTTCCAGTGTTCTTAAAGTCCTGCTGCTGTTTCTTTCCTGGCATATTGGGAAGAAGCCCAGGGCTTGTTTCCTTTTACTCTTTTGTTCTTTAGACTCACCATGTTCAGGGCTGTTCAGTGATATACCTGTGGGAAGGGAAAAATGTCTTCTTCAAAGGAGTCAATTATTTTGTTGCTACAAATTTGTGTGTTATGGGTAGATATTAGCCGATTTCTTATAAAATTTGAAAACTTATTTGAAATTCCCACCAGTATGCTAATTTACAGGAAGTTGACATCTCTGAAAATCTGTGCCCCGCTCCTCCCCCATCCCCCAAAAACACGCTATTACAACCATATAACATGATCTTATCCACACTATGTGATATATTATGGTTAAAGTTTTAAAGACAGGGATAATTTCATTATACTTAGTGCTAAGATGTCAGTTTAGGTATGATCATACAGTAAAGAAATATATTCTTTCCATGTTCTTATTCACTTGGAAATCCTTATTTTTTTTAATCAACACAAACAAATAAAAAATAAGCCTGTATTCCATTTGACTTGGCTGGGTACAGTGCTTACACCTGTAATCCCAAAGCTTTGGGAAGCCAATGCGGGAGGACTGCTTGAGGCCAGGATTTCAAGACCAACCTGGGCAACAAAGTGAGACCCAACTTTAGAAAGAAAAATAATTTTAAAATTGGACTTACTATCTTTGTTTTCATTGTAAATTGTCTTGCTAATGACCTAGTAGAGAAAGTCAAATGAGGAATAGAATTACTAACCTGCCTATGGTAGTGTCAATGTACTGATTTACTTTTCCTTTTTTTCAATCTGTTTATCTTTCTGCACATGGTGGCTGGGGATGAAACCTTAGAGATTTGTTCACAAATAAGCCATCCTGATTGTTGGGGAGGATACGCACCTGTCTATCCATTTATCTAAAATGTATCAATGTTTGGATGGAAACAGAGACGAATAAGATGAAATACCTAACGTCATGAAGTCCCTGAGAAGTTAAGAGTTAGAAAATCATGTCTTATGTGCTAATGATGCAGCCATGTATGAAATGTAGTAGGTTCAATGGGAATTGAGTAGGAGACGAAAGGCAGAGGGAAATGATGAGAGTTCGAACCAGGGTACTAGCAGTGGTGATGAAGACAGAGAGGCAGATTAAAGTGCTTTTTGGGGAGGAAAATCCCAGAAGCTTAGAGAGTTTGGTTTTGAGTCCTGGAACTACAACTTTATAGCTTACTAGTTGGGTTATTCATAAAAGGCAAGTTTTAAATTCTCTGAATCTCAGTTTTCTCGTTTGTAAACTGGGATTGTAGTATCTAAATCATAGAGCTTCTGTGTGCGTTAAATGAGTTAATTTGTGAAAATTTCTCAGTATCTGGTGTTTCAAACATAGTCATTCAATCCACATTGGTTATTATAATTACTATCAGTACTGGGTGAGCAGTCACACAGTGCAGTTGAAAATACAAGGAGTTTTAGGTCAGATCGAATTTCATTTCAATCCCATATTGCCTTGTACTATCTGTCCGACTTGGGTCAAGTTATTGAGTACCTCTAAGACTCAGCTTTATCCCCTGTGAAGTGGGAATTATAGCCACTAATTTGTGGGACACTTTTTAATGAAACGAATCAAAGTATAAAAATAATATGGCCCCACATCAAAATCCAATAAATAACTGCTATTATTTGGAGTTGAGAGAGAAGGAGATATTTAGGATGATGTTTTTAGATTTGTAAGATGAGTAGTAGCTGGATAGTCATGATATACAGAGTATGAAGGAAAAATAGGCTTGTTTAAAGGAAAAAAGTGAATTTTATTTTAATCATAGATAGATATATCTGGTCCTTTGGCTAGGTAGTTGGAGATAAAGATATGGTTATCAGAAAGGATTCAGGCCTGGAGTTTTAGCTTTGTGTATTGGCAGCCTATATATTGTATTTGATTTCATGGATATGGATTGGGTTTTCCATAGACGGGTAAAGGATTCAAATTTCGTATCCTGGAGAAGACCAGCCTTTAAGGGGATAATAGAGAAGAAGAAAGGGGGAATGAAGGAAAGCCGGGCAAGAGGGTTAATATGCATGATGAGACACGTGAGAGTTGTATTCATGAAGACTTACAGTGGCCAAATATCAAAGGGGAGAAAACTGAAGACAGTGTTCATTAGATCTGGCCATATAGAGGCCACCTGGCAACTTTCACCTTAGCAGTTTCTATGGAGCACTGTGGGTGAGAAGAAGGGGAATGAGAAGAGAAAGGGAGCAGAAAGATGAGGATGTGGGCAGAAGGGGCCAAATTCAAATATAACTCCTAACAGGGCATCCCATCAATGCATGTATGTGGCTAGGACCAACTGGACATTCTAGGAATATAGGAAGTTTGTGCATGTTGGTGGTGCAGTGCATGGCGATATCAAGGGAATTGGACTTAGCACGTGGAAGAATGTGTGGTTCATTGCAAGCACTCAATCAATATTAACTCCTGTTACTACTTCCATCATTGTTATTAACTATACACTCTACTGCCTCTCATGTGTACTCTGAGCTACTTCAGGGAACAAATGGCCATACAGATTGACAATGGGTAGGAAAAATAAAGAAACTGGACAAATTATCCATATACAGACATTAAATTAGAGCAATCTGCTTGTTTTGCAATTTGCTGCTAATAACAACATTCTCCCTCTTTCCATACCCATTCTAAAGGCTGCATTCATGTTTCCTAGAATGTCTACCTCCTCTATCTTTATGCTCCCAGAAGGGTCGTTGTCAGTATTTTCAACCAGGTTTAACACATACAAAAATCTTAGTATACATCTTTAAAGGTGGCCCTCAAGTAACTGTTTTCATTCCTTCCACCTCAGGCCCCTAGTTTTAAGGGTCTCTCTATAGTAGACACAAGCCCCCATACACACAAACATACCCCATTTCTATGCTTATAACAAATAATATGTTTACCATTTTAAAAATCATATTATAAATATGCTAAGGATATGGACACTTTGAGATGTTGTTAATGAGAGAGGGAATTACTCTAACCAACTTTCTTTAGGAAATGTACATTTTCTTTGACCTGGGCAATCCCAATTTGGGAAATACATCCTACAGTTTAAAAAGCAATTAAATGCAAAGCTATACTCAGTGATATTTCCTGTATTGTTATTTATAGTGGCACTAGAAACAGCCTGAATATCTCTTATTAGAGAGAAGCTTGACTAAACTATAGAACTCTATAATATAGGATATAATGACCAGAGAGATATCCATGATATGTTATTAAGAACAAAAGCAAGCAAAAGATTCATAGGTATAAAATGATCCCATGTCTGAAGTACAATAATATATGTTATTTACACATGTGCGTATCTTTGTGTGAACATATGTACTTATTTTGGATATAATTTTTTGGATCATAGAGAACAAGGTAGAAGAATACATACCAAATTGTTAACGTTGGTTAATCAGAGTTGATGGAGTAGAAATGGGGTAGAGTGAGATTGTTAACCTTTTCTTCAGTATTCTTATACTTAATTATTAAAACAAGCTTGCATTTCTTTTTAAATTAAAAATAAACCCTATAAGTAATAGGACATATAGAGCTTTTACTACCATCTAATGAAATTATAAACCATCTATTTGAAACAAGTAATTTAAGGGACACAGTGAGAAATGAAATGGTAATTATCAAGAGTTGGAAGAATAAACTTAACTTTGGAGGTCAAGGAAGCCAGCAGTGATTGGTCTCTTACGAGATTTGAGGAACCCATCTTGCTGTCTTTAAATGCAGCCACTCCTAGAGAGGGTCTTCTATACACATGTGCTTTTGAATTTGATTACTATGAGGTGAAGTATTAGGAAGCTCACAAATTTGCAGGGATTAGTTTAGTAATTTTAGTGTTCATTAACCACCCAAAAGCACAAGACTTGAAGGAAGAGTATTCAGATAGTTTAAATGTTGATAGGGCAGTAGTCATAGATAAAGGGTACTGGAAAGGTTCCCAGTTTACAGCAAGGCTCTGTTCTGCTGGAATTCTTCTTTAGAGGGTGGACTGAAGAAGGTATTGGAAGGTCATGGCAGCTCTCAGCAAAGGACAGGGGAAAAAATGGAAAAGAATAATAGAGATCTCAAAACCCCAAAAACTTAAGTGAGGTCATCCAGCTTAGGGAATGAGAATTCATGGAAAGGAAGAAGAGAGAGGGTAACAGGGGTAGAGGAAAGGGAAGTTGGTACTGTTTGTGCTTGGGCAGCCAAATCAGTGAGAAACTATAGACAGGTGATAGATGAGCAGGGAAGAAGATGAATTCCAGGAGACAGGAGAAAGATAAAGGGGCGTGGGAGGCCATCCAAAACAAAGAGGCCCAATTTGAAGCTTGCTTGGCATTGGCTTGCTTGTATTTAGTCTCATCCACCAACCAAGTGAATTCCTATGGGCAACTTATAAAGTGAGAAGGTATAAATTCACATCTTGCATTTACATAATCATCCTTCATAACCAAGATGTCTTAAGAATCAAAAAGGTTTATTTATCTGGTGTGTGCATTATGGCTTTGAATGATACACAATATATAATACATATAACATAAAATATGTGTTAATCAAACTGTTTATGTTATCAATAAGGCTACCAGTCATCACTAGGCTATTATTAGTTAAGTTTTTGGGGAGTCAAAAGTTTTATATGGATTTTCAACTGCACAAGGCGTTGACATCACTAACCTCTTGCATTGTTCAAGGGTCAAGTGTATTTGGATCTCTGCCTCTGAGATGTTTCATTCTTCTTTGCCAAAATAGGGCTGCTTCTGTGAAGGAAAAGAAATACTGCTCACCAAAAATTCATAGAAAAAATAAGGCTGGGTACAGTGGCTCTCACCTGTAATTCCAGCACTTCGGGAGGCTGAGGCAGGTGGATTGCATGAGACCAAGAGGCTAGGATGGGCAACATAGTAAGACCCCATCTCTAAAAAAAAAAATTAAATTAAATTAAAAAAATAGCCAGATGTGGTGGTGCTTGCCTGTAGTCCCAGTTACTCAGGAGACTGAGGCAAGAGCATTGCTTGAGCTTTGCAGTTTGAGGCTGTAGTGAGCTATGACTGCACTACTACACTCTAGCCTGGGCAACAGAGGAAGACTCTGTTTCTTAAAAAAATAGGAAACATATAAGGGTCACAGTGTTGTAAGAAGGATAAAAGAACAACAGAAGGACAGGAAAAACTTAGTTTTGATTTAAGATGGCACAAAATAGCTTTAACATCTTACATTAAGTCATTTAAATTCTTTCAGTCTTAGTTATATCATTATGATTTCTGTGCTCTTATGTGACACACAATTTCATTAGACAAGAATTCTTTTGAAATTGATGAACATGGCCAGAATTGGAGGGAGCAATGGGAAATGAAGATCCAGACTTCAAAGTCATAGAAGATTAGTAGCAAAGAGTTAAAAGTTCGAACTGACCTAGGCTCAAATTCTGGCTTTACAATATACCAGCAAATGACATTGGGAAAATTTCTCTGTGCCCATTTCCTCACAAATTAAACTGAAGGTAATAACAGGTACCTAAACTGTGAATGTGGTGAATGTTAAATGTGATAATATGTGTTAATTGCTTAATGATGCCTGGTAACCAGGAAGGGCTCAAAATGAGGTAGAAAATACAGTGGAATATATCTATTCATATAAGAGACACAATTTTCTTTTTACTTTTTTCAAGTTATGTTTTTCCCCCAGATGGGGACAAAACAGGTTTTGAGCATGTTGGCAGAAAAAACACAAGTAAATATGGTAGTGATATAGCAAGACACAGTAGACACAGCATTTCACAGCAGGAAGAACGGAAGACACAAGAATTGAGCAAGCAAAAGAGGAATATTATTCAGACATGGAACTTGTCAGTGCAATGGCTAAAAATACTGTGGGTTAATCAAAGAAACTGAGTTGTTCTGTGGGCTAGAAACCCTATGATTTATAAAACACAGTACATCATCTGTCAATGGCTGTTCTGTATATAACCTATGGTCTCTCTATTTCCAGAATTACCCTGATTTTCTAGCCTCATTGGGGCTACTGATTGAGCTTTGTGAATGTTTTTCTGTGAGCATCTTGAGTGAAGAATCACTTAGACCACATTGTCACTGCTTCCCCAAACTCAAAATTATGTTCAGGGTTGACAACATCTGTACTTTTGTAGCCCTCTCATGGGTTGACATTTTGTCAAACTCTCATGGGTAGACAAAATCCCCCATCTGCATGCAGTGTTTAAGTTAATGTGAGAAAATGAAGGTTTCAGAAAGGAGCAACAGTGTACCTGAAGACAAAACTTTGGACATGTTTTATATTCATTCAGGGCCGTCATGTTTTCTTAGGACTGTCAGGGATAGCTTCACAGTCATGACTGTAATCTCTGTACCTAGCCCACAAACACTCCATTCTTTTAAAATGGTCAATTTGCTTTAAAAGTTACTAGTTTTTTGCCTCCTTCTACTGTGTGCCAAACACTATGTCAGGTGCCATGGCTGTAACGATAAATAAGACATGGTCTTTACACTTACGGAGCACACAGTTTCAACACATAACATATTGCCATGTCCCAAGTTTTGTATTCAAGTACATGAAATCAGCCAAATTAGATAATCAACAAATACTTATGAATTGCTTTTTATGTGCTGAATTAGATCATGATCCCTGGCCATAGTGGCAGTCCAGCAGTGAGGCACAGGAAGTGGTGTTTAGAGGGAAAGAGTGACCTAATGATGACAAGTTGAGATGATGGAGACAAATTCCCTACCTTCCAGAAGGAAGGTAGATGATGGGGGAGAAAGAAGTGGAAGAGGAATGATTCTATGCTGTAATGGTTATAAGCACTGGTACAACTGTGGTGGGGTGAGCACCCCACCATGAGCATGCTCAGAAGCCCCCTGCTGCAGACACACTCAGGCTCCCCTGCCAGTCAACGAAAGCTGACGAAGGCCATGCCAGGCTGGGTGGACTCAGATTCAGGTTCTTGGCTGTGAGTCTCCAGGGGCCTGACATCTGCCTCTGGCCAGACAAGAAGCTGATGGTGCCCTTGTGGCCCCATTCGTAAAACGAATTTTGCTCAGAGTCTAGTAGGTTTCATTAAACTTTTGAAACACCAGTACTTAGACTTCAAAAGAACGCCTCAGGGCTCTGGTCTCCTTCCTGTGCACTTAGCACATCTGATTTTGCCTTATTCTCCTGGTAAAGTTTTTGTTAAAGTTAGTTGTTAGCATGAGTAACATCATGAAGAAGTGGCACAAAAGCATGCAAAACTTGTCTGGGCTCAAAATATATCACAGACAAATTCTATTCAAAGTGGTGGTTTTCATGGTCACATTATTCTATAATCATTTACTGTCTTAGACTAGTGGGTCTGGTGTTCCACCTTGACTTTGTGTACTCTCATTCCACACAAACACTCATAGGCATAGAGTGCAGGTGGCCCCATGTCAGGTCCTAGGAGTGTCCCTGTATGAGCCATCCCATGTGGACACACACAAAGGAGTTGGGAGGAGATGAAAGTGCCTTTTTGGTAAAAGGCACATTTGATCTTTCACAACTACCACAGAGGACAAGGCAGGTTTCCTGGAAGAAGCACATGGGAGGGAAAAGGAAAATTAGAAGGCTTCATCTGAGAAGTTGAGGCTAAGCTTGAATTCCTAATTGCCAGAGGTCGTTTCCAAGAAGCATGTCTGTCTGTGGTGTACCAGCTTTCAGCTGGGTGGCTCCTAGATCATGTCTCTTTCGTCAACCAGGCTGATGGCACCAGCACCAGTAGCTTCCTTCCAGGAATGCATTGCCCATCCTCTCTGGTTTTCTGTTGAGTTGGCCTGGCCCTGCTTAAGAGAAAAATAATTGGTATTCTTTCCTCCTGTGTCGGGCAGTAATTTCCTTTTGAGCCATCCCTTACAACAGGGCCAGCCCTCTGCAAAATTATGCAGTAGACAGTTTGCTTTTTTTTTTTAAGTACAATTTCCATTTTATTTTTCTCCAGAGAATAGTCTATCTTCAGTCTTTAAGAACTCAGCTCCTTACATGGGCTTTGGTGGGGGACGTGGGGCAGCACCCACAGGTCTAAATCAAGGTGGGGGTGTTCGGTCCTTGCGGGCTTCATGAGATCGATTCCTGACTACTTTGCTGTGAATTGCACAACTCACACAGTAAGGTAGCTTCACATACAGCTTGGGAAGCTCATTGGCATCGAAGACGCTCGCTTCAGAAATGTCCCTGATTGCTGCGGCCTCCACTATGTTTCGAATGATGAATTTCTTAATGGCCTTGTCCTTGGGCATGCATCGGGCACAGTTAGTGCAGCGAATAGGCTGCACGTGGCCGCGGCCCTTTTTGGTGTGACCGTTGTTCCTTCTTTTCTTTGTCATCTTGGAGGTACGGACCGAAGAGAGGAGTGACTGTTTGCTTTTAAGCATTTAATTTTTTTCTTTTTTCTGGTGACCATCAGCCACATTAGCCTTCTCCCATTGGCCCAAACTTTCAGGACCATTGTTTTTTCTTAGGACAGTCAGGGATAGCTTCACAGTCATGACTATGGTACCTGTATCCAGCTCACAAACACTCCTTCCTTTTAAAATTGTTGATTTGTTTTAAAAGTTACCAGTTTTTTGCCTCATTCTACCATGTGCCAAACACTATGCCAGGTGCCATGGCTACAACAACAAATAAGACATGGTCTCTACACTTACAGAACACACAGTTTCATGAGACAAATAGGCAAGAATATCCAGTGTCACAACAAAGCTCCAACGGCATGAGACAGCATAAAACGTTGGAAGAAATGTCACTGTGGCATAGCATGGATAGCCCCTAAAGACAGAGGATTGTTCTGGAAAGGCCATTAAGGAAGCATCCTGTAAGGATAGGGATATGTGTAAGCCTTATTCCGAGGGCTGTGGGAGACCCCAAAGAAAGATATGCAAGAAGATGATGAGAACAGATTTGCAGGTTAGCAAATTGTCTCTTTAAAGCATAGTCAGGAGACAAGACCACTTAGTTCATATCAGAAATCCAGATGAGGAATTGGATGGCCTAGGATGAAGTAGTGGTAGTGTGGATAGAGAGGAGAGGACAGATTTGAGAGATATTTAGGAAACAGACATTGCCTGTATTGGTAATTTCTTATGCCAAAGCTTGGAGAGATGGTGAAAGAGATAGAGGAGTCTTGAATGGCTCTAAGAATTATGTCACAGGTGAGGGCATGGTGATGTCTTCCCAGAAACATGGTATGCACTAAATGGAATTGATTGAAGTCTGTTATTTTGATGGTAGTGGGTATAGATAGGGCTTAACTCAAACTCCCAAATTTATTAATCACTTCATATATTACTTTCTTATCAAAATGGCATTAAATTGATTTCATTAAGTTAAAATGTCTCTTTTTTATACCATTAAAGAATTTAGATAATGCTGGCAGTTTTAGAGACCATGAAAAATCAATTGAAGAAATGTTCTTTCATTGGCTGGGTGCTTGGGTGGAGCAGAGTGTGGAGCTGCCTGGAAGAATTTGCATAATCTGGTCTCTGGCCATTAGGTTTAGATGTGACCGTCACCCTCCCTGCACACTTAATTTTTCTCTCACTTTTTTTCTCCAATTTCTTTCCCCTCCAGCCTTAAATTTGTTATTTTATTCCTTCCTATTCCAGCATTGCCAAACTCTCCTCTCTGTACAATGTGCTCTGGCTACAGCACAACCTCCCAGCTTTGTGTATTTGTAAAATAAAAGGAAAAGAATGGGCACTTCTTTTTCATGGATGCAGGATTCAGACAGAATCAACATTGCTACCACAGAAGACATTTGGGGTAACAGGTGGCTGCTGAACCAAATAAGAATTCCCATAGCCCTGCTATTTCCCAGGCAGATAAGCTCAATAGTGTTTGACAGAGCTAGGGAAACAGGACACTTGGGAAATAAAAAAGCTTTTTATATGTTAAAAAAAATCTTTGTGTCCCCTGGTTCTTTTATTTCTGTCAAAGCAACCCTTAAATACTCATTTTTCTTTCTCTCCTATTTCTTGATCTGTAGGTAGTAGGTAAAAGCCTGAATTCCCAAATATCCTACTCCTACAAAAGTTATATATATTTTATATATATATATATCCCTCAAGGGGTCTTTTGAAATGCCTAAAATAATTTATTTGCTTATACAATTGGAAAAAGCTGGTTTTAGAACCAGGCAAATTGAGTAGGAGACTTACTTCTAATGGCACTAAAACCTTCTAAAATAAATTCTGAGAAAATTGCCTTCATTTAGGAGGTAAACTAAAAGACATCTATCACCACCACCTGAGGAAATTCCCCAGGCCCTTGACCTTCCCTGAAATTCCTATTGTGGCAGCTCCTGCATCTCTGATTCTGGCAGCTGCCTGATTCTTGAATTGTTCTTTGCTCAATTAAACTCTGTTAAAGTTAATTTGTCTAATGTTTTCCTTCTTAGAGAAGATGTCAGAGTGAGATTTGCAATAGACTCCCAGCAGCCCCCAGGAGCACCAAGTGAGATGCCTGCCAGGCCCACTGTGTCCACTGCCCTCTGGTAGCACCTGAGGATCATGGGTAAGTTCTCTGATTCCAAAGCTGCATGGATTTGTATTTTGAGCTTTCCAAGTTTGAGGAAATTTTGGATCTAAACTGGGTTCAGCAGTCATGACAGAAATTGGACTGGGTCCAAGATTGTACTGGATCTGATCATTAACTAGATTGGATCCATTTAGAGGCCTCAGATGCCTGACTGGATCAAACAGAAACTGGAAGTAAATGGCAATACTGCAAGGGCTGGGAACTCTGGCTTTAGGAAATTCATGGGATTTTTGTGTTCTGTCCTCTTTCTATCTTTTTTTCTAATGTGCTTAGGTAGGGAAAATCATTGGTTAAGTTGATCAAGGGTATCTGAGGGTCAAAGTCCAGATTCAACATAAAAATGAGACCCCTTAATTTCTGAAGAACTGAATACTCCACCTTCTGGCTATGCCTGCATTTACATGTATAAGTATTAGGCCCTGGAAGCAGCAAACACTTAGAAAAATGGCAAAATCTTACTAACGGTAACTTTAAACTATGGTAGAACAGTCCTAGTGAATAACACTGTACTTTAAGCAGTGCATTTAAAAGTGAGGGCTAATGAATTAGACTCACTCTAGGATGTGAGGGAAAAGAGATAGCAATAGACTCTTCTCAGGCATTAAAGAAGAAATAGCAATGAATGTGAATAGAAAAATGTTCAATAAACAATGTGGAACCAGAAATCTTGCAAGTTTTGTAGCTTAAATATAACAGCGAGACAAATACTTTCACCATTCATATGATCAGATATCTAGCTGCCTAGCGCTCTTCATCATGTGGTGGGAAGAGCATATCCACTTGTTATGCAATGGACCTAGGAAGTGGTTTCAGATTGGTTTTGGCATCTTTGAGATGGTTTTGGATAAGATTCTGTTATGAAAGCTAAACACAAGTAATGATTGCATGCTATAAGAACAGCCTGAATTCATTGGCTGTTCAATCCCCTAAACCCACACGGAAATCCTGCAGGGCAATTGATGTCAGAGACAATTTAGAAAGAAAAGGATAAGCGTTAGCTACTGAAAACTATGGAAATGGCTTTGGGTCTCAATTCTGCTGATGAGCAACACAATTGCTATGATAACTGACAATGCTCAGTTCAGCTTGGCAGAGACACAGACCTTGGATGACTTTATCCAAGTAACATGCCAGGAACCCCCCCACCAAAAAAAATCAAATGACATAATAGGGGGTAAGCATAGGAGAGAGAGGTCACAAGAACCTTACTCCAATGGAGTTAAAAGTCGGGAGAGATATCCTGTTTGCCCACTCAAATTTTCTAGCTGAGACTGAAAACCAGTGAATTCATCAAATGTTTTATAAAATAATAAAATTCAGTAACCAATAATAGCTGGTAATTGAGTTGGAGAAAGAAGAGGGCATATTCATTTAAAAGAAAATTTTGCAGAAATTCTTTGTTCTTCTTAAATTTTATCAAAATTACCAGCACAATAAAATAATAAGACTGGTTTTCTTAAAAGCAATGACTACCTATTTTCAACTTTGTATTCTCAGCACCCAGGACAGTTTCTGGCATAGAATAGGTGCTCAATAAATGTCTGTGAGTGGAATGATATGTGATCAAATGGCTACATTTATACACAGACACCCACGTATCACATTCACAATATTCACATGATAATACCTACAGTAATATAAACTTTGTCTACTCATTATTTATGACCAAAAATCAGCAAGGTTTTTCTGTAAGAGTCCAGATATCAAATATCTTAAGCACCTCAGGATAAAAGACAAAATTGAGAATATTATGTAGGTGATTATATAGCAAATATACAGCAAAAAAAGATTTTTATTGATGGAATTCAAAGTATAATAATAATCACATACACATTTCTGTAACGGGAAGATAAGAATGGAACTCTTTGGGGGGAAAACATTTTATTTAATCTGGGTTTAAACTGATCAAAAATGTTTTTGCAAATGTTATCTGTTAATGCTGATTTGTAATGAGATTTTAGTTATTTCATTTAGAATTTTAATTTTATATGTTTTGCATGTCATGCAATACTATTAGTCATTTAACTTTTTTCTCCCATTTATAGCTGTAAAAGTAATTCTTAGCTCTCAGGCCATGTAAATACAGGTGACAGAGTGAATTTAGTTCATTGGCAGCATTTTGCTAATCCCTCATCTATAAATACTTGGTTATGAAAAGCATTTGATTGGTTTATTTATTGATTGATTTTTGAACCTGTCATGTAAGTAAATGGAATTAGGAACGTTGTATATAATTACACTATTTGCAATATCTCATGTACCAGAAAAGTCCCCATATTTGAGAATTTGCTTTGTTTTTAAAACAATGCTTTCATGCGGGAACTGGTCTGAGAACCACGAAAAAAAAATCATCTTGGTAACCGATTGATTAACCTTGTAGCTTTGCCCCTAAACTGAGTATGATTCTTAGCAAGATTGGGTAGAGGGCAAGAATTTCACAAGAACTTTCCCTGGGATAAAAATACAATGACAAGGACAGAATCCTAAGGAACTGCCAAGTTCACTAGATGACCAAATTTGAAGCTATTTTTTCACATTGTCCTTTGGTCGGAAATACTTGAAATGCTTCTGTGTGTTGTAAGCCTTATTCCCCACTGTCACTTCCAGGCTGTCTCTCTTCCTTCCTCCCTCAAAACCCCAGATTCTTTGATGTGCATGTCATAGACTTCATTATCCATTACCCTTCCTTGTTGTTTTCATATCTCTCCCTCCAAATGTCTTCTCCTCATTGTGTTCTCATCACCTGGATTCACCTATGCCACTGTCAATCACTGCATAGGATGGTGCTTCAGGACAGAGAATCTGGAAGCAGACTGATTTGATTAAAAGCATGTCTGTGTCACTTACTAGCTATGCTCTGTCGCTTGAATTATGAAATGAGTATAACAATAGTACCTACCTGTAAGGACACTGTGATAATTAAATGAGATTTTAAAAAAAGATAAGTGCTTAGAACAGTTCCTGTTATAGAGTGAATACTTAACATATTCAATAACTTCACCATTTAAAAATAAAGTAATAAATACATGATATAAATGCAAATAGTACCAACACTTACTGAATGCTTACGATATGCTAGGCACTGTCGAAAGCATTTTACATAATGAACATTTTTAGATTTCACAACAACCCTATGAATTGGTTTATATTATTATCCTCCTTTTTAAGAAGAAGAAACCAAGAACTATAGATGTGAACTACCTTATCCAAGGTTAACAGCAAATAAGTGATGAATCCAAGAAGTGAATAGTCCATCCCACTTCCTGGTGTCCCAACTATTTTTAGCTTCAACTATCTTTTTCTGCATTCTAGTTCAGCCATTTTGTCATCATCAATAGTTATAGCACCTTCAACATTTTAATTCCAACCCTCTTCTCTGACCATCTTCTGCACACCTTCAATTTTTCAGTGACGTCCTTTTATATTCCCCAAACAAACATTCTTTGACCTCATTCAAACTTTAAACCCATTGACCTGACTCCTTTTCACCATCTGTCACCTCTATTCAGTTCTTACATCTCTTTCCCCTGTGCAGCCTAAAATTTTCATGGGCTAGTTCTGTAACACTCTTTTAAAAGCACCCTTAACTCCTTTTCTTCATCTTCCCTCCATTATACTATTTATCTGGCAAAACCCCAAACTCACCCAACCAAATTATCCACTTCTTCTGTGCCAATGCTATAACAGTAAAAATATTGCTAAAAATCTCAATGTTACTAGGCTTCCTCATAATATTTCTCAAGAAAATGCACTTCCTTTCTCTATGAGATTCTCACACATTCTCCTCTCTCCCCAAATTGCAAACATCTCTATCTGCCTACTCTCTTTTCATAACACTGAAGCTCACTTTAGAAAGAAAAGAAATATAGTTGCATAAGAACTATCATTTTTTCCTACTAACAATTCAATCAATCTTTCAGCATTTGTATTCAGCTACTGACTTATCCCTTCTATTAAAAGGTTGTACATACTTCTGTTGCAAAGAGAAAACTCTTTATCAGTAACTTAAATCCTTTCCATCTCATTTTCAGCAGGAGTTGGATCATGTAATATTCACATTTCCTACATCATTTTCTTTCCCTTTTCAGGATTATTCATATTGGCCTAGAAATATGCCACAATATCACCTATCTTAAAAATAAAATTAAAACTAACTCAAACTTCTTTGACCCTATATTCTTCTCTGGAAACTATTGGATATATCTTTTTCCCATTTACATCAATATCCCTTAAAATATAGTTTGTGTGTACTGTCTTTATTTCCTCATCTAATTTCTCTCCATGTTTGCTTTAATAGAATTTTAAATCTTACACTCTACTGAAATTGTCTTTATAAAACTGTAGATAGATGCTGTTGGTTATTTATCCCAAAGATATTTTCACTCCCTTTCTTTTATTCTTCCTTCTCCTCTTGCTCTCCTCCTCCCTCTTCTTTTTCATTTTTGTTTTCTTCTACCCCTTCTTTTAGGTGAGACTTTATAATACTTGGACTTTTCTTCCATGTGATAAGTAAACATAACCAACCCCCTTCTCAGTCCTGTGGTATAAATTGTAATTGATCATAGCCAAACAGGGTAATTTTTCTTGCCAATCACTTGCCAACTTCAGTTGAAGAATAATCTAGGCCGGTGAGTATTGAGTGAAAGTCTGCTGGGGCACTTCTGGGTACTATCTAATAAAGAGACAAGGATGGAAGAAAACGTCCTTTGTGGGGGATGTGATCATGCCTTCTGAACAATCCTGAGGTGAAGTGACTGTGACAGGTGTGCAAGAAGTACCATGAAGAAGAACGTGTTTCTGATAGATCATTCTGGAAAACTCTCATGTTAGTCAGGCTAGGAGATTAATGGAATTTGGAATTGATGAGTAATAAGAAAAGAGATTAGAAAGGCTGAGGCAAGGTTTCTTAATGAGTTTCAACTAGTTGGTCTCCAGGATGCTTATTTAAATAATCTTGGTCACTTTTCAAACAATGCTTTTGATTGCTACTCTCAAAGCAGCATTCTTTTCTTTTCTTTTTTTTTTTTTTTTTTTGTTATTTGACATGTGCCATTAACAGAGATGGTAGGACACAGAAAATGAAGAAAATAAAACTTAGGAGTCAGCTGTTTGAGAAGTGAGGAATATAAATATATAACCACTCTTTCTATCCCTGTAAGAGGAGAAAAAAGCAAGTTATGATGTTGGTTTCAACGCAATATAGGAAATCATCATGTTTTTTGTTTATTAATACACTTTTTTTAGAGCTGTTGTAGTTCACAGCAAAATTAAGCAGAAAGTACAGAGAGTTCCTATATTCCTCCTTTCTCCCACACATACACAACCATTTCTATTGTCAATATTCTACACCAGAGTGGCACATTTGTTAAAATCTTTCTTCACTTAGTAATATGCGTTTAAGTCTCCTGCATGTTTTTCATGGTTTGATAACTCATTTCTTTTTAGTGCTGAATAATATTCTATTGTCTGGATGTACCACAGTATCCACTCACCTACTGAAGGAAATTTTCATTGCTTCCAAATTTTGTCAATTATGAGAAAAAGTGTTATAAACATCTACGTGCAGGTTTTTCTGTAGACACATATTTTAAAATTCTTTTGGGTAAGTCCCAAGGCGTGTGATTGCTGGATTGTATGGTAAGAGTATGTTTAGTTTTTGTAAGAACCTGACAAACTTTCCTCCAAGATGGCTGTACCATTTTGTATTCCAACCAGTAACTAATGAGAGTTCCTCTTGCTCCACATCCTTGCCAGCATTTGGTATGGTAAGTGTTTTGGATTTTGGCAACTATAAGAGGTGTGTAGTTCTATATTGTTGTTATTCAAATTTTCAATTCCCTAATGACATATGATATTGAACATCTTTTCCTATGTTTACTTGCCATCTGTACATATTCCTTAGTGAGGTGGCTCTTTAGGGCTTTTGCTAATTTTTAAATTGGGTTCATTTTCTTATTGTGGAGTTTTAAGAGTTATTTGTATGTTTGGACAGAGGTCCTTTATTAGAAGTGTCTTTTGCAATATTTTCTCTTGGTCTGTGGCTTGTCATCCCATTCTCTTGACATTGTCTTTCCAATTCCTGTATTTTAAAGTGAAAATGTAACAATTTATTTTTATGCACTTGCATTGACATACCTCAGGTTTAAGGGCATCTCAAAGCCATTTGTAAACTTCATCATTGCTCCATCATCTGACTCTGATTCTCTGGATAATAAGTGTCTTTGGGCCAACCAATCCAGGCAGTCAATCCAGATGGTCCCTAAGGTATTACAATGTCTTTCATTCAATATATTTGCCAAAATTAGAGCAAGTAAAAATATGCTCGTGTTGAAGGAAATCTAGCCCTAAATGAGGTAAAAAAAGACAAAGTTCTAACACCTGTCTTTTAAATCTATATTAACATGACACAAGTATGAAATGAATCAACTTTATCTCCTCCTGCCACAACAAAGAGAAATACAAGTTACCTACTTTATACTGATAACCTTGTCATATTGTCTAAGCGTAAACTTAGGAAGCAGTATGGGTCTTTTGGCATATTATGTCTGTAAAGAACAACTCAGCATAAAATTCTGCGAAACAAAACATTATTGTATTTGGTAGACATTCAATCTTAAATATCCTCAGGCAACAAGTCAATTTATTATGTCTTTTGTAGGGATTCAGTCACTTTCAGCACACAGTGGATTTATTCAGGGATGCATTTTACTCTTAATTCATTTTGATGGCTTCTTGGGATCTAGTTTTTAAAATGAGATGTTTGCTAGTTTTATGTTTTATATATCGATTGTCTTTTATAGATGAGACAGATGGCCACACACACATGCACCTGCGTACATACACATGCACGTGCACACACATGCAGCTATAAGATTAAACTTAAACAAGACTAAATCTTTGTGTGTTATGTTGTGTTGTGCTGAATGTGGGGTTTCAGATAAGTGCACATGAAAAGATCAAAGCTCTGTTCTGAGAAACAAAGTGCTAACTTTACCTTTAGGCCTCCCTGCTGCTCTACCTGTACTAACTATTGTAATTAATTTGTAATGCATGGCATCTTTCCATTTTTGCCTCAGCTGCCAGGAAACCAAATACCACTCACCACCTGGAATAGGAATTGATTATTTTACTTTACCCTAGCCTCTATACAAGCCTCACTTGCCTTTGGGTCTATTGAATAATTTTTGTCTCATATATTGATGTGTTTGAATGCATTTTTGCTTCGTTGTAAACATACAATAGCTTTTAATCAGTAGCTCAAGGTGCCTCATAGAAAGAACCATTGTTTCATTTATTAAAACAACACGTAAAAAAAATCACATGTTCATTTCCCGAAATATGGAGTGAATTTCTTCAAGCCTTGGAAGAAATTTACATTTACATGTAATAAAGCTCCTCAGACTGGTAAATTCCCTGAGATTATCATAACAGACCTGTTAAGTCGAACTCAGAAGAGGTTTCTATTTTGAGAGAATACTGCTTTTGGCTGCCAGGAGAGCCTTCTGTAGACATCTTTTTGAAAATGGGGTAACTCATATGAATTCATCATGGCCAGAAGAAATAAAGATTCTTAGTGTGTGATGTAGGTGCTTTACTGGAAGGATGGTAAGTCTGGCTTAATATTGCTTGCAAAAATTATTTATGGTTGGCACTCTTAATGTGTTTAAAAAGTCTCTTTTCACGTTTGGTTAAATGTTTCTGTCTTGCTTTTTATAATTTATTTGAAATCTACCTTTGAAATCCTCAAAATAAGGTTGTTGTTGGACAGGCCTCTATCTGAAATCCAGGAACTATTTCTCATTTTGACCCTAGTTAGAACCCACATCATGTATATTAATACAGTATTCTTGTTCTAAAGTATATTTTGTTTCTCAGTTGTGGCTGGGGCTTTTATTAACATTCTTAAAGCAATAAATCATCCTTCTTATTGGAGTAAGTTAATTGTGTCTTATAATGAAGAGCTCTAAACTTAATTTGTCAAATTTATGTTTGTACACAGGCCACCCCACTGAAAGGAGATAAGCTTAAGGAGGAATATCTTTTCAAAGAACTATGTTGAATGAGCTCTTTAAAAATCTTTCCTCACTAATTGCATTTTAAACAACTTAATTTTGTAAATGTTATTTTTGCTGGAGGTATGCACAATCTTTCTACTAATATTCACGCATCTACTTCATCATATGCCATTTTCTATTGGTTAGAATGCCCATCTTACTGACATCACTGTCTCTTAGATAAAAAAATACATAGTCATCAGCTTGTTTTATTACTTCCCATTAGAATGACCTCTCTGTGCCTCTTAGCCTGGATAAATCTTCTGCTCCCTTTCAATCCAGCTAAAATCTCACCATCTTGCAGCTTTACCTAATTACCCCTTATCATTTTGGCAGAACATTATGTACATCATGGAGGTTCCATTAGGGCATGTAATGTGTGCCTCAACTGGGGTCAATACAGGGAAATATTTCCTGGATGTCAAAATTTTGTCCAGCAATAAGAATTACTTAATTTATGATTTGTCTTAGTCAAAATTACAGGCACTGGGATGAGTTTTCTTCTTTTCTTTTTGCAACAACCCCAGTGTGTTATTGCAGGGGATGTTGGTTTCTTTTGCCTTTCCTGAAGCCATTTACCCTTCTTCATGTAATGGCATGTAATTCCTTCTAGTCCTGCCTCTAGGTGTGGATATATAACTGCACAGAGTAAATGAGGTTCATTTCCCAAGCAGAATTTTTGGTAAGGAGAAGTCTTTATTCCACTGAACTTGGGGCTGTGAGTATTTTATCCTTTAGTTCTGGAAGCCATCAAGATGGGAAAACATGCTTGAAAATTAAGCCATTTTAGAAAATAACAGACTTATGGAACATATCACTTCCTGACAACATTGCATACCTGAATCCAGTTGTGCCAAAAGCTAGAGGCTCCTAGGTTTTTCAGGTAGTTAACTCAATATATTTCTTTTATTTTAATGAATTAATTTGCTTGTTTTGCTTAAGCAAGTTTGGATTAATGTTTTCATATTTGTAATTGAAAAAGCTTGGAATATATATAATTATATATATAATTATATACATAATTATTAGTCCTAATTCTATAGGTGGGGAAATAAAACTGAGAGGTTTAGAAAACTGCAATGTTAATAACAAATGAAACTAGAATCAGACATATCTACTTATAGGGTCCATTTTCTTTCTGCTCTGTCATACTGCATTACAAGTTTTTGGTATGTTTTGGCTTCTATGCTGATGCTTTGGCTTCTCCAAAAATTTTTATTTATTCATTTTTTGGTAGATAAAGTCTATGACTTGTAGTTTTATCATTTTCTGCTAGTATTTTGGAGGAAGAGAATGTGAGGGACACAGAAACATTTGTATTCTGATTTCTTATAATAGAAGCTCCATTAATTTTTCTTGAGCTTTCCAGTGATTAACATTCATCTTCTGTGGTCTTTCTTGAGGCTTACAGAACCTTAGTGGACATCAAAGTCATTCTTGTTCACGGAGAGACCTTGTTAGGCTTCGAGTCTGTGCTACTTCAGTGTCCCGTATTTGCAATGCCTATCTCCATCAATTTGGGTTATTTTCAGAAACACAAACAAGGGTTGAGTTAGACTGTCATGAGGACAACTATAATGGGAATATTGGAAAAATTATGATTACTCTTAGGCTGGGTAAGAGACAAGTTTGCATGGAACATCTGAATTTTGTCCCTGGAATTGTCATTGCATTTCTGGGTGGCCTTGGACAAAATTATTTTTTGAAGTTTTGCCAAAAGGAAGGTAATAGGGGTAGGAGAGGAATGAGTGAACAGCTCCAAGTGAATACATTCATTCTTTACAATGTTAAGGCTCTGTATTCCCATTTTCCTGAAATCACTGTGAACTCACAAGTCAGGTCTCAGAGAAAGTCTTTTGACATTTCAAAAATAGACCTTTTAACTTATAGCTAGAAGAATAAAAGCAAAGATAAAAACCAAGCTAGCAGAAAAATGGTCTGGTATACACATAAAGGCAGGTGGACCATTCTGGTCAGTCTGTCATTTACTAAGACCTAATTAGCTAGGCTGTCTTGGTGGCATTTTCAGAAAGGAAACCGGAATCCTTTGCCTGTAAATGTCTCCATTAGCTCAGCGTGTGTTTTCGTTGGCCTTTAGAAAACGCTCTAGGTCTATTATGGTTTTGTTGATGGCTAACAGTGTTCTTGGCGCTGAGTGCGATATAGAAGAAGGCACAGGATCCGCCCAAGGCACTTGCAACCTAAGTTAGTAAAACAAATAACTCGCTATGATTCCTGACCTTGCGGGAAATTGAGTTTAAATATCAGTGGCGCTAGATTCCAGAATATTTCTATTTGTGTTCCTTTGGGATGGGCCCTAATGACATTGGCGGAGCGACTGCATTGCTTGGTGTGCTTCCTTTCTTCCATTTTTAGCGTGTTAGACTTTCTTCCATTTCCAGGGCTTTTTCCATGGCTAAGTTAACCACACATGTTGTCTCTCAGCATCCCTTGTTTTGTTGTAATATTTGCCCTCACTTTAGCTCACTAGAGTCTAATTTCACCTATCTCTACCTACTTAAGGTGATCGAAAAAAAATTCACCCAGATAAACCCTAAACATTTTTTGAAATGTGGGGACAAACGTTTGTTCTTGTATATAATTGTATGAATATCCATGGTATTTTAAATAAAATCATGTATCTTCAATGTGAAGACCAACATAGGCAGGGGTTGAAAAATTGTGCAATATTCTCCGCACATGTAGTTTGTTTTTTTCTATGTTGGCAGAAAAGGAAAAATATTACACCTCAACCTCTCTGATCATACTTTTGGGAAGGGTGGGTAAAGTTGAGAAGGTGGTTGGGGAGATGCCAGGTGACTGGCATCTGTTTTGTTAGGCTGTTTTGGCGTTGCTGTAAAGAAATTCCCGGGGCTGGGTAATTTATAAAGAAAAGACGTTTAATTGGCTCATGGGCTCATGGTTCTGAAGGCTGTACAGTGAGTGTGGTGCTAGCATCTGCTTCTGGTGAGGGTCTCAGGAAGCTTCCAATCATGGCGGAAGGCAAAGGGGAAGCAGACACGTCACATGGCAAGAGGGAGCAAGAGAGCAAGGGCAGGGAGGTCTCAGACTTTTAAACAATCAGATCTCACATGAACTGAGCGAGAATTCACTTAACACTAAGGGGATGGTGCTAAACCATTGATAAGGGATCCACCCACATGATCCAACATCTCCCACCAGGCCCCACCACCGGCACTGGGAATCACATTTCAACATGAGATTTGGAGAGGACAAACATCCAAACTGTATCAATTGGTGAGACAGAACCTGGAAAAGGGAGGAAAGAAATACACAGTTGAAAGCCCGTTTTCATGGCTGGGTCTGGGCTATTGCCAGTGGAAGCCTGTAGGAGAAAGAATAAATAGAGCCATGTAAAAGTTCAGCAAATTGTTGATCTTGCCTCTAGTCAATACACAGCCCCTGCTTTTATAAGCACTTAGAACTATGCAAGGTTTGATATATAAAGCTAATTGAAATTGGCTGATAAAGACTAATCTACATCAATGAAAACAAATGAACGTTTACTGCGTGTGGCAGTGTGGATGAATCTTACAATCATATGTTGAGTAAAGAATGTCAGACTACAAGAGATTAGAGACTGATTAATTCCATTTAAATAAAGTTCAAAAACAGTCTAACTAGCTTGTGGTGTTAGAACTCTGATAATGTTACCCTGAGAGGGCTTGCGACTGGAAGAGAGGGTGATGGAGGTGATGGAGGCTTTGGATGTTTAGAATATTCTATTTATTGGTCAGGGTGAAAGTTATATGGGTGTGCTCCCCTTGTGAAAATTCAGCAAGCAGTATGCTTATCATTTGTGTATTCGTCTCATACCTTTTATTTTCATTTAAAAATATTACTTAAAAATTGCTGTTTACTTAAGAGATGTTTGCATGTACATATGTTGTTATGGAGTCATTGAATACTTCTGCAAAATAACTTAATTTTTTTCAAATTAGTAACTGAATCATATTTGATTTCTGGGAAATATTTGTTAAGTAAATGATTTCCAGTTACAAAAAAAAGGAGCTAGCATGTCTTGGCCAGCAGCCCAGTGGACACCTTAGTATTATGGGTTGGTGTTACCCTCATCATAATCAAAGGCAGTTAAGCTGAGCACTCTTAGTGGAACTGCATATAAGTTCGAGAGGACAGTGGTGGGGCTAGATCCTGGCAATTTCATGGTGAATTAAGAGATTAAAAAAAGAGATATTTACTCCATTGTTCCTCAGTTCCTGAAATGTGTGTGAGCTACTGTCACCAAAGCTTGTCGCCTTCCTTCACTCCAGTAGACCACTTCTAACCAGCATATCTGTGGGGAGAACCTGTCTCCCAACCCCTTCCCTAGCTGGGACATTGTTCTGTCTCTCTCTCCCCAGCTCTATCTATAAGAAAGGAGTAGGCATCTGAAAGATCATGGTTGACCTGGTATATCAGAGGAGATGGCAGAGAATAAATAGAGGAGAGGATTGAGAAGGGAGAGGAGGAGAAAAGAAAATGGAAGAATGGAATAAGGCAAGAGAGACATTGAGGTAGTCTGGAGGTCAACTTCAAAGAGATCCCAACTAGCAGTGACAAAATGATTAGGTTGTCACACTGTCCCATTAAAAAAAATGTTTAATGTATGCTTATTCTGTGCTAGGAACTGCCTACTTTGCCATATCCTCTATATGATTCTATTTCATTTTCATTTCATAGATAATAAAATTGAGGGATCAGGGGGATTTTGAGCACAATACTCCAGCTGCAGTCTAAACCTTCTTAGTCAGAGCCCATGATTAAGAATAATAATGCAATGTGTTGAGTCCCTACAACATCTCAAGTACATTTATTTTTGTCTCGAAAAATTGTTTTTGTTCCTTCTGATCAATAAATGCATATGGCTGAGTCTTGTTATCCGTGCCCATGTGTATCTGCTACTTCTTATTGTCTACGACTTTGTCATTTGGGGTTACATCCAAGAGATGGCCTACAGCTGGGATGGACTTCATGGAGCAACTATATGTCATGTGGACCCTCTGGCCACTCTGCTCTGGACTCATTCCTCCCCAACCAGAGCTTATCTGGAACTGAACCAGCTCCCAAGGGTAAAGACAGGTCACTGAGCAGATGACCTTGGCCTTCAACTGCTGACCTTGATTTGCGTGTACTGGCTTTGAGGGAGGAGGCTTGTGGCTTCCTTTTCCCTGGACTTACACTTAAAGGAGGCTTAGATTGGCTGCACTCCTCTCACTAATGCATGAGAGGTTAGGCGTGCATCATTGGATAGTATGCCACAAACCAATGTGATAGAAATCAATGCTGCCCATATATAAGTGACCAGCTTGGTCATTTACTTCATGCTTTTGTCCCCACAGAAAAATGACAGAAAAGCTTTATATAAACAAGTTACAGAACAATGACAAATATTTCTGTATCAACGGTATGCAAGAATTATGCCAGGTAATTCTGGGGATACAGAGGTGTCATGTTAATAGCTGGAATAAAGAAATTGCTGAGATCAGACTGTGAACCCTATACTAAAAGTCAATTCTGTGCCAAATGAAGGTAATTAGGAAAAAGGAGATACAAATAGGCACATGCTAAGATGAGTGAGATGGTTACTTCACAGTGCAGATAAAATGGTCTTTCCATAGGTCTATAGGAGTGGTCATATCTACATATTTCAAACCAAATACAATGATAATTGGTGGTTTTTGTGAACTGTGTATTCATTTGTTAAATAAGTTAGAAAATGCCAATTTAAGACAAGGTATATAGGTATCTTTACAATAGGATCCTCTAACCATTTTAATGCTAAATTTGAAGTTCTAAGAGAGACATTAATTTTCTAAGTTCTTACACTTTTTGCATGTTGAAAGCATTTTTATGTGTAACATCTTCTAGAACAATCTTTAGGCTGGGAATAATCATTTAATATTTTCAAGTCATCTGCCTTTTATTTTATGTTCTCCTTCCTTTAGGTCTCAAGGAGAAAATCTAGGTGGTACAATGTAGTGAAAAAGTGACCAGGGAGTGGTCCAAGACCTGGACTCATCAGTCAAGGCTGTTTTGGTTTCACTTTTTACGAAAATAAGTTGCCGCTATGTCCTCAACAAAGCGAGTTAACTTGAGACTCATTAACCCAAAGACAAAATTGGCCAAAAGATTTCAGGTCTTCCACAAGCCTGAGAACAAATCCAGCCATAAACCCTTTAAATGAACCCCCAATATCCATTTCCCTTTTATTTCCTCAGGATGATCAGCCCTGACCCGTTATCTTGCGGTTCATTTCATGTTTGTTTAGGGCAGGGGTGTCCAATCTTTTGGCTTCCTTGGGCCACATTAGAAGAACTGTCTTGGGCCATAAGTAAAATACACTAACACTAACAATAGCTGATGATGAAAAAAAAATTGCAGAAAAACCCCTCAATTTTTAAGAAAGTTTACAAATTTGTCTTGGGCCACATTCAAAGCTGTCCTGGACCACATGTGGCCTGTGGGCCAAGGGTTGGACAAGTTTGGTCTAGGGCAACCCAAAGAAATTGTAATAGACTAGCACTAGGGGGATCCTAAGGGAACATGCCAGTTAAACTCTCCTACTATATAGACAAAAAATCCTTCTTTGGAGTTCAACTTTCCCTTGGGTTAAAGTGCTGGTTAGTGTGAGAAATGACAATGGAATTAAGGCCACCTAATTCAGAGTCTATGCCACTTACGGCAGCATATGGAGACTCTAGGAGCATTCGGACATTTGAGTTCCTTGACACCAGTCTAACCAATGGGAGATGCCCAGGGGAAATCCTCCAGTTTCTCCAAGATCCTCTTATGTTCTCAACATAGTAATACTCAACTTAACTATAGCTTCTATTATCTCTTGGGGAGAAATATTCAACAAAAGCAATTAAGGGGTAAAAACTCCATTGGTCTGGTAGGAATTTACCTCTGTCTCAGAACTAAAAAAAAACAAAAAACAAAAAAAGAAACCCTATTAACAGATCCTAGATGCTATTATATCAAGGGTCCCAGGAAATGATTGGCTTGAACACTTGAGGGTTTCAGAATAAAACCTAGGGAAAATGCATGGTGTCTCTAAACCTCAGGCAATTTGCTGTGGCTGCCAAGGCCTCCACAGAAAGCATTTTTCAATTGGTATATTTATACTTTCTTTACTTAGTATTGATTCTAAATAAGGATAAAACCCATCCTTGATGGGAAGCCTATGAGTAAGAACAGATGAATTAAAGTTTGTTTTATCTTCCCACTTTCCTTTTGCTGTAGCCAAAAAAAGCCTTCTCTTCAGGGGCAAATGGGATGTATTCTAGAGGCAGTAGTCACTGCTTTCACAACAACTAAATGATAAAATGGTTGGAGAGAGTCTAGGGCAACAGGAGCATTGGGTTTAGGTGCAGGTTCAAGGCTTCCTAAACATTTCATCTATAAAACTGGGTAAAATAGGCCATCTTGAAGGTCTGCAGGTCTCTGAACATCACCGCCCCAAGCTCTATATTGATGCCTAGGCTTGCCATTTTTTTTAACTCTATATTCCTCTTAAGACACCTGCTTTTGAGCCACTAATAAAGTACTCTAGCACTCTCCTCTCTCTCTCTCTCTCTCTCTCTGTCTCTCCTTCCCTCCCTCCTTCTCTCTGTGTCTCTCCATTTCTCTCTCTCCATCTCTCTCTCCCTCTTTTTCTCCTTTTCCCTCTCCCTCTCTCTTTTGGATCTTGCAACAGACTGACTTTACCTAAATATTTGCTGATTGGCTATTCGTGGAACTAATAATGATCTCTGGGCAATTTGCCATATGGGAGAAATTGGGTGGAGAGAATGAATGGCCAAGATATGATTGTTCAGACATCAGCTGCTCACGGCTGTATGTGTGTGCGTCTATGTGCTATAGACAAATATTAAGTCAGACCTGCTCAAACAGGAAGTGTGATAGTTTTTTAAAATTATGGTAGAGCTCAAGTTGATCTTTGCTTCAGTTATGCAACCAGGTTTGTAAAGATACAGGGAAATTTTGTCCATGCTTTAAAAGATTTAACCATCTTTTCTAACACTGGAGATTGACTTCCACATGAACATGATTTGCCCCTATTTGCAGCCTGTTCTCTATATCTCACCACACAGCTACTCTCCCCTGCAAGTTGACATTGCCGAATTTTTGCTGATATTTTTTTCATTCCTGATGCCCCCATTTTTTTCTACTCCTCCCTTCCCTCTATAAGTCCATGTATTGTATATGGTTCATTTTAAATGCCCTGAAGAAAACCTTCCCAAATCCTCTAGCATTCAAATCCAACATTTTCCCTCCCTGAGTTCCGTAATAATTTACTTGTACATCTAATCCAGTGCTTATTCCATTCTACCTGACATTATGGTGAGACGTTGAAAGAGGAATAGTGAGAGAATAGAAAGAAAACAGGCTTTGGAATTGCAGAGTGGGGTTTGGCTCTTGAAAATTCTAGCTGAAAAATGTTGGGCAAGTCTTTGAATATTTTTGAGTCTCAGTTTTCTTCTCTCTAAAATGGGCATACTAATCACTTTGCTGGTTTTTGTCAAGGTAAAAGAGATAACATATGTGAAGAGCCTAACACAATGCCTATTCTGTGGTGAGTAATAAATATAAGCTACTATCAATAAGAATTATATATGAATTTTATCCTTTTGTAACTTTCTTAGTGATTTGAAATGCCTAGAAAACTGTATCTGCTTCAAAATTGTTTGTTGAATAAAGAAACAATTCTCTTGACCTAGTTTAAATTCCTATTATCCATATATAGCTGCCTCAAATATTTCATATCATGGTACTAAATGATAAAAACAGAAGTGTTTGATATGTTAACCAGAGGTGTGATGATATGATGATACAATTGTTCTAGGCCATGTAATTTATACGTCAATGTAGCAGCTCTATAGGACAATACTTGAGATTTACCTGTTAAACTGTATTTGTCTTGAGAGTATTCCGTTCAGTGGCACTGTACTTGGAAGGCAGCAATGATCAGTGTTAGCAGTTGATATTGATAATTATTGAGTGCTAATACATGCCAAGCCCTGTGCATGGGGTTTTAGATGGACGATTTAATTCAAGCAAAACTGATAATAAACTTATACGGTAGACAGTATGATCATCTTCATTTTTCAAAAATAAAAATGAAGACCAGAGAGATGGGATAACTAGTTCAAGGTTATAGATGTATAAGTAACAGATGCTGTGATCAAACCCCTGTAGTCTGACTCACCAAATCTACTGTTGCCACTATGCCAGGTGAGATTTTGTCCTTAGGGAGTTTACACTCTAATTTAATAAAGCCAATCAAGGTAGTGCAATACATGTTCTATTTTAGAGAACTCTTAGGCTATTCAGGGGTCATAGGAGGTGCCATCTGAAAAGCAGCTGATTTGGTAGGCTTTCTTTTCTTTTCTTCCAATGACTTCCTCAGTTATACTTGAAAGTTTCTTGGCTAGTCATTGGTGGGTTTTCCCCTCACTTTCTCATAGAGCTGCTATGATTCATTTAGCAGAAGCTTCAACTGAGAGGGAAAGTAGCAGCCTCTGGTCACGTTTACTCATGTGGCCACCCAAAGAAATCAAACATTTGATTGTATTTGGAACAGTGCTGCTGCTGGCCTCTGATGAGGAAGTAGATAACCCCTCTGCCATCTCTAATTGATTGCAAACAGAGCAGCAGCTATTCTTATGATGCCTTCTGCATACACTTTCTTTCAAGAGTGGTTCTGGAGGACCCAAAGAAAAAAGATAGAATTAGTAAAGCAGTAGCCGGCTGGCCAGACTTATTCAGATCCTGCATGTACAACAGCATTTCTCTAATGTCACTTAAAGAGGTCATTAGGATCCCCAAAAGAAATAACAATAAAATAGTGGTCTTTCACCTGCCTGATATAGATCTTGACATTGCCCCACTATGGTGACCCATATTAGATTCTTAGCAGATAAAATTTTCCCTGAATTAACGATTTCTGTTACATTGATGTATTAGTACCTTGTCTTAGGGGCTACTTCCCTGATTAATGAATACATTCACTCCTGATTTCCACTTGGGAGAAAGAGAGTGGAGGATTCTGATACAGAGGTTTGAGGGAAGGGGTCCGAAGCAGGGGATGGAGAGAAACTAAGGCATGCTAGAAGGCACTGATAACCAAGGGGAAGAGCATCCTTTACAGGTGGAACAAAGGATCCCACAATGAGTTGGGAAATAACATGACAATTTCTCTTTTACTTTAGGCTGGTTCAATTGACTTGCTTATGAATATTACTACCATTCATTCTTTCATCCTTTATTAACCATTCTTTTCCAGGCATAGTACAAGGCAAATGACCAAATGAAAACAAAAAGAAAGGAAATTTGGTCCCTCCTTTAAGTTCACAATCTAGCAACTCACACATGGGTACACAATTAACTACAGAGGGCCTGTTTTAGAAGGGCAGTGTCTATACAGTGGCATGAGCCATGGAACTTGTGTCCTTTTTATCTGGGTCCTGAGAAAGTGAGATGGAAGATGGCGGCACAGGAATAGCTGGGACTCAGGACAGAACTTCCCCAGTTCACCCCCTTGCTGCTAGAGTTGCCTTCCATGTGGCTTACTTACCCAGAGACTGGGGAAACCTGCAAGTGATACACTGGCCTTGTGGGAATTGGTGTAACCTGTTTTGCTGAATAAGTCTGGCCAACATGGGTGTGCAGATATATAGTGAGAATGCTAGCAATTAGAGCTAACTTACTTTTTGCCCTTTGTATGTGCCAGACACCATATGATCCCATTTAACGATCATGGAAACCCTGTAGTAAGTACTTCTATTATTCCAGTTTCACAGATGAGAAAACTGATGCTGAGGGAAGTCAAGTAATATGCGGAAGGACACACCAATGGCAGAGCTGGAATTTCGTTCGTAATAATTAAGGCTTAGGATGTTAAACTAAGTAATCCAACTTCCTTAGCATCCTAACCCTTAATCATTATGCTCCTGGGTACCCAGTACTTCATAACACAAGTGAGTGGAGCTCCTTTTTGCAAGTAGTTCTGAGAGACTCATACAGAAGGGTCTGCAGGAATGCTAACTGCAGAAAAGAAAGTGGAAGTATGTATTATCTGGGGTTACATATGGTTCTCTGGTTTTGGGGGAGAGGAGCAGAATTAAAGCAAAACAGACCTCAGTGACATTAAGTAGTGGTTGGGAGCAGGTGTGTGATTAGAAAGACTGGGGATGGTGTGCTTCTCAGTGATTCAAGAAACTGAGTTTTGTATCCTACTGATAATCTCATTTTGAAGAAGGGAAAGAGTGATACACTCTAAGATTCTTTTACTCTCTGTTCAGCTGCAAAGGCATCATTCTCATTATTTTAATGTTCAAATCCAACATTAGTATTAATTTAATAAGAAATGAATAGTCTTTTTTTCAACGGATAAGTTAAAACAAATATTTTTGTTTTGTCTCTGAGAAACTATAATGAAATAAAACTAGCCTTCTAAATGCAGATTGCACTGTATAAGTAAGTGGATAAATATGGCTATAGAAATTAGAACTTCACAAACCTTTAACAAACAGTAGCGAAAAGGACACTCTAGTCATTTATTGGTAAGAATATAATTCTGACCATGGCCCAAAGAGCAATGTTTCCTTGATGATAGCTTTACCCTCATGTTTTAGTAAATAAGTGACTTGATATACTACTCTGTAAGAGTGAGTTTTCAGTTGAAGATCATATTCATTTTGTTTCTTAACATCAATACTAAAAGGCACTGATGTAAAACCTCTATTTTAAGTTTTCTAAAGTATTGCCTTGATTTTAGATTTTAAAAAAAGAAGACAAATTAGGGCACAAAACAGATGACTGACTCTGTTCTGTGCACAAGGTTTGGGTGTTTCTTCAAAATGAGGGAGTGTCTTTGAAAAAATATGGTCCTTTTCCACGCTGTGTCTCCTCCAGCATGGTTAGTGAATTGAGTTGAAGAGAATCCACTCAAGCCAGGTTTCTCCAGCATATTTTTTTTGCCCTCTTTTAAACCTTCTATTTATCCTGTCAATCATTTTATACATTTGAAGTAGTTGGCATATGTTACACAGGTAACTACATTATATAGGGAGGAAGAGTTATATGTATGCAGAAACCAATCTGGGAAGTTATAAAGATTAGCAATGCATTTCCTGGATATAAGATTAATATAAAATATCAGATTATAGAAGATACACAGCCATAAATATTATGTTTAAGCGCTTGGTAGATAGTATTCTACCAAGTAAAGATCCAATGTACTTTACTTTTAAAAACATTTTATTATAAAATTAATACAGCCGGGTATGGTAGCTTATGTCTGCAATCTCAGCACTATGGGAGGCTGGGGCAGGCAGATCACTGGAGGCCAGGAGTTTAAGACCAGCCTGGCCAACATGGCAAAACCCTGTCTCTACTAAAAATACAAAAATTAGTTGGGCGTGGTGGCACATGCCTGTAATCACAGCTACTCAGGAGGCTGAGGCACAAGAATTGGTCGCTTGAACTGTGGAGGTGGAGGTTGCAGTGAGCCAAATATCATGCCACTGCACTGCAGCCTGGGTGACAGAGCAAGACTCTGTCTCAAAAATAACTAACTAAATAAATAATAAAAATAAAAAATTAATACCTGCTGATTACAATAAATGAACAGTGCAGAACTATGTTTACATATAATATAAAATTTAAAAATGAAAGCTCTCCTTCTCATCCATCAACCTCTGATCCCACTCCTTTTCCAAGAGTGTGATGTGTGTCATTTTGTACTTTTTTTCTGTGCATTAACACATACCTAGATTATTTTTAAAGTAAAATGTAATAATACTACATGTGCTGTTTTGTTATTTAGCTAATATTTTTGAGACCCACCTTTTTTTTTTTGAAAAAAAATCAGCTGTGTGGTATTTATATGTGTTAATTATCACAGACTTGGCAGCTGAAGTCACCACACATTTATTATCTCGCAGTTGTGGGTTGGAAGTCTGAGAGGCTTGGATTTGTTCTTTGCTTAGCATCTTACAAGGCCAAAGTCAAGGTGTCCAGCACACTGGGCTCTTATCTGGAGGGCCTGGGGAAGAACCTGCTTCTCATACAGGCTGTCGGTAGAGTCTAGATCCCTTTGGTTGTAGGAGTGAGGTCCTTATTTCTTAGCTGACTTTCAGCCAGGAGCTGTTGTCAGCTTCAAGAAGCCACTTGCACTTCTGTCATGTGTGTGGCCTTCTTCATATTATATCTGTTATATACATATCCTGTGGTTTCTACTAGTGCATTATGTTCACATTTCAATTCATAATTTATTAATCTTATTAGCATTTTGTTTCTTCTGATAATTTTTAAATCTTTTTAATATATTCAGTCTTCATTTGTGTTTAGAACAAAATACATAGCTTATTTTTTCCAAATAGATGTCACTTTTTCTAATTACATTTTGAAAGTCCCTTATTTTCCCTCCAAATTACAGTGTCACTTTCATAACGGTAACTTTATATTTTGATTTGCTACATTATTATTTTCATGTAGTATTTCTTGGCTATTTTGGGGCAGGTACTGTTTTGGTTAACTTTAAGATTAGGAAATAAACGTCTGTTTGAAATATCTAATTGAAGTTTTGATTGAAACCACATAGTATATGTAGATCCACTAGAGTAGAGAGAATCATCTTTACAACCAAGGATGTTTGCTCAAACAAATCTCCCAGTATATAATGTTATCAAGAACTGGTACCTTTAAAATGTTTGGTTGCTTAACACGTTCCCAAAGTTAACACTGAAGAAAAATACTCCTCTTCCCTATCTTAATGAAAGTCAAGTCCAAAGCCTGCCCCATTTCATCCACAAAATGAACCTGTGAGACCAAGATGTCTTGCTGGTTAAATTCTGGGCATAGCATTAAGGAAGCCTTGCTGTCTGGCTCTAGATTTAGTGGAAGTGGCCTGGAGAGGTGATTCACAATGGGATACCTGCACAAGGTGAGAGTATTAGAAAAATTCTGGAAACCTAGAATTAGATTCATTAGATGAGATTTATCACATTTTCATTGAAGACCAATTATGTTGAACTGTATAGTTTTTCTCTGAGGCTATGCAAGCACAACACCAAGGGTGCTACCCAATTCAGTTAATTCCCATTGAGGAAAATTATCAGCAAAATTCAATAAAAAAAAAGAAACTTACAAATATGCTGTTCGTCATTATATATACCAAATTACTAGGTAAATTAATCAACTTTTCCTTGCTTTCTTTCGTTTATTTCCTTTCTTCTAGCAATGCCTTAATTTATTTTCAAAAGACTGGAGAAACGCTCTGTATCATTGACCAAAGTGTAGTAGTTTTTACTTATTGTAGCATTGTATTTCTTAGAAATTTTAAGCAATTTATATTTCTTTTTTTTTTTTTTTTTTTTTTTTGAAATGGAGTCTCACTCTGTCACCCAGGCTGGAGTGCAGTAGTGCAATCTTGGCTCACTGCAAACTCCGCCTCCCGGGTTCAAGCAATTCTCCTGTCTCAGCCTCCTGAGTAGCTGGGATTACACGTGCCCGCCACTATGCCCAGCTAATTTTCATACTTTTAGTAGAGACGGGGTTTCACGATGTTGGTCAGGCTGGTCTTGAACCCCTGACCTTGTGATCCACCCACCTCGGTCTCCCAAAGTGCTGGGATTACAGGCATGAGCCACCGCGCCCAGCCAGCAGTTTATATTTCAAAACAGCTTTGGGTAAATACATTTTTGTATATCTATACAGTGCTGTATTACATAGCATTTTAAATCAAGGAGAGATTTTAGATGTCATGACATGAAAGTTTCAAAATATATTATTGAACAGAACTGAATCAATCTGTAGGACAGCATATATAATATGATTCACTTTTGTTTAAATAATTTGTTTATTATATATACACATACATATAGACATACCTAAAGAAATATGAAAAAAATAATCACTGAATCTTAAGAGTTGGGAAGTGTAAAATTTGACTTCTACCTTATACATATTTATATCATTTACAAATTTTACAATAAGCATATGTAAGTTTCATAATGAAAAACAATAAAGATTTAATTTGGGAAATACATTTTTAGATTATTTATTAATCGTACTTTCTATGATAAGTAATCTTTTCTGATTATCATAGATAATTGAGAGTTGACTAGCCTCAAAATTCTTAAGTTTTCTTCCATTAGAACACTATCTATACATACAACTCAGAAGAATCGTCATTATCATCACCGAAATTTCCTGAACTATTACTAAATGCCAGCAACAGAACTATTATATATGAATTGCCTCATTTAATCTTCAGAATATTCCTTTGGGCTACATATTATTCCCATTTTACAGATAAGGAAAAATAAATTCTAGAGAGATTAAGTGACTTGCTGAAGACCCTCAGCCAATTAGCATAGTAGGAAATCAAACTTTAGTTTCTGACTCCAACCCTGGCCTGCCTCAATACCATACAGAAAAATATCTATATTTAAATTAATAAACACAACCTAGAGTGACTTCAGAATTCAAGGCCACAACTTTCCCATTTTTTTTTGGTAGATTAATTTACTAGGGATGAAAGGAAATTAAATCTTGGAACCCCAAACTCATTAAGCCCAAGGGAACAGTCAAGCTGGGAACTATGTCATGCAAACCTGCCACCCCCTTTTGTTTCCTAAATGAAATGGTTACAAGACAAAAAGCTAAACGGCTCCCCCATATTTTGCCCACAAGGAAATCCCTAGTGAGCTGCAAGATCCTTAAGCTGTTTCTGCTAAAATTTCACCATGGCAATGTAAATTGATAGCTTATTTTTACAGGAGCAGTCACCCCCCTGCCCACCAGACACAAATGCATATCTGATCGTCACCCTGCCCCATTTTGTCTATGTTATCTTATGTAAAGTGCAGAGTCCTTGCATTCTTCCTCTACCCCATTTTTCTATGTCATCTTCTGTAAAAAATGCTGATTCACTGAGCCAGACAAAGGCATGAGTGGCTATTTTGCCCTACCCACCTCTTACATGAAAATTGTGTATTTCTCAATATCCTGCTCTTTCTCCTTTAAATTTGGAGCCCTCAAAATCATCTTTGGAGAAAGGCATAGACCTGTCTCCCTGTTGCGCCTCCTTAACTTTGGCAAACAAACCCTATAAAATGATTGAGACCTGTCTCCTCCTTTTTCTCGATTGATGTCAGGCTGCCAAACCAAATTATGGGGACTCAGGGAGAGAACCATTCACTTCAGCCAGGAAAAAGAGTATCCCATAAATGTGGTCACAATCTAATGCGCAATATCTATTTACAAAATGAATAAGTTGTAGTAAGAAATGTTACTCCGGGATTAGAATTTTTACATGCTGAAAGAACTAGCTTTATAATTCATTTCTTAAGATATGCTGAGTCCATGGCCAAATAGCAAAAACAACCTGTTTTGCAAAGTAAATATTTTGGCAGAAGGACATTGTGTTTCGTGTTTTGGAACTGAAAAGGTCTAGAATATGGACTGAAGCGGGACTTCAGCTGGCATGCATCAATTGTTACACTTCCTCTGAAATGCAAATACAGAGGGAAACAAACATGAGTGTCCTCAAAGAATAAAGAGATTCTCAACTTTGTTTTCTTCAGCTGGACTCCGTGTCCTTCTCAATTGACTGACTGATAGTGTGTGTGTGTGTGTGTGTGTGTGTGTGTGTGTGTGTGTGTGTGTGTGTGTTATTCTTTGCCATTCATTACTGATGTTCTTCTTAGGGAATTTACTTGTTTTCAAACAGCCTTGGAGACATTCTCTAATTTAGTTTAAAAAATAAGACAAAACTGGCCGGGCGCGGTGGCTCACACCTGTAATCCCAGCACTTTGGGAGGCCGAGGCGGGCGGATCACGAGGTCAGGAAATCAAGACCATCCTGGCTAACACGGGTGAAACCCCGTCTCTACTAAAAATACAAAAAAATTAGCCGGGCGTAGTGGCGGGCGCCTGTAGTCCCAGCTAGTCGGGAAGCTGAGGCAGGAGAATGTCGTGAACCCAGGAGGTGGAGCTTGCAGTGAGCCCAGATTCTGCCACTGCACTCCAGCCTGGGCGACAGAGTGAGACTCCGTCTCAAATAAATAAATAAATAAATAAATAAATAAATAAATAAACAAAACCAATTAATACTGAATAAAATTCGAGTGTGACCCAAGGAAAAGAGAAGTAGGAGGTAGGTGACTTTGAGCTCTTACTTTCTCCTTTCTTCCTCCCTTTGAGCTTTACTTCCTCTATCCACAATGCTTTTTCGGGTACCAGCTGGAGCGAGAAAGCTAAGATAAAATCTCTGGACAATAAAGAGAAGGTTTGCCAGAATTCGCTTCATCACATTTTTTTTTTATATTAACACAGGTCACTTATTTACATTTAATTGGAAATCAACTGCACTAGAGGACACATGGCCAACGTATATGAATCTCCTTCAGAAGGAAGAGTTTTGAAATCTAAAGAAAACTAGATAATGGTCCTCAACTGCTTACCAAGAAATTCAGCAGGCTAACCTCCTAGTTCCTGTCCTTTGGAAAAATGGCTTATAGTTTTAAATATTTGCATAGCATAGGCCTGATTTGGGGCATTAATATCTTTGTAAAACTTCATCAAATTTCATCTATTTTCACAGAAACTGCAAATTTAAATCAACTTCCAGTGGGATTTGATAACTTAAAGACTGAGAACATCTTCTGGGTTTTGATGTGGATGTGTGGCTCTCTAAGGGCCACCTCCCAGAATGCTGCTTGAAGGCTCTCTATTCAGGTTGAAGCTATTTACCACATGACCAAAGTGGAGTTCTTTCCCAGAGATACTCATGATGGTAGGAAGAACCCAGGCCAACTGCAGCAAGCAGGCTAAGCAAAACTAAAGCTTGGCTAACTTCAGTAATATTTTAAATGAACAAAAGGAGTTAGCTGTCCAGCTATTGCTTCTTGATTCAGAGATGGAGACTCTCTTCACCTTACCCAAATACTGACGTATCAAAGAACTGGATGGATTAATTTCAAAATGCAAAGGGCCCTTATAAAAGGATGTGAGGATGGACTGAGGGATCTGAAGGACACTGTCTCTTCTGTTCTCTTTGTGTGCACACTTAGGCTCTTGAGCCCATGAAGTCTCCTCAAAATAGGATAAATCATTAATTAAAATGTTTAATGAGGAGAAAAAGAACATAGAAAAAAGGAACAAACTCTCTGATTGAGGGTGTATGTGAGGTTGCCTATTAACTCTAAGATAGTTTGGGTTCATGAAAGCTAGAGATGTGTATGGGATATTTCATTAGCAGTGCCATTGGCATTTAACTTGAAGATTTAGAAAATAATATGTATTGATTGAAAGAAGCTAACTCTTTGAATTTATACTATTTGTTCATTAAAAGAACACTCAGGAATTCACTGCACCCAACTATGTGAACAAGTTTGGCTTTGATATCATAAATTAAAAGTATAAATACCTGTCCAGGTAGCTTTATAACAAGATAATTGACAAAATTATGTTGGCTTTATTATTATGCCAGGATAGTCTTTGTCTCTAACCCACCTGTTACCTGCAGAATTGTATCCATTAGAAAGATAGGTTTGACCAAGAGGAGCTAGCTTAGAAGGTCTAAATTCTAATCTTGACTCTGTTATTAACTTGTTAAGTGATCTTAGGAAAATCATTTAAATTTGGGTTTCTTTAATTCTTCACTGGTAAAATGGAGTAATACTACTCAACCTACCAATCTCATAGAATTCCCTTCTAAAAAAAATGTGAAAATAGTATTCTTTAAATCCTTCCAAATATTTTTAAAAACCTGCCTCCAGATTCAAGGAGTATTACCTTAGTGGGGTTTTCTGGATTTGCTTTTCAGTATGCCAATATGTCAGAGGGTTGCTCAGTTCAACTAATATTAATCCATCATTTATGATGTATAGGTCACTGGGTCAGATTCTAGGCTAGTATAAAGGCTTAAAAAGAAGATTATTCTGTCTTTTACGGAGTCAGTTGGCTTGTTGTCATTGAAATGCCTTACACTGAAATGCAGAAGAGGTATCTCCATTTACTAATAAGTATCAGGTTTCAATATATTCCAACCCCATGGCTGAAGAAACCGCAAGACATTCATTGCTTTGCTTATTTTGCAAAATATTTATCATCAGTTATGTGCCAGTTATCATGCTAGGCACTGGAGACATGAATATGGATTTATCCAACAATGGATCAGAAGAGGACTTAATAAAATAATTCAATCCAATACAAACAGGTATTTTTAAAAACATCTTATTTTCCAATTCTGTCTTTGGCCCCATATACCAAAAATGTCTTGGCCTTTCCAAAGTCACCAAAGCCTTTTGCTATTCCTTCCATTCTACTTAATGATTTCTAGATATTTAGGCAGGGCAATGTCCATCCAAAAACAATAATACGAAAAGTCATTCTATTTAGATATTTGATTTACACACACCCAGCATCACTTAGAATAACTAAAGTAGGTTTGGACTGTGTATGGATAGAATCATATGTGACTTTTAATTCTTCCACTTGTTCAGGGTCAAAGAAAATCAGGCATAATAATAAGAGTGGGGGAAGGAGATTATTTTCATTCCCTATGTCAAAACAGGTATTTATTTTAGATTTGCTGCCTCATTTCCTTTTGAAAAAGCAAAGTAATATTAGTATTTATTTCTTGAAGACCCTAAACTCATTGGCCATAATTTGCCATGGTTATTGACTTAGACATCTGCATTTCCAAAAAAAAAAAATTGTCTAAATGGGGACAAACTCTATTAAATAATGCCTCAAAGTCTACTCTTCCCTTCATAGTTTGACGAAGCACACTGTGTTAGACACATTTCTTCTGTTGCAATTTCAGTCCCTCTGCATACCCATTAATATGCTAAAAGCTTGGTTTTTGAAATTTGGTAAGTGTCCTAATCTTAGCACTTGTCAGTGCTAGCTGATAACTCTGACTTTTGACTGGTACCTCTCGGAGCCTTGGCATCATCTCCAGTTTACAAAGGAATAACCTATCAACCTCGAAGAGTTGGTGTAGCACTATGTGTTACTATACATAAAATACCTGATCCTAATTTATTGTAGATACCTACTCAGTACAATTTTTAAAATATTTTAAATACTATTGAATATTTGTTCTGAGTTCCTCTATTATGACTACTACCTTCTTAGTCCACTCATCATGAGTAGTTACTTCCCTTGATGAGAGTTTGAGCTGAAATTTTAAAAACATAAAATATCAAAAGAGTAAAGTTTCTATTATCATCATGACCTTTCTAAGTTAGGGAACATTTAGAGAAAGTGTAACAACCTTGTGAAATTGCCTATTATACTATGTTTTATTCATTTTTGAATTCCAAATACTTGCCTGCCATGAACTTGAGGATCAATAATTTTTTTGAAAGGGACTATTTCTATTTGTCCTGGAAGAAATTCAGACATTCTCTCAACTCACTTGCTCCTAAACTCCCCCACTTATATTAAGTGACATACACAAGGTCCAGTGCATTTAGCTGTAGAGCTGAAGCTAGAACAAGGTCCTGTGTCTCCTGAACTAGTACCATCCTTTCAGCATCATTCAAACAATCATAACATAGCATTGTTGAAACAAAATTTTACTTCATGCCAAAAAGTGCTTCAGGATCATGAATATCCCTGATGACAACACAGATCTTCAGTTTGGAAGTTCATGAGAATAAAAGTTCAAGAATGGAACTATATTTTAGTAGCTTGGGGCTTAGAATTTAGTATTTTTATGTTGATGTCCTTATATTAACTGGATTTCCATGACTCTGTTCCCTTGAATTGCAGTTGTAATTATGGAGCAGTTAACATCTTCTCTGGGCCCAGCACATCCCATAATTAGCTGTGTTCTCTCCACAGCATATGACTCAACCCATGTGGTTCTTTTATATCAAAGGCAGGGTGGCCAGATTTTTTTAACCACAATACTTGAGCATGTAGTGGCAGATGGCTCTGCAACCCAAGTGCAGTGGATTCTTTTGAAGAGCAACCTCACCAAAAACAAGCAAACAAACAAACAAAACCAGGCCCTGAGGTTTATTTTTGAAAAAAAGGGAAGAATTTTCTGGGGATGTTTCCAAACACTGCATCATTTAAAAAGAAAAGCATGTCCTTTTTGTTTTGAGGAACTAAAATAGAATTAAATGAGTTAGAACTTTGAGGTCAACCTTGATCAGGAAGGAGGATGCTTCTTGGTCTCTAATCAGAGGTCTTCAGAGGTTTATTTGGTTGAGCTAGGACATTGGTTATAATGTAATGTGTGGTGGAAAGAACATATAGAACTAAGGCTCAGGAGACCAAATTTGTCATATTTTCTCTGCTGCTACTCAGGTATCTGTAGTTTTCTGAGCTTTCCTGAATCCAACTTAATCTATCTGAGGTCATTTATGCAAAATCTCTTTTATTAATATAAAAACTTATTAGGCCAGCTGAAAAGTACAGAATTTCAAGCTCCCTTTTGCACATACACATTAATCAACATCTACTTTTGAAGAACCCTAGAGAAGGAAAAGACTCAGTAGCTGCCCTGGTTAACTTATTACAGCCTTAGTGAAACTCACCATTAGGGAGTTCCTCATTATATGAGTAATAACATATCAGACTGGAGAACATTTTATTCACCAGAATTCCATAAAGGAAAACAACTATATTTGTTGGGAAAACCACTTAATGGAAGGCTGGACTCAATGGGCATAAATATGAGCTTTACTGCTCGTGCTTAGTAAAGGAAGAGATTTTCTCGCTACTCATCAGAGGCGGGTAAAGGGAGAAGCAATGTAGCCAATGTGATGGTGAGTTGCTATAGGATATTCGAGATGACCCTGCCCCATTAACTTCAAAACTGAATTGTCCCTAAAATGCATGAATGTGGTATGCATACATGAGAAGTTGTAGTTAGAGAGGGAAGTGGTGAAGGAACCCTGCTTCACACTTGCATTAATCCCAAATGGTAGCAAGCCTGAAACAGAAATGAAGAGTTAGAAAGAGACAAGAGAAAACCAGTCTTGGGAACTAGCAGGAATATTAGGAGAGCTCTGGATTCTCAGTCTATGGAATTGGATTTCAGATCAAGGTCAACAGATACGAAAAATATGTTTATAACTTAAACATACTGCTTACACTTATTATTTGTGTACATTCCATATTCCAGGTACTGTGACACATGCCTGACATGTATTTCATATATATACACACATATATGCAGCAAAGATGATTCCTTTTCTTCTTTACACTAGTCCTGTAAAGTGGTTATTATTATTTTAACTTTGTCACGGATAAAATAAAACTCAGAGAGGTTGCATAAATTGTCCCAGGACACACAGCTGTAAAGTGCAATCTACATTCCAAACATTCTCTAACATTATATTATTATTCATTAATATACAAATGTATTCAGCACTTTATCTACTAGATATCACAGAGTGTACAAAGATGATTCTCAACAAAATGTTGCCACAGGGCACTTATTCTCTCATCCCTCAGGAGCCATAGGATGAGGATAGAGCCATGTTATCAAGACAGGATAAGGCATGAACCATGCAAGAGGTTTAAGTGTTGGCAATTTCAGAGATCTAACGCAACTGCCTCAACCCCAGGTGTAGTCTGGGTCCTTTTCTCTTGTGATACTGGGGAATAGCTAATTTATATTCTGAATATGACCCAAAGTCAGATGTACTCTTGCCCAGTGGCATCAACCATGACAAGGATTCCAGACTTCTTTGTGATCTCTGCTTATATGGTTTGGCTGTGTCTCTACCCAAATCTCATCTTGAGCTGTAGTTCCCATAAACCCTACATGTCCTGGGAGGGACCTGGTGGGAGGTAAATTTATCATGAGGGCAGTTACCCTCATGATGTTCTCATGATAGTGAATGAGTTCTCATAAGATCTGATGGTTTTAAAAGGGGCTTTTCCTCCTTTTCTTTGGCACTTCTCTCTCCTGCTGCCTTGCGAATAAGGATGTGTTTGCTTCCTCTTCTGCCATGATTGTAAATTTCCTGAGGTCTCCCTAGCCATGCTGAACTGTGAGTCAATTAAACCTCTTTCCTTTATAAATTACCCAGTCTTGGGTATATCTTTATTAGCATCATGAGAATGGACTAATACATCTGCTATCCAATGCTCGTTTTCTAAATCTCAACTTTGATTCATGTCAATACTTTTGATAGTCTCTATTGAAACTCCTTGAGGTCATGAGCAGTGGTTATCTTAGAAAGCCCACTGCATTTCACCTTGTCCATTCTCCATTTTTCCTCTCCTAGATCTCCTTCTCTATTTTTTTTCACTCTCTATCTACTACATTTTCCCTCTTTATTGGCTACCACTTCTACACTTTCCTTTCCCAATCCTACCCTAGAGAGAACTTAAGGAAATATTATCCAATAAAGCCCATCTCTTTAAGGGGGGGATTTCTTGTTTTGTTGCTAAGAAACAAATTTGTCTTCATAAGGAAATCTCTTTCATGAATTTGTAAACCTTACTGAGTTTTCCATTTCTCAATAGTACCCTATTTTCCAAGATATCTTCAAGATTTCAACTATCCAAGCCCTCTTTTTAAAATCTCTACCATCTTGATATTCCACTGTTGAACAGCTCAGCATTTCCCCTAGATATTATAGAGGAGTATGTAAATAGTGTAGGAAATTCTAATCAGTAAAATTTTTCATGTGCAACTTTCATAAAAAATTTGGAGGAAGAAGCTCCAATGGCAATTTTTAGAGGCACCATGAAATTGGTCATTTATTTAATTTTCCCTATTTTATAAATTCTAAAGTGAAGTTCCCTTTCCAAAGGGAAAGAGAGCCCTTTCTTAATACATTGGCATGATATTACAAAAACAATTTTGCATTTTGGAGCTAGTACTGGACCTGAAGTTAATTCTGTCATTTCACAGTTCTCTGACTTGAGCAAGATTTTATTTAACCAGGCTAGGTCTCTGTTTCCTTATCTGTTAATTGAGAGGATAACACTGTATCTACTTGATAAAGTTGTTGTAAGGGTCAAGTAAGACAAATATGTATCCAGAATACAATAGGTGCTCAATAAGCAGAGGCAAGTCATTGCACTGGGAATCTAAATCATGTCCTTCAAGGAAAGTAACTCTTGCAATAACATAAACGTTTGCAAATATCCACATTCTCTTTGACATCTTCACACAAATATAGAAGTTATGCATGTGTTTGCTAACTTTTGTGTATCCTGTTGCAATTCTGTGGTTATATGATAAGAATGTTTATAATTGAATCACAAACTCTGCCAACTTAGAGAAGCCTAGGGTTGGCATTCCTGGATGGAAAAAAAGAATCCTACCCCAGAGTCCGAAGTGAATGTCTGGAATTCATTTCCTGAGAAGCCTTCCAACTCTGTGATTTTCCATAGCTTCAGCCTTTGTTAGCAGTTAAAGACTCCACTGGACTTATCATCAGTTCTGGCTGCTGCTGTCAGAGGTGACTGTACACAGTTGGGAATGAGGACAGAATGTTGGTGAAGGCTTTCCAATACCGTAAGAGAAGATTCTTTGTAGCACCAAGGTGGCTGTGTAGCTTATCTGAGATATAAGATCTTTGTGAGGAAGTGAGTAGGGCTCCACAAATGGAGGGTGGTGAAAAACTGAAGAACAATAATTGAACATAACAAGACTTCAATGTACAGTAAATATGCACATTCATCCTTGTGTATTATATGGGAAATTACAAGGTAAAACCCTCTAAACCAATACCTAATTTGTTGAGAGTTTTTAGCATGAAGAGTTGTTGAATTTTGTCAAAGGCCTTTTCTGCATCTATTGAGATAATCATGTGGTTTTTGTCTTTGGTTCTGTTTATATGCTGGATTACGTTTATTGATTTGCATATATTGAACCAGCCTTGCATCCCAGGGATGAAGCCCACTTGATCATGGTGGATAAGCTTTTTGATGTGCTGCTGGATTCAGTTTGCCAGTATTTTATTGAGGATTTTTGCATCAATGTTCATCAAGGATATTGGTCTAAAATTCTCTTTTTTTGTTGTGTCTCTGCCCGGCTTTGGTATCAGTATGATGCTGGCCTCATAAAATGAGTTAGGGAGGATTCCCTCTTTTTCTATTGATAGGAATAGTTTCAGAAGGAATGGTACCAGTTCCTCCTTGTACCTCTGGTAGAATTCGGCTGTGAATCCATCTGGTCCTGGACTCTTTTTGGTTGGTAAGCTATTGATTGTTGCCACAATTTCAGATCCTGTTATTGGTCTATTCAGAGATTCAACTTCTTCCTGGTTTAGTCTTGGGAGAGTGTATGTGTCAAGGAATTTATCCATTTCTTCTAGATTTTCTAGTTTATTTGCATAGAGGTGTTTGTAGTATTCTCTGATGGTAGTTTGTATTTCTGTGGGATCGGTGGTGATATCCCCTTTACCATTTTTTATTGCGTCTATTTGATTCTTCTCTCTTTTCTTCTTTATTAGTCTTGCTAGCAGTCTATCAATTTTGTTGACCCTTTCCAAAAACCAGTTCCTGGATTCATTAATTTTTTGAAGGGTTTTTTTGTGTCTCTATTTCCTTCAGTTCTGCTCTGATTTCAGTTATTTCTTGCCTTCTGCTAGCTTTTGAATGTGTTTGTTCTTGCTTTTCTAGTTCTTTTAATTGTGATGTTAGGGTGTTAATTTTGGATCTTTCCTGCTTTCTCTTGTGGGCATTTAGTGCTATAAATTTCCCTCTACACACTGCTTTGAATGTGTCCCAGAGATTCTGGTATGTTGTGTCTTTGTTCTCGTTGGTTTCAAAGAACATCTTTATTTCTGCCTTCATTTCGTTATGTACCCAGTATTCATTCAGGAGCGGGTTGTTCAGTTTCCATGCAGTTGAGCGGTTTTGAGTGAGTTTCTTAATCCTGAGTTCTAGTTTGATTGCACTGTTGTCTGAGAGACAGTTTGTTCTAATTTCTGTTCTTTTACATTTGCTGAGGAGAGCTTTACTTCCAAGTATGTGGTCAATTTTGGAATAGGTGTGGTGTGGTGCTGAAAAAAATGTATATTCTGTTGATTTGGGGTGGAGAGTTCTGTAGATGTCTATTAGGTCCGCCTGGTGCAGAGCTGAGTTCAATTCCTGGGTATCCTTGTGAACTTTCTGTCTCGTTGATCTGTCTAATGTTGACAGTGGGGTGTTAAAGTCTCCCATTATTGATGTGTGGGAATCTAAGTCTCTTTGTAGGTCACTCAGGACTTGCTTTATGAATCTGGGTGCTCCTGTATTGGATGCATATATATTTAGGATAGTTAGCTCTTCTTGTTGAATTGATCCCTTTACCATTATGTAATGGCCTTCTTTGTCTCTTTTGATCTTTGTTGGTTTAAAGTCTGTTTTATCAGAGACTAGGATTGCAACCCCTGCCTTTTTTTGTTTTCCATTTGCTTGGTAGATCTTCCTCCATCCTTTTACTTTGAGCCTATGTGTGTCTCTGCATGTGGGGACGTATCTCAAAATAATAAGAGCTATCTATGACAAACCCACAGCCAATATCATACTGAATGGGCAAAAACTGGAAGCATTCCCTTTGAAAACTGGCACAAGACAGGGATGCCCTCTCTCACCACGCCTATTCAACATAGTGTTGGAAGTTCTGGCCAGGGCAATTAGGCAGGAGAAGGAAATAAAGAGTATTCAATCAGGAAAAGAGGAAGCCCAATTGTCCTGTTTGCAGATGACATGATTGTATATCTAGAAAACCCCATTGTTTCAGCCCAAAATCTCCTTAAGCTGATAAGCAACTTCAGCAAAGTCTCAGGATACAAAATCAATGTACAAAAATCACAAGCATTCTTATACACCAAAAACAGAGAGCCAAATCATGAGTGAACTCCCATTCACAATTGCTTCAAAGAGAATAAAATACCTAGGAATCCAACTTATAAGGGACGTGAAGGACCTCTTCAAAGAGAACTACAAACCACTGCTCAATGAAATAAAAAAGGATACAAACAAATGGAAGAACATTCCATGCTCATGGGTAGGAAGAATCAATATCGTTAAAGTGGCCATACTGCCCAAGGTAATTTATAGATTCAATGCCAACCCCATTAAGCTACCAACGACTTTCTTCACAGAATTGGAAAAAACTACTTTAAAGTTCATATGGCACCAAAAAAGAGCCCGCATCGCCAAGTCAATCCTAAGCCAAAAGAACAAAGCTGGAGACATCATGCTACCTGACTTCAAACTATACTACAAGGCTACAGTAACCAAAACAGCATGGTACTGGTACCAAAACAGAGATATAGATCAATGGAACAGAACAGAGCCCTCAGAAATAACACCACATATCTACAACTATCTAATCTTTGACAAACCTGAGAAATACAAGCAATGGGGAAAGTATTCCCTATTTAATAAATGGTGCTGGGAAAACTTGCTAGCCATATGTAGAAATCTGAAACTGGATCCCTTCCTTACACCTTATACAAAAATTAATTCAAGATGGATTAAAGACTTAAACGTTAGACCTAAAACCATAAAAACCCTAGAAGAAAACCCAGGCATTACCATTCAGGACATAGGCATGGGCAAGGACTTCATGTCTAAAACACCAAAAGCAATGGCAACACAAGCCAAAACTGACAAATGGGATCTAATTAAACTAAAGAGCTTCTGCACAGCAAAAGAAACTACCATCAGAGTGAACAGGCAACCTACAAAATGGGAGAAAATTTTCGCAACCTACTCATCTGACAAAGGGCTAATATCCAGAATCTACAATGAACTCAAACAAATTTACAAGAAAAAAAAAAACAACCCCATCAAAAAGTGGGCAAAGGACATGAACAGACACTTCTCAAAAGAAGACATTTATGCAGCCAAAAACACATGAAAAAATGCTCACCATCACTGGCTATCAGAGAAATGCAAATCAAAACCACAATGAGATACCATCTCACACCAGTTAGAATGGTAATCATTAAAAAGTCAGGAAACAACAGGTGCTGGAGAGGATGTGGAGAAATAGGAACACTTTTACACTGTTGGTGGGACTGTAAACTAGTTCAACCATTGTGGAAGTCAGTGTGGCGATTCCTCAGGGATGTAGAACTAGAAATACCATTTGAGCCAGCCATCCCATTACTGGGTATATACCCAAAGGACTATAAATCTCGCTGCTATAAAGACACATGCACATGTATGTTTATTGTGGCACTATTTGCAATAGCAAAGACTTGGAACCAACCCAAATGTCCAACAATGATAGACTGGATTAAGAAAATGTGGCACATATACACCATGGAATACTATGCAGCCATAAAAAATGATGAGTTCATGTCCTTTGTAGGGACATGGATGAAATTGGAAATCATCATTCTCAGTAAACTATCACAAGAACAAAAAACCAAACACCGCATGTTCTCACTCATAGGTGGGAATTGAACAATGAGAACACATGGACACAGGAAGGGGAACATCACACTCTGGGGACTGTTGTGGGGTAGGGGGAGGGGGGAAGGATAGCATTAGGAGATATACCTAATGCTAAATGACGAGTTAATGGGTGCAGCACACCAGCATGGCACATGTATACATATGTAACTAATCTGCACATTGTGCACATGTACCCTAAAACTTAAAGTATAATAATAATAAAATTAAAAAAAAAAAAGAATTGGAAAAAAAACCCAAAAAACCCCTAAACCATTTTTTCTAATTTTTCTTGGCTTTACATACTTGGTATCTTACCTGAGAAGGGGAAGGAAAAAAGATTAATGAATAACAACTGTCATCATATATTAATAAATTATTATGTTTTTTCAAAATTATATGTTATATATTTTTATTTTACAAAGGAGGAGTTTGAGATTCAAGAATTAAGAAGTTACTTCTACGCTGGCCGTGGTGGCTATTAAGAAGTTACTTCCAGGCCAGGCAGGCCTGTAATCCCAGCACTTTGGGAGGCTGAAGCAGGCTAATCACGAGGTTAGGAGATTGAGACCATCCTGGCTAACACGGTGAAACCCCGTCTCTACTAAAAATACAAAAAATTACCCAGGCATGGTGGTGGGTGCTTGTAGTCCCAGCTACTTGGGAGGCTGAGGCAGGAGAATGGCGTGACCCCCGGGAGGCGGAGCTTGCAGTGAGCTGAGATTGTGCCACTGCACTCCAGCCTGGGTGACAGAGCGAGACTCCATGTCAAAAAAACAAAACAAAAAAAAAGAAGTTACTTCCAAGAATCCATTAATTCAATAATTTCCTTCCATCCAAACAATCAAACACTATACACTACGAATTGCTCAGTGAAATCATTTGCCTGTATTTTTTCCTATTAGTTTCAAAAGCCATTTACCAGTGACTTATATTTAAGACTGCTTAAATATGGAAGAATGCAGTTTGGAAGGCATGAAGATCAGTTAACCTCTTACAAATGATTAGCTGCTCAAAACAGCTTTTAAATTTCTTATCTTTGGGAAAAAATTCTTTGACTCTACAAAACCCAATGTCTCTTAAAAGCACGAGGGCAATACTAATGAAATATATTCAGTTGCAGAATTCTAGGAAGTCTAACTAAACAGGTTCAAGAAGAAGATAGTGACATCCAAATGAACTGAGATCTGATCCTTTCTAGAATTTAGCTTCCTTCAGGCTGTGAAAATTTGTCTTTGAATACTTCAAAGCACCCATCCCAGTTTTAGCAAAGAATGTGCCTTAAATCAAATTTTATTGAATGAATAACATATATACACCTGAGACATCTCAGAAAATATTGTCTCCATGTCTCTTTATGATCATGTCACAAAACAAACAAACAAACAAAAAACCAGAACCAGGATAAATTCCCCTCTAAAAGCATGAAATATTCCAGTAAATTAGAGAAAGTAAGATTATGGTTAACTGAAATTTTATTGTATTAAAAAAGAGAACTCACTTTATTGTCTAGTTACCATGTAGCAAGATTTTCTATAGATTAATTGCTTTTTCATGATGGTTACTTCCATGTTATTGCCAAAGGCATGGAGGCTAAGCAATATGTAACAGATTGGCCAAGAATATATATCAAGTTGAATGAACAGGTAATCTACTTGCCCAACTAGATTGAAATTCTATTCCCTTCCCTACATTTTACTCTTTATTAATACTGAAAATCAGTCCTGAAGTTCAGGATAACTTCACCCTAACAGAGATTTTTCATAGATGAAAATTGTCCCCATAGAGGTCTCTGGACTAGCAGCATCTGCTACAAACAGAAGATAATTAAAAATTCAAACTTTCAGACCTCATCCCTTCCTAACTGCACAGACTCTACTTTTTACGTTATCTGCTGATTTTTACATATTTCAGTGTTTTAGAAGCACTACCCTAGGTGTTATGCCTCCATAACACCATACAAAGTTTGCTTCAGTGGATAAAACAGGTTTGTGCTGTGCCATTTCAAATAGGCCTTTTTACATTCTTGTTAGTGAAAAATATTTGACTCTTATGATTTATGTCAGAAGTATGGCAGATGATCCAAAATTTGTGCTTTGGAATCATACACTAATTTACTCTGCCAGATCGCTTTTACATTATCAGTACTGAGGAAATTAAGTCTCGATAGAACAGTTTCTCACTGGAGGCAGTGACATTCACAATCTTTCCTGTAGGAGGGGAAGCAGATGGGCCCGGACACAGATATTATGCATTCAGATAGCAAAGCAGCAATCTTTCATGAGCTGCCCTGGAGCAAAGTGGGAAGAGTTCTGTGTTAATTTTTTAATGTCTTTTTTAATTAAAAGTGTCAAGCCATAGTCCCTGAGTTTCACTGAGAGGACTGAATTCTGTGTTATCATATTTGAAATGAAAGCCAATTCAAGGAACCATTTATTTTTCTTAGTCTTTGTTTCTGGTTGCATTGTTTCTAGTTTTCCTATTTTGGGTACATTTCAAGGTGAAACTCAGTTATTATTATTGGTTAACTGTCAAGTTTGCATTTAAAGACATCTCAGAACAAAGAATGGATCCCCATCTGTATCAGTCAACCATGGCCACAGTAATGCTACATAATAGCACAAAACGTTCATGGCATTCAGCAAAAGCATTATTTTTCACACCACATCTGTGAATTGGTGGGGGCTTGGCTCACCTAGAAGGAGGGAGGTAGAGTATCTCCCTGCTATGACTCTGATCCATGGGGCTCTCATCCTTGTCCTGGTGCCTGCAGGCTGGTCATGCTCTTCTCATTGAGATGGTGAAAGTCAAGAAAACAAGTAGCACCATGCAAAGCCTCTTATTGCCTAGGCTCAGAGATGACACACTGTCACTACTGCTTCATTGGATTGACTAAAGCAAGCCACACGGCCAAACGCAAAGTCAGAGGGCAAGAAAATTGAGCTTACCTTTTTTTTCTTTTTTTAATGGGAGGAACTACAAAGCCACATAGAAAAAGGTGGATGGAGAGAGAGATGAAAAACTGGGCCCATTAACACAATCTATACAATCTACCTCAGTACCTGTTTGTTTTCTTGGAGGTTCTGTGACTCAAAGACTTCTAGCCTCCTATTTCCTGATAACAACAAACATTCTGATGTAAATAGCATGAAGAATATTGCATGGTTTGTTTCACATATGCTGGAAAGAGATCCACTTAATACTCTTGGCTCAGATTTATTCCCAATCTTTCTTCATGCTCATAGTTAATGTCACATTATAGAAAAGCATGTCATGCTAATTACAAAATCATTTAGGTTGCCCAATATTATGGATTTTTCCATTTCCTGATAATAGAGCCTTTCAGAGGAGGTCAGGTCATGTTGGGGAATATTGCTGAATACAGATAGTGGTGAATAATTCAAACAGCAGTCATGAATCCATTGAGAGGAAAGTTCGGAGTAGGAATCCAAGAAACACTTCTTTGGATTAATAGTATTAAAATCCTGCTTTTCCACACCTCTTTCAGGTTAGAAAACAACCTTCTTTAATTTTCTGCTTGAAGTAACATCGAAGAAAATATTTCCTAGAGTTTTGGGAAATGAAAGATTTTATTTTAAAGATAAAGTTGGATGGTTTTCCTAGGCACTGTACTTTGAAGTTCCCTTACTCCAGTATCTCCCTCCCTGCTCCTAATGACTAAATTTTTACTTTAGGGAGTCATTCTTGGAGCTAAAATTTTATGGATTTATTTTTTCGAGACAGGGTCTCACTGTGGAATGCAGTGGCTCTATCATAGCTCCAGGGCACAAGAAATCCCCCTGCTTCAGCCTCCCAAGTAGCTAGCATTACAAGTGTGTGCCACCTCACCTAGCTAATTAAAAAAAAAAAATTGTAGAGACAGGATCTCACTGTGTTTCCCAGGCTGGTCTTGAGCTCTTGGCCTCAAGCAATCCTTCCACCATGGCCTCCCATAGCTAGAACTATAGCTATAAGCCACCATACTAGGTCTAAAGTTTTGTTGATTTTTTAAAGACATTTTCCATTTATCAGTTTATTCTTCCCCAAACCCCCACCCAGTTCTCTTATAGGAGATGAAAAATCAATTATCAAAACATAAACGCTAATCTCTAAAGAGGCCAAATGTTTACATCATCCTTCACTTTAACTACCTTTGTTTTATTTCCCTCCTCCCAGATTGAGCTATTGTCTTGCCCTTTATAAGCAAAAGTCTTATTAATAATTATGGCCAAACAAAAGGGCATTTTTTCTCTCAGAATGAATTATGTTCCTTACTATAAAAGTGCCTCATGGGATTACCATGAAAGTTAAATGAATTAACACATGCAAACCACTCAGAAGAGTACCAGACACACAGTATATCCTTTACACATATTTTGCCCATAGCTTCTGGATCACTTTATTACATTGATTTTTTAGGTTGTCTGTCTTTTCTTGTACATGGGAGCTTTCTGAGATACCTAGAAAATTCCATGACAGATTATGTTTTAAATAAATATTTATCAATATAATGAATTTGTTAAGTACTCCTGATGTGCTCAAACCAATGCAAGGCATAAGGTATGCAAAAATAATGATTATCTAATATCTGCCCTGGGGGAAGGCATCGTCTATGAGAAAAGACATACTTCTACACAAATAATATAATGTACAATGGGTAAAATAGAGGAATATAAAGTGTAGTATAGGGACCTAGGCTCAAAAAAGGCACACTGATCCCATAGCTTGGGCTGGGTATCAGTAGTGTTGTCTGGGGAAAATAAGAAAATGACTTAGAGTAGTAGTTTCCCGAATTAGCGTGAATCAGAATTATTTGGAAGGACTGATAAAACAGATTGCTGAGCCCATGCCCACAGTTTCTAATTCAATTGATCTGAGATGGGCCTGATAATTTGCATTCTGACAAATGTCCAGATGCTGCTGCTGCTGGTGGTCTAGGAACACACTTTGAAAAACACAAAGGAATTGGGGTTGGGGGAGTAACACTATAAACAGAGACAGTTCTCTAACGTCCGTCATCCTGCAGGGAATAGAGAAGTGCAAACACTGAAAAAGGTGGAAAAGGCCCTGATTATGTAAGGTGATTCCCACTTATTCTCATGTATTTCTCCAGCAATGTTATGAAGTAGGTTTATTAAGCAGGGTAGTCTAGGATACAAATTAACCGTGCTATCCCAGGGCTTAGTGCACACACAGTTTATTTTCACTTATGCATATTCCGAAGCAGGGAGGCAGAGGCTCTGTTCCACATGGTCATTTGGGAACTGCAGTGGATGCTGTAGTACATTGCCCACAAGGCTGAGGCACTCAATCCCCTTAGCTGCTGAAGTCTGTTCCCAGCTACGGACAGCAACCATGCCCAAGGATGCATTCACTCCCTGGGGCCAGCCCACATCCAATGACTGGACAATGTGGAGGATAAATGACTAGCCCACTTACTGGAGGATGGGAAAAACTTGAAAAGCCATTTCAGCTGTAGAGCTTGATTGGCTTGAGCTTATTTCTATCTGGATCCCTGTGGGTCTCTGTCTTAGATCAGGTTCTCTCAGGAAACAGACTTTGATATTTTTTGTTCAGGAAGTTTATTGGAAAATGCTCTCAGTATCGATATCTGGAGAGAGTGAGGAAAATAGGACTAAGGAGAGCGTGTGATTGGTTTTAGAGTCCGGAGCTGAGATGAGACTTAGCAGAGCTGCTTAGCTCAGAAGCACGGCATGGTCCCAGCAGTGCGGACTCATCACCATCATTCAAGGATTGCAGCCTTGTGGATGAGGATGATGGGCTCTGCTTTCGTTGGCTGAATTTTTGGAGAGCAACATTAGCATTCTCCATGGATTCTCACTGTCCTCTTCACTGTCCGGACACTTTGTAGGGATTTTCACATTAATCAGAACATCAGTACCATCTGGAAGAAGGTTTATAAAGTGCATAATCCAGTTTCTGTTCAAGGAATTAATCTCTCTGCCTCAGCATCAGTAAACTTCAATATTGTATTTCATTCTAGGCAACACCCTACTCAGTTGACCACTGAGAAACAGAACCCCACATAGAAGAGGCTGACTGGTATGGTGAAGGGATCTGTAAAACACTTCAGATAGAGGCATCCAAGATAGAGCCAAGAAAGGAAACAGAGCTTTAGGAAACCTGGTCATCACTTCAAATGCTGAGTCTGTCTTGTGAAAAATGTCCCTCAGCTCACTCTGGCTCACTTAAAGAATAATCCTAAACTAGATGTTTAGTCTAGTCTCTAAGAGGTTAGGAATACTGTCTGTTAACAATTGTCTCTGTACCCTAGGACCGAGCATAATACTTGCCACAAAATAGTTGCTCAAAAAACATTTGATGAAATAAAATAAATGAGTAAATGCTACAAGGGTTCATATTTTTAACTCAGTGGACTTTAAGTCTGCGCACTTGAGATTCTCTAACAAACGCAACCGGCTGCTTTATAAACTATATTAAGACCTCACCACTGGGAGGGACCATACATAGAAGGGATGACTTTCTCTGAACAAGGGATATTACAAGGTCAAATTTTTGCTCTGCATAGAAAGCTCAATTTCTTATGTTTCTTTCAACTTTAAGATTATTTTAAAAGATAGAAAGTGACTATTCCTTGTGAAGAGAACTGCCAGAGGGCATGATGGCTAGTATACACAGAAAGTTTTGAATTTTCTAGTTGTACTAAATTCCCACAGAAATTCCAGAAACACCTTGAAGGAAGAAACATTTACTCTGTGTCATTCAACTGAAAACATCAGTTATTAATATTTCAATCATGTTCTTCACTTAGAGATGGTTCCTGATGGAAACCATGGGATTTCAGACTCTCTGCACATGGTAGTGATGGATGGCTGTAGATCCAAACTTGCCTTCTATCCTGACGCACCCAGTACTCCAGGCTAGTATTAAGGAGTTAAATCCTTTATACTGTAATCTAGAATAGTGGGATAGGAGCAGAAATCATGGTGCAAGGTCTGTGGGGTAGGAGAGTTTGACTATTAAATTCAGCGATCAGAGTTACCTTGAAGGATTTAAAGAGAGCTTGCATTAAGCATATAAAAAAATGCACATGTATATGACATTTTGCAAACATAGATCTCTTAAAATCCATTCATGAATTAACAGTTCATGGGATAAAGACTGAGATTTTTAGAGGCCCCTATGCCTTCTGGGTATTTTCCCTTTACCACAGAAAGCTACTCTTATCCCTGACACCCTATAAAAATAATTTTTAAAGATATGACTCATTGCATTTATGAAGTCCAAAGACATATGAATGACCTGACTCAGGGTCAAAGTAGATGGGTAGAAAACTGATGTCTCATTTATACTGCTAGATATATTTAAGTAATCCAGACTTCATATGGTGATTACAATACTTTACCATAAATGGTGTTGATTGGCACTTGGTTTAAGAAATATTTTTCTCCTTGAATTATATTTCAAAGTCCTCCCAGGTGTGACACTCCACGTAGATGGACTAAATGTTATGCCTACTTGATGTGATTAATGAGCAATGATGAACATGTCCATTGGAAGATGTGTCAAACCAAAATGCATTTATGTCTGAAATTACTACTGATATTTCAAACCCTGAAGGAATTTCTGGATGTATGAACCATTTTGTAGGAAGAAGGCAAAAGGAGACCCAGGAAGCTATGCGGTAAAATGGAAAGGACATGGCTTTGGGGACAGAAAGATCTGCTTTGAATTCAGTTTCACTTCTTGTTCACATGTGATAGTTAGCCAGTTACTTAGTCATACTGAGCCTCAGATATTTCATCTGCAGAATGGCGCTGAGGAGTACCTGTCTCATAGTTTTGTTGTGATAGTACTTATAAAACACTTAGCTTAAGGTTTGCTATGAAAAATATCCTTCCTCTTAATTCACTCTCTCTTTTCACATAGGACACATTCTAGATAGCTATTATCCAGTAATAGACTAATTTCTTTGATTGCAAGAGTATCACAGAGATATATGTTAGCCAGGTTCTATAAAAGGGGCAGGTCTGCAGGGAGTACTGAGAATGTGAGATGACAGGAAAAGAAAGTAGCGAAACTGAAAGAACTTAGGGGCAGTGAGAGGGAACAGGGAGACAAAATTTGCCTTCCTAATTATTTATTTTTCTAGAGCCAGTCCTGAGTTCTCCCTATATCTCTTCAACGTCTACCTATTTCCAACCCTTAACTTTCCTATCAGGAATGTCCACATTAGCCCAGAAAGAATGTAGTCGAAACATGATTGTTTCCCCCATCCCCCACATTTTCCACCTTATCTGCTGGGATCCCTGCCATGACTTGGAAAAAAAGAAGCTGGAGGTGGAGAGTGAGAAGATGGAGTTGGTCACACTCAGAGGAGAGGTATGTGACCCTCTCTTCAGATGAGTTTTAGAGAATTGGGAATATGATGGTAAAAAGGAATTTTACATTTCTAGGCTGGATTTCTCAACCTCAGTAGTACTGAAAATTTGAGAGGGTAATTCTTTGAGGCTGATCTGTGTTTCCTATGGGAAGATATTCAGCCACTTCTCTGTTCATACCCACTGCTCTGAACCACTTCTCTCTACTGTGTCTCAAGATGCAGAGCATTGTTGAAGGCAGTGTGGAGTCAGGATGGGAGTCAAAGGCCTCGGACGGCCAGGATCGATACCGACAAACAAGTGTCATGGAAATACTCACTGAAGGGTGGGTAGAAAGTACTTTCTGAGGAAACCAGAGGCAACTGGGGTTTTTGTGTTGCTCTGTGAACCAACGTGGGAACTCTGTATTTCTCAAGAGTGGTGAAATGGGCAAAGGCATCCCCTGTTTTTCATAGAAACGTGTCTAGCGGCCTGCCATTATAACATTTAGCAATCGTGTTTTATGAAGTAATAGTTATTACCAGGTTCAAACCCACCCCTCACAGAAATGCTTGGTGACTCCTTTTCCTCCATGCCCAAATATCTCCATTTTCTCTTACATCTTATATCTGGAGCTGTGAGAATGGTTAGTAGGATCCTTTTTGTGAGAAATTCTTTGATTTGCTTTGGGAAAATTATGCAAATCTATAATGTAATAACCTGATTTATATTACCTACAGAAAGTTAACTGAAGAGGAAAATTAAGTGATTATAAGCCTAAGTGGATGATTTATGAGTAAGTGCTACAGAAAGGGAAAGTCCTAGCAGCAACAACAAAATCCCTATAAAGGTTGGGATGGAAGAAAAATTATGTGGGTTGGCAAAAAGGTTTCTAGGTAGGATTAACAGGCTGAACTTGAAAAAAATATGTAGTCTTTTATGGCAAGTATCAAGACATTCAGGTTAATGATATACTGAGTACTTTTATAGAGAATCTCATACTCTCCAATCCTAGAGGATCTGAAAACAAAACATGGCAATATACAACATATTTGGAGGTAAGGAGGCTGCGGTGGTGGTGGAATACAATGATTAATGCTTCGGGGACTTTCAGTGATGAGGTCATTGACTGCTAAGGTTAATGGCAAATGCAGTTTCTGAGATTCTACTGCTGAGGCTTCGAATACACTAAACTATACATAAAAAGTTATAATGGCTCTGTCATACTATCTACAATTTATAGATTCACATTTTAATACATAATCTTAGACAAATGAGATAAAATATTTCCATAATACAAAGTGTACTGAGTGTTGGCGCAATTGCAAATTCTGCACCACTGTTCAGAAAAGGTACAAACTGTAACTCTTCAGAGAAACAGACAGAAACTTTTGGGCAGGTTCCTGTTCTACCAAGTAGTGCAAAGTAGAACCACAGTGCTCAATGTAGTATTTCTTCTCTACTTGTGATTTGATAGAAAACTTGAAGGGAATTATGACTTTAGAAAAAAAGTGAGTGTTGAATATAGAAGCAGTAGGTTATCATTGTGGCAAGGTGAAAGGGATGGTAATAAAAGAAATAAAATCTAGTATTTGCTCTTTTTGGTCAAGAGATGGTTAATTTCAATGCGGCAAGTATCTACCCGGAAGCACCTCTGTGCAGAGCACTATTCTAGGAACTGTGAAGCAAGCAAGATGTATCTCACTGGATGCTCACAGTCTAGTGAAAAAGGTTCAAATTCAAATTAAAAATGAAAAATGTCCCCTGAGCCAGGCGCGGTGGCTCACGCCTGTAATCCCAGCACTTTGGGAGGCCGAGACAGGCAGATCACGAGGTCAGGAGATCGAAACCATACTGGCTAACACGGTGAAACCCCGTCTCTACTAAAAATACAAAAAATTAGCCGGGAGTGGTGGCAGGCACCTGTAGTCCCAGCTACTCGGGAGGCTGAGGCAGGAGAATGGGGTGAACCTGGGAGGCAGAGCTTGCAGTGAGCTGAGATCGTGCCACTGCACTCCAACCTGGGTGACAGAGCCAGACTCTGTCTCAAAAAAAAAAAAAAAAAAAAAAAAAAAAAAAAAAAAAGACCCCTGAATAAAACACAGACTAAAACAGTGCTATAAAAGGGGAGATATAAATAGGAGAAGGGGATGAGAAGAAATTAATATGAAATGAGATAATTTAGGATTCGTTTTTAAATCCCTCAGGTTGTGAGAGAGAGCAAGCAAAGAAGGGATTTATGATGAAAACATTTTCCCAAATTATTTTGCAAGATAAGTAGAGCTGCCTTGAGTTAAGCAATTATCATGAGAGAAATGCTCTTTTTATAACTTGTTTTTGATTGTGTTTCAGCACAGGTGTAAGACACAAAGGCACAAGTTTATATAGATATACACAATATTTTTCATACTAGAATAGTGGATGGTTTTAAGACTTGTATAAATTATACACACATATATTTTGGGGTACCTTGTGAGGTTAATAAGATCTGTTTGTGAGCTCCAAATCTGCTGCTTTCTAGCTATGTAACTTTGAGCATTTAATGTCTCTATATCTCACGTTTCTTATCTGTGAAATGGAGGCATTCATGAATATATGAAATACTTGGGCACAATGCTAAATAAAACATTGTATAAACAGAATAAATGAGTAAGATTTGGTGTGATGAAATCAGGACTGGAGTATCAACAGTGATATGCTGGTAAAGGTTGATTAGCTTTTCGGGGGAGAAAAGCCTTAATATGTAATGTTTGCCAATTTCTGAATTATAAATACCTACCCTCATTCATTTCAGATTAACAACATGATGTCACTGAATGTGGAGTTGAAAACTGATGTCTATAACTGGCTTTCATTCAGTGGTGCACACAAGGTTCAGCAAACCACTGGGTGTCAGTATTCTAATGTAATGGCTTTCGGGATTAAATAAGTAAGATGGGAAATAAACTGTTGATAATTGAGATTGTCTAGTCTACATCATTGTGCCAGAATACACCCAGAAGGGACTGGCAAGTCTCCTGGGAAGAAGTTAATCTAGTAACAGGAGATAAGTTAGGCCAGGTACCAGGGGAAAGAAGAACTTCTTCTCTGGGGATTGTGAACAGGTAGACTCAGTCACTATGCTGGGAAGTTGCATGGAGCATTCCAGGTGGTACGGATATGCTAGTCCTTGCAATATGTAGGCAGGCTGGAACTAGGCAAGAGTTATGCCAATTCATCTTGGGTCTCTGAGACCGGCTTGTACCCATGGGCTTTTAAAAGGAGAGATTTCCCATAATCAGTTTTATGTTATTCTGTTACATTTATGTTTTTTTTCTCTAGTAAATTATAGTGTAATATTATAATTGGGTGACAGTTGTGAAATGAGGAGTTAGGGAGATTGGGGTTTCCTTTCTAAAGCCTAAGTAGCTCCAGCTGCTGGACACATGCAAACCAAATGTACCACTTGATTAATGAATCCATCTTATCCCATGTTCAAGATGCAAGAGTCTCTTCTCCCCTGAATATCAGATTATCTGAACGTGCTCTATGGCTTCCATTTGCTTCTCAAAGGTATGATTTGCCCCCAAAGATTAAGAATTACTTATGTGTATACTACATCCCTGTGCTTATTTTTACTTTATTAATTTTTAAAGATAAATTTATTATACTTCTTTTTACTATGAACCACCTCAAGTTCTCTTTGGCAAGAGAGTTATAAATGATGCATAAAAGACAAATAGAGTTGAATAATGATTACTTAATTGACTTAAAATTACATGCTAGTTCCTCGAAAGTTAAATATAGAATTACTAGATGACCCAGAAATCCCACTTTTAGATACATAAAGGAATTGAAAACATGTTAGAACAAAATTCTACATACAAATGTTCATAGCTGCATTATTCATATTAACCTAAAAGTGGAAACAACTTTATGTCTATTGGTGACTGAGTTGATAAACAAAATGTATTGTATACATGCAGTGGAATATTATTAAGCCATACAAAATTGAGGTACTAAAACACAATACCAACACAGCTGAAGCTAGAAAACATTATGCTCCATGAAAGCAGCCTGACACAAAAGGCTTCCATTTATATTAAATGTCCAGAATAGGCAAATTAATAAACAGAAAGTAGATTAATGGTTACCAGGGGCTAGAGAAAGGGGAGAATTGGCCTAATTATCTTTATAGGTATGAGATTTCTTTTGGGAGTAGTAGAAATGTTCTGGAATTAGAGAGATGTGATGGTTGCACAATATAGTAAATATACAAAAATCCAGTGAAGTGTACATTTTAAAATTGTAATTTTTTGTTATGTTCATTGCATCTTAATAAAAAATTGCCTGCTAACTTAAAAATAAAAACAAAACCCCCACATATATGGGGGCATGTCAAAGAAGCCCAAGAACCAACTAAAAGAGCTTTCTTTTTTTTTTTTTGAGACAGAGTTTTGCTCTTGATACCCAGGCTGGAGCACAATGGCATGATCTTGGCTCACTGCAACCTCCGCCTCCCAGGTTCAAGCAATCCTTCTGCCTCAGCCTCGTGAGTAGCTGGCATTACAGGCGTGCGTCACCATGCCTGGCTAATTTTGTATTTTTAGTAGAGCCAAGGTTTCTCCATGTTGATCAGGCTGGTCTTGAACTCCTGACCTCAGGTGATCCGCCCACCTCGGCCTCCCAAAGTGCTGGGATCACAGGCATGAGCCACCATGCCTGGCCCTAAAAGAGCTTTCAATGGCCAAAGCTGAAACATTTCAAGGCGAAAAATAATTTATTTGGCTTATGTTAGATTGTATATTGGTTTATAACCCAAAGTAGAAAATAAAAATCCGTAAGTCCATAATGATATAAATACATAAAATGAAAGAATAAACAAATCTATAGTATGAAACAACTCCAAATAATGTGTATAAATACTCCTTCCTCAAGGATGGGAGAATAACTCTCGACTCAGATCTGGGCTGTGCATAATGATTTCCTTCCAAACAGTAAGCACAGGCTGGCGCAGTGGCTCACGCTTGTGATTCCCAGCACCTCAGGAAGCCAAGGTAGGAGGATCGCTTGAGCCCAGGAGTTTGAGACCAGTCTGGAAACATTGCAAGACCTTGTCTCTTCTAAAAATAATGATAATAAACAACATTATTCAGATATGGGGGTGCGTGCCTGTTGTCCCAGCTAGTTGGGAAGCTGAAGTGGGAGAATTACTTGAGCCTGTGATGTTGAGGCTGCAGTGAGCCATGATCATGCCACTGCATTCCAGCCTAGGTGACAGAGGGAAACCGTGTCTCAAAAAAAAAAAAAAAAAAAAAAAAAAAGAGTAAGTATGGTAAGTATGCAAAAGGGGGGGGGAAGAGAAACTTTTCTGTGTATAAATATTACAAGCACTGCCTCAGCTAAGTGGTCCAGGTCAGCATCAGCAGTGAGGCCATGTTGATAGGACGTATCCTTAATATGGTGTGATGAAAATGGCATTTTACCCCTGATCTTCCTCCCCAAACTCCACAATCCCAGTCTACTCATGAGAAAAACATCAAACTAATTCCCATAGAGGGACATCAACCAAAGGACCTGACCAGTACTCCTTAGAGCTGTCAAGGTCATCAAAAACAAAGAAAGTCTGAGAAACTGTCATAACCAAGAGTAAATGTAATGTGGTTTTCTGGATGAGATGCTGGAACATAAAAAGGTAAAAAATAAGCTAAAGTGGTAAAGCTAAATAAATATGAACAAACTATAGACTTCAGTCAATAATAGTGTATCAGTATTGGTTCATAAACTGTAACAAATATATCATACTAATAATGTAAGATGTTAATATTAGGAAACTGCACGCACAGTATTTGAGAACTGTCTATACTATCTTCTTAATTTTTCTGTCAATCTAAAACTGTTCTAAAAAATGAAGTCTATTTTTAAAAAAATGCATGTTAACATTTAGAAAGCCAATTCGTTATGTTTAAGTATGCGAATGCATAATTATATAAAAAATCAATATAATATTATATGGACTGAGCTCTAAACCGTGATTTACTCTAGTGGTGTGTTTTTGATATGTAAAAAAATTCATTCAGTTCCATGTTTTCTTCAGCTTAAATTCCCCAGGAATTTAACCAGCCTATTAAGACCATAAGATTTGGACACACAAATCTTCTCGTGCTATCAATATCATTTGGAGATGAATCCTCAGTACTGATCCATGCAGACCCGACCAGTGGACACACATAAATTAAAAATATTTCAACATGTTTGTATTGAGATGCAGCCAATATGAACCTGGACGAGATTTTTTAGCTCTAGTGTCTGTTTTGTTCAGTGATGTGGCTCTACCATGCATTTCAGTGCTGGCCACACAAGATTCTCAATAATATCACTTGAATGAATGCATTAATCTGATAAAGGAGAAGAAGGGGGCTTTATAATTCCTGATTTGTTGCAGCTTTTGCCAGCTACAAAGCCAGCTTAATTGTCACATTGGTCTTTATCAAGGGAAAATAAGAACAAAAAAACAAAGTAGGACTGAAGGAAATAAATATGGATTTATCTTGCTTCTAACACTGAATAATATTCTTCTGGTATTCCTAATAGACTAAAAGTCTTCTATGAGGAAGGCCAAGTTAATTTAACTTTAATTTGGTCATTGAGGAACTTGCCAGATGAAGACTTAGACATTTCGTTCCTTAGCCAACTGTTAAGCATCTGGTGAGAAACTTATTGATTCATTCTTACTTCAAACAGGTATTTAATATTTTTTAGAAGAACTCTCAGAGATGCAGATAAGATTTTAAAAACCAATAAAATATTTATCTTGCTGACTGAAGTATGATCTTTAAACATTGAAACTGAAGATTTTCTCTCTATTTCTAGAATGTTCTTCCTGAAAGCTATATTTTTGTTGAACTCCCATTTAGTTTGATATTTCCAAGGAGAATTGTTTCTTGCCCAATTTCAGCATGTAATATTTTCTTAATTAATTTAACAGTGTGAAATTTGCATTTTCCACTCATAATCTGAGTGTTTATTTTTAAGGTCTAATTTAAATTTCCTTAATAATGTGCTTATAATTCTAATTCTTGACATCAACTTTAGACACATCTATTAATTCTCTAGTGTGAAAGATAAGGATGTAACTTTTTCTAATATTCGGTTTTAAATTACAGATAAGTACAACATTTTAAAAATATAGCTGAATATAAAATACTTTTTATAGCTTATTGCCATTTTTCTGGCCGTAGAAGCCATATGCACTCTAGTAAACATTCTTGGCTTCCACTTAGATTCCTTTTATTGAGTGGTTGAATCAATCCTCCAGCTTCTGTGAGTGCTGGTTGCTAACAACTCATGCCCTGTTGAGGAGGTTATCTCCACCCCTACACTCTGAGTGCCTTCCATACAATCACTGACATTGCCTCAGACCAAGGGACCAACTATATGGGACAGTAGGTGTGGCTGTGGACACATAATCATGAGATCATTGGTTCTACCACATTAACACACGATCCAGGATCCAGTTGCTGCTGGCCTGATAGAGTGGTGGAATAGACACTTGAAGTTTAGGGATAACACCATCATTCTGATATATTTCTTAAAACAATGGCTGTTAAATCAGTTTAGTAGATAGTAAACATGGGAGAAGAACTAAGAGATGGAATAGGAGTGAGCTCACTCGCTATCATTCTCAATGCCCACTAAGTCTTCTGTCCCAGCAACTTTAAGCTCTATGGGTCTTAGAGGGATGACGCTTCTGCCAGGGGCACAGCAAAGAGACCCACTAAACTTAAAGCAATTACTGCTGCCATTGCTTGCCTTGGGATATATATGCCAGCAGGCCAATAGTCAAAGAAAAAAAGTCACATAAAGGCCAGGCTATTGACCCTAATCATTTTGGGGAAATAGGGTTGCTGCTACATAATGAGGGACAGGACAAGAATATGTTTGACAGTCAGGTGAACCACTGGGACATCAACAGGTACTCTCCTAGTTTTAACTATGAGGGAAGGAAATAACTTTGGGACATATAAACTAGGGTGTCAGACTCTTTAGGAATAGGTGAGACAACCAGGTAAGATACCTGCACCATCAGATGCACTGTCAGAGGAAGTGGCAAATCTAATGTGGATGAGGGATGAGGGAGATGATGAGTATCAGTCATGGACTTGAAGTCAACTGTGGCAGTGGGGCATGTAGTTTCCACTAATGTGTTCTTGTGATTAATCAGAATTCCAGAGGAACTATGCTGAATAGATTGAATTTAATGTGAGGAGCAAGTGGTTCTGAATAGTGCAAAGTATAGACTATACAAAATATTGTTGATGTCCAACTCAGATCTCCTTTTCAGGCTGAAACACTTATCCCCCAGCTCTCATGAGTGTTGGGTCCTAAAAGCTTACAGATACTCTCTTCTCCAGAAAAATGCCCTCAGAATATGGGAACCATCCTGATTGGAATATACAGTGTTGATAGTGGCTTACAGCCAAGGACTGACTCTCTGGGTGTGCAAAGGTTGTCCTCTTACATCAAGGTAGGTCTTATTCTGTGTTGCTGTTCATGCTGTAAAGCTCCCCATGGAATGAAATTGAAAGCTAGACATCCTTGCTTGGCTTCTTCCTCTTTCTTATATGGTTCTCTCTTTTTTCCAAGTTATTTGTAAGAGAGAATTTGGAAAAAGTATTTGCAAAAGAGTCCCTGTGTTAGACTCTGCTTCTAGGAAATTGAAAACAAGACACATACTCGCTGCAGGTGGCAGGCGCCTATAGTCCCAGCTACTGGGGAGGCTGAGGCAGGAGAATGGCTGAACTCGGGAAGCAGAGCTTGCAGTGAGCCCAGATCGCGCCACTGCACTCCAGCCTGGGCAAAGAGTGAGACTCTGTCTCAAATAAATAAATAAATAATAATGCATACAAATAGTTTTAAGTCATCCATAGTCCCACCTTATAATGTTTACCATTGTTAGTAGTATATGCGTTTCCAGCTGCTTCTGTATTTATTGAAACATTTATATAAAATGGAATTACATATGTGGTATGTGTTTGTATGCGTGTGTACACATATGTATGTAGTATGTGTTTGTGTGTGCATATATAGACACAGAGAATGTGGTGGTTATCTTTTTAAATTGATAAATATAATAATTTGTAGTTTTATACATATCCTCTGTATAAATCTACAATTAGTTAAACAATTCTCTATAAGTTCTAATAGTTAACTGTGTAAGTGCTGTGATAAACATATCTATACATTTGGCCCTACATATCCATGGATTCTGTACCCATGAATTCAACAAACCATGGATCAAAAATATTTTTTAAAAAGTAACAAAAATATAACAATAAAAATACAAATTTTAAAATACAGTAGAACTATTTCCATAGCAGTTACATTAGAGTAGGCATGAGCAATCTAGAGATGATTTAAAGTATGTGGGATTATGTGTGTAGGCTATAGGCAAATACTATGCTATTTTATACAAGGGATTTCAGCATTTGCTGATTTTGGTATCTATAGGATTCCTGGAACCAATACCCCTTTGAGACCAAGGGATGACTATACATACTTCTTTGCTCATTTATCCAACTATTTTCCTGAGATAAATTTTAAGAAGTGTAACTATGAGGTTAAGTTCACATAATCTAAATATTTTATTTTTTTTCTGGCAAATTGCCTTTAAATGAGATATGTATGAGACTTCCAATTTCCCTACATCTTTGCCAACACTTGGTTTAGTGTTCAATTAACCTAAATACTAGAACTGACAATTTAAAGCAGAAGTTTTAGAATGGCCAATCGAATTGAATGTTAAGATTATTGACTAGTTTGATATTTTGAATTGAATGAATGCTTAAAATGTAAGAAAAAAGCAACCAGACTATTAAGTGCCTTTGTACTCAGTGCTTAAGATAACATCAATGAATGTTATAATTTTAGGAGGTGAGTTTTGTTATTATCCATTGCAACAATGAACAAACTATCAGTGAGACAGACTAATGGCTTATGTTTATACAGCTGGTTTGATATTATATACAATTTGATTTCTCTGACGGTTAAGCCCTGGCTTTTCTTTATGCCCCTCTGTCTCCCACTGGTTGCAGTGCCGATCAATAACTCCCTTTACTGCCCACAGCTATAGGGTCATAGCCAAACCAGATAGATCATACATCTGGATTTGTAAAAGGAACAAGAAAATATATAAAAGTTCTCAGAACAATAAAATGAAAGTTCACTTTAAGTGGCGCCTCTGGGGATTATTCATAAAAAGACCTCAGAAAACCAGAGAATTTTAGACACAAATGGAGATTTAGAGGGCATCTGGACGGTCCTCTTTCCATTTTCTTCATCTGCTGCCTCCATTTATAAATGGAAAATTGTAAAGAGGCAGATGTCAGTGAGATTGTCAGGCAATAACTAGTTTATTCATGATTTTAAGGCTCCAAAGAGAATTGCTAAAGCTTAAGCCATCCTTTCATTCAGGTAGAAAATCTTCAGAATAAAATGGAAAATCAAATCTCTATTTGAAGAAATTAGCTTTGAGGATTGAAAGTAATAGTAGACTAGCTATTTCTTGGGGCTGAAAGAATGGCTTATAGTTAGTAAGCTGTGACTGTGACGAGGGCACCAGGGAGAACTTGATCCGATGTCCACAGCTCCAAGGGCAGGAACGGCCAGATCCCCAACTTCTACTTTTACATGTACTAACTTCATTGGGCTCTAAACTGAGAGAAAACCCCTGGCAGAATGAAGCAAGAAAGTGAACATAGACCTTTAACTGTGTCTAATCTCCCCTGCTTTGGCTGAACGTGGCTCCAACTCTTTGGTCCTAAATCTTGACACATTTAGAATCGCCTGAATGCCTTTGTAAAATTCCTAATGCTGCACTCCAGACTTATTAATCTCTGGCTTTGGAAACAGGCATGAGGCTAGTTGACTCCAATGTGACACCACAATTGTGACCATAGGCTAACTCATCTCTTCTTTCTCCAATGTCATCATCTGACATCCCAGCTGAAAATTACTACTAATTTTAGAAATAAAATTTTTGGCAGGTATCAGTATTGTGGGTTTTTTTTTTTTAATAATAAGGGAAAAAAGACAGGTAAACTAAATCATTGAGAGAGAGTATATGAGAACTCTCTACTTTTTGATCAGTTTTACTGTGAAACTATAATAGGTTTTTTATTTTTAAAGTCTACTAAATACAATTTTTAAATATTAAAAACTGAAAAAAAAAAGAAGAAAGAAAAAATAGAAACAGATGGGTTTACTGATACTAGTTTTTTCCAGAGAGTGTTGGCTGTGCAGCTGAAGGGAAAGCAGGCACGTTTCTGACAACATAGCTCGGTGGCATCTCTCTGTCCTATCACTTTACCTTTAGTTTATTTACCAGCCAGCTCATATTAGTTCTACCTACGGGTGAAACTCAGCTCCCCTAGAACCCAACTGATATTGTTAGAGGAAACAGATCCCGACCCAGACCCCAAGAGAGAGTTCTTGGATCTTGTGCAAGAAGGAATTCAGGGCATGTCTGTAGAGTAAGTGAAAACAAGTTTATTAGGAAAGTGAAGGAATAAAATAATGGTTATCCATAGACAGAGCAGCCCCAGGGCTGCTGGTTGCCCATTTTTATGATTATTTCTTGATTATATGCTAAACAGGGGATGGATGATCCATGCCTCTGCTTTTTAGACCATATAGGGTAACTTCCTGACATAGTCATGGCATTTGTAAACTGTCATGGTGCTGGTGGGAGTGTAGCAGTGAGGACCAGAGGTCCCTCTCGTGGCCATCTTGATTTTGGTGGGTTTTAGCCGACTTCTTTACTGCAAGCTGTTTTATCAGCAAGGTCTTTATGACCTGTACCTTGTGCTGACCTCCTCTCTTATCCTGTGACTTAGAATGCCTTAACCATCTGGGAATGCAGCCCAGTACATCTCAGCCTCATTTTACCCAGCTTCTATTCAAGATGGAGCTGCTCTGTTTCAAATGCCTCTGACAATATGGCCTGTATATGCCTCTTAACACCTAGAAACAAGGCTCTTTTTTTTAACAACGTCTGAAACCCTGCCATGTGCCACCAGTTAAGCCCCTCTTTCTTGTCTGAATCAGCTCCCAGGCCATCAGCTCTTCTGCTGAGCCTGATGACTAACTTACTCTCAGGCCGTTCACCTGGACCAGGTTAATAGCTCTACCCATTGCCAGGTACTTAGATGCTCCAAAAGAGTTTATTTCTGTCACCAGCAATAAGCATGAGATGGGACAACTCTAATGGCCAGTAGGATAAGAAATTCTGCCCATGTTTGGAAATCACTGGTAGCTGTTTATGGTACATATTTTGCATATTGAACTCTGTGGCTACACCTGAACATTAGCATATTTCACTATTTGACTTGAATTTTGTTTCTTCTTTTTTTGATTTTTGTTTTTTTCTTTTGCTACATTAGAAGGATGGAAAAAATATTTCTCTTCACCTTCCGAAAAGTTTAAACTTTAAGCTTTTCCTAGCCTCAAGGAAAAAAGGAACCCTGATAGTTGAGTTGCTAATAATTCTGGCTTTAGGCTTAATGGACCATAAAGGTTTAATGTGGAAACCAATAACGACAACAAGTAGAGGAGAATGCATGGGGCAAGAAGAGTGGAGGAAAGTGGCGCCTGAGAAACTTGAAAAGAGAAAGGACTTTTTTCCAGATTCAAACAGGTTGAGGGACTAGGGGGAAGTAGATAAGGAAATGGAGTCAGGCTATCTGCGGGGCCTTGTTCTGAAGCTTCATGACACCCAGGGGGCCCCTAAAATGAAGAAGGCTCTGTACATTGGGTGGGCGTGATGGTGTTGATGAATACAGTTGTCTCTTGGTATCTGCAAGAAATTGGTTCCAGGACACCTGCAGGTACTAAAATCCAAGGATGCTCAAGTCCCTAATACAAAATGGCATAGTATTTGCACATAACCTGCACATATCCTCCTGTATACTTTAAATCATCTCTTATAATACCTAATGCAATGTACATTTGACCCTTGAACAATGAGGGTGTTAAGGGTACCAACGCTCCCTACCCCAGCTGAAAATTCACATGAAGCTTTTGACTGCCCCAAAATGTAACTACTAATAGCCTACTGTTGACCAGGAGACTTACTTATAACATAAAGTCAATTAACACACATTTTGTGTGTTATATTTATAATATACTCTCTTCTTACAGTAAGGTAAGCTAGATAAAAGAAAATGTTATTTTAAAAAATCATGAGGAAGAGAAAATATATTTACTATTTATTAAGTGGAAGTGAATCATCATAAAGGTCTTCATCTTTGTCATGGTCATGTTGCGTAGGCTGAAGGGGAGGGGAAGGCAGGGTTGGTTTTGCTATCTTTGGGGTGGCAGAGGTGGAAGAAAATCCACATGTAAGTGGACTCCTGCAGTTTAAACCTATGTTGTTCAAGTGCCAACTGCGAATGCTATGTAAATAGTTGCTATGCTGTATTTTTAAATTTTGTATTATCTTCTATTGCTTTAAGAAAAATATTTGCAATCTGTGATTGGCTGATTCCATGGATGTGGAAGCTGCAGATACTGAGGGCTGACTGTAAATCCCTGCGTCTATACTTCGTCACATGGCAACTGAGCTGAACTCACCCCTGAGCTGCGCTAGTGATTTACGACACACAATTTAGCAGTTCACATTTGTCAGGCCTTTTGGTACACAGTAGCCTTTGGTGACTGGAAGTAGATGGAGGCCCAAATCTTCTCTCCATTTCTTTGGCACTAAGAGCTATGTTACAATGAAAACAAGACCTAGGAACAAGGCACACAAATGATCACCTTGCTTGAGAGACTTAATCCAAGATGGACACATACGATCCTGGTGGCCCACCTTCCTGTCAGTTCTGGTGACAGAGTCCTTTGTGAAGTGGGAGGGCAAAGCACCAAATGGAGCCCCACGTCTTGTTTATTACAGGGAAGAAGGATTCCCTATGGGTAACTTAATACTGTTTTAAAATTGTTGTTACACATACACATAAGATACTTATAAGCAGGTACATCACTTTGTATAATGCAGTGTTTGTAAGTAACTTCTTAGGCAACATAATATCACATGCTGTTAATTCTCATGTAATCCCATTGTGTCACACTAACAATCCCGGTAATAGGGTCACATCAATACTAACACAAGAATGCTAATAACTCCAAACCACTACCTCCTAAATAAAGACACATGCCATTATCAATTGTCATCTCACCATCTCCCCTTCTGCATGACTAGCCTATTCTAGCATCATCTCTTCCCTGGGCCACTGCAAGTTTCCTCAACTGAATTTATTTATTTATTTTTGTTGTTCATAGTCACATTGAGATGTTAATAAATCTGATCATTTCATTTCCATTTTTGAAAACCTCTAATGGCTTCTAATATTTATTGAAACAATATAAAATCTCATAACTGAGATTGAGTCATTTTCATGAAGACAATAGCAAAAGTATCCTTCATCCTATGCCCGTTTCTCTGTTATTTTCTTTGTAGTACACAGCTCTGAAATTATTTTTTCAGCATATCTGATTTTCTGTCTGCCTCAAATAGAATGTCAACTTCTCAATTCATTCACTCTTAGGTCCCCAGTACCTACAACAGAGCTTGGCACACGGTAAATGTTCAGTTAACATCCATGGAATTTCACAAATGAAAGATGTGCATTGGTACTAATGCCTGTGATTTCTTCTCAGCCAATTATATTCTTGCAAAGTAAGAAGGACAATTATTTTTCTCCCTTTGTGGTGGACTCAACTGTTGGAGGGATCTCAGAAGCATATTTGCCTGGACCCCAGCCTGATCATTCAGTATAATCATTACTTTGCTTTCTCTTGAGCTGCTACGATCCTGTTGCAGCATTCTCTGTTGGTTGCCAAATTACCTAAAATAGTTCAATGACTGCAGGAGATCTGTTCCATATTGTACTAATTGTCATCCACAGAATACTTTGAAAGCATGATTGTCTTACTAGAATAAAAAGGAAGACCTTTATTTGTCTTAAACTCACTTGGAACAGATCTCACATGACTAAACTGTTTAAGTTATTGTTATGGGTTGAATTGTGTACCTCTGAAATTCACATATTGAAGAAAACACCCTAGTACTTCAGAATGTTATTGTTTTTGGAAGAGATGATCTTTAAACAGATAATTAAGGTTAGATGAGGTCGCTGGGGTCAGGTCTTAATTGAATATGTCTGGTATCCTTATAAGAAGAGACTAGGACACACACACACACACACACACACACACACACACAGTGGAAAAACCATGTGAACACAGAGAAAAGATGGCTCTTAGAGATTGAACTGTGCTTTCCCAAAACTCATAATGTTGAAGTCCTGCTCCCAGCACTCATAAAGTGACTGTATCAGGGTGGCCCTAATCCAATCTGGCTGGTATCCTTGTAAGAAGAAGAGATGAGGGCATATAGAAAAACACCAGGGCCATGCACACACAGGGAAAGACCATGTGAGGACACAGCAAGAAGGCTGCCATCTGCAAGCTGAAAAGAGAGGCTGCAAGAGAAACCAAACCTGCCTTGATCTTGGACTTACAGTCTCCAGCACTGTGAGAAAATACATCCCTGTTATTTAAGCCTGTGTTATTTTGTAATGGCAGCCCTCACAAAGTAAATCAATTATGAAATTCTACAGGCGCTTTTTCAACTTACATGAAGTTCCTTTTCTTAAAATGCATGCATACAAGAATGGGTCTTATGGCAAGTACAGTGTTACTTAGAATTACCACTCCTCCTAAAATTTGCTAGATACAGCTTTCTGGGCCAGAATCATTTCCCTTTTTGCAATCAGGAATCCTTGAAGTGGGGGATATTTCTTCTCTACCCATTCCTTTCCATGTAAAAAAATATTCCCCTAAAAATTCCTGGCTTCTTTAAGGTCCCTACCTCCTTTGTTTCTGACCAAGAACTAGAGTGAGTTATCTGGTTGCTGAGTTTGGGAGGGGAGCTGAGTATCAGTGTCTCAGCTCCTTCCTTTCCTCATTCTCATGAATGGTAGTCTGCCTTCAGAATGCATTTGCTCTGGTGTCCACCTTTATGGCTTTCATTGTATTTGTGCACCCCCAGTTAGACAGGTTGAGATTACCCTGTGCTGTCTGTGGCAGTGGGTAACAGGAAACCCATTGTTGCTGCACACCTTTCCTGGTTACCTCTTGCTGGGTGACAAACAATTACAAAATTTAGTGGTGTAAAACAATCATTTTATTAATTTCAAAATTTTGTGGGGCAGAAATTTGGGCAGAGCACAGCAAAGATTGCTTATATCTGCTCGATGATGACTAAGACCTTTAATTAGATTGGCTCAAACAGCTGGATTTAGCTGGGCTGACTTCATGAGAGCTACATGTCTTGGGCCTTGATTCTGGCTGTCAGCTGGTTTCCTCAGTGATATGGTTTGGCTATGCCCCCACCCAAAATCTCATCTCGAATTGTAATCTGAATTATAATCCTCATGTGTTATGGGAGGGACTCGTGGGAGGTGACTGGATCATGGGGGCAGTTCCCCCATGCTGTTCTCTTGATAGTGAGTGAGTTCTCATGAGATCTGATGGTTTTATAAGGGGCTCTTCACCCCTTCACTGTGCACTTCTCTCTCCTGCCACCATGTGAAGAAGGGAGTGTTTGCTTCCCCTTCCACCATAATTGTAAGTTTCCTGAGGGTTCCCTAGCCACACAGAGCTGTGAGTCAATTCAGCCTCTTTTTGTTATAAATTGCCCAGCCTCAGGTATTTCTTCATAGCAGTGTGAGAATGGACTAAGACACTCAGTTTTTCTCCACATCATATCTACCAGTGCCAGAATGTCTAAAATGCTTTTTCACTAGCATATCTTTCCTGCACTGGGAGAGCTGAAACAACTAGGGCTGCCTGGACATCACTAGTTTTTCATAAGCTTATCTTGGGCTTCCTCACATTATGGTGATATCAGAGTAGTTGGACTTCTTACATGGTGGCTAGTTCCCCACAGAATGAGCATTCTAAGACACCAACATGAAAACTGCAAGGTTTATTCTGAACTAATCTTGAAAGGGACACAGTGTCATTTCTGATGTATTCTGCAGGGTATAAGTGAGTAACAGGGCCAGCCAAGATTCAGTAGGTGAGGGCTGACTACACAAAGATGTTAACACATGAGGTGGTTAAAAGAGGGGTCTTTTTAAGAGACTATCACAACATTTCAGCCATGTTCTTAAATAGATAATAAAGGTGCTATTGTCATCTCATCTACTTTTTCTTCTATGGTACTTCCCAGTTAATTCAAAACTGAGGCCAGAAAAAGTAAAATTTTTAAAGTTGATATTCTCATACATCAGCAACAGCTATTATTTGTTCTTGATATATGACTTGTACCAGAAATATCTTAGTTATAGGCAACATCTTAACATGCCTTCTTGCATGCAAATAAGAGGATGTAAATGGATGATTGAGGGTTGGGATGTTGCTTAACATCATGTGCCAGACATGAATAAGCATCACACCTTAGTTAAGAAATAAATTCTAAAGACAGAAAGGAATTCTGAAAATATGGTAACTAAAACATCCTGCTGCCTTGTCATTCCCAAACTCAACTTTAATCCTTCCTCCACATGAGCCAAATGGATGATGGGACTGGAAGACAGCCATAGCCTGGAGGATGGAAATGACTGGGCTCTTGCAAATAAATTGAAAGAGAAAATGGTCCTTACTGACATTCAAATTAGAGGCCAGGAAGATTAAGTGAAGGAAATTTTCAGAGACTACCTAGTCAAACTGCAAAGGGATAGAAATCAAGAGGGAAAGATGAGGCTTACAGCCACAGGAGACTTAACACACAAATAATGAGAAGGGAAAACAAGAAGATCTCATGGAAATGCAATTGTTAAACAAATGATAGCAGAAAAATTTCCTAACCTGAAGGAAGACCTAAGCAGGCAGAGGTACATTGAGGCAAGTCTTAATAGGATTTCTAAACTCCAAGAATAAAGAAAACATTTTATAGGTTTCAAAGTAGAAAAGACAAGTTATTTCAAAGGTTAATTCACAGATGCAGGTTGACATTGGACAGCTCATCTGCAGAAAGAGGAGCTAGCCAATCATAGAATGACATCTATAGACTACTTAGAGAAAAGAAATACAACCATGGATCCTGACAGCAGCCCAAATGCCATTCCAGTAGCACGAATGAAAGAAAAATACTGTAGATGTACAAGAATTGAAAGTACACATCACTCAAACACTCTACAGCAGGAAAATTCTGGAGAATGAACTACAACTAGCAAACAAGCCAGAACAGAGATGAAAATGGGGTGTTTGAGAGGTGGCTGGGAAGAGGTTAAATCTGTGAGTGAGGATAGGAAAAATAGAAAATGCAAGCAAACTAAAAACCTCATCCTAAGAAGTACATGAGATATAGAGAAAAGTAATAGGGGAATAAAGCCCTTAGTAAGAATTTTTTAAGTAAAATTAATATTAATAAATAATAGGCTTTATTATAATTGCCAGGAATGGGAAGGGAACCCAAAGTACACTACCAACATACAGTAAGAACCCAAATTAATGAGCACTTCTACTTGTAAATTAGCTGCAAATATACAAAGGAGGGAAAGAAAAATATCAAATGGAAATACTAAACATAGAGTAAGATGGAATAAATGAAAATAAGTATATCATCATATATATTGTGTTAGTTATCTATAGCTGCATAACAAATCAAATTAAAAATGGATTTGACTGAATGATTACCAGATCTTACCATTAGAATATTTGTTTTATTTGTGCAAGAGTGAGCCTTTCAGGCAAGGTATTCCTTGGACTTCTTAAAAGTTTTCATCCCTGGGATGCAAGTCTGGTTCAACATACACAAATCAATAAATGTAATCCATCACATAAACAAAACCAATGACAAAACCACGTGATTATCTCAATAGATGCAGAAAAGGCCTTCAATAAAATTCAACACCCCTTCATGCTAAAAACTCTCAATAAATTAGGTATTGATGGAACGCATCTCAAAATAACAAGAGCTATTTATGACAAACCCACAGCCAATATCATACTGAATGGGCAAAAGCTGGAAGCATTTCCTTTGAAAACTCGCACAAGACAAGGATGCCCTTTCTCACCCCTCCTATTCAACACAGTATTGGAAGTTCTGGCCAGAGCAATTAGGCAAGATAAAGAAATAAAGGGTATTCAAATGGGAAGAGAGGAAGCCAAATTGTCTCTGTTTGCAGATGACATGATTGTATATTTAGAAAACCTCATGGTCTCAGCCCACAATCTCCTTAAGCTGATAAGCAACTTCAGCAGTCTCAGGATACAAAATCAATGTGCAAAAACCACAAGCATTCCTATACACCAATAACAGAGAAACAGAGAGCCAAATCATAAGTGAACTCCCATTCACAATTGCTACAAAGAGAATAAAATACCTAGGAATACAACTTACAAGAGATGTGAAGGACCTCTTCAAGGAGAACTACAAACCACTGCTCAAGGAAATAAAAGAGGACACAAACAAATGGGAAAACATTCCATGCTCATGGATACGAAGACTCAATATCGTGAAAATGGCTGTACTTACTGCGCAAAGAAATTTTTAGATTCAATGCTATCCCCATGAAGCTACCATTGACTTTCCTCACAGAATTACAAATCAGTATATTAAATTTCATATGGAACCAAAAAAGGGCCCGCATAGCCAAGACAATCCTAAGCAAAAAGAACAAAGCTGGAGGCATCACACTACCTGACTTCAAACTATACTACAAGGCCATAGTAACCAAAACAGCATGTTACTGGTACCAAAACAGATATATACACAAATGGAATAGAACAGAGGCCTCGGAAATAATGCCACACATCTACAACCATCTGATCTTTAACAAACCTGACAAAAACAAGCAATGGGGAAAGGATTCCCTATTTAATAAATGGTATTGGGAAAACTGGCTAGCCATATGCAGAAAACTGAAACTGGATCCCTTCCTTACAGCTTATACAAAAATTAACTCAAGATGGATTAAAGACTTAAACCTGGAACCTACCACCATAAAAACCCTAGAAGAAAACCTAGGCAATACCATTTAGGCATGGGCAAAGACTTCATGACTAAAACACCAAAGGCAATGGCAACAAAAGCCAGAATTAACAAATGAGATCTAATTAAACTAAAGAGCTTCCGCACAGCAAAAGAAACTATCATCAGAGTGAACAGGCAACCTATAGAATGGGAGAAAATTTTTGCAATCTATCCATCTGACAAAGGGCTAATATCCAGAATCTACAAAGAACTTATACAAATTTACAAGAAACAAACAAACAAACAACTCCTCAAAAAGTGGGTGAAGGATGTGAACAGACACTTCTCAAAAGAAGACATTTATGGGGCCAACAAACATATGAAAAAAAGCTCATCATCACTGGTCATTAGATAAATGCAAATCAAAACCACAATGAGATACCATCTCATTCCAGTTAGAATGGCAATCATTAAAAAGTCAGGAAACAACAGATGCTGGAGAGGTTTTGGAGAAATAGAAATGCTTTTACACTGTTGGTGGGAGTGTAAATTAGTTCAACCATTGTGGAAAACAGTGTGGCATTTCCTCAAGGATCTAGAACCAAAAATACCATTTGACCCAGCAATCCCATTACTGGGTATATACCCAAAGGATTATAAATCATTCTACTATAAAGACAAATGCACACCTATGTTTATTGCAGCACTGTTCACAATAGCAAAGACTTGGAACCAACCCAAATGCCCATCAATAATAGACTGGATAAAGAAAATGTGGCACATATATACCATGGAAATACTATACAGCCATAAAAAGGATGAGTTCATGTCCTTTGCAGGGACATGGATGAAGCTGAAAACCATCATTGCTAGCAAACTAACACCACATGGAACAGAAAACCAAACACTGCATGTTTTCACTCATAAGTGGGAGTTGAACAAGGAGAACACATGGACACAGGGAGTGAAACATCACCCACCAGGGCCTGTTAGAGGTTGGAGGGCTAGGAGAGGGATAGCATGAGGAGAAATACCTAATGTAGATGACGAGTTGATGGGTTCAGCAAACCACCATGGCAGGTGTATACCTATGAAACAAACCTGCACGTCCTGCACATGTATCCCAGAACTTAAAGTATAATAAAAAGAAAAGAAAAAAAGAGCAAGTTTTCGAGGAACTTTAGCCAAGATGGCTGAATAGACACAGACAGAAAAAACTTCTCCCACGGAGAGACCAGACCATCAAGAAGACTGGCACACTCTGAATTGATCTTCAGAAAGAAGACATTGAGAGTCAACCGAGGGAGGACACAGACCCTAGGCTGAATGGGGAGGAAGCTAAGAACACTGCCTGGGGTTGCCACGCAGCAGGACTCCTCCCTGACCCTGAGTGGCTCCTGGGGAAATGGTGAGTTAAATAGGCATGGAGTGGCTCTTAAGGACCTCTTGTAAGGTGGGTCTGGTGGTAGCAAATGTACTTAGCTTTTGCTTGTTTGAAAGGATTACATTTCTCCATTTCCCAGGCTGTTCTCAAACTCCTGAGCTCAAGTGATCTGCCCACCTCAGCCTTCTAAAGTGTTGGGACTGCAGGCATGAGCCACTGTGCCTGGCCAAAAATCAATAGCATTTCCCTACACCAACAACGTCTAAGCTGAATGCAATCCTATTCACAATAGCCACAAAAAGAATAAAATACCTAGGAATACAGCCTACCTGGGAGGTGAAAAATCTCTACAACCAAAATGACAAAACACTCCTCAAAGAAATCAGATGACACAAACAATTGGAAATACATTTCATGCTCATGGATAGGAAGAATCAATATTGTTAAAATGAACATACTGCCCAACGCAATTTGTAGATTCAGTGGTATTCCTGTCAAATAACCACTATCATTTTTCACAGAATTAGAAAAGCTATTTTAAAATCCACATGGATATAATAAAGAGTGTGAATAGCCAAAGCAATCCTAAGCAGAAAGAATGAAGCTGGAGGTATCACACTACCCAACTTCAAACTATACTACAAGGCTACAGTAAATAAAACAGCATGATACTGGCGTTAAAAAAGACCATAGGCCAGCGAAATGAGTTAGAGAACCCAGAAATAAAGTGGCACACCTACAACCATCAGTTCTTTGACAAAGTCAACAATAACATGCAATGGAGAAAGGACCTCCTATTCAATAAATGGCTCTGGGATAACTGGCTAGCTATATGCAGAACATTGAAACTGGACTTCTACATTTCACCACATAAAAAATTAAAGTCAGGATAGATTAAAGACTTAAATGTAAAACCTAAAACTACAAAAACTCTAGAAGAAAATCTATTAAATACCTTTCTGGACATAGGCCTTGGCAAAGATTTCAAAATGTGGACTCCAAAAGCAATTGAAACAAAACGAAAAATTGACAAGTAGGACTTAATTAAACTAAAAAGCTTCTACACAGCAAAAGAAACTGTCAACGGGATAAACCCACAACCTATAGAATGGGAGAAAATAATTGCAAACTATGCATCCAACAAAGGTCTAATATTCAGAATCTATTAGAAACTTAAACAATTGAACAAGCAGAAAACAACCTGATTGAAAAATGGGCAAAATAAATGAACAGACACTTCTCAAAAGAGAACACAAACAATTAGGCAACAAATGTATGAAAAAAACGCTCCACATCACTAATCATCAGAGAAATACAAATCAAACTGCAATGCGATACCAACTCACACCAAGCAGAATGGCTATTACTAAAACAGCAAAAAATTAGAGATGCTGGTGAGGCTTCAGAGAAAAGGAAATGTTTATATATTGCTGGTGGGAACGTAAATTAGTTCTGGAAATTTCTGAAAGAACTTAAAACAGAACTACCATTGAATCCAGCAATGCCATTACTGGGCATTTATCCAAAAGAAAATAAATTTTTCCACCAAAAAGACATAGGCATTTACATTTTCATCGCATCACTGTTCATGATAGCAGAGACACTGAATCAACCCCGATGCCCATCAATGGTGGATTGGATAAAGAAAATGTACATATACACCATGGGATACTACACAGCCATAAAAAAGAGTGAGGTCATGTCCTTTGCAGCAACCATGGATGTAGCTGGAGGCCATTATCCTAAGTGAATTAACACAGGAACAGAAAGCCAAATACCTCATGTTCTCATTTATAAGTGGAAACTAAACATTAGGTACACATGGACACAAAGATGGGAACAATAGACACTAGAGCTTACTTGAGATTGGAGGGTGGGAAGAGTGTTAGGATAGAAAAACTACCTATCGGATACTATGCTCACTACCTGTGTGACAAAATCAATTGTACATGAAACCCCAGCAACATGCAATTAACTCATGTAACAAACTTGCACGTGTACCCCCTAAACCTAAAAAAAGAAGTTGGAAGAAAAAAAGAAGTTGAAGTGATGCCAGGGCTTCACTGAGTTGTTAAAGACTGGAGGTCTGACTATTTTTGTTGCTGGATTGCTAATAAATGCTTGAATGATTATTATCATTTAAATATAGTATCTGGTAAATATTATGGGGAAGTTGACATTTAGTTCTTATCCACTTCTAATTTTTGGAGATTATTAATATTAATTTTAAAAAGAGATATTTGTAGATAGTAAAAATGGTTTAGTGAATATAAAATTACACTCAAATATCCAACATAATTACAAATATCATTCTGAATCATCAAATATTCCAATAATTTCACTTAAGTTGGTAAAACTTTTAAAAAGAAGTTGTAAAAATATTTGTTGATACTGTGAAAATTATACAGTTGGGAAATGAACAAGATTATACTACATTAAGTATAATTATAATTGGCCCTTGAATAACACATGTGTTAGGGGCACTGACTCCCCTGTGCAATAGAAAATTCAACTGTAACTTTTGAATTCCCCAAACTTAACTACTAATAACTTACTGTTGACCAGAGGCCTTACTGATAACAGCCAATTGACAGGTATTTTGTATGTTATATGTATTATATACTGTATTCTTACAATAAAATAAGCTAGAGAAATGAAAAATGCTATTAAGAAAATCATAAGAGAGAGAAAATGTATTTAATATTCATGGGGTGGAGGTAGATCAGCAAAAGCCTTCATTCTTGCCATCTTCATGTTAAGTAGGCTGAGGAGAAGAAGGAAGAGGAGGGGTTGATTTTGCTTGTTAGGGATGGTAGAGACAAAAGAAAATTCACACGTAAGTGGACCTGTGTGGTTGAAACTTATGATGTTCAAGGTTCAACTATAATATGAAAATTATCATAGTACTGGATATATTTATATATATATATATATATAACATAATATAGATGTATATATATAACATAATATATATGTTATATATATATTATAGTAGGGTACTGGATATATTTTTATATATATAACATAATATATAATATATTTATATGTATTTATATATTATATATAAGTATATATATATAATCTCAGTATATTTTTCCTTATAATAATAATTTTTCCTTATAATAATTTTCCTTATAATAATGACAACCAAAAATAAAAGTAGTAAAATATTTCACTTATAATGGTGACAAAAATGATAAATACTTAGGAATTAATTTAAGAAAAAAGCATCTGAACTTAATAAAAAAAATTAATAGGAAACATGTAGAGAAAATTGTTATTGAAAGACACATGGATATTTAAATAATTAGAAAGACATATCATATTCTTAGATGGTGATATTTAATAAATAAAAATATCAGTTCTGAAATAATAGAAATTCAAATTGTAATTGTAAGAAGACTTTGATAATTTCATCAAGGATCTTCTTATAGAAGAATAAATAACAAAAATAGCCAAAAAATTCTTTAAAAATAACTATCATGATAAAGACATTCCCTTGTTAGACATTAGAAGGTGCTATGAAGCTTTGAAGTTTAAACAGATAAATAAATCATAGAAATAAAATAGCGAAGCAAAAAACAAATTCTATTATTTATGGATTTTGATTATATCACAAAGTTGGCATTTTGTTTCATTGAGGAAAGGTTATTTCAGTTATTTCATAAATGGTTACAGCATAGCTAATATTTAATTCATCTAGAATAAAATGAAGTGGAAGTCACACCTTTTACCACATATGAAAATAAATCCTAGCTGAATTTAAAACTTAAATATTAAAAATAAAAAAGTATGTAGAAAAAAATTAAGTATTTATACTTACTACCTAAATGTGGGACAAACATTTTTATGGGTCCAGGAAATTCAGGAACTGTAAAAGATAGACGTACATAAATAAATATAAATTTATGTCTTTGTATAGCAAAAGATAGCAAAGTCATTAGATAGGTCATAGATCTGTAAAATGAAGTTGCAACACAGATACAGATACACTTTAAAGTCTACATAATATAAAGAATATTTAGGATTCATTCTGGCAAGAAACATAATTCAATAGTATAATGAACAAAGAATGTAAATTGGCAATTCTTAGAAACAAAACCATATGTTAGAATCCTTAAATTCACAATTACTAGAATACATCCAAATATAGGAAAGGAGAGGAAAGTGTAGATGAATAAAAATAAAATAAGGAGACAAAAAAATACAGAACAAAAATCCTCTCAGAACATTTGATATGAATTTGAGTACATAAAATTTCCAATGCATGTACGTATACACATAAAGTCTTGAAAAAATAGATAAACTTAGGTATATATTTATGATTACTGGCCATATTGAGTATATATGGCGAGTGAAAAAATGTCCACATTGCATGGTAATGTATATGCTATGATTCTATTTTCTTATCAACAGTAGCAACAATAAAAGTACTATAGATGTGTGTGCACGTGTGTGTATGCAAGAATATATTTGTTGAGAATGTTGATTTGAAAGGACACCAGGCTGGCTACTTGTGCGTGTGTGCGTGCGTGTGTGTGTGTGTGTGTGTGTGTGTGTGTGTGTGTTGGGAGGGAGGGGTGTTGTATAAGATGGCAGCAGCCGGCAAAAACTATACTTCTTTTGTTATTTTAGAATATAGTCCTCCTACTTATTTTAAAATAAAAAAAAGAGTTAACTGTAAAACAGCTTCATGCAAGTCCTTCAGGAGATATTCTAGAAGAAGGCATTGTTATCCTAGGAAATGACAGCTCCATGAGTGTTATTGCCCTGAAGACTTTCCAGTGGGACAAGATATGGAGATGGAAGACAGTGATACTGATGATCCTAATCCTGTGTAGGTCTAGGCTAATGTGTGTGTTTGTGTCTTAACTTTTAACAAAATGGTTTAAAAATTAAAAATAGGAAGTAGAAAAAGCTTATAGAATAAGGATATAAAGAAAAAATAGTTTTATACAGCTGTGAAAATCAGTTTGTGGTTTCAGCTAAGTGTATTTACAAAAGACTTATAAAGTTAAAAAATACAAGTTCTTAAAGTAAAAAAGTCATGATAAGCAAAGGTTAATTTATTATTAAAGAAAAAATATTGCTTATAAATTTAGTGTACTAAGTGTAGAGCTTTATAAAGTTTACAGTAGTGGACAGTAATGCTCCAGGCTTTCGCATTTACTCGTCACTCACTCATTGATTCACTCAGAGCAACTTCCAGTCCCGCAAACTCCATTCTAGGTGAGTGCCCTATACAGGTAAGGCACGTTATCATTTACATTATCTTAAATACATTATCTTTTATAATGTATTTATACTTCATCTTTTCTGTTTAGATCATATAAGTACTGACCATTGTGTTGCAATTGCCTATAGCAGTCAGTACAGTAACATGCTGGTCAGGTTTGTAGCCTAGGAGCAATAGTCTATACCATGTAGCCTAGGTGTGTATCATTAGGCAATACCATCTAGAACTGTGTAGTACACTCTGTGATATTGGTAGAATGATGAGATCACTGAATGAAACATTTCTCAGAACCAATCTGCATTGTTAAAGATGTATAACTATACTGAAAATGTATACATATTTACACTCCAGTTTCATGTGGTCTCTTAAAATAAAGAATAAACATTTACCAAGAAAATGCAATTCTTCATCAGTGTGTAATGTAAAATTGGGTATTGTCAGAATTATGCTAAAGATTTCTTATATGATTCACGAGGAGTATAAGATGTGATTTTCATCATACAAACCTGTAGAGGATTTTGCACTTTAAAGTTTACAAACAGCATCTCCTAATGAGGAATAAAGGAAAGTTTCTCTGCAGGTGTCTGATCATGTTTTCACTCTGCTCTAACATGACCATCAAAACCCTAGGGGAGAAGAGGGATGAATATCAAATTCTAAAGTGTTTCTTCTTACCTGCAGAGTTTACTCCATTTAGGTTTACTATTAGGTTTCTAAGCCATAATACATTAATTCACTGTGAGAATAAAAAATAGTCAAATTGCCCTTTTAGAAGTTTAGGCTCTAAGGTTACCCCCCAAATTATATGATTTGGTGATTTTATTTAATTATATTAACCGATAGCTCCAACCTATCTGACAAATTAAACGTGTCTGGATATCAGGTTGTTGAAATAAAATCTCAATTTTATTGAAATGTTAATGAAAACCAGTTCTGAGGCTTTAAGTGACTTATCCAAGGACACATAGGTAGTAAGTAGCATGGAGGAATTTGAACCCATACCTGCCCAAAACCTAAGTTCAGGCTGTACAGCTCTCCACCTGCATCAACCTGCGGTAGAAAGTCCAGAGAAGCCTGGCAAAACAACTAAAAAATGCACCTATCGAGCATTTCAAAGAGCAGAAGATAAGAGAGGCAGAGAAGGTGGGAGGGCTTACGTTCATGTTTTTGGGGGTGAGTGAATTGGGGGTGGGCATTCATGTAGGATAAGTATATGGTGGAGGTGAAAGGAAATTGACTTGGCTCAGGGAAATCTAATTGGCTTGGAGGTGAGAATTGTGGGTGACTTAAAAACTGCAGTGGCCTACAACTAGTAATTTCTATTTCATCCTGACTTTATTTCTTGTCCAAAGGGAGGAAAAATGCCTTGAAGAATAGGAGTAGGAGAGAGAAGAAAGGAAAGCTAGTGGGAGTTTAAGTCAAGGTTGGTTTCCTTCCTGACCTCACCCACATTCTCCCACTCTTCCTGTTTGCACTCAGCTGCTGCCCAGGCGGAGGCTACTAAGGAGAGTTGGGTTTCAAGCAGGCTTTGTAGGAAAATGGGGGCTTAAGTGAAGCAAAAGCTCCAGGGTGACTCTGAGGGACCTTGCAGCTAGGATTTCCTGGGAAGTTTCTCCTCCTCACCATTCTATTAAGCTATAGGGGCAGAAATAAGAGCCTCCTATGTAGCAGGTGACCCTTAAAGTCAATGAATGAGTAACAAGAGGAATATAATCTTTTTATTTGTGTTACAGAATAAGGATATTTGTGACTGCAATTCTCATATTCTCCAAACACCAACTGGGTGTCCAACAATTCAGTTCTATTGTAACACTAACTCCTCAGAGTTAGCATCAGACTCCACAGGTTTAAGGGCTCAGTCCCACAAGACTGCCCTCCCATCAGATGCTGTCTCAAGATCTCAAGGACTGGGTCCCCAGGTTAGCTGCACTTCTGTCTGACTTGGCTACAAATTCAGAGGCTCCCACAACCTCCTTGCCAGGTTTGGTGATTCACTAGAATGTCTCACAAAACTCAGGAAAGTGCTTTTCTTATTGTTATCCATCTATTACAAAGGCTACAACTCAGAACAGTCAAGTAGAAGAGATGCACAGAGCAAGGTATGGGGCGAGGCAAGGAGCTTCCCTGCCTTTTCTGGGTGTGCCACCCTCCAGCACCTCATTGTGGTCACTGACCAGGAAGCTCTCTGAACCCTGTTGTTTAGTGGTTTTTATGGAGGTTTTATTGCGTAGGCATGATTGATTAAATCATTGGCCACAGGTGATTCAACACAGTCTCCAGCCCCTTTCCCCTTGCCTGCAAAGTCAGGGGGTGGAGCTGAATGTTTCAACTCACTAATCATTCTGTTGTCTTTCTGGAGACCACCTTCCATCATGAAGTTATCCAGGGACCCTCAAGAAGACAAGAAGATGAGGGAAAGTTTGGAACTTACTAGAGACTTGTTGAATGGTTTATATATTAACATAAACTTAGTCATTGTTGAAAGGGGCTTGTTATGAAAGACAAAAGATACTCCCATCACTCAGGAAATTCCAAAAGTTTTAAGAGCTCTGTGCCAGCAATTGGGTACAAAAACTAAATATTTCTTATTTTACCTCAGTGACATATTTTCATAATAAAATGGAACTTTTTGGGGAGGTTAACATTTCTTTGTTATATTAGGATAAATCATTTAGCTTATTCTGGGGTAATCTGATATTCCCCTGTTTGAAAAACCCAGGAATTGCTATTCCAAATAAAAGTCTTCTCACTCTAAAGAAAAGGACAAAGCCCTCTGTATAAATTAACTAGAGCTGCTGTAAGAAAATATCACAAACTGGATAATTAAACAACAAAGATTTACTGTCTCACAGCTGTGTAGGCTAGAAGTCCAAAATCAAGGTGTCAGTAGGGCTGGCTTCTTTTGAGGGGCTGTGAGACAGAGGATCTATCCCAGATCCTCTCTCCATGGCTTGTACATGGCCCTCATTTACATCTCTTGACATCATCTTTGCCTTCCCTCTGTTTATCTCTATGTCCAAATTCTCCCTTTTCATAAGGACAACAGTCATGTTGGATTAGGACACACCTTAATGGTCCTCGCTTTAACTTGGTTACTTCTGTAAAGATCCTATCTCCAAATACAGTTACATTGTAGGCATTCAGGTTATTTCGGGGAGACACAATTTAACCAATAATATCCTCCCTTTGCTAATGAGCATCCTTTCTGAATCAGTTACTAAGGCTTATGTGGTGATTGTGTGTGGAGGCGGAAGTGGGAGTATAAAGAAAGAGCTGGAGAGACTAGAGATGAAGGGAGGAGAGGAGAAATGACTGCTGGCATCCGAAGAGTGGAGTGGGACTTGAGAGTGGGGCTCTCTCCAAGGTTCATTTCATGCATGAACTGAAAGAAGGGCCACTGCAAGGCATATTTCTAATAATTTTTGTACTCTGAGTCAGCTCCAGTGAATTGTCCAGTCTTAGGGTGGCTGGAACTTTTCTAGGAGTGAATAGGCACTGTCACCCCTCAGCCTCTGTGAAGTGGAAAAGATGCCCAGCCCAAGAGGTGAGCTCCTGACTTGCTAGTGTTGGGCTCATCCAGATGTGCATGCTCTGCATGTAATTATTCTGTAATAAATGGCTTCCAACTCTATGACCTAAAGTACTTGGAGGAAGAAATTTAATATGTAACATTGTGATTAAAAACATGATTCAGAGAGAGACTGATACCCTTTCTTTCAGGTACTTTTCAACATTAAATTTAATATGAGGTAAACTTGTAAAAGAGGTTCATTTCTACAATCTTATTCAAAAACAATATTGCTATATGTGTTGGAAAAATGTAAGAAATAATGATTCTAAATATGTGTCTCTTCTTCTCTTAAATTATTTAAATATGCCATTTAACATGAGGAAATAAATGAACTACACCCAGAGAATTGGCATGGTATTGCTTATGATAGAAAAAAGAGAAAATGCAGGGAAGATTTAAGTTAGAACTACAGCTGCTGATACAGTTTGGTTCTGTGTCCTCACCCAAATCTCATCTTGAACTGTAATCCCCACATGTTGAGGGTGGGGCCTGGTGGGAAGTGATTGGATGATGGGGGCAGTTCCCCCATGCTGTTCTTGTGACAGGGAGTGAGTTCTCACAAGAGTTGATCGTTTTAAAGTGTGGCACTTCCTTGTGCTCTCACTTTCTCTCACCTGCTACCATGTAAGATATGCCTTGCTTTCCCTTCACCTTCCACCATGATTATAAGTTTCCTGATGCTTCCCCACCCACGTGGAACTGTGAGTCAATTAAACCTCTTTTGTTTATGAATTACCCAGTCTCAGGAAGTATCTTTATAGCAGTGTGAAAACAGACTAATACAGATAATTGGTACTGGCAAAGTGGGGTACTGCTATAAAGATAACCTGAAAATGTGGAAGTGACTCTTGAATTGGGTAACAGGCAGAGGTTGGAACAGTTTGGGGACTCAGAAGAAGACAAGAAGATGAGGGAAAGTTTGGAACTTCTTAGAGACTTGTTGAATGGTTTTGACCAAAATGCTGATAGTGATATGAACAATGAAGTCGAGGCTGAGGTTGTCTTAGATGGAAATGAGGAACTTATTGGGAACTGGAATCGAGGTCACTCATGCTATGCTTTAGCAAAGAGACTGGTGCCATTTTTCCCCTGCCCAGAGACCTGCGGAACTTTGAATTTGGGAGAGTTCAAGGAAACTTTTAATATTTCAAAAAGTGTTGTGCCCTAATCCAGCATGACTGCTGTCCTTATAAAAAGGAGGAATTTGGACATAGGGATAAGTACAGATGGAAGGCAAAGATGATGTCAAGAGATGTAAAAGAGAGCCATGTAAAATCCATGGAGAGAGGACCTGGGACAGATCCTCCAGGCACATCTTACATAGTGGCAGGAGAGAGAGACCGAGAGTGGGGGCTCTGTGTCCCTACTCACATCTCATACCAAATTGTGATCCCCACATGTTGTGGGAAGGATCTGGTGGTAGGTGATTGGATAATGATTTAGAGTATCTGGCGGAAGAAATTTCTAAGCAACAAAGCATTCAAGATATGACCTGGCTTATTCTGAAAGTGTTCAGTTATATGTGTTCACAAAGTGATGGTTTGAAATTGGAACTTATGTTCAAAAAAGTAGAGGCCAAAAGTTTGGAAAATTTGTAGCCTGACCATTTGGTATAAGAGAAAAACCCATTTTCTGGGGTAGAATTCAAGCCAGCTGCAGAAATTTGCATAAGTAACGACGTGCTGAATGTTAATAACCAAGACAATGGGGAAAATGTCTCAAGGGCATATTAGATGTCTTTGCAGTAGCCCTTCCCATTGCAGGCCCAGGGGCCTGGGAGGAAAAAAATTGGTTTCATGGGTCAGGCCCAGGGCCCCACTGCTCTGTGTAGCCCCAGGACATGGCACCCTGCATCCCAGCCCCTCCAGCTTTGCCTGTGGCTAAAAGGGGCATAGGTACAGCCTGGGCTGCTGCTTCAGAGAGTGCAAGCCCCAAGCCTTGGCAGCTTCCATGTGGTATTGGGCCTACAGATGCACAGAAGACAAGAGTTAAGCTTTGGGAACCTCGCCTAGATCTGAGAGGATGTATGGAAATGCCTGGATGTCCAGGCAGAAGTCTGCTGCAGGGGCAGAGCTTTCATGGAGAACCTCTGCTAGGGCAGTTTGGAGGGGAAATATGGGTTTGGAGCCCCCACACAGAGGCCCCACTGGGGCACAGCCTAGTGGAGCTGTGAGAAGAGGGACACTGTCCTCCAGACCCCAGAATGGTAGATCCGCCAACAGCTTACACACCATGCGCTTGTAAAAGCCATAGGCATTCAATGTCAGTCTGTGAAAGAAGCCACAGGGGCTCTACCCTGCAGAGCCACAGGAGTGGAGCTCCACAAGGCTGTGGGAGCCCAGCCCTTGCATCAACATGCTCTGGATGTGAGACATGGAATCAAAGGAGATTTTGGAGCTTTATGATTTAATGACTTGCCTAGCCAGGTTTTGGACTTGTAAGGGGCCTGTGGCCCCTTTGTTTTGGCCAATTTCTCCCATTTAGAATGGGAACATTTACTCAATGCCTATACTCCCATTGTATCTAGGAAGTAACTAACTTGCTTTTGATTTTACAGGCTCATAGGTAGAAGGGACTTGCTTTGTCTTAGATGAGACTTTGGACTTGGACTTTTGAGTTAATGCTGGAATGAGTTAAAACTTTGTGGGACTGTTGGGTAGGCATGATTGGTTTTGAAATATGAAAAGGACATGAGATTTGGGAGGGGCCGGGGTGGAACGATATGGTTTGACTCTGTGTCCCCACTCAAATCTCATATCAAATTGTAATCCCCACGTGCCAAGGGATGGACCTGGTGGGAGGTGATTGGATCATGGGGCAGTTTCCCCCCTGCTGTTCTCATGATAGTGAGTGAGTTCTCATGAGAGTTGATGGTTTTAAACTGTGGCACTTCCTCACTCTCTCACTCTCTCTCCTGCTGCCATGTAAGACTTGCCTGCTTTTCCTTCACTTTCCACCATGATTGTAAGTTTCCTGAGACCTCCCCAGCCACGTGAAACTGTGAGTCAATTAAACCTCTTTTGTTTATATATTCCCCAGTCTCAGGTAGTCTTTTTATAGCAGTGTGAGAACAAACTAATACAGCTGCTTCACCTATTTATTATCCAGAATTGTAAAATGGCAGAATTCAATTCAAATATTTTTAAAGCATCTCCCAAAGTTTGGATATTTGTCCCCTCCAAACATCATGTTGAAAGTGGATCCCCAGTGTTGGAGATGAGGCTGAGTTGGAGGTGTTGGCATCATGGGAGCGGATCCCTCCTGAATAGATTTATGTCCTCACTGTGGGGAAGGGGAAGTGAATGAGTTTTTGCTCTATTGGTTCCCATAAGAGCTGGTTGTTAAAAAGAGCCTGCCATTTCTTCCCCACCTTGCTTCCTGTCTTGCCATGTGACCTCTGTACATGCCAGCTCCCCTTCACCTTCCACCATGAGTGGAAATAGCCTGAGGTTTACACCAGATGCTCAGCGTTCCAGCCAGCAGAGTTGTGAGCCAAATAAACCTTTTTTATTTATAAATTATCCCATTTCAGTTATTTCTTTTTCTTTTCTTTTACTTTTTTTCTTGAGTCAAGGTCTCACTCTGTCACCCAGGCTGTAGTGTAGTGGGATGATCACAGCTCACTATAGCCTTGACCACCTGGGCTCAGATGATCCGCTCACCTCAGTCTCGTGGGTAGCTGGGACTACAGGCATACGCCACTAGGCCTGGCTAATTTTTTGTATTTGTTGTAGAGATGGAATTTTACCATAGCGCCCAGGCTGGTCTCAAACTCCTGGGCTCAAGTTATCCTCCCACATTGGCCTCTCAAACTGCTGGGATTACAAGTGTGAGCCACCATGCCTGGCCAGGTATTTCTTTAAAACAATGCAAAATAGGCTAAGAATAGCACATAGTGTGTACCTTACACTATAGTACAAGTTTCTGTCTGCGAGTATCTGGGATGGGGGAGAAAAAGATATATACATTTATTTACATTTTAAGGTCCTGTCAGAACTATTTCTTTCAGGATGCATTCAGCTTTAATGTATCAAGGGAAAGAGAGTAGGTTTGATGACTTGTTATGTAAAACATTATGTGTGTATTGTATAAAATTTTACCCAGGTATAGATAACTATCCAATCAGGAATTACAGTTAAATACAAATCTGACATTATTTTGGGGAAGCCTATATTTCAGAGGCATCTAGTATAAGTGCTTCTGTTATTCAGAATCTTTGCTAATTAACATAAATTGATGATAGAAATATACTCTCTTGTTGAAATAAATTGATTAAATTTCCATTCAATATGAGTGGATTGGCTAAAATATTTGAAAGATACACCCTACTTTTGTGTGAAATCGGCATAATAACTGAGACTTGGAGCCTAGGTTGGATGTTTACACCTTGATTTCTAAATTGTCTTGGGTTTAGTCACTGTAGGATGACAGAATACTCCTTCCAGAAAAATGTTGTGGTTTCCCCAAGTGACCTTTTATACAATGTATGGTTGCAACACTTAAAAAAAGACAGAGAGCTGAGACTTCTTTGTGCTTACAGAACCAGTTGTGTAAAACCTTTTTGTGCTTGCATAAAATAAAACTTTAATAAATATGTCTGTGTTGCAAAATTTGATCACAACTGGATGGCAAAATTGTGGTGGATTGTCTAATCTCCAACCAAGGTTAAGAGTTTGCATGATCAAATTTATCTCAGTTAACAATAGAGTTTGTATTATGGCCTTCAATTCCATCTTCCTTTAATTCAATTTTGGGCCAGGGGTCACTTCACCAGTGGTCAGCCCCTGGAACTCCTAACCATGTCTGTTTTGTTAGGAGGCAGCCCCTCCAAGTGGCTGTTAATAAGGAAGTCAAGGTGAGCCAGCCACATTGCTCTCCATTGCTCCATATTCCCCTGCAGCAGCCGCATCTAAGGTTTCATGGGTATATCAGACCATATTGATGAGTTGGGGTTAACTAAACACAGTGACAATGTTAAACAGGAAAAAATAGTAAGTGACCTGACATGGCTGCGCACATAGGTTGTGGACACTTTAAAAATAATGCTCCATAAAATATCTCTTTCACTGGTAAGGTTCTACATGGACACACCAACTTGCCTTATTATCCTACTGTATGTCCCTGTCATTCAACCTGTCCACTCTGAGTCTTTACCCTCCACCTTCCACCACCCATTATTTACACACATCTTTTTGGCCGTAGTGTTTATTGTCACATTTGCAGGATATATTGAAACAGAGTAATCCTCAGCAATGCATTTCCTAAATTCTGGCATTTTCTAATCTGAAACACAGGCTTGTTCTATTTCTCCATTCTGTTTAGAACAAAGGTCAATTCCTATCCAATGCCCAGGCCACATTTCAAGCCAACCAAATCAGAATTTCTGAGGGTAGAACCATGAATTTTTTAAGCCCCCCAGGCCACAGTTAAGAACCACTGTTCTGGCCGGGTGCGCTGGCTCACGCCTGTAATCCCAGTACTTTGGGAGGCCGAGGCGGGCAGATCACGAGGTCAGGAGATCGAGACCATCCTGGCTAACACGGTGAAACCCCATCTCTACTAAAAATACAAAAAATTAGCTGGTGGCGGGCACCTGTAGTCCCAGCTACTCAGGAGGCTGAGGCAGGAGAATAGCGTGAACCCGGGAGGCGGAGCTTGCAGTGAGCTAAGATCACGCCACTGCACTCCAGTCTGGGGGACAGAGCAAGACTCCGTCTCAAAAAAAAAAAAAAGAACCACTGATCTAAAAGAACAACAAGAGGGACGGCGAGAGGGTGGCTGGCTTTGACATTAAGTACAAGACCATATACATTTCCTAGAAGCAAACATGAAGTCTCAGACACAGTATAGTCTAAATATGTTGCATGACAAATACATAATTTCCTAATTGTAAAATAATTTAAACAATTGTCTCTTCCCATACTAAATATAACACCTTACCTTATTACAAGCAGAAGTTCTGGTTTCTGTTTGTTAATTGAATTATTGATTTCAGATTGTACCTTAGTGGCCTTTGGTACATTAAAGAACAACAAAAAAACAAGTTCAGAATCTACCTGCAGTTTATTGAGATTTTAAAATCAAAATACCTTCATTATCTTATTTTTGCTATTTAATGTTTTACTTTTGAATCAAATTATATACTCACATAATTTAAAGGGTTAAATTGTTTTAGAATTATTTATTGAGAAACAGCTACTTTATGTCCCTTGTCTTATTTTCTTTTCTCACAGTAAAACATTTTTATAGTTTCTGCTTCATTTACTGAGTGCTGTGACACACATTTCAGCTCCTTTTGTCATCTTGTTCTCTCCTTACTGAGCCCTGGGCTCTCTACATTTGCTCACATTTGTAAGTTGATAGATTCATTAGGTTAAGTAACTTGGTGCTGAATTTTGATCATAGTTTTCATTTATTGTGATGGATTGTTTTCTTGAAGGCGTTCTTAAGTAAACTTTTGTTTTTTCCTTTATCTTCTTATTTTTTTCCTTCCTTCTTTGTTTATGTCTTGTGCTGCTTCCTTTAAAAAATTATTGAGGTGAAATTCATAGAACATAAAATTAATCACTTTAAAATTTACAGTTCAATGTTATGTAGTACATTCACAAGATTGTGGAACCATATCTTTATCTTGTTCTACCACATCTTCTCCCCAAAAGGAATCTTGTTGCCCACCAAGCAGTCTCATTACCTTTTGGTAAGACAAAATACTTATCATATTAGCTACCTATTGCTGTGTAACAAATGGCTGAAACATAGCGACTTCAACCAACAATCATTTCTTAGTCTTACAGTTTTTGAGAGTCAACAATCAAGACATGGCCTAGACTTCAACTTAGCATTTTGCACAAGGCTCTGCTCAAGGTGTCAGGAGCTGCTGTTGTGTCAAAGCTTGACTTAGAAGGAGTCCCTTTCTAAGCTCGCTCATGTGGGTGTTGGCAGGATTCATTTTCTTGCAGGCTGTTGGACTAGCGGCCTCTGTTCCTTGCTAGGTTTTGGCCAGATGCCGGCCTCAATTTCATGCTGTGGACCTTTCCACAGGGAAGCTCACATCAGGACAGTTGGCTCCGTCAGAACAAGTGAGGAAAAAATAGAAGAGAGAAAGACAGAGACAGAGACAAGACAGCCAGCAAGTCTTTTTGTAACCAGTCTTGGAAGTGACATCACGTCATGTTGTCCCTATTTTATTTGTGAAAAGCCATCACTAAGGTCCAGCCCATACTAAAAGAGAGAGGATTACACAACGGCATGAGTCAGCAATGTGCTGAGAATTGGGGATCCCTAGGGGGTATCTCAGAGGCTGCCTACCATGCATGGCATTCTCCAGATTTTTTTGGTTTGGAAATGGTGGAAATTTAAGGATCTATTATCCATCTTTTGAGTAATTGTTCATAATTAGAAGGTGGTTTTGTTTTTTCCCATTGTACCTCTAAAAGAATTTACATTAATTTAGGGGATAAAAAATTTACACAGGCAAAACACAACAATTAAGACTGAACACAGGCCGGGCGCGGTGGCTCACGCCTGAAATCCCAGCACTTTGGGAGGCCGAGGCAGGCGGATCACGAGGTCAGGATATCGAGACCATCCTGGCTAACACAGTGAAACCCTGTCTCTACTAAAAATACAAAAAAATTAGCCGGGCGCGGTGGCAGGCGCCTGTAGTCCCAGCTATTCGGGAGGCTGAGGCAGTAAAATGGCGTGAACCCGGGAGGCGGAGCTTGCAGTTAGCAGACGTCGTGCCACTGCACTCCAGCCTGGGCGACAGAGCGAGACTCCGTCTCAAAAAAAAAAAAAAAAAAAAAAAAAAAGACTCAACACAATAAGCTTTGAATATATGTGCCTTGCACATTAAAAAGGCAGTCAGATAGAATTGAATAATTATTATAAACCTATACCCAAATGACTGTCTCCGTAAATCCATATCCTATATCCTAGGTATGGAGCAAAAATATATTTATCATTAAGAAGAAGAAAGATCAATACTGGCTGCAGCTACTAAGGAGGGAACACACTTGAAAACCCCTACTTAAAGGAGAAGGAACACTATGGTGGTTATTTGAGCAACAGGAAACAGATGATATTTAACATGGAGAAGAGAATATTTTGTGAGTTTTGGCAGCTGTTTTGGGATTTGCCATCATAAGAGGGCTGTGATGTCTTCGTGTTTCCCTGGCGGTGGACATGGAACCTCAGAGTAGAAAGAGCTTCTTGAAGATCTAGGTTGTGTATCCTGCATCCTATCCCACCCCACCCCAGCCAACTAATTATGTAGCTTTGAGTAACTTACCTAACATCTTTAGGTTTCCATTTTCCTGTCTGGAAATTGTGAAAATCACTGCATATATCTCAAAGAGTTGTTACAATAATAAACTTGTAGTAGAAGTTTAAGGATACATTATACTATATTTGCTTATACTTAATGAGGACTAAGAGTTGGAAACATTTAGAGGGGTTACGTTTTGCCTTAAAATTAAGAGGCATTAAGTATTAAGCCAATAGTGGTTAGCTTTTCACTTAATATTGGGAAGAATTATCACAGTTTGGAGTAGAAGTTAGCAAACTCTGTCAGGTGGGATTTTGCCCACGGCCTGTTGTTGTATGGACTGTTAGTGAGGCATGGTTTTTATACTTTTAAAGTGTTTTTGATGAAGTAGCAGCAATAGAAGTTGCAGTGGAGACTGTCCATGGCCCACAAAGTCAAAACTATTTGCTATCTGACCCTTTACGAAAAATGTTTGCCAAACCTGAAAATCTTTCTCAAAATGAGACGGCATCCTTGGGGAGTGAGTGGGTTTTCTATCAATTGAGAAGGCAGTAGAATGAGGATGATGTAGGAAGAAATGAAGTTGTGTAAAAAGAATTCAAACCCTAGAGGACAACTGAAGAAATATCTTCTGAAGTCCTTCTCAACCATAAGATTCTACCAGTTTGTGGCTGCCCATTCTGTATTTTGAAAGCTCTGGTTATTAGAGAGATCTTCCTTATATTGAGCAAACTCTTTCTTTGTAAATTCTATTCATGCCTGTTTTCTTTGCTACCTTTGTTCTTTGTTGTCTCTTGGAAGCTGCTGTCAGAAAAGTGTTTGGAGAAAATGAGGCTTAGGTCATCTTTGCTGTCTTGAAACCAGATTAGTCCATATTTTATGACAAAATGTTAAACAGGCATAGTGTTGACAGTGGTGAAGGGACAGAGGCAAATAAGAGGACTCTCTTCCTGTTAATAAAAATAAAAATAAGAAATAGTGTCCTGAACTTGTTTAGCTTTTAATCCTGATACATGGCACTAAGACATTATAGCCATAACAACAAAAATTTACTGAGCATCTATGTACAAGACACTGCATATATATTATTTAATTCAATCCTTACAAAAGCACTATGAGGTACCAATGATTTTATCACAACAGTAATTGAACATAATAACAGAAAAACCTACATCTGATGAGATAGGTACTATTATTATCTCCATTTTACAAGTCAAAAGATGAGGTTTAGAAGCATTAATAAACTTGTCTTAAGTAAGTGAGCAGCAGGCTCTGAAGTGAAGCCTTGGCCTGCATACCCCAAAGCCCATTCTCCTACCCACCACGATGTTCAACACATGGACTTTCTATTTGTGGCAATTATGAGTAAGGTGAACACTGCTGCTCCAAAACCTCTTCCCTCCCTTTACTGGTAATATAAAATCCAGTTGTCTCATTTTACATATTTTCCCCCTCTAAGCTATTAGAAGGAGTAGGGCCCCTCACACACTGTTTTTTTCTGAGTGCCTAAAACATGATGGGTATTTTTTTACTGTTTATTTTTATTATCTATCTCTATGTTCATAGGGAAATGGATTGGTATGAAACCCAACCTTCTTCCTGTGCTGTCTTTGGCCAAAGAGCAATGGTTTTTAGGTCTCCCGGCATGTGTAATGAATATTTTTTAACGAAAATATTATCCTGAAGCTACCTGAATCTATTATGTGTGGTAGCATTCCATATTCCCTCCCGTCTGTGTTTCTGCTTCTCTGAAATTTGACTCTTCTGCATTTCTTTGCTACTCAGAAGAAAGTCTGTGTCTTTTTGTTGTTATTTACCTCATCTTAAAAGTCATCATATGCATTGGGGACATTTATTAATTTTTTTTAAAAGATGGCTTTTCCAGGATCATTATTAGCACAACAGTGAAAATGACACCCCCCCTCCAAAAAAAAGGTGGGCATACAACAATAATGTTTCCTTTTTAATGTTCTATAACCTGGAGATATGAATTTAGCTAAAGAATGGAAAAATTCTTGACTAGGCATTGAGGTCATGGAGTAAGATTGAGATGAAGGAGATTTTTTTTTTTCAAGTGTTGTTGATGGAGGTCAGGCATAGGAGGCTGATGCCCCAGAAGGAGTGTTTCTCTGGTACCAACCCTAGGTATTCTCCATGGGTTTGGAATAAACTGGGTCTGAGCAGTCAAGGTGGGTTTCATGTCATTCCAAATCAGCTATTTAAACTCACTGTCCCAGAAGCTTGAATCTTTAAGAGACCACAAAGATACTGAGCCATTCCCAAGGTGGCCTGAAGAAGAAGCTGTCCGTTAGTTCCAGGTTTACTTCTGGGTGGCAAAGCCAAATGGACTTATGTGCACTTGCCTTGGCTTGAGGATAGGGAAGGCCTTGATCGATAGAGCAAACAAGACCTTAGAACATGAAGAAATTAGAGGCAGGTTGAAGCTACCAGAAGAAGAGGGTATGCTGCCCAGGCAAGAAACCACACACGCCCTGAAGCAAGCACAGTTGCTTAGTGGTGTTACTAATCCTCATCCTAACCTAGGCTGGGACATATCTTATTACTTATTTATATTAAATCACAGATTTCTACCTCACCATCTTCCTGATGTGCTTGTGTTTACCTTCCCTGGAATGGGTGGTGACACTCCCTTATGAGTCAATGCAATGTCTTCTACATGTCTATGTTTTGAAGGAGATAATATCTGCTTATAGCAACGAGAAATAAAATATGAATAAGGATGATTACAAGCCAGTAGATCCTCAAGTATTAAAATGTGTGTGAATTCATTGGGGCTGAAGATTTGAGAGAGGTGATATCTGATGTAAGTGAAAGATGAGTCCTGGCTTCATGGGAATGAGATGGAGGTTTGCTACAGCAAATTCTTTCAATTTTGCCATTCTTATTCTGAATCCTGTGTGTTCTATGATTTTGTCTGAGTTAAAATTCATTTAGCAGCCTATTGAGTTGCCAATTTGCTTAAGGCGTCTCAAGGTGTCTTTTTCAACATATGTACTTTCTCTATCTCACATGGCCTTCATTTTTCTTCCCCAGGACCACTTTGCTTTATTAACATTCCTTAATCCATTAATACAAAAGTCTGGGATTACTTCTACTGAATTTCTTTCAGGCCAATCATTTTGGGATAATCGTGTTCCTTCATAATCCTCAAATGCTCCATGCAAATATCTACTACTGCATTTATTATGCATTTTTATAATTTCCTGTTTATATATTTACTTCTTCCAATTATTCTGTGGCTCATTCTTCTTTTTACAGATAAAAATAGAATGTTTTTAAAGGCCTCAGACTGAAGTAAGTCATTTTTCTGAATAGCATTAGTTTCTTTTCTTTCTTTCTTTCTTCCTTTTTTTTAGAAACAGGGTCTCACTTTGTCACCCAAGCTGGAGTGCAGTGGCGCGATCCCAGCTCACTGAACCCTCGACCTCATGGGCTCAAGGGATCTTCCTGCCTCAGCCTGCGAAGTAGCTGGGACTACAGGCGTGTGCCACCATGCTAATTTTTTGTATTTTTTGTAGAGACAGAGTTTCACCATGTTGCCTAGGCTGGTCTCCAACTCCTGAGCTCAAGTGATCTGCCCATCTCGGCCTCCCAAACTGTTAGGAATTCAAGCATGAGCCATTGCACCTGGCCAAGACCAGTTTAAGATAAACTAGCACATGATCACATAACTGACTCATGTTACATCGTCTAAGAAACCAGACACAAAAGGCCATTTGTTGTAAGACTGCATTGATATGAAATATCCAGAATTGGAAAATCCATATAAACAAAAACCAAATTATTGGTTGCCAAAGGCTTGAGGAAGAGGGAAATGGGGAGTGATTGCTTAATGAGTATGGAGTTTCCATTTGGGGTGATGAAAAATTCTAGAACTAGGTAGTGGTGATGGCTACACAACATTGTAAATGAGCTTAATGACACCAAAGTGTACACTTGAAAATGGTTACATGGTAAATTTTATTTTATGTGTATTTTGCCACAGTAAAAATAAACCTAAAAAGAAGTAAGTGAAAATACAAACAACAGTAAAGTCTGGTTAGAATGTTCTGACTTCTTTTGCTTCTCTGGGTTCCAAATCTTTGGCCTTCTATGGTGGGTCCATAACCTGCAGACTCTCCATAATGATTTTCTTCTCTATCTAAGTCCCCATATGGAATAAAAAGGCAGAGAGGATTTCTGTACAAGGAAAATGCGGTTAAATACTACCATAACCAGGTAACTTATTAAACACAACTAGAGATGGTTTTATTTTCTTTCTATTTACAACTATTTTAATTTACAAAATAACAGCTGTTTTCAAACAAAAAGGGACAAGTGCATGAAGTAAAATAAAAGTCATGTTAAGAATCTCTCATGACTAAGACAAAACTATATATAACCAAATTGGAGTTTTATTATTCATTTTCTGTGCATACAAACTGCATTCCCTTGCTTCTCTTGCAGTTAGGGGAGGTAATGTGTAATTGCATTGTGGCCAAAGGGGTGTTAGTGAAAGTAATGCAACCCAATTCTAAGGCTGCCATTAAAATGCCTGCACAGTCAGCATGTTCTCTTTGCCTTCTGCAATAATTTTGAAGGCAATATGCTTTAAATAGTAGGGTTAGAAGGAACCTGAATCTAACGTCACTGCTTGGAAGTGAGCTGCTAAGGAGAGCCGGGGAACTTGCATAAGACTGTTGATATGCATGAAAGAAAACTTATATTGTTATATCATTAAGCTTCTGAAATTCAGGACCTATTTGTTATCACAGCATAACCTCTCATATTTTGATTCATTTATCTCTCAATCTTATTCATTGGAGGTAACTACTGTATATCAATGTTTTTTTTTTCAATCAAAGTATAGAAATTTTCCATGCCATGTCTATTCCTATTCCTTTCAGATCTCAGATCTAGTTTGAGTGACCCAGTTACACTAATAGCCTATGTGCTTTCCTAGATCAGATAAGGGAATCCCATACCCCTAGCTTGATATTTGCTTAGGAATATGTATGTGATGTGATTCTGGCCAAAGGGAAATGAGAAGAAGTCTAACAGAGGTTTCCTGGAAAGGTGTTTCCATAGGTTAAAAAAATGTTTTTCTTCTGTTGCTCAATATTGTTATGAAGCCTGTATTTGTGGAACCATATACTGATGAGTGGAGTTATTGTGAGAACAGTTTATATGCCAAGTAGAGGAAACTGATGGAAGTAACCATTATTCTTCAAGAATCATTGAATTAATACATTAATCAACTCTTGAAATATATTTTGCCTATGACGTTTTTGACAGATGCAATAATAAAATGTTCTTGTTTTTCACCCATTGTAAATTTTTTCCTGTTACTTGCAGCCCAAAGCATCTTAAGAAATATTGATATTTAAATTGTTCCCAATAATTGTAATATTTCAAATAATATTGCAGCAAACATCATTGTACATTTTTTGTTATGTCCATAATTTTTTTTTGTAATTGTATTTCTGGGTCACAGAGTCTAAGTATTTAAATTCTTGGGTAAATAGGTAAAACATAAAATTTATGTTTTGTGCTTTCACATTTCTTTTTGATACTATTTATACTGAAGCCAGCAATTGGAAAAACAGATCTATATAAGTCAAGCACTATTTTTCCCCCATTGTACTATGATGTCTTCTCTTGAGCTTAAAAAAATGTAGGACTCGAAAAAATGTCTTCAGGTGTTTTTATCACATAATTTTCTTCTACAAAACTGACTCAACCACCAGCATTATCAGGAAAACTTTTCATAATGTTTGTGGGTTAGGTCCATATGTTTTTTGAGACATTGATCAATTCAGTGATGGCTTTGTTCCATTTATCACCAGGACTTATTTGTTAGGGACTTACCTTGTTGAATTCCTCCCTGTTTGAATAGTCACTTCCTCCTGTCTCGGCTGGCTGGCTTTGATGTCTAGTACTGTCTGGTATTATTTTTAAGATGAGTGTGGGAAGAAAAGAGGAAATGTGTCTGCATATTGCACCAACCTCTGATCCATGAGTACTTTTCTACTTCTGAATTTTAAGATGTAGTTCACCAGAGGTTTAAGTTTCTTTTCATTCTAATCCCAATTTGAGCCCTGTCTAATATCCTTTTCTTAAGTAAACATTCATAATAGCCAAAAAACAAACAAACAAACAAAAAAACACCTTTCATTTGAAGACTAAAAAGCCTTGAAAATAGGATCTGGAAAAACCCTAATCAAAGAATCTTCAGAGCCGCTGCGTTTTTGTTGTTGTTGTTGTTGTTTTTCTAATTTAGCAAAGCAGGTGTGGAGTTGGGAATCTAGATTTCTAATCTTTATTCTTCCACTTAGTCACTGACTACACTTGGGCAAGTGAATTAAATGCCCTGGACAATGGGTTCTCTATATATAAAGCAGAGGAATTAACCAGAGCAACCCTAGACAAAATTGGAAAGTTGCTAGAGTTGGTCTCATGTAGTCTTTGTCATAATTATTATTATACCTTAACTTATGGGATACATGTGCAGAACGTGCACGTTTGTTACATAGATATATATGTGCCATGGTGGTTTGCTGCACCCATCAACCCGTCATCTACATTAGGTATTTCTCCTACTGCTATCCCTCCCCTAGCCCCCAGCTTCCCAACAGGCCCTGGTATGTGATGTTCCCCTCCCTGTGTCCATGTGTTCTCACTGTTCAGCTCCCACTTATGAGTGAGAACATGTGGTGTTTGGTTTTCTGTTCATGTGCTAGTTTGCTGAGAATGATGGTTTCCAGCTTCCTTCATGTCTCTGCAAAGGACATGAACTCATCATTTTTTATGGCTGCATAGTGTTCCGTGGTGTATATGTGTCACATTTTCTTTATCCATTCTATCATTGATGGGCATTTGGGTTGGTTCCAAGTCTTTGCTATTGTGAACAGTGCTGCAATAAACATACATGTGCATGTGTCTTTATAATAGAATGATTTATAATCCTTTGGGTATATATCCAGTAATGGGATAGCTGGGTCAAATGGTATTTCTGGTTCTAGATCCTTGAGGAATTGCCACACTGTCTTCCACAATGGTTGAACTAATTTACACTCTCAACAACAGTGTAAAAGTGTACCTATTTCTCCACATCTTCTCCAGCATCTGTTTCCTGACTTTTTAATGATCGCCATTCTAACGAGCATGAGATGGTATCTCATTGTGGTTTTGATTTGCGTTTATCTAGTGACCAGTGATGATGAGCTTTTTTTCATGTGTTTTTTGGCCACATAATGTCTTCTTTTGAGAAGTGTCTGTTCACATCCTTCACCCACTTTTTGGTGTAGTTGTTTGTTTTTTTCTTGTAAATTTAAGTTCTATGTAGATTCTGCATATTAGCCCTTTGTCAGATGGATAGATTGCAAAAATGTTCTCCCATTTTGTAGGTTGCCTCTTCACTCTGATGATAGTTTCTTTTGCTGTGCAGAAGCTCTTTAGTTCAATTAGATCCCATTTGTCAATTTTGGCTTTTGTTGTCATTGCTTTCGGTGTTTTAGTCATGAAGTCTTTGCCCAAGCCTATGTCCTGAATGGTATTGCCTAGGTTTTCTTCTAGAGTTTTTATGGTTTTAGGTCTTACATTTAAGTAGTTAATCCATCTTGAGTTAATTTTTGTATAAAGTATAAGGAAGGGGTCCAGTTTCAGTTTTCTGCATATGGTCAGCCAGTTTTCCCAATACCATTTATTAAATAGGGAATCCTTTCCCCATTGCTTGTTTTTGTCAGGTTTGTCAAAGATCAGATGGTTGTAGATGTGTGGCATTATTTCTGAGGCCTCTGTTCTGTTCCATTGGTCTATATATCTGTTTTGGTACCAGTACCATGCTGTTTTGGCTACTGTAGCCTTGTATCATAGTTCGAAGATTAACAAAATAGACTACTAGGCAGACTAATAAAGAAGAAAAGAGAGAAGAATCAAATAGACACAATAAAAAATAATAAAGAGATCTCATCACTGATCCCACAGACATACAACTACCATCAGACAATACTATAAACACCTCTATGCAAATAAACTAGAAAATCTAGAAGAAGTGGATACATTCCTGAACACATACACCCTCCCAAGACTAAACCAGGAAGAAGTCAAATCCCTCAATTGACCAATTACAAGTTCTGAAATTGAGGCAGTAATTAATAGCCTACCGACCAAAAAAAGCCCAGGACCAGACAGATTCACAGCTGAATTCTACCAGAGGTACAAAGAGGAGCTGGTATCATTCCTTCTGAAACTATTCCAAACAATAGAAAAAGAGAGACTCCTCCCTAACTCATTTTGTGAGGCCAGCATCATCCTGATACCAAAACTTGGCAGAGACACAACAAAAAAACACAAAATTTCAGGCCAATATCCCTGATGAACATCAATGTGAAAATCCTCAATAAAATACTGGCAAACCAAATCCAGCAGCACATCAAAAAGCTTATCCAACACGATCAAATGGGCTTCATCCCTGGGATGCAAGCCTGGTTCAACATACACAAATCAATAAATGTAATCCATCACATAAACAGAACCAATGACAAAAACCAGGTGATTATCTCAATAGATGCAGAAAAGGCCTTTGATAAAATTCAGCACCCTTTCATACTAAAAACTCTCAATAAACTAGGTATTGATGGAACATATCTCAAAATATAAGAACTATTTATGACAAACCCACAGCCAATATCATACTGAATGGGCAAAAGCTGGAAGCATTCCCTTTGAAAACCGGCACAAGACAAGGATGCCCTCTCTCACCACTCCTATTCAACATAGTATTGGAAGTTGTGACCAGAGCAATCAGGCAAGAGAAAGAAATAAAGGGTATTCAAATAGGAAGAGAGGAAGTCAAATTGTCTCTGTTTGCAGATGACATGATTGTGTATTTAGAAAACCCCATGGTCTCTGCCCAAAATCTCCTTAAGCTGATAAGCAACTTCAGCAAAGTCTCAGGATACAAAATCAATGTGCAAAATTCACAAGCATTCCTATACGCCAATAATAGAGAGCCAAATCACGAGTGAACTGCCATTCACAATTGCTACAAAGAGAACACAATACCTAGGAATACAACTTACAAGGGATGTGAAGGACCTCTTCAAGTACAAATACAAACCACTGCTCAAAGAAATCAGAGAGGACACAAACAAATGGGAAAATATTCCATGCTTGTGGATAGGAAGAATCAATACTGTGAAAATGGCCATACTGCTCAAAGTAATTTCTAGATTCAATGCTATCCCCATCAAGCTACCATTTACTTTCTTCACATAATTAGAAAGAAGTACTTTAAATTTTATATGGAACAACAACAACAACAACAAAAAACCAGCCCGTATAGCCAAGACAATCCTAAGGAAAAAGAACAAAGCTGGAGGCATCATGCTACCTGACTTCAAGCTATACTACAAGGTCTCATGTACTCTTATCTTCCCTTAGCATTCTCTTTTCTCCACTTCGTCAATAGTTAGATGTTCTCATTGTGTCTCGTAAATGTTTTAGGGTCTCTGATTCTGGATTCTTTTGTTCCATTTTTCTCATGCATTATATCTTATTCCAAAACCCTTCATATTTACAGTCTCCTGAGACCTTCCTCCTTGAAAATGATATATTAATCCATGCTAATCAGTTAATGAGTTACTTCTTAGTAACTTGCTTTCATTCTAACAAAGACTTTTAATAAACATAATATATCTATTCTAAAAAAGTAACACAAAAAGTGGAAATTATAAGCACTTTGGTTGGGTCAGTGGGAAATGTTGAGGGTGGGGGTTGGTCAAGGCCCTCTTTAAAATCACTAGAAAATAGCCCATTGACCTGCCTTGTTGAATGGAACATATATAGATAGGGGTGCTCCTAATTTCCTTGAGGGGACTGCATGACCTTAGCATTCTTTTTATACTTTTTAAAATCTGATGTGATTTTTAAAAATATATAGAGAGTTTATACACCTTGAAGGGAGAAATTGGGACCAAGGTTTCCTATTAATTCAGAGAAGCCTGAATCCTAGCTAGATGTCAGCTGATTCCTAGACCCTTTTAGGGAGTTTGGCCTAAAGGACCTGGCCACATCACTGTGGCCCTTTTCTTCATGTTAAGGACCTTAAACCCTTGGTGTTGCTTATGGACACATGTTCTGTCCCTGAACAGAATTCTGAGTTCTGTGTGGTCAGGACCTTGGCATTTTACTTCCTTTCATGTTCCATGCTAACCTAGCACAGGCTGGGGACATAACATTACTTAATGAATATCGTTAACATATCTTTCTAGAAAAGAGACCAAAACAATTATGCACTTGTTACCTCATGTTTCCGGCAGAAAGCAGCCTTTGAAAATAGTAAAAGCATCAGTATCTTTATTTTTGCAGAAAGAAAAACAAAAGTGTCCAAGTGACTCATCTTACAGCGCCACTGGAAAGCATGGCAGAGCTTCATTAGAACTAAATTTTAACAAGTGGCTAAAGCAGAGAGCACAGGGAATATGACTTCTTCTGTGATCACTCTGCCAGCCCTTGTTCTCCCATTAGGAGGTTTTGAGCAAAAAGGAGAAGGAGGAATGACTGAGAACATGAGCTGGTTTCATAGGTAAGTTGGAACCAGAAAGATTCTAGTTATTCTCGACACCCAGTGGCATCAAGGAGAAAAAGTGGTGAGGCCTTGTTGTGGTGCTTAAAGGTGCCATGCAGAGCCTTATCTGCTTCCCTTAGAAGCTCTCTTCATGTGCCATCATCTCAGATTTTGAAATTCAATACTCAAAGTTGTTCCCTAGGTCTGCCACTTACTAGCTAAGAACTTTTTGGCAAAGCATGTAGTAGAGGTTCTAAAGCCTTCCCAATTGCCCACAAAGCCCTGCACTATGGGGCTCCTGGCTGCTTCTGTCCCCTCCCTATGGGCCACCTTGCCATGGACTCACCTTTCCAAGCAAGCTCCTGCCTGGGGGCCTTTGCACTTGCTGCTCCCTCTCCCTGGAATGCTTGTCCCTCGGAGCTGCATGGCTGATGCCTCACTTTGTATAGGTTCCTGCTCATGCCAAAGTATCAGTGAAGCCTTTCGTGATAGCCCAATTTAAAGTAGCCCTTTACTAGACTCTGGCTTCTGATTCTGATAAAACATAACAGAGTGTAATATCTTCAGGGACTATAAGATCTCTGAGGTCAATGAACAGGTATTTAATGTTTTTATCAGAAAAAGAAATGATAGATTGGGAAGGCAATGCATGTGTTAATTAGCTTAATTGCACCTTTCTACAATATATAAATAGATCAAAACATCAGGCCAGGCACAGTGGTTCACACCTGTAATACCAGCACTTTAGGAGGCAAAGATAGGAAAATTGCTTGAGCCCATGAGTTCAAGACCATCCTGGGCAACATAGTGAGACCTATTCTCTAGAGAAAAAAAAAAAAAATAGGCAGGTGTGGTGGCACGTGCTTGTAGTCCCAGCTACACAGGAGACTGAAGGGAAGGATTGTTTGAGCCTAGGACTTCTAGGCTACAATGAGCTGGGATCTTGCCACTAAACTTCAGCCTGGGTGAGAGAATGAGACTTTGTCTCAAAAAAAAAAAAAAAAAATCACATAGCATTCTAAATGTGCACAAATATTATTTGTCACATAAAAATAAATTATATATATATGAAAAAGCACATATCTATGAAAAAGAGACACCATCTGCTTTGTTCAAAATTGTAGCCTCAGTATCTGTATCCTTGTATGTAATCATTTAATGTATTTAATGAGAAAATGAAGTCTCTTAAATTTTTTGTTTTTGTGTTATTATATGAAAAACAAGATTAATAATCCTACTTTCTTTTTGTGAAGAGTTGATATATATAAAAAATCTTGGTAAACTTTAAGATACTATACAAATGTAAATAATTTGCATTTTTTATAACTGAGTAATCTGCAAGAAATTTACTAAAAGCTTTAAATTTAGATATTGATTAACTTTTTTCTTTTCTAAATTGTATTAACCATTTTCGGAACTTTTGTCTTGTTTTAGGGATTATAGTCATGATATATATGATGATCAATAGTAATAATCAGGTACATTTATGTAGGTATAGATATATATAAACAGAGAGATAGATATATAGGTGGATAGATAGATAGATAGATAGATAGATAGATAGATAGATAGATAGATCTGGAGAAGCACAATGCCCTGTTCATTGGTTCTATTTTCCAGTTTCCTTAGTCTTTAACAAGATCAAGTAAAATTCACGATTCTAGCTATCTTTGAATACAAGGGAATTTTCCCAGTTTAACAGTAGTCAGTAAGTCAAGAGGAAGAACTTTCTTGTTAGATGGAAAATAATACACCTGACTTCAGACACAGAAACTGTGATGTGCTGTTGGGACTTCCACTTGAAAATCCCTAGTGGGTTGTTGATTATTAGCAACTGGTGGGCAGAAAGAAGTTAGGAAGTATTATTTATTTGGGTTTCATCTGAATGTAGATAATAGGGTTAAATGTGAAAACTGGCTATTCCCCTATGCAAGTTCAATATTAAAACAGCAACTTCAAATGGACATGGTAGTGTGTGAAGTGCTTCGCATATGTTAGACATCATGCTTTGTGTTTTTCTTGCATTATTTCATTTAATTCTCATAATACCCTCATGAGTAGGAGCTAGTTTTATCACCATTTTCAGTTGAGGTGACCAAAGTTTGCTGAAACAAATCAATTTGCAAAAGCCAACAGAGCTAGTAAGAGTGGGAGCTGGAATTCAAACCCAGGTTTGTCTAATTTGGAAGCCAAAGGTTTTAATTAGTATATTAGATTTTATACCGTTTAATTTATACAATAAAAATTAAACACATATTCTTAATCAGGAGGGCTGTCCCCTTACAACACATTACATGAGAAGCCCAGCAAGTCATGGAAATGACTCCAGTGTTTTAGTAACACAGCTCTCTGAGAGTAGCATCCAATATGAAACCCAAAGGGGGATTTCATATTTTCTGCTTATACATTGGCTATTCATAGTATGTTCTTTACAAAAGCACTACCCTTCTTTTTCAAAGTGCCAAGGAAATTGTGTGTGACATGGGCTTTTGAGTAGAGTTCAGTTTTATCTATGTAAGTATTGGGATATGTGTTATATGAGTATTTGTTTCTCATTGAAATAAATGTAATGTGCATATTATAACTAAACTGAAATAGTTCCTGGCATGAAAGCACAGAATGATGAATGAAACCTAGTGTGATTTGCCTATAATTGTGCTCCTCTGTGTCTGCCTTACGTCCTTTCTTTTATTTCATTCCACACAAGTCTAACAGAGAACAAGCAGCCACACTAAATCATACTAAATTATTCAATACAGCACTTGGCGGATGTTTGTGAGGTATGTATGTTAAAGATGATGGTAATCTTTGTAGGGAAGAGAAAGGCCAGAGGACTTTCACATATTCAGGAAATGTGCTTAGACATGCATTTATTTTCTTTGCTTTGTTTCTTTTAAAGATTCACAAGCTTTTGTGAGTGTATTACAGCGGAGCTGGCAGACAATCCTTATTTGTTTTCTCCATTAGATACTTAAGGGACAGATACCATGCTAAAGGGTATAGCAGTAGAGGAGCTAATGTACATAGGCAGTGGCACTGGAGGCTAAATACACACACACCCCCCACACAACCTAGGAATAATTTAGGCAGTAAATATTAAACACATATTCCTAATCAGGAGAGCTGTCCCCTTATAATGCATTACATGAAAAGTCACTGAATAACTCCAGTGTTTTGGTTACACAGCTAGAGAGAAGACGGGTTTGAAGAGCGGTGCTAAGATTCCAGACAGGCCAGCAGCAACAGTCAAGCAGCCAGTAGGTAGCTGCCCTTGCACTCGACTATGATTTATCTGCAAATCTCCAATTCTTGGCAACTGGGACTGGCAAGAATGAAGACAGAGACTGAGAAAAGTTAAAAATAAGTGCAGTTTTCAGAACCAGAACAAAAGTGCAGGAATAAGCCACGCAGGTGCAAAATTCCCAGTATTTGGCTGGAGTAGTTTAAGTTTCTCCTGTCCTCTGTCAGAACTAATGCAAGAGATTAAGAATCAGACCACTTACTTCTGTATGTGGAGTCAAATAGGTCCAGGCACAAAGCACAGTCTTTTACTCCTGAGTTTGCATTTTGCTGCACCAACAGTAACTACAACATATGCAGTGATATTGAATTGGAATAGCAATGCAATTGATTAATGCCAGGCAACCAAGTGATTCTGTGAGAGTTGGTGAATTTATAAATATGTACAAGTGAACAAATGTTTATCAACTCATAATTATCTTTATTAGGGTACAATTAAGAAACAGATGGCATATTCAATTAGAGTAATTGAAAAAAGTATTAAGAAAGGTTATCTTCAAGGATGTAGGCATGTTGAAGGGAAATCAACCACAGACGATGAAGCACCCTGGGGTTAGTAACTGCTGGAAGTTATTACCATTTTTAGGCCTAAAAGAGTAGAAACAGAACAGAAACCACCTACACAGTCCATATTAACATACTTTTGGTATTTCATACAGTTCTTTCCTAGGAAGATAAAGTTTTAAATAACTTTATTGCTTAATTTAGAAAATTTCTACAAGTCCATTTATTTCAAAATCATACTGTTTAACTTACCCTTATTTGAGTAAATAGCCTCTTATCAAGATAACAGATGATTCAACTGAGCTTAACAAGCAAATGTTTATTCTTTAACTTACCTGTAAAACCTGTCTTGCTGTATGTACCAACCCTAAACTATTATATCACAAGTGTTGCCCAATTCTTTTTTTTTTTTTTTTTTTTTTTGAGATGGAGTTTTGCTCTTGTCTCCCAGACTGGAATGCAATGGCATGATCTCGGTTCACTGCAACCTCTGCCTCCCAGGTTCAAGTGATTCTCCTGCCTCAGCCTCCCAAGTAGCAGGGATTACAGGTGTTTGCCACCATGCCCAGCTAATTTTGTATTTTTAGTAGAAATGGGGTTTCACCATGTTGGCCAGGCTAGTCTCGAACTCCTAACCTTAGGTGATCTGCTCTCCTTGGCTTCCCAAAGTGCTAGGATTACTGGCATGAGCCACCGTGCCCGGCCAAGTTTTGCCCAGTTCTAAGCATACTCCTACATTGAAAACTTTACCTTAAATCAGACCCTCAAAACATATATATCTTGACTTTTCTCTCCCTCCTGCAAGATGCTGCTAAGAATATGTCAACATAATGATCTGTCTTCCTGTGAGAAACAAAAAACTCAGCCTTGTCCAGTCAACACAAACTCTCACATGTTGTAGACTGCATCCTTAAAAATTTAGATCTGCAAAAACTGATCTAGAAAAACTTGCCTTTCTAGAAATACGCTGAGGTAACATTTTAAAAGCTGGTTTTTAGTTCTAAAATAAGTTGAAAATCACAAATAGTAAAAATCACCCTGGAAAATCCCTAAATTGCCCATAAATATAGAGTACAAGATTCTTGGTAGATAGCTCTGTTCACTAATATGCATGTATTACAGGATAATATGTTAAACATGCAATTCCATAGAAAGACCATAATCAGCAAGTAAATAATTTGAGGGTTTTTGCAACACTTCACAATTTTGTGGAAATTTTAAATTCTAGTGTTATCATTATTTTCTACAATAGATTGTAGCAATTTTCCCAATTTTGGTTAATGTTTCCCTAAAGACTTCCAGGAATTATTTTGTTAAACAACTTCTGATGTTGAAATAAGTTCCAACATAAAGTTTCACAAAAGTACAAAGAATAATTGTATATCCTTTACACAGATTCACTGATTTTGAATATTGTCCCACATTTGCTTTTTTTATTCTCTCATTGTGTACACACACACACACACACACACACACACAGGTTTTTGCTGAACCATTTGAGAATAGATTGCATACATCATTATTTTTTATCCCTTAATACTTTAGTGTATATTTCTCAAGGGTATTTTCCTACAAAACCACAACCTAGTTATCAAATTCAGGAAATTTAATATTGTCATGCTAATTTTATCTAATGTAGAGTCCACATTCCGGTTTCTTCAATTATCCCAATAATAGCATTCATAGCAATTTTTCTTCTAGTACAGAATCTGGGCCAGGATCATGTATTACACTTAAGTTATCACATTTCCTAAATCTCATTTAATTCAATCTAAAGGCTAATTTTCTTAGCCTTTTTTTTCCCCTCTTTCCTAACCTTGATATTTTGGAAGATTACAAGCTAGTTGTTTTATAGACTGTCCTCAGTTTGGTTCACCTGATGTTTCCTTATCATATGACTCTGGTTTCGTACTTACTGGCTGGATTGCTAAATACATGATGTCATGTCCTTCTTAGGCTGTCACATTTGTAGGTACGTCATGTGTGTTTACACTTTATTTATGATGTTAACGTTCATAACTTGGTTAAGGTGTTGTGTGGTTTCTCTGTTGTACTGTAAAGTGTAATTTCTGTAAATTATAATTTGTAGGGATGTATTTTGAGATTATGTTAATAACCTGTTTCTCATCAACTCTGGTCCCATTAATTCCTTAATTTCTTCCTGGAGGAGTCACAACCCTCTTCATCATGTATACAATTTTTTCATGTTTGATAATCCCTTGAGAGTGGGTTTGGGAAATCACTGAGACCTTTAGATATATTCTACATTTTGGCCGAGTTGATTGAATTCATGTAAATTAAATGTGGTTCTGCTAAAAGCTCTATTATAATAACAATAAAAGAGGAGTCCTACAGATGCAAGCTCTAATCATTCACATTTGACACGGATGAAATGACTGACTAATAAATCACATATTCAGTGTACAGTTTACTGAAAAACGATCATGATGAATATAATTTCAATAAACATAAAAATATTTTAACTGTGCTGAATAGAAAATTCGATAATAAATTTAAACGGCCTAATGATATTTCCTCTGTAAAATGCATGCTTGACAAAGAAAATTTTCATTGGTGTTATAATTCTGAATAAAATGTTTGCGTTCATAAATACAGAACTCGGATATCCATGACATGGAGAGGATAGTCACAATGGCAGACTGAGATAGTATAACTGGGCATTTTTGCATATCGACGTTGGAGCCTGAACTCCAGGGTTGTAACTTCACTGCCACCACTTACTAGATTGGACCATGGACAAGTTACTTAATCTTTGCCTTGATGCTCTATCTGCAAAATGGGACAATAATAATATGTAACCATACAAAATTGTTATGAGGATTGAAAGATTTAACACCTGTAAAATGCTTGGAATAGTCCTGGCATGTTAATCTCAGTAAGAGTCACCATCATCATTATCACCAGTTTCATAATAATCACCTTCATTCTGTATTTTTTCTGGGGTGGGGAAAGGAAATATTTCAAAACTGGGAACCTCATCTAGCCTGAAATTAACTGAGAAAATAATCCAGGATATTACTGATCATTCTTTGACAGTAGTGATAATGTTGTGGCAACTTGTATACTGAGTAAAATAGCACTATGAACTTTCCTTAGCATAGGTCACGAAAGGACATGTCTTTAAAATGTTTAGATCACACCTCTCAGTTGAGGTTTCATCACTGGAAACATCATTTTTAACACCATTGCCAGAATTATAACTGTCATGCTTCCAGTTTTAATGTCTGTGGCATGCTATGAGTTTAAACTAAATTATCTCATTTAATCTCAGCACCAAATTTATAAGGGAGATATTATTATCAGCCTTATCTTATTAAGAAAGAACAGGTTTTGAAAAGCTGGAAAAGTTGCTGAAGTTCATGGGTCTAAGTAGAAGAACCAGACTTCGAACTATAATATCAGGCTATGTGCAGATCCATTACACCATACTGCTTTCTGGAAATATACGTCCTTGTCTGTGGGACTGTTGTCACTTCACTTTGGATCAACTTTGCTGCTAATAATATTGCAATAAATGGTATTCCTTTGTCAATTGTATTAATCAAAGTCCTGGGAGGAAAGGAGATATTGTACATATGAGAATAGTTTAAGAAAACATAATTAAGAGACTCTGTACTAAGGTATGGGAGGAGTTAAGGAATTCAAGAATTGGCAAAGCCTTCTGAAACTAACAATGACAGAAAGTCATTACCATAACAAGGCCAACACAGGCAAGGGCAGGAGGCAGCCGCTGGCATTTGGAGAGAGCTGCAGCCATGTGACAGAGGCCATCTGATATACCCACTCCAGAGGAACACAACTCCTGCTAAAGTGCCACCCTGTTGCAAGAGAGTAGGGCCTAATAATACCTCAATCTCTCTCTCCTTCAGTTATCTGACTTCATTTCAGTGCCTTCCACTGGCCAAACCCAACTGGAAGCCAGAAAGCAAGGGAGCTTAGGTGACACAGTTGGTAGAAGCCATTCTCCCTGGGCACAGATAAAGGCTGAGATGGGCAGAAATTACCAGGTTGGTTTTGCAGCAGGGTTGGGGGAGAAGGCAGGGGGAGAATGGAGACTTACTGTGTAGCACTAAGCATACCTGAGATATTATTCTACAGTACCATCACTTAGTACAATATCGGTCGAGAAAATTGAAGAATTCAAAAATTAAAGATACAAATCCATTTAATAACAACATACTTTTCAAAATGTGAGGGGAAAACTTTTTTTTTTAATTAAGAAAGTACATCCTCCAGGTAATGTCATTGCGTAGGTATGTGGAATGTAAAATGTTTGAATGGGATCAGCAGTCTTCTCCAAGTTGCTTATACGTTAAACTGATCCTTGAATGGGTTGCTATAATTACATTTTAAAGAGTCTGGCAAACATTGCAAGTTTTTTGCTTTGCATTTAAATTGGCTCAGCATCTTGGTGCCAGTGGAATTTACCAGGCTGGTGAGAGCTCAGCTCAGATTTCTCAATGCTTCACAGCCCCATGGGCCCCTTACAATGTTTCTTTGGACACCCTCTGTACTGTGTCATTACTGTAGGTCATCTGCTGGGGAATCACATTGTCACACACTCTCCTCGTGCATCCTGTCGTCTTGTCTTCTCCGTAAGCAGCCCTGTGCTGTGAGCCTGCTCCGCAGGATTTAGTCTATGTGAAGGAAATTGAAAATGAACATTAACAGATTTTGTTCTTACTCATTTAGAAAATAATTCATATGCCTTGATTTTGGTGATGTTCACAATCCTTCATTGACTCTCAAATTTCTGCACTCCTGAAGCCCATTTCTGAGTTGAGGCTTTTTCTGCTCTTGCCAATCGCTAGGTAGAACAAGTATAGCCTTGGTCATGCCCTTAACAGATCATGAGGCTGAGTTTAACCCAGAGAAGGCCTCCCTGGTAAAAGGGAGCTGAAGCTGAAATTCATTAATTATTTGCAAAGCTCTGTTTTTGTTTACATTTTCTGTCATCTCAAGCAGAGTGGCATCATTTAGGCACTATGTAAAATCTTTCCAGCAATTCATTCAACTTACATCATGTATCCAACTGGGGAGGAATTCCTGGAGCTGTTCTAAAACAATGAGTGTTGGTGAGTTGAAAAATTGAAATGACATTTTAAAAATGCTACTAAGCTGAGTTGAGAGAGAAAAAAGGGAGGCTTGGAGTTTTCTTTCTATTACGACATATTTTTTCAAAATTCCCCATTTTCAATTCCTCTTAATGTTTCCAGTGATTGAAGCACTTTGTTTAGGGCAAAGAAATATAAATCAATAGAGAATTACTTAACTAGAAAATGCAAATCAATACCAACTTCCTTATGCAGGAACTTTTTGGTCTGAAATATTTAGCAATATGCTATTTGTTTTAAAAAAATGTGGCTGTAATAAGTGATAGCTTGTAGTGATGCTATTTACATATCAAAGCACTATAAAATAATCAGTTTATCTCAGGGCATGAACAACTACCACTTTTTTGTGCATTCTATATCTATTATAAACAGACAATAATAAAATAAATAGAATCAGAATAGCAAAAGGACAGTTTTGAATTATCATTAATGTATAATGCACACCTAATCCATATGTCCTATATTTTTCATTAATAAATATCTAATGAAAATTGATATATAAGCGTAATGATCACTTAGAAGGACATTTAAGTGTTTCTGAATGAAAAAACTAAATTATTTTGTGTTTGATCTTGTCTGTTTTGGTACTTTGATAATTTTCTGTGATTAAGAAAACACAAAAATGCTGAGCCAGGAAAATTAAATTATTTAGTATCTGCTGTCACTTTCAGAGAAAGAACTTTGTACTGTACTAAGATTGTGATCCTGAACCTACTGCTTATTAGCTGTTCCATTCTGAGTAAATCAATTACGTGTTAGTTGTTTTGTCTTTGCAGATTCTTCTTAGCTGGGTCCTTTACTGCATTGACCATGTGCCAATGGTGGCTCCATATTTTTATTAGACTCTACTCCTTTAGCAATAGTTGACTTGGATCTAAGCTAGACCAATTAAGGTCCTTCGCTAGGATTTGGCTTGGCCCAGTGAGAGCTTTCCTGCATTGGCTGAAGCTTTATGGTGCATAACTTATGAACCAGTGGCCATGGTTCCCTGAGTCTGAAGAATGCTGGTCTGCAGTGAAAGGGAATAAAACCAACACGCAGAGAGAAACAGTTGCAGGCACAGTCCTGGGGAGGTCCATGTTTCTCGTTCTAGTTGTTCCTGATGCCCCTCTGCCTCCCTGCATTTCCTGTGACCGGGTCATTCAACCTTTACTTGGCTTTTACTTATTCAAATTGGGTTTTATCTCACTCAGTTTGGGTTAGAATATTAAACCCTCAATTTCACAAGCTGCACCCAAAGCCTTGTATGTGATTTTTGTTTGTTTGTTTGCAATTCGTGTAATACCATTGAATCATTTATTTAAAAGCTCTTGAAATTTTAACCCAACTATTTCAAGTTTATGTGGTCTTTGTCTTTTATTAATTAATAATTACTATTACCATATACACAGAGAACATTAGTTTTTGGGGATTTTAAAATTTGTTTTTAATCAACTGTACTTAAAACATTTTAAGGAACGGGATTTTGTGTTATTTTTTTAAAGAAGGTTCTCAAAATTATGTAAACCTAATGCTCCTATGAAACCTGGAACCACTTTTCACCCTAATTAATACAACTTAACTTCTCCAATTTTCAATTCACTTGTTTGTAAAAGATAGGAAATTAATCTTGAATGTCACTAAAATTCTGTGACTCTACTAATGTATAAAGTATAACTTCCCTCCACACCTCATTCATTTTTACAACCCATTGGGAAATGACTCTTTCTGTTCAAAGTTACACAGAGGCCATAACAACGTGCCATTAATTAGTAACAGAAAGAATTTTGAGGAGGAAGTGACCAGAAGAACTGGAAACTTGAGGGGATTTTAGGTAAATTCTACCTGCCATTACCCCTCTGGAACAGACAAAGGGTCTCAATATTGAGGGACAATTGCTGAAATGAAAATTCTAGGTATTATACGTTGGGGACTTTTTATTTTTTTTCATTACAGTATCATACTTCCTTTCTGGTGCTTAGATGATTCCCTGAAGTTTTGTAGTCTAGCGTTTGATTCTTTCTTTTGCATCTTTAAATTTTTTTATTTATGTAACATATTAAAAATGTAACACTTTTCAGACATGTTAAATATACTGAAAATAGTTTACTATCAGAAAGCGCCGATTACCAAGAGATAAAAATTTTCTCCATTGTTTTCTGTTACTGCTGTTCAGCTGTCAGACATTAGCTCCTTATCATACGGTCCTGCTTGCCTCTTATCTTCTTAGTTTTCTAAATGTATAATGCACCTCAACTTTTTCTGGTTCTAAAGGTTATTAAAGTTTTTCCATTGATAGTATTATGGCTTCACTCAATTTTAAGGAAGAACTTAAAGTCACAAGGTGGTAGCTAGCCAAAGACTTTCTTTAAAGAATTAACAATATAGTTGATATGTGGAATTTTAAAAATGTAGCTTTAATTGGATTTTTTGCATATTCTCATTACCCATGTCCAGTATCAAAATTACAAGACCAGCACTGTATTCAGCCCAATTTCACATATATGTGAAATTAGCCAAGATTGAGATTAACTGATAGGACTGGTCACTTAGAATTCAGAGTTATTGAAGGAAAACATCTGCCTAACCCTAGACATTTAGACGAGCTGGAGTGGGACAAATGGAGAATGGTTGGGATTAAGAAATCAATAAGATCCACAAGGATAGCATAGGTAATAATGGAGGCCCAATCAGTAGCATATACGGTGGAGGGAAGATGAGTTGTGACCCAGAGATCTGGCAGTGAGGGTCAGATAGAGAACACAATAGATAGGAGAGCAAAGTATCCATTTGCTGTAGTGTACAATAGATGGCAGGCAAGGAAGAAGGGCCTTGACTTCCAGAAAGGCAGCAGGTAGAAAGGGATGGGTTCCTCGTGGCCTGGGCTAGCTCAGAGTCCCAGAACTAAAAGACTAGGGTTGAGAAAACAGAAGCCACTCCAGGGTCAACTTTGGCCCCCCTTCCAATTCATTCTTCACACACAGATGTCAGACTTGCACATGTAATTACACTCCTCCTCTATTTAAACATTGTAATGACCTCCATTGTCCTCAGGATGAAAGTCCAAATTCTTCAGCATGACCCAAACAGTCATTCATGGTCTAGTTTATGCCTTCTCCATGAGCCTTATTGCCCAGTTTCCCTTCTCATTCTCTATATTCCAATACATTGAGTAATTATAATTCCAAAAGAGTAACGCTACTTTATGCCACTATCTTTTTGCACATGCTATTACCTCTGACTATAAAACTTTCACCTTGAAAAATCTTCCTCGTCCTTCAAGTCTTAACTCAAGCAGTACTTCCTTTCTGAAGCCTACCTTGCTCATTCTCCCAGTAGAGTTGGTCCCTACTGTCCTTGCACATTCTCAAGTTATGTACTATTGTATCTTGCTAAAAGTTTTATTTTACATGGTTATCTCTTATACTAGAAATATTATCTTATTGTGAATAGATTCCATGCATTATTCATTAACCCTAATATTAAGGTTATGTCTGGCCCATACTGAACCCTCAGTGCTTATAGAATAAATAATGAGACAGGTTTTCAATTAATAAATCTTGAGTATAAAGTGAAGGTTTGAGATAAAGTAAAGTAAGACCTGGTTATAGAAAACAGAAGAGAAAGTCACAGTGCATCTAACATCAACAATGACCTTTGCTGAGCCTTTGAGTATAGGCCTCCATAACTTTCTTCAAGCTAGAAAGAGAATTTTTTCCAATACAGAGGCAGAATTAAGCCTATTTATTTATCTGGAGTGAAGTAACAGCAAAGCCATAGGTGAGAAGGATGTAAAAACAGAAAGCTGTAAGCCTGATTAGCCAAACTTCAGAAATACAAGTTTCCCTTGCCTTGAAGAAGCACCAGGTAGCAGAAAGAGCCTGGGCTTTGGGGTTGTAAGAAACTTGATTTACAGCCATTTATTAAGTATAAGATGTTAACTTTCATTCTCTGTCAGTTTTCTTAATTTTAAAATAGGGATATTAATTCTAACCACAGAGGGTTTGTGAGAATTAGCTGAAGTTATATAGTGCAAATGTGATAGAATGGGCTCTAGGAATGTTTGTTTTCTTTTTACATGCCAAACCCCAATTACTTGCTGGCTCTTTTCTGATTTCTTAGAATTGTTTTGAGAAAAAAAAATCAGGCCACAGATAAAAATTTGCATCAAAGTGATATAGCAAGCAACATTTTAAAGGTTGAACATCAGTACTAAGAATGATACTGTCACCTAGATAATGTCAACCAGGAAATACATTTGAAATGTTAGCCATAAATATACAACGGTCACTCAACTACTGTGTATTATTTAAAATTGAGTAACTAATAACTTCAAAAATAGGATAAAGCTATATGGAGACACCGAACCTCAAGAAAATAGTTTGTTAGTAAATTGTTTCATCCACAGTATATACCTGGAGTTCTTAAATATGGCTGATTTAACCTTTGTGGAACATTTCAGAGAACATTGCAGCAACAGTAGCTTAGCCAAAGGCATTGTCTTTCTTCTCTGAAATGAAAAATGCTTTCTTTAATTGTCATCCCAATTTTTCCCACTCTAATAACCTCACTCTGTATTTCAGTCAGGGTTTGATCAGAGAAACACAACCTATATGAAATATACATTCATATATTATGGATGTGCCTGACCTTACACAGTTATGGAACATAGTTAAACCATTTTCTTCTGGGCTTGGTGGTGGAGACAGAAATCCACAGGCAGGAGGCTGAGAGGCAGGATGCGTATGAAGTGATGAAAGCCATAACAAATGGGAACCTGGGAAGCTGGAGCCTGTGAGGACAGGTTAAATCAGGGATAATCTCTCACTGTCTTTACATGTGGATGATGGGGATATTCTGCAAAAGAACCTAGTGCTCTTCATCATAGAGCGAAATCTGCACCTAGCACAGGAGCCAGCCGTGAATGAGGACTGGCAGGAGCTATAGGAACTGCAGGAGGGATGCCATTGCAAGGTAGTGAGCCCTCAATAACCAACAATGTGCATACACTGCAGGGGGCCTCATGCTTGCTTTGACCTTCAGAGTGCAAAAAGAACATGGCTGATGCTTCCTATTAACAAGAACTATACAGGGAAGAAATTTTACGAAACATAGTTCCAACTGAGTTAAACTGATATACCACCAATCCACCATATTCTAAATGATTGTATAAATTTCCTACTCTGTACTTTTAATTTCTTAACCTAACTTGTTCTTACCTATGTCCTTAAGATAAAATCTTCTCCCAGATAACCTCTCTTACCAAAACTGAGCTCTATTTGCTATTCAATAGATAAATGAATGCAACTCAATGCATCAATTATCCAGGGCAATGTTTAACTTTATCTGTTTCATAATGGATTTCCAGAACTAGTAATCACACTTAACTCACACTGTCCAGGAGTAACTTGTTTCAAATGAATTTTGGTGTAATGGCTTTCCCATGTTACTTTGAAATGCAGTCTTGCTATTTTCTCATTTTTCTTGCAGCTGAGTCTTTCATTTGGTAAATGTAGACAGATCTGTATTATACTGAAAACCTGAAATGGACTAGTGAGGTATTCTGGATAGTGGAAAATGAATTTCTTATTTAAAATGAAAGAAACTTTCCCTGGTTCAGCTTTGAAGAACATAGAAAGTCATGTCATTAGCAATAATTTACTCATTTGTATATTTTACACAGATTTAATAAGTCTTTGCATTAAACATTGGCTTTCATATGGAGATTAAAAGTGCTTTGTCGGATTTGCAAGTAAATGTGGAAAGCTTAAACTTGACCAACACACCAAGAATAAAGGAAGGGTAATACTGCTATTTCCCCTTCTTCTATTCTGGAGCCAAACACATAGGAAACTGGTGCACTAAAGCAGCCATGGTCATGATAAGCTGATGAGATGGGGGACTGAGGAGAAAGTAGACCCCAAGCCTGAAGAAAACGTGATGTGACATATCTAGGCCAGGTGAGCACTTATAAACCTCCCAACAGTACTGCTTGTCCTACAGCAATTTAGAACTTTCTGCAAAACAGTGTGTCAAAACTGATGGGAAGCTATCGGCAGGAAAATAGGACAACTTTCCGTAGCCTTGGCAGAAGCTCCTCTAGGGGGCGAAGAAAAGACTAGACGGTGCTGCATTTGAGAGATTCTGGCTCTTGACGATGGAGCATATTCAGGATGGCTATAATTAAAAAGTCAGAAAACAGCAGATGCTGGTGAAGCTGCAGAAAAAAAGGGAACACTCAAACACTGTTGGTGGGAATGTATATTAGTTCAGCCACTGTGGAAAACCGTTTAGAAATTTCTCAAGGAACTTAAAGCAGAACTACCATTAGGCCCAACAATCCCATTATTGGGTATATATCAAAAATAAAATAAATTGTTCTACCAAAAAGACACATGCAGTTGTACATTAATCACAGAAATATTCACAGTAGCAAAGACATTAATTCAACCTAGGTGCCCATCAATAGTGAATTGGATAAAGAAAATGTGGTACGTATACACCATGGAATACTCTGCAGCCATATAAAAGAGCAAAATCATGTCCCTTGCAGCAAGATGGATGTAACTGGAGGCCATTATCCTAAGTGGATTAACACAGAAACAGAAAGCCAAATACCACATGCTCTCACTTTTAAATGGGAGCTAAACATCGGTACTCATGGACATAAAAATGACAACAATAGACATGGCACTGCTAGAGGGGAGGGAGAGGAGCAAGCATTGAAAAAAATAACTATTGAGTACTATGCTCACTCCCTGGGTGACAGGATCAATCGTACCACAAATCTCAGCACATACCCAGGTACCAAACCTGAACATGTGCCCACTTAATCTGAAATAACAGTTTTAATTAAAAGGAAAAAGGGGAGAGGTAAGAAAGTATCTGTGACTAGCAGTGTTCCCCAAAAACCTCAGACTCATCTCACAATACTCGCAAACCACTTCACCATAACCAAAGTAAAGCCTGGGAACATGACCTAGACCCATCTTGTACAGGCAATTTTCAGACTAAACCTTTGTACTTTTAATCCCTCCTTGGTAGTCATTTTATCCAGATCCCAACTTCGCAAGGACTATTTAGGTAGCATTATAGGAAACAGGAGAGAGAGATGATATGGTATGAGATGTTAGCAATTTCATTATAATAATGTTAATAGATTTAACTTATTTCCACATCATATTTTAGATACTATAAAATGAAAACAATAATTTATCCTGAGGTTGCTCATTCTGCAAATATTTATTGGGCACCTATGAAGCACTAAACACCAAGGAGACACAGGGGAGAAAAATTCCTTGATCTCATAGAGCTTCCATTCTAATAACTGTCATCTGTCAATCTTTCCTCCCATTCTTCAAGACAGTGAGTTTTAGCTTACAACTCTCTTTAAGTCACCCATCTTTATCTCACACCTTTCACTCTTAGTAGACAACTTTGTACCCCATTTCATAAAGAAACCAGACAGGAGCTTAGTTTTCTCCCCAGCTCCATTGAGAATAGAACCCAGCCTGTCCTCATTTCTTCCTGACTCAGAGGATTAGGCAGTAATTTTGAAATTTCCCCAGAGTTTGGAAGGCCATGGAGCTATGAACATACTAAGTTGGCTTTCGGCATTTGGCTGCAAAATTGAGAGTACCGATTATTTTGCTTAATCCAATATTTCTTTTCTTCATTTGCTGACATACTCCAAAGATTTTGCATGCCTTCAAAGCAGCCACTGAATTTTACTAACTCATTTTGTTAACCTTAAAGAAGACTGCATCCACTCTTAATCAGGATAAAGAATTGCTTTTTAAAACAAATCTTTTATTAGTTGCTAGTTAGCAGGTAATATAGCAGAAGGTTGGTGAGATTATAAAAATGGTTTAAGAAAAAAGTAAGTGTCCAAAAGAAACCTTCTCTTTTAGTTCCTAAGTCAGAGATATTGAGAGCTCAGCAAAAAATAGATGTTCATAAATATAGTTGATCCTTGAACAATGCAGGTTTGAATTGCAGGGTTCAGTTATGTGCATTTTTTTTTCAATAAAAATTAACTCCAAGTGTGCCTGCTTCTCTTGCCTCCTCTCCACCTCTTCCTCCTCTGCCGCCTCTGAGACAGAAAGAATGATCCTTCCTCTTCCTCCTCCATCTCAGCCTACTCAACTTATAAAGATGATGAGGATGAAGACCTTTATGATAATCCACCTACACTTAATGCATAGTAAATATATTTTCTTTTCCTTATGATTTTTTAAATAACATTTTATTTTCTCTAGCATATATATTGTAACAATACAGTATATAATACATATAACATACAAAATAAATGTTAATCAACTTTATGTTATTGATAAGGCTTTCAGTCAACAGTGGGCTATTAATAGTTAGGTTTGGAAGGCGTCAAAAGTTATACACAGATTTTTGTGCATGGGGTTTTGATGCCTCTAAGTCCCACATTGTTCAAAGGTCAGTTGTACTAGTTAAATTGTTACAGAGTTATGGAGTCAAAAGATGGTGGACTTTGGAGCACAGAGCCCTTGGTTTAAATACCAGCTATACAATTTAGTAGCTATGTGACTTTGTAAAATCATTTGATATCTGTAAAACCAAGTTTTAACAGTTGTAAAATAAAGATAAAAATATACCCCCTTAAGGCCATTGTAAAGATTGTTGCAATGGACCGATTTTACCCCGTTTATATTAATATGTTGAAACCCTAATCCCAATGTTACAATATTTGGAGATGGGGCCTGAGGTCGTGAGGGTGGAGGTCTCATGAATTGGATCAGTGCTCTTATAGGAAAAGACACAGGTGATATGATCCCTCACTCAACCATGTGAAGATACAGCAAGAAAGAAGAGGTCTCTTACCAAGCATGGGATCTACCAGCATCTTGATTTTGGACTTCCTGGCCTCCAGAATCATGAGAAATAAATGCTTGTTGTTTAAGCAACCCAGTCTGTCCTATTTTGTTATAGCAGCCCAAACAGACTAAGACAGGAAGATGAAAAAATGACTCCACATTCCCAGCAGTTTACTTGGGTTAAATGGCAACTGATTTGAGATTAAACACCAGTTTTCTTTAGAATTCCTGTTCGCCTATTATACCCTCACCCCTAATCTTCATATAAGGAGTTTTGTTCATAACTCTGCAATCAAAATATAATTGGTGGCTGGAAGTTCACAGAGGAGCACTGACAAATACAAACGTTCCCAAATACTTAATCCCCTCAGAGACAGTATTTGAGTTATTTTGTTTTTGTGTTCAGGGATGGATCTTGCCTGTTTGATACAAGTTAGAGTAATAGAAACCTAATGAACCTTTCTCATCAGAAGTCTCTCTCTACCCCCCAAACAAAATGTATCTGTGAAGAGTCAATTATTTTTATGCTTTCTTAGCCAAACTTTAGGATGATCAGTAAGTAACAGAAATTATAATTAGAATACTGAGAATATTGTTCCATTTTTTAATCATGGAAATCCTGCAACTTTTCTAGTAAGACATAGGCAACAGCAGAAACACTGATGGATAAACTTGTGCCTTCAGATTAATTTAGATATATTCGCATGCTTTTGATTAATGTAGGAGTTCTTGTCCTTCTAGATGAACTTGTTAATTCCTTTCGTGGAATCTGATCTATCTTGCTTAGTGAAGAGAAATAGGATCATTTGCAAAGGATACAATAGAGACCTGAGCTCCACATTTGTTTTAATCTCCGGTGATATACTGTACTGCTACTGAGAAAATGCCCCATCTTTATTTCCTGGAGTTGGCTTGACATTTACAAACCTAATGCTGATTTGATATGGGAGTACAACGAAAGTGAGGAATGGAAAATATACTCAGGGGAAGTTGAAAAAGAGAAAAAGAGAAAATTGAGTACTCGTATATGACCATTAGCTACTGTTAATGAATCTGTTCAACTGATGAGATACTATTTTTAATTATCTCCATTATTGTAGGCATAGAAGATAGGGGAAGGGATTCTTCACCCCTCTTTAATTCAGACCTTACTACTTCAACCAACAATTCATATCCTTTTGGTTTTGGAGAAAGCTTGGAATTAAATTATAATGGCAAGGATAATCTTTAGATCCATCTCTTTCTTTTCCTACCATTTCCTTATTTAGTACAAAATGAAGATAATGAATGAGGTAAATGTACACACATATTAATTCAAATTTGTAAAATTTTTGAGAGTTTACTATCTATCAGGTGCTGAATTAGGTACTGGATATGAAGAGAAAAATAAATCATCATTTCTGTTCTTATGAATTTCAAAGGTTAACAGGAGAAACTGAATATTTGTTCACACAAATCAGTGCACTTAGAGGTGTGTCTTAGGTCAGATTTCCTAAAAGCACAGTGGGAACTGGGGGTTCTTAGCAAGCACTTCACTGATGAAGTGTTTTCAGGATAAACTTCTAAGGAAGCAGATTAGGATAGAGGAAGAAGCTAAGCAGAGATGTGGGTTTCACTAAGTCTAACCTCAGCCTAATCTCCAGAGAACCTGGACCAACACCAGAGAACCTCTGTGAACAACACCACAGGCTTATCTCACTCCAAGTCAAGAGGCTAGGCCTTTATGCCCTTGAATCATTTAGTCATTTGATGAGGGATCCCCTGTTAGGCATTCCTGAGCTCCTGTTGGCCAAAGACAGATAATTATGGGCCGTTAGCAGCCAAGCTCACAACTGCGAGATAAGTGCATTGGCTCCATAAAGGGGACAAGGCTAAGGCAACATCCACTACTAGATTCAAAAATGAATATAACGAGGCTTTATATTCAGGTAACCCAGAGGTTCATTATACAGACTGGTATTAAACAAACAACTATAATGCACTGTGCCAAGTATAATGATAAGAGGTTGAATAGGTGGTATAGAGGAGAGAGTGATTCCCTAATTATACATTTATTGGCACTTTATCTCATTGCACAAAATACTGGAGTTCTTGAAAATAACTTTGGTGGTAAGGAGTGTGCTCATGGAAGTCTTTTTGGAGAAGATGCTAACTGGAGTTGATTTACAAGTAACAGGCTCTATGAATGTCATACTGGTGAATGGGGGATTATTGAGTGACCCTGAATTAAATCTCAGTGGGATTCTTTTTCAACTTATTGCTATATATAAGCATATTATACACTATAAAATAAGTAAGTGAGGCTTTTTAAAAGACTGTAAAAAAGGAATAAAATCAGGTTTTAAGGAAGCAGGCAACTTGTAATCCAATGACAAAAGCATTTCCATGATAACATTCATGGTGATAATATTTGCTTTTGGAACTTGGAAGGAAGCTATCAACATGAGTAAAGTGCTATTAATGAGTCATGATTTCTTGAGAGATACAGATATATTTTTGTTTAATAATGGGCTTGGTCTGTCTGTCAAGTTTAATGATTGAGGTGTGTTTTCATAAAACATTTACCCAAAAGTATTTCACAATATCCAGTGATATTTTCATTTAATGTGACATTGTTTAATTTGAGGCATCTTGGAAGTAATGTGGCTGTAGGCTTATAGACCTTCCAGGGAAAACAGGTCTAACTTAGAACTTGGAACATCTCTAATTGGTTCCAGGTTTTCCTTTCTTGTCATGTGCTACTCCAGAGTTTATTTACTTAGGTTAATAATAAATGAAAGTCATGTTTCATGGTACTTATCTGATACACTGCCCACTCAAATATTTATGTTTTAAGAATGCAACAGAATTAAACAATGTTTCTTTGCGTGTGTAGCTCAGTATCAGTTTATCAGTTTCTACGGTGTCTGTTAACTTGAGATCTTGAATATAGCACTTGGCTTAGAGGTTGAGAAATTCACTGGTCATTTATTTAATTATTTTCATTATTTATTACTTGAGATTTTCATATTTCATAACCTTTTTAATGATCTTCCCATAATGTCCTTTTAATTTGTAATGTATAAATGCATGTTTACTTTAAGAACAAAAGAAAAGAAAGGGAATGTTTTGTGACTTCCATACTTACCTTCCACATTTGCTTATTTTGTCTTTTCATGTGAACATTTTTAAACTTGCTTGTATATTGGACATTCCATTTAAGAAACAAAATTATATTGTCTAAATGTTGTGTTCATTCTTCCATGTTTGAGGACCCTGTTGGTAAATGACTATAAAAAGAGAAAATTCCTTATGAGGAGAAATGTAAGGGAAGAGAAAAAAGACACACACACACACACACACACACACACACACACACACACACACACACAGAGCTATGGGGTCAACGACTCTAGGACAAAGTGGCCTGATTTAAGCAATATTTGGAACTTGCTGTCAACAGAACTTAATTTTATGTCTAGAAAAGCTTATGGGACACAGTTGCATGAGAAAGTATTGTCAACTTATGCCCTTCTGAATTTTATTATTTTTACACATTATTTCCTGAGAGAAGAGAATACATGAGGTCTTATTCAAATATGAAAAGGAAAAACAGGCTTAGAAAAACCGATCCTTTTATTTGCATAACTTCAGTCCTTTTACTCACGTATTTCCCATAGGGATAAGTGAATGGTTTAAATTTTAGGAGACATGTCTTTCAAAGCTGTACATCTCTAGGCAAGGAGGAAAGTTTGAAGTAAGTATCTGGACAATTTTTGAGAGAGGAAGAAAGAATTCTACAAAGAAATTCTTGTTTAGCCAAATTGTCTGTTAAAGGAAACCCTGATTAACCTACATACATATTTGCTTTTTTAAAGCGATATGTAATAGTTGTGCAAACTTGGAGAATACATGTGATATTCTATCACATACGTACAACGTGTAATGAGCAAATCAGGGTAATTGCGATATCTATCACCTCTAACACTGACCTTTTCTTTATGTTGGGAACATTCTAATTCTTCTCTTGCAACTATTTTGCTTATGTCTATTTCATTGGCTATGCTTAAACTCAACTTCATGGCCTCTAGAGCAATAATTATTCCTTTGTTGCTCCAATTAAATTAAATCAGAATAGGCCTTAATTGACCTGTTTCTCTGGTTTATCTCCACATTTTGGTTTCAAATAGGAGAAAGCAGGCATTTGGAGGTTGTTTTATTTCTCTTGTTTAGTAATATCATCCTACATTGGTTATCCACAATTGGTTTAGTTCTTTAGAGATTCATAGCACCCTTTAAAGCTTTTTCTGGTTAAAGCACTCTGATTTTCCTTTAGTGAATCTCTCCCCTCTCACTCTCAGTCCACATGGTTTGGGTAAGAAGTTAACCCCATTCCCTTACCCAGCCCAGCCCATTGAGGAAGTCACATGACCAAGGCTGACAATCAAAACATCTCAGCACCATTGCCAGGATAGGCCCTAGAGATAAAGCTAGGCCAAACCATCCCGTCTTCATAACTAGACTACTCAATTCACATGTCCTTAGGAAGATAAAGGAGATCTCTTTCTTTTGGTTTTGTAAACTGAACAGCCAAATGAAAAGACACTTTTTGACTCTCATCCTATTATTTAAAATATAGCTATCAAGAGCTATGCTTACTACATTTGGCACATGATCTAATATAATTTCTATAAAAACTCTGAAGTAGGTACTTCTATTATCCCCATTTTGCATACCAGAAACTGAGACTTACACATATCAAGTAGGTTTATGAAGGTGGAATGCTGATACATAAGTAGTAGTTGGGTTTGAACTTAGTCTGATCTGAAGCTTGTGCTCTTAAACCACTACATGTCATCTGTAGACATTCTAGTGAGCAGAAGGAAAGCCCACATCCAAATTTTTGCAAACACCAAAATAAAATGTGTTTAGAAGGGAGGAATGAAAGAAAATTGGGGAGAATACAATGGAGAATCACAAAGTTAGAGGAACCTTAGTCTATCAGCTATTGGAGATAGTGGTGGGGCAGAGATGAATAACACTCAACTAAGTTCAATACTGGGTAAGTATCTGCCAAGCTAAATCTACAACCCAAAGCAGCCTGGGGTTATCACATCACCTTCAGAGTGAAGGCTATGTATGGGAGTATTCTAGAGTTTGCTAGAACTACATAGTCAGTCTGGCATGGTATCCTGTTGTTTCAGGTGTTTGTTCATTAACTAGCTCATTTATCCATTCATTCATCCTTCCACTTTTTATTGAACATATACTAAGCGGCAAGTATTAGATGCCTGCAATATATCAAGGTATCTATCTACTCTCAAGGAACTCCCAGTCTAGAACAAGAGGAAGATGAGTTAAGAGCTAATTATAATGCCATAATAAATGTTAAACCAAAAAAAGGAAAAAGAAATTATAATGAGTAGATTTGGTGACTTAGCCTGTGTTGGAACATACAATTGAGCCAAGGAAGATGCCTCTAATATTTAGTCTTATGCATTTTATTTATTTAATTACAGACAAATTTAATTCTGGAGATGTTCTCAGATGGCTTTCCCTGCTCAAGAACACAACAGTTTTATAAATAGCAAACTTCTTTATTTGCGCTGGCAGAAAGCCATCTGAATTTCGCAGTGCCTTTGCTAAAAGCTACATTTAAGGAATATTACGCTGAGTCATTATGACATAATTGGGAAAAATACAAGGAATCTGATGCACATGGGTTCCAAGTCAACTTAACTGCTTACTAGGTGTATAGTACTATGCAGATTATTTAACATCTCTGAGCTTGTTTGTTTAACTATAACATGAGGTTGGACATATGTAAAGTTTAAATGAATTTGTACACATAAAGTGCACCCCATGTTAGTATTCACTTGCCCAGATATTAGTTTTCTTCTTTTCTATAGTTTCTTAGTTTTCGTTTTCTCATTTGTCAAATTGGAATAATAATATTTACTTGCAGTACTGATCATTCAATGAGAGAATATGTCAAAAAATAGTTGGTGCATAGTAGATGCTCAAGAAATGTCAAATTCTCCTGCCTTTTCACTTAGATTCTTAAAAGTATGAATGGTTTCATATCCTCATTGACAAAGTATTTCTCTGAAAAATTCTAAGAATAAAAAATCCTACATCTCTGAATAATTACATTCATGACTCAGGGTGAATTAAAGCTTCACTTTGCCTGGAAAGACGCAAAAGAAACTTGAAGACAAAACAAGAAGCAGATCACAAAGACATAAAGTATAGTGGAACTAGTCAGGACTTCAAGTAAGATAATTTGTATGTATATTCTCACTGGCTTGGTTAATATTGTCCTGATCTTATAAAAAGAAAAAAAGTAATGGTTTGGAATCATCGACAATACAAGGAAAAACAAGTTGCTTTATTTGTAAAGATACAAATAGATCTTTCTCCACAGATACTGTAGAGAAAGTGATTTTGAAGTACATTTTCTACTCATTTTTAAGAAGCATTTTTGTCATACTGGGCCCAAGTCTTGTGGTTGATAGATCAGTCATATGCAAGCCCTCTTTCTGCTGAAAAGTAGTTTTCTACTCTAATTCCATTCTATTTTCATTTATGCTGGAATGATGAATAATGCAGTGTGCAATTACTTCTTTTCTGATTTAATACTAGCATAGGAACTCCTCTCTAGAAAAATATCCAATTAAAATTCACAGTGGCAGGTGTGGGTTGTGGACCTGGTCAAAAGGCATAAACCACCAACCCACCCTGTGATTGTTTTAGCAGAGGATTTCCAGGCATTACTTCAAATGATCTCAGCCATGCATTGCAAGTAATGAAGGCGGCACAAATTCATACCAGCTCCTTGACTCCTTGGCTGCTACTGAATATGGCTTTATTTTCCATTTGTTGAGCTGGAACATCCCCTCAGATTAGAGAGAAGTCAGCCCTTTGCAGTTTATAAGCACAGTTCTGTTAGGAGAGAGAAATAACAGCATGGATTCTGATTTCATTTCTGCTTTAAGGAACAAATTCTTCATTACACTTGTAAGCAGAGGCAGAATGGCTCTTGGTAAAAGTTAAAGCATGAACAGTACCAGCAAGAATAATTGAAATCTACACATTTAAATCTAATTCTATTTGATTTATTTTCAAACAGGTATTAAACCCCTACTATATGCAAACTAGTATGCTCAATGCGTGTATGTTGAATTAAGTGTGCCATATCCATTATTTAAATTGGTCCACCTACATTTCATATAATCTCAATTTTATGTAGTTACATGATTCAACTAGTCATGGATAACTTTGATTTCCTTCTTGTCTTCTTATTGTTACCCATGAAGTTTTAGAGACATCGTACATCCTCAGAATATATTTGCTTAAATAAAAGCTGATTTCATGAGTAAAATCTCATGTTAAGATTCCAAGAAAACATAAAAGAAACCAGAAAATAATACCTCCAGTTGTTCCAGGCTCCTCCTTTCTTATCAGGATGGTTTAAGATTGACTAGTGTGGTCGGTAGATTCTAAGATGTCTTCTAATGATTCCTGCCTCCTGATAGTCACCCTCATACAACCCCTTCCTATTGAGTGTAGGATTGCTTAGTGACTTGCTTCTAACCACCAGAATATGGAAAAAGTCATAGAATGCCATTTCTGTGATTAGGTTATGTAAAATTATTACTTCCATCTTGCTAGCAGACTTTATTGCTTTCTCAGTGTGCACTGTGATGAAGACAGCTGTCGTGTTAGACAGGTGAATGAAGCAAGGATGTGAGGTGTACTTTCAGCCAACAAACAGCTAGAAACATATTGCTCAGTCCACCGACCCATGAGAAACTAAATTTCACAAACAAACCCATGAACTTGGAAGCAGATCCTTTCCCAGACAAGCCTTCAGATGAGACCACAAGCCTGGCCAAGACCACGATTACAGCTTGTGAAAGACCCTGAAGCAGACAACCCAGCTAAACTGTGTCTGAATTCCTGACTCGTAGAAAACATGAGGATATAAAATGTGGGTTGTTTAAAGCTACTTGGTTTACATAATTTGTAATGCAGCAATGCATAAATAATATCATTAGATAATCTTCATACCTTTGAATTCTTATCTGAGCTTTACCTTGGCTAAACTGATAGACTACTTTATTTTTACTTTATCTTCTCTTCGTTTTGCTCTTATGGAAGGATCAATAAAAGGTAAAAATTGCTGGGTGTGGTGGCTTATGCCTGTAATCCCAGCACTTTAGGAGGCCAAGGCAGGCTGACCACTTGAGGCCAGGAGTTCAAGACCAGCCTTACCAACATGGCAAAACCCTGTCTATAAAAAATGCAAAAATTAGCCAGTCATGGTCGCACATGCCTGTAATCCCAGCTGCTCAGGAGACTGAGGCATGAGAATTGCTTGAGCCTGGGAGGCAGAGGCTGCTGTGAGCTGAGATCACCACCCTGCACTCCAGCCTGGGTGACAGAGCCAGACTCTGTCTCAAAAAAAAAAAAAAAAAAAGGTAAAAATGATCACAAGCTTGAGGGAGCATAAAATTTGTTCCTGGGATCTCAAATATGCTTTGGTCAAGCATTAGAGTAGCTTGCTTGTCTAATGATATATGATAGGTGACAGTGGGGAAGATTGTGCTGCTTATTTTACATTTATCCTCTTTGATCCTTAGTTATTTTTATTTAAAAATAAAAATGGTGGAGTATATAGCTACCTATGCTGAGATCTATACTGTACTGAGTGTTTTATATTCATCATCATCTTTAATAATAATAACATCTTAATTTATGCTCTCAGAATCTCTGAGATAAAGATTGAATAAGGAGTATATTATCAAAGTGATAACAAGCAACATATTTCCATAAAGAGTATATTATTAATGTAACATCAGCAAGATGGCAGAATAAGAAACCCTGGACTCCCTTTCCCCCCATAATTACACTGGTTTAACAATAAAACATGGACAAATTCCCTTTGTGAGAAATCCAGAAACTAGTTGAGAGGCTCTAGTACCCAGAGTGAACATGAGACTAGCCACATTGAAGTAGGTAGGGAAATTTGAAACACTCTCTCACCATAATCCCTCCTCCTGGCATAGTACCATGCAACTTGGAGCAAACCCCCAAGATCTCAGCTTCTCCTTGGAGAGCAAGAGTTGGATTGCCTGCCCAACACCTTAACTTTTCTGGGGGCTTCCCAGAAGACTAGCTTTTGTCTTGCCTCTCTTGAAGTGCTGACAGGACCCAGTGTATTCTAGCTGCCTTGGAATCAGTGAAAAAGAAAAATTGCAGTTTGCACTGTCAGCCTCCATAGCCAGTCCCCCTAGTCCAGCACAGAAAAAGTGGATGAAAAATCTCGGCTTCCAGATTCTCCCTGAGGAATAAAGAAGTTAGACCATGTGTACAACCTCAAATTCTCTAGGAACATGCAAAGGACTGGTTTCTGTGCTGCCTGTCTTGGAGCACTAACAAGACCTAGCATACTCTTACTGCCCAGAGACCAGTGAGAAAAAAGATGGCAGTTTGGACTATCAGCCACCGTAGGCTAGGCCTTCCATTTAGCCCAGCACAGAGCAAACGAAAACATACTCAGATCCCCACTTCTCTTTGAAGAAGGAAAGAATTGAACAGAAAGTCCAACTATTCAACTTTTCCAGATGCTGCCTGAGGGACTGGCTTCAGTCTTGCTTGTCTCAGAGTACTGATGGAACCTGTCATACTCTGGACACCAGGGTGTCACTGAGAACAAAGAAGGTAGTTGGACTAGCAATAAAGTTTGAAATCCCGCCCCCCCACCCCAAATCTCTGGCTGGGATGATTAGTGAGGGTCTTTTCTTGCATGAGGCAATACTGTGAAGACTCAGAGGGATAGCTTGTATTCATCCATTTTCATTGTGCTGATGAAGACATAACCTAAGACTGGGTAATTTATAAAGAAAAAGAGGCTTAATATACTCACAGTTTCACGTGGCTGGGGAGGCCTCAAAACCATAGTGGAAGGCAGCAGGCACATGTTACATGGTGGCAGACAAGAGAGAATGAGAGCCAAGCAAAGGGGGAAACCCCTTTGCAAAATCATCAGATCTCATGAAACTTATTCACTACCGTGAGAACAGTATGGGGGAAACCGCCCCATGATTCAATTATCTTTCACTGGGTCCCTCCCATAACACATGGGAATTATAGGAGTAACAATTCAAGATGAGATTTGGGCAGGGACACATCCAAACCACATCATAGCTGTTTTCTCTAATATGCAGTTAACCAACACAAAGTACCAAGAAAACTTGAAGAAATAGGAAAATATGTCCCAAACAAAGGAACAAAATAAACCTCCTGAAACTGACCCTAATAAAACAGAGATATGTGATCTACCTCACAGAATATTCAACATAACCATCATAAAGATACTTAACAAGGTCAGGAGAACAATGCATAAGCAAAGTGAAAATTTCAAAAAAGAGATAGAAAATATATTTTAAAAACCGGAAATTTTAGAGCTGAAGAATGTAACTGAACACTAGAGGTTCAACAACACACCAGATCAAGCAGAAGAATTAGTGAACTCAAAGAGAGATCATTGGAAATTACCCAGAGAAGCAAAAATAAAAAAAGAATGAAATAGTAAGCAAGAGTAAGAAAAGCTTAAGGGACTTTAAGGACACCATAAGTAGACCAATATATGCATTATGGAAGTCGGAGAAGAAAAAGAAGGAGAGGGAAAAAATGGACAGAAATATTATTTTAAAAATATAGTTTCTAGGCTGGGCATGGTGGCTCATGCCTGTAGTTGAGCGGGGTGAATCACGACGTCAGGAGATCGATACCATCTTGGCCAACATGGTGAAACCCTGTCTCTACTAAAATACAAAAAATTAGCCAGGCATGGTGGCACATGCCTGTAGTCCCAGCTACTTGCGAGACTGAGGCAGGGGAATCACTTGAACCCGGGAGGCAGAGGTTGCAGTGAGCTGAGATTGTGCCACTGCACTCTAGCCTGGTGACAGAGTAAGATTCCGTCTCAAAAAAAAAAACAAAAACAAAAAAATATATATGTATATATATATAGTTCCTGAAAACATCTCAACTCTAAAAAAGGAATTGGACATCTAGAATCAGGAGGCCTAACAGACTTCAAATAAGTGAAATTATTCCAAAAATGTACACTTAAATTTATTATATTGAAAGTGTCAAAAATTAATGATAAAAGGGGAATTTTGAAAGCAGAAAGAGAAAAAACGACTGGTCACGTACAGGGGAACCTCTATAAGATCTCTCATGAGCTTATTTTTCAGCAAGATCTTGCATGCCAGAGGCAGTAGGATGATTTATTCAACATGAAGGGAAAAAAACCTGCCAACAAAGAATAGTATACCTGAAAAAAAATTCCCTTCAAAAATGAAAGCTAGATAAAGACTTTCTCAGACCAAAACAAGCCAAGAGAGTTCATCACCACCCAACCTGCCTTACAAGAAATGTTAAGGGGAGTTCTTTAAGTTGACAAGAAATGGTGATAACACAAAAGCATATAAAAGTATGAAACTCACAGGTAATGATGAATATATAGACACATAGTAATGTAATACTCTGAGAGTGGTGAGCAGGTCACTTTTGATTCTGTACAAACAATTAAAAAGAGTATTAAAAATAACTATAAATATAAAAATATGTTCATGGATACATGATATAAAAAGATGTTAAATGTGACATTAATAACATAAAATGGTGGGGAGGAAGAGGTAAAAGTGTAGAATATTTGTTTGTATGTGACTGAAGTTAAGTTGTTATCAACTTGAAATAGACTATTGCAAGGAATTTTATATAAGCCCCATGGTAACCACAAAAAACAAACCTATAGAAAATACACAAAGGAAAAAGAAAAGAATCAAGGCATAGCAATATAAAATTAACAAACAATAAAACACAAAGACAACAAGAGAGGAAAAGATGGACAAAAGGACAAAAAGAGAGATAACAACTAAATGGCAATAACAAGTCCTTTCCTGTTAATAATTATCTTAAATGCAAATGATTTAAACTCTCCAATCAAGTCACAGAGTAGCTGAATGGATAAAAAAAAAAGCAAGATATGACTATATGTTGTGTATAAGAGACTCACTTTAGATTTAGGAACACACTTAGGCTAAAAGTGAAGAGATGGAAAAGAACATTCCATGGAAATGGTAACTGAGAGAGCAGGGGTGATTATACTTACATCAGAAAAAAACAGGTTTTTAAGTCAAAAACTGTCACAAGTGACAAAGAAGGACATTATATAATGATAACATAATCCACTTACCAGGAAGATATAATAATTAAAAATATATGCACCTGATATCAATATCAGATCACTTAAATATATAAAATGAACATTAGCTGAAATGAAAAAAAAGCAATACTTCAATATTCCACTTTCAATAATGGGTAGAATATCTATATTGAAAAAAATCAATAAAGAAACAACTGACTTGAACAACACTATGTAATAAATGGATTTAATAGACATATACAGATCATTCCACTCAACAACAGCAGAATGTAAACTTTCCCATAGTATGCATGGACTATTCTCTAGGATAGATCATGTTAGGTCACAAAAGAAATTTAAGAAGATTGAAATTATACCAAGTATATTTTCTGGCCACAATGGAATGAAACTAGAAATCAATATTAGAAGAAAAACCAGAAAATTTACAAGTGTGGTGAAATTATATAACATATTCCTGAACCAATGAGTCAAAAAAGAAATCAAAAAGGAAATTTGAAAACCTCCTGAGACAAATAAAATCGTAAACACAGTATAACAAAAGGGATGCAGCAAAAGGAATACAAAAAAGGAAGTTTATAGCAATAAATGACTACATTTAAAAAAGAATAGGCCAGGTGTGGTGGCTCATGCCTGTAATCCCAGCACTTTGGGAAACCGAGGAGGGCGGATCACGAGGTCAGGAGATTGAGACCATCCTGGCTAATACAGTGAAACCCTGTCTCTACTAAAAATACCAAAAAAAAAAAAAAAAAAATTAGATGGGGGTGTTGGTGGGTACCTGTAGTCCCAGCTACTCGGGAGGCTGAAGCAGGAGAATGGTGTGAACCTGGGAGGCGTCACTGCACTCCAGCCTGGGTGATAAAGCAAGACTCCGTCTCAAAGGAAAAAAAAAAAAAAAAAAGAATAATAATCTCACATAAACAATGTAACTTTATACCTCAAGGAATTGGAAAAAGAAAGACAATTAAATTTAAAGTTAGCAGAAAGAAGGGAATAATGAAGATTTCAGCAGAAATAAAATAGAGAATAGAAAAACAATAGAAAAAGTCAAAATTAAGAATTGATTTGATTTCTTGAAAAGATGAACTAAATCAACAAACATTTAGACTACGAAAAAAGAAAACTTAAATAAATACAATCAGAAATGAAAGAGAAGACATAATTGATGCTACAGAAATAAAAAGAATCATGAGATTACTATGCACAATTATATACCAACAAATAAGTAACCTAGAAGAAAGAGATAAATTCCTAGGCATACAACTTACCAAGACTGTATCATAAAGAAATAGAAAATCTGAAAAGAGTCATAACTAGTAAGGAGATTGAACCTGTAATTAAAAACAAAAACTAACAAAAAACCAAAAAACCTCCCAACAAAGAAAAGCCCAGGACCAGATGGCTTCACTAATTAATTTAACCAAACATTAATGAAGAATTAGTGTCAATTATTCTCAAACTTTTCCAAAAATTTGAAGAGTAGAAAACATTTCTAAATATATCTTATGAAGTCACTGTTACCCTGATACCAAGCCAGATTAGGACACTATAAGTAAAGAAAACTACAGGCAGATATTCCTGATGAACATAAATGCAAAAATTCTTAATCATGTACTAGCAAAATGAATTCAGCAACAAATTAAAAGGATCATACACCATTATCAGATAGGATTTATTCTTTGGGTGCAAAAATGATGAACATACACAACTCAATAAAAGTGATATACCACATTGACAAAGAATAAAAATAATATGAACAACTCAATAGGTGCTGAAGAAGTGTTTTATAAAATTCAACATGGCTTCATGATAAAAACTCTCAAAAAACTGGGAATGGAGGGAAGTTACCTCAGCATATTAAAGGTCATATATCAAAAACCCACAGACAACATTATAGTAAATAGTAAAAAAACAAACATGTTTACTCTAAGATGAGGAACAAAACAAGGGTGCCTACTTTCACCACTTCTAATCAACACAGTGTTGGAAGCCAAAGCCAGGGCAATTAGTGAAGGACAATAAGTAAAGTGTATCAAAATTGGAAAAGAAGAAGTCAAATTGTGTCTGTTTGCATATAAATTATCTTATATGTAAAAAATTTTAAAGACTCCCACAAAAATAATTGCTAAAACTATTAAATTAATTCAGTAAAGTTGCAGGCTAAAAGAACAACATACAAAAGTCAGTTGCTTTTTTTTTTTTTTTTGAGTTGGAGTTTCCCTCTTGTTGCCCAGGCTGGTGTGCAATGGCGCGATTTCGGCTCACTGCAACCTCTTCCTCCCAGGTTCAAGTGATTCTCCTGCCTCAGCCTCCCAAGTAGCTAGGCTTACAGGCATGCGCCACCACACCTAGCTAATTTTGTATTTTTAGTAGAGATGGGGTTTTGCCATGTTGGCCAGGCTGGTTTCGAACCCCTGACCTCAGGTGATCCACCCGCCTCAGCCTCCCAAAGTGCTGGGATTATAGGAGTGAGCCACCACGCCCGGCCTGCATTTTTTACATGCTAATAATGAAGTTTTTGAAAGGGAAATTAGGAAAATAATTCTAATTACAGCAGCATTAGAGAGAATAAAATACAGAAGCATAAACTTAACTAAGAAAGTGAAAGTTGTACATTGAAAACTACAAAACATTGATGAAAAAAAATAAAGAAGACACAAACAAATGGAAACATACCCCGTGTTCATGGATGGGAAGAATTAATGTGAAGGGTCTTCAAAATGTTCATGAAAAATGAGAATTATGAAAAATCTGTGCATGGAATTCAAAATTTGTTTGCACCAAAATAAACTCCTACTAACTTATTATAATATGTCTGAACAGGATCTAGTTTGAGGCACTAAGGATAGGACATCAGTTTGAAAAAAGCCCCTATCAGAGCAACATGAGTTCTGTGAATATTGGAGCAAGAATGAACATCAAATTTATGGTGAAGCTTGAGTGGGAGAGTGGCAAAATCATGACGCTTTACAAGAATTTTATGGGTACAATGCCCCAAAGAAATTTGCAGCTTACAAATGAATAACTCATTCTAAGAAGGGATAAGATGACATTGAAGATGAAGCCTGCAGTGACAGATCATTCACATCAATTTGTGGGGAAAAAATTAATCTTATGTGTGCCATAATTGAAAAGGACTGATGATTAACAGCAGAAACAGTAGCCAACACCACAGAAATCTTAATTGGTTCATCTTGTACAATTATGACTGAAAAATTAAAGTTGAGCAAACGTTCCACTCTATGGGTGCCAAAACTGCTGCTCCCAGACCGGCTACAGACAACAGTAAAACATTCAGTGGACATTTTAAACAAGTGGGATCAAGATCCTGAGGCATTTCTTCAAAGAATTGTAACAACAAATGAGACAAGGCTTTGGTAGTATGACCCTGAAGACAAAGCACAATCAAAGAAATCACTACTAAAAGGAGGAAGTTGTCCAGTCAAAGCAAAAGTAGACCAGTGAAGAGCAAGGATCATGGAAACATTTTTTTTTTTTTTTGGATGTTCAAGACATTTTTCTTGTTGACGTTCTTAAGGGTCAAAGAACAATAACATTTGCTCCTGATGAGCGTGTTTTGAGAAAGTTAGCTAAAGCTTTAGAAGAAAAATGTCAAGGAAAATTTCACCACCATGACAACACTCCTGCTCATTCCTCTCATCAAACAAGGGCAATTTTGCAGGAGTTTCAATGAGAAATTATTAAGCATCCACTTCACAGTCCTAATTTGGCTCCTCTGACTTTTCTTTTTGTTTTCTAAGTTTAAAAATCTTTAATCTTTAAAGGGCACTTTTTTTTTTTTTGCTGCTGTTGTTAATAATGTAAAAAAGATTGCATTGAAATGGTTAAATTCATAGGATCCTTAGTTTTTAGGGCTAGACTAAATGGCTGGTATCATCACTTACAAAAGTGTCTTGAACTTGATGGAGCTTATGTTGAGAAATAAAGTTTACATTTTTTATTTTTATCTTTTAATTCCATTTCCACGAACCTTTTGAAGTCTCTTCCTGTTAAGGTATTCCTATTATTCAAAGCAATCTACAGATTCAATGCTATCCCTATCAAAATGGAAATAACATTTCTAAAATTCACGTGGAACCACAGAAGACCCAGGATAGCAAAAACAATCTGATTGTTTAAAAGTGTGTAGCACTGCTGTCTCTTGCTCCAGCTCTTGCCATGACTATGATGCCTCACTCCCCGTTTGCCTTCCGCCATGATTGATAGCTCCTTGAAGCCTCCCCAGAAGCAGAAGCTGTTTTGCTCCCTATACAGCCTGCAAAACTGTGAGCCAATTAAACCTCTTTTCTTTATAAATTAACAGTCTCAGGTAACTTCTTTAAAGCAGTGTGAGAACAGACTCATACACTTTCTCTCCCACAAAACAACTGAGTATTAAATTGTTTGAATCCTTCTACAGATGTTTTTGGCCTAAATGATAGTATACAATGCCCACTGTTCTGTACCTTGCTTTTTCACTAAACAATATATCTTAAGATTATTCTATATCAATATCTAGAGAACATCCTTTTTACAGCTGAATAATGTTCTATTACAAAAATGCATAATAATTTATTTAACATCATAGCTATTTAGCTGTGTTATTTAACTATTCATGCACCATAATTTATTCTACAGCATAAATATACTATAATTTATTCATTGATAAGCATGTAAGATTTTTTTAAATTTTGTTTTTGTACATGTTGGACTAGATAATATGTATCAAATTCCCATTAGGAAAACCAAAAACCCTAGATAAATGTTATTTTTAAAAGAAGGCTGCCTGAAGATATTAGAGGGTTAAAAAGAAAATGAGGAATTACCTGGTAGGGAGCAGAGGGGAATGGAAATCCATGACTATGAGTCCGGCATTTGAAGCTGCTTTTGCCTAAGCGATGAGATGCTAAGGATTTTGTGACAGTTTCATGGTGGAGGAAGTCATGGGCCCTCCGAGAAGAAGAGCCCTGGTGACCCCACCGACTTAAGGCTGGTACTCCAAGGGGATGAACCTTAAGAAGGAGAGAATGAATCCCAATTGGCCAGCCCTCAAAAGGAGCTGCAGCTCAACTTCACATCCTCTTAATTCCTGAAATTGGATCGAGATGATCCAGGATTGCTAGGAGCTGCTAGTGAAAACAAAGGCAAATCTTCTCTGGAAAAGATAACAAGCTAGTCTTCATTTTATTTTTAGAAACAATTTTACAAATACAAAGTTCCAACCACAACGACCAACCAAAAAAAACAAAAAACAAAACACAAAACAAAACAAAAAAACAGGCAAATGAGGAGACATGACCACAGAAAGAAACTTTAATAGAAACAATAGAAAACAGATACAGATCCACAGGGTTTCCAGAAATTCAGAGACTAACTTGAAAATTAAGCATTGTTACAGTGCCCAAGGAAATAAAAGGAGAGAATGAAATTTCAGCGGAGAATTAACAAACGACGTCATTTTAAATCTTTGTTCTCACAAACAGGGCAACAGTGAATAGACTTGTGCATGTGTATTTGTAGAAGGAATATGTAGACAATGTAGATATGAAATTTCTGTGTCAAAAACATATGCAATTGTAATTTTGATAGCTACTTTGTCCTCCCTAGAAGTGTTACCAATGTACATTCCCACCAACAAAGTAGTAAAGTAGATGTTTCCCTATACTCTTGATGACTCATGTATCAATAAATTTTAAAAATATTTTCTAGTATTATGAGCAAAAATGTGTATCACTGTAATTTTTATTTGCATTTATCTTACTAGTAAAGTTGAATACAATTGCACATGTTTAAGGTCTATTGTTATTTTTCTCTGTAAATATCCCTTTAATTTTTCCACTGAATTGTTGATCTTTTAAAAAATGATTTATGGAAGCTCTTTATATGTTATACAAATTGGTCCCTGTTTTCTAAGATATAAATTGAAAATATTTTTTCTCATTTTTGTCCCTGAGTATTTTGACTTTGGTTACTGTGGGTTTTGCGATGCCAAATTTTTTTATAGTCAGATTTTTATACATACTGTTTCTTTACTTCCAGTTTTTATATCATGCTTAAGAAAGACTTTGCCTTTGTGACATTTTGTATAAGAAATTGCTACCATGATTTCTTCTTGCACTTTTATGGCTTGATTTTTTTTTAACTATATTATTAATCAAACTAGACTTTTCTTTTGGATGACTCTTCAGTTATTCGAATATCATTTATTGAGTTATTCTTTTCTTCACTATTAAATATGCCGCTTTTATCATGTACTTAATCCCCAAATACAATTGGAATGATTTCTTGAGTTATTTTCTGTTCCACTGATTTGTTCATTCATGTGTTGATAATGTACTTTGTACATTATTTTGCTTTATACAATATTTTAACATCTATTAAAATTGCCCCCTCTCAATATTATTCTTTTTGAGAATTGTCCTAATTATTATTTATTCTATTATATTGACTTTAAAATAAGCTCTTTTGTTTAACAAATAAACCTGTTGGTATGTTTAATGAAGTTACACTAAACTGATAGATTGATTTGGAAAGAACTGACATCTTTACAATGTTGGCTCTTCCTCTCCAGTGTCCTTGCTTGCCTGGCTGTCTGTTCAAGTCTTCTTTTAGTCTCAGGTACATTTTACAGTTCTATTAACCTAGATCTTGAACAAAAGTTTTCTTTGTGTTTTTTAAGTGTTTTTTTGCTCCAATGTGGATGAATTATTTTATTATACCTATAAACTACCTTTTGTTTCTATCTACGAGGGCTATTAATTTGTGTATATAAAATGTGTGCCCAACCTTCTCGCCAAACTTGCATATTTTTGTAAACAGACCGTTGTCTCTTCTCTTTGGTTTTTCAAATATACAATAACATAAGAAATATTCCTTTTTTTCCTAATTTTTATACTTTAAATTTCTTTCTTTTCCTTAACTACATTGGACTATTTCTCCAGAATTAAAGTTAGATAGCAGTGCTGGTCATTATTTTCTGGGTAAATGACAAAAATGAAGCTACTGATTCAAGTAAAAGACATCTTTTATTATTTTAGTAAGAAGCGTATCTCATCAATTAACTTATATTAATTTGATTATTAGTAATTTTGAAATTATTTATTTCTTTTTTCTTAGACCTCAAGTATAGGGGTTTAAATTTATCATATTGCTAAGTTCATAAAACATTACCATCTATGGGTCATGCAAGCCCTCTCTTTTTTAAAAAAATCTTTATTTTCTGGGCCGGGCATGGTGGCTCACTCCTGTGATCGCAGCACTTTGGGAGGCCTAGGCCGGTGGATCACCTGAGGTCAGTAGTTCAAGACCAGACGGAACAACATGGTGAAACTCTGTCTCTACTAAAAATACAATATTAGCCGGACATGGTGGTGCACTCCTGTAATCCCAGCTACTATGGAGGCTGAGACAGGAGAATCGCTTGAACCCAGGAGGCAGAGGTTGCAGTGAGCTGAGATCGTGCCATTGCACTCCAGCCTGGGCAACAAGAGTAAAACTCCATTTCAAAAAAAAAAAAAAAAGTATTTTCCTTTATCACTATACTCCATATTTCTCTCCCTTTCCCATCATAGGTTGCCATCAAGATGTATTTAATGTGGGTTGCTTTGCTTTTAGTTGTATATGTTATTACACAGTTTGTTTTCTGTCTACATATTATTAATTTACATAAATGGTTTTGTATCATGTATCTCACTAAGTATTATATAAGACCCATAATATTGCTATGCAAAATTCTGATCTGTAGTTTCTATTGCAACAATACATTTCTTGGTGTGCATATATCATATTTTTCCTATTCATGCTCTAACTGGTGAATACCCAAGTTGCCTCCAACTCCTCACCAAATTTTCTTATTTGCTCCTATGTAGAGGGTGTTAGAAATGTGAGGGTTATTCATTTAGAATCTTGTGTTATATGATACATACGTATATGGCCAGTAACGCCAGCTGGCTGTTCAGAATGTCATCAGCCTGCACTCCTAACTGCAAGCATGGGAGCTCGAATATTCCCACAACCCATACCAATACTTGGTTGCTTTTCTATATGCTGATATTTTTGGTTTTAATTTCTCCTGTGTAATGCCTGTTCATACATTCTTTCTAAGTATTCATTTTTAATGTATCATACATATTCTTCATAACAAAAGATCATACCAATTTCATATTATTGCTAGGCAGGTTTCTCAATATGTTATTTACATTTGAAAGATTTCCAAGATTCCTTCAAGCATTACAATTTTGCAATTTAAAAAAACATTAAAAAATTATCTATATCAGGGCGTCTCAGACTTTTTATAAAAGAGTTTTACTTTTAATTTTCCCACAAGCTGCATGTCTAAATGTGACAGGAAAGTAACTTAGAATTCTAAAATAACTAGATGTTTGGACAATGTTTGTATCCTCTCAAAATTCAAATGTTGAAATCCTAACCTCCAATATAATGGCATTAGGATGTGGGGTCTTTGAGAGGTGATTACGTCATGAGTAACAGGTTTAGTGCCCTTATAGAAGAGACCCCAGAGAGAACCCTTGTCCTCTTTGCCATATGGGAATAAAATGAGAAGTTACTAGTCTACAACCCAGAGAGGACCCTTGGCAGAGCCCGACCATGCTGGCGCCCTGATCTTGGACTTCCAGCTGCAGAACTGTGAAAAATAAATTTCTGTTGTTTATATTCCACCCATTCTATGGTACTTTATTATAACAGCCTCAATGGACTCAGACACTAAGGGATGAAGAGGGAGCAGGAAGTCTATGTAGACACATCAATCATTTTGGAAACATATTTACTCACTAATTTAATAAATATCTACTAAATTTATTACATGCTGGGTTTTGTAATAAATGTTTGTGATAGAGATGAGTAAGTCGCCTCCCTTAAAAAACACATGTCTAGTGGGGGAGAGATGCATGTAAAAACAAATGAATTGCAAGTATTGCTACAGAAACATTAGCCAAGGACAGAAGACAGAGGTTTCTTTCACTTTATGACTCAGATTTTCCAGTGTTAAATTAACATGTTTACTATATGGATGACACATTTTCAGTCATATTAGGGGAGGAAAAAAAGAAAATAAAATGAGATTAAACCATTGACTTTTGTATTCAGTCAGCAAATATTTACTGAATGACTCATTTTTTCATTATGCCAGGTGTTAGGGATAAAAAAGTGAGCAAATATTAAATGATAGCTTTCAAAGGACAAAAAGTTATCATGTGATTGTAAAATTCCCAGGAGCAGTAGTTCACTATGGTCCATAGCACAGTGATCCAGAAGGTTTAACATATTCCTTAGTCATCTATGTTGAATGTCAGGGATCATAATACGTGTGTATATACAGGAGTAAGCATTTTGATTTGTGACTGTGCTTGCATAATGCTAATTCCATCTGGTTTTGCTGAGAACAAACAGAGATGCATGAAAAAGAAGAAATGTTATGGCTCTGCTTGCATAGATAGTGACCTGACTCTTCCAGGGTCTTCTCAGGCAGAGGTGTCATGAATAAGGTCACTTCTGTTCAGTAATATTCCACCACTATCCCAGCAAAGAGATATTTTCCATGCAGACGAGACTGAGTACATTCAGATTTAATGGTATCTAACAGAAAAGAAGAAGTTGGTTATGAACAATCTATGAAGAAGCTTGAAAGCTAGAGGTGATTTTGACTTTAAATGTAGATATGGTCACTTTATTTCCAAGGCATTGATGGAGTTCTTTGAAGCCCAGTGATTGTAGGAAAGACTAATTTTAGACAGTTCTTTCTTTAAATCCCCATCAGGAAATATATTGGACATTGAATTTGCCTTTCATCATTTTTCTACTCTTCCCTCATTATGAATCCGTCAAAGATGTAGGTCAATTGGAATAATTCCACTCTACTTAGCATAGTGATTGGCTCATTGAGAGCCACAGAGGTCTGCATGGAGAAGTACAATTGAACTCGACTTTCAAGAGTAGAATTTCGATAAGTGGAGAGCATGTCATGGGTAAAAGTGAAGAAACAGGAATATGCATAGTATGTTCGGGAACTGTGAGCAAATCTTTAACTAGAGCAAAATGTTTTACTGTTTTTATCTCCCAGAGCTGTCCAGCTGATTAACCTCATTTCTCACATTCAGCAAGCAATTACCGAACAGTGCATAGTACTGCACTAAGTAATAGATAGGCTTCAAAGCAAGTTGCTTTTGGGTTGAAAAACTTTATTGCAGAGATAAACCCATTGATTTTAGAACTAAAAGCACCTATGAAATAATCCAGCAGAATTCATTCATTTCCAGGTACGGAAACTGAGGCCTAGATAGCTTAAATGAATGGAAGCAGCAATGTATGCAGAGAGAACCGTAAATTGTAAGAGCCATTTAAACTCTCACTTTGATTTCCGTCTCCTGCAAAGCGGCAGTATTAGCATAGGAAGCTGTTGTTGGGGTTCAGGGAGACAGCCTATGCGAAGCACCAGGCACATAACAGATACTAAATTAATTTTCCTTTCATGTTCTCCCTTCACTTTATTGTGAGCAACATAGTGATTTGGCGGCAGAGTTAGAAATAAGAATATACTGCTTTGAACCTACAAGAAAGTTTCCTCCTGCCCAGTACAGCAGTCCATTGTTAGAAATTCCACGAGAACTAACCTCAAAGGCCTCAAATTTCTCCAAAGAGCAACTTTTTTTTTTTTTTTCACAAACTCATTTCTCTTTGTCCTGTGCATATGCCAGGCTCATTCTCGCTTTTTTTTTTCTTTTTTAGACTGAGTCTCCCTCTGTCACCCAGCCTGGAGTGCAATTGTGCGATTTCAGCTTACTGCAACCTCCGCCTCCTGGGTTCAAGCAATTCTCCTGTCTCAGCCGCCTGAGTAGCTGGGATTGCAGGCATACGCCACCACGCCCAGCTAATTTTTGTATTTTTAGTAGAAACAGGGTTTCACCATGTTGGCCAAGCTGGTCTTGAACTCCTGACCTCAAGTGATCTGCCTGCCTCAGCCTCCCAAAGTGCCGGGATTATAAGCGTGAGCCACCACGCCTGGCCTCATTCTCTTTTTTAGACCTGTGGACATCTTGTTTCTAAATCCCCACTCCTGCAGGAATGTCTTTCTTCCTTCTATCTATTCAAATCCTCTCCTTTATTCATTTATTCAGTCATTAAATCTGAATGGAGTCAGTCAGTCATTAAACATGTGTTGAGTACTTACTATGTGGCAGGCAGCTGGTCTAAGGTTTGAGATTAGAGTACTGAAGAGAATATCCCTGCCTTTGAGGAATCTATCTGGGGCACACCCTAGTTGGAAAGCAGATATGTTCACTCCAGGAAAGGTAAGAAATAATGTTGTGAAGGTATGAGTTTAATGCCTTGGGAACATGGGACAAGGGAAGACTGATTCTATGTGAAGGGGCTTCTGCCATTATTCTACCCCAATTATATACCAATTACCTTTTCTCTGCCTCCTATTACATATAAAGATGGTCACACACAACAGAACCCATAAGTATATATACTGCTTGCTATCATTGTATAAATGCCAGGATGTGGGTATAAGTAGATATATCTAGCCAGAAAGGACCACAACAATCTAATCAAGTAGAATATGTTGATGAGGTACCTCAGGTTTATCCAGAAAAGTGAGTTATGCTCAGGGGTATAGGATGAGTAATTTCTTCACCAATGCAGGGACCTAATGCAGGGTTTTAAAATCTTGCTTGCATGTCAGAATTATCTGGGGAGCATTTGAAAAATTCAGATGGCTAAGCCCAATCCTAGACTTACAGAAGCAGGAAGTTTTAAAATAAAGTGCAGGAATATGGATTTTTAGGTATTATATGGTTGATTCTAATGATTAGCTAGCAATGGTCAGGAAGTGCTCGTCTATTTTGTGCCAACATTTGCAGAACACTGAGAATATGGACATGAATAAAATACTGTCGATTCTACTCCTGCCTTATAAGATAGGTCTCTGTCCTGGAAAACCTGATAGTCAGGTGGAAGGGATAGGCAAGGAAATATATAAAACCAGACAACATCTATCTCTATAGATGTAAAGTGAGGATGCAACACAGAGATGGAAAGGACCAACTCACTCTTGGGAAAAGCAGGAAGGTTCTTAGAAGATGGTGCATTTGAGATGAGATATAAAGGACTCGGGGGTTTCTCAAATAAAGGGGGTGAGAAAGGACATTCCAAGTGTAGACTTGAGCCTCCGGCTCCCACTGGACTTAGCCAGCAAGTCTAAGAGGTACCTGAGTTATAAAGATTGGGGCGCTTATACTCTGGGGCCAGGCTCTTAGATATGTCTGAGGTGGAGACTGTGATGTTCATCATTTATGTTACTAATTCACACCTGTTTCATATACCATTTTCATTTCATTCAGACATTTCCTGGGTGCCTTTGTACCTAGGAGACATTCTCAAACAGAATTTGCAATGGGAACACGCAAGATGGACAAAAATACTCTCGAATTTGAAGCCCAAGAAAAGCTTCCTGAGAAAGATGATGCTAAAGTTAGTCTTAAAAGTTAGAGTTCTCATGAAAATGAGGAAAGGCAGAAAAGGGCTGAATTGTTTTGCAAATATACAATGCATGGAGATGAGAGTGAATTCTGCACATGCAAGGACCTTCATGTCCTGTGAGGCTGGACCATGGCTGTGGGAAAAAGATGGTGGCTATGAATCAGCCTGGGGAGGAAGGTATGTTTCCAGCTGTTAAAAGGCTTCTTATGCTCTGCTGGAGTCTGGACTTCATGTAGGCAGCATTGGGAAACCCTAGTTATTTAATGCAGGGCAGATGAGGTCTGATTTACTTTTCCAAAAGGTCATTCTGAGCACATATGTATTTTCTTTCTTCAGCATAATTGTAAACATCCTCTCAACAGACATCAAATCTTGATTCGTTTCTTTTTGTTTCTCCAGCAAGTGCTTAGCAGAGGAAGTGGCACACATGTTGAGAGGTGAATAGTTAACGGATTCATTAATTGATTGGGAGGTACAAACCCATACTTGAGTGAAGGCTGTAATATGGACTCTATATCCTATGCTGTGGCTAATAGTTAGATATCTCAAGCAATCTTAAGCTGTGCTTCTTAATTTTAACATGCACGCAAATCACCTGGGGATCTTGTTAAAACAGAGTTCTTAATTTATTATATCCTGGGTAGGGCCTACGATTCTGCACTTGTAACAGTCTTTCTGATGTTGCTGTTCCTGCTGCTGATTTGGATTTCCAATTGTGAGTGGCAAGGATCTTAATACTCAGTTGTCTTATTTAGGAAGTCTCTGATAGTGGGGTGGTTTATGAACTGTGAAACTTTTTACAGGGATTTTAGAAATGGAGAAGCTCCATCATGAGAGACTCCTCCTTGACTAAGACTCCATACAGCTTCTTTGGGACTGGTTTTGAAGGCGATGGCAGGTCTTTGATGCCCCTGGGTTAAACATTGATATTATTTGCCTTTAAGGGAATTTCTGATGCTGCTGCCAGTTTCTTCTTTGCTCTGCCAAGTATTGAGTTCCACAAGAAAAATCCATTAGTAACAGCAGAGTTGATAATAGAACAGCAGATAAAGTCAAAGGGCTCTAAAAACAGCATGCTATCAGCATGTAATTTGTTTAGGCCTATGTAGGATAAAGTCCTTTCTCGTGAATTTTCAAGTTTGAAATTCGATTAGGAACCGGTTTGTAATTTCTTGATATTTTTCTGTTCTTCCCTGTTCATTTTTACAGACTTACTTGTCATATAATGACATTCTGGATGTCCCTGGACCTCACCAGCTTGTGGACACAAAGACAGCCACATCAGTTAGGCTGAATTCTGCTGGCTTAATGCCACTCATTACTGTGAGCAGGAGCTTGGTTCTCTGACCTCTCTAGTGGCTCTCAGAGAAGCCCCAGGCTATGTTCAATGTTAGTGTAGGTTGTTGCTTACACTTTTTTCATCATCCAGCAATGGACCCCCAATGGCTGCTCCATCCTCATACGGCTTCCAACAATGCTGCCCTCTCCCTGGCATCCACTCCATGCATGGGTAGGGACATCCCTCCCTTGGACTGAAGCTGACCTTTCTGAGCCTAAGCTGGAAGGCAAATACTGCCCTTTCTGAGCCTAAGCTGGGAGGCACTCAAGGGTAGCAGTAAAGAGAATTGTCTCTGGAGATGGAATGCCACATATCAGCTATGTGATTTGGGCAAGTTGTTGAATCACATCTGATTTCTTACCTGTACAATGAGAATAACTAGAGTTCTATAATCTCAAGATTGCTGAGAAAATCTTGTTGACACAAGATTATTGTTGGCACATATAAAACAATACATGCTAACCATTATTCACTGGTTTTCTCTTTATCACTGTGTCCCAGCCTGAGCAAGTTTTATTTCACCACAACACAGCTGAGACCAGTTAATAACATCTAATATTGACATGGCTGATGGCTCAGGAATAAGAAGAGGGATTAAAATCAGAGGAAAGTGCAACTGCTATTTAATATGGAGACTCAGCTGCAATAGCCCCAGGTGTACGCTTCTGGGGGTGTCTTTCAGGGATCTTCCTTCCTCCCTGCATGTCTGTCCTTCTTTGTCAGATGACATTTTTGCCATAAGTCAAAAGAATATCCTTGAACTTATATCAACTCCTTGGAGTTCAAGCTTAGAGACGAGAATTGCCATCTTGGGGTTCATTTCCTTTTCTGGCATCATCTCCTTCTCAGGGTTTTCTTACCCCACTGCCTCTAGAATGATTTTTCTAAAACACACTTATTACTTCACTTCCTCCTGAAAACCACAGATTGTCCCCCTGGCACTTAGGACAGAAAATTCCTATTAGCACAAGAGGCTGTTTATGTGTGCTGATCTTTCTTTGTGAGATGCACTTTCCTCCTGTTTTTTTTTTTTTTTTTTTTTTTTTTAATGTCCATTCAATGGTCATGGCCTGGATCAAACCTGACTTCCTCTGTGGATTCTTCCTGGAATTGTCTGGCACCCTGTATCCCCACATCTCAGCCAGGCTTCCTCCTCCAGGCCCCCATGACACTCCACACCTTACTGTGTTAACATTATAACATGTCATAATTTTCTTCTAGTCCTGCCTCTCCCATTAAAGTTGTGCTCTGTGAAAAGGGATGTTTTATCTTATTAATTGTAGAATCTAGTGTGGCACACAGTATCTGCTCATAAGAGTGGCCGGTGAATAAACTCATATTTACTGGGCATTTTGTGGGCTTCCCTTTCATCTACTCTGATCTGTACTGTAGATATAAGTAGGGCAAGTATTACTCTGCTCTCCAGTTTATATATGAGAAAAGGAGGTTCACAGAGTGAGGTACCTTGTCCACAGTCAACTTGGTCAGCCAAGCCAGGTAAAAGAAGATAAATTTGGACTCAGACCTTTGACTTTAATTCCAGTGTCCCCTTTCACTACTTCGTACTGTTTCCTTTGGACAGAAATTAAATCCTGGTAGATAAAGGGGAAGACGTAAGGAAGACAAGACAAGGGACTGAGGAAATGTTGGGGAAGATGAGAACACCTCAGAAACCACAATTGAAGAATTCCTAGGACCCCCAGGTAAAGCTGTTTGGGTGTGATACATCCTTGGGCATATTGTTGACTGATTTTTAGGCTTGAGGGAAGATACTCTTTGTTTTAAACAAGGTGGATGGAAATGAAGGTGGAGAGAAACACCGTGAGAAAGATTTTAATGCAAAGCCAATCCAAGCACCATCTCTTAGAGCCTTATTTCTTTTCAGCAGCTCTCTGGATTGTTCTAAGAAGTGATGGGTAATTTTATAAAAGTCTTAAGCTGTTGTTAAGAGATCTTTTTAAAGCTGAAGGCAAAACAAACAAACATGATGTCCTACAAAGCTGAGAATAAGCTCCAGAGAGAGGGAAGGCAGCAGAAATAGTTACTGGGATGGGGAAAGAGATCGCAATGTACCTTGTCTCAAGCCCTATGAACGCTGTCGCCTCACCCTCCTGCAAAGTCCCGTGGGCAGCCCGAGCTTGGCTGAGAGGGGAGGCAACAGAGACGCCAGGATGGGAGAGCTCGGAGCTATTTCGGACTCCAGGCCAACATCCACGGAGACCTTGAGTTACGTCATCGGAACTGTCTGGACTTTGGTCCCCTTATGCCAAATGCGGTTTCCAGAAAAAGGATCCGCAGCGTATTTGGAAGCTCATCAACTAAAAGTTGTCTCGTCACTTTCATGCGTGAGATCTTTTCATTTGTGAAGAGCATATTATTTTGCTTAATTATGGGCTGCGAGGAGGTGGCATAGAGCAGTGGAAAAAGCCTGGGCTCTGGAGTCAGAGAGACCTAGTCTGAATCATGGCTCTGCCATCCACCAGCTACGGGACACTGGCCTGGTGGGCCTGTTTCCTTGTCCATAAACTGAGAATAATCTTGCAATAATTAACTATCTTGGAGGGAGGTTGTTAGGATAAGACGATAAATGCATGTCAAGAATCTTGTTCTGCTGTTCAGATATTTAATCATCAGTCGCTGTTATTAATAAAGTATCTGACTTTTCAGTAACATTTAGCATATGAGATTTCTCGTTCACTCTAACAGTATGGCTATAGTGGTATACATAATCTCCTTTTGCTTGTGAATACTGCTAAAATTAAATTCCCATTTCTCAAAGACGTTTTCTTATATGGAGTCTTACCGATGATGATTTTCAGCACCCTGACAATTTGTTGTTTTTAAATACTTATAGTTTATTTTGTAATCATCTATGCCATAACTAATTACACTTTTTTTTTTTTTCAAGGAAAGGGGCACATCCAGAAAGGAGATAAGATCAGAAGCCTTTATTTCCACTATTCAGCCACTCACTGCCTGAGACTTAACTTCATTTCAAGTAAGGGGATAATATTTGGCCCCTAAGTATCTTACAAGGGTTTTGTTTTCCCTAAGAGAAAAAAAATTAGGTAAGATCATAAGTAAGAAAGGATTTTTTGAATTAAAAATATATGCAAATGCAAGTTATAACAATTTTTGTTCTGGATATTTTTGCAGTAGATAGAAAAGTTCTTTGTGCTGTGGCCACCTGCCTAATGCTGTTGACTGGCTGGTAATAGATGCCTGGGAGTCATTTTGAGGTTACTTAGAGCCTCTTTCCACCACCAGATGGAAGGAAATTGGGCAACTTCTTGAGTAATTGGCTCTTCTGACTCACGTTTCTTGCATTGTGACCTGGGTGCTACCCAGGATGAGCAAGGAATTTCCTCTCTGGAGTTGTTTAAGGAATAGCCCAAACGTTCAGCTTCATCTTTTTTTAATGCCGCCTCTAACACTACCTGAGCAGCCACAGAAAAGTATTTGCTGCTGCAGTATTTTGGATCAGCTGAAATATATTTTGAGTATGTACTCTGGGAAAGGCACAGAATACCATTTCTTTACTGAGATTCTCTTCAAGGATTTCCATCCCTCCTTAAAGACCTAGTTGGGATGGAGCAATGTATTTAGAACATGATGTGAGTACCAACAAGGAGTCGGGAGACACCTTTTAGCTGTACTTCTTTATCTTTCTCTCCTTGCTTCCTCTGTCTCTGGTTTCCCCTTTTGCATCTCTTGTTTTTCCTTTCTTTTCTTGTATTACTTTCTCTTGATCAATAGAGCTGCCATAGCCTTCCCAGACATAAATAATCAGCTTCCTTGGAAGTACTCAGAATGTGAACAGCTGTAGCCACTTAGACCTGGTCTTAGATTCTCACCCCTTGTTGTGTATTGTAATTATCTAGGGAACTTAAAAGGTACTGAGGCATGGGCCCCAATGGAATCATTATCCCTGGGGGGTGGGGTGGGCCCTAGACCTGGTATTTTCAAAAACTTTCAAAAATTATTCTAACACATACGCAGATTAAACTGGTTGCAGACATTCAGGAAGCAAAAATATGACAAAATTACCCTAAAAGTAAAATAAAATAAGATTTTTGGCTCAAAGTGCAGTAATCCTGTTGTCTGGCCACCTTATTTGTGTCCTATTCATCAAATAAGGGGATTTGTTTTGTTTTGTTTTTTGAGAACCGCAGCAAGAAAAATTGGTCATGCCCAGGCAAATCTTCTAGGTGAGTTCTAAAGATAAGTCAAGTGGCCATAAAACACTTCTACAGCTAATATTTGTTGAGAGCATGTTCTGAGCCATGTGCTATGCAGAATACATTTACTATACATTGCCTCACTTAATCCTCTCAACAATTCTGAGGCATTATTCTTCTTCTGGATTTACAAAAGAAGAAAGAGAGGCACAAAGCAATTGCTTAACTCGCTCAGCACCTGACCACTAGTTAGAAGTGAAGCTGGGAGATTTGAATGCAAGCAGGTAGACTGCAGAATCTGCCTGTTAATCATCATGTTATATCTCCTTTACACTGTGACAGTTAAGATAAAATTACAAAAATTTGCGAGAGCAGTAGTTCTCAATCTTGCCGGCATAGCAGAATTGTTGGGAGAGCTTTGAAAAAAAATCCTTTGCTCATGTCATATCATGAAACAATTTAATCCATATCTGATATGGTTTGGCTGTGTGCCCATCGAAATCTCATCTTGAATTGTAGCTGCCATTATTCCCACGTGTTGTGGGAGGGACCCAGTGGGAGACAATTGAATCATGGGGGCAGTTTCCCTCATACTGTTCTGGTGGTAGTGAATAAGTCTCACGAGATCTGATGGTTTTATAAGGGGAAACCCCTTTCACTTGGTTCCTATTCTCTCTTGCCTGCCGCTGCATAAGACATGATATTTGCCTTCTGCCATGATTGTGAGGCCTCCCCAGCCACATAAAACCGTGAGTCCATTAATCCTCTTTTTCTTCATAAATTACCCATTCTCGGGAATGTGTTTAGCAGTGTGAAAATGGACTAATATCATATCTCTCAAGAATGAGACCCTTGGGAGGCCGAGGCGGGTGGATCACTAGGTCAAGAGTTCAAGACCAGCCTGGCCAACATGGTGAAACCCTGTCTCTACTAAAAGTACAAAACTTAGCTGGGCATGGTGGTGTGCACCTGTAATCCTAGCTACTTGGGAGGCTGAAGCAAGAGAGTCACTTGAACCCAGGAGGCAGAGGCTGCAGTGAGCCAAGATTGTGCCACTGCACTCCAGCCTGGGTGACAGAGCAAGACTCAGTCTCAAAACAAACAAACAAACAAAAACGAGACCCAAGCATTGTAAGTGTGCCCCAGGTGACTCTATGTTACAATCAAGGTTGAAAACTAGTGGATTAGAGGAATGAGAACAATACAGATGAGAATCATCAGGGAAAGCTTCATAGGTGAACTTGGCCTGTGGCAGGCAGAATAATGTTCTCTCTGACCCAAGATGTCCACATCCTAATTCTTGTGACTTTTGAGTATGTTACCTTCCATGACAAATGGAAGTAAGATTGCAGATGGAATGAAGGCTGCAAATCAGCCGACCCAAACTGGGAAATTAGCTTGGATTATCCAGGTGGACCCCATGTAATCACATGGGCCCTTAATGGAAGAGGGAGACAGAAATGAAAGAATCAGAGTTAGTGGCTTCAGAAGGACTTAGCCCAATATTGCTGACTTTGAAAATGGAAAGTGGACTCCAGGAATGCAGGTGGTCTCTAGAAGCTGAAGAAGGTCAGGAATCAGATTATCACCCAGAGAGAGTAACCAGAATGGATACATTTTGGCCAACATGATTCTAACCCAGTGAGACCCATTTTGGGCTTATGACTTCCAGAATTATAAGGTAAAAAAATTATAGTGTTTCATAATGTTATTTGGCATAGAAAATAAGAAGTTATATTTTTAAGAATTCATGTGAGATTGTCAGTGTTAATCAAGAATAACTGGTGAATTAAAGATAGTGATGATTTTGGAGAAAAAAGTATTGTTAAGGCCACTGTTCATGGAGATTTGTTTCAGCAGGAAATTAGTACAGTGGCTTAATAAAAAGGGAGAATTTAGAGAAAATATATGAAGAGAATGAAAAATATGCATTTAGCTACAGATTAGATTTTCTGTTGAAGCACAGTGTGTATTTTGGAGAAGTACATGAAACCCTTCATAGCTAAGCAGAAAAATGTGGTTATAAGAACAGAGGAGTCAAATGCACTGGAGTTTACTAATAACAATTAAGGTATGCTGTGGATCGTATATGTACTAGGCACCTACATATCTGCCCTATGGAATCCCTGTACACTGTAGACATTTGTAACTTGCAGTTGAACCATGATTCAAACTCAAGCCTTCTGGCCTCCAGAATCAGTGTTCATTCCAGTTACCACACTGTGTACTTTTCCTCCTCGCTAAGACCACTTGGAACTCTAGTGATTTTTCTTATCTCCCTTAAGCACATGGCAAGGAACTGTGATCTCATAGAGGACCTCCTGGTGCAGAGACAAAGGGTTCTTGTACAAATTTCTTACAGGAACAATAAGTGATAACTAGGATGTTTAAAGAAAATTGACCTGATAGTTATGTGCAAGAAGGACTGTAGTAGATGAAGCTAGAGGCAGGCAGATCAGTCAGGAAGTCGGACAATAACTCAGACTCCTGAGGGTTTGAACTCTGAGTGGCAGTGGAAGTGGGAGTGAAGAGGAGATGAATTCAGGAAACCTTGAAGAAATTCAACTGAAGGGAAAATAACCTGCTTGAGAAGGGCAAAAGAATGGCATAGTCAAAGATAATTCCAGGTTTTCAGGTCTGGCAAGATGAAAAGATGTTTGGTGGTGTCCCTGACAGAACTGGGAGTGTTGGAGAAGGGAAGAAGTTTGGGGGGGTCTGATGGTGTAAGGTGGTATTATGTAATAAAAGGTTTGCCTGGCCTCTGTCCCTGGTTTCTGGCATGGAGACTCTAAATCCTTGGACCATCCCAGGTGATGAAGAGTGTCTTTGTTATGCTAATAAGATAACTTATGATAGACCCGTAGATGATTTTGAACAGGGACTGGTCAGCAGAAAGACCAATAATGTTGATTAGAGTATTGGAACTCTGAGTTGGCCTGACTTCTGGGGAAACGGAGGAGTGGAAATTGAGTTCAGTCATGTGGCCAATGACTTAATCATGCTTGTGTAATGAAACTCCAATAATAACTAAAAGGTGCAGCTTCCTGGTTGGTGCACACATTATTGATGTTCTGTGAGGGTAATATGCTGATTCTATAGGAATAGGGTATGGAAGCTTTACATCTGGGAGCCTCCCGGATCTTACTGCTATGGATATCCTTTATAATAGAATTGTAATCACAAGTATAATGCTTTTCTGAGGTCTGTGAGTTGTTCTGATGAATTATCAAACCTGATGGGATTGTGGGAACCCCCAATTTGTGGCCAGTCAGTCAAAACTGTGGTGGCCAAGGGACCTTCTGAAACTTGTGGCTGGCATCTGAAGTGCGGGCAGTCCTGTGAAGAATTTTGCCCTTATCTGGGAGATCGGCACTTACTCTGACTAGTTACTGTCAATTAAATTTTAGTTCACTCACTTCGGGGTGGAAACAGAATAGGTGGACATTAAGATGACGTAAATTCCTGTCTGTGGGCAAAACTCAGTTATGTGAAACCAGTTTCCACTTAATACTGACGCCAAAAAAAAAAAATCAGAGAAAATTAACTGCAACATTTAAATATTCACTTCTTGATTTCTGATTGACCTCTCTGACTTCCCCAGTGACTTTTTGGGCCAATGTGATGGAATAAAATATCAGGGGTTTTAAAGACAGAATTGAGTTCAAATTCTGTCTTTGTCACTTACTTTCTGTGAAATAGCGGGCGTGTAACTTATTCTTTTTGGATTATAGCCCCTTATCTTAAAATGGGAATATTAATGCCTAATTTGTAAAGCTGTTAAGAGGATGAACATAAAAAGTAAGCTCTTGGTACATGAGAGATGCACAAAGAATGTTATTTTCTGTTGTCCTTTAAGATTATTTCCAATTGGAATGTTTTTTTCTGAGAGAGATTCTTTTACCCAGATTTATCAAAAGGGAGTCAAAGTGATTGATGTGGCTTCACTGAGCTTTCAGCGAACTCTCTGACTTTGGGGGATATGCTAACTCATCCTCTCAAAAGTCAGCGGCTGTTAGAGAGTTTTGTTCTAAGAAGAGTTTTACAGTAATTGAAGAATTTGTAATCTCTGCCATGCATGTGAAGAGAGAACATCTCTGCAATGCCTGCATCAGCTTGGCACCACATTTGTCACTGACTAGCTGAGCTACAGGTGTTTAGTGAATGATCTCAATAGCACCATTGCAATAGTCATACCATATACTTAAGTGATTTTTTCCAAAGAGACCAGACAAGTCTGAAACCCAGAATGACAGCCAGGCCCTTGGATTTGTCCTTGTATCCTCAGCTGTCCTCTCCTTACTTGCCTTTCTTCCACTTTGTGGTGAGGTGGTTACAGCTGTGAACCAAATAACTGGCATAGTTATCTTGAGGAATGCTCCTGAATCATCACCCTCAAAATGATTACATGAAATGGTTGGGCACCATCTCTTTTGTGAATTTATCTCTTGTGAAGAAATGTTTTTAATACCTGCTTTTACTATGAAATACTGGGATAGAAACTTGTAGGGAATCTCCAAATAGGCTTTTGAGGTTTTATTCTACCTATTAGGCAGATAGGGAGGCTGAGCCCCAAAGTAATCAAGTGACCTGCCCAAGCCACACTATTTAAGAGAAGAGACAGGATTTGAAATCAAATGTCTTACTCTGAAGCCATTTTTGAAAGACTGTGACTTATTTCTAGGTGGAATCTGCTTCCGTTTTCTTTTTATTCTCAAACTCTATCTGATTTTATTTTTTCTAGACGATTTATTATGACTTTTTTATTCTTTAAATATAGCTTAGTCAACAGAGCTTATTTTCAAATTGTTTGGAAATAATATAGTACTAGATACACCAAAGTGCCAGTCTGCTGGCTTTAAGGTTTTTTTTTTGTTGTTATTGTTGCTGTTTAATACCTAGTTTCAAATTCAGGGTTTGGGTTTAACTGAAATTTATTCTGGAGGTTTCAGCAAGGTTTGCTTCTTTTACCATCTCCTCTTAGTAAGCAAATCCTGGAGATTTTCCTTGCCACAAGTGCTTAATGGCAGAGAACATCTTGTCACCATCCAAGGCATATCCTTTTGAGTGATATATTTTTCTGGCTAGAGAGAGAAATCTGACCCAGACCCCACAAATAGCAGATTTATATTACATATAAAACCATTACTCCAGGATTCCTGGGTAGGAGATTTCTGCTTTTCAGAATTTTTACTTTTTCTCTTTTGACTCTTGATGTCATCACATTTCAGGGGTTATACTTGACTTCTGAAGCTTAAATCCAAAGGTATAATCAAAATACATAATTGGTAGTAGGTACAAAACCTGAGATGGTTGGGACTAAGAGATTAGGCAAACACTGTGCCTAGTCTAAGCAGTAAACAGGTGTACAGGTCTCAATAAATGGGTGGTAGGTGTCAGGGAAAGTCAGCTGCTAAAGCTGTTAGGATTTAATGAAGTGATAATGATGTAATAAATGAGCAGTGGAGGTCAGAGAGAGTCAGCTAATTGGGTCATTGAGATTTAATAAGATGATGTCTATAATTGTCTTAAGTGTAGGGCTGTGCTCCTTGCAAGTTCTCAATAAATGACATTTACTATGAGTACCAAAGACAATGAGGGAGCAATAGCAAATCAGTACAAGATGAATCAGTAATCTCTTATTTTTTGGCTTTATAAACATTGCTTTCTAGGAATCTAGCTGGGCCCAGAGTCTGGGGCTAAAAGGAAAGCATTTAATAAATAATGTGATGATGATGATTATTTTCATTACCGTACCAAAAGTATAGTAATGGTTATATACCAATGGTAACTTTGGCATTTAATCAAAGTTACATACCATATACTGTTGGTATATTTAACTTTTCGTTAAATACCAAAAGTATGGTAATGGAAATAATACGGTATCAGGTAAACTGATAAGTACAATGTCAGATTATAAAGTGCAACAATAGATGCACACACCCAAATAGGAAAGACTTGTTTTTCACCACCTTTATTAAGAGAAGTGCAAAGTTAAATGAATCTTATTTGTACTGATGGGTTCCAAGTTCTACTGCTAGATGTGTAATTTAATTTCATGCAGATTTATCTGGATCCTTAAAGATAATACAAAATGATAGTTCCTAAAATTGCCCAATAAGAATCCCAGCAACCCACTTCTGACCCACAGAATCAAAATCAGCTTGGAAGATAAATTAGTAATCTCTTGAACAAAATCCCAAATGATTCATATGATCAGTTAAGTTTGAAAAACACTGGGCTAGTTTTAGCTAGAACTGGGCTAAAATCTCCCCTGCTATGCTGTAAAATTTAAAGAGAGTGGAAGTTTTTACTAGCTAGGAAGCCATTTTCTCCCAGTCCCAATTCCAGAATAAGAGCTATGGGTTCCACTGGCACACACGCTCTGTTTCTCTCTCTCTCTGTCTGTCTCTCTCTCTGTGCATGTGAGTGCTTTGTGTGTGTGTGTGTGTGTGTGTGTGTGTGGAATCAATATAGTAATAAGATATTTAAAATTGTTAAATCCCAAGTTACCACTCTCCAAGATGGTTTTGGATATGGCTGGAGCAAAGTAGGAGAAATGAACAGATGACCTCATTATCTCTTAGAAACCTATGATTCCATGAACATGATACAGGTTTTATGCATGATCTGCCCTGTTTACCTCAAAATGTCTGAAGTCAGTGAGTCAGAAAAAACCAAAATTGCTATAGAAATGCCAGTTTGGAAGACATCTTTGTTTTAGTTAGAAGGATTTTTGTGGAAATATGACTTAAGCCTTTGTGTTTCAAAAGATGAGGTGTATTTCCCTGGGAAAAGACTCAAGAAAACCCAAGGAAATGGAAGATTTATTTTCTATTAAATACTTGGAAAAAGACAGAAGTCTCAATCCATTAGTCACAACCAAATGCCCAGTGATGAAGTTCCTCCTCTTATGACTCTTCTGGAAAGATTAATGGCTGTTTAATCTGACCCTTCCTTTCCACTCTGTGCCTCCACCTCCAGTCTGAGTTGTCTGTTTACTCATGACAGCTCTAATAGCCAACCACCTGTTTTAATTGTCTCTAGCTTATTTCTGCTCCGATCCATTCTACACCCCTGAGCCAAAAGAATCTTTCAGAAAAGCTGCTTTACAACTAATATCAACTTCAATTGTTCCCATTGTGTTTATAGATAAATATTATAGAATTAAAGATTCTCAGGTGGATAGCACCTCACAAATCATGACAGCTCCTCAAACCCAAAGATCTGTGTCTGACATTCAAGGCCTTCTTATGTACTCCATATAGTAGTCAGGACTCTTGTTTACAAGAGAGGGACAGAAACCGGCTTGGGTAAAAAGGCAAATTCAAAATGATTCACAAAACTAAAAATGAGAAAGAAAAGCTATGGCTAGAACCAAGGGCTTGAACATTAGAATTCTTTGCCTGTCTCTTCTCCCTAGTTTTAGATTTCTCTCTCTTTGGCTCTGGCATCTTTAGGTTCAACATCTTTACATCTTTTCATTAAACAGAAAAAAAAATCATTTTTAAGTAATTCCAAATGTACAGATCCTAAGAAAGGTCTCTGATTGACACACACACACTCGCACACACAAAATCATCTCTATACCCATGTGTAAATCTTGGGTTAGAGCTGGGGAAAGGTTGGGAATTATCAGTCCCCATTGGAAATGTATGGTTAAGTTGTATTTAGCAAACAGAAATGAAGGTTTCTGGATAGATAAAGCAATTTACTTTTATCTACTACAACCCACAGTGTATTATCAATCAGCTTCTATAAGCTTATTTTATACTAATTGAATTTTTTTTCTCTTTTTGAGACAGAGTTTTGCTCTTGTCTCCCAGGCTGGAGTACAATGGTGTGATCTTGGCTCACTGCAACCTCTGCCTCCCGGGTTCAAGTGATTCCCCTGCCTCAGACTCCCAAGTAGCTGGGAATACAGGCACCTACCACCACATCCAGCTAATTTTTGTATTTTTAGTAGAGATGGTGTTTCACCATGTTGGCCAGGCTTGTTTCCAACTCCTGACCTCGTGATCCACCCGCCTCGGCTTCCCAAATTGCTGGGATTACAGGCGTGAGCCAGTGCGCCCAGCCCTCATTGAATTTTTATACAAACCACATGGATCTAACCAGTGTTTCCCCAACATGTTACATATATTTTTCCTTCAAGACCTAGCTGAAGTTACTGCTTCTTTGTCTGTCCTAAGGTTCAGAGATGACATTTGATGACTGTGCCCTGTTTATACAACTCAATTGGCACTAAGCACATACCATCTGGTATTAGTAAACATTCTTTCATGTGTATATCCTGTTTCCCCAACTAGATTATAACCCTCTTCAGAACAGATGTATTTAAACTCAGGTAGAGAGAGAATTGCTGCTAGCTATTATTAAGGTTAAATCCCTGTTTTATAATTTCCTAGTTTGCGAAAGAGAAATTTGAAACATAACAGCCAGGAAGTCATAAAAATTGGAGCGTAGTTGTATTCAACACCGACAATTGGAATTACACTAATTGAACAGATAATAGCCATTGGGAACCCTTGATCAAGGTAAGAGAATAGTGAAAGCTTGTCCCTCAGATTGAGTTTAGGCATTAATTAAGGAAACAAGTCTGAAGGGACTAAGTATTTCAGAAAGGAGATATTTCTGGGGCTATAGAGCTCCACATTGGTGAAGGCCTTAGAATTCTCTATCAGAGCATGTGCTCTCTCGCTCTCTCGCTCTCTCGCTCTCTCGCTCTCTCGCTCTCTCGCTCTCTCGCTCTCTCGCTCTCTCGCTCTCTCGCTCTCTCGCTCTCTCGCTCTCTCACACAAAATCATCTCTATACCCATGTGTAAATAACTTCTGTTTGAGAATAATTTTACACATTACAAATTAAAACAACCTAAAACTCTATGCTCTTGAATGTAGTGGTGGTTTGCAACTGTATCTCTTGCTTAGAACTGTTTAAAGTACATTGTCTTGAGTACTCAAAAACCTTTTCTTTTCAATAATTAACAGATGAGATTTTCAATATATGGATCAAAAACTGAAGATAGTCTATCGAATAAGATAATGAAAATAACAAATAAAAAATAGTGGACTTCATAAAATGTTTTGCTAACACATCTAGAATAAAGACTTCAATATTGTTTCTTAGTTTTAATATTTTAGACTATAATATTCATAAAATATTTCACAACTTACATAGGCTTCTAGATGAGCAAGAGGACACAGTGGATCTGGACTCATGGAGATAATTTTAACTCCAAATCAATCTTTTACATCAAATCTTTAAACAATGAAATTGACTTGATATGTTCTGGCTCCCACCCTGGTATATATGAAACTGGAAAGTGTAGACAGCAAATATTAGTGATGTTCCCAAACTAATGACAGAAGAGTCAAATTCAAGTTCAAAATCATGACTTTCAAAAACTCATTGGAGAACTGAGGTCACAGAATGAATAACTGGCCCCAAATCAGGGACAGTGACTCTGGAGAGAGAGGAGGTACAAATGAGTGCCTATCTGAGGTTGATAGAACTGGACACCAGTAGGAAGAATTCAGTAGACTAGCTGAAAAATCAATGTAGGCCTAGTGTGGGTTGGTGGAACAGTGTAGATATCCCTGGGTATTAGAAAAACTGGGGGAATCTGTAGCCTTTTGCAGGATCTTTCTCCATTAACCCATTAAGCACTCAAAATAAAGATCAGAAAGAGCCATGCAATCTTGGAGAGCAGTCGCCCTGCACGAGAGCAGCAAATCTCACTCAAAAGTGTTTAATCTATGGAGGGAAAGCAAAACTACTGACTTTAGGATATTGGTGACCACTCATTGCAGCTGAGGAAAGGGAACAGGATGGAAGAAATAAAAGTATATTCCTAGGAAGAGCAGCCAGATTAAGTACAGAGCCCACAAATATAGCCAAGAGAAAAGCAGGAGAGCTGAAAAGGCCACACACCCCAGGGAAACAGACATACTTAACACAGTCTTAATGAGAACAACAGAGACTGTACCTAACACCCTTCACTGTGAAGCTAAGAAGCTTCCAATAACAACTAACAGCAGAATACAATTGAGAGAGGGATAGGAGAAGAACAAGAAATGTACAAAGAGAACCTCTTTGATGCACAGTTCAAAGGTAGACCTAAAACTCAGAATCAAGTAAACATTGCTCTGATATATATCCACCATCCTAGAAATAAGCTATCTATAGGAATTTGAAATCTGCGGTTCACTGAGTATAACCATAGCAACAACAAAAAAATCATAAAACCTGTCCAATTTTCAGTTGGATTAAGTCAAAGCCCTCCGTTAAGGTTCAAGCAGGAGGAAAGAAAGGCATGCCCATTGCCAGGTATAAAAACTATCTCCCAGACTTTCCTAACCCGCCAGACTTTTAACAACAACAACAAAGATATGAGGCATACCAAAAGGCAAGAGAAAACAACACATTCCCAAGTAATGAAGCAACCACTAAATACCTTCAAGACTTACTATAAAGCAAGTATGATTAAGATAGTGTGGCATTGGTGAAAAGATAGACTTAATAAGTTAATGGAACAGAATACAGAGCCCAGAAATATACCAGCACAAACATTTCAATCAATTTTTGACAAAAATGCAAAGGCAATTCAATCAAGAAATGCTAACCTTTTCAACAAATCACACTGGAACAATGGGCCATCCATATGCAAAAAGAAAAGAGAAGAATTTCAACATACATTGTACAAAAATTAACTCAAAATGGATCCTAAACCTATATTTGAAATGTGAAGCTATGAAAAAACAGAAGGAAATCTGTGGGTCTGTTGATGAGTATGTAGATATGACACCGAAAGCACAATTCATTAAAAGAGAAAGATAAACTGTACCAACACCTAAAACTTTGCTCTGCAGAACGCACAGTAAGAATATTAAAAGGTAAGCCCCAGATTAAGCAACTATGTTTGTAAATTGCACACTTGAAAAAGGTCTTGTACCCAGAATGTGCAAAGTACTCTTAAAACTCAACAATTAGAAGAAAATAAACAATATAACTTAAAAAAATGGGCAAAAGATCTTGACTGACATTTCATCAAAGAAGATATATAGATGGCAAATAAACATGAAAAGATGCTCAACATTATTAGTATTATGTAATAAACTGTCCCCAAAATTTATATGTTAAAGCCCTAACCCCTATCATGTATTTGGAGATGGGGGTTATATGGAGATAATTAATTTTAAGTGAAGTCATAAGGGTGGGACCCTAATCACAGAGTGCTGGTGTTCTTACAAGAAGAGAAAGAGACACGAGAGATCTCCCTCTGCATGTGCACAGAGGAAAGGCCATGTGCAGATACAACGCGAAGGCAGCCTTCTATAACCAGGAAAAGAGGCTCTGCCAGAAACCAAGCCTGAAAGAAACTTGACCTTGAACTTCTGGCCTCCAGAAATGTGGGAAGTAAATTTCTGTTGTTTCAGCACCCAGTCTGTGGTATTTTATTATGGCAGCCCCAGTAAACTAATTCAATTAGTCATTAGACAAATGCAAATTAGGAGTACAATAAGATCCCATGAAACAATGTAAGAATGGCTAAAAAATAAATAAATAATAAAACCTGACAAAATGAGGTTCTGGCAAGAATGTAAAACACTAAGAACTCTCATTTATTGTTGGAAAAGCAAAATAGTACAGCCAAGTTGGAAAAGAGTTTGGTAGTTTCTTATAATTAAACATAAACTTATCATATAACCCTCCAATCTCATTCCTTGGTATTTACCCAAGTGAGTTGAAAATTTATGTTCACATAAAAATTAATATGCAAAATTTATAGTAACTTTATTTGTAATCATCTCAAATAGCAAATAACTACGATCTACTTCAACAGGTGAATGGAAAACTGAAACAATGCTCATCTAATGGAATGTTACTCAGAAAGATAAAAGAGCAAACTATTAATTCACATAGCAATATGGATGAATCTCTAGTGCATTTTGCCATGTGGAAACAGTCACAAAAAAGGCAACATATTGTATGATTCAATTTATATAACATTTTAGAAAAGGCAAAATTATAAGAATGGGAAACAGTTCAGTGGTTGCTAGGAGTTGATGGAGGGAGCACAGACTAACTACAAAGGAGCTACCCAGAGACATTGGTAGGGTAACAGAACTGTGATGTATGGCAATATGTTGGTGGATACGTGATTTTATGCTGTTTTCAAAACCATTGGTTTGCCACAAAAAGTATGTAATTGTATGCAAATTAAAAAAATCATGCAGGGTATAGGGGGATTCTCCAGGATAGAATGTAGACTATAAGAATTAAATGTAACTATTTCAATATATGATGTAACTTCACAGAAGGGGTGAGGACAAAAGAGTTGGCCCAAGTGACTTTGAAAAATGTTTTGAATGCATACTGTAAAGCTGAAGATGAAAAGAACTGTAAAATAATACTGTTTTCTAGTTGATAAATTTGTTTCTCACAGGGATACCTCTTAGAAAATCTGAAAATACTTTACATGCATCTGAGGTTAACAAATACATAAATTACATATAATGTGAGCCATGTTTCTCACTCTCAGGAGGATGACACAAATAATCAGGGGGAAGGAGAGTGAAGGCTAGAATGAACCTAGTGACTTATATAGCTGTGTGTATTACACAGAATATATATGTATATAGATATAGAAATAAGTATGTGTAAACATACATGGGTTAACATACATATTATTTACTAGCTCTGTCTACTGAAATGGCCTAGAAGCAGTGATACCTCAGTAGCAAAGAGCACACCTAGCACCTTGATTGTGGTTTTTAAATACCACTTTAGAATAAAAAGAAAAATGCCTGGTTCTAGGGTTGGGGAAGAGGAAATGCAAGATGAGCATGGAGAATCTACTAGTGCCAGAGAACACAAAATGCCCAAGAAAATAAGGATGGGGAGGGTCATATTGAAAGGGCACAGAGGCAATGGCCAAAGCTGAAACAATTTGAGCAACATAAATAGTGATATTATTGGAATGTAATCCAAAGAATAACATTAATATTCTTGAGCCCATAAACATATAAGTAAATGATTGACACAAATAGAAGAGAATGAAAGCATTTAAATGTAGGGGGCATGAGGGAAATAGAAAATCCCCATTAGAAATGCACAATAACAGTTGCTGCAGGCAAGACTGATTGATGAATGCTAAAATTAGTGGAAGAATCTTTAAGGAGAAATGGTTTTTTTCAGAGCCTCTGAGAATCTCTTCCCTAAAGTGACTAAATCTGTGGTAGTTTTAATATATTACCACAAATTCCTTGATATTTTTCTCCAATATGAAGAGTTTAATTTTCCTTTCCTTGAATGTGGGCTAGATCTAACGATCTAACAAATAATTCTAATGAATAGAGTATATGAAGGGAAAATAGTAACTTTACAGTGGAAAAACCTGGCAAAACCATTTTAACCAAGTCAGCACGTTTAAATTAACATCAACAGTAATTAGTCATGCTGATATGATTGGCCCCCTATCGGATGCAATGAGAAGAGTTATGGATTTCACAATATTCCTTCCCAAACCCATAATCTCAGTCTATTCATGAGAAAATATCACAAAAACAAAACCTGAAGGATATTTTACAAAAGAGCTGACCACTTCTCTTCAAAAAGTGCCAAGCTGAAGAAAGACAACACAGACTGAAAAACTGTCACAGATCACAGGAGACTAAGAAGAGGTAATGACAAAATGCAACATGGGCTCTTCATTTGGTCTTGAAACAGAGGACGAACACCACTGCAAACACTGGGAAAATCTCAGTAAAGTTGGCAGTTTAGTTAATAGTGTTAGACTAAGATTAATTTCTTCTTTTTTTTTTTTTTAGACGGAGTCTCGCTCTGTTACCCAGGCTGGAGTGCAGTGGCCTGATCTCGGCTCACTGCAAGCTCCACCTCCCAGGTTCGCGCCATTCTCCTGCCTCAGCCTCTTGAGTAGCTGGGACTACAGGTGCCCGCCACTGCGCCCGGCTAATTTTTTGTATTTTTAGTAGAGACGGGGTTTCACCATGTTAGCCAGGATGGTCTCGATCTCCTGACCCAGTGATCCGCCCGCCTCGGCCTCCCAAAGTGCTGGGATTACAGGCATGAGCCACCACGCCCAGCCAATTTCTTACTTTTAATGAGTGAATAATGGTTATGAAAAATGATAATTTTAGAGGAAGCCAGGTGAAGGGTATACTAGAAAACTATTTACTATCTTTTCAGTGATTCTGTAAGTCCAAAATGAATTCAGAATTACATTTTTTTAAAAAAATAGAGGCCAGGCACGGTGGCTCACGCCTGTAATCCCAGCACTTTGGGAGGCCGAGGCAGGCAAATCATGAGGTCGGGAGATGGAGACCATCCTGGCCAACATGGTGAAACCCCGTCTCTACTAAAATACAAAAAATTAGCCGGGTGTGGTGGCACATGCCTGTAGTCCCAGCTACTCAGGAGGCTGAGGCAGGGGAATCGTTTGAACCTGGCAGGCGGAGGTGGCAGTGAGCCAAGATCATGCCACTGCATTCACTCTAGCCTGGTGACAGAGCAAGACTCCATCTCAATTAAAAAAAAAAAAAAAGGACTGGCATGATATTTTCAAATTTTATCTCCCTTGGAAGAGAAGTTCAAAGTAAACAGAACCCAAAGGAGCAGCCAGGGAGACCAATCAAATAAGCATTTGAATAATTTAGCCTTGATGACATGAACTTTCAAACTTTTCTTAAACTTTGCAGAGTTGTGTAGGCCATTTCATTTTCTAGAAAGAACTTTGAGGGAATAACTGGAGCTGCTGAAGGGAAAATGAAGCCTATTAGTTAACTCTTGGCCACTTTTGTCATGTCCAGTATTGCAACATTGGGAGGCCTGTTACCCAGGTTAGAGCCTCTTCACTTTCACTTTCACTTTTAATTTTTCCAGGTTTATGAGTCTGTGTGATATTTACCTAGATGTACTCTTCTATCAAGGTGGCCATAACTCATCTAATTTCACAAATCTGCTTTCACAGGGATGGTCTATGTCAACTCTAAATTCTAAGTCAGGCCGGGCGCGGTGGCTCACGCCTGTAATCCCAGCACTTTGGGAGGCCGAGGCGGGCGGATCACGAGGTCAGGAGATCGAGACCATCCTGGCCAACATGGTGAAACCCCGTCTCTACTAAAAAAAACAAAAAAATTAGCCAGGCGTGGTGGCGCATGCCTGTAATCCCAGCTACTCGGGAGGCTGAGACAGGAGAATCGCTTGAACCCGGGAGGCGGAGGTTGCGGTGAGCCGAGATCGCGCCATTGCACTCCAGTCTGGGCGACAAGAGCAAGACTCCATCAAAATAAATAAATAAATAAATAAATAAAAAATAAAAAATAAAAAATTCTAAGTCATAGTAAAGTGAGGAAGGCAATATACACTAGGAAGGGATAGGAATTAGTTACTGGGCCCCATTCACAATGATATCATCTTCCTGGGAAGTACAACTATTAAACAAGGACAGACCCTCAATGGCCATGTCTTTACATGAATCTCAACCTAAGATCATTAGAGTCTCCTTCCTGGGAATTTGGGATTTGGAACTAAAAGATACAAAGATGTTTGACTAGGAGGAAGAGTTGGACCTTCTGCCCCAAAGGACCCAGAGTTCTAGAGAGGCCTGTTTTAGCACTTACTCGTCTCCATCCTCCGGTGCCAGCCTCCTTGCCATCATTGCCTCACTGAGGTGTAGCTAGGTTTTTCTTACAACAGAAGACAGTCTCTCCCCTCTTACCTCAACTTCCTATTCTGGGGATAGGGGGAACCGGTGATATTGAAGATGATTAGTTGCTATGTTATGGGTTTGAACTGCATTTGGCTATAAAACAATCTTGTTTAGAAAAGTATATGGGGGAGAGGACCTCTTCCCATGCACTCCTTGAGACAGATCCCAAATGGTCTGTGATCTTGTTTGCAAGAGATTCTATTGGTCAAATGCTTAAAGATAAAGGTGGGATGGCCTTCAGATTGTATCAGCTTAGCTAGTATTGCTAAGCAACTGTTGCAAGCTCTGAAAATAAAAAAATTTTGAGCCACCACTCCCCGCCCCCCTCCCAAAAATAATTGATTCTGCTCTTTTTAAAGCTTGGATGCCATCTTTGTTAGTGTCCTGTGGCTGCTGCAGCAAATTACCACAGACTGCACGGTTTCAAACAATAGAAAGTTATTCTCTGACAGTTCTGGTGGCCAGAATTCCAAAATCCAGATGTCAGCAGAGCCCCACTCCCTACAGAGGCTCCAGCAGAGTGGGGGCAGCCCATTACTGGCTGCTCTTAGCTTCCTTGACTTAACAGCTATATGACTTCCACCTCCGCCTCTGTCTTCACATCATCTTCTCTCCTGTTTGTTTACTCTGTGTGTCTCATAGACACTTGTCATTGGATTTATGGCCCACCTGAATAACCTAAAATGCTTTCTTCATCTAAAGATCCTCAACTTAATTACAATGATACTTTTTCCTTTTTTATAAAGTTAAGGTTTTTATTATTAATTCAGCTTTAGATGTAGTTAAAAATGAGTACAAGTGTATGTCACCCTTCAGATAAATTTATGCCAAAGAATTGAGCAGCCTGAAATGGAGAGCTATTTATTTTTTATAGCTATATCCTACTTTATATTTAATTTATGCAATTCCCCAAAACCAGTTTCTTCTTCTTCTTCTTCTTTTTTAAATTTAAGTTCTGGGATACATGTGCAGAATGGGCAGGTTTGTTACATAGGTATACACGTGCCATGGTGGTTTGCTGCACCCATCAACCCCTCATCTACATTAGGTATTTCTCCTAATGCTATCCCTCCACTAGCACCCCCAGCCCCTAACAGGCCCCAGTGAGCAATGTTTCCCTCCCTGTGTACAATGACACTTTTTCTACATAAGGAAATGTTCACAGCTTCTGTGAATTATGAAAATATCTTTTGGGCGACCACCATTCAACTCAATCAATACACTACTCTTCCAATTATTATTTTTCTTAAACTTAATAGTGCCAGTTTCTCTTATTTGCTACCAAAATAGCTTACGTAGCTTGGTGTCTCAGGGTTAGTGGCAGCAGTTATAAGTGGCTTGCACTATCTGTAATCTAAGGCTGACTTCAGAAGTTCTCCAGTCTTAGTGTAATACGAATTACTTTGGAACTTGTTAAAAATGCAAGTTTCTGCTCTCATTGGCAGAGTTTTTCAACAAATTGGTGCAGGAATCTGCATTTTTAGCATTTCCCAGATGTCCTGGTGATAACAGGGAAATTATGAAAGCTCAGACCCTTTAATGTCCCATTCAAATAAAAGCAACAGAAAAAGCAATAAAAAATAATTTGAAAACTTTAATAATGTCATTTATATAGTTATAAAACCATAAAATCTTTTAAATAAGGTACATTCAATTTCTCAGAGCATCTAATATTCAGATAATTTATATTTCATATGTTTTCCAACATTAAACAATTGACTAAATAATGCATTTTCTATAAAATGATATTACAGCTTATACAGATAAAATTATAAAAATACTCCACACAGAAAAATATGGCAGTACCTATTAGAAAAATGCTACAAACTTTCCATTAAAAATATATATTTTCTCTTTCATTTGTCATAATAAACAGAATATAATTTTCTTTCTAAAATTAAGTCATACCGTTTCTTTATAGGATGATAATATGTACAAATCTTATATCTGAATGAATATAAATAGCAATACTGTAATAGTGTTACAGATATATTAGTAACTTTTACAGAAAAAAATATGGCTTTCTAATAAAAGCCTCTAGCATAGCTGAAATCTCAAAGCTATTTAAGTTAGACATTCCCATATTTAGTAAGGCACAATGGAGTCTAGTTTTTTTTTTTTAATTTCCAGTTGAATTACTGCAAGCAGTAATAAGGGAAAATATAGTCAGTAGATAACGATCCAGATCTGACAGTTGGATTAACCATTTGGGGTTTATTGGAGGAGATGTTAGTCCTTTCTCCACATCATAGTTTCTTTTAGTACCCTGTGGCAAAATTAGTCACTGGTAATGAGAAAGATATCACTGAAAGCCTCAAGTGCCTGAGAAACAGTTTACTCATCCATGGGATCTCGCCAATTGTGAGGAAACAGCTCAATGGCCATTTCCAGTTATAAGCAGCTTATTTTTACTGATTGGACCTGGTTACCTATCATTTCTAAAAATAACTTCTGATACAATTTGTACATTGTGAAGCTGTGAAGGAACCTGATGGTCTTCTTTAGACTCTGAGTGACAGTTTTGGGAAAGTGGTACGTCTTTGAGTGCTTTAGTGCGTGCATTAGGCCCTTCAAGGTGTCTTGGTCGCCATTTTTTATTCGCCACAAACTGAGCAGCTTCAGGATCTGGTCACTGGGTTTGCATGCCTTTATTGTTTTTTCAATGTCTTCTGCTCCCACTTTCTTTCCCGGTAAGCTTTCCATCAAGCTACGAAGCTGCTCGAAGGTGAGGTTAGCATGTCCAATGTGCCGCTGCACGCTGTTTTCACAGAGGTCAATATCTGCATAAAGCAAAAGCCCAGATAAGTGTTCACATCATTTATATTCATCCAATGCCATCATAAAACAAGCGTGAGGCAAAAGGTTCTTGCAGAATTTCATAATTATATTTCAATGATAACCTTTTCTTTTGAGAGGGAGTTAAGTGACACCATTTATTTCTAAGAACTGAGATAAATATTTTTTGTTATAATAAGATAATATGCTATATATTTTTGGCATCCAACAAAACTTTGGAAGAAGCTCCTAATTTTGAAAATTAACAGTAGAAAATAAGACACATCACTCTCAGTTTTCTAAGAAAAAGTTTGAGAAATTAAAACCATAACATTTCAGAAAAAAAGGAAAGTATTCAAGTTAGCTACTTTGTAATACAAAGTTTCATTAGTAGGCGCTAGTTGATAAGTTAATTGCCGTAACTAGCCTTTAAAGAATACACATAGCACCAGAGGACTACCTCCATGAGGAGGATATCTGAAAACTCAAAGACATGAGGTCGAGGAACTAAAGGAGACACACAGCCTAGAGAATATTTCAGTAATAAGCTAGGGTACAAACCTAAGAGGGAGGAACTAACATTTCTATTAATGACATGAGTCACTTAGTATCTGTGAGCCCTAAGGCAAATCGGTTCATCTTTCTGGGTTAAAATGTCCTCATTTATAAAATAGGGAATTTGGTTGCTTCCAATTCTAACGGTCTCTGATTTTCTCTTTTCTTTCGGCTTCAGGGCTAATTATACGTTCAAAGAATACTTTTGGTTTGCTCAAAACATAAAAGTTTACTCTTTGCATAAGCAAAAGCAATCAGCTCTCAAAGACGTTGGTCTCCTAAAATCTGTTGCCCCGGTTTCAGATACTTGAAGTTTTTTAGGGTAGTGCAAGACTATACAGTCATTTAACTACTGGTGAGGACCTGAATGAATTTCTCACTGACCCTGTCTGCATTATGGAAACTCTTCTTCCTTTTTCTTCTAGCATGTCCTCCCAATGCTTACTGAAGTCAGAACTCTTTCCATCATGTGTCGTAAAGCTTACAGTCCACACTGGATGAAACTCCTTTTCTTCAGATTCTTTCACACTTCTCTCCCTATCTCTCTCTGTTTCTCTCTCACACCATTTCTAAAGGAGAATCTTTATATAAACTTATAAGATGTGAGAACATTTTGCTGTAACTAGCTTTTTCCTACAAGAGGCTCAAACACTTTTCAGATTTTATCTCATTAATTCTCATAACATATGCCATTAAAATAATTTTAATGCAGGCCATATCATGAGGATTAATAAGAACATATTTGTAAGCTACGAAAAGCCTACCTGGAGAGAATTACCAAGTAAATACAACAGAGCTTCTTGGTAGAGGTGCAATGTAAGATACAAAGTGGTTATAGAGCTTCTCCTTGGTGGTCTAGAGGGGCTGCTTACAGAAGCGTTAAGGGATCTGGAAGCGACTCCCTGAGATACAGCCCTGCCTTCAAATGCATTTCTCTTCTCTTAGAGTGTTCAACATACTTTACAAGGAAACTGGGGAGCAGGGGTGAGAACAAAACCTTGTATAACTGTTTTTGGAATCACATCTACATTATCAGTTGGTGGAAACTTTTTCAGTCCAACAATGATTCCAACAGGGAAACAAGATCCACACAACTAAACATACATGCAGTCTTGTTCCTGGTTTATGATAAATAGGTGTCTTTGATTTCTGATTGATCTTTTTATTTTAGATTATCATACCTTGGATGATCTTCTTGACTATATCTTGGTCTTTGTTTTGATGTTTCCATAACTTCAGCAGCTGGAAAGTCTGTTCTTGTGAGCTGTGTTGCCGTTTTATCCTCTCTACACTCTCTGCGTTTACTTTGGTGCCAGGCAAATTGTCTACCAAGACACTAAGCCAGTTAGGCGTAAACTTTGTAGGAACAGCAAACCTGAAGAATGCCTCCTCACACAGGGTAACATCTAAAGAAAGGTTAGAAAACCCAGAAGATTTACTCAACAATTGGATTTCTGAGAGTCTATTCAATACAAACAAAAACAAAAAACCAACACAATTGAATTTTCCAAGATAAAATATGCTAAAATGCAAAGTTTGAATAAAATCAAGCTTCTGTTGGCTGGTCTTAGTGGCAGAGACCAACTGAGCTTACGTGTCTTCTAATGTTCTTTTTTGGGCATTGTTTTCAAGAGAAAGTTTAGTAAATGTCTAATTAGAGTGAAATATTGTTGTAAATAAGTAACAGCCAAAAATTCTTATAATGAATACAAACATTAACATTCTATTAAAGGTTTACCTAGTACCCACAGGGAACTTCATGATTAATGTCAAAACAAATAATTATCACTGACTTAAAGGAATTTGAACAGTAATTTGGAATAGTGTGTTATTTTTTGCCCACATTTAGACACATAGTTTACCTTTGGAAACAAAGCAAGAGATAGATACAGATATATAAGTAGACATTACATAGGAAAATAACCAAACATAAAACTATGTTATTTACATAGGCATTACAAAGCCCAGAGCATCTGGGTAGAGTAAGTATGTCCCAGAAAATGGGAGTAATGGGTGTTTGTTTTTGGATTCATCAGACCTGGCTTTGAATACTAGTTCTGCCGTTCTACTACCTATATTCATCTGAAGCAACTTTCACAGTGTTTTTATAAATGTTAAAGCCTCTATAGCACAGTACCACATAGTAAGTGCACAATAAATGAAAAAAAGTAAAATTAAAAATGAATTAATTAAAGAGAATGTTAAAATTTGATCACTCCTTTTAATACCCCTTCCTTCATTTTTTTTTTTTTTTTTTAGATAAGAAAGCAAAGGCTAAAATGGCTTGTCTATGATTTCAATTACACAATGAAACAATGCTGGAACTGGGTTAGAATCTCATATATATATCAATTCACATTTCTCTGCTTCATAAACTTCTTTGTAGTACGAAAAACTGTTTGGGGAGAGTCAAGCTGGTTTATACCATTGCTTGATTAAACACAAAAAAGCAAATCATCTTTAGTGTAATGTGTCTTTGAGTGAAGGTCTGAGATTAGTCTAGTGGTGGGAGTGACAAGGTGAACACACACACTAGCCTGATGAATTGTCATCACTACCGTGGAATGCATTCGAATAACCTGAACTTAATACTAGTGACCTGTACCCAATGAAGAGCTTAACACAACCAGAGTAGCTTGGAAGTTCCATGCAATAGATGCACTAATACCATAGGTAACAAAGCCAAGTACACATTTCTAATGTGTGTGTGTGTGTGTGTGTGTGTGTGTGTGATGAAATCTTGCTCTGTTGCCCAGACTGGAGTGCAGTGGTACAATCTCAGCTCACTGCAACCTCCATCTCCTGGGTTCAAGCGATTCTCCTGCCTCAGCCCTGAGTAGCTGGTACTAGAAGTGCCTGCTACCATGCCCAGCTAATTTTTGTATTTTTAGTAGAGACAAGGTTTCACCATGTTGGTCAGGCTGGTCTTGAAATCCTGACCTCAAGTGATCTGCCTACCTTGGCCCCCCAAAATGTTGGGATTATAGGAGTAAGCCACCATGCCTGGCCTAATTTGTCATCATGTTTATATCACTTTGCTTCTTAGTTGCCAATTTATACTTTAGTTAATAATACAGACATTCTTGAAAGTAATAACACACAACTTGAATTCTACAGTTTGGACTCTCCTAATTTCATCTCAGTGGCAAACTTGACACTGCCCTTTGCCTATGGGCAAGATTTGATTTCAGTGTGAAAGGAGAGAAAATCAAGCTTTGAGGTGTTATCTGTGAGAAGATGAGTTTTTGAGAGATTCTGAGTGGTAGCTTTAGCAGTAATGCATCGAGAGTAGCCTTAGCTGGTTAAGATTCAAGAAAGGGAAAATGTAAGTTTGACCAAGAATGTGGCTGGAGGCCTTGTGTTCAACTCAGAGAGAGAGATGATACTACAAAATCGTACAAAGACGTATTTTGGAATGTAATTACCTATTCCACATTTTTGAGTTGATTCACTGTTTCCGGAACATATGTTGTCGTGTGTTGCATTTCCTTTCTGAGTTAGCAGGAGACCAAAGACACTGCAATTTGTGTGTTTTCTACAGGGTGCTTTAGATGACGTCTCATTTGAGAAGAACCCATCTGGACATCTTTTGCAAACTGTATTTCGCTCTGGGGTTCCTACAGAAAATACCAAGCAATTTAGTACCTTCTCCTCAAATCGTTTCCCAGCAGATGCCCTCTTAACACAGTTTTGGAAAGACTTTTCACTTGGTTTTTACTGCTACTATTATGTTGCACAAAACTCTAGCATTTTCATTTTTCACTTCATTAGACAGAACAAAACTTCCACCATCATCCCCTTTGGCAGTTTCTCCTCCTTGTAATGCAAATGCAAGTCAATTTTCTCGTTACCTACAAAACGCTCATGAAATGTGAGAGGAAAGGAAAGAAGGGTAGGGTGTTCATTAGTCCAGCCTCCGCTGAGTGGCAGTAAGGCCGTGTTGTCAGCCATATTCTTCATACAATTATTCCTAGAAAATCAAGATAACTGCTGTGTGTCTGCTGTAATATCATTCTTTGAAATTAGTACCCATTGAATGCTGCATCATTAAATTCCAATCAGTTCCTACTGAAGTTCTTTCTTTCCTGAATCCTAATTGTGAAGCAACTCCTAAGTATGCTAACCTTGAGAAGTAAAAATTTACAACATTATAATAAACTTTTGAAGGTGGCAATAAAGTTGGCCGCTGACTCAAAAGCGTAAGCCTGCAGTTAAGCTACATAGTAAACGGAAGATGATATACCATTTGCTTAAACTGTTTAAAACAGCAGAGTCGTTAAAACTTCAGGAAGGGTGACTGCAAGGGCATTTTACTTCATGATGGAAAAATATTTGATAAATTTGAAGAAATCATTGGCAGAAAAACTTGAACCAGTCCACAACTAAAGACGCTATTAAAAATAAATACCTTCAAACACTTGACTATATTACGCATGGCTAGATCATACATTCCAGTGTATCTGAATATGAAAATATCTCCATCTAGTGTAAGCTAGTTGAACAGATTTAGACTTCAATATCCAAATGTAGATTTTACAGGCCAATTCTGGCTTATGCAAGATAACAAATATGAAAGAGAAAAATCAAAGCTACAGAAACTTATTAAACTTCATTTATAAATCTCAACCTCCTACCTCATTGTATCTTTTACCAAAACCAGAAAATAAAAAAAGGGGCAAAATGGACTGGTTCTAGTTTCATCTCCTGTCTCTTTCTACATGATTCATTGACCTGCAAAAATGACAAAGGGCTGGCAGAAAAAAAGAACAGGAGGGGAAAACACAGCCTAAAACCTTCACATATTAAATATTATTTCCAGCATTGCACTGACATTATCTTAGGAACCACCTTACAAAGCAAAGAGGGTTTTCTGTTTGTGTGTTTGTTTTTAGTACTTTCCTACTACATCCTACTCCTTAAATGGGATACAACTCTATATCAAATTCTACAATATCATAAGCAGAGGTATTTGGGCAGGGATTCCATGGCATTCTTTCATTGCTAATTTACTCGAAATAAGTGACTTGGACACCTGGACCCAGGTCTCCCTTTGTTGACTGCCGTATGTTCTGCATGAAGAAGAATCTTTTTTGGGGGGAAGGCGGGGGCGGCGGCAGGGACGGAGTCTCATCTCTGTCACCCAGGCTGGAGTGCAGTAGAGGGATCTCAGCTCACCACAACCTCCGCCTCCAGGGTTCAAGAGATTCTCCTGTCTCAGCCTCCTGAGTAGCTAGGGTTGCAGGCATGCACCACCATGCCCTGCTAATTTTTGTATTTTTAGTAGAGGCAGGGTTTCATCATGTTGGCCAGGCTGGTCTTGAACTCCTGACCTCAGGTGATCTGCCCGCCTTGACCTCTCAAACTCTTGAGATTACAGATGTGAGCCACCGTGCCGGGCCTAAGAATCTTGTTCATTCTTCAGATACATATCTGTGGCTTGGGTCTTCTCCTGCATCCTAATGAGAAGTTCATATGTGTCAGATATTTCTTTTAGGTAAGTTAGCTTTTAAAGTTATTTAACAAAAAGAATCTAAGAATGACAGAACTAATGTTTCATAATATATTCAGAAGCTTTATCTAATGACCTTCCTGAACATGAACATGACTTCCCTCTATAACTGATGGTACTTTTTATGAAAAAGATCTATCCATCTAAGTAATGATTTTACCTTATTACTATCAGTGGAAATATAAAAATTATAACCTGCCAGGCAAAATGTGAAATTATAATGATGGAGAAATTTGGCTTTACAGTTGAGAATTCACCATGCTTGCTCTAAGTAATTCCACAGGAATTAACAGAATGAAGTAAATAAAATATGGAGAGGAGACAATCTGATTTCAAAACAGCAACAGCAACAACAAAACGGTTATTAAATACTTTTTAGAGTAACACCACATAGTCTTTCCTTCTCTTTGGGCTGGAAACCTCTTATTTCCCAAGAGGAACTGCTGTGTGGGTTTTTAGGGAGGGAGAGGTAAATAAATCCCACTGTGCTGCCAGTGTACACAGAGTAAAATGTGTACTTTTGTTCTGAGTCTTCTGGCTGCCTGCTTGCTTCATTCTACAAACAGATTTTCTTACTTATTTAAGAAAGATCCTTGTGATTTCCATTATTTTTCAAAATTTTCTAGTTTCCAAGCTGCATAGCCCACTTTTCATTTTTCTACATATACAACTTACTGAATGAATTACATGGATTTGCTTTTATCTGATGGGATTCCACACCCCGCACCCTGACACACACACAACTTAGCTTAGCTTTTGAGTCTCAAAGTACCATCCAATAGAAAGTAGGAACTATCACCAATTCCTCCCTCAAATACTCATACGAAGAGGAATTTTAAGGGACTCTGATGCAATTTGCATCTTCTGTGATTAATTTTATAAGATTCACTATTTGAGAAACAGAATAGATTTTGATTTTTGAATGTTTCATTTGTATGCCTTTAAACCTAAAGTATTGGTCGTCTAATAATTTAGACTTTGTATATCACAAGTTTTGAGAGTTAAAATAGTTACAGATACTTAGCATTGATGACCCTGTTCTCAACCAGGAGTGATTTTGCCACCTGACGACATTTGACAGTGTCTGAAGACATTTTTGGCTGTCACATGGGGGAAGGACTGCTATTGGTATCTAGTGGCTAGAGTCCAGGGGTGCTGCCAAAATTCTACAATGCGCAGGACAGCTGCCCACAAAAAGGAGTCCAGCCTAGGAATCCAGATATTTCTTAAAATATCAGCAGGGCTTCAGTTGAGAAACACTGCTTCAAACTGAGTCATCAGAATCTATACTGATTACTTCTTCCATCTAAGTAAGTGGATACTCTTAATTTTCTCAAGCTATGAAAAGTTATAGGCTGCACTGAAGCTTCGCAAATGTGGCAGAAAAAAACGTGGGTTACTGGTTTAAAAGATTCAATACACATGAGCCCTGACCAATGCTGTTCAAAATGCAAAAGAGAAAGCACTTGGTTTATAGGCAAGTGCTTGCTCTTGGCTTGACAATCTGTTTTGTCTAAGATAAAGAATAAGCTCATTGAAGAGATTCTGCTATAGTCCTTACCCTCCCAAACACTCAGCTCCCATGCTAAAGGAAGAACTAGCCTTGTTTTTAATAATGAAATGCAATTCCCCTCACCATTCTCATTTTTTACATAATTAATTATAACTGCTTATTGTTAGCACTCCAGAGTCTCATTAATATGAGCATAATTACTCTCTTGGTATAAATTAACATTTCTGATGTTTGTCAAAAAGTGCTGCAGTTTGAAGGTGTCCATGCTGAAGTGAAATATAGAGGTATAGATCAACTATCAATAGTGCAACTTGAGTTTGTTTCTTTAAAAAAAAAAAAAAACCATCATGCATCTCATGAGAGAATAATTTGCTGCATTTGAGATTTGTCATTAAATTGCCCTGTAGTGGCAAAGTATTCCTCTGAGCAATGGTCCTTTGGAAGCACTCCAGACACATAGTACCTACCTGGCAGGTTTCATTACCTTTGCAATTTGCTATCCTATAATGTCATCAGAACAAAAGTGTTCTCCTAAACTGTCACAACTATCTGACTTTGCATGATCCTAATTAATTTTGCTGCACATTGACACGTACCAGCTTGCACCACTCCAAATCCAGGAGGGCAGCTCCTATGTTTCAAGCAGAACTCTATCTCAAGGTAGCGCCCTTCCTTGCATTCGCACACGCGGTTGTGGGTGCGATTGCACTCCTGCTTGACGTACTGCAGCTCCTTGCACACGGGGCTGCAGTATAGACACTCGTCACTGGTGTGCCAGCTGTCTGTGTAGTAGTGGTCAGGGCAAGGGGCGCACACGGTCTTCCACTTTGCTGTACAGTGTTGTTTTAGGTAGGTACCAGGAGGACATTTGTCACACAACAGCTGATGAGAGGTTTCTTCGTCATAATGAAGGTACTTTGGAGGAAACGTTTCCTGGGTGGTCCACTTAATGGAGATGTCCAGAAACTAGAAGGAGAAAGGAACACAGTGGCATCATCTTAGCATGAAAATAGGTTTGTTCTTATGTGCAACAGTATCATTTGACTCAAAGTCCTGTATTACCTTAAGCCTAATGAGATTTGCCACAAAGTAAGCTTGGAAGCCATAATTTTTGCCTCCGGGAGCTTAATCTCAAAGACCAGGAATGCAGATAGCAGTGAACATATTAACTAAAATCCAGGCTCAAAGATGACTGGAGTAGAAAGCCCATCAAAATAGAACTATAACACTTAGATGCACTGCTGAATTACCATGTGACTTGAAAGACACTTTGTCGTCTTGGGTTGCAGGATTATCTCTAGGTGAGTGAGTTGGATTAACTGGTAATTCTCAGAACAGCTACACAAATCACCTGTTAAAAATATAGATTCCTGGGATTCATATCCTTAAGTATTCTTATTCCACCGATGTGGGGATGTGGGATTGGGCCTGGGGATTTAAAACACCTGCAGTGTTTCTGACGCCTGGGATGCATACTAAATAATCATCTCTTAATTTATTCATTTGACAAATAATTAACTGAGCCCTTAGTATGTGCCAGACTTTGTTCTGGGCACTTGGGATACAATTCTGAATAAAATAGGCAAGAAATTCTGCCCTTATGGAGTTAATCCAATTAGAGGAGTAAAAATAATACATTATAATAAACTACGCAAGTATTGTTTTAAAAAAGGAGAGAGAGCAGGTAAAGAAGCCTGGAAACATGGAGGGGAAAATAGGGAGATTAACATTTCTAAGCACGGTGCTCATATTGGGGACTAAAGGATACCTCTTTCAGTTTTCCTATTCTAAGACTTTTGGATTCCAAGAAAATACTGAAGAGTTGGTGATATGCGAAGGTATATGATTACAACAATCATTCCTATTACTCATTCATGCAACAGATATAGGTTGAATGCCTACTAGGTGTCAAGCACCAGGAATATGCTGGTGAGTCAGACATGTCCCCTGTTGCCATAAGCTTGCAGTTCACCGAAAAGATTCCTCGAATGTAAGGTTGATATTTTCTCTAAACATCATATTGACCAGCAGTCTTGACTCTCATAGGTGAATGACATCTAAAAACAATATTAAGTAAATTAACTGACCACATCTCTTCAGGTGTACTGGGATAAATTTCAGGGAGCAGGCAGGGATCAGAAGTTTCCATACATAATGGCAGGAAGAGGCCTGTGCAGTAGGGGAAAGAGGATTTCATGGGCAAGGGTGCCACTTGGAAGGAGAGTTTCAACTGGGTATTCTGTCTTGTATTTTAGATCCCCAAAGGTCTTCCAGGGAGCACTGAAGTAGTTCTTCACACTAATTACAGGAATCACACGCTCAGAAGAAACTGTGTTTTTTGTGTGTAGGGGGTGGTTTGTTTGTTTTTGGTACAGAGATCAACACTGACTATTTTCAGGCCTTGGGGAGGTGGTAAACCAAACAATAATTTTTTCCAAACTCTCTTTGCAGAATTCAGGAAATCTCACAGGAACCCCCTGACCTGGAAAAGGCATGCCAAGCTAGGGAAACAGCACACCCTTTTGAATTAGGGGTGGCAAAGATAAAGAATGGCCTTTTTCATAAGCATTTGAACATTTTAACTGAAGTAACTTCATTCACTTCTTATGGGAACATGGCAAGTGTTTGGGCTGATTTGACCTAATATGAGTTGATAAACCAGAAGAGAAGAATGAAACATCTCATCCGGTCATTGACCTCTTCACAGAGACAATTTTCAAAGACAGTGAGTGCTGTAATGCAAGGAACTCCCAACCAACAATAAGCAAAATTCACTGCAAGCTCAGAGCTGCTTCAGTGGTCTTTTCAGGACATTCCCTTGACCTGAGAGTTTCTAGTGAAAGCATCTTCTTGAATTTTCCTGGGGCTTTTAATTGTCTCAGGTGGAGTGGGTTGACACTAGATTACAGAAATGGACCAGTAGTGAGTGGCAGCTCTGGTTTGTTCTGAATCTTTCAGAAATAGATGGAACCTATTTCTTCATTCAACACACACTCCTTGAGCATCCACTATGTACCAGGCATCATGGAGGGAACTTAGCATGTGGCATACATAAAACGCAAATGGTCCTTGCCTTCAAGTTCATACTTGAGTGAGCACGCAGACAATAATAAGTGAAGAAATAATTACAGCAAGTAATTACAAATAATGATCAAAGTAATGCAAGAAAGCAAGATGACATGTCTGACTTTGTTGCTAGTTTGTCATTTGAATATATAATGGGACAACTTTCAGGGCTTCTATAATTAATTCTCCTATAATATATATAGGAGAATTATATATGATACATAATTCAGGGCTCCTATAGTGTAATCAATTCTCAATATTATAAAATGAGGATTTCCTGATTCAACTTGCAAAAACATGTGAAAGTAATGAGAAATACTGTTTTCTCTTGCTGTTCACATTCAGTTTCCTGGAAAGCCACTTTTGAGAGTTGTGTTTGCTTTCAAGAGGCCTGGCTTAGAGATCCAGAGGGATTCCTTTATCTTGAGTGCCACTGCTAAGTGAGTCACATCCTGGTAGGTAGGAGTCCTGAAGTTTTCCCCAGCAGAACTTCCCACTGGTCTCCCTTTCCCATTTCAACATGGTTCAGGTGTGCCCATTTGTTCATCAACACGGACTCTTCTCCCTTGCCAAAAAATGATGAGAATAGGATGGGAAAACTCCACAGATGGTGCCTGTGATCTTCATTAGAAGAAGCCGTATAAATACAGATATGACCAAGAACACTGATGCATTTTATATTTTTCTAGGTATTTGGACATGATATTGTTGGTTTCCCAAAACCATGCTTCAGAAATTTGTTGCTCTTTCTTAAAGATACAGGGAGGTTGAGGTGAAAGGAACCCACAGAGAAATGAAGAAATAAGGTCAACTTAAGAATTAGAGAGTATGTTAATGAAGGTAATTTCTCCAAGGCTATCACGTGGAATAATCACATATATTTTTAAAACTGAGAAAGCCTTGAGAAATTACAAACTTGTTTTCAGCAAGTTCAATTGGGCCTCTGTTTTAGTTGAAGATTTTTCCACTTTGGTAAAAAGACAGGCTCTGTGTGGCCAAAATTGGATGTTTAGGTCTCAATCTTTGGTTAGCCCCAATTCCCACACAGAATTTCTGGACTCAGTTACTGGACAGAGGATGGGCAAGATTAATAGAGCTCTTCATCTCAGTCCTTTCTCTCGGTTTCTTCTGCTTATTTCCTGGAAAAGCGATGAAAAATATGCCACAGGACAGATCACCTTAACATTGGATACAGCTCCTTTGCCACTTGATAATATTCAAAACCTAATAAAACCTTAAAAATTCATTTCTGTGTAAAATGCAGACCCTTGATGAGCATCTGCCCAAGCTGGGACACATGCATCGGTGTGTCTGAGGAAGGATGAGGTGCTGTCTGTAGAAGAAGGTACTCCGAGATCGCGCCACTGCACTCCAGCCTGGCGACAGAGCGAGACTCTGTCTCAAAACAAAAACAAAACAAAACAAAACAAAAGCCTACTCTATTTTTTGTTTTATGCTTGACTTTTAAAAAAAGAATTAAATGATTTTCTTTCTGTGTTCTTTCTTTCGTTGTCCTCCCATTCCCTGGCTACCTATCATTTTGTATAGACCACTTATGCTTTAAGAGAATCTGAAAGTCTTCTAATCTAGTGCTTCTCATCAGTCCAGAATTTCTTCCTGAAGCCTCCATTCCTCTTTTTTGAAAGGAAAGTTAAGGTTTCATCTCAGCTAGCTTTATCCCTCTCCTTGCCTTCCATTTTTAATATTGAGCAATGTTAAAGAATTTTCCATTTTAAGCATAAGCATCTTTTCTCACATATCAAATGCTAGCAGACAATGGTAGAAGGTGAAGATGGTGGGTGAGTTGAATTAACTGTTCTCTAATGCCTTTTCTAGCTCTATCATTGTCTTATCCTTTGGTTTCATAGTTTAATTACCCAGTGAACTTGGAAAAAAAGTCTTGCTCTAATCCCCTTCATACTTCTTGTTCCACCTTGTTTTATTTGTGGAACCCCTCTTTATAGCAGAACTCTTTACCAACCTCCCCTCTTCAGATTCACCCATGCCTTCCATTCCCTCTGTAAAATCACCTGATGTCCCAGCTTGTCAGTTATGCTTTTCCTCTAGCAAGCCAGCTCATGTTTGATCCTACCAGTGGAGTTGCATGCTTAACAAAAGTCAGTTCTGAATCTGTTTATGCTACTTGTAACTATAATTAGGAAATTCAATTATTATGTAAACCAACAAACATGAGTGTGAAAAAAATTATTTTTCTATGAAAAGTAAATGGAATGCTTTGGAATGACTTGAAAAAAATGAAGCCTTTCCCTTACCCTCCAAATAAAACACAGAAAAAACAACCTACTGCAGAATTTGGAATAGGTGAGATAACTGTTAAAACAGGGAAAACATCTAGAAGGATCAATTAGTTTCAATCAATTAGTTTCATAAATATCTTTAAGTTCCAAAGCTGAATGGATGGGTAATACTTACAGAAAAGAGTTTTGTAAGAAAGGCAGCATGAGACTTAGCAAACACTGTCTCTAAGAAGGGGTTTAGTTGTATCTCAAAATACAGAGGAATGAATGTTTACTTAAATGTTTTAAGTCAAAATAAAATATTTAAGATATAAGTATATAATTTTTATTAAATGCGCTAACTGATTTTGCAATTAATCATTCAGCTGTTGGTCACAAATATACAAATTTCTAATAATTCCCCATATTTAAGAAGTAGGAAAGTATCATAATGGTATATGCAAGAAGAAAAAAAGGAGTATTTTGAACATGGAATTTTATTTTGTCTATTTCAATTTTATTTTTATTGAGATGGGGTCTCGCTATGTTGCCCAGGCTGGTCTTGAACTCTGGGCTCAAGTGATCTGCCTGCTTCAGCCTTCCAAAGTGCTGGGATTACAGGTGTGAGCCACCACACCTGACCTGTTTTGTCTATTTCATTCAAGCATACATGTATTAAAGCAACTCTGTGCCAGACAGTGGAAGAATAAACAATATATATAATATTTTGGTTTATACCTACTTAGAATGTTTAATCATTGTTATCATTACGTCTCCACCAACTATAAAAACGAGTCAGGGTAATTAACTTGTTTCACATCATAGTAATTAGTGCAGACAGAATTCAAACTTAGAGCATGTGCCATATAAAATGAATTTTTTGGTCAAATCCTTTAACATTTACCAAATGCTTTCCCTTACGCTATTCCCTTCACGCATTGTCCAAAAGTAAGCCCTAAAGTGCTTAATTTTCATTCAGTCTCAAGGGCATAGAGTTAGAAGATCACCAGTGTTAGGAGATCAATCACAGCCTTCCTGAAGTCCAGATAAACTGACCTTGACTTTTCTTTGTGCTAAGACTAGCTTTTGTCCAAAGCTACTGAGTTGAAAATTTATCAGATCACAACTAATTTGACTAGAGAATTCTACTGGTGTATGCATCTTCCTAAAAAACAAAAGAATACACTTGGTCCAGCAAGTTTATTTTTGCATTATGCAATGCAGCCAATCCCATACTACTGGGCCTGCTTTCTGTATGCAGAACCATGAGTGACACAGTGGGTTTCCATTTATGGAAATTCATTAAAAGAAGCCCACACAAAGTCTGAAATAACCACTTGGTTTGGGAGTTCCTTTTGTGATCCCTCGTCATGATCTTTGCCACAAAGAACTATTTGAGGACTACCCAGAGTTAGCTAAACTTCTGGTCAGTTTTAAAACCATGTCAGTTTACAGTTCGTCTTAGCCAAGAAAGGAAACATCCAGGATATATACTATGGTGAATTTACTAAAGATCTCTCGGTACTATGAGTTATGAAAGTTATCAAAAACTGTCTTCCTGTGAAGGTCAGTTTATTTGATTTTTTATTTATATTATACCTCCTCTCCCCTTTTCCTCCATTCCTCAAATAATTCATTTATTCATTCAACAAGCACTTATTGAAACAATTGCTATGTTCTGAGAATATGACTAAGTGGAGTTGAATAAGTTAATGTAAGCATGCATCCAAAAACCCATTCTGATTTAAAATACTCACAGATCACTGCAAAACAATTGGAGGCATAAAAGGGGAGAAAGAGCAAGAAAAGACTCAATAGAGAAACAGGTTGGAAATTGTGAGGGGCACTGGTAATGGAGAATGAGAGGAAAGAATAGGTATGACGTGTTGGCTGGTTGCATTGGGAGGGGGTGGTGCTAGGAAGCAATCGAAGAGCACATCCATGAACTCTAGCCAGTAGGTATGTGGTGTTGCCATTAATTACTGACAGCAGGAAGAGCCAATAACTATGAAGAAAGAGAAGGAATTTGGTTTGGAACATCTATCTGCCTTCTATATGAGACTCAAGTGATGATGTCTGGTAGACAATTAAAACTATGTATTGGGAACTCAGGACAGAAAAGCAGCTGAAGACACAGCTTTCGTGGTTATGAGCACATAAATTGCTCTAGAAGCAGAGAGACTGGAGTGACATTACCCAAAGAAATTGTGTACAAGCCAAAAAGGACAAAAGTGTTAACCCTTGAGACTTATAAATATTTGGTGAGCTAGGATGAAAAAGCAAAGGATTAAATAAAAGAGATAGCACAGATAATTTTAAAAAGGGTGCTAAGTGCATATACACTATGGAATACTATGCAGCCATAAAAAAGGATAAGCTCATGTCCTTTGCAGGGACATGGATGAAGCTGGAAACCATCATTCTCAGCAAACTATCACAAGGACAGAAAACAAAACACCCCATGTTCTCACTCATAGGTGGGAATTGAACAATGAGATTACTTGGACACAGGGCAGGGAACATCACACACCAGGGCCTGTCGTGGGGTGGGGGGAGCAGGGAGGGATAGCATTAGGAGAAATACCTAATGTAAATGATGAGTTGATGGGTGCAGCAAACCAACATGGCGCATGTATACCTATGTATCAAACCTGCACGTTGTGCACATGCACCCTAGAACTTAAAGTATTAAAAAAAGAAAAGGGTGTTAAATGGGTAAGATCTGAAAAGTGCACAGCTTGGCAATTTGGTCAATAAATTAACAAAAGCACTTTCAGCTTGGAAACCTGCATTTAGAATATGCATACCACAATTCCAAATTGAGCTCCACCACTACTTAGTAACCATGATCCCACCCCTACAATAAGAATAAGACTTATTTTTACCTACCTCACTGCAATTGTTATATTTCAAATCAATGAAGGGACACAAACATGGTAAGAAATAAGGGTCAGACTATCATGAGACATTATTACACAAAGTAATTATACAGGAGGTAGGAAGTGGAAGACATTTCAAATCAGACTCATTTCTGGAGACATTTTAAAGGTTCTTGTTCTGTATGAAGTAAGACACCTAAATTGTGCCCTAAGTTCATTATCTACTCTGTTCTTGTCTCCAGAAAAAAAGCACCTTGGACATGTTGATAAAATTAGTTTCAGTATCTTCCCAATTGGCATCATTTTCTTGGTGTAGAACAAATGATTCAAGGCAGTTCCATGACTTTGTTTAGAAAGCTCAGCCAGAAAATAATTTGTCTCCATATTTCTTAAATGCTTAGCATGGTGTCTTACACATGGCAAGTATTCAATATATCTTTTTTCAAATCATTAGACATATTGATTATCTACTGTGTATCATTAGGATCATTGGAATTATACAGATGCAAATAAATATTCACCATGTAAAGGATACATTTGCAAGGACAAGCACAAAGCCTGCAGTTTTCTCATCTGTAAAATGATAGTGATGACCGAATTTGCCTAAAGGAAGAGATTTTTTAAAGCATCTTTCATCTCACATGGTGTTTTGTATGTACTGTTCCATTTGTTCTTAACTTCCATTTTAAAGGTGAATGTGTGAAAAGAGCAGACAATTCATGGGAGAAGTTTATCTACTGCTGCCAGTTCCCCACCTGAGAGTCTACCACTGCTTAATAGTTTTCACAATAGCCAGTTGTTTGGCCTAGGATTATGTCTCTAGGTAAGGCAGGAAGGGCAAATGAATTAAATCTGTTCATCTATACAGACCTGATTTGCTTCTAGCCTTTTTCCTAGGCAAACAGGGGAAAAGAAGCACAAACAATTATGATTTATTAGATGAGTCACTGGGCCAAATTCCACACAATTTTGCTTCCCTTGAGGCTGAAGAATTGTCTTCAGGTAAAATTTAACTTTCAGTGTAATTTTTGTTCCCTTCAGAAGTTTCCTTTAGTTGTCTGAAGGCTTTTAAATTAATTAGCAATATCTTGTTTGTGTTTGGAATCAATCATAAATGTTAGGTTGAATTTGCTTATGATGTTTTTTGCTTCTTCAGGGGAATTTTATAGACAATTAATATTTGACAGATTAACAAATGAAGGCAAAAAAACAAAAAACAAAAACAAGAAAATCTCTGAGAAAAGAGAACTTGTAATGCAGGCATATGCTTAAAATTTTCTGAAGAAGATATACGGAAATTGCACATATTTTGGCTCACAGATCTTAATATTTCTTCCTTTGGGCTTCTGTTAGTCATCAGATTTGAGAATTAGCATCAGGTTTGAAAGCCAATTCAACAGCAGGGATGGCCGAATTTTTCATTGTAATTATCTCATTCAGGCCCACCTGACAAGCACAAGGGTAGCACCGCTACCTCAGGGTCTTCCAGCTACAATCCCTGGCATTCTGGCCCAGAACTGGAAGGATGTTTTTGTATGTTGATATTTTTGAACATCAATTTTTGAATTATACTTTAAGTTCTAGGGTACATGTGCACAACATGCAGGTTTGTTGCATATGTATAAATGTGCCATGTTGGTGTGCTGCCCTCGTTAACTTGTCATTTACATTAGGTATATCTCCTAATGCTATCCCTTCCCCCTCCCCCCACCCCATGACAGGCCCCCCCGTGTGTGATGTTCCTCACCCTGTGTCCAAGTTTGAACATCAATATTTAAATTCCATTTTATTTCTACAGTTGCTTTTCTTTGAAGATAATGCATTGCTCACATTACCTTATGAATCCTTTTGGTTATTAATGACCTGTATTGAAGCCCAATCAATATATGACAATGGACAGCTAGTGCAAATTAGATACGAAAAGCCATGTGGTGATGAAATGGAATAGAAACTAGAAGAAATGGACTAAAACAGAATTCAAGCTAAACCTGTAGATATTGACTGCATGTCTATGATGTGCGAAACATCATATTGGAAGCCCTGAGTGATATGGCAAAAAATAATAGCTTAGTATACTCTATTATTATATATGGGGCTATATACTCAGCCCTTTCTTCACATGCTATTATCATTCCATCCCCTGCAACCATCTCTAATGAGATATGATTATCCCCATTTTACATATAAAGAAACCGAATCTCAAAGAAGTTGAGTGACTTTTCAAAGGTGTCAGAGCTAGCACACATTCAAGCTGGGATTTAAATCCTATCCCGTCTGAACCTAAGCCTTTAACAACTGACTTTTCCCTCTCGGAGCTTGCAGTTATGAAGAAGATTGACATATAAATGGTCAACTGCAACACAAAACTCAATATGATTTACTGTCTATCTATCCATCTACCTACCTTCCTACCTACCTACCTATTTGACCATCCGTCTGTCCACCTACCCACCTATTCATCCATCCATCCATCCACCTATCTACTCATACTGGTGAATAAATGCTTCTCCCTTCCTCTCTCGTCCTAAAATACAGTACTTTACACAACCTCTCTGGTAGTTATTCCTATGAGATTGAGTAATCAGTTGTAATTTATACTAAGCAGTAGCTTCTCAGTAATTTGCTCCCTTGAATTTGTTCTCCTTCCTTTTCTATGTTACTCATCATACACTTATTCCTGCATCCCCAGGATTGTACTTTCTAAAAGGTACTAAAACAGAAAGTTTTTTGTTTTATGTTCTGTTACCTAGGGAATCTGGGCTCATGTCCACTAAGGCAAGAGCATTTAATTGCTAAAGAAAAGAATTATGGTAAACACCTGAAGCTGAAGGAGGAGCTGAAAAAAGGATGAGAAGTATACTAAAATCACTTCACCCAAGGATTTGACCCTCATGAGCCTCATCCTGGGCATTCTTAATCCCTGTGGAAAACTCTGGGTTCAGGGTATCCACAGAGGCTTTCCTCTGATTAATGGGTATTTTTTACTGGACTCAGCTAATAGATATATACTAGTATAGAGCAGAAAAATTTCTCAGCTGGGTAACATTAGGGAAAGTTACCTAACTTCTCTGAACCTCAATTTCCTTATCTCTGAGATAGAGATACTAATCTCTGCATCATAGGCTTTTTGTGAAAATTAAGTGAAATATGGTATGTAAGGTCCAAATACAGTACCTATTCTAAAAATGATTAGCGTCTTTCTATTTTATGGCTTCCTCTTTTTGGCTTGGCTTAAATGGGTAAAAGTTGTAGATGAAGATAACTGAACTTCTACAAACGAAGGGTCAACTGGAAGCAATGAAAAGCATGATCCCTGTTTGGTTACTGTCACATAATAGGGTGTTTGATTTGGAGTCTACTGGTGCCTGTTGACCTTCCCACTCTGCAGCCCAGCTAACCCTTTATGTAATCTAAATTTTGAATTTTCGAAGTTTCAGCAGCAGAAGACAGAAGAGATCCTTCTTCATGAATCCTTCTAACAATAGCTTTGATGAAGAAGGAGTTGAAGAATCTAAAATCACAGATTTAGTCTTTTGGGGTTTGTAAATGTTCTTTGCAGTTGCTTACCCTCAATGATCAGATATAACTGGGATTTGGCTACTGAATAAGTCAAGGCTGGTTGGGTCTTATGTCATGCCAATAAACAACTTCAACCATCTAACTGGCTTAAAAACAGCACAGGTTTATTTCTCAGACATAGTCAAGTCCCTAGTTGGTCTGCTGAAGACTCTTACCATTGTCCTCTGTCCGGGACCTAGGATGATATAGCAACCAATACCTGAAATATTGCTGATTTGCTGTCAAGGAGGAAAAGGGAAAAAACAAACAACTTTGGGAGGGCTGTATACATCAACTATTAAGTGCTCTAATTTGTAAGTGACTTACATCATTTTAACTCATGAGTTACTGGCCAGAACTATTCACATTCTCCCCGACCCCATCCTCACCAGGAGGCTAGGATACACAATCCCACCAAGCTTCTGGAAGGCAGAAGAACTGGGAACAACTGGCAAAGAGCACAAACAAGTACATCATCCTCATAAACATTGCTCATGCTTTCTATTGGCATTTATTTTAGCACAATCTAGTTTTTTTTTCTTTTTTTTACATTTTTTACTGGATATTAAAAGAAGAGACAGGAAACAGAGCGTGGGTGCAGAGGTCTCTGTCTATCAGCCTGGTGTATTATTCAAGTGTAGTTGTTAATGGTCATGCCAACCTACCCATTATCATGCTTATTCTGCCTGAAGGTTTGACGTGTATTCCAAATAATGGTGTGCAGTTGTCAAGTACTTCCTTGTGAATACAAATTCAAAGAAAATTCCACTCAATGCATCTAAGGAGACTGCAAGTGACCATAATTATATCTCTTCAGTAAGTCCTGAGGGGATGTCTTGAACCTGGCTTTTAACTAAATGGGATATGAAAAATATGCACATTCATAACTTCTATGCATATTGGCTAAAGACAAGGAGAATGTGTCTCAGAATGAGAAAATCTTTTTTGGCTTAAAAGAATAATTTTTGACTCTAAAATATATAAGTCATACTACCTACTATCTAAAGGTAGGTAACATTTCAAAAGCTGCTTCATCTTGTGGTCTCACTGATTTAAATAGAATTTCTTATACATGAACCAATGGGGCAGAATAAACTTTGACAAAGGCAACAAAATAGAATATTTTAAAACATTCCTATAATGTTTTTTATAGACAAGTCTGTTTGATATTTGCATGTTTTGAGCGGGAAATAATGCACAATTGTGTGTGTGTTTAATTCAGATGGCAAAATCTTTAAACTGCATCAGACCTTCCACATATGACCTATTCTAACCTCTATTTTAGAGATGCTGGAAGTAAGACCCATAGAAATGGTGTCACCCATTGGAGCTCAGAGACTAAATACAACTGAGAACTTTGGAACCTGGCTTTTAACTAAGTGAAATATGAAAAATACACACATTCATAACTTCTATGCATGTTGGCTAAAGACAAGAAGAATGTGTCTCAGAATGAGAAACTCTTGCCTCTCACCACTGCCATTGCAAAAGTATTGTCACCATGACCCACAACTGAATTGTTAAATTACATTTTTTGGTGATGGTGGTGGTGGTGAAATTGATGCAAATTGATGGTCAGGAGAATTTTTTAAGGAATAGAGTGCTGATATTCATATTTCTAAGAATAAAAGAAATCATTTTTTTGGAACAAGAAAGTAGTATTACATGGCAAGAGAACTGAGGTTTCTGGATCAAAGACCAGAGAAGAAAATTGGATTTACTAAAGGCAGCCACAAAGCTTAGATGAGTCACTGTCTTGTCTTGAATCTAAATTCATCTTGACACCTATTTTCCTATTTTATTGGTGATTATTGAAGAGGCTATTATAGAAAAGGTCCAGTCTGAATTGGAGTAGAAATCTTAAAGCTATTCATTTTATTTTTAAAGAAGATGGCTTCAAGGAAATTAAATATTTTAATAGGTATTAAGACTATAAATCTAGAGAGGTGAATTTTTTTAAAAATCACAACAATAAAGAGGTAAATCAAAGCCATTATCAGCACATTACTTTTTTTGGAAGGGCTTTAGGAATTACATTTCATTTCCTCTTGCATCCTCTATCCATTTATGGTGTGGCTGATTCAGGTGCTTCTGAGAAATTGGGGTGAAAAAAACTACTCAAGCACCTCGGAAATTATGCCAACTTGTAGATGGAAAGAACCATTTTAGTGTGTCTGTAGACTGTTCTAGCCTCAGAACGTTCATTTAGAGAGGCCAGGTAAATGTGAGAGAGAGTGGGTACCACTCAGTTTCTTAGCTAATGTGTTGTAACACTATTCTTATCCCTTACAACTGTCTAAAAGGATTCTTTTTTTAGACTTTCTCTGCTAGTTACCCCAAAATATTCTGTGGTAGTGAGTTCCAAAAACTAATTACATGTCACATAAAAACACCGTCCTTGTATCTATTTCAAGTTGGCCATACCTCACTCTTTCTTCTAGCATAGATAGTTTACGGATGTTCCTAGGATTTCCGATTCACTAGTTCCTGCTATTGTGGGTTGCTAAGTTTTATTTTGATTTTTGTTTTCTTTTCTAAACATGGCTGCTACTGCTGTTCATATTTGCATTTTGTTTACCAGACTATCGATATCAGAATTGTGCTCTGGGGGCGGCTTCACACTCTTCTCTCTTGGCTTGTGAAGTCATCCATCTCTATGGCTCCAAAAATCTTCTCTAGGCTGTTGAGACACATTTTTTAAAAAAATCTCCAGCCCAGGCTTCTCCTGCACTCTAAAATATTTTATATCTAAATGCCTACTTGACATCTCTGAGACATGTTACAAACACATAAAATTTATCAAACCAAAAATGAACACTTGATGTCCAAACCCACCATCATTTGTTCTCCACTCAGTAGCTGTGTATACCTGTATTCTCTACTCAGTAGATAGCACACAGTCCCAACTGGATGGGAAGGCCAGAAAACTGGTACAGCCAGGCTTAGATTGCACTCCAAATATCAATATATGAATCTGGTACATTTTTGTTACTGGCTTAAGAATGGGCTTTTGTGAAGGTATTGATATGAACCTTTATAGTAGGAATATATAAATGTATTTAAAATATTGGTCAGGTGGGTAGGGTGTTATGTGTATCTTTTCAAAGAGATCAAAGTCAACATTAGAAGTGAACTATCTGGCAGTAAGCTAAATTCTGTTGGAACATCCATGGAAATTGCCAGTGGCAGTAAGCTAAATTCTGTTGGAACATCCATGGAAATTGCCAGTAGACGATCCAACACCCTAGCAAATCTCTTTATAGCTCCTTTAACTCAGGAAACACACCTTATTGTCATGCATTATGGAGATCTTGGGGCTACAAATGAACAAGATGAAAATCTGCGCTTGCAAAGAGCCCATACTTTGCCACAGAGGTGGTGCTATCCCTTAGGAGAAGTTCTAGGAATCTGTGGGGGCATTTCTCTGGTCATAATGACTGTATGCTGCTGGACATCCTGAACAATAAAGAATAATCCCACGTCCCACACACATTCATGTCCTATTGACCACTGATATAAGAAATCTAAGTAAAAAAATCTATTATCTGAGTCTAGATCAGAACTCCATTTTATATACACACACAAAGTGCTTTTTGCATAATTGTTATACAAACTTAATTTTTCAGGAATTTAACAAGATAAATTTGATAGAAGATTATTAAAATTTGTTCTGTTTAAAACTCTAGCAACATTTGTTCACCATTTCAGAAAATCATAGCACCAAAGCCAATGCTAACCATGTTTTTGAGTCACCAATATTACACGTGTTCCCCAGTCTTTATTCCTAGTGGTGTGTTTATGGCAATTTTACAAAAAGATGTCAGCATATCACTACTTCTTTAAGTCTTCAAGTGAAGCCTATTTTATTATAAATTACTTTCTTTTTATTACTTCTTTATAATATAGTTATGACAGTATATTGATTTTTAAAAATTATATGTGTAGGTAAAATATATGCACTCTGAATTTCATTTCAGGAGAGCAAGGAGGTTGTTTCAAAGGATTTATTGTAAAAGTGCATGAAAGAAATCTGATATAATTGAGAACTACTGCCCTACAGGGTAAACCATACAAATATCCTGATAATTTTGGCATCTCTGCTCCATTGTAGCAACATAAGGAGCAGCTAGACATCATCAGTCAAGGCTTTAATGCAAACAAATTTTTGTAAGATCACTGTTTCCCTTCAATATATTCCCCAGCCTTTTTTTTTTCTTTTTCTTTTTTGGCTGCAAAGGAGAAACTCAAACTAAAGGAAATGCTATCGGTTAATGAGATGCTAGAGAAAATAATGCTTTTTACAAAAAGCTTTCACACAAATGGAACATGCCAGCAGTGGGGGGCTGACGGTTGCCAAGAGCAAAACCCAGCAGGCAAGTTAGTGGCTAGGAGAGCAAAAATACCTGAGTGTGTGTTTAGTTCCTTTTGATCAGCACTGCCATAGCTCTCCTTCTAGAACTAACCGGATAAACCATCTGGTGCAGAACGCTTACTTCCTCAATCAGTGGAATTTCACAGCTGTAGTTTCAGCTTAAGTAAAATTTGAAACTAGATTGAAATTAGAAATTGTGCTGGAGGTTGCTAGGTGACCCGGGCCAGGAACGTTGCTACGGACAGGGATCAGGACTGTTTTGGATTGAGGGTATGTCAGATTTTCCTAGAAACTTCAGAGTATTCATTCTCTTAAAACAAAACAACAAAAAAACAAACAAACAAACAAAAAAAAACTTAACCACTAGGGGGAGGGAGAGGAAACCAAAATAACAATAAAACAACAAAAAGCCCCCAAAGGCATTATTCTACAGGAAAACAGACAGACCAGACATTTTTCCTGAGAAAAAAATAAATCTACCCCTCCCTGCCCACTTCTCCACCCCAACTCCTAGTATCATAACATTAATTCAGAACTTAGCTTTGAGAAGTTCAATGGATGGTTCCGATACTACTTGATGGGAAGTTTCAGCCATCAGTTAAAACCTAAGCCTGAGTGAAGCAGAGCAGGCCTCTGCTTAACTGCATTAAGGAACATTCCAGGAAAGCCCATGTCTATGACATTAGTACTAATGACAACATCCCATCCCTACCTCCTTCCCTGCTTGCCTACCAGCATACCCTTTGCACTCACAAAAAGAATCTAGAATTCTATTTTGCTACACAATCTTGCCTTCTCTCACTTCTTTGGTCCAAGATGCCTGATTTTAAATCTCCAACAATGAAACGTCATACCCCTCCTCCAGGATGACGGTAGATGGCCATCTCTCCCTCCTCTGAGTATCATCAGCACTTCGTTTACATAATTCACTTGGATCTAGATTGTCCTAAAGTTAGTTATCTGTGAGCATCATGCTAGGAGCTAGTGTTGATATGAAGCAGAAACTTTATGTGGGCATCTTGGATATATGCATATCATTATTATCATTTTATAGAAGACAAAACTAAAACTCAAGAAGTAACTTGGCCACAGTCATTTCTCAGGTAAGTGGTGGTACTGGTATTTGATTTTTGGTCCACATGATAACACTGCACTAGCAGCTTCCCTTATAAGGTGCTATATGGCAGAATCTTTTATATTCCCAAGTCACCCAGTAGTTTCTTTCTTTGCAACTCTATATACACAATTACTTGCCCAATATCTGCTTTCTCCATTAGACTATGGGTCCATGGTGAAAGGAATAGTGTCTATCTTGCTTTTCACACTGTCCTGATGCCTAGTGCCAGTGGAATGCCCATTATAAAGAAATAAATATCTGTGGTGCTTCTAGTTCCTACAGTGGCACCTTGGTTTTACAAAAGGGCATCTGGACTCTATGTGTAAATACAAAGTGTCCATTTGCAATCATTTTCAAAATAAAGTAAGTCTCAGAAGCTAAAGAAAGGGGAAGCAAAATTCTTCCTATATAAAGTATTTACTGTGTTCAAGACATATACGAAGTCTTATCTTCTGATAATGCTGTATCATCTAAAATTAGTATTATCTACATGTTTGTCTATCTTCCTGTACAGACCACATATAAAAATATTTTACTATTTAAATTTATGGATACTTCTAAATAGAAACATATATTATTTAGTGGAAACCCTGAAATTTAACTCATTGCTAGTATGTTTGTTATTAATTAAATCTTTGACAAAATAAAAAGGGCTAGGAAGAATAAAAATGTCCCCATATTAACGGCAGCATTATTTATACTAGCCCAAAACTAGGATGATTAAATCAATTGTGGTGTGTCCATACAATGGAATACCATACAGCAATGACAACGGACAAATTATTCTATATCCTACAGTAGAGATGAATCTCACAACAGAACTTTCAGTGAAAGAAGTCAAATGCAAAAAATTGAATAAGTTCCATTTATAGGAAGTTCAAATACAAGCAAAATTCATCTATGTTGTTCAAATCAGAATACTGATTGTTCTGGCCATAGACACAGTAGTGATGGAAGCTCTTGAGGTGCCGATAATATATTTCTTGATCTGTGTGCTAGCTCACAAGTGCTCACTTAGAAAAACTGCATTAGGCACTTACCACTTGCACAATTCTCTATGTGTTATATTTTAATAAAGGTTTACTTTTTTAAAAGCACTCCATAGTATCTCTAGCGATGAAGTTATACACACACACACATACATACATATATATTTTAACATACTTATGGGTAGATTCCTATCCAACTTACCTGTTCTTTAGTGTCTTTACTATTTATTTACTTATTTATGTTTCTGTATCCTAGGAACTAAGTAGAAGACTACCTAGCCTTCTATTCATTATTTGTGGGTTGGAGGTTGAAGTTCAAACATTTACTCAAACACATCCAAAACACATATGTGGCTTAAATATGGCTTTTCCTAGCCTTGCATAAATGTCTGATTCATATCTTGATGTACTCTACACTCTAGTGTCATAGAGAAAATAAGTCATTGGTCATAGAAAAACCTACATGCAAATCTTATTAACTTGATCAAAACCTAAGCTTAAAAAAAAAGCTAAGTCACAGAGATTCCTTTCTTTTCCAAATAACATTTTAAACACAATTTTTAGCCCTATTTAGTGAACTTCAATTCTTTAGATATGTTTTAGAACATAACATACTGCCAATATTCTCCACAGTATATTGAAGTTGAGAAGTGAAATAATTTTAACAATAAAATTTTATTAAAACATTACACAGTTAAGAAGTGTGTGTGTGAGAGATCTTTTCTCCTAATTATTCAAAATTTCACATAATATTTACATTAGAAAAATCTATCATGTCATATTCTAATTATAATGGTTTTAAGAAGACTAACGTCTTCTTCCAACTTACTCTGAATCTAAGGGACCACTTCTTTGCCACTAATAATAAAAGTTCAAGTTCATTAAGCAAAGATAGTATGGACTACATGAGGGCGTTAATATTCTGAGATGAAGACAGAAGGTTAATGACTAAAACTTTCAAACAAGTTTCTCTCTCTCTCTCTCTCTCCCTCTCTCTCGCTGTCTGTCTCTCTCTTGCTGTCTTCCATAAAGTCAGCAGGAACTTTGCAGCGTAAAAGGACACCCTAGGGGAAGCATGGCATAACTTGAAAGCGGTTTCCTGCTCCAGCCTAACCCCAAGCCTCTCCTGGGAGGGAGCGAGTGGAGCCTTCTCCCCGCCGGTCCGCTGGGAGGTTGGGAGACCAGGTGGCAGCAGCCTCCCCAGGCGCCGGGCACCCGTCGGCTGGCCCAGGGACTTACCACGAGCGCGCAGCACAGCAAGTTGTTCATTGTGGTCCCCGGAAACCTCAGGGGCTTGGAGGCGGCGGCTGGGCGAGCGCTCCGGTGCGTCTCCGCAGCCCGTGCGCTCATCACGTTATATATAGCGTCCCGGCAACAGGAAGTATCGCCTGCCTTTGATCAGTCATTTTTCTATCCTGGACCAAACTTTGCACCTTTCTTTTTTAGGAAGCTTGGGCGGGAGCGGTCGGGGGGTGTGCAGAAAGCTCCAGGGTTAACGCTTTCAGGGCTGGGGCGGAAAGGATCCCCCAGGGAGGTGGGGCGTGAGGGGTGGGGCGGTGGTGTCTGGCCCCTGGGAGAGCAGGGGAAAAAAAAGCCACCGGGCTGAGGAACAAGGCGGCTGCTGTCTCCGCGGGGCTCTGAGGTTTCCCGGCCCCTTCCCGCCAGCGGCCAGCCTCCTGGCAGCCGGGACCAGCGGTGGGAGGGCTGGGCACACGCTGGGCAGCTGCTGTGCTTGTGTCTCCTCCACCCTGAGAGTCCGATCCAGCCAAGATCCGGACGCAGTTGGAGTGTGTCCCAGACCTTTGTCCTCTCGCTGGGCGAAAGCTGTGAGTTTCCGCCGTACCCGGCTGCCTGACCCCTTCACTTCGGGTTCTGAAACCTCAAATTACAGGGCCCCTCTTTATGCATGGCATTGTCTGAGCCCTTTTCGGGGAGTTCGCAATCATTCATCTTCAAGTTTACATAAACCATGTAGTAGGAATTTTTCTAACTAATGTCTGATTGGCCCTAAAGCCCGTGCTATTCTGCATTCACTCCTTGTTATCTGGGGTAGTTAGAGCCAGAGAGAATCTGCAGAGTGAAAATTGGACTGCCTGGGGCAGGGATAACCTTGCGGAGCACTGTTCCCTTCACCAACCCCACCATCATCAAAGGGCTATTGGTATCGGAGCTTCCTACGCGCTGAACTTCTGGAGTAGCCTCCTCGAGGTCTTTCCACTAGCCTCAAGCTATCGACAGAAGTTTGGCACTTTGCTCTAGGGTTCGCTGTCTCCCCCATTAATTCCCTGGTCTAGAAGTTAGACTTGATGACTTGTAAAGTGTGGTCCCATTCATGGATTACAGTTCGCGGGTTGCCACTGAAATTGTTTACAGATGGCTGAAAAAGTCCCTGCAGAGCTGCTTCCCCATCAGGGCCAAGTGTTCAAGTTATATGTCTCCAGAGAAGGGCAAATACTGCCTTTCACCAGATTCAAGGGAAGGAAGGTGAAGAATCAGGAGAGGGGACCCCTGGGGAGCAAGGATGGCTTACCAGGATCAGAGCATCTGCCCCTTCCAAGGGACATCCTTCCACCACGAGTTCAAAGTGGATCCACAGACTGTTCCATCCTGCAAATTACAGAAGACGGGGTGTCATTCAGCTTTGTCCCTCAAGGGCCAGAATGTAACAGCATGCTGGTTTCTTAAGTGAACTAGTGAATAAATGTAGCTCAGTGAGTGTGGACAAAATTGTATGACTCCAAATCACTCCTTGTATTTTGAATCGTAGTTTTGACATCTGCAACCTGAGATATCAACACTTAGACTTGCCATGGGACTCAAGTCAATCCAAGTGTTAGTAGTGAAACACAATATAAATAGCAGTATTATTGTTTTTGTTAGAGTAATGTTTGTCTAGGATATTATTTGAAGGTGTTTTTCTCAGAACATAAAATGATGCCAATATGTGGGTGTCAGACCTTGGAGAAAACTAATCAATAACTGAGTCCTTCAGTGTTAACCCTGGGAAAGGTTTACGTCTCCCTGAGCCTCATCTATAAGATAAAAACACACTGATATTGCAGAAACGTAAGAGAAAGCAAATGGGAGCGTTTAAAAAACAATTATATAAATGATGGTAATCACTAATTATGAGCATTAAATAAAGTAATGCATGTAAAATAACTCAGCACAATGCCTGGCCCATAGGAAATATTTCCTATAGTTATGATTATTCTAGGGGAATACCTAAGATACTGGCCTTTGTAACCTAGATTTGAGCCCCAACTCCAATTTTTCCTAGCTCTGTGACCTCAGACTAGTTGCCTAACCTATTTTTGTTTCCATTTTTTGTTATTCCTATAATGAGGATAATAATCACATCTACCTCAAAGTATCATAACGGTTATTATAAAGATTGAATTAGATAAAAGATGTAAAACACTAAAAATAGTGTCCGGCACATAGTGCTCATTAAGTGTCATTATCATCTGAGGTTCTCATGGGGACGTTTGTATGAGCACAAGGCAAATCTAGATTGTAAGCTCCTGAGGGCAGGAACTACTTATTTTTCTATGGTATTCGCTGAAGCTTTTAGCTCAAATTCTGGCTCTCCCTGCAAAGGAGCGATGGTGGTAATTTGGGGATTCAGGGGATTGGTAATTAGCTGTAAGCTGGAGACAGGTTGGGGCACCATTTATCTAGAATCACAAAATAGACTGTGTATTGATTGTGCATCTCAGGGCCTAACTGTGGGCCCTTTATTCATCACTCACTGACAGAAAACTGACAGAGACCATGAATTATCAGTCATTTCATCTGTTATATTCTTGGAGCAATCTGGCCAATCCCCTAGGGTATTTCTAAGTAATCCACTACTGTGGGCTGCAGGCTTTGAACACTCTGAGCTGAAGTTCATTTTAAGATTTAATTGGAATGGACCCAGGGATTCCAGACTGAACCCAAAAGGGGACATTTGAACAGTAACTGGAAGACTACATTCATCTTCCTGTGACAGATCCCTCATTGGCAGAGGCCATCGGTGACATTAAGCAGAATGTTCCGTAACTTTAACCTTCTGTTTCTAGGCACCAGATATATGTGACGCTAACTTTCTAGGGGACACCTCATCAGATATTCCTCATCTCTTCTTTCCTAAACTCTTCTGAATTAGGTCCCACATTGAATAGATTTTGGATTGACCCCCAGTGACTGTCTACTGCCCCAAAACCCCATTTCAGCCACTTCTAAAGCTTAGAGAAATGGTGCCTGAATATTAGGAGTTCCTACAGGGAAGACACTTTATCTCTTTAGCACAGTAGCACAGCCTCTGATCCAGATGGTCATTTATAATCATCATCATAATGGAAATACCTGAGACTCAGGAAAGCAATTGACTTAGGTGATTTGGGAGACAAGGCATGCAGCTCTAAGTTAACTGAAAAGTGTCTAAAACATCTTGTGCCTACACTTCCTCACCTGAAAATTGGAAATACCGGTTCTGGTTATGCAGAGAAAAGGATATTAACTTGAAGAACAAGAACAAATTCCTTGTTATTTCATGGTTATTAAAAAGAAGTTTTATTCTGATTTTATAAAAGGAACAGAGAAAAAGGAGGAGAAAAACAGCAGATAGCCCATTGACTTATTTTATTAATGTTTATAATTTCTTCCTTAAAAAACACAATTTTAACCATATTAATATTTGAGACACAAACTATTTGCCTTTATAGGTCATCTAGACTATGTTTTAAAATGTATATGTGGGTATGTCTTTTAAAAAATAATGTACAGAAAGGTAAAGGTAAAGTTATCTAGCTGACTCACTTTCTGATGAAGAAAGATGTCACTTTCTGATGACATCACTTTCTGATGAGGTCACCAGTTGTTTAAGGGTTTGCCTGAACGTGTTGGACTAGGGGTAAGTAGTTGCTACTTATGGTTCACTACTCACCTATAATGTGATTCTGGCATTGCTAGCCATTCATTACCATAGCCCTTTCTTTGAAAATTGGCCTTAATCACACAAATATATAAACAAGACTGTGTATCACATGAAAAGAAATAAGTGGCAATAGAAGGACCTGACTCCATGTACCTTTTAACAAGAACTCTGAAAACTGCGTATATTGACAAATGATGAACACATGGTGAAGAGGTGGGGAGGGAGAGCCTTTGGGCAAGGAGGACAGGGTGTTAGTAGGTCTCCCAGTGGGAGGAAGCAAGGTGGGATTTCAAGGAACTAGAAATATTCCAGTACGGTTGCTGCATGGAGAGCAAGGCATTGTGTGGACCAGGAGGGACTGAAGAGGTGAGTAGACAGTGGCTAGGTTGCAGGTGGAAGTGATTCCAGTCTTTCTTCAAAGAACCATACAAAGCACTAGAGAGTTTTAAGCATGGGAGTGTGTCTTAATCACTTTGGACTATTACAACAAACTATCATAAACTGGGTGTCAAATTTAAGCAACAAAAATTTATTTCTCACAGTTTTGGAGGCTAGAAGTTGGAGGTCCAGAAACCAGCATGGTTGAGTTCTGATGAGGGCCTTCTTCTGGTTTGCAGACTGCCAACTTTACCTTGCAACCTTACGTGGCAGAAAGGGTTAGAGAGTTCTCTGGGGTCTCTTTTATAAGGGTACTAATCGTATTTGTTAAGACTCCACCTGCATGACCTAATCACCATCCAAAGGCCCCCTTTCCTAATAGCATCACCTTGAGGGTTAGGATTTCAACATCTGAATTTTTGAGGAACACAACATTCAGTCCATAACAAAATGACATGATCATTTAAGCTGTTGAAGGGTGTAATTCTCTGAACTTCACCCTGCTCATGGCCATAAATACAAATAAAGACATGTAAGAGAAAACTCTCTTAAACTGCAAATCACAGTCAAATTGATGACACCTCTGGGTAGGGAAGTTGGGAAATAAGGAAAAATGACCTCAGCAGTCCATAACAGGGATCTGTTGTTCTGATCAGCTCAAGGAAGAGATACAACCTCTTGCTTATAAACTTTTTCCAGTCACTCTAGTCACTTCAACTGGAGTTTCCAGAAACTCAGATAGTCATCTAGTGCCTACTCAGTCCCAAGAAATCAGATTCTTAGTTAACTGATGCATATTTCAAATAACTACTCATCAGATGGCTTCTGAACAAATAAATGTTTATATCAACAGAGTACTAAAGAATACTCTACACCTACTCAGGTTTTCTCCTCAAAAATTATTGATGTAACTTGATCATCTCTAATATTCAGAAATGCTCCCCACTTCCCTGATGCCCATGTAATTTGTCTATACCTGGCTAATGAAGATGTCTTCATTAGATAAAAACTCTTAAAACTATTTTCTTAATAGTCAATGAGGTGCTTCTATTTGGGAAAGTCCCCAACTGGAACTAAAATAAATTTTTAGAAACAGATGAGATAGTTTTCAGAGAAACTAGCCTACAAGAGTGAATTCCTTCCTGAAACAAGGGTTTTCCTATAAACGCCTTACCCTAAAGGAACATTTTCAAATAAATATTAAACCAAAGAGGGGAGTGAAGTGCCTTAACATTTAATGAAGGGATACCATTAACAAATCAGGAAAGAAAGTATGTCTCAGCACCAAAAACATATACATTTATTCAGCAAATATTGACTTAGTATATACTGATGCCAAGCACTGTGTTAAGTATCCTGATACAGATCAAAAGTCCCCATACTTCTGAAGCTTACAGTCAAGCTGGAGAGAAAGAGTCACCAACTAAACCTAGAAATAAACTCTTCGGATGGTGATAGGTCAATTTTAGAGCGGTGATGTCTATGACACAAGATAATGTAATGGTGACGGCTATGAAGGCCTACTTTAGCTGAGCTGTTTAGGGAAGGGCTTTCTGAAGAAGCCCCTTTTGATCAGACAATGGAGGTAGAGAAAAGAACACATGAGGTGGCCCAAGGGAGTAAAGTCAATGAGGCTAAGGCCAAGGGAACTGGAGAGAGATATACCTTATGTGTCCAGAGAGGTGAGCAGGGCCAGTCCATGCAGTGTCTAGAGAGTCAGGGTAAGGACTTGTCAGTTGAATCTATGGACAGTAGGAAGCCATTGGCATGTCTTAAATGTGAGCGAAGTCATTTGACATACATGCTAACAGGTAATGTGGCTAGAGTGGAAGCAGGAGGAACACTGGGTCATTGTCTCCAGGACAATCATCACTGAATGCTTAGAGTACATTAAGAATGAATTCTCTAGCCAATCCTGCACCTCACATACCCATAATCTCACCCACAGGAGCTCATTTTACCACCATTATGCTAGGTAACAAAGCCTCTGGTGTTGCTGAGAGATGGATAGGGCTGAATCCCTGGAATGGGAACCTTCTGATGAAATACTAGTTCCTCTCCTGGGAAGTGGGAATCCCAGTGAAGTCAATTGCCTGCCTGGAGAGAGTAGCTCAACCTGAAGAATGTATACATAAGGTCACACTGCCTGTGCTGAAGTATTTTGAAATAAATTACAGATAGAATAACAGCAATCCAGGGCAAGCGAGTAGGCAGAGGAAAGAGTTGTGTGCAGGGAATAGCCCAGACTACAGTGGGAGAGAAAGAATGGGACTTGGCTCCAGAGGAATATGAACAATGCATAAACAAAAAGCAGCCTACTTTCATCACCGCAGTTTCTTCTCAGGTGCATGAAATGGCCTTTAAGGGTTCATATTTCTGTAGGCTCCACATGGCATTTGGTGAGAATTAGGGGGGCGAGAGCAGTGGAACTTGAAAACAGTTGAAGTCATCCTTTTGGTTTGGGTAGGAAAGACGTTGTCTGTGCTTTAGGTTCTTCTCTCAAAAGACACACTGCTTCTGCTGGGAGGAGTTCCACTAAAGCTTAAGTCACACTTGCATTTATAAACCAGACCACTTAACAGGGTTTTGCACAGTGGCACCAGAGGCTGCATCTAGAAATGATGACTTACTTGTTCTAACTCCTGTAAGTGTATGGCAGGAATGCCTCCTCGGCAAGAAAAAGCCTCACGGCTGAAGCTTTCAAATTCATGAACACTATGGGTCTTCTGCCCAGGAAAAAAAAAGTGTATCTACGTTTACACAAATTTAGCATTCAATTTCAAAAAGTTCAAGGCCTATGGCTCCAGTGGGGAAACTGATTTGGAATACGATGAGACCTTTCGCTGCTCAGTTTCAAAGAGATGTTTGTACCTTGGTTAATAATAATATTGTTATATCATCATTTGTCATATTTCAATATTTATCTTTCCAGGGTTCTTGACCACGATGCCAATTCTGAATTTTCAATGAGGGTTATATAAATGAGGGTTTTCTCCTCACTAGTGCATCATTATACTAACCAAGTATATAAATGGGCTTGTCCTTTGAAATTATGTACCCTCAACAGCTCAGATCTCAAGGCAGCTGATTCTGCCTGGCAGGTGTGGGATGTGAGATTGAGTCATTCCAGAATCTCAAAGAGATATTTGTTGGAGGTAGCAGCAAACAGTGACTGATTCAGTAGCTCCTTGGCTTCCAAACAACCTGGTACTTACCACAGTTTACATTTGAAGGAAGCTCTGCCCCTTCTTTAGTGGTTGTTAGATGTGGGGAGATGAAAGGAAGACAAAAGCAGAAGTTCCAACAGGCAAGCACAGTGGGAAGTGTGAAAGAGGGGATTTCTTTTCATGGTCTTTTTAAAGAACAACAAAAAAAATACCAGTGTCAGATAAGGCTTAGAGAGCATAGGATGAAGATCTGGAAGTTCAGTAGCAAATGTGGTCAAGTCATTTGGGGCCTTTGTAGACTGAAAACAATAGAGCACAGTGATTAGAGCTCAGGCTCTGAGGCTAGACTCTTGTATTTGAATCCTTATTCATTTGCTAGTTTTGTCTTTTCATTGCTCTGTGCCTCGGTTTCTCTAGGCAATAAAGAACCGAATAATAGTATCCACCTCCTAGGATTGTTCTGAGTATTCAAGGAGAAAATATATACAAGGCACTTAGAGCAATGCCTGGCAAGCCATAAGCTCTCCACAAACATTAGCTCCTATTTGCAATCAAATTCACTGCTGAGTTACTTGAGAGTGATTGTACCTTGAGCTGTGTGGAGACAGCTATTAGGTCATTGCATGAGGAGATTTTATAATTTTAAAGAATGTTCATGCTACAGCTACTACCTACATGAAACTATAAACTAGTATACAAAACTGAAAACCTGGCAGTCATGTCAGCTGGGACATGTGTCCCCAAGTTCCCACAATGTGTTCAGCCCCATGCCAGACACTGTGAAACCTACTGAAATTGGCTATTCATGTGTCTTCCTTGACTTCTATCTAGTCTCTTGATCAAAGCTTGTTTTATACTTTTTCACATGGATTTTAAAAAGCTTCAGTAAAGAAGTGATGCAGAAAGTCAGAAGGCATAATGATGTGAGTATGGTATGAAGTCCTTAGAAGTTTAGAGATACGAAGGATATATTTGAAAGGAGATGTAAATGGTATTTGGAAAGGCTTCTTGAAAGAGAAGGTGTTTCAAACATTAGCAGTGCTTTGAGAGGCAGATATGAGAAGGGAATGGATTCCAGGCAGGAGAAACAAGGCTACTGAAGACCCAGAGGTGGATAAGAGTTGGGGGTAGGGGGTGTTGGTGGTAGTGGTAGAACAGGTACTATAGCATGTGTGACTCCAGCAGAGGGAATCTGGGCAGCAATGGTGAGAGAGGACCTAGTCCCAGTGCTAAAGCTGCAGAGAAGGAAAGGGCTAAGAAAAAGCATGGATAATTTTGAATTCCAGGTGCTATTGTTTTACGGGCAGTAGAGGCTAAAAAGATTATTGAGCATGATCAGACCTAAGCTTCTTTTGTACTTATTCTCTTTAAAGTACTTTTGCATACTTTATTTCACTTTGTCCTGATAGCAAGGTTATGCAATGTGTAAGGGAGCCATTGTAAATCTCATTTTACCTAGCTGGGTCATACCCATTGCTCATAAAGCAGAATGATCAAGCGATTGTGCTGTAATCCCAGCACTTTGGGAGGCTGAGGCGGGTGGATCACGAGGTCGAGAGATCGAGACCATCCTGGCTAACACAGTGAAACCCCGTCTCTACTAAAAATACAAAAAAATTAGCCTGGTGTGGTGGCATGCGCCTGTAGTCCCAGCTACTCAGGAGGCTGAGGCAGGAGAATCGCTTGAACCGGTGGGGGGTGGAGGTTGCACTGAGCCGAGATTGTGCCACTGCACTCTAGCCTGGGGGAACAGAGTGAGACTCTGTGAAAAAAAAAAAAAAAAAAAAAAAGATTGTGCTGTTCACATGCAGTAGAAGGATTAGGAGGAAGAGGACCAGACAATATGGATCACCTGTGAACCAGGACTTCCTCCACCCTGCAGAGCTACTTGTTTGGAAACAGAATCTGCTTCTGTTCCAAACTGTGCCAAAAGTTTAAATAAGAATAATGTCCTTACTCATAAAACATATATATTGTCATGTCATGATATCTTTAAGTAGGCATTATCAACTTATATTTTAAGCCATACAGCAAAATATAACATTTGTATGGTGCTTTTAACCAATAAAACATTATTTGATCCTTTAATTATTTGACCTTCCCAATAACTAAAATGTAGATGGACTAAAATATGATTAATATTCCTACTATAGTGATAAGGAAACTAAAACTCAGGACTAGTGACCAGTCCAAGGTGAGACACACAGTTAGAAAGAGATAGAATCAAAATTAAAGCAGGAACTTGTACTCTAGATTCTCTCAAAAATCCCATGGTTCATCATATTTTGTTAGCTGTTTCTGTTTCATGCAATTCAAACCATTATCCATTATTTATTTGACAGTAAGCTTCAGTAGGCTAACTGGTATGTTTGACTATTAGTAGAACTCTTTCTTTCCTATTCCTGATGTATTTGAAAGCTGTGGGTGGGTGCCAAGATGGAAGAATACAAGTGGCTCATCTGATTCAGGCGCTGGCCTTCTCTGCATGGTGCAGAAACTGGTCAACAACACTAAGGGACACTGCCACGCTGATTTTGCTATGAGACATGTTGCACTTTGTTGATTTCTTGGCCTGCCTCCCTCTCCACCCATCTCTTACTCTTTTCACTCAGGCCAGAGGAGCAGGGAGAGTCTGACACTGGAGTCCTACCTTTTCTGGCCAGCTACCCATCTGCGTCAAAGTGGTGTTGGCTTTGGCGCCTGGGTGGCTGGATTGGAGACCATTCTTGGGCAGCTATTATTTCTTTCTAATGGTTCTTGACCTTTAAAGTCAAGGAAGGTTATTTTTGCTTAGAAAGACCTTAAGATTTCAATGGGAATTTTGGTTTTGGATATTTTTTAATGCCCTACTCTGTTCCTAAGAAATGAAAAGAGGCTAAATCACTTTCAAAGAAGTATTTTGCAAGTTGGCATGTCAGCTAGTGGGCCTACAGCTGAGCTCATGTTCTCCAAGGCCTACTTGTCTAAATGAGTCAGGGAAACCAATCACCCCCCTGTTGTTTTGCATGACCTAAAAGCCAACACTCCCACAGGGCAGTGGTGGATGTAATTTCTGGCACCCATACAAAAATGTTGTGAAACATTTGCAGTCTCTTTAGAATCTTGTAAGGTAAACAGCATACCACGGTCTGCTGGGGCAGCACGTTGAAGTCCAACTGAGAAGAATAACTGACTGTGGTAGAGGTTTACTAGTATGATGAGGAAAGTCCAAGGCGAGTACCAACCTATGCATTCTATAGACTATTCCTGTGTATTCCAGGGAGGAATAGTGTTCTCCTCTGAAACTATTGCCAGTTAGTGTTTAAAGGAAGTTTTGTTGAGTGCACAGATAAACGTCTAGTGTATTCATCACCAAGGCTTTAATGAAAACATTCCCTTTACCTGAAAGGTCATTTATCCAACAAATGCATTATTTTTTACAGCTTTATTGAGGTATAATTGATATTCAATGAACAATAAATATGTAAGCTGTTCAATTTGATGACTTTGGACATATGTGAACACCTGTGATACCATCACCACAATCAAGGTAATAGGCATATTCAATACCTCCCAACCATTCCTTGCATTTCTTTGTTTTTGTTTTTGTGGCAAGAACACTTAACATGAGATCTACTCTCTTAAAAAATTTTGAGCTTATTTGAATTTATAGTATTGTTAATTATAAATACTGTGTTATACAGTAAATTTCTAGAATTTATTAATCTAGCATAATGGGAACTTAAGACCAATTGAACAACACCTTCCCATTTTCCACACCCCTCAGCCCTCAGCAAACACTATTGTATTCTCTGCTTTTATGATTTTGACTATTATAGATATCTCATAAGAGTGGAATCTTCAATATTTGTTTTCCTGTGACTGGCTTACCCAAATTCATTCTCATATTCAGTTAACAAATATTGTAAGAACCTTCTAAGTGCCAGGCACTGGATATGAGTAAATCTGGGTTTTCACGTTCAAGGGATTAATAATCTAGTTGGGGAGACAGATTAGTGACAAGTTGAAACTGAGGGTGTGAAAGAAAAACACAGAGTGCTATGGAAGCATGCAGAGGGGGAAGGGAGCCGGGGTCTGGCAAGTCAAGGTGGAAAGTCTAACAGTTACAATAAACAACCAAACAAATCAGCTAAAGTTCAGTTCAGGAGTTACCAAATAAAGTGATAAAGGTAATAACAACTACCATTTATAGAATATCCATTAAGTTTAGTATTTCGCATACATTACCCATTTTCCAAATTAGGAAATGAGACTCAGTAACTTGCTCAAGTTCACTCAACAAATAATTATCAGGGCTGAGGTTAGGATATATCTGCCACTAGTGTTACTACGTAACATGTGAATACAAACTTGGTTCTTGATTAATATTTCTATTCTTTATGACCAGTCACTTGTCTGATATTACACTCTCCCTCCATACCTAATTCCAGCTTCATTCAACTCAAGGAGCTCTCTCGACACAACCTGTCTACTTTTATATTTTACTTTAGCACTTGTCATCATCTAACGTGAAATATCCTATTTCATCAATTCTAAGATGCCCATTTATTCATATTTTTACATCTCTGAAGTTAGGATGCATTAAAACATCAATGGCATAGAAGAGTTCGAAATATCCTTTTCATAGTCTACACATAAAAACAACAGAGCATGCTTGAACTGATAGCTCTAAAATTCCTCAAATATGTAGTATTTTATTTATGTTATATTGCTTTTTTTTCTGTCTTTCCACAGAGTATAAGCTCCAAGAGGTTAGGGCTTTTGTCTGCCTTTTTCACCTTTGTATTCCCTGTCACTTGGAATGTTGTTGAACAAATTAATAACTGGATAGATACAGAGTGCCTACTATGTGTTGTAAGCTTTGTGAGGTGCTGGACATGGAGGGAGCAACGAAATGGATATGAGCCTTGCCCTCCTTGGGGGGATGCATGTTGAACAAACAGAAAGACAAATGAATGCATACACCAATGTGCAATTTAATGTGGGGAGATGGAAAAAGTGAAAATGTTAAAAGTGCTATGGAGCAAATAAATGGGGACTGAGGTGTTTTCCAAATTTCTATTAAAAAGTCAGGGAGGACCTCTTTAAGGAAATGACATCAAAGCTGACACCAGGGGGATAAAAGTAGTAAGTCTAGGAAGCCAGACTATTTTGTTGCCTGGCACACCTAATAGCCAATCTTGACCATCCTAATCCAAAATATTTTCTCCCTTCTTGCCACAATGTCTGACACTTGTATCTGCATGCACTTTTAATTATATTTTTGCAGATGTCCTTTCTATCCCCCAAGATTACAAATATATCGATCCCTTCTCATAGAATATAGAGCACTAAATTAGGAGACAGTAGGCCTGGGTGGTAATTCCAACTTTGCCCCTCCTTTACAAATTGAGGAAGTTAGATAAACTCTCCAGTCCTCAGTATCTTGCCTGTACAATTAGGTTATATTAGAGAATCTCTAAGGTGTCAATGAGCTTTAATATTTAAATTCTGTATTATTAGTCCACTTTAACAAAGAGTTTTGAGGAACTACTATGTACTAAGCTGGTAAACTTTCTGTAGGGCACTGAAGAAATTAAGATGAAAGAAAAGGGAAAGATATGACCTGTTTATTTAAGGTGTTTATGATCTTGAGAAGGATATTGATACTTTGATGATTTCAATATAATGTAGCATAGAATCTCCTCTGCTTCTGAATTTTCAACTATTATAATTGTCTTTCCCAGGAGTGAACAAAGTCAGCCCTGTACCCTGAACTTCTAAGTAAAGACATTTAACTCTGCTTGCCACCAACAGATGGTACAAGCGGTCACATCGACCAGATACTGTTCCGTAAGTTTTAGAACTAATGGATGAGAGGCAGGTCTGATAACCTAAGTTATTTGTAGCAGAATAAGTGTAAGCTGGGATACCATGGGAATTGAAAGCAAAGGGTCACCTTGTTCCACCTAGGTGAAGGTGGCAGTGCTGTAGGGAGGTCAAAGAGAGAGACTTCATAGGGCATTGATGTCTCAGCTGAATGTTGAAGGAAGAGAATGGATTAACCAGATATCTTTCTTGGGATGCTTTCAACTTCAAAATACAGACAACCCAACTAAAGGTGGATTTGATAAGAAGTGCAATGACTATTCTATTATTTAAGACTATTCTATTATTATAAGATACAGAGGCAGGGAAATTCTCTGTATTATAAGATACAGAGGCAGGGAAATTCCAAGCTCAAATGAAATCCCAATAGCTCAAAATATCATAGAGAACTCAGGCTCTTTCTACCTTTCTTTTGTCACCTAAGAATGTTGGGTTTTGTTCTTACGTTTTTCCCTAGTGGTTGCAAGATGACTGTCAAATCTCTTGGCATAGTACTTTTTACACTTTATTTTTTAAAAGGCTCAAAGGTGGCAACTTTTCTCAAAATTATCTTTACCAAAAAGAGTAACCATGCTCTTCTTGCCCCATTTTCCCCATTTCTCACCCCCGTCTCAACAAGATTCCTGGTAGGTTCTGGTGACCGGGGCTGAGCCACACACCTATGCTGTAAATGCAAAGGAGGTTGGGAAAGTGTGTGCCTGGCAATTCCAGTCTCCGTGTGAGATGGTAGAGTCTGTCTGCTTGGAGGAAGTGTGGGTGCAAAGCAGGGAAGAAGTAAGTAGAGTGATTGCTGGGTAGGCCTCCAACACGGTCTTTCAAAACAAGAAAAGAAGAAAAGGGGAGTTATTCATGGATCTCATGTTCAGGACCTGGCACAGTGCTTTGCTTTCTGCATTGCAGGCATTCAATTGATATTTTTTGATTGTGGAATCATTATCATGGAAATAGAAAATCAATGTCAGGTCAGGCGAGTGAGTAGTGAAATTAATTATTCTTTCCAGGCCATGACTAGATGACAAAAAATTAATTCTGTTATTTGAATGGGTGGCTGTTGATATTTCTAGTGAGGGGTTAAACTGAAATACTAATTTAACATCAAGAGAGGTAGTGGTGGCATTTTTTTAAACCATGTCTAATTTGGCAATGGTTTTATAAACTAAAAGCAAATCAGGGAAAAATCTAAGTTAAATGGAAAAAGACCAGATCTTAGGAGATGAAAGTTTACTGAAAATACCATGTGGAGGGTTTTAATGGAAACAATAGAGTTTAAAATGGTCCCAAGAATATGGAAAAAAATTTAGTAGATCCTTATAAAGCACTTACTGTTTGTTGATTATACATGGAAAGTCACAAGAAGGAAGCAAAAGAGGATACCACATTAGTTCATTTTTTAAAAAATCAACTATATACAAACCAGACATTAACATTTTTTGGAAAAATTTCCTTTGCCTTTTCCACAACTACAAACAAAACAGAAAGCTGTGAAGTTTTTTTCCTACTGTAACAACAACGAAAAGAATATTACATTCAGAAAGAAGGAACGAGTCATTCTTTCAGAAGGGGTGAATTATTTTACATAATTTTGTATGAAGTAATGCAAGGAGATTTCAGTAACAGTATGAACTTGTCATAGCACACTGATCCTTTGAAATATCTTTTCTCCATGTCTTTTAAGCCTGTCAAATCCTTTTGCAGAACTATGAGAGCTTGCCTAAAGAATTGAAAACAATACAGATGAATAAAAGTTGTAGATTAATTCCCACTGCTCTTTCTTGGATGAAAATGTTCCATGTTTTTTTTTTTTAAATGACTGGGACTATTTAACTCCAACCATAATGTATTTTCTGTGGTTTCTTAATTTGGAATTTTACTCTTCAGCTCCACTTCATCCTGTCTTTCTTCTTATTGAATGCCAAGGCATACCATAACACAGGAAAAGGGGCCGCAAAGGATCACAGGAGGCTGGCTTACGTTTAAGCCTTTCTAATTTCATAGCATCTGCTGTGATGTGTCAAGCCAGGTACCATATTTCTATTGTAAATCAGTCTTTCCTCCTGGACTAGATTCACAGTCTTTTTGGAGTTATTATATACTTTTGTTGATCAACTTTTTAAACACCACTTTGAGTTCCTAGATTGCTCCAATTCCTTAAAGGTAATAATGCAGTTTCTGCACTTCTTTCAGTATTTATTAAGACACAGGGAAATGGTTTTACCCCAGGAATCCATATTAGAGTAACACAGGGTGATTTTATATCTATACTGGGTCTACTTGGCTTGGCATGCCAAATTAAAATCTCTAGGGTAGGGGTCTGGCAAAAGTGTTTGGAAACACTTGATTTATTCTGATGTACAAGTCTGGTTCAGAACCATTAGCATATTTGAAATCATAAATTTACCATCAGAAAAGAAAAGAAATGGAAAGAAAAAAATGGAAAGAAAACCAAAGTCTGCATAGGCAGCTCTTGCCTCTAATATGCCACCTTCATAGTATGGTAATACTGAAAATTGACACAGTATAATGCTTAGGATACAAATGCCCTGGATTAATTTCTGCTCTGCTATGTCACCTGAATCAAAGTAAACTTGTAGCTGTTCTATGCCTTAGTTTACTTACTTGTATAATAAGTACAATAATAATGTCTGAAGTAATTTTGGAATTAAGTTATATATTATGTATAAGATTAAATACTTATAAAGTACCTTCTGACTGGCATAAATTAATTGCTCAAACAATATCAATTGTTATTTCAGGCTGCTCAGAGGCTCAGATTGGAAGTTAAATAATATGTTTTATTAGAAAATAACATAAATAATTGTAAACAAAGAAATTTTGTTTAGTAGCTGGAACATTTAGAAACCTAAGATCCATATGGGATTTTGTTTTAGGTCCTTGCTATTATAAATGTTAAATCCATATTTTCATTAATCATATTAGCATTGAAAATGCCACAGCAGTCCCCTTTAATGGCATTAGTAAAACCCTAAAGTATCACAACATGACAGAAATACTGGGGTGGATAATTAAGGATGGTGTTAGTTCCTGCAGCCTAGGGGTATATTGGACTGGATTATCCAATAAGAAGATTAAGAATGCATTTCGTGCAAGAAGAGGACATGACAAGAAAATGACAGTTCTTTAAATGAAATTATTCAATATAGATATTTCAAAAATGCATTTAATTCATCATCAAAATAAAATTAGATATTTGTTTTAGCTATTTATATTTTGTGTTTAGAGGTTTTTTTTAAATACAAGTAAGAGTAGGACACAAATTTTTTTTCAGTTCTTGGGGGTCTCTGATGGTTTTTAGTCTGGGCCTGATTCAGATTCACTTCTAGGAACTCTGAGTGTGAATTCCATGTAAGGAATTTCTTTAGACAGTGTTTTCTTGTAGTGATGTCATTTGGGTGTGGAGTTAGTAGAAACTCTGTAACTAAAATCTTTGCTCTTATCCCTAAATGTATGGCATATATGCTAAACCATCTGGTTATGCAATAGACAGGAGTCACCTGACAAAATTTCTCTTTCAGCAACTCTGATTTGCCATAGAACTCCTTTACTAAGTTTATAATAGATTGTAAGCTCCACAGCAACAGGACCAGGCACTTTCCATAGTCTCTAGGCTCCACATCAGCAGTGGGAGCATCCCAGAATTTCAGAATCAAAGGAGTCTTTATATATATACATATATATATGTGTGTATATATATACGTATATGTATGTATATGTATATGTATATATAATATACACACACACATTAAATTCTGGTACATGTGCAGAACGTGCAGGTTTGTTACATAGGTATACATGTGCCATGGTGGTTTACTGCACCCATCAACCCATCATCTGCATTAGGTATTACTCCTAATGCTATCCCTCCCTGGCCCCCTACCCCCAACAGGCCCCAGTGTGTCATGTTCCCCTCCCAGTGTCCATGTGTTCTCATTGTTCAACTCCCACTTGTGAGTGAGAACATGTGGTGTTTGGTTTTCTGCTCTTGTTAGTTTCCTGAGAATGATGGTTTTGAACAAATACTGTTCCCTCAAAGATGTCCACAATCAATACCCAGAAACCGTGAGTGTGTTAACTTATAGCAAAAGAGGTTTCACATAATTGATTACATTAAGGATCTTGAGTTAGAGGCATTATCCTGAATTATCTGGCAGGCTCGATTCAATTACAAGGATCTCTATAAGAGGAAGGCAAGAGGATCAGTCACTAGAAGGAATTGTGACAATGGAAGTAGAGTTTGGAGATATGGGGTCAAGAGCCAAGAAACGCCAACAACCTCTGGAAGCGAATAAAGGAGAGAACAGATTTTCCCCTGAAGTCTCCAGAAGGAACCAGCACTGACAGTACTTTGTAGCCCCATAAGACTTATTTTGAACTTGTGGCTTCCAGAATGATAGTAAATTCATGTTTCTTTAAGCCACTAGATGTGTGATACTATTGCAGCAAACATAGGCAACTAATGGAGACTCATGGATCATCAAATTCAATCTCCTCATTTTTGATTAAGTGATAAAAGGCCCAGAGAGTTTGGGTGTGCATTTATTCACTCATTCAACAATTTATTCAGTTGCTAACATCTGCCAGGCACTGTTAGCAGTAAACATCTGATCTATACTACGCCTTTTTCTGAATCTTTCCTTCAGGACCCTGGGAATTAGAATCTGGAATGGAGAGTCCCCCATAAGTGAGATGTTTGGAGCTGGTGAATTCTAATTGTGGTACACCCAATACCCAGAGCTGTACTCTTTCCATTCCTTCCAGATGCTGGATAATTGGCTTGTTTCTTTCTTTCTTTTTTTTTTTTTTTAAATTCAGCTCCTTATAATAAATTCCTTCATTTATGCAAGTTGGATAGAGTGGGTTTCTGTATTTATTACACGCACTGTAGCAAATTATCTAAATAATCAGTTAATGGTGTCCTCTGATCACTTCAAAGGTTTATGAGAGTTTTAGATCAATGATTTCTTTTTACAAAGGGCATTTTATTCCACAGAAATAATTGGCAGGTCACTAACCAACTGATGTTGTCATCCCCAACAAACCAAGTCCACACCCTCATTTCAGCATTTGGGAAATATTTTTCTCTGTCAATGTGGAAAGAAGAATGTGAGCTACAGACTGCATTTGCAATCCTCTGATGTCTGAGCTGCTAAAATGTGTTATGGATAGAATCATTTTGTTATAAATAGGAATTTCTTAATAATTTCAATGAGCATTACCTATCATCTAAAAATAAGATTGTTTTTATTGGATAACTTTTAAAAATAGCTAAGGAAGGGGTGATGGCAGATGTATCTTGAGTTTAATAAGTAGCCATAATCCTATTTAAGGAGTAGCAAATTATTGTAAGAAAGAGGAAGGACAAATCAGAGAGCAGAGCCACTGCCTGTATGGACACAGGTCTGTGGGGGTACATTCAATGACTCCACAAATAGGCTCTCGATGACTGTAGTTCCAGACACACTTGAGACTTTACTCTGTCTCTCCCTTTCTGACTTTGACAGTCTCTGATAGTAGCAAGAGTCAACAGGTTGGTTAAAAGATTAAAACTGAATCCAGGTTCCACTATTTGATTTCCTTGATCAACTTAACTGTAAATGGTACTATTAACATCTATTTTCTAGGTGGTGTTCAAAGAATCAAATGAGATCATATCTGTCAAGTATTTAGCAGTGTCTGATGCATAGTGGAATCTCAATATATGTTTATGCCTTTTCTTTCTCTTTTTTTTTTTCAAATGCAAGTGTGACTAAGTACATGCTTTTGCTTTTGTATCTCTGGGAGATCATTAGAAAGCATTGTGGCTCTTTGAATGATATAATATCCTTTCATACACTTCATACTTTTTTGTCATACCAATAATGTAATGAGTAAGTACTATAATTATGTCCATTTTATAGATAAGGAACATGAGGCTCAAAGAGATTAGGCAACTTGATCAATGAGCACAAGCATAATACTTGTCACAAATATGACTTGCACTCAAATCATTAGAATCAGAACCCCTTCATTTTACAGTCCATGCTTTTTCTTTGAAATTTGCAAGGAGCCTGACTTTGTAATGGCCAAAGATCAAGCCAGGTTAGGACTATCTCTGTCTACTAGTCTTCCTATTTTCACTGTCAGTAAAAACACGTGACTTAAGGTCAACCCCTAGGTATACTGAATCTTCGCCAAGGAAGGGGGAGTTGGGTTAGTGTTAATTTGAGTGTGGCCTCCTCATTATGTAGGAGTGGGAAACCATATTTTAATCTTGATAGGGTTTCAGACAAGCAACCAAAAGGAGAAGAAAAAAACTGGGCTTGCTATCTTACCATCCTTCACTCCCAAACTCCAACCCCATCCTTGGCATGCTAGTTGGCATAGACTACACTCTTCCTTGCAAGGTCACCTCTGGATGATTGAGTTTCTATGCTGAAAGTCATAGGTTGCTTTAAGGCATGACTCTCCTTTTCTGGGTTCCAGTAACCATATCATCTTAGTTTTTGGAAGGTGGCAGGGGGAATTAGGAGTGGTAACACACTCAGGGTACCACACACCATTGTAAACAATAGCTTATTAAATCTTCCTCAATATAGCCTAATTTTTTAACGGGAACATGAGTGATAAAATAGGTAGCTCCAAATAGTTCTAGGAAGACCTACCCTAGGTAGGTAATGGCTGTTTATATCCGTTTCTTTCCTTGTCTCCAAATCAAATTGCACAGTGTCCTTTTATGACTGTTTTCTCTTTCAAGGGTATGCTATGCAGCCATTTTAATTTGGTTTTCTTTATACATAAAAAATGTTGAAGTCTGGTTATGTGGACATTGTGAGGAATATTTAATACACAACCTCATAAAGGAGTCTAGTTGGATTTCAGAGGTAGCAGAAGATAATATAGTGAGAGTAGTGTAGTGGTGTCAGATCACTTGGCTAAAAATTTCAGTTTTACCACCTGCTAACTATTTGATCCCAGTTTGCTTAAACTGTTTTTACTTCAGTAGAATCAGCAGCATTGTATCGGGAGCTTTTGACAGCTCTGTGCCACACTCCCACCTGCAACCAGACTTCTAACCTCTATCATTTTAAGATTAATTCGTACTTTACTGCTTCCCTCTCCTACTCCAAGCTCATCCCCTTATTAGTTTGAGTCAAACTGAATGAATTTGTTTGCTGCTAACATCTATGTGGCTTCTTCCTAAACTTTTTCTTAAAAACTAGCACCTAGTGTGATTTGAAACTTCCAATTTTTCTCTTGATGGTCATATGTGCCTTGAGTAAAAAAAGTTATGTTGGGCTTGTAACCAAATTTCTGATCCTGCAATTCATTTATTCGTGTAACTTCATTTCCACCAGCCCAGGTCTCTAGAAGGAAGCAGAGACCCTGAGCAATGGAATTTAAGGGCTTACTTGTAGCAACTTCTTGTTTTACTCCATTCTTGGCTCCGAGAGCTACTTCCATGTTCTTCTTTCTCCTTTGCCCTCTAGGGCTGTGGGTACCTGCTCTTACCATCTCCCAGGGAGAATGTGAGAGTAAGTCATGTGATTTCCAAATTTGTATACCCAACCTGGGCTTTCCACCTGAACTCTAAATGTAATGACTACTTGGGAATGCCTGATAGGAGTCTCAAACTTGTCAATCCAAGGTAGACCTCCAATTTCCAACCTGTACCCTCACCTCCCCCTAAAAACTAAAACAAACACAAAATTATCTCCTAGTCTTCCCCAGTAACCTGAGTTGCTCTGGCTAAGAAGCTCAGAACTACCCTTGACTTCTTACTTTCTCCCATAGGTCATATTCAATACATCTGCAAAACTATGAGCTCTGCCTTTAATATCCATCTACCTTCTAGCATAATCATTACTGTACCCCTACTCCAGGTGTATTAGTTCATTCTCACACTGCTGATAAAGACATACCTGAGACTGGGTAATTTATAAAGGAAAGAGGCTTAATTGACTCACAGTTCAGCATGGCTAGAGAGGCCTCAAGAAACTTACAATTATGGCAGAAAGAGAAGCTAACGTATTTTTCTTCACATGACAGCAGCAAGAAGTGCTGAGCAAAAGAGAAAAGCCCCTTTTAAAACCATCAGATCTCTTGAGAACTCACTATCAGAACAGCAGCATGGGGGTAACGACCCCCATGATTCAATTACCTCCCATTGGGTCCCTCCCATGACATGTGGGGACTATGGGAACTTCAATTCAAGATGAGATTTGGGTGAGGACACAGCAAAACCATATCACCAGGTAACTGATACTTCTCACCAGAATCATGGCTTGAGCTTCCTAACTGTTCTCTCAGCTTCTGCCTTTATTCCGTTTTAGTTATGTATTAATGCATAATAGTTCACCACAATATTAGCAGCTTAAAACAGCATACATTTATCATCTTGTAACTTCTATGGGTCAGGAGTCTTGGCACAGCTTCTCTCAGGGTCTTCTATAAGACTGCAATCAAAGTGCGACCTGGGGCTAAGGTTTTATCTGAAGGCATGACTGGGGAAAGATTCACTTCTAAGCTCACAAGATTCACTTCCTCAAAGGCGGTGGGCCCAAAATGGTCTCAGTTCCTTTTTGGCTGTTGGTCGGAGGCTACCCTCACTTCTTTACCATGTACATTTCTCCACTGTGGCTTCTTGCTTCATCGAAGTACACAAGTCAAAAAGACAAAAGAATCTACTAGCAAGACAGAATTTACAGTCTTATGCAACCTAATCACAGAAGCGACATCCCATTACATTTACCACATTTTATTGGTTATAAGCAAGTCATAAATCTTGCTCACTCTCAAGTGGAAGGCATTAAACAAGAGCATGAGTAGCAAGAGACAGGAATCATTGAGAAGTTCCTATTACATTCTCTTACTCTTTTTTGTTCATGTAGCAGTTGGAGAAATCCTTTAAAGCATGAGTCGGGTCATGCCATACGTATAGTCCAAACCTTCCAGCTATTACATATTTAACTCACAATAGACTCCAAATTTTTCACAATATGCTTGCACCATCCCCATCTCAACTTAAATTACTCTTCCAATACTCACTTTGGTCTGGAAGTACTGACTTTCTTCTTATTCCTCAAACCCACCTGGCCCTGTCCCATTTCAGGACTTTTGCACTGTAATTCACTCTGCTTGGAGCCCTCTTGCCCCATGTACATTTATGGTCGGCCTTTCATTTAATTCAGGCTTTTGCTCCAATGTCACCTTTCTAAAAGGCCTTTCTAGTCTATGCTATCTATAACAGCAATTCCTTCCTTGCTTTCTGCCTCTTTACTCTTCTCTATTTTTATTTTTAGTATTATTTTAACGCATAAAATATTATATACCATATTTAATTGTCTGGGTTTTCTTTCACCACTAAAAGGAAACCTGGAGCAAAGACTATTTTATTCATGCAATACATGAAGACCTATTTGTTAAAATACAGAGGAAGTATGATAAGAGAAATGTAAGCACTTAAGAAGTAGAAAAAGGGGAGTGCTGATTTATTCTAATAATTATACTGTAATCATTCAAAAGGGTATACCAAAGTACTGTGCTCTTACCCCAAGGAAGAGGTGTGTTTTCCCTTAATTAAGATAAGAATTCCTTCAAGGACATTCAGTTACCTTTACTGCTGTCTTATCAAGCAACTTTGTGTCCCTAACTCAGTTTTGTAATTGTCTTGTTCTGGGAACAACTGTAAATGGAGGGGTATTGGCATGAGGGTTTTGATGACTACAGTTGTTCATTCTCACTGTTCTCAATATCTCCCATGGTAATTAATAAAGTGGCATTTCTCCTTAAATTTACGTAAACGTATAAAGTCAAGATTCCAAATCTGAAAAGCCAAAGACTCAACTCTGCACTATGATGTTTTATCGAAGAAGTGGCAGCCATAATAAAACACATCTGAAAAAGTTATCCAACCTTATCCATTACTATCATCTGGTATTCCAAGGAGGTCATATTAGTTTAAACGCACTAATTGCAGGTCTTTCAAAGTAATCAAAATAAACTTAAAGTTTATGGTTTGTTGCTGGGGGAAAAAGGGAGACATTTATGTGGCATTGGCCAGGAAGGTTACTTTTAAAGGGCAGATTTTCATTTGATAAACTGCACAAAACAAAACAAAAATGCTGCAGAAATTTTTCTCTCAGTAGCTACTTAATAAAGCCTAAACTGGACAACTTCCATGCCCTTCGGGGTTTCAGAAATACAAACAGGAAGTTAACATTTCCATAGCAATAATGATTCAGTAATAAAAGCTGAGGAGAAACAATAAAACAGAAGGTCAGGATGAAAGCGATTTACATTTTATTAACATCCTAACACTACATCAGAATAGATATTAAATATTTAAATGGAGTCAGAGTGAAATTAGAAAAGCATCTGTAATCAAATAACTTTTTGTTGTTTGTTTTCAGGCATGGCTTTGCTCAGGTCTTGTGTTAAAGTGCAAACTTACACAGCATTTCTAAATTCCCTCAACTTGTAAATTCTGCTATGTTATCTTACGGACAATTTTTGTGACTAAGTTTCTTGTGTAAATGTTCTTTTCAGGGAAAAGGCATATAACTCATTGTGTCATTCACTTCATTATTGTCAGATACTGTATATTTTAATGAATGTGATGAAATTCAGTTATTGGAAATGAGTCAAATGAATTATTTCGACACTCTTTTAGGCCAATAGGGAGACAGATTGTCCTTTAGGCATGGACAGATCCTATAACTGGTAAGGTCTCCTGGGTTTTCCAGTGGCTTGGATTCTTCTTTTCCAAACTATTAATCTTGCCTTCTCTCTATTAGAGGAGAGAGGTGATTTCCTAAGAGAGTGATAAGATACTTCAACATTGTATAAGGAAGGAAGAACTGAATGTCAAGGAGAGAGAAAAGTGAACGTTCCAACCCTGAAGTAGAGGAAGAATGACCAGGTGATGGTGAACCACTGTTAAGAATAGAAGGAAAGAAGGTAGTGTTAATTCTGTAAACCACGAATTTCTTACCGTGACCTTGAGCTGACCAGGCTTCTGGGTCCTTCTATCTTTGTCAGGTGTTGAGCTTATAAGGTAGATAAAGTAGCTAAGAATTGGGAAACTGATTCAAAAAATTTGGACTCCCTCTCATTGTAAGGAGAATCTATCTTTCATCAATTATCTTTTGTTGTTTCAAAAATACATATCCAGTTTCTTTAAATGTTTGAAATACCTTAATTACAGTTTCTAAGCCTTTCACTCCTTTAAAAATGTGCTGACAGCCAGGTAGTATCCAAATAAATTCATGTTCAATTATAATAGCTACTTATCCTCTTTTATTTTCCCACTTCACCTCTAGCTATTGAAATATGGTTTTGATGTGGGAAATAACACTGGTTTTGAACATTTAGTTGCAATCATGTACTTTGTAGTTTACACAAAATACATAAAAAGTAACTCTTTCTAAGCCTGCATCCTAGTCCTAGAGTGTCCTCACTTAGTTGGGTTGACATATGTGTTTTCATATGCCACAGTACTGGTGGGATTAAAGAGTAGTCTCCTTGTTTTAAATAAATGCAAGCCTGACAGCCAGAGAAATTGTAATGTGACTTTCCTTTGACTATAGTTGAGATAAATTTATATACTTGTACTTAAAATATACAAATTACTGTGCTCGCTTCGGCAGCACATATACTAAAATTGGAACGATACAGAGAAGATTAGCATGGCCCCTGTGCAAGGATGACACGCAAATTCGTGAAGCGTTCCATATTTTTACGTTAGACCTAAAACCATAAAAACCCTAGAAGAAAACCCAGGCATTACCATTCAGGACATAGGCATGGGCAAGGACTTCATGTCTAAAACACCAAAAGCAATGGCAACAAAAGCCAAAATTAACAAATGGGATCTAATTAAACTAAAGAGCTTCTGCACAGCAAAAGAAACTACCATCAGAGTGAACAGGCAACCTACAAAATGGGAGAAAAGTTTCACAACCTACTTATCTGACAAAGGGCTAATATCCAAAATCTACAATGAACTCAAACAAATTTACAAGAAAAAAACAAACAACCCCATCAAAAAGTGGGCGAAGGACATGAACAGACACTTCTCAAAAGAAGACATTTATGCAGCCAAAAAACACATGAAAAAATGCTCATCATCACTGGCCATCAGAGAAATGCAAATCAAAACCACAATGAGATACCATCTCACACCAGTTAGAATGGCGATCATTCAAAAGTCAGGAAACAACAGGTGCTGGAGAGGATGTGGAGAAATAGGAACACTTTTACACTGTTGGTGGGACTGTAAACTAGTTCAACCATTGTGGAAGTCAGTGTGGCGATTCCTCAGGGATCTAGAACTAGAAATACCATTTGAGCCAGCCATCCCATTACTGGGTATATACCCAAAGGACTATAAATCATGCTGCTTTAAAGACACATGCACACGTATGTTTATTGCGGCATTATTCACAGTAGCAAAGACTTGGAACCAACCCAAATGTCCAACAATGATAGACTGGATTAAGAAAATGTGGCACATATACACCATGGAATACTATGCAGCCATAAAAAATGATGAGTTCATGTCCTTTGTAGGGACATGGATGAAATTGGAAATCATCATTCTCAGTAAACTATCGCAAGAACAAAAAACCAAACACCGCATATTCTCACTCATAGGTGGGAACTGAACAATGAGAACACATGGACACAGGAAGGGGAACATCACACTCTGTGGACTGTTGTGGGGTGGGGGGAGGGGGGAGGGATAGCATCGGGAGTTATACCTAATGCTAGATGACGAGTTAGTGGGTGCAGCACACCAGCATGGCACATGTATACATATGTAACCTGCACATTGTGCACATGTACCCTAAAACTTAAAGTATAATAATAATAAATAAATAAATAAATAAATAATCAACTAAAAAAAATATATATATATACAAATTACTTTTCCTAACATAGCCCTTAGGTTGTTAATACTAGCAAGTGCTGTACCAGTCTCACACTCCTGTGATTTTATTGTACTGAGCATCTACAGGAAATTGTGTAAGATATTGTGTAAATGGAATGCTGCCCTCTTATGGTTGCACAAATCCTTCCAGGGTCAAACATAAAGCCCCAGTCGCTAGTTAGGGTACTTAATAGAAAGACGTAAGAACTAGGAAGACATAAAAAAATTAACCCACACTGATTTTACAAATTACAAAATGGATTGAATGGAGGAGACTCATACCAATTTCATATAAGTTGACAGGATAGAGCCAAAGATAAAATCAAGTTCATTGTTTCTTTCCTTCTAATGCACATTTGAATATGATTTTTAACTTCTGATTTCATAATTCAAGTATTTCAAGGGAAGTCGCAAAACATCAATTTTATCAAAATAAGTTATAATAGGGTAATTACAGTAAGTCAATATGGTGTCACATTTCCTCAACCACTGAAGGACCTCTTCATTTTGTCAAATTAGAAGTCTCAAATATCCAACCAAAATTTGAAAAGGTCCCAAATATCAAACTCAAAAATTTTCAATTTCCAGGACATTTTTGATTATATTTTCCTAAGATCATTCTTATTCTTGTTTACCATCTGGGGAGTCACAGTTGAATGCTTATCCAATAAATGACAGCCTGTCAAACATTGGATAAAAGCTGCTTTTTTTTTCCTTAAAAAACCTCTTCCAAGATAACTATTTGCATTTTTGTTCTCTATGCAGTTTTAAAAATATATCTGTAAGTTCATATTACTGTAATTTATTTATTGAACATAAATCACCTTGCATTATATATATACACATATATGTATATGATTCTATATAGTTTTATATGTTCTGATTGCTGAGGCAAAAGGTATGTATTTGCATATAAAATTTAGATAGACAGTGTTAAATTGCTTCTGAAATAGGTATACCAATTTACCCTCCCACCAACAGTATACAAAAGCCCATTTTGCCATATGCTTATAAATACCAGATAAACCTCTCATCCATGCCTTTCAACTTTTCTGTCATATTTTCTATCACTTAGGCATTTTTAAAACTATGAATTTGGAAAATCATTTTATCATTCTTATTTTACAAATCTAATTTACCAGTTTGTCGCTTATCTTCTGATTTTATTTATGGTGTTATTTGACACAGAGATGTTTTAAATTTAAGTAGTTTTCATGCCTTTGTTAAAGTAATTTACAAGATTTGCTCACAAAGTTTATATAAAATACTCAAATTTTCCTTTAGTGGCTTTGTGATTTATTTTATTGCCTTTATATTTAAATCTTTAATCTATTTGAAATGCATTTTATTATATGGTATAAAGTAAGATCATTTGATATTTTTTCCAAATGGTTATTTTTTTAAGCATTTATGAAACAGCTCATTGAAGCTCCACCACTTAGAACTGTCACTTTAAATCAAGTACCAAACCCTTATGTAAACTCAGACCTTTATTTGTTCTCTCTACTTTTTGGACATTTATTTTATTATTTTAACTTTATTACGTGTAATGACATCCAATATTCCATAAATTCCTCTTTTAATAAATAGAAAGTGACTATTATAGATGTACAAATTTTTGACATTATTAAAATACAGTAAGGTAAACAATAATAATAATAATAATAACTTTCCACCTAGAATTAGCTGCTAACATTGTGGCATATTTGTTTTCAGTTTTTTTTCAAATTACTCTGATATGTTTGTAAACATAAAACTAATATTTTGTAAATATGCTTGTTATAAAGAATTTAATCATTCCACAAATTACAAATAGGCAACCATCATCCCAGTGTTCAAGAGCTGGAAATTGTCATCATTACATTAGTTAAATGTCATTTCAAGTATTGTTCATGTCTATATAAATATACAAGAATGGATGCATGAACAGACAGACAGAAATGAATTTATTAGAAATAAATATGTCTGGAATAGCTTTCTAGCTTGAATTCTGTGAGGCTGCAGTCAAGCTGACAGCCAGACCATACCATCAGACATCTTAAAATTTGATCAAGTTGAAGAGTCCAATTTTAAGCTCACTCACATGAGTGTTGGCAGACTTCTGTTCCTCATGGGTTGTTGGACTGATGGTCTCAGTTTCTTGTCTTTCATAAGGCTGCTCAGAACTTGGCAGCTTGCTTCCCCGGTGTGAGTAATCTGAGAGAGAGATAGAGCCCAAGACAAAAGCCACAGTCTTCTTACAACCTAATTTCAGAAGTCATATAATTTCTGCCATATTTTATTAATTAGAAATGAGTCAATAAGGTTAGACAACCATTAAGGATTACTCAAAGGCATGAACACCAGGAAATAAAGATCATCGGGAGATCTTTTTAGTACCATAAAACATTCTTTTTTTTTTTTTTTTTGAGACAGTTTTTCTCTGTAGCCCAGGCTGGTTTGCAACGGGGCCATCTCAGCTCACTGCAACCTCCACCTCCTGGAGATTCTCATGCCTCAGCTTCCCAAGTAGCGGGAATTACAGGCGAACACCACCATGGCTGGCTAATTTTTGTATTTTTAGTAGAGATGAGGTTTCACCATGTTGGCCAGGGTGGTCTCGAACTCCTGATCTCAGGTGATCTGCCGGTCTCTTCCTCCCAAAGGGCTAGGATTACAGGCGTGAACCAACATCCCCAACCCCATTAAACATTCTTTAAGCTGTAGTCTTATTTTTTTTATACCTGTCATCAAGTTAAGGAAGTTCCATTATATTTGTAGTTTATTAAGAGTTGTTATAAGTAGCAATTGATTTTTTTAAATAAAATTTTGCTTCTACTCAGGTGATTTTATGTATTGTCTTAGCTTTCTTGAAGTATGTTGTTCAAGATAGTACCATTTTCCATATACTTAGAAATGAAATCTTTATTTATGGTAAACTTTAAAAATACTTATAGACACGTTCAAAAATTCAGTTGACATATTGATTGTAGAAGTTTCATTTGTAGTTTAATATGTGAAAAAAGATGGTCTTCCCATTATGTAAATTGTATATTTTCCTATGGCTCAAATGTGTGTTTTTTTGTTTTTGTTTTTGTTTGCAGGGGGGTGGATTGTTTGTTTTTCACATCTAGGGCAAACTTTGTTACTTCTTCATATTGACCCTGAGCATTTTTTTGTCTAACTTATTTCAAGGTACCATATATTTCTTTGCAATGTTTATAGTGGTAGTTTTCCTATATATATATATATATTTCCTAGCAGTGTTTGCCTACAGGGTCTTGTTAGTTGGAGTAAAAGTGTAAATCAGGTGGTTATAACACAATAGGGAGTGGTGGGGCCTGGCTAAGCTCTTCTGTGGGTTCCGCCTCAAAGTGACAAATTCAACTAAAGCAAGCAATGAAACCAACACTGCAACAAACAAAACATATCTATACTCTTGGTTTAAAACAAACAAGAAAACAAACACCATGCTTTTTAAAACTATCTGCAGAATCATGGGCACCAAACTGAGCTCTGTGATATCCTTTACATTACTGCAATTTAATTTTCAGTTATGTTGCTTCCCTATGTCTATTTCTCAATTTTTATTTTGTTTAAAAAAATTTATCAATTTATCTAGTTATTTTACACTTTTAATGCTTTTAGGAATACTATACACATTTTTATCTCCCAATGGTTATACTTAAATTTAATAAAATGTATATTTTATCCTAGGTTTTTTAAAAATAAATTGTGTGGTATATTTTCTAACCTTGGGTAAAAATGAGATATTCAAATATTCTATAAATTTATCTTCTGTTTGCTGTAGTAATTCTATTTCTTCAGGGGGCATTTCCATCAAGTCATTGAATTGTTTTCCCTATTTGAAACTAAAGTTACTTTATATATCCAAAGATTAGTGTTTTGCTTATCCTGATGGAATAGAGAAAACAAATTTTGTTCAGCAATTGAATCTGATATGGTCAGAGATGTTTGAATCCTGCTATTGATGTATTTTAGGCCCAGGTGATGGGATAAGAAAACATTTAAGATTGATTAAACCCCGTTTTCTCAGTTCTCTGGTGAGTTGCGAAGGATTTGCATGAAACAATGACTTCCTGGAGGTCCTCCTAGTGTGATGAAGGGTTTGTGCCAGCTGAAGTTAGCTATGTGTTTCCTGACACATCTATTCTCCGTATGACTCTGCCATGGCATCACCCCTACTTTTTTTTTTTGACTTTATAAAAGATAGTTTTATTGTTAATTATTTACCTTAGTAATTTCAGGAAGAAGAACAGACTAGCTCAGTCCGACATGATTGGCAGTTGGCAAAATCTGGGGAAGCAAGTGTTCTGATTGCTAAGGATTTAATTATATTCTTTTAATACTTACCTATCTAATGCTTCACATATAATCCAGAATAAAGGTATCATCTCCTTCCCTTTCACTTTAATGCTACACCTACCTCCCTTCAATCTGGAAATAATTTCCTTAAATATGGTTTTCAGAAGAACAAGTTCCCTCAAGAATAAAGCCATGAGGACAGTGCACAAAAAGAAAAACTCAAAATGAAACTCTACATGATAATTTGTCTAAAGAAACAAATCTTTCAAAATATTATGAAATAAATCCAGGTACAAATGCACTTGTTCATCTATGTGAATAGGTTCTGGTATAATAACTGAAAATGGCTGGCTGTTTACAAGATACACAAACAGGAACGGTGCACCTACACATCTAATGGCCCTCAGAAGCCCAAAATGTTCCAAGTGCTGTAGGCCAGAACATACAAGAATCAATCTTCATCTTTTTCCTTCTGAAAAGCTGTCCCATAGTTAGGCTGGACTATGGGACTGTCTTGTTCACAAACAGGAAGATCTCCTTTTCAGAAGGAAGCTGAATCCTTTTCCTGGTGATTCATATTAAATGAGCTACAGTGGCATCAACTGGACCCAACTTCCTCTGGTTGTCAGTGTTAACAGCCTGAGAGCCTGAGAGCTTTTCCACAATTACCAGAACCTGGTCAGGATATTTTGCTCAGATCTTTGCGGATTCTGTACATCTATGTTCCAGTGAGTGTTCTTCCTTGAATATCTACTTGATGAAGGTGGTGAGTAAGAGGTGGAGCTGGCTCTTGGAGCTGTGGATCTCAGTGCACCAACCACACCATCCTCTGATTTATTTAGCCAGCTAGCCATGTGGTTACAGCTTGGGTTGAACATATGCAGTCCACGATGCTTCTTGTGTCATCATGGTGCTGTTTGCATGAAATGCTGGTAGAATGGAGATGTGTTCTACAATGGATGTCCTACATCTTTGCTGTTGCTCTGAGCCGTTGCTCTGAACTTAGCAGTATTTTGGTGTTCCACAGAATTAGAGTGAGATCCTTTTGATTTTTTCTCCTAATGAGCTTTTCCTTTGTTGACACCTCAACTGATCAGTTATTTCAATCCACTCTTGTGTCTACTGGAATGCATAAAATCCTTCCCGAATTTCAAAGGCTAGTATAGATTTTTACTCCTTTTGTTTATATTTCTTTGATTCTTATATGAGACTTTGAAGGCTAGTGAAGATAGGGAGGAGTTACATTTACAGTGTCAGTGTGATATGTTAAAGCAGATATCACATGACATACTCTTCATGAACCCAGTCTGCTTCCCAGCAACCACATGGGCTTATTTTATGGAGGCTCATAGATACCTCTTAATAAAATCATCCAGAATAATTATTATGTGTTGAACTGTGTCCCTTCAGAAGACACATTGAAGTCCTAACCCCTGGAACTTGTGAATAGGACCTTATTTGGAAATAGGGCTCTTAAAGCTGTAATCAATCCAGAATCTATAAAGAATTTAAACAATTTTACAGGCAAAAAACAACCCCATTAAAAAGTGGGCAAAGGATATGAACAGATACTTTTCAAAAGAAGACTTACATGCAGCCAACAAGCATATGAAAAAATGCTCAACAACACTAATCATAAGGTAAATGCAAATCAAAACCATGATGAGATACCATCTGACACCAGTCAGAATGGCTATTGTTAAAAAATAAAAAAATAACAGATGCTGGTGAGGTTGCAGAGAAAAGGGAATGCTTAAACACTGCTGGTGGGAATGTAAATTAGTTCAGCCATTGTGGAAAGCAGTTTGATGATTCCTCAAAGACCTTAAAACAGAATTACCATTCAATCTGGTAATCCCATTACTGGGTATATATTCAAAGGAATATAAATTGTTCTACTATAAAGACATGCATAATGTATTAATTGCAACACTATTCACAATAGCAAAGACATAGAATCAACCTAAATGTCCATCAGTGGTAGACTGGACAAAGAAAATGTGGCACATATACATCATGGAATACCATATAGTAATTAAAAAAAAAATGAGATCATGTCCTTTGCAGCAACATGGATGGAGCTGGAGGCCATATCCTAAGCAAACTAACACAGGAACAGAAAACCAAATACTATATGTTCTTACGTATAAGTGGGAGATAAATAATGAGAACACGTGGACACTAAGAAGGGAAAAACAGACCCTGAGGCCTACTTGAGGGTACAGGGTGGGAGAAGGGAGAGGATCATAAAAAACAACTATTGCGTACTAGGCTTAGTACCTGAGTGATGAAATAATCTATATAACACACCCCCATGACATGAGTTTACCTACATAACAAATCTGCCCATGTACCCCTGAACCTAAAATAAAAGTTAAATAAATAAAGATGTAATCAAATGAAGAAGAGGCCATTCTGGATTAGGGTCATACTGGATTATGTAGATCCTAATCCTGTGGCTCGTGTTTTGATATGAGGGATATTTGGACACAGAGTCACAGAGGGAAAGCACCGTGTGATGATAGAGGCAGAGATTGGACTGATGTGTCTATAAGCCAAGGAACACAAAGAATTGCCAAAAACCACCAGAGCCTAGGAAAAGGAAAGGGAGGTATATTAGTTTGTTTTCATGCTGCTGATAAAGACATACCCAAGACTGGGCAATTTACAAAGAAAAGAGGTTTAATAGAGAACTCACAGTTCCATGTGGCTGAAGAAGCCTCATAATCATGGCGGAAGGCAAGGAGGAGCAAGTCACATCTTACGTGGATGGTGGCAGGATAAGAGAGCTTGTGCAGGGCAACTCCCATTTTTTAAAACCATCATATCTCGTGAGACCCATTCACTATCACGAGAACAGCACGGGAACGACCCACCCTGGTAATTCAATCATTTTCCAAGGAGTCCCTCACACAACACATGGAATTATGGGAGCTACAAGATGAGATTTGGGGTGGGGGGGACACAGAGCCAAACCATGTCAGGAGAATAGTTCCCTGTACCCTCAGAGAGAGCATGGCCCTTCCAAAACCTTGATTTTGGATGTCTAGCTCCCAGAATGGTGAGAGAATATTCTGTTGTTTGAAGCCACCAAGTTCATGGAACTTTGCTATAGCAGCCCTAGGAAATGAATATGGTAGTCATTTGATAATTTGAAGAATTCAGGTCCTCCTTAAAAAAAAATTGGTAAGGAGTATTTGATTGCCCACCATTCTGCAAAACCTCTTTCTTCATGATTCTGCGATGATCACTAATTTTGTAAGAAGGTCTGAGAAATTTCATAATTTTTCGTTCTAGTTTCTATTGTGCAGGAGTATGAGAGAAAAAAGCGGCTTCTGAGCCTGGTGTAAATCTTACCTAGGGCAGTTGTTGAGTAAATGTGTTATTTTAAAAAAAAAGGTGATTTAAACAGGGATTTATGAGGATGTACTCTCCTTTCCACATATGTTATAAGATATACATTCACTGGGTCCAAAGGGCAGATTGAACATGTGCTCAAGCCTCCTTCTCCCTCTCTTGGTCCCCAGATATAACATACAGTTCTAGAAAATAAAGGGGTCTAGAAATTATTAGGAAATCCTGAAGAAAGAGATAAAGAAAATCAGTGGTCTAGAAATTATTAGGAAATCCTGAAGGAAGAGAAACCTAGAGTCAAAAGCATAGCTCCAAACACATTCCAGGTGGAAGAGGACTCATAGTTACTCCAAGCTGGGTGGTGGTAAATAAGATTGTCAGGTAAGGGCCCTGAAGTGCATATCAGGGGTTTGACTAGAGACCTATAGCAGTTCCGATCTGAAGTTTTCACCGTCTTTCAACAATCAGTTATGCCAAGCAGTGACCAGAAGAGGCAACTACTCCACTACCATCTTTGGAGCCAGAGTGCAGTAAACAAATGCAGCACTTATAGAAAGGCTCCGTGACAGACTCTCTAGTCATGATGATCCCATGGTCAAGAATCACCAAAAGTTGGGGAAATCTAATTTAATGATGAATATCAATATTAATACAATGAAAACTCCAAACAAAACCAAAGCAAATACAAACATACCATGAAGTTACTAGAAATGACAAATTAAGACTTTAACAAAAGTTTATAACTAGTAAAGATATGGAGCAATATTATATCTATAGAAAAGAAACAGATGTAGAGATTGGAAATTCAAAATCTGGCCCTTGAAATTTAAGAATGCATCTGATGCTCTGAGCAGCAGAATAAACATAAAAGTTCATTCACTGAAGAGTTATAAATTGAATTGAGACATTTTCTGTACTCAGGAAAAGAGAACAATGTGATTGAAAATGCAGAAGAAAACCAACGTCCAACCATTCTAAATAAACCTGTTAGAATTCCAAAAGAACATAAAGAGCATGGATGGAATAAAATATTCAAAGAAACAATAAAAATTATTTTACAGTGCTAAGGAAAATAAATAGATTATAAAATTGAAAGTAATGTTTGGATGCCAAAAAGATGAATGAAAAGAAGACCCACATCTAAGCCAAAATGTAGAAACAACTCAAATGTCCATAAACAGATGAATGGATAAACAAAATATATTTATGTACACTCAATAAAATAGTATTTCTCCATTAAAGTGAATGAAGTACTGATGCATTCTACATTGTGGATAAACCTTCCAAGCCTTATGATAAGTGAAAGAAGCCAGTCACAAAAGGCCATACATATTGTATGATTCAATGTACATGAAATACCTAAAACAGGTAAATTTATAGACACAGAAAATTGGTAGTTTTCAGGTATAGGATGTGGAAGGAATGGGGACAGATGTTTTAATGGGTAAGGGGATTTCTTTTAGGGTGTTGAAATGTTTTAAAACTAAATGGAGGGTATGGTTGCACAATATAGTATGCTAAGTACCATTGAACTATGCACTTTTAAAAGATTAATTTTATGTTATGTGAATTTCACCTTTAAAAAAAGAAAAAGCAACAGGGGAAGAGAGGCGAATACTTTGTCTCGTCTCTGAGAGACACTTGGGAATGCTTGCGGAACTGTTCCTGGAGAGTGAAAACAAAAAAAACAAACCCACACCTCGATATATTGTAAGTGGAAATTTAGAACTTCACATGTGAAGAGAAAATTCTAGAAGTTTCTGGAGAGAAAAGCAGACAACTTACAAAGGAGCAAGAATGATTGATAACCAGGCTGGGTGCAGTGGCTCACACCTGTAATCCCAGAACTTTGAGAGGCTGAGGTGGGCAGATCACTTGAGGCCAGGGGTTTGAGACCAGCCTGGCCAACAGGGCAAAACCCTGTCTCTACTGAAAACACAAACATTAGCCAGACGTGGTGGTACAGGGCTGTAATCCCAGCTATTTGGGAGGCTGAGGCATGAAAATCTCTTGAACCCAGGAGGCTGAGGTTGCAGTGAGCCGAGATCGCACCACTGCAGTTCAGCCTGGGAAACGGGGTGATAATCTGTCTCAAAAAATAAAAAAGAAAGACTGATTACATACTCCTCATTAAAAACACTGAGTTCAAGAAAACATTTAAACAATATCTTCAAAGTGTTGAGAAAAAAAAATCTGAGCCTTGAATTTTATGTCTAGACCACTATCATTCATGTGAATGGCAGAATAAAGATAGATGTAGACATTCCTGGACTTAGGATATTTGTTACCCATAATCCTATCTGAAAAGCTTATTAAAGTTATATTTCACCAAAATATTTAAAAATCTTCGATGTGTTTTATCAGGAGCATGATAAGCAAAGAAACTGATAAAACTTTTTATAAAAATAATAAATAGTCTTTGGTTTCAGCACCAACAGGTAGAGTGTGGAAGTCATCACTCCTGTCCTTAGAACAATAAAAGCTGAACAAACTAAAAATCAACGCATGTTTGGTTCTACCAGAGAACCAGGGGCTCATGGCAAACCACCCCAAAATCTGGAGAGACAGGTGCATCCAGAGAGATCGAGCTGAGATCTGTTCACCTGGAAAAGAAGCTGCTGGAGCCATAGACTGGTGGAACCATTAAATGGTAAATTTGATAAGTTGTTGAAGGCTGACTGTGAACTAGCATGAGTAAGAAACTATTAGGGACCCCAATCTTAGGGGTTTCCTAAAAGTTTGTGGGTTTTGCTTCCAGGAATATTATCAGATTCTCATCATGAGGATCTGGGAAAGATCCCCTTAGGGTTCTGGCGGTGGAGACAGGGGTAGGGGAGAGTAAGTATTGAGAAATGTGTCCAACTCCTCTCTCTAACAAAGACGTAGTCTCCATGTGAAAGTCTTTAGCAGAGAGCAATTCTGAAATCTGATCACAGCCAGAAACAGGGAATTCTTCCCACTCTAGTCCCTTCCAACCCTCTTGTTTCACCTAAGAGGGGAAAGACATCATCAACAGGAGTTAAGGCTTCAAGGAAATAGACTGGGAATGAGGCAGCCAGGGAAAGGAGTAGGAGACGAGAGAAAAAGTGGCATCACTGGCGAAACATCTGTGAAGGTCACTGCCCTGAGTCACAGACTGACTAAAAATCCAAGATCTAATTGGAAGATTATAGGAGGTTCCTTCTTCACCACACCTTACCATCACACTGACAAGTATAATAACAGTGGATTATAGCTGGAAAAGCTGCATGACACAGACTCTCTGAGGACTGCATAAAAAATGCCCAAGTCAACAGGGGAGCCAACAACAGAAACTCTAGAGGAATTAGAAACCTCTGACACCTATAGCTACAACAAATATTAAACATAATCTAACTCCTAGCCAGATTAACATAAATCCTCACACTACAGGCCATTTAGCTCAGTTTTTATTACCCAATACAATATGCCTGCCTTTCAACAAAATCATAAGGCATGCCAAAAGGCAAAACAAAACAAAACAAAACCAACCAATGAACAAAAACATTCTGAAGGGACAAAGCAGTCATCAGAATGCGACTCAGATATGACACAGATATAGAATTATCAGGCAAATGATTTAAAATAACTATAATTAATGTGCTAAAGGCACTAATGGAAAAATAAGATAGCAGACGAGAACAGATGAGTAATGTAAGCAGAGAGATATTCTAAGAAAGAATCAAATGTAAATGCTAGAAATCAAAAAGCAACAGAAATAATGAATGCCTCTGATGGGCTCATTAGTAGCGTGGACATAGCTGAGAACAGGATCAGTGAACTTGAACATAGATAATAGAAATTTTCTAAACTGAAATGCAAAGAGAATAAAGAATGAACCAAACAGATGAGAAAATCCAAACTATGTGACAATATCAAAAGGTGTAATGCCTATAGTTGGAATACCAGAAAGAAAGAATGGAGCAGAAGAAATACTTGCAAAAACCATGCTCAAGTGTTTCCCAAAATTAATGTTATACACCAAATCATGGATTGAGTAAGCTTAGAGAACACCAAGCAGGATTTAAAAAAAAGACAGACAAAATACACACACACACACACACACACACACACACACACACACACACACCCCTACCTACCCATAACCTACTCAAACTGCAGAATACCAAAGACAAAATCTTGGAAGAACAAATAAAATTATAGTCTTGAAAATTTTAAGATTATATCAATGTGTTAGTAGCTTGTGGTGAAAGGATGAAGGCAACTAAAAATTTGCATGTGTGTGTGTGTGTAGGAAGGCTGTATACACAGATTAGCTCTAGATAGTAATAAATGTCACATATAGGTTGAGTATCCCTTATCCAAAATGCTTGAGACCAGAAATCTTTTAGATTTCAGATTTGGAAATATTTTATTATCATGCTTACCAGTTTAACATCCCAAATCCAAATATCTGAAATGTTTCAGTGAGCATTTCCTTTGAGCATCAGGTTGATTCTCAAAAAGTTTTGGATTTTGGAGCATTTCAAATTTTGGATTTTGGGGTTTGGTTTGCTCAACCTGTACTATATATGTAGATACTGTGGAACTGTAACAATAACAACTTGGGGCTTTGAAATAGGGTACGTAATTTCAAATCACTAGAGGAAAAAAGATAGATAAAAACTGAAGTCTTATCAACCAACTGTATTACATCTCTACTGAAGAATCTGAGGTCATTAAAAAGAACAAGATAGATTGTATGGTCACTGAGCTCAAAATATTTTATCTAATATTATCCAATAAAAACAACATATTTTCTTACATATGTATATGCATATAAATATATTTTAAAAGCTGAGAAGAATATACCTTTAGGAAGAGAAAGGAAATCGAAATGGAAAAGGGAGAAATATAATTTTTACTTACATTGTTTGAATATATGTAAACATTCATGTGTAGCTGATACAATTTGGAAAGTGACTTCTAAAAACTAAAAGCCACTAAATAGATTCTGTCTTAATGCTGAAGAAAGGAAGATGGACCTGAATTTTCCATTCTTCACTGTAAATGGGAGGACCAAGTTAACACACAGTAATACGTAAAATTACAAATTATTTCTCTCCACAAAACCTTCAAATATCATGTGAGGGGATAGAGCTTCAAAGGGAAATAATTTGTTCCTGGAACACAATTTTTCATTTAAACACCATCTTCATTTTGAAGAGAAAACAAATGGGTGCAATATGACCCTGCTGGCCTTAGGCCTACTCCTGTACCACAAGTGCCATATGAAACCATGAAAGGAACCACATCAAGGCAGATGAGACCACTGAGAACTTCAAGGAAATCATGTCAGCCACGTATGATTTATCTGTGGACCTTTGTTGGGCAAAGCAAACTGAGAGTCCCAGAGCTAATGGGAAAAGTCATCAAGTTAAAAGTCATCCTTGGAAAGAACATGAAGGAGCAGGAATATAAAAAGTTTGGAAATGCTGTCAATTCCATATACTTAGTACTCTTTCTTTTAGGGAATTAAAGAAAAAAAAAACAAAACACCATAATGCTGTTCATTGTACTCAAAGGCAGTATTATTCTCACAATTTGGAAAATCTTTTATTATTTCATTTAAGCCTAGGAAACAGTTTTTAGTTAATTTTATTTTGACAAATTATTAATCATATAATAAATACACTATTTGGGGGCATTTTTAATATTTCTGGAATTTCACATATATCATTTATGATCTGGAGGTCAGTGTTGTGTAGTTAAGAGACTGGGCTTAAGGCCACACTGCCTGAGATAGCATCCTACCTGCAACACTTACTAGCTATGTGACATTTGTCAATATGTACCTCCCTGTGTCCTAACTACCTCAATAATAAAATGAACTAGTACCCATTTCATCAAGTTGCTGTGAAGATCGAATGAGATACGACCAGGAAATTTCTCACAATCCTCCCTGGTACAAATGAATACTTATGAAAAATATCTATTAAAATCTTTATTCAACCCCAAGAGGTAGATTCCCCTTCTGAAGATAAAGTCACTGAAACCTACAGAGGGAAAGTAATTGGTTTGAGTTTGCAAATGGTGGATGGAAGTGGTGGAGACAGAATGCAAACCAGTGGAGTCTGGCTCCGAAACCCCTGGTCTATGCACTCACCATAATACATTGTTTTGAAAACTTTTCGTACCCTTATCTTTTGCTTTTCCACTTGAACATAAACTCTGGGAAGACAGAGGCAACTGTATCTTCTACTTCTGGATTTTCTTGTGTGGCCCAATTCAGTATCCTGAGTCTGTGTGGCTAATATTGCTGAAAGGAGAAAATTGATATTAATAAAGCACTTAAGAAACAACTGTCAAGAATTATGGCCAGGTACTGAGATAAATTATATTTATATTCAATTGAATATATTTATATTCAATCCTTACTAAAAAACACTTCAAGAGACAGGTATTATTATTCTTGTTTTACAGATGGTTTACAGTTGTTGCCTAGAGGACAAATCTTTCTTTCCTTGGACTGTACATTCTTCTTGTAGGAGGCACACAGTAATTGACAGCATGATTTTAAAGCTAGAGTTGATAAGAAATTTGATTCTGCTACTTACATAAGAGTGTGATTTTTGAGTCATTAAACTTCTCTGAGTCTCATTTGTAAAATGCAAATAGAAAATACAGCCTACATCAATTAATAATTATAGTAAATGAGGAAATACATGTAAAGGTCTATATCGGAATCACAGCAGTCTATAAATATTAGCCTTCACTATTATTATTTTTAATATGAATTTCAATAGAGTCAGTTGAAGTGAAAGGATCTTTTTAAAAATTTTAACCTGTCAGTGTGCTCTTCAGTGTGAGAAACATCCTCTCTTCAATGGAAAAGCTTTAGGGGTCATTTATACAGGTAATTGAATCAGTTTAAACAACTCCACTAGACAGTGCCTGTCCAAAATAATCATTGTTTCAGTAAAATGGTTGGCAGGACATGGTAGAAGATATTTTTAAAATCTTACTTCCTAACAGAAGTGTTGCCTATAAGTTTATAGGAAGAGGAAGCTTGCGATGGGCAGACAGAAATCTGTATGCAACAAATATTACTTCTCCAGATAAAGAACTCGACCTTAAAAAGGACAGGGAAGCCAAATCTATTAAGATTTTATCATCATTTGGTGTTTATACCTCAGAAGTTCAAAATCCCTGGGTGAAGAAAACACCGTAGATATTTTTATCTCATTCTACCTTTAGAAACTATGATAAACTACCCTTTAACCAGAAAGATCAGTAAATTGAATATTCTGGTTATAATCACATAATATTTATCATACATCCCAAATTAATTAAAAGGTAGAATATTCACATCAAACATTATACCATAAACAATATACATAATATTAAGCTTTCAGTGTGTAAAATGTTTACTTTGATTATTCTGGAAGCACTCTAGGTTTTCAGAATGTCCCAGTATTATCATTATGAACCTTAATTGTTAAGATAATATAAATTTCAGCACAAGGTAAGGAATATCTTCTCACAGAGAAACAGCAGCTCTACAATGGAATGGGCCATAATGGAATTTCGTGAGTTCCCTTTGCAGGGAGGTTTAAACAAAAGCTGTAGGATTGCTTGCTTAAAAGTTTGCAAAACAGATGTTAGTATAAGATGAGGAGTACTAGAATTGTTTATAAGAGCTGGTTACATTAGTTTCCTAGGGTGTCCTTAACAAAGTACCACAGATTGGGTGGCTTAAACAACAGGTATTTATTTTCTCACAGTTCTGGGGGCTGGAAGTACAAGAGCAAGATGTCAGCAGGATTTTTTTTCCCAAGGCCTTTCTCTTTGGCTTGTACATAGATGTCTTTTCTGTTTTCTCACATGATCTTTCTTCTTCTTGTTTTTTGTTTGTTTGTTTATGTTTCATTTTGTTTTGTTTTGAGCCAGAGTTTCACTCTTGTTGCCCAGGCTGGAGTGTGATAGCTCCATCTCGGCTCACTGCAATGTCCACCTCCCAGGTTCAAGTGATTCTCCTGCCTCAGCTTCCTGAGTAGCTGGGACTACAGGTGCCCACCATCACACCCGGCTAATTTTTGTATTTTTAGTAGAGATGGAGTTTTTACATGGTGGCCAGGCTGGTCTCAAACTCCTGACATAAGGTGAGCCACCCGCCTTGGCCTCCCAAAGTGATGAGATTACAGGCGTGAGCCACCACACCCAGCCATGGTCTTTCTTCTATGTGTGTCTGTGTCCTAATTGTCTCTTCCTATAAAGACACTGGTCATATTAAATGAGGGCGCATGTTAGTGATCTCATTTAGCCTTAAATACCTATTTAAAAACCCCATCTCCAAATATAGTCACATTCTGAGATACTGGGGGTTGGGACTTCAACATATGAATTTTGGGGTACTTAATTCACACTATAATAGGGGTTTATAGGAGAAGCACTGGGGCCCTGGTTAAAGATGAAGAATTCCTCAGGTTCACTCCTGAATATTGATTCAGTAGACCAAGGGAGTTGCATTTTTAATGTGTCTAATAGCTAGGACTTGCTTTTAGCCAGTGTCAGGTGATCATCATCTTAAGCTAGCTCTATCAAAATGGAGAACATATTGTCCCACATGAATAAACATTTCAAGAATAGGGTTTTAGGGGTACCTTGATTAAGGTCTGAATACAATAGCTTGGATTCTCTTTTTACATTCCTCCCATCTGCTTTCTAAGTGTGGCCTCCACTTTTCAGTCCTCTTGTAGCTGGAAGATGCCTTGACCAAGCCCCTATGTTTACAAAGGTTCACATTTAGTGGAGGTGGAGGCAAATCATGTAACAGTTTACCTGTGAAGTGGAAAGATAGCTCTTAAATGGCAAAAATGGATCTTAAGTGGCAAAACAAATGAGAGATGGGTAAATTTCTACACTGTGGAACCTGAAAGAGCCAATTTACATATACATAAAGTTACCAAATATACAATTACACAAAACTGTAATTCAAAGTTTATTTTAGTAATAAGTAAATAATACTAATAGTGTTTACTTAGTGCTATGTGTCAGCCACTAGCTAGAATGCTTCACGTGTATGTTTAATACTCACATTAGGTGCAGTTATGATCACCATTGTTCAGACAAGGAAACAAAGTCGGCCAGAGGTTATATCCCTTGTCCAAGGTAGAGCCAGTGAGAGCCATGAGGAGGCAGAACTGGGATTCGAGTCTTTGTCTCTGGAGTCCTTACTTGTTGATGCTACTTTTTGCTGCCTCCTCAACACACACACAGAGGGTCTCAGAGTTATCCATCTCTAGTAGAGCTGAACTCACTCAAATTTCAGTAGTTTTGATGTGACAGTAACATCGGGGATGAAATAAAAGTTATGTATTTATTTTAATTATGCACATACACTAGAAAGACCCACTGATCTGACTTTAGTTTGAAAAGTTGTTTTCCAAATTTAATATACATGAGTTCACTTTATCTCATAGCACTGACAAAGGGACCCTTCACAAGGTAACTATTAATACTTATTAAGGATGTGTTAATTCAATTCAATGTGGGCAAAAGGGGAAAAAAAGGAGTTAAATAATGCTGCTTTATTATTTAAGTCCCTCCTTAAGCTACAAGTCTTATCTAATAATTAGGTCACTTGAAAACCTTACCAATCAGCAAACTTAGAAGCCTAACATAAATACTACCCAGCCAGTATTCAGTGTGTATTGTCTTTATTTGATAAAGTATATTTCTTTCACTATTGATTTGCAGCAAAGGTGTAGGTCTTTCCCTGGAATTTGAGCAGGGTGCTTTGCCCTATTGCTAAGAAAATGCATATAAGTGCCTGAGACAGTTTAGTGGTCTTTACCAAAAATAGCTTGGCCTTTTGACTCACCCAGGCTGCCAGTAAACTCTGTATTTTTTCCCTCTCTCCACAGATATGCTAAATCTGGTAACATCACGTCAGTGCATTCCGAATTGGATGCAACACTGAATTTGTTTTAATTTGGAAATCCTTGTTATCAGTTCATATGTTGAATCAGAGAATATTGCGGCAGGAACAGTCTGGCAGATTATTTAGCCCAGCCTCATAGACTTATAGATAACAAAAGAAAATACCAGAGATGTTAAATGACCCACACAAGACCACATTGCTGGTAAGTGGCAGGCCCAAAATAACTCTGGGCTCCTGGTGCATGAAACAATTTGTTTTCTACCAGAGTCTTAGCAGGAGGTTTCAGGGGTGGGATATAGCCCACCCCTTCAAAAATAGTTTGGTAGAGTAACACAAGGTATGAATCCTAGATGCTACTGTATTTAGGGAATTTTCATATTGCTATGTAATGCTATAGCAAGAAGGAATATTTAAGAATCAAATGGTGCAAAATCCAGGAAAGCAAATAGATATTTTAATGATCAAACTTGGATATAGGTAGCTCTCTTTCTTTTCTTTCTGTTTTTTTTAATTGTGGTAAGAATATTTAATGTGAGATATACCCCCTGAACAAGTTTTTAGAGGTACAGTACAGTATTGTTGACTGCAGGTACAATGTTGCACAGACAGTTTCTAGAACTTATTCATCTTGCATAGTTGAAACTTTGCACCTGTTGAACAGCACCTTCTCAGTCCCCTCTCCCAAAACCCCTGGCAACCAGTGTTCTACTCTCTGCTTAATTTGACTGTTTTAGATAACTCACATAAAAAAGGATCATGCTGTGTTTGTTCTTGTTTGGCTTATTTCAGTTAGCATAGTGTCCTCAAGGGTCATCCATGTTGTTACACATGATAGTTTCCTTTGGCTAAGGCTGAATAGTTTTCCATTGTGTGTACATACAACATTTCCTTTATTCACACAACCATGATAGAGATTTCTTGGCTATTGTAAATAATGCTACAATAAACATGGGACGGCGCATATCACTTTGAGATCTTGATTTAAATCATTTTGGATAAATACCTAGAACTAGGATCATTGGATCATATGATAGTTCTATTTTTAATTTTTTGAGGAACGCTCGTTCTGCTTTTTACAGTGGCTACATCATTTTACATTCTCACCAACAGTATATAAGAGTTTTAATTTCTCTGCATCTTTGCCAACACTTGTCTTTTTTTAAAAAATAAGAGCTATTCTAAAAGGTGTGAGGTGATATCTCATTGTGGTTCCGGTTTACATTTATTTGATTATTAGTGACGTTGGGCATCTTTTCATATACCTGTTGGCCATCTATCTGTATGCTTTCTGTGCTAGTCTATTTGTGTTACCACAGTGAAATACCTGGAACTGGGTAATTTATGAGAAAAGAGGTTTAATCGGCTCATGGTTCTCCAGGCTGTACAGAAAACATGGCACCAGCATCTGCTCAGCTTCTAGTGAGGCTTCAGGGAGCTTTGGTTCATGGTAGTAGGTAAAGTGGGAGCAGGCGTGTCATGACAAGAGCAGAGCAAGAGAAAGAGTAAGGATTGGGGGAGGTACCACACTCTAAAACAATCAGCTCTCACGTGAACTATCAGAGTGAGAACTCACTCATTACCACAGGGGTGGCATCAAGCCATTCATGCGGGATCCACCCCCATGACAAACGCCTCTTTCCAGGCCTACCTCCCACACTGGAGATCACATTTCAACATGAGATTTGAAGAAGACACACATCCAAACCATATCACCTTCTTTGGATATATTTCTATTTAAATCCTTTGCCCATTTTAAAATCAGATTTTTGTTTTCCTCAGCTTTTGTTTTGTTTTGCTATTGAATCACATGAGTTCCTTATATACATTTAATAATAACCTCTTACCAAATATATGGTTTACAAATATTTCCTACAATTACTTAGGTCATATTTTCACTCTGTTGATTGTTTCGTTCCCTGTGCAGAGGCTGTTTAGTTTGATGTGGTTCCACTTGTCTATTCTTGCTTTTGTTACCTGTGCTTTTGATGTCATATCCAATAAATCATTTTCAAGACCAATGTTTTGAAGCTTTTCCCCTGTGTTTTTTCATAGAAGTTCTAAAGTTTCATATCTTACTTTTACATCTTTAATTCATTTTGAGTTTAGTTTTGTTCACAAATACTTAATAAGCACTTTAATCCTCATGCTGACCCTTGAATTACACTTTACTGTCCTCATTTTTCAATGAGAAACAGATTCAAAGTATTTATGCCTCAAGTGACATAGCAAAATTGTGATGAAAACAGAGTCTAGACCCAGCTGCAACTGATTCTGAAGGCTATTCTCTACTGACTGCCTTATAAAGAAATCTCTTTGTAGGCTGGTCTTTTGCTATAGCTCTTCCTCCATTATTGGTCATGTTTAATAACTGGTGAGTGTTTGGGTGTCTTCTGCATTACTAGAAATTCACAAGAGTTAAATGGCTGTGTTTCATGGCATGTAAAGTTATATACAGTAGATTAAGGCATGCACCTGGAGCTTCTCAGTTAGAGGGATGTTAAGGGAAATGTTTTAGAGAGCAGTAAAATAAAGGTATTAGTGTTAACAAGTGGAAACAACCTGTTCTATTTCATATGATAAAATAAATTCATCTTGTACTCCATTAAGGTGGCAGCATTGAAAAATAGCACTGGAATGTTCAACATATGATCAATCAAGACCTGGGTTTCAGGCACAAGTTTATCAAATTAAAGTGATGTGATTTTGAACAGCAAATTAACCTCAGTATTTTCATCTATAAAATAAAAATTATATTCTTTCTGCTAACTCGCAAGGTTGACTTAAAAATGAAATGAGAAAAAAATATAAAGATTTTATATTCCTCTAAAATTGGTGTGAATTTAGAAGAAAGAAGTTAAATTTGCCTTTTACCCATGACATATTTCCCAGAGACAGTAAATATTTCAATTATTCCCAATGTGGATAAACTTAAACTCTATGTATGAATTTAATAGGAAACATTCATTCTAAGCTTTTCTTCAATTGGCTCTATTCCTATCTAAAGTTGAGGAAATGGAGTTATTTGGGACATGTATGGTAGAGCCATGAAACCATCACCTTGACCAAATAAAAAGCATGATCACTTAGGCATTTTGCTGAGATAGCGCATGAATAGAAGTTCATAAAAGCCAAGTGATTTTTTACCATCTTGTGCATGTGATCTTGTGGTAAAAATTTAAGAACTTGGCCAGGCATGGTGGCTCACGCCTGTAATCCCAGCTCGTTTGGAGGCCGAGGCAGGTGGATCACGAGGTCAGGAGATCAAGACCATCCTGGCTAATATGGAGAAACCCCGTCTCTACTGAAAAATACAAAAAAAAAAAAAATTAGCCAGGCGTGGTGGCAGGCACCTGTAGTCCCATCTATTTGAGAGGCTGAGGCAGGAGAAGAGCGTGAACCCGGGAGGCAGAGGTTGCAGTGAGCCAAGATCGTGCCACTGCACTCCAGCCTGGGTGACAGAACGAGACTCCGTCTCAAAAAAAAAAAAAAAAAAAAAATTAACTTGGATATGCTTGACTTGATTTCATCATTCTAATTAATAGCCCATCGCTATTACAACTAAGATTTTTACTGTGTTAGCATTTATTGGATGCCCCCTATTCTCCAGGCACTGTGCTAAGTACTCTATGTATATTATCACCTAATTTTCATAAGAACCCCAGGCACAAAGTAATGTTACCAATAGAGACAAATAAATGTGTCCAAGGTCACACAGTATGAGATATGCAAGGTATAGCTAAGACTATTAAAAAGGTCACATTTATTTATTATAAATACATTCATTTATTTATTTGTTATTAATTTCTAATTACTAGGAAGAATGGTGTGTGAGTGACATTTGGAGCCATTAAAATGGATAAAATGGCCTTAGGAAAAGAGAAGCTAGTGAATGGGAAATGGCTGAGGACTAAGCCCTAGGATGTCCTAGAGTTAGAGGTCTGATAAAGAAGAGCAATCGCCTGTAATCCCAGCACTTTGGGAGGCTGAGGTGGATGGATCACCTGAGGTCAGGAGTTTGAGACCAGCCTGGTCAACATGGTGAAACCCCATCTCTACTGAAAATACAAAAATTAGCCAGGCATGGTCGTGGGTGCCTGTAATCCCAGCTACTCAGGAGGCTGAGGCAGGAGAATTGCTTGAACCCAGGAGGCGGAGGTTGCAGTGAGCCGAGATCATGCCACTGCACTCCAGCCTGGGCAACAGAGCAAGACTCCATCTCAATAAAAAAAAAAAAAGAGCCAGCAAAGGAGACTGAGAAAGAGTTTTCCTCAAGATGGAAAAAAGAAGCACATAAACATGGTCTCAAAAGCCTAGAAAATGAAGTTATTTAAGAGAAGGAAGTGGTCAGATTTGTTGAATCCTACTGAAATTTTGTGCAAGGTAGGACAAAATATTGACCATTTGCTTTGGGAAGATATAAAATGTTGGCAATGCTGATAAAAGTAATTTCAGTTAACAACAGTTCAATTACAGTGAGGTTAAGACAGAATAGAATGGCAGGAAGTGGAAGCAATGAATACAGAGAATTCTTTAAAGAGTTTTTTTGTAAAGAGAGCAGATATTGAAATGATAGCTGAAGAGGCATGGGGTATTTTTAAATGATAGGTGATATGAAGGCATATTTGTATGCAAATAGAAATGATCTCATAGAGAGGAAGAAAATAATAAATAATGTTGCAAAAAAGAAAGAGCATAGTGCTGATTTCCTAAAGCAGCAGTGAAGGGGATGGTCTTACATGAGAGCAGGACACCTATTCCATTATAACAGGGAGAAAGGCAGAGTGTGCAGATTCAGATAAAAGGAGGAGCCAGCATAGAAGATGAGGTCATTCTTTCCTGATTATTTTTCTGGGAACTATCTTGCAATGTTTTCAGCTGAGAGTGAGAGGGGAAGAAAAGTCGGACATCAGAAAAAGGTGGTACAGAGGAGAATGGGGAAATGAGTTTCCTAGAGAAGTGTGATAGGATTATATGGCATTGTGGAGTGCCAATTTGAGACTTGTAGTCATGACTTTGAAATGAAGTGCCCATCAGCACAGTTGTGTGCTTTTCTCCTACCATCCTGGAGCCTCTCAGATACAGGCACAGACCAAGTGCACAGAGGAGCTTAATCAGGCTTGAGTGTCACCAGGCAATAATGGCAGAGTGAGAGGGGAGAGAAGTAAAGTTAAGAGTGCTTGCAAGGGAGTGATTATACATCTGAACATGGAGTCTAAGCAGGAAAAGAAGCACAATAAAGATGTGAGAGGGTGATGAATATTTAAAGAAAAGAAAAGTGATAGCAAAAGGGAATGGAGGTCAGGAAATTTCTTAATTGGGTATATTAATAGTATGTAAACTGGAATAATGTGATATTTTAAAAATGGGCCAGTTATTAGGGAGAACAAGTTTCATATACGTAAATGATTGAGACAAAGCAGGGGAAAAGAAGTCAAGGAACTTAGAGGCCAAGGTAATTGATAGGTGAAAATATTGAATCTGCTGAGGGTGATTGCAGGAAATGTGGTAGAGAGGAAGACAGTGGGCCTGATGATAAAGTCAACCATAAATGCAGAGGCAGTGATGGGACCACAATCAGTTCATATGAAATTCACTTAGGAGAAAAGGTATTAACAAAAGGGCAGAGGAGTTATGGTCTGGACATTACTGGGACGATCAGTAAAACCCTGCTCCTTCTCCAACCTTTTCATATGAGTGAGCTTCAGGGGTGCAGTTGGCCTTTGGGGAGAATCGAAACTTAAGTCAGAATACATAGGAGGCATTATTAGGTGATGATATTGAGGATGCTAATCATTGCATTTTGAATTTTAGTGTCATAGTGGAAAAATTTGAGAAAGCGATAAGGAGTAGAAGATTGAAAAGAGAAAGAAAATATCAACTCTGAAGATGGCACAGTAAGGAGAATAAAAACAAAAGGCTGGTATTTTGGCTGGTGATCAAGAAAATGGTGTTCTGAAGCAAGGGAGGTTAAATTTTGCCTAGATGCTAAATCCCAATAGTGACATTATATAAATTGGAGGAGGGTGAAGGAGAAGAGAAGCTTCATGATTTAGCTACTGCCTAGCAAGAAACCCTGTCTCTGGCCATAACTGTCACATGGGGAGGGGAGCCAGTAGTGATGCAAAGTAATGGGCCAAGCACCATGATGCAACTTTGTGGCAGCAGTGATGTGGCAACTATAATAGGCTTATAAAAGTGCATGCTCAATAAAAACTTGGTAATTAGACAGTGCTACTTGATTAGTAGGCCCTCCAAGGCTTATGGATTCATTGAATTTCCCTGATATCAAACCTGGTTCTCGATTCCACTTTTACCAGACACCAGCCAAAACAGTAAAACAAACAAACAAACAAAAAACCCCCAGTAATTCTAAAAGTAAAAGTTAGCAATATATTGTAGGTATTTATTTACAAATTTCAAGTATGAATCAGAGAGAACCACTTTCAGCTTTAAAAATATAAACTCAAAAAGAATAATCTGTAATTCCTCTATAGTCTTAAAGTTTATGATTTACAATATGTGATACCACAGCCTGACTAGCTGAGCTTTGGCAATCAAAAATCAAAACCATATTCAATTTGTCAATTACTTTCATGTTAGAATTTAGCCCCCCATTCACAAATATGAGCTTAGCTCTATTTCTGTGTCTTAAAAACCAAGGCTTATCATGAAATTGGGCTTATATTTATGCATTGCCTAGAAAGCAATCTGTCTAGTTAGTTTACAGTCCTACTTCATAAACATCAATACTCAATTACATATTTGCCATAATTGTATATGTGTGTATATAATTTTTAGTGTATACATTTGTATACTTTATGAGTTATATATTGTTATTTCTATGGATAACTTTCATTTAAAATATGCTTCAAAAGTGTAATAGAAAAATATTTAGAAAATAGTAGTAGTATTAATAAAACATCATAAATGTGGTAGTATAGTTTCTTGAAATGTTTTTATCACACTAATACCACTTAATTTAAACATTCCCTAATGAAATATATAAAAACACGTTTGGATTATTAAAAGCTAGGTTTCATTTTACTAGAAGAAACTTTAAAATTTTTAAATTCTATGAATGAATGAATTATTCTTCCATTAAAGTGTTAAATAATATTTGCCCTCAAAAGAAATTGAACAACTCTGGATTCGGGGCCAGGACCCAACTGTTAAAACATATTACAACCAATTACTTAATGAACTAGAATAAGTAGGATAATCTAGGCCAAATTTTCTGAATGATGGCATTTCATTTACAATACTTGGGTGTTCTATTCCAATGACTAAATGCCTTCTAGCCACTACAAGTTCATATATGGTCAATTAAATTGTTTTACAAAAGAATCTAATTAGAAGGATGAGTAGGGTTTACCCAGGCTAGCTAGAAAACAGGATTGCATGGTTCTTGGGAAAAGCTTTGCTAAAATAGGTGATCAAAAGGTATTACCTGCATAGCATATATCACTGAAGACAGCTGGGAGCATAATTTCAAATCTTGGGTTTTTGAAATAATCTAAACCTGACTTTATTTCCTACTCTGCCTGTTGGTAACTGAGTAACCTTGGACAAATTAGGGTAGGAGAATTCTTTACGTAATCATATTTAAGTTTTTTCTCCATTGGCTTAGTTCCAATTGAACTTGCACTTTAGAAAGAGAAATATTCTGGCTGAATATCATAACTAGTTTTGAAATGCATGTGTAACTATTTAGGAACAGAAAGGTATGGGTAAATATTTAGGAGAAACTCTTTGCATTGCCAATTTTTAAAAATGTGACAGTTATAACAGACATGTATAAGTCTTTATTTGACTATGTTTTTCAACTACTTTTCATACATCTTTTATGTCAGAGAAATTTAAGAGTGTACTCAATAAGAAAGCTGTATTTCAATCTGATTTGAAGATGCAATGTCAGAAACTATGTGGATGGAAATCGTCTGCAAAATGAAGTATACTTTATGCCAAGTTCTAGTTTGCCGGTTTTTAGGTTCTGCTGAAGTAGTTGGTTTGGCCCCCAAATGGCATGATTGTTTAGAAAAGTTAAGAAGATGGACATCTATTTTTGATGTAGTCTTGAAAAGTGAACACTTTCTGATGTCATCATCACAAAATGATTTCAGCATAAACAGAAGAAGGCTGTGGTAGACATCACTAAGTTGCAGGTAGAAGAAAAGTTGAGTTATGTAAAGTTGGGTAGTTCAAGCATTTGATTGGCATGGGGCTCAGAGGATGAATTAATGGGATGGGCCCCTTCTAGAAGGATGCTTGGAAAGCAGAGTGGAATTATGAAAGGATTACAAGCTTCATAGTAAGAGAGATCTGATCCCACTTCCTGTTTGATTTTGGTTGCACCGCTTAACCCATAACCTTATCTCTAAAATTGGAATAATTATACCAGCAGATTTCCCAGATTCTCTTGATTTTTACATCTTACTACACATGGAAAAGTATAATATTTGCTTTGCACATTGACGCAAGTTGATAAGGTCCAGAGAAAACTAGTTTGGGGCCCCCAACTATACTAAATTGCCTAGCCTCTTGAAGGGCTCAATATCCCAGTGCATTTATACCTAGAAGGACCATACAGTTGATTATGCAGACAACTTTTAAAGAGAAATTGGGAATAGAAATAATAACCCTAGGACTTACTGGGAAAACCAGGACATATGCTTAACCTAACTATAACCCATCCAGAACAAGTAGCATACTTTTGGAGAAGCTCTAGGCTCAACCAATGCTTTTCATAGTAAGCAATCAAAATTGATAGCTATTATTATTTACAGAAAAATCTAAATGTGGAGACCTGCTTTGACCCCTGGGGAAATAGTTTCCTCCAAATTAGTTATTACTAGTTGAGCGTGGATCCCAACCATCTATTTTAGCTATTCCAACTATCAGGTCAAGGGGAAAAAATAACCTAATAACAATGATCCTGGGAATCACATGCCATTATTTCTAGTGTCATAGACTTGTGTTACTTCACTTTCAATCTTCTCCTTTTTTCCTAAGTGGCTAAGAGCTGCCCCTGAGAGAAGCCCATGATTCAGGAACAGTCTTTCTGACGCCATTGTTTATTTTTCTCTCCTCATAATGGCTATATGCTATTAATTCTCATGCTACCCAGCCCAGGTCTCTCCCTTGAACTCCGCATTGATATTCTCAATTCTTGATTGATATATTCAAGCATATATATCACCAAATATATGCTTGAATATATCAATCAAGAATTGAGAATATCAATGCAGAGATATATATATATCTCCAGATATCCAACCCATCTTCAAACTCTACATAGCCAAGTGAGCATTGTATATCTCATGCTTCACCCACACCAGGCAACATTTTTCTAATCTGTTTCTAACTTGTAGTAGGTCACCCAATTGCTCACCTGGGAGTAATCCTAGATTCCTCTATTTCTTATACTTTTGCTTTCAAACTCAAACCCAGGCCATTGACTCTTCCTCCAAAATAGCTTTCAAGAGATTATTCTCTGTATATTCCTACTGCCTGAATGTTTCCTATCATCTTTCACCTCTTTGCTAAAAATGATCCTATTTATTGGTCTTTATACTACTAGTTCTCTGGCACCTTTTGCTGCCTACAAACTTTTATTATTCTAACATGCAGGTATGATCATGTTATTTCCATGCTCAAAATCCGTCAATGACATCTGCTAAAGGATAAAATCTAAAATATTTTTTCATCACATAAAAAGATCCTTGGGTTCAGGTCTTTTAAGTGTCCAGCTTAATTTCACTCAATTCCTTTCCACATTGCACAATATCACCACCTCTGTGCTGTGTCAAATATTCTCAACCTTTTGAAAGAGAAATTGGGAATAGAAATAATAACCCTAGGATTTACTGAGCAAACCATGACATATACTCAACCTAACTCTAACCCATTGAGAGCAGGAATAAACCTCTTATTTTAATCACAGTCACATTGCTATAACCAGTTCTGTATTGAATTCAACAAGCTTCACTCAGGTACATTCTGAAAATGCCTCAGTTTGTCCTCAAGCTACACAGTTTTTCTTTCCCCAGGGCTTCTCTGTCATCAAAGCATGGTGCACGCTGAGGAAGCCTCTCACTATCACAAGTGGGCAGCCTGAAATGGTAGGATGTTCATATGCATGGGACGACCTTGATGTGTGGGAGACAGAATCCTGGACCAATAGTTCAGAGATGTTTTATGAACCTTCACTGATCCATGTGATTACTTCCCAAATAAATTACCTTTATGTAATCCTTGACTAAGGCCCAATTTTCAAAGAAATGTGAAAAACTAGTTTCTAAAGAGTGTTAATATAAAACAGACCTCTGTGATGGGATTTTAAAGCTAGATTACTCATAGATCAGAAAGGGCTAAAATTTTATCACTTGTGGAAATTTGGTGGTGATAATCTTTGGCATGCAGTAACATATAAAGGCTATCACATGGGGTGGATTGTGATGAGGTGCAGGTAGAAGGAAAGCTGAGTTATATAAAGTAGTTGGGTAGCTCAAGCATTTTATTGGCATGGGGATCTCTTAATCACAAGGATTCCTATTCATATAACAGCTCTGTCCACTAGGAGGATTTTCCCCACCATTCTCATTTAGGAATATCCCTCACTGGGTCTGTGGTGTGCAGCAGTGCTTTTAAAGCTATCATCAGTATCCTATGTGAACACTAAAACATTCATTAATGTGACAGTGCCCTAAATCTTTGTGGAGTTCATTTTCTACCCTCTGTCTCTGACTCAGATGTCTCTTACTGGGTATTTATATTTCTGGCTTCTTTATGCTCACAGGGTCCAGGTGCTCAGGAGGGAATGTTGTGATGAATCAGACTAATGGTGTAAGTGGACCTGAGTAGTGTGAGAATAGGAAGTATTGGAAACTTCAAGTTTTCTTGCTCCACTTATGAGACACATATCATAAACTTCCACAAGCTCTTAGGCTCAAACAACCATTGCCTGTGTCAGGGATCAAATTAATAATGCAACCTTGTTTTGTCTTACTTTCCTTTCCTGTTTCATTTTCCCCTGTTCATCTCTTCTGCTTTCTGAAATCACTTTCTAAATAAACTACCTTCACTATAAATTTGTCCCTGAAACTGTTTTGTGGGAAACACTCACTAAGAATCTATTTTAAATACCATTACCAAAATACTTACAGCACTTAACAAAGGGGCTGACACATGGTATGGTCCCAATAGCTGTTGGTGTAATTAATATTGGTCTCTGTAAATGCCATGTTCTTTCTGGATCCTGGGCCCTGTCTGGATCTTTGCCCAGGATTTTCATCTGTCCCAAATGCCTCCATCCAGATATTCCCTGGATATTCCTACTGCATGGATATTGCCTATCATCATCTTTACCCATTTTTTTTTATCTCCATCAGATGTATCACCTGTATAACTCCTGTTCGTTTTTCAACTAATTTGCATCTCCACTGGGTAAATTCTCCTGAGTTCTTATAGGAAATATAAGGTAATTTGTTCACAAAAAAATCCCTGATTTCTGGAAATATTGCAAGAGGATATTTTCTAATCATAATTTTATGTAACTAGGTCAATATGACTGAGTTCTAGCCAGGCAAATGTAGGCAGTGGTGATATAAACAATGTATAAAACTCTAGTCTTAAAACTGTATACAGAATTTTCCATTCTTCCTCTAGTTATACCTATGCAAGCTGGAAGTGGAGGACTCAAAGATGGCAAAACTATAAGCTGGAAACAGCTGTTTACTGGTTCATGACTTGGAAAACAGTTCCCTAGGAATATCGCCAAACCACGTTAGACTGAAAAACTTTGTGTTAAGTCACTGAGATATCAGGCTTTATTTCTACTTTGATATAGCCTGGCATACCATAACTAATAAATCCCAGAAACAGATAGGGAATTCCTCTATGTTCTACTGGACTTTGGATAGAACCTACATTAAATCAATAAATATTTAACTGTAGTTGTCTCATTTTATTTCCATCAATTTTACTATAATCTCTTTCAATTTCCCAGTGCTGGCACTACATGACAAATTTACTGATTGGATAGACGGATAGGGAAGGTTCTTCTGTAAGGTTCTAGGAGGAAAACGTTTAGAAATTATTGGGATTTACCCATTTTGGTTGACTAAGTAAAAGTAGCTTTCTAAAAAGTTTAATCATGGAACAATGGAAATGAGCTGCTTTTGGAAGTGATGAATGATTTACAACTTGGGAGCCCAGTTGGCCTGAAATTTAAGACCAATTGTCCAAACTTTCAACTTACTAGTGAAGTAATTAAGCGCAGGGAAGTCAAAGGACTTGCCCAAAGTATGTTAGTAATAGAACTTAGAGTGAAATTGAATCTCCTGTTTCCCATACCAGTAGTTTATTACATCAAAATTTTTAAAAAGGCTGAGTAATCAGCATATCCAATATGTACCAGAAATCAGTTCAAATCCTGACAATTCACTAATTATGTGCCTTTAGATTGATTACTTAATCTGGCTCAGGGAATCAGGGAGGTTTTCTCATTTATAAAAATGGGAATTAAATATCTTCATAGGTTTTCATGAGATATAATGAGATAATCTACATTAACCCTGAGCCTGACACAAGGTTGCAATTATTACTATATTTATTATAATTTTACTAAGTACAAAAAAATTATTATTTAACTTGATTATTTACATTTTACCATTTTACTGTTATGACATTAAGTAAGTTTCAGCTACATTATAGGTCAGAGAGTTTGGGGAGCTAACTTGGAAATATAGATCCACTGGAAAATTCCAGTTCAAGACCCACACAACTGAATTCTAAGGAATTGTGTAATGCCATAATTTTTTCAAACTGAGAACTTTCTGTAAAGACATTTTTATGTGTGGCTCTAATTAATTGTAAGCAGTAAGTGAAAAGGAATGGGAAAGGAGCTAATCTGGGAACTTAGATGATGGTGAATGCTGGAAAGTCCCAGAATACCATTCCTCTCCTTAGATTCCCAGTTTCCATAATGATCTGGGGTAGTATTCATTTGTGATTCCCATGAAAATAAGTAATTTAGTAAATGTGATACTATAGAGCCAGAGAAGGTCTAAGTTGACAGAATCATCATCATGAGGGTTTATTTTTACTTTTTATTTTTTTTTTTGCCATCGGGATTTGGCTTGTGCTTAAGGTTTGGATCCCCGACAACTCAAAAGTTCGCATCTCTTCAGGGAGATGCTCCTAGAGAATAACCAGTGGGATGATTTCCCAGAACCTGGGCTCCCAGAGTTGCTCATGACCCTGGTGGGTCCCTCATGGAATACATTAAAGCAATCGTGTGTGATGACTAACACTCTGACATACCTAGATAACTCATCCTGGCCATGCATGTCTGTAATCTTGAGAAAGTTACTAGGTTGGTTGGTGCAAAAGTAATTACGGTTTTTGCCATTAAAAGTAAACCTTTTGAGCCGCTGTTCCTCCCATATAAAATAGGGGTAACTACCCCCTCTTGAATTGTTGTTACAATTAAGTGAAAATGTGTGAAGGAAAACGTTATCTAGCACAGTGCCTGGCACATAACAGGCACCCAATAGCAATTCCTTCTTTCTTCCTTTTTTTCCTGAGCATTATTATTAGCAAATTCATTTAATACCAACTTAGAATTCTTAAACACAAACACATACATTGTTCCAGTTTTCTCTGTTAGGCGGGCAGTGCCTTTCGTACTGATACATGCTTCAGCTACCATTCACCCATAAAGTTCACCTTTTAGATTCACTTCTATAAAACCCAACACAGGTGAGGAAAGGAGGAAGAGACCACTGGCCCATACCATTCTATGTATATCACCTCCCCTTAAGGATGAATTTTGTGGGAAGTTAGAATAGAGCTTTGCTATGGTTGGAATGTGGTGTGTTTCCACCAACACTTATGTTGAACCTTGATCCTCAATGTGGCAGCTTTGGAAGTGGTGCCTGTGAGAGGCGATTTGGTTGTTAAGAGGTACTAATGCCTTTCTCTCCAGACTAAGTTCTCTCTCTCTCTCTTTCACCTCCCCATGAGAGCTGGTTGTTATAAGACAAGGCTCTTCTGCTTGGTCTCTTTCTTAGGTGCTTGCTTCCTTTTCTGCTTCTCTGCCACGTAATGACACAGCACAAGGCCCTCACCAGAAGCCAAGCAGATGCCAGTGCCATGCTTTTTGGACTTCCCAGCCTCCAGAGCTGTAAGAAATAAATTTCTTCATAAATCATCCAGTCTCGGGTAATCTGTAACAGCAAAAGAAAACGAACTAAGACAAATGTATAGAAGTGACAGATTTGTTGGGCAGAGCATAAATGGCAGTCTGATTTTTTAATTCCTGCTTTATTCCTTTGGGAGACTGGGTAAATCACCTTTGATCTGCTCATCTATAGATTAAGGATTGAAATCACTTCAAGAAGATTATACTTTGGCTCCCAATAGTTATAATAAAAGAGTGTAACAACTTACCCGCAATTGAAAGCTCAGCTCTTTTTTTTAAAAAAAAATAGACTTTATGTTTTAGATAAATTTTTGGTTCACAGCAAAATAAAGTGGAAAGTATAGAAATTTCCTGTCGAACTTCTGCCCCCACATCCCATGCACAGTCTCTCCCGCTATCAAAAAGAGTGGTGCATTTGCTACAATTTATGAACATTGACACATCATTATTACCCAAAGTCCGTAGTTTATACCATGGTTCATACTGAGCATTGTACATTCTGTGGGTTCAGAATAATGTATGATGACATCTATCCACAATCACAGTATCATGCAGAATAGTTCCCCTGACTTAAAAATCATCTGTGTTCTACGTATTTAGCCCTCCCTCCCTCCTAACCCCTGGCAGCCACTGATCTTTTTACTATCTTCAGCGTTTTGCCCATTCCGGAGTGTCAAATAGTTGGGATACTACAGTATGTAGCCTTTTCTGATGAGCTTTTTTCAGTAATATGCATTTTAGTTTCCTCCATGTCTTTTAATGTCTTGATAGCTAATTTTTTGGCACAAAATAATAGTTCATTGTTTGGACATACTACAATTTACTTATCCATTTACCTACTGAATAACATCTTGGTTGCTTTTAAGTTTTGGCAATCATGAAGAAAGGTGCTATAAACATCTGTGTGCAAGTTTTTGTATAGATATACAAACTCTATTAGTTAAATATCAAGGAACACAATTACTAGATTTTATGGTAAGAGTATGTTTATATTTGTATGACACTGACAAACTGTTTCCAAAGTAGTTATACTATTTTGCATTCTCACAAGCAATGGATGCAAGTTCCTGTTGCTCCACATTCTTGCCAGCATTTGATGCCAGTGTTCTGGATTTCATCCATTCAAATGGGTTTGTAAAGGTAACTTATTGTTGGTTTAATTTCCATTTATTTGATGACATATGAAGTAGAACACCTTTTCATATGGTAATTTGCCATCTGCGCATCTTTAGTGAGGTGTCTGTTAATGTCTGTGGCCCACTTTTTAATTGGGTTGTTAGCTTTCTTATTGTTGAATTTTAAGAGTTCTTTGTATATTTTGGATAACAGTCCTTATAAGATATGTCTTACGTCTTTCTCTCAGTGTGTGATTCTCTTTCAATTCTCTTGCTAGTGTCTTTTGTAGAGCAGGAATTGTTCATTTTAATGAAGTTCAGCTTATCAATTTTCTCTTTCATGGATTTTGGCTTTGGTGTTGTAGCAAAAAGATCATCACCAAACCTGAAGTCATCTAGATTTTCTTCTCTTGAAGTTTTATAGTCTACATTTTACAATTAGGTCTGTGATTCATTTTGAGTTAATTTTTGTGAAGGTTGTAAAGTCTGTGTCTAGATTTATTTATTGGCATATGAATGTCCAGTTGTTCCAGCACTTTGTTGAAAAGAATATTTTCTCCATTGTATTGCTTTTGAAAATTTGTCATAGATCAGTTGGCCATATTTATATGGGTCTATTTTTGGGCTCTCTGTTCTGATCCACCGATCTATTTGTCTATTCTTTTGCCAGCACTACACTGTTTTGAGTAGTGTAGCTTTAGAATAAGTCCTTGGGTCAGGTAATGCCAGTCCTCCAATTCTGCTTTCCTTCAATATTGTGTTGACTATACTTGGTCATTTGCCTCTCCATATAAACTTATATTTATTAATATCACAAAATAACTTGCTGGGTGGGATTTGATTGAGATTGGATCAAATCCATAGATCAAGTTAGAAAGAAGAGACTTGACACTACTGAGTTTTCCAATCCATGATCATGGAATATTATTTAGTATATTAATTTCTTTCACAAGAGTTTTGTGGTTTTCTTTATACAAATGTTGCACATATTTTGTTAGACTTATATCTAAGTATTTTGTGCTTTTGGGTGCTAATGTTATATTGCATTTTTAATTTGAAATTTCACTTGTTTCTTGCTGGCATATAGAAAACTGATTGACTTTTGTGCATTTACCTCATATCCTTGCAACCTAGTTACAATTGTTCATTAGTTTCTGAAGTGTTATATTGGCATACTTTTCAGAGTTTCTACATTAATGATCAGGACATCTGCAAACAAAGGCAGTTTTATTTCTTTCTTCTCTACAGTATGTCTTTTATTTTTTCCTGTTCTTGTCTTGTTGCATTATCTAGGACTTCTTTTCAGTATGATATTGAAAAGAGGTAGTGAGAGAGGATATCCTTGCCTTATTCTTGATTTTAGCAGGAAAGCTTAGAGTTTCTCACCAGTAAGTACGAAGTTAGCAGTAGGCTTTTTAAATAGATATTTTCTATCAGTTGAAGTAGTTCAGTTCTATTCTTAGTTTACTGAAAGTGTTTTTTAATCATTAACGGGTGCTGGATTTTGTCAGATACATTCCCTGCATCTACTGATATAATCACATAATTTTTATTCTTTATCCTGTTATTGTGATGGATTACATTAACTAATTTTTGAATGTTGAAACAGCCTTGCATACCTGGGATAAACTCAACACGGTTATGGTGTATCATTCTTTTTATACATTGTTGGATCCAGCTTGTTAATATTTTATTGAAGATTTTTGCATATATGTTCATGAGCGACACTGGTCTGTAGTTTTTTTTCTTGTAAGGTCTTGGTCTGGTTTTAGTGTTAGGGTAATGCTAGCCTTATATAATGAGTTAGAAAATGTTCCCTCTGCTTTAATTTTCTGTAAGAGTTTTTAGAGAATTTTGGTATTATTTCTTCCTGATATATTTGATAGAATTCACTAGTGAAACCTTCTGGTCCTAGTGTTTTGTGTCTTGGAAGGTTATTAATTATTAATTCAATTTATATAATAGATATAGGACTATTCAGATTGTTTATTTCTTCTTGTGTGAGTTTTGGCAGATTGTGTTTTTCAAGGAATTCATTCATTTTATCTAGGTTATCAAATATGTAGGAACAAATTTTTGTAGTATTATTTTCTTTCCTTTTAATATCCATTGGATCTGTAGTGATGTTCCTTTTTCATTTCTGATATTAGTAATTTGTGTCCTTTCTCATTCTTCATAGTTAGGCTAGCTAGAGGCTTATTGATTGTATTTATCTATTCAAAGTCTCAACTTTTGGTTGTGATGATTTCCCTATTAATATCTTGTTTTCAATTTTGTTAATTTCTGATCTAATGTTTCTTCTGTTAACTCTAGATTTATTTTGCTGCTCTTTTTTTTTTCTAGTTTTCTAAGGTGGAAGCTTAGATGATTGAGTTTAGATCTTTCTTCTTTTCTATTAAGTGCATTCAATACTATTATTTTCCTTCTAAGCACTGCTTTTGTGGCATTCCATGAATTGAATTTTGACAAGTTGTATTTTTATTTTCATTTAATTTAAAATATTTTTAAATCTCTATAGGTATCTCTTCTTTGACCCATATGTTATTTAGAAGTGCGTTGTTTAGTCTCCATATATTTTGGATTTTTTTCAGTTATCTTTCTATTGATTTCTAGTTTCATTCCACTGTGGTCTGAAAGCAGACATTGTATGATTTCTGCTCTTTAAATGTGGTAAAGTGTATTTTATGGCACAGAATGAAGTTTATCTTGGTGAATGTTCCAAGTGAGCTTGAGAAGAATGTGTATTCTGTTCTTTTTGGATGAAATAGTCTCTAGATTTCAATTATATTCAGTTGATTGATAGTGTGGTTGAGTTCAACTCAATGTCCTTATACTATATCCTTACTGATTTTCTGCTTCCTTTATCTGTTCATTTCTGATAAGGTGGTGTTGAAGTCTTCAACCATAACAGTGGATTAATCAATTTCTTCTTGATGTTTTATTGCATCAAGTATTTTGTGGCAGTGTTGTTAGGCATATACATATTAAGTATTGTTATGTCTTTAAAAACTGATCAGTTCTTCATTACGTAATGCCCCTCCTTTTTCCTAATTACTCTCCCTGCTTTAAAGTCTTGTTTGTCTGGAATTCATGTAGCTACTCCTGCTTTATTTTGATTAGTATTAGCATGATATATCTTTCTCCATCTATTTACTTTTAATCTTTATGTATCTTTATGCCTAAAGTTTGTAATGTACACTTACAACTAATCCAAGCCCATTTTAAAGCAATAATGTATTGTTTCACACGTAGTGCAAATACCTTATCATAACAAAATAGTTCTAATTTCTCCCTTCCTTTTTTGTATTATTGCTCTCATTAATATCACTCACACACAAACACACTCACACAGACACATATACACACACATTCAAATACATTGCTGCTATTATATTCTGCATGACTGTTATCCATAAGATCAATTAAGAATAAGAAAAATTAAAGTTTATGTTTTATCCTCACTTATTCTTTTTCTGATGCTATTCCTTTATGTAGAATTAAGTTTCTGACCTACTTCATTTACCTTTTCTTTAAAGAATTTCTTTTAACATTTCTTGCAAGGTTGCTCTACCGGCATCAAATTCCTTCAATTTTTTTGTTCGTTTGAGAAAGTCTTTATTTCTCCTTCACTTTTGCAGAATAATTTCGCAGGGTACAGCATTCTAGATTGGTAGGTCTTTTCCCCTCAACACTAAACACTTTACTCTTTCTTTGTTTGCATGATTTCTGAGGAGAAGCTGGATATAATTCTTATCTTCTGTAGGTAAGCCAGTTTTCTTTTTGTTTTTCTGGCTTCATCAAAATTTTTCTTCATCTTTTATTGTCTGAAGTTTGAATACAACATCCTAGATGTAGTTTTTGTTTGTCTGCTTGACATTTATCCTCCTTGGTTTCTCTGAGCTTCCTAAATCTGTAGTTTCATGTCTGATAATAATTTGGGGGAAATTATCAAATATTTTCTCTGTTCTTTTCTCTCTTTCTTATCCTTTGGGTATATCCATTAGAGATGTGTTACACCTTTTGTAGTTGTCTCACAATTCTTGTATATTCTGCTCTGTTTTTGTTTGCTTCTTTTTTGCTTTTATTCTCTTTGCTTTTCCATTTTGGAAATATCTATTGAGATAGCCTGAAACGCAGATTTTTTTCCCTCTACTGTGTCCAGTCCATTAATAAGTCCACCAAAGGCATTCTTCATTTATGTTACAACATTTCATGTTACACTTATTTTTAATTCTTTCTTAGAATTTCCATCTCTCCACTTACGTTGCACAACTCTTCCTGTATGTTGCTTAGTTTAACCATTAGGGCCCTTAGCATATTAACCATAGTTTTTATTAAAGAATTCCAATCTGATAACTTCAATATCCCTGCCATATCTGAGTCTGGTTTAGATGTTTTAACTGTTTCTTCAAAGTATGTTTTTGTCTTTTAGTATGCCTTCTAATTTTTTCTTGATTGCAGGGCATGATGTATTGGGTAAAAGAAATTGCTCTTAGTAGGCCTTTAGTAATGTGGTGATATGGTGGGGAGGTGAAGCATTGTGTAGGCTTCTGAGTAGGTCTCGGTCTTTTGATGAGCCTGTGTCTCTAGACTGAATTTCATATATGTTTCTCAAGTCCCTCCCACTGTCTGCCCATTAGGTAGGACAGGATGGCTGGTGTGGGCTGGAGTTTGGTGATTCTCTTCTGCCACATCACTTAGGCTCTGACAAAACCTCCACAGATTAGGCTTTGGTTGAATAGTTTCTGCTGAAGGCAGATCTTGTTAGGAAGAACAGAATTCTCTGGTGTATTTCAAAATAGTTTCTTTTCCCCTCCCTGTGCTAGAAACATGAGGGGATTTTCTTCCATATACACTATGATGTAAAACACAAAATATATTGCAACCCTGCAATAACTGGGTCCTGTTGGAGTTTTTGACCTTCAAACTTGTTCACACTGAGACTTCAACAATATGTTGGAATTTAGCATTTTCTACTGTGCTGGTTCCTGTGAAAGTTTCTGCCTCAGTAAGTTGTAAGTTTCTGTATTCCTATGTCTGTCTCTCCAATTTCAGGGGCAGTAGTTTGTCCTGTACCTGAGAAGAGAGTGGTTTTCTTCAGTTTCCTTAGGTTATAACTTCTTGTTAGGACAGAGTGGTGACTTCCAAGTTCCTTACATGCTGTACTAGAAAATGGCCAAGCTTTGCTTTATATATTGGTTATGCTGGTTCTAATAAAGGTAGTAACAGCAACTAACCCTAGAATATATATTGTGTACCAGGTAGTGATTGAATCCTCACAACCAACTTATGACAATAGGTATGCTATCATTCTACCTTTTACAAATGAGGAAACTGGGCTTTTTATTTTTATTTTTTACTTTAAGTTCTGGGATACATGTGCAGAACATGCAGGATTGTTACACAGATATACACGTGCACCTATCAACCTGTCATCTAAGTTTTAAGCCCCACATGCATTAGGTATTTGTCCTAATGCTCTCCCTTCCCTTGCCCCCAAACCCCTGACAGGCCCCAGTGTGTGATATTCCCCTCCCTGTGTCCACGTGTTCTCATTGTTCACCTTCCGCTTATAAGTAAGAACATGCAGTGTTTGGTTTTCTGTTCCTGTGTTAGTTGGCTAGAATGATGGCTTCCAGCTTCATCCACTTCCCTGCAAAGGACATGAACTCATCCTTTTTATGGCTGCATAGCATTCCATGGTATGTATGTGCCACATTTTCTTTGTCCAGTCTATCACTGATAGGCATTTGGGTTGGTTCCAAGTCTTCGCTCTTGTAAATAGGGCTGCAATAAACATATGTGTGCATGTGTCTTTATAGTACAATGATTTATAATCCTTTGAGTATATACCCAGTAATGGGATTGCTGGGTCAAATGGTGTTTTCGGTACTAGATCCTTAAGAATTACCACACTGTCTTCCACAATCGTTGAACTAATACACTCCCACCAACAGTGTAAAAGCATTTCTATTTCTCCACAGCCTTGCCAGCATCTGTTGTTTCCTGATTTTTTGTTTCTTTGGTTGGTTGTTTTGTTTGTTTGTTTGAGACAGAGTCTTGCTCTGTCACCAGGCTGGAGTGCAGTGGCACAATCTCAGCTCACTGCAACTGCCGCCTCCTGGGTTGAAGCAATTCTCCTGCCTCAGCCTTCTGAGTATCTGGGACTACAGGTACCCACCACCACGCCCAGCTAATTCTTGTATTTTTTGTAGAGATGGAGTTTCACCATGTTGGCCAGGATGGTCTGATCTCTTGATCTTGTGATCCACCTGCCTCGGGCTCCTGAAGTGCTGGGATAACAGGGGTGAGCCACGCACCTGGCTGTTTCCTGATTTTTTAATAATGGCCATTCTAACTAGCATGAAATGCTATCTCATTGTGGTTTTGATTTGCACTTCTCTAATGACCATTGATGATGAGCTTTTTTTCATATGGGAAACTGGGACTTTTACAAATGAGGAAACTGAAGCATAGAATGACTAAGTGACGTATCCGAGGATATATTGCTAGGGATTAGTAGATTCGATATCTGAATCCAGGGCATGTGGTTCCAGAAACTGTGAGCTTAACCACTACACTCTACTGCTGAGTTTGGAGAGTGAGTTTAGGAACTGTTAATTATAAGGCAATACCTACCAAGAAAATGATACCCTTTGGTGATCAGCAATTTAAGCAGGTAATTGTTTTCAAGACTATAGTAATGACAACTCCTTGCATTTTTAGAGAGCCAGATAGTAAGTAGGTTCCATACCAGCTCTTACTTATTGATGGTGCTTGAAGAATTGTGTCGAGAAGGATTCTGAGGCTGAAACCAGCTCTGTGGGAATGAGTGCAAGGGTTGACTAGCCATGTCTTCCACAAGTACATGTGATTGAGGAACACAGCATACTGACTAACCTCTTATTGAGAGCTGTGTTTTGGAAATTGCTGTCATATATCACTTCTTCCAGACAGAGTTACCCCTTCGGAGCTCCTACATCACTATGCATACCACTGTGATTTTAAATAATTAATTGTATAAATATCTATTGGTGTTTTTCTTACTCTTAATCTTGAAGTCACAAACCTCATGTATCTGGGTAACCTAATTGTTCAGCATGACACAAATCCTGGCCCATAGTAGGACTCAATAAATAATTATTAAACAATGTATAGCTAAAAATAACTTCCTGAGATAAGTGTTATTAGCTGTTTAAGAAGTCTGAGAATTCTGTGAAAGCCACCTTGAGGGAGGGCAAAACTTGGCATCGAATTCATGAGTTTTCCTCTGGGCTATGTCTTATTTCTAAAACGTAAAGGACTTACCCCATAGCCATCGGGAATTTTCAAAAACATTATTATTCTAGGAGGGGACAAAAGATTTCTAAAGTTGCTCCTAGTAGCTGACCTGCTGTACTTTGTTTGGAATTAAACTCTGCCTGTATTTCCTGCAAACTTCATTAGTTCCCTACAGACATGAAAAGAAATTGTTTGCACTGCGCCATCTTAGTGGGAGACCTTTACTAAAAGTGTCCTGAAGAAGAAATTATTCTTTCGCCCCTAGGGTCACTTGGTAGCTAAAACAGACTTCTCCTTTTTCTTCTAATCTGTTCTACTTCACTGACTCCTTTTTCTGTGTGTTCTTAAAGGTATTGCCTTATTTACTTTGATGGTTTCTCAACTAATTGAATACAGCAGTGAGTTCTTTCTTCCTGTACTCTTTTGGATGTTTCTACTACCCCAAGGGGAAAGGTTCCCATCAGACAGCTTGGCTTTGAGATGCTTGCTTATTGAAACTACTTTAAGAGTTATTGCTATTTACAGGGCTGTTAAAAGTTTGCACATTTGGCTAAGCTATACAAAATAAACTGATGCCTGCTTTGACTTTTGCCAATGGAAATCCTAACTTATGTATAGGGGAATAGTTTCTGAAAACAAAAAATGGATATGTCTTGTGACTTGATTTTTAGGTTGATGTGTAATCAGATGATCCTAATATGATTTTTTAATTTATGGAATTACCTGTCTATGAAGAGTATAATACAAACTGTAAAGTCCAAATCATGTAGAAACATTACTGGAAGTAAAGAAGTAATTGTCTCAGAACCAAATTCTTCCCTTTAGCATGGAGATTATGTGATTCTGATTCCATAGGTAGTAAATCTTTTCCGATTATTTAATGTGTGCATACATGGGCATACACATCCCCCCAGTACCCAGGGAAATCTTCCATAACTGGTCACAGTGGTATACAATCTTTTGTTACCCTCTTTCTTCCATTCCCATTTTCATATGCTCGAAGCCTTTTTGTCAAGATAAGGATTTTGTTTGAAAAAGCTATAAAATTCTAAGAAAAGATGCCTACTATCTTCCCCTTCTGCAGTTACCCGCATCCAACAACTCCCAGAGCTCAGGATTTTCTAAGCTTCTATGTTTAGCATGTTGTATGTGTAATGAATCATAGTGTCCACCTGTAAGTGTCATAAACAGATGGTATAAATATGCTTGCACACTGTGACTCAAAACACATCTCCAGTTTTAGCTTGAGTTGAAACAATATTCACAGTTCCAAGAAACCTGTGGCTTGCAAATTCAGGGTCAGTGGGAGGAGAATACCGGAAAACTGGAAGCCTATGTTCTCTGTTGCCTGTCAGTGCAGTCCGTATTGAAGGGACCCAGGAGGAAGGGAAGGGAGGGATAGTGAAGGAAAATCTGTATTCCATGTGCTCTTGAAGCCAAACATTTTGAAGATGCTCAAGAAATCCGTCTTTGGAGCCTATGGGAGTGGGTGGTTTCACCCATGGTCTTCCGTCTTCCTGGAATGTCCTTTCCTTGTTTCCACATCATGCCCCCACCACCCCACTTCCATTTTTCCCCGATTGTCCACAGTCATCTGCCAAGTTTCAACCTCAAAGTCTTTTCCTGTGTGAGGTCTTCCTAGCCCACAGACCAGGTAAGAGGCCTCTGCTCTATACATCCATGACACACCGCTGAACCTCCCCCACTCCTTACTCTAACCAGATTCCACAGCAATTGCATTTTTAATGCATGCCCTTCTCACGACAGTGTCAATCCACTAGGGCAGGAATTGCCGTCTCATATGATGATGTACACCCAGTATCAAGCACAGCATCTAGCATTTAATAAATATTGTTCACTTGAAGGCCTATACCAATAAACAATTAATAAAGCTAAACAGCCTAGTTAAAATTTCAATGTGATGTCATCTGGCTTCATGAAAGTAACAAGAATTTACTTTTGAAGAAAAAAAGTATACAAGTTTACATTTGATTCTGGGGCATTTCATTCACTTCTCAATATTTCTCTCACACAAGGTCCAGATCATGCATCGTCTCCTCTTTGAAGTTCTGTCTGATTTCCCTGAGCAGGCAGTAGCTTTCTCATCTATGATCACACAGGACTTATTCATAGCCTGGCCTTCCTTTTTCCCCTCATTTTATCCTGGCCTACCAAGTCCCTAGACATTCAAGGTTGTGAACTGGGTTTCTGCTGCTCTGCCTCATTCTACGTTCCCTAGGGCCTAGTATATTGCTTAGCATAGGGAAGGCACTCACATTTGCTGAAATGATTGAAATGGTGGTAAGAAAAATAGAACATCTATTCATTTAACCACCGTTAAATAAATATTTATTTTGAGCCCAACTGTTTACCAGGTACTGTTTTAGGTGCTTAGAATACATCAATAAAATATTCCCTATTCAAATAAACATTTTGGAGGTTTTTGCCTTTTCCAAAAACTAAAGAATTGGTTTCCAGGTTTGTTTCGTAACTGTGGTTGCCTAGTAGATGTACACAGACACTTAGTACATAAGGTTGCTGAGTACTGGGATTAAATTTTAAGGTTCTGATTAAGAGTCAAGCTTAGTAGTATCCCGCCAGTTGTGGATGAACTTAGTACACTGAAGATGTATTCAATAAGGATAAGACAGGAAGTAGCTAACTGAGCAAATAATTTCTATGGTTACCTGGTATTATCATGGACACAAATATCAGTGTGACAGTAAAGATTCCACTTACTTTTTTATTATAAGTCTCTTGAAATGTCCTGAAGGCTAAAAGCTTGTCAGTGTTGAATCAGTTCCTAAAATTGTGCTAAATTAAATGTGATTATTTACAACATGCCTAGTTCTTCTTAAGAAAATAACCCCTTTTATTATGCTATATTTAAATTTATCTAAAAATGGATTTTATGTATGTTAGAATCATTAAAAATACACATGAATTTCATGCTGTACAATATTCTAATGATGTTACTTTAGTTGAAGAGTGATTAAACATATAGGACTTGCTCATTATCAGTCATTTCAACATTATAGATGATATATGGAATATAGAAATTGATGTCAGTTATTATTCACTGACACACTTCATTTGTGATCCAGTAAGCAACATTTTAAGGAGCAAACATTCAATGTTAATTGAAAAACCAATAAAATTCTGAGAGAGCAAATTTTGTGTCTTCTATTTCCCTAATTTTAGAAGCAGCCTCAATTTAAATCTATAATGTTAGCTCCATTTATATTATTTTGTGGAAAGGCAGATGGTGATTGTTTATTCTTCTAGCATGTGAAAAGGCATGTATCAAATTATTTCCAAATTTATGCTAACATGACTTAAACATTTCTTAAAGGGCTGTGTAGCACTGCAGACTTCATAAACAGGTCCTCTCATTCATCATAGAACTTGACTCCCTGCAGATGAACTACAGCAACAATTATGCCCAAGACAGGGACTGTCTCATGCAGTTTAGGAGCAGAGAATGCATGTCCTCTACAATCAGTGCAGTAGGAGCTGGCAGGAATTACTACTGCTGGAGCTGGTAGAGGCCAAAGGCTTTCTGGGGAGAGGAATGGAATAGACAGTGTTTCATCCTGAATGAGTGTGCATCTTGGGTTAAGGCCTTAGAGTCCTATGAACTTACTGAGCAACACCACTTTTTGCTCTTGGGAAGAGCCATCCTTGGCAGCACTGTTAAATAGAGGAATGTTCTTCTATGGTTCAATGTCTTTTTCTAGATCCATCAACTCCAACAAGAAGAAACAAGCCTGGCCCTCGTAGTAAAAAGATGACCAGAGTCAAAATCTGAAACCAATTTTGAGCTTGGCTCTGTCATTTATCAGTGGTATGACATGGGGGAAATTAGTGAAGCTCCTTGTGACAATATGCTCCTCTGTACAATGCAGCCAACATCATTCACAGATTTTCTGTAATGATTACATGTAAGTGAATGTATATGAAACAGGTCAACAGAAAAGCCATCTCTACACTTGTTAGACAACATAATTATTACCCATAAAGCTGGCTTTAGGGAAAAAATTGTCAAGACCATTTTATAGTCAGTAGCCTTTCCTCTAGCAATCCTCTTACTCAAATGCCAAGATTCCTCTAGCCTCTCTGCCAGCAATGTCAAAATACAATATCTTGATATTTTAGAAAAAAAATGAAAGCTGTAACTGTCAGGACTGTTATAGAACTATCAAAAGTATATTAAATCAGCTACATAAATTGTGAAAAGAGTCTGGATTCTATGTGTTCTGTGATAATTTAAACACAGGCCAGATCATTTAAGGAGGGCAAAATAGAAAACAAAGAGACTGAGCACCCTCTCTTAAGGAGACAGGCCACTCCCATAGTCAAGTATTTGTGCCTCAATCCTTTGTTTATTTCTTGATAAATCTGTGATGAATGAAGCACCAAAGATTTTTTAAAAGGTAGGGGAAATGTATGTTAACATTACATAAAGATGACCTCGATACTAAGCAGGAGAAACTGCCCAAAGTAAGGAAGATAAAAAAAGGAGAGCTAATCATTTTTGTCTTATAATGATGTTAGGAAAGACTACTTATTTTTTTCACACCCCACATCCAATCTCCCAGGAAATTATTTTGACCTGTTTTTTTCAAAATAGATCTAGAAAGTGACCAGTGACTTTTTCCCACCTTCTCTTCTACCACTGTTGTATGAAGGGCACTCACCTCTCACCTGGATTGTTGCAGGAGCCTCCTAACCTCTACTCTTCTTGCATAATACCCAGTCCCCTCCACTGGCTGCCTCCCCAGCTCAGTAGTCACAGTAATCCTTTTAAAATGTAAGCCAGATCAGGTTCTTCTGTTAAAAACCCTCCAGTAGCTGTCATCTCACTGAAAGTAAATGCCAAGATCTTGAAAATCTGCCCAAGGCCCTCCATACCCCAGTTTTCCATCCTCTCTGACATCATTTCCTATTAGTCTTTCTGTGGCTCAGTCTGAGCTCCTTGATCTTCCTCTTACTCAACAAACACCTCCTGTTGGAGAGTCTTTGCACTGCTTACTTACTCCACTGGAAGCAACTGTGGTAATTCCTGGTCTATCCCAGATATACACATGGTTTATATCTCTCTTGCTTCAAGCCTTTGCTTAAATATTATCTTCTCAATCAAGCTTACGCTGGCCACTGTATTTAACATTACACATTGTCCGTCACTGCCTGCTTTCTGATTTTACTTATGCTTGTCTATTCTTTTCTGTAGCTTGTATCACTGTTTTATATTCCACAAAATTTACTTATTTATTATATTTACTATTTATTGTTCATCCTTTATTCATTCCCCCAATATATAGTCCAAGAATAAAAGGATTTATGTCTATTTGTTTCATGTATGTATCTCATTTGTAGAATAATAAATGTATGGTATCCCTTATACAGATATTTTTGAGAGTGACAATTTCAAGAGAAACTTTAGAGAGAAGCACAGAGCCTGGCATAGAATACTTTTAATATGGAAAAAAAGGCAGAGAGGTACAAGCTATTGAAAGAGAAATGAAATCAACAGAACTAAAACTTTGTTCCAAAGACTTATTTTAACCTCTAGTTTCTAAACACATTAACCACAGTAACTATTCATATTAGTTCTTTCTTGGTGCTTTCCTTGACATTTAAAAAATATTCTGATTTTAAATTTTAGTTATGTTGAAAGAGTGAATAACAGTAAGTAAAACAGAACAATGGCATTGTTTCTGTTATAGTTTTTAATCTCCATCATTAAATGTTTCAGCTAAAAACAACATTCATTCTCTATTTTTCAATCAACTTATTTGCTGACAATGCATTCTATGAAAGCTACAATTGTATGCCATCATTTGAAATCAGAGGAATAGATTTTTTTAATGGGCAAAAGCAGGATTTTTAATGGTGCAAAAGCACGTGTTTTGGTTTTAGAAGGGTGCATGGTAGTCCTGTACACCAGCTGCTTTTGTCCAGAGACAGGCACTGCAAATCAAAACCTCATACGCATGTATATTCCTTCTAGATAGTTCCATTTGGCAGATACATGTTTACATGCCAATGTAATAAGGGCTGGGAGGTAAAGAGTATAGGGTACAGTTTAGATATTAAATTTGCAGTGTTCTCAGTTTTTCAGTCTTTCATTCAGAAAAAGTGCCTTAAATTTTGTGTTTCCACTCCTCTGGTTGGGTAGGAGGTGGCAGTATGCTTTTGGTGAAAGACAAAGTTGATGAGTACCTAGATGGGTACCTTGAAGAAAGACAAAGTTGATGGGTACCATTCATAGAACATTCCTTGAGGCCTTCGCTCTTGCCGTTTTTGAAGAAAGGCTTTAAGGATTGTGAAAAGTGGAAGTGGAATAAAATAGGAAAAAAACGTACTTTAAAATTATTTTTAGAGATTTCCTAGTGACAGGAACTGATGAGATTTCAGTAGTTTTCTTATAGTGAGTCCCCTTATAAGGCATAAGTTATGTATATGACCTCAGATGAGAATGGGGGTTCATGGAGCATCTTGGGATGCTGAACACTGATTTTCAAGACCCAGTCCTCATGGTAGAATCACCCCCAACCAACACACAAACACACACATACATATGCATACATGTATGCACATATATGCACACATACACACACACACACACACCACACATCTATGACAGTGTGCAGCCACCTGCCTTTGAGGGCAGTGGGCAGAGGACCCTTCATTGAATGTTCAGATGACATGACATGTCTACTCTTCTTATATAATACCCAAGAGGAAGTGCCATATTAAAGACTGGATACATTTTTTTCACTTTTGCCAGAAACATGAAGGCCTCAGGAGAAGTCATCTGACTTACAGAAAGAGAATAATATGATGTTCCTTGCTTCCAAGTTTTGCAGAATAAAAGTTACATCTGCTATAAATGGTTCAAAGGCAATTGAAAGGGGATTTAGGATTTATTGATTTAGTTCTCGTATGACTCTTTTTTTAAACCAGAAGAGATCCGGGCAAGATAATAGACCTGTAATTCCCTCCACCCAGTTACAATGAGCTGGGAATTTACATGGATTATCATAACTAACAAAAAGATCCCACTTTCTGTAAGACTTTCATATAATTCCAGTAACACATATTTGTGTCTACACAGTACCGTTTTTCAGAGCTTGGCCTCTAGCTCAAATCTACAGTCTATTCCTTCCAGAATGTTGAAATTGACTGCAAGTTCATGCATTTGATCTTTGCTTTCTAAAACTAAATGGAAAGAAAGGGATACTGAAGAATCTGGCAATTCAATCCACTGAGTGGAAAATCTGAAATGTTCCAGTCTTCAACATTTGCTTTTAGACTTACCGCAGAGATTATTTTTTAAAGCCTTAGCTGCTATTGCCTCTATTACATAACGCTTGGTACTGCACTCTGCTAAGAATAAACAAGCACAGAGGAGCACCAGTATTTCAGAAATGGATTCTGTGCTCTGTGGGTTCGTGGGAAACACTCTCTGTGGTTAATTCCCCTGGGCCACCCACCCCTGTGGCCTTAGGTCAGGAACTTCTTACCTGAAACAGTTCCTGGTGTTCTTCATAGTGTAATGGCAGGGCAAGCTTTAAGAAAAACCTTGGTCTTCAAAAAATTTTCAGTGTGGACACCAGGCACAAAGTGACTAAGCGCGAGGCTTGACCACATCACAGTGTGGGATTTGAGAATTCCCTTTTGGGAACCTCCAGTTCTTGAGAAAGGAGAAGATATTCTGTAAATGGGTTTAGATGTTTGCTAAGGATTTATTGCAACCATATTGCTCTAGGTTCTCTGTGTACATGCAGCAGGTATAGCCCCAATTTTACCTTGACAAATAGGCAATGTTAGAAAACATCAAGACTCCATTTGAGCTTTCTTGAAAGCCAGGATTATTGATGGCATAATTTACAATCACACCTCATCTCTAGATTCTCACTATAACACAGCAATTTAGTTTATGCCTGCATCATGTCACATCAACAACTCACTTGGATTGCTCATGTCTTCCTATCACCAAAGCCGTTGAACTCTTTTTAGTTTTCTTCTATTTTATCTTTTCTCAATACCTGATGTGATTGACTAGTTTCTGTTTCTTGAAACTTTCTCCTCCCTTGACTTTCACAGTAACTGGTTCAACATTTTCTCAGTTCTTTTCATTTTAAGTACATTTTTATTGAATGACTATCCTGTATCATGAATTAATACAAAAAGTAGGAGTCATAATTTGTCCTTTTATGAATAATTTTTGCAGTACTGGGCATTGCCCTAAGTTCTTTGATTTTGGGAAGCTACATAGAAAAGTGTTTAAAATCGTGACAAAGCCAGTCATGGTGGCTCATGCCTGTAATCCTAGCACTTTGGGAGACCAAGACCAGAGGATTGCTTGAGGCCGGGAGTTTGAGACCAGCCTGGGCAACATAGCAAGACCTCATCTCCACTAAAAAATAAAATAAAAATAAAAATTAACTACCCAATTATGGTGGCACGTGCCTACAATCCCAGCTACTTGGGAGGCTCAGACAGGAGAATTGCTTGAGTTCAGGAGGTTGAGGCTGCAGAGCAAGATCCTATCTCAAAACAAAAACAAAAACAACCATGGTTTTAGCTCTATACAATCAGTACATCTGGATTCAAATGGTAGCTCTGCCATTTGGTGGCTCTTAAGGATGGGATTCTCAGAGAACAGACTCTGAAAATGGGAATAGTTTGTAGGATGTTTACTAAATAGTGCTGTTGAGATCAACACCTGTGGGGGTTAGGGAAGAAATCAGGTTTGGGCAAAAAGGGAAGTTGGCCGTGGGAACATCCAACAAAGCCAATCTTATGAGGATGTCTGAAGCTGAAGCTGGGATAAACTTTCAGAGTTGCCTGAAGCTGGAGAGAGAAAGCCATACCTTTGCAAACTTGCATCTATCAATTTTTGGCTGTAGGCTGCCCCTGGGAAGGGGAGCATGACTTTGGGCAATGTGACTTCTAATGAGGCTGATTGCTGGGGGCTGAAGGCAGGAGCACAGCCAGATATTAGGGAAATATGCTGTGGTCCTAAAGGGAGTCTGGGTTGACTGTCACACCTTGGGATGAATGCTTGATATCCTTGGAAAAATTATTTAATCTTCCTGTGCTTCACTTTCCACTGCTATAAAACAGGAATAACAATAGTATATATATATCACATGGTTTGTTGTGATTGCTTAAAACAATGTCTATCATATAGTAAGTGCCCAATCAGTTGTGTTATTCCTTAGTCACTCAAGACACCTGGGAAAATAAAATGGTGCATGGAGATAAATTCAACAGATTTAACCTATATCAAAAGATATAACCTTGGACTTCTCCTAGACTGATGCCCACATTTAATTCATACATTTTATTAAGTTTTTCTTTTATATATATTTCATATTCATGACCCCTCTCTAGTCTCAATGATATTTCCCTAGTTCAGATCCTTGTATGCTGTCATCTGGATTATGTCTTTATTTATTTATTTTTCTTTCTTCCTTCCAAATAATCCTTTGTAAATAGCTAGTGATCTTTTATGCAAATTCAAATCCAGTCATCAGTTTCCTCCTTAAAATTCCACAGCCAATAAGACAAAGTACACATTTGCTTTTCAGAGGGACAACAATTTTTTCTTTTGCCACTTCCTTATATGTAGCTAATTCTCCAGCAACAGCTAATTATTTTGAACTCATCTTCTCAGGCTTTTGCATTGCTCTGGGACCTTGACCAATTGTTTTGTGAGTTTAACTTCTCTGCACAGTTAAAATATCTTCTTTTCTATGAACCTTCCTCTGACTTATGTCTTTGAGTGCACTAACACCTTCAGATGTTCGTTTCTTTGGCTATGGAAGAATTACTCCCTCTCTCCTCGATGCTACCTTGCCTCTTCTATTCAAATTTTGGCTAAAACACTTAACAACTTGTATTATAATGTGGTTCATTGAACTCTGGAATTGGAAAGTTCTGGGTTTAAATCATAACTCAGTTCACATTAGTGTAGTAGCCTTATTGCCTAATTTCACCCTTAATTTTCTCAGCTTACCTTGAAGGATCTGTGTCAAGGATCTGTGTGAGGATTAAATGAGAGAATGCACTCAAAATTCACAAAGCATGTACTCAGTTCTTAGCAGATATAAGGGTTATTGTATTCACCTACTTGTCTCCCCCATTTAGTACAAGGTCCTCAGGAGAAGGAGCCTTGTCTTATACATCTTTGTTTCTTGGCATCTTAGAAGTGTGTCTGGCATATTAAATGAATAACTGCTAGATAAATAGCTAAGGAAAGATTTGATACATATCATATATTACATTGAAATTGCACAGGAGTATAAAGGACAGACTTTTGGGAAAAGTGAATGTCAAGTGTAAAAGACACATAAATATAATGTATTAGTTCATTTACATGCTGCTTATAAAGACATACCCGAGACTGGGAATAAAAAGAGGTTGAATTGGACTTAACAGTTCCATATGGCTGGGGAGGCCTCAGAATCATGGTGGGAGGTGAAAGGTACTTCTTACATGGTAGCAGCAAGAGAAAATAAGGAAGAAGCCAAAGAGGAAACCCCTGATAAACCCATCAGATCTCGTGAGACTTATTCACTATCAGGAGAATAGCACGGGAAAGATCAGCTACCATCATTCAATCACCTCCCCCTGAGTCCCTCCCACAACATATGGGAATTCTGGGAGATACAATTCAAGTTGAGATTTGGGTGGGGACACAGTCAAGCCATATCCTGTAAAGGGTTATTATATGTTTTCTAAAATGAAAATGCTCCATAATCTATGTGAAGGCTGTTTCAAAGGTTAATTAATAGGTGGTCATGTCATCTTAGGTAGGTAAACATTATTTTCCCTTGCTGACAAGAATAAAAATCACTATGGCTAGTTAACAGTGGTAACTAGTAATTAATGGTATTTGTTCATTTATTCATTACTTTATTCAACAATTATGTGTTGAGCATCTACTACATGTTAATGGTGCTAGATGCAAGTAATTCAAAGATGAATAAAGGGAAATGTGGCTCCAGCTCTCACAAAATCTACAGTCATTAGGGAGATGACTGTTACAGCACTGAGCAAAGACAGTCAATGGGGTAAGTCCTCTCGCAGGGAATGTGCAACATGTAACAGGGGCACCTCACTAGCTGCGGGGAGTCATGCCACAGTGGTTCAGAGCACAGGGTTCCCAAAGGGATTTCTAACCTGTATTAAGCCTTTAGACTTTATGCAAGGGTATGTGAGAGTTGAAGCAGGAGGAACTTAATTAGTGCGGGAGTAACATCATCAGATTTTCGTTTTGCAAAGGCCATTCTGACTTCTTCGTGGATATTAGATTATAAAAAGGCAAAAGCTGAAGCCAGCACAATCATCTGGGAGACGATCAGCAATCTGGACAATCAAGTCTTCAGTCTCTGAATCTGGATCTCCATTCACTATTTCTTTGTCTTTCAAGACATGGGTATTATGCTATATGAAAATAGGAGATAATAGGAGTCAGGACCGTAGGTATTATGATAATAAGGACTATGTGATTATATACAGACACACACACACACAAAACAATAAGTGTAAAGAAACCTATTGGAGTCATCTTGTCCATCACACTCACGTTTAGATGGAGCAGTTTTGCCTCGCAAAGGTGGGTATATCACCTAATAAAGTACCTCTCATTGGGTCTAATTCATGTGCTTTGGGTTATAACCATCCTGAGGGCAATGGAAAAGAAATAGGGACCTGTTCCCTAGTTTCAAGGAACTTTTAATCTCATTGAAAACACAAATAGTTCTACATAAAGTGACTTGAAGTCAAGAATAAAGAATAAGTATAAGACAAATGGTGTTTCTACTACTTTAAGCATTCTCCATGCCCTTGTTAATTGATGGGAAATCTTTGTGGTCCCTTTAGCTCTAAACAAGCCTATATAAAACCATAGTTAGCAGCATGGGTTGACCAGGAAGCCTACTGTTATTATGTCTCAAGAAATTCTAAAAGTGTCTCCTTAACTATATATGTATGTAGTTTGCAGGAATAGGGATAGAGTAGGAAAATGTCCCTACTCATCCTCCTTTGGCCTGTCCCTGTAAAGCCGAAGTCCCCTGCAGATTATTAGTTGCCTGGAGCCACATATCTCCCTCTTTGTTACAGTGCAGACTAGAGATTGTTAAAGGTGTAAAAGAGTAAAGCCACGTGGTTGGGTACTATGGAAATATCTTAATTGTGGTCATCAATTGTAAAAGACTTTTATAGGAATATCAGGTATGTAGATTGGGGCATTATGTTTTTACTCCAATAAGAATATAATTTTAAGCCATAGATAATTTTCAATATTTAATAGTATATCACTAATATTTCAATATTTGTAATATAACAAATGTTTTTAAATTAAAAATATACTTTAGTCCACAGTATAAAAGTGTGTTGGTGTGGCTGGGCATGATGATTCATGCTGTAATCTCAGCACTGTGGGAGACTGAGGTGGGCAGATCACTTGAGGTCAGGAGTTCAAGACCAGCCTGGCCAATATGGTGAAACCCCGTCTCTACTAAAAGTGTGTTAGTACTTTGCAGTGGCTTGCTCTGAAGTGTGAATCCTGGTTCTACTACTGACTCATCATGTGAATATAAACAGGTTGCCTATCCTCCACATGCCTCAGTTTTCATCACTAAGATGGAGGTCATAACAGCAGTCACTTCACTGACATTGTTGGGAAGATTAAATGAGTCAATGCATGCAGTGAGCTTAGAATAACACTTGACACATATTGTTTTGAAAATTTTTAAGAAAATGTGGTTCCATCCATTAATAACTTTCCATAAAACGATGATCATGGGAAGGCATGTCTTATATTAAAGACAATTACTACCCTGCCCCTTAAAATTCTGAGATATTATGTGCAAAAATACTTATAATTATCCATCCTGTATTTTATATGAAGATTTCAAAATCCCACTGATGACTCTGATGGAGGGATAGACATTATCTAACAGTATCACACTCTGTTGGACTCTAATCATCTCAGATGGAAACCATATCTAAAGGTCCAACATATTCTTTGAAAGAAAAGATGTAGAGTGATGCCAGTGTTACATCATATTCCAAACCAGATTAAACGTCTCTGGAATTGTGGTTGTACAAATGCTGTTTTATGGTTATAAAAACCTATCCTTCCTCTAAGGGTACATGGAGCTTTCTACAAAGTTCCGTCTCTGAAGTACATAGACCAAATGAAATATCATGTGGCAGTGAATGATTCTCAGTCACAAGAGTCAGGGAGGTTTGCATTTGTTAAATCTGTCGTGTACACCCTATCTGTCAGGTATTGGGTAGACATGGAGTTACCAATAAGAAGAACACATCAACCCTCTGGCCAAGAAAATGACAATTACAGGAGGAAAGAGACAAGTAAAATATTCACAATAACATATGATCATAGAAGTATGTAGAATTCAAGGTAATGAGATAAGGGAAATGAGAATAGGGTGGTGTTGGACACAGAGGAAGCCACCTGGCAGGTGGTAGAACCTGGGCTGAGTCTTGAAGAACAAGTAGAAGTTAATTACCAAATAAGATAGTGTCATGAAAACAGAATTGTGTTTCTGACTTAAGTAAATCAGTTAGTGAATTGTGATGCTGATGATTGGCAAGGAACATGCAGCTGAAAGAGCATAGTAAGTAGGGTGAAAGACAAGACCATTTCCAGAATACTTTCCCATTCCCCTATATCTTAGTGCAAACCTCTATCCTGGTTATCCATAATTCTTTTCTGATTGTGTTAAATTTAATAATTAGTTCAAAGGAGGATAAATGGAAGGAATAATTATTTATAGATTTCTATTAAGTTTTACTTGACCTTAATTCAACTTGCAATGAAAATTTGTAGAAATAAATGTAACTTAATGTCACATCTTAAAGAATGAGACCTTAATTTGGAAAATAGTGCCTTAATAAAATAGTAACTAAAATTAATTTGGTACTTTTTGTGTAGCAAGCATTGCACTAAGCTCTTCACAGGCATAATTTCATTTAAGCTTCACCAAAAAACCTGTGAGGTAAATACCAGTATTCTCCCCATTTTACAGACGGGAAAATTGAGGCTTTCAGAGTTTGATTACTCACTGTCAAGAGGTTAGTCAGGACTCAATTTGAGGTCATCTTATTTTGTGCAAAGAACAGAGTATTGGAAATCCGTGAATCTGGTTTACAGTCTTTTACACTCCTAACTTATTTATTGGTGAGTCAATAGTCACATCACCCTTATCTGTAAAATATAAGTTGAGGGGTGGGTTGCTAATGCAGAAGTAATTGGAGAAGTTGAAATTAAAGACCTGTGTAGCCCCTTCAAACTTTGCTATTCTACGGTTTTTGTGCATTACGAAGTGTTCATTCTGGTAGTGATTCTGAGTGCAAAGGGATATGGTGACAGATCCACACAGTGTACTGAGAGGACAGTCACATCACCAAAAGGAAAACAGTCACCCAATCAGTGTGATCTTTGGTTCAATTCATATATTCGTTAAAGGCCCACTGGAAATTCTACAGGCCATGGTTTTGTACTCAGCCTAAGGAGTTGTTTAGATTATTGCCCATCTCTTTACAAGAGGAGGAATGAGGACCATCTCTGTGGAGAAGGAAGATCTTGTTCTCTCATAAACAAAGGCCTTCTGCCCCGCGCGGTGGCTCATGCCTGTAATCCCAGCACGTTGGGAGGCCCAGGAGGTCGGATCACGAGGTCAGGAGATTGAGACCACCCTGGCTAACACGGTGAAACCCCATCTCTACTAAAAACACAAAAAAATTAGCCAGCCGTGCTGGCGGGCGCCTGTAGTCCCAGCTACCTGGGAGGCTGAGGCAGGAGAATGGCATGAACCTGGGAGGCGGAGCTTGCAGTGAGCTGAGATCGCGCCTCTGCACCGGAGCCTGGGCGGCAGAGTGAGACTCCATCTCAAAATAAAGCCAAACCAAACCAAAACAAACCAGAGGTCTTCCTGGCCATTGTCTGCATTTTAAAATAATTCAGAAACGGGCTTTTTTTGATGTGCTCTCTCGAATTTTTCCATCTCTTTTTTACGCTGTAGTTAGGCTGTGCAAATATGATAGAGTGAAAGCCTTTCTAAGTAAAGATTTGGAAAAGAAAACCCACTTAGGGTCTTTTCAAGCTGCAAATGGGGGTGTGGAGGGCATGGGGCTGAACGTAACAGCACTTTCTAACTTTGGTCTTTTACATTGGGGTTGTAACTGCTGGCTGATTTCAGCCACAGGCAAGTTACTAGGGCTTTTTAGTAATTCACTTTCTTCAGATAATTTTTTTTTTAAGTGACTGCTTTGGTCATAAAAGCCCTAGAAGAAAAGCTAGGCAATACCATTAAGGACGTAGGCATGGGCAAAGACTTCATGACTATAACACCAAAGCAATGGCAACAACAGCCAAAATTGACAAATGGGATCTTATTAAACTAAAGAGCTTCTGCACAGGAAAGGAAACTATCATCAGGTGAAAAGGCAACCTATAGAACGGGAGAAAAATTTTGCAATCTATCCATCTGACAAAGGGCTAATATCTAGAATCTACAAGAAACTTAAACAAATTTACAAGAAAAAACAATCCCATCAAAAAGTGGGCCAAGGTTATTAACAGACACTTCTCAAAAAAGACATTTATGCAGCCAACAAACATGAAAAAAACCTCATCATCACTGGTCATTAGAAAAATACAAAAGTAAAACCACAATGAGATACCATTTCATGCCAGTTAGAATGGTGATCATTTAAAAAGTCAGGAAATAACAGATGCTGGAGAGGTTCTGGAGAAATAGGAATGCTTTTATACTGTTGGTGGGAGTGTAAATTAGTTCGACCATTGTGGAAGACAGTGTGGCATTTCCTCAAAGATCTAGAAGCAGAAATACCATCTGACCCAGCAATCCTATTATTGGATATATACCCAAAGGTTTATAAATCACTTTACTATAAAGACACATGCACATGTATGTTTATTGCAGCACTGTTCACAATAGCAAAGACTTGGAACCAACCCAAATGCCCATCAATAAATAGACTAGATAAAGAAAATGTGGCACATGTACACAATGGTATACTATCCAGACATAAAAAAGGATGAGTTCATGTCCTTTGCAGGGAAATGGATGAAGCTGGAAACCATTATTCTCAGCAAACTAACACAGGAACAGAAAACCAAACACCACATGTTCTCACTCATAAGTGGGAGTTGAACAATGAGAACACATGGACACAGGGAGGGGAACATCACACACTGGGACCTATTGGAGGATGGGGGGTGGGGAGGGATAGCATTTGGAGAAATTCCTAATGTAGATGACAGGTTGATGGGTGCAGCCAACCACCATGGCACATGTATACCTATGTAACAAACCAGCACATGTATACCTACGTAACAAACCTGCACATTCTGCGCATGTATCCCAGAACTTACAGTATTTAAAAAAAAAAAAAAAGGCCAGGTGCGGTGGCTCACGCCTGTAATCACAGTACTTTGGGAGGCCAAGGCGGGTGGATCACAAGGTCAGGAGTTCAAGATCAGACTGGCCAAGATAGTGAAACCTCATCTCTACTAAAAATACAAAAATTAGCCAAGTGTGGTGGCGGATGCCTATAATCCAGCTATTTGGGAGGCTGAGGCAGAGAATTGCTTGAACCCAGGAGGCGGAGGTTGCAGTGAGCCAAGACCGCGCCACTGCACTCCAGCCTGGGTGACAGAGTGAGACTCCATCTCAAAAAACAAACAAAACTATGATGTTAGTCTTACTCTTGGGACTTAGAAGAAAAGACATAAATGTTGAAGTCAGAATACTGATTCTGACACTTACTAGCTGTGTGATTCCAGATAATATTCCTGAACCTCCATTTCTCATCTGTAAATGGGAATCAAAATCTTTATTTCATAGGGTTGTCACAAAGTTTAAATGCAATAATATAGGTATTTAGTCTAATGCCTGCCTGAAGTTTAGTAAACGGCAACTAATCATATGTCCAAAAATAGCAAAGACGAGTATTCTGAGTTAGCGGCAATACTAATAGGGTAATATTCCCTGTTCATTGGGCAAGACCATCTATACAACACTTTCTTCTACCTTGAATGTTTAGCCTCTTTACAGCACACATCGTAACAACAGCCACACATGCTGCATCAATTTGCAAACAGAATGAAAAATAATTAATGCAATATGTTTGTGCACTAAAAGTTTCTCTCAGATATTATAAAGCTTAGGATTTGAATTCTTCTGGAGGAAATCTGAGCTCAAGATGGCTTTATACGTGCATCAGCCATTCTTTTATGTACTTTCAGGAATATCTGCTATCTATGATTATTTGTGAAAAGCCGATGTAGGAAGAAGACATATGAAACTGTGCTAACCTAATAAAATAATGCCTGAGGCATGAACAGCATATTAATATACTTTGCCCAAAAATGGCTGACCCTGCTGAGCTTAGATATCAATCCTATCTGGATACATGAAGATGCTAATTTCCAGTGAAAAACCTTGGAAGGATGCCAATAAATTCTGGGAAAAAGAAATAGTGTTATACAGATCCCTTCTCAGAGACCTTTGATGTCCACAGAAAACCTTTCCTGAAAAGACAATTTTCTTCTTTGGTTCATCTTTGAGGATTGCCCCAACTCAGTCATTTTGCATCCAAAGACCACCACAGAGTTCAGAGAAGGTAGGAGTGGCCTTCCTTTAAACTCTGGGCAAACCATTTGCATTTTCCAAAAGTTAGTTGACAATTACATGGTTTTGGGCCTTCCAGTTATAATTGTATTTTTAAAATAATAAGAAACAAGCAGCGGTTATGTTAACAGGACCCTGGTAGCTATCAAGGATGTGTGGTTCGGCTTTTGAAGTCAGTTTCAATAGATTTTCATGTGAAATAAGTGGAATAAGATGTTCCCATTTCAAGTTTCTCAAGTTATGCTGTTTAAGGTACCAGTGTTGTTTCTTATATTTGTTTTAGGGAGTTTTTTTACTTCCTCTGAATGACCACTATTTTGGAAATCAGACCTCCTCTATTAGGCTAAGCAAAATAGGGGTATAAGATTACATCTCTATTTGTTTATGTTTTTATATTTAATAAAATTAATTCAAGCACACGGTTTTAAAAAACAAAACAGACACAGAGTGTTAAAAGAATGAGAACAATCTTCTTTCTCTAGCATCTCTCCCCAAGAATATCCATTTCAAAATTTCTTTTCCTGTTTATCCAAGAAGAAATTTAAAAAAACAAATTTTATGTACAGACTTAATTATATGTATATTATTTCTTTTACACAAACAGGTACAAAACGTACTGTTGAGTACTTTGATTTTTCACTTAGTATATCTTGGAGACTTTTCAATGATCATGCACAGATCTTTCTGGCATCTGCATGCCACTCAGTTGTTTAGATGTGCCATAATATATTTAACCAGTGATTTCTCTGTCTCATTATAATATATATTGTAAGAAACAGTGTAAATTATTGTTATGCAATTGCCGAATCCAATAGTAAGTATATTGAACATTTTGACAGATATAAGTTCTAAGAGTATGTGACAGTGTTTATTAGGCATGTATTAATATTATATTACATCTATCTGTGTACCTTCCTTTACAGCTGGTTGAGGGTATGGTATTTATCAATGTTAGCAGAATAAGTAAATTAAGGATAGAAACTTGGGATACAACAAAGGGGTTATTTTAGTCAGGGTCCAAACAGGAAACAGAAGATACACTCAAATTAAGACCATTTAAGGAAGAGTCATTTACAAAGGGACTATTTAAAAAGATGCAGGCAGACACAGGGGAAACCCAAGGAATAGAGGAATAACCTGGAGCTAGAAAATAGTAACTGAACTGTTACCACCTCAAGCTATAATGGAGAGAGGAGGGAGCAAATACTGAACCTCAAAAGGAGCCATGTGAGAAGGTCACCTGGAGAGAAGCAGTAGCTGTAGGTAGAGGGCTCAGACATCAATGTTGTTGGGGCTTCCCGTTGGCTAAAACCAAGCAGAAGCCAGAGCACATGCCTTTTGATGAGTTTCGTATTGGTCAGCTTCCCAAGGCAAAGAGGATGGTTAAAAAGTGTGAAGAGCAGAGCTGAAGGGGCAAAAAATCCAAAGGATCCCAACACAGAGATTATGTCTATCATTCTGATTTCAAGAATGACCCATCCCAAACCAGAGAAGGACCCATACAATCTTCATACATCTCTAAGATCAGAATCTATACTTTCTTTTGATACTATAATATTTTGTCCATTTTCTAATTATTCTATTTTGTAAGCTGTCTGATATGAAGGACCATGTCTAACTTATTCATCACACTTTTACGGAACACAGAACAGTGCCTGACACATATGAAATTCATTCATAGTTACTAAATACATGTAAGAATAAATAAGTATATGCCAGAAAAAAGTTTATTTCTAAACTTGATATTTTTTTTTTCCTGTCTATGCCAGTGTCTTCATCATTAACAAGTTATTCAGCACTGATAGTATGACACAAAACATGGGAAATTTCCTTCTGGAGAATGACTGGACTCTTGTGTCTTCATGAGATCCCAGCCCTAGAGCTGAAGCCATACTTAGCTCTGCTTTTCTAATGGGTTCTCCTATGCTCAGTCTCAGGTATGTGAGTTTTACCCACATAAAGAACATGAGTGATGAGAGAAATTCCAGATATTTAAATGACCTTCTAGTCTATGGGAGGTTTCCATTTCTGCTCTCCACCAAGTTTTCTGAACCCTAAGTTGATAATCTCTAGCACCTGTGCATCCTATGCACTTACTTTGTGGTGCCTTCTCTTCTTTTGTTCGTGTAAATCTAGGCTATTATTCATTAAAGTTTGCTTTAGATCTGGTTGACATTCATTCTATAAAAGCAATAATTCCATCTAATTGTACTTTTTTCTTGAATGATTATATTAAATATAAACTTTTGTTGTCTAACTGCCTAAAGGGCTTGGACCCTATCTCTTGCATCATGCTATTCACAAACACAGAGTTTGACACATAATAGAGGCTCAATAAATAGAGGCTGAATTTATTCAGGAGTTCAACATTCTTCTTTCCTTCTCTAGGCTGTGCCTGATACATCCTTACACTTTGGAGAAGCAGCAAGAAAGTTGATTCTCGCTATTTGCTGTTGCTGAACACAGAGCATGAAAATCAACATAGTAAGATAGAATAAACTTGGGCTTTGATATGAGATCAACCTGGGCTCAAATCACAGCTTTGCCGTTTCTAGCATGATAACCTTGAGCATTATTCAACTTCTTGAGACTACTGGGAGAATGTAATGGGATTATATACACAGTAAATTCACTGATACTTGGTAAAATATTTACTTTCCTTGCTTTAGCCCATTCCCTTAAGAATATCAAAAATTGCATGCTGGTTAAAGTCAAAGGATGGGACAGTGAATTTAAATGAATGGTTTAAGGAATTTATTGTAATTTTGGAAAAAGGGAAGACCATAGTGTGAACAAACAGTCTTCTTTTAAACTTTCTTATCCTTGGGATGTGGAAATTTAATCTTAGTACTACATGGTGTTTCTCTCAAACACACTAAAAAAGCAACTGAACAAAACACAAAAGTTGATATGCATTTACTCTGCTCCCCATTCTTCTATATAAGTTGGCATTTGAACTTGTTTTAGAAATGTATTTAAACCAACAGATGTAGTATCTAAATGGTAATGTAACTAACACCTGTGAATCTATCACTGTCATTCATTTGTGAAGTTCCCTCTTTTGGAACAATTGCCAGTATTTCATTCACAAGTGAACCTGTTTTCAGTGTTTACTCAACACCCGTGGATGGTAGAGCAGTTTCCCACCTTCATCAGACTCTGCCTAGTCTTACAGCCCCCTCTAATGCCTCTCTCTTCCCTTCTCCCACTTGGCTCCAGTCACATTAGCCTTTTTTTGAAATTTTTTGCCAATTTCCATGACCACCTAATTACTATTATACATAGAATTACAATATGAATGACTAAATATGTATACTAGTAATTGTCTTACTATTAGCATTAAATGGTACCATCAAATTCTGTTTCTACAAGATCAGGGCTCACAGTCTGTAGCATGAATCCCCCTGCTCACATTCAACAGCCCCATCTCTCACCATGTTCTCTCTTAAGCCTTCATTCCATCCATGCAGAACCTTCATTTGGGGGTGCTCTAGAGCTTTCCTTTTTATTCTGGAACATGCTCTTTCTTCCGCTTTAGTCCCTCATGCTTCAATTCCCAATCCCACCCACAAACCCAGGGTTGATTCACTACTTACCCTGCAGTTTTCAATATGAAATAGCTGCTCCTCCAGAAACCGTTCCCAGTCCGTCCTGTTCACTCAGCCTGCTAGGTGACCCATAGCTTAATGCACTTCCCCTACTTTAAAGTTAATGCTTATTTAACTCTGTCTTCCTCCACCAGACTGTAAGACCTAAGAGGGGAGGAACTACATCTGTCTGATTTCTTGTTGACAACACTGTGCCAGTGTTGGGCATAGTGCGTGGCTCATAGAAGATGCTCAATAGATAATTATGGATTGAAACTCTGAAGACATAAGGACATTTGGTGTGGAATGGTATTAGTTTCTTTTTGCTACTGTAACAAATTACCATATAATGGCAACAATTACAATTTAGGAGATAAAAAATCCAAAGATGGGTATCACTAGGCTAAAATCATGGTGTCAATGAGTCTCTGTTCTGAAGGTTCTGGGGGACATTCCATTTCCTTGCCTTGTCTGGTTTCTAGAAGGCTTGCATGTCCGTTTCTTCATCTTCAAAGTCAGCAACATCTGACCAAGTCCTTCTCATGGTGCCATCTTTCTCTCTCTTTATTCTGCCTCTCTTCTACTTTTAAGGACTCTGGTGATTATATTGGGTCTTGTAGACAATCCGGGATAATCTCCCTTTTTAAGGGAAGTAGATTCAAGTTGCTACTTTAGTTCCACCTGAATTCTTAATTTCCCTTGGGTGTGTAATCTAACATAGTGACAAGTTCTGGAGATTAGGGCATGGGCATCTTTGGGGGTTATTATTCTGCTTATCCCAAGAATGTTACCCTTTTACTCACATCTGTATCTGTAAAATAAGAGGTTAGGTTAGTGGACCCCGTAAAGAATCTTCTATCTCTAGCCCAATTAGTACAGATAATATTAAATTATTAAACAGATGTATTCTCCTTTCTCTCAGGTAAATTATGTTTCTCTGTAACTTGAAGTCATGAGAAATAACGTGCAGGCAAAAAAAGGCAGTTACCAACCACAACAATGACATACGACTTTAATTTGAGTCTTAAATTAGTTATTGTCTTATTTTTGTTTTTCGTGACCTATCAAGGCTATGGTCTTAAGAGGAGACATTCTTGAGAGAGAAATGGATTTTCTCAATTCTTTAGTATCTCATTGGCACATTAAGGTGGAAGATTGAAAATTGAACTGTATTCTAAACCATAAGAAATGAAATTAAGATATGATGCAAGAGATACATATATTATAAATATAAGTGGACAGCCCATCCCTCCTAGATTTGTGGCATGTAGGGAGAGGAGGAAAAGGTAAATGGGAAGGCTATAGTAAAATGGATATACTGTGCTCTCCTCTCTGTTGAAATCCATAATGAAACTATCCATATAGATATGAGATGTATTAGTTGGGTCCTTTGCAGGAAGACATACAATCAAGGCTTTGAGAAAATAAAGTTTAATGAAAGGACCATTTACAGACAGATGTGGGCAGGAATAAAGGAACCAACAAGAGACAGTAAAGCACCACCAGCTATCAACAGAAGGGAAGGATCAGAGCTGTGGCCATTGACAGGGGAAGGAGCCACTTCAAAACTGTAGCCCCACAGGGTTAGTGTAGTGGGAAAACCTTGACTTCTCTCCCTACCCCATCTCCATCTGGTGCTGTTCTTCTATTTGTCAAACAAACTAGAAGCCATAGGGCAAGTGAGACTATGATGAGATCTAAAGAGGACAATCCCTTAGGAAAAAAAGAACAAGGCACATGGAGAATAATTAATGCAGAGTGAGTCCCAATCACAGGGGATTTTAGTTAGTGTGCCTGGACATAACTTGGGTGAAACTTCACTTTTACTTTGACACTATGCCAAAGGAGCACACAAATCCTTGTCTAAGGGTCTACTTCTGGGGAATTTGACCTAAAACGTGGTGGAGCTCAGTCTCAAACCTAGCTTCGCCTCCTCCAAAGCTAGTGCTGCATGTACTGCCTAATGCTGGCTCTTGTGGTTAGATGCTCAGCAGAGAATCTGTTGAAGCAGTATTTTTTTTTTCTGGCATGATCCCTAATGGTACCATTTGATTCTGGAAGAAAAACCTTACCTGAAGTTCTTTTTAAAAACAAAACAAATAACAACATTTCCTCTAGCATGTTGATTTAGTAGCAAAATGATATTGGAATGCATTTAAAATATTTCTATGAAGTAGATATAGACAAAAAGTACTACTGAACAGAATTGCTAAGCACTAGTAAGTTTGAAATATTCATTTTATAAACTGTCCTTCCTGGGTTCAAATTCTAGTCTTGGCCCTTATTAAAACATGACCCCAATATACTACTTGAATTTTTTGCACCTCATTTTGTGTGCTTATGAAATTGGGGTAAATACTTATGCCATAATACTGTTGTTAGGATTAAATTATTTAATATGCCTAAAGTACTTAGAGGATACCTGACATATCTTAGAGATTAAAGACTAAATAAATATTATTGTTACACGACTTAGTAAAAATACCCTCTGCTTTGATTCAACAAACCTTTAGTGAGTGCTTTATGGAAAGACTTAGAAGAAATAGTTTCTGTAATTAAGGAACACCAGAATTTAATCAGAAAAACAGGCATGTCAATCTAGAGTGGTGAATGATAAAACAGAGCCATACAGGTTTGGTTCCTATTATCCATTTTAATTTACTGGGATTGTCACAGATTCAGACTGGCCAGATATAGATTGGGATATGAAATAGGCAGGAGGTAGGGGGAAGCAATTGTTTTTGGTTTTTTTTGGTTTTTTCGAGACGGAGTCTTTCCCTGTCTCCCACGCTGGAGTGCAGTGGCACAATCTCCGCTCACTACAACCTCTGCCTCTCAGGTTCAAGCAATTCCCCTGTTTCAGCCCCCCGAGAAGCTGGGATTACAGGAATGCACCACCATGCCCAGCTAATTTTTGTATTTTTAGTAGAGACGGGGTTTCACCATGTTGGCCAGGCTGGTCTCGAACTCCTGACCTCAGGTAATCTTCCCGTTTCGGCCTCCCAAAGTGCTGGGATTACAACCATGAGCCACTGCACCCAGCCGAAGCAATTGTTAAATGTGTCTCTGGCATTTGTGATTAATGCAGCAGTTGTACTTTATAATGTATTATGTTTTAATTTTTGTTTCTCTAAGCTTTTATTTAACTTAATTTATTTATTTATTTATTTATTTATTTGTAAATAGCCGTGTTTTTAGAGATTTTGCACTAAGGTAGCAGCCCAAAGACAAGGGGTTCGAATGCTCGTGCTGCCACTTCCTGGCTTTGTAACACTGGGTGATCCTCTCTCCACATTAATTCCTCATCTGTGAAATGAGCCCAGCACACATCCCCTTTTTGCTGCTCTCAGAGAGAATGAGGACCAAACACAGTAAATGGATGTGCCAGTAGGAGTTAGATTTCAGATACATTCGGGTTTGAATTCTGACTCTGCCACTTACTAGCTGTGCAAACTTGGCTGAGTGATTCATCTTTCAAAACCTCAGTCTCTTCATCTATGTAATGGAAATAATTATACCTGTCTTCTAAATATTGCTTTGAGGATTAGTTGAGATTATGTATATAAAAATCCTAGAACATTAGCAAGCTCATAACTCAATTAGCTCTTTTTATTACCTGTTCCTTTTATTGCAGCTTGGGTAAGAATGTGTCACAGGAATCAAATGAAGAAGCAATCCTGCTTCTGAAATTTACAACAGAGTCACCACAGAAGGAGAAAAAAAACCATCTCTGTTTGTGTTTGTCTCCCAGGCTCAGCCAGATGACTTGAGGAACTTTGGAAATGTTAAGAGTTCAAACAAGCAATATGGAAAGACAAAACACCACCCCAAATTGTGCCTGTGACACATGCAGAAAGCAGATAAGGCATATCATTTATAATTTAAAAGGGAAGATTTATTAAACTAGATAAGGATCTAGGATTTATGATGAATTCTGTTTCTGTTTCTTATCCACCTCCTTTTATGTTTTTAATAATTCACACCTCTAAAGTTACATGGGCTATGTAACTCTCTTTTATTGCCCAGTCTTTCCTTTCAGAAGACACATAAAACATTGCAAGGATTTGTAGACACTAAGAAACAATAGCAGGAAGCCAGAGAATTTGCCTAAAAATTGAAGCTGAGTCAAATAGGAAAAGTCCCTGTAACCAAGAGCAACCAGACAGCGTCTATTGTGACTTTGCCACATGAGAGACCCTGTTAAAACACCAAAGCCACCAGTATCCAAAACTGTAGAGTTTCTTGAAAAACACACATGAAAAATCATTTCCTGTCTGTCACTGAACTACCAAGTTGCCATAATATTATGTCTCTGGTGTGACTTTCAATATACATAAACAATTTTGCTTTCTTTTTAAAGTTAACATCACCAACAGTACATTCCCGACTTAAAATGTGGTTATTTTCTCATTTCATACTTATTAAAATTTTATTTTTTTCTTATAGTTGGAATGTATGTTTTATATATGCATATGAATACATGCAGATTCATGTATATGGACAGCACGGAATTCCAAGGCCGTGATGGAAGAAAGCTTAATGTTGTTTTAGTCCAACACTCTCCTTTAATGGATGCAAATACCGAGTCCAGGAGAGGACAATGACTTGCTGAAGGCCTTACAGTTAGAAGTAGGACATGGACAACCAGATTTTTTTCTTTCTTGTTCTTTTTACCTCTCTACTATATCATAGTGCCTTTTAGACCAGGGTAAAACAAAACAAAACAAAACTATAAAAAATAAATAAATAAAACCTACAAAACAGACAGGAATGCCTGAAGGTACAGGGAACATATTTACCATTAGGCTGTTGGAAGCACTGAAGCTAGAGAGACCACGTGTCCTGTTGTCAGGAGTATTTCAGGTTTACACCTGTTGTGCTTTTGTAATAATCAATAGTGTCCTCATTTACTTTCAAAAATGTGCTGGTTTGGAGGTTTATATATGGTCACCCTAATTAACACACACGTTTCATGTTGAATGCCAAGATCCACATTTTACTTGCCAAGAATCAGAAAATGTATTCTAAAACTTGTCTTCCTATAAGAAAATATACAAACTCTGTCACAAAAGTTGGGATTTTGAAAAGTGGGCGGGTAACACTATGTACTTGAAAATGAGTAAGACCATGTGGAATGGACCAAAGATGAGCTAGCTTTGGCCCAAAAGACTGAAGACACAAGTGTAGTTTTGCAAGGTGTATTCAATAAGAATTGTGGCTCTGTTTTTATTTTTGCTCGTTTTTAACAAACAAAATGAAAATATATGAAAGAGTAGTAAAGTGATGCTGTAATTGAAAAAAACATAACTGGGCGGGCATGGTGGCTTATGCCTGTAATCCCAGCACTTTGGGAGGCCAGCGGGAGGGCGGGGGCATGGATCGTTTCAGGCCAGGAGTTCGAAACCAGCCTGGCCAACATGATGAAACCTCATCTGTACTAAAAATATGAAAATTAGCCAGGCGTGGTGGCTCACGTCTGTAATCCTAGCTACTCGGGGAAATGAGGCAGGAGAATCACTTGAACCCAGGAGGCAGAGGATGCAGTGAGCCGAGATCGCACCAGCATGGATGACAGAGTGAGACTGTCTCCAAAAAAAAAAAAAAGAAACCACAACTGAGAGTTGAGATGCAAGTGCAGTTCTTAGCAAAGTGTGTCTTAAGGCGAGTTGGTATATTTCTCTGGGCTCTATCTTTTCTGTCATCTATAAAATAAAGGGAATGAATTAGACTATCTCTTTCTTTCCAGTTCTAATTTTAGACTCCCATGTTCTTATTAATAAATTTCCACAATTTTTTCCTTCCCTTGGAATATGTATTACCTATTAATCCACTAATTACTCCCAAATTCTTGATGATACAAGTATTTCCTCAGAAATTTCAGAAGGGATGAGAAATAAGTAACGTAAAGAATTATCTCCTCCTGGGATTGACCTCCGGCATTAATACAATGTAACAAAATAAGGTGGGAACAAAGAGGGTCCATCTCTTCATTCCAGTGTCCTGGCTCAGACAAATGTCACTTATATGTCTCATGTTCTATTTTATCAGTTCAGTGGCAAACCAAGACTCTGCATATAGGTGTGGAATGGGTAAAATAGAAAAATGTGGCATGACCAATTGGCTGAATGTGGCTTTCTCCCCAACTGGTTCAGCCCACAGCACAGCAGCTCATACTGACAATAGAGAAAGCTGAAACAATGGGATTAGATATGGTATAACTTTACTTGATGACATGAATAGGCGTAGCTTCATTTTTCTAGTGTTGATTGCTGAATTTTAATAAGTCCAAAGGTCAATTACTTTTTGACTGCTTATATGGAGAGAAAACTGATATCTAGGGAAGGTTGATTGTATTATTCTTTCTGCACACATAACAAGTTGATTTTCTACTTATAGAGAATGTTTTTAATTAGTGTTTGAATTGTGCATTAAAATTAGGCTTCTATAAATAGTAAGCAGATGTGATATTTTATACCTTAAAATTCAAAACTTTTTTTCTCCCTCATTTGATGAATTCTAACCCATAGCCCTCTGTTTACATGTTTGCTATTTTGGTTCTGTGTAATTCTAGAAATAACTAGTTTCAGACAGTTATGGTTTAGTGAACGTGGGGAATTGCTTTAGCTAAAATTATTGTTGCTTGTTTCTAAAACTCCTACAGAATAAATCTACGGTCTTTGGAAAAGCAGAAGTTATTTCCAATGACACATACTATTTGCTGAAAATTTACGGTAGATTGACTCATGCATCTTTGCATTGTACTTAGATTAAAATTCTATAGCTTTGGTTGAGGGGTAGATGTGTCAGTGGCCTCGCTGTGGCTTAACAGTTTGTTTTGATAGGACAGAGAAAGATTACCTAATTATAGGAGGCTCATTATTGGTTCTGAAGGAGGAAAAAAGTCATCTCAACATTGATTTCTTCTGGAAATGAATCATGCAGTTGTATAACTTTTAGCACCACTGTCTGTCTCCATTTGTGATCTTTTTTTTTCTCTTTTAGTTAATGTGAAGTTTGTCATTTCAAATAATGTCTGATGTCTGGCTCTAGGCTATTTGTAGATTTATCCTACTCAACGTGTGTCACTCATCTTTGTTTAGAATCTGCAACCTTCATCCTAGCAACCTCTTTTTATTTTATCCTTGCTTTTGCTTCATTGGTGGCTCTATACAGATTATAATGGACTCTTGCAGTAAGACTATGATTAATGGTAGGTATCATAAGTCCATAAATGTACAGTAAATTGAAATTCTTGACATGAATTTATCATCCAGATAAATATTGGCTGCATCTTATTTCAACAGATGCTTTACCCATATTTTATGGTAGCTAACCCATCCTTTTAGCAGTGCCTCTTAAAGAAACTATAGAAAGTTCAAGTGTTTCACTCCACACATTTAATCTCTGAGTTGAAGCTGGAGCCATCAGAATTCTTCCAAATGTGAAAAAAATAAGCCCTGGAATTCCAAATGATTATAATCTTTATTTTAGTCTTTCTTGATTTTCATGTGATGTTTACTTTGTGTATCTGCTTGCACACAAACAAACAAAAAATGGATTCCAGCATGGTGTTGCCTATTTAGGAATCAAATTTTATCTAAACATGATCATGACCCATAAACTATCTTCCTACGGTCTCATAGGCTAGTCGGTGGTCCTAATATACACTGAACAACAGAATTTTCTATCTCACCTTTAGATTTAATGTGAAGTAACCAGCATGAATTTTCAAGAACTCAGCTAAGAATGTGATGAGGCCTTAGGAAAAACATACCCTTGCAAAATCCCTAAATGCTGACAACTCTCTTAAGTAATTCAGCACTTCTACCTTGAACTCTATTCAAAAATGTATTTTTTGGAATATAAACCAACAGATGTTAAAGGGTACCATCTCAAAAGAAATAATACATCATTATCATAAAGGAGCAGCCACCCTCAAATAAAAGCGTATTTGTATCTGTAGAAGGTAAACAATTTGAGTACATCTGAGCTTTGGTGAAACTGGTTTACCACTTTAACTCTCTTGCCACATGGGTAATGGATCAAGCAGCCAGAAAATCATGGACTCATTTCAACTGTGGAAGTTCAGGGCGCAACTCCAAGCCAAAAGTGTGGCCATGGCCAGCTGTCTCAAGCCTCTATGTGTACTCAGTAACCAATAGTATGTTACAACATATGCTGTGTCAATCTAGCCATTAGCCTTCCAGACCAAGTTAGGAGGGTTTTTATTGCATTTGGTGCACTGACAAGGAAGCTTTGATTGTATTTTATGGGTCAGGAAGTAGAAAGGCACAAAGACTAAAGATGAAAATACAATTTAGACTTTTCACTTTCAGGCTCATAATAGTAATCTATTCATGTTTGTCTCCTTTTAGAACTAACCTATATTTAATATGTAAATGCAGGTAATTATAGTAAAAACCAATTAGTAAAAACATAGCTCTCAGTAATAAAGCAAATAAATGGAAAGTCTGAAATGCCCTCTCTTATTAAAAAAAAACCTGAGAGAATTATAAGAAAAACAGGCTTATCTCAGTTGTTAGACAAATCTGATTTTCAAGATAAATTCTAGAGTTTGAAAAAATTTAATCTTTCTCTCTCTATATATATGTATGCTACTGTAGAATAAGAACCATCAGTCTATATGATAACCCCCAATCCTTGGGTACTCAATCATCAAAGAAAAAAATTATTATTTAACATACTTATTTACTAAAGCAGAAGAATAGCATAAGAGTATTTGAAAAGTTGGGGGTTTTTTAAATTATCTTTTTCCAGCTTTTATTTTAGATACAGAAAGTACATGTGCAGGTTTGTTACCTGGATATATTGCATTCAGGTATTAAGCCTAGTACCCAATAGGTAATTTTTCAATCCATGCCCCACTTCCTCCTTCCCCGCCTCTAGCAGTCTGCAGTGTCTATTGTTCCCATGTTTATGTCTGTGCCTGATCAATGTTTAGCTCCCACTTATAAATGACAACATGTGGATTTGGTTTTCTGTTCCTGCATTAACTCGCTTAGAATTATAATCTACAGCTCCATCCATGTTGCCGCACAGGACATAATTTTATTCTTTTTTACAGAGTGTTCTGTAGATGTCTATTCATTCCAGTTGGTCAAGTGTCAAGTTTAAATCCAGAATTTGTCAGTTTTATGACTTGATAATCTAACATTGTCAGTGGGACATTGACGCCTCCCACTGTTATTGTGTGGTTGTCTAAGTCTTTTTATAGGTGAAGAACTTGTATTATGAATCTGGGTGCTCCAATGTTGGATGTACATATTTAGGATGGTTAAGTTTTCTTTTTGGATTTTATCTTTTATTATTATGTAATATCCTTTTTTTGTCCTTCTTAATTTTCATTGGTTTAAAATCTGTTTTATCTGTTATAAGAATAGTGACTCCTGCTCTTTTCTGTTTTCTGTTTTTATGGTAGATCTTAATCCATCCCCCGACTTGGAGCCTGTGGGTGTTGTTACATGTAAGATGGGTCTCTTGAAGACAGCAGAGGGTTGGGGCTTCTCTTTTTATCCAGCTTGCCACTCTATAGCTTTTAAATGGGGCATTTAGCCCATTTACATTCAGGATTAATATTGATATGTGAGATCTCAATCCTGCCATGTTGTCAGCTGGTTGTTATGCAGGCTTGATTATGTGATTGCTTTATAGTGCTTGTGGGCTATGGGTTTAAGTGTGTTTTTGTGGTAGCAGGTACAGTTCCTTTGGTTCCATGTTTAGCACTCCCTTAAGGACCTCTTATAAGGCTGGTCTTGTTGAAATGTATTCCCTCAGCATTTGTTTGTCTGAGAAGGATTTTATTTCTCCTTCCCTTATGAAGCTTAGTTTTCCAGAATATGAAATTCTTGGTTGGAATTTCTTTTATTTAAGCATGCTAAAAATAGTCCCCCAATCTCTTCTGACTTGTAAAGCTTCTACTGAGAGGTCTGCTGCTATCCTAACGGGTTTCCCTCTGTACATGACTTGATCTTTCTCTCTAGCTGCCTTTACATTGGTTTTTAACAGAGAGAAATTCTCAAACTCAAACATTAAGTCTTATTCACTGTATTACCACTAGGGATTAGGTACATTCATAACATACAGTAGGTTCACCTAAATTCCTGATGAAGCATAGGTATTTTCTTTTCTTTTTTTTTTTTTTTTTTTTTTTTTTTTTTTGAGATGGAGTCTCGCTCCATCGCCTAGGCTGGAGTGCCGTGGCGCAATCTGGGCTCACTGCAGGCTTCGCCTCCAGGGTTCACGCCATTCTCCTGCCCCAGCCTCCTAAGTAGCTGGGACTATAGGCGCCCACCACCACACCCGGCTAATTTTTTGTATTTTTAGTAGAGACGAGGTTTCACCGTGTTAGCCAGGATTGTCTCAATCTCCTGACCTCGTGATCCACTTGCCTTGGCCTCCCAAAGTGCTGGGATTACAGGCGTGAGCCACCTCGCCTGGCTGGTATTTTCTTTTAACACTTATTATAGGCTACATTATTGGTTCTGAAAGAGGAACATTAAGTCATCTTACCTGATTTCACCTGCAAATGAATCATACTATAAATCATACTATAACTTCTATCACTACTGTCTGTCTCCATTAATGATGAGGGAATTCAATTATCTAAAAATTCAATTTTCCCTATTTTGGGGGGAATACAGTATTGCTATGGCTGAACAAGCTATTAGGAGGAGAGTTAATATGGCTTTGAGGCTGAAGTTCAGACTGAAGTTGATTGCCTGTTCTCATGTTCCAGGACACCATCATTAGCCATGAAACCTTGGACAAGTCACCTAACTTCAAAGCAACTCTTTCCTGGTAATAATAGTCCCTACTTGGCTTTATGTGAGAATTTAGTTCATACATGTAAAGTACTTGCAACATGAATGTTCCCTAGTACTTCATAAGTTTCACCTACTTTATTTTGTATGAGATTATCGAAGATAAAGCCCTTAATTGAAAGGCTCTTGTAATTTATAACTTTTAAGAATATCCATAGTAACCAAACAGAAAATAACTGACTTTTCACTTTAGTAGGTTCCTGAATGTCAAGGAAAAAAATAAATAAGGTTCATTTGGCCTACAAAATTTTGGTTTAATTTTAAACCCACAGCTACCTATTGAAATCAACTTATGGCAGCCTTAAAGTGATATGATTTCTTCAGAAGTGGGTCAGTAAAGAGATTTTCTATTTCAAGAGAATCTTATAAATCACCAGATAAAGACTATGAGAAACAGCATATACACACTTATAGTCTGATTAAATATCTGGATGGATATTCTTTCTTGGGAAAAAAGTTCTATATTTTATGGCTTGGTAATTTATTCTACTTTAGTAAAGCTGTTATCTTTTAAGACAACACAAAATTGAATGAATATATCATTCTAAGTACAACTCATGTGGAAAAAATGTATATTTTTGGAGATAAAAAGGCAGATAAATCAATCCACATCTTGGTTACTGATGCAAAGGAAGTCTGCCACTGTGGAAATATATGTCAGTGATTCTGTCCTAAAATTACTGACATGTTTATAGAATGGGCCTGAGGAGGCCAAGTTCATATGCTCATTGCCTGTGTAAGTTAAGTAGCTGTGATCTGTCCATAACTCCTACACTGCTCCCTATTTAATTAAGCCAATTGATTTTTCATACATCTAAAAAATTCTGCGAAGTCTTACCACCAACGAGAAGGCTAAACTATTAATACTCCAGCTCAGGATGTACTAGAGCAAAAGAGAAAAGTGACTGATTTTTTTAAATGAATTAGTCCTTACTTCTATCCTCTTTCTAAAGCTAAGTATTTAAGTGAAACAGGGATGTCTTATAGAACTATTGACTAAAACTAGTTTCCAAGTTAGAGGTGTGAGATTTAAAAAAAAATGGACATGAAAGTTGTGTAATAAAATAAAATTTAAGAATGTAATCAATTTTCAAAATTGAATAAATAAAAGCATGAATTATAAATAATGTACCCACTTATTGCTTTTCCTAGATTACTGTTTCATGTGATATTTGGATTACAACTAACTTCCTTTTTTAGTGATAAAATCACCAATATAGCAAATTAGAAAATCTAAATTCAAGTCCCTATGATTCCCAACAATCTGGCTGAGGGCAAATCTTTTAACCTTCCTGAGCCTCAGTTACTGTATTTTTAAAGTGAAGGTTTTTATGAAGAAGATGGAGATAATTTATCTATTGAAAATGTTACCAATGTTTAAACAGCAACAAAAATATCCTGCCTGGGGGACCAAAGTGTAAGTCTGAGACTTGATCACAAGCAAGAGCGCCTGGCACACAGATGGGGCTGAATCACTGTTCACAGAATGCTCATTAACGCATGAATGAATCAATGAATACGCAGTAGATAAAAGATTGTGAAACTTAACCACGGCATGAGGAAAGAAAATAAAAACAATGAAAAGCTCATACCATATTAATAGAGACTGTGATTCATTTTGAAGGGTGATGACATTTAAATTTTCAGTTTCTTAAATGTATAACATACACAGTTTTTAACACGTTGAAGGAATGTGGCAAGCGATAAAGTTAAAGATTCTGAATCTAGTAACAGAGGGTAGAGAGAGATGCTCAGACTCAGCTTAGATTCAGGCTTTGGGGCTTGAATCCTAGCTCTGCACCTCAATTGCTGTGCGATATGAGGCAAATCACTTAAACACTCTGTCTCACTTTTTTCATATTTAAAAAAATGAGAATGCTAAAAGTTTTATTATGGCATACCAAATGTCAAAAGAGATAGCCAAGATAGTAAAATGAATGACCTTTCTGGGGTAACTTTATTAGCCCCTGAGTACCTGGTGATAGAAAATACACCAGGATGGCAAAATTTCTGTAAATATTACCATCTACAAGATTATTAAAAATATCGAAGTTTCTCATTCTTAAGCAAAATTCATTTGTCATGGTGATTGTAAAGCATTTTAGCCAATAGGGTTTTAGCAACATTCTGTAATTTTAGCTTGAGTTTGCAAAACACATGCATTTTTTATAGGAGGTCAGGCAGTAGCCAAATTATGAAAAATGGTAGCAGCACCAAGTCTTTGCATATACTGACCTCTCACAAAGATCACGTTAATGCCACCAAGACAGTGTTGCTGGGGAAGAGTTATTACAGGTCCTTTCAGCCAGTTAAGTATTTTAGGACTTAAAATGACAACTCCTGCCATTACCCAAGGCATTATCTCATTGAATTTTTAAAGCTACCATAGCTATCATTACTGGCCTTAATTTCTAAGATCTGAATTCAATTTCCAGTTGTGGCATTTGTTAGTTATACAAATTCATTATGTCCTCTTAAAGTTCCCCATGTCTCCATTGACTCACAGAAGAATGAGATCCTCAGATAAAAATAATATCTGTGGAATAAATTATTAACAGTCAAGCAAGCCCGCCCTCTCCCAAGGCTAGTTGGTGATGTTGTTTCTGTGCCATTCTATCTTCAGGGAAGAGAAAAATAAGAATTATTACATTCTAACTGAAAGACTTGTTGCTGGTGGCAATATTTGTCTTAAGGAAAAAGTATTTTATTTTAGAACTTATTAACAAATTTAGTTGAAGGCAAACAAGCAAGAGAGCTAAAATCTCTGCAAAGTGAAAATAAAACAACAAAAAGATTTTAGAGTTTCTTTGGCAGCCAAAGAGAGCCGGAGAGGAAGGGAATCTGGGAACCAAGAAGAGAGGGGAAGGCATAAAATTCCAGAGAAAAACGTGGAGGAGGAAAGTCCTGAGCGAAGACGGCAAAGAGGAAATTCCTAGTGTGATACTGGCTAGAGAATTCTGATGAGCAGGAATGCCTCCTACTCAATTTTAAGTGGTTTGATTTGATGTGCTCTACAATAATAACTCTGTTATCCTCAACACTTCAGTGGAAAAATGCTGCATAAAACTGCTTTATATTGGGATGCTTCAGGGAAACCGTAAAAGGGGGGACTATGTTCTATCTGTGGGTGAGAGCAGGTTGGAGAGGTGAAATGAGCTGCAGGAAGAGAGGGTCAAGATGCTAAAAAGAGATGAGCAGCAGTGAATAGGAAATAAGTCTTCAGGAATTCTCAGCAATCTTAGTAAGGGCAATACGCTAGCAAAGTTTGCAAGGCAGAAGCTCAAGGCTGTTTCATTTAAGGATGAAAGAGCATTATTACTCCTCAAAGCAGGAACACTTGAGTACCCGAAGGTGTCTGGCACCTGGCTTCCACATTTCCTAACATACACAGTGTGAAGGATTGCATTTGAGTTAGTGAGCAATAGTTCTTAGCAGGTGCTGTGCAGTGAACAATCAGGGTTTAAATCCTCACTTCACTACTTTCCTCTGAAACATGAAGTCAGTTACTAAACTCTTCTAAAGTCCATTCTCCATTTGTGTCTCCAGATGGTAACAGTGCCTCTCAGGATTGTAGGCAATTAAAAAAAAAGGTGGGGGGGGCTTATTTCTAAAGATCTCTAATATGATAGCTTGCACACAGTTAAACTTACAAAATAATCTTCATTCTTTCCTTCAGTTCTTGATTTAGTCTGTTGACTTCAAATAATTTACAGTATTCCCTTCTTTATCCACGGGGGATACATTCCAATTGGATACTTGAAACCGTGGATAGTATTGAACCCTATATATACTATGTTTTTTTCTATACATACATAGCTATGATAAAATTTAATTTATAAATTAGGCACAGTAAGAGCTTAACAGCAACTAATAATAAAATGGAACAATTAAAACAACATGTCAGCATCACTATTCTTGTACTTTGGAGCCATGATTTAGTACAATAAGCGTTACTTGGACACAAGCTCTGCAATATTACAACAGTATCTCTCATCTCCAAGATGACTACTAAGTGACTAACGACCAGGTAGCTAGTCAGAATGGATAGGCTGGACAAAGGAGGGATTCATGTCCCAGGCAGAATAGAGTAGGATGATATGAGATTTCATCATGCTACTCAGATGGCACCCAATTTAAAAACCTATGAATTGCTTATTTCTGGAATTTTCCATTTAATATTTTCAGACTACTGTTGAACTGAAACCATTGAAAGTGAAACTGCAGATAAGAGGAGACTACTGTATTTTAGGAATGCAACTTGTAAATGTCATTATTTGCCAGGGGAATTCTTCAGATTGCAATAATCAGATTGCAAACAGGTCATATAAAGACGTTTGTATTTTAAAAGATAAGTGATGATGATATTCATTTAGGAAGCATGTAAGAGATAAAGAGTCACTTAGCAGAGATGCCGTGGGGCTGGGATTGGTTAGAAGAACGGAACACAAAACCAATTTTGAGTTGAGCTCGGCGGTACAATACTAAAACATAAACCTAGTTATATATCCTTATGGCATCTGAAATCACTCACATCATTCTTACTGGGTCCTGTCCCTAGATTCTTGCTTCCATTTTCTGTGATGTATTCTGGAATGATGCCTCTGGAATTAACATGTTTTTAAAAATGTTTGCAACAAAATTATTGTTTTTAAACAAAAGTGTTCCTCAATGTTGTATAAATTGTGACATGCCCTTCCTTATAAGCTTTTGAATCCTTTCACATAAAAAGTAATTATGTGTATAAAAGACTGCAATATCTATGAATGTTATGAAGTAGAAATTTTAGTCATTTATAGGAACATAGAAAATGAAGGCTATTTTCTTGATGATTAAGTTTAGATCTTCTCGAAAGTAATTTATGAAAATACATTTTGAGAATTTTATATGATGTAAGCGACCCAAATCTGTGATGTGAATTATCTAAAACATAAACAAACCATTAAAAAAGAAACAGATTATTTATTAGGCACATGCTTTTCAGTAGAGTTGAAATAAATATTTATCTCCATAAAAGCAGAAAACATTTTCCCAGGAATGGATTGTATTCTGTTTTATCAGTTCAGCAAATGCCTGATAGCCTTTCTTAACTTCTCTGTGTTGAGTATCAAACAAATACAATAGGTCAACCACTCACTGTTCAGTGTGTGGAAACCCTACTGATTGAGGCTTCTCAGAAGCAAGGGGTAAAGGAAGAACAGGAAGTGGCAATGACCCTGAAGAACACTCATCTCTGACCTCTGTGTATAGCAATGAGAGAGAAAAGCGTGCTCTTTAGTAACTCAATCTTTATTTTCCTATTTCTCAGGAGCCCATGTACTGTAAACCTTTATTTGACCTGTCCCCACAAGGTTAGCATGGGTCACAGTCTCCACATTTGCAAAATGGTGAGCTTAGATACAGAATAAGTAAATACTCATCCCAGGAGCAAAATTTGTGATGGCATTGAAAGCTGGCTCCATGCCTCAAAAATGTCAAGTCACAACTCAGGTTTAACAGTTTCTATTACACATATTCAATTTAATCAGCTATTTGTCTTAGAGAGCATAAAGCAATTTAAAATTGATCATGTGTTAGAGCTGACTACAAAGAATAAAAATGCCTTGTCAAAAAGAGAAAAAAGTGCTATTAAGTATCAATTTCCTTTTTGCACTGCCAAAACATCGAAGAATCTTCCAGTTATAAAATCTGAACATGCTTCCTCTTCAGAGTTGACACTTTACCAAATCCTATTCATTCTGTCTTTAAAATACCTTGACTGTTTTTTTCTTCTCAGTTTCTATTTTTTGAGCTCTCATTCACTCCAATGACTTTAATTACGACTGATATGTAGATGACTTTCTAATCTGTACCTCTGGCTGGAATTTTTTTGAGCCAACAGACACCAACTCCACGTATCCAAGATTCAATTCATCTACTTCTCCTCACAATTTGCATTCTTTGTTTCAGTAAATGACACCGCATCCAATTGTTTAAGGCAGGAACCTGGGAATCATCCTGATTTCTTCCTCTTCTTTACCCTCAATTTCCAAAGAATCAATAGATCTTGTCACTTCCACTTGTGTTAATACCTCGAATTGATTTGCTTCTCTGTAACCCCATTGTTGCTGATAATGTCCAGGGTACCCTTAAAAAGTCAAGCACTACAGGTTGCCTACTCAATATCTATTCTTGCTTCCATAGCCTTGATTTACCTAATTAAAAATGTTTAATCTCTTAGTTTCCCTTGCTGCTAGCATAGGACATAGTTCTGGACAACGAGATGAAAGTGGATTTTACCCCAAAAGTTTTCTGGGAAAAACTCCTTAAAAATTGATTAACTTAACTGTCTTGTTTCATCAGCTCTTGATCCACAACCTTTCCCTTCATGCCTAGAATGTAGATGCAATGTCTGAATTGTAGCAGCCCTTTTGTGAGTACAAGGAGAAAAGCTCCATGCAAAAAATAGTAAAGCCAGAAGGGAGAAGTCATGGTTGCTGGCAGTAACACGGTGCTACTATGTCATGATTATCTGTGTCCATATTCCTTATTATCTGAACAAACAAACAAAACAAAACACCTCATTTCATAAAGTCAGTAAGCCACTGTTACTGGGTTTCTATTACATGAAGCCAATGAAGTTGTACCTCTGTCACATTTCTCATATCCTCCATTTTATTTCTAATATTGGCATTCTTTTTAAAAAAAAATCTTCACGGGCCACGATTGCCCTTATGATAGTTCCAAACTCCTCAGCAGCATGTATAATGCCCTTCAGGATCTAGTCCTTAACTCTAGGTTAAGCCTTATTTATCCCATCAAGTTCCAACCTCTATGCTCAATCAATTATACTTTCAGTTCCTCAAACACATCATTCTCTCAACTAAGACTTAAATGTGCTATTCTGTCTATATGGAATATTCTTCTTTTATTCCTCTCCCACTTTACTTGGATAACTGACAAGTTTTCTAAAATCCTGCTGATATGGTTTGGCTCTGTGTTGCCACCCAAATCTCATCTCAAATTGTAATCCCCACGTGTTGAGGGAGGGAGGTGACTGGATCATGAGGGCGGTTTCCTCCATGCTGTTCTCATCATAGTGAGTGAGTTTTCACAAGATCTGATGGTTTTATAAGTGTTTGACAGTTCTTCCTTCACTTGCTCTTCTTTCTCATGCCTCCTTGTGAAGAAAGTACTTGCTTCTCCTTCACCTTCCACCATGATTGTAAGTTTCCTGAGGTCTCCCAAGCCATGTGGAACTGTAAGTTAATTAAACCTCTTTCCTTTATAAATTACCCAGTCTTAGGTATTTATTTATAGCAGTGTGAAAACAGACTAATACACTTGCTTAGGAAACACATCCTGAAAGAAACATTTCCTGATCCAACCTAGATCAGGTGCCTCTCCTCAGGGTCCCTATAACAATTACATGCCAGTATTTATCTCCATCAGAATATTTTCCACACTAATGACAACTACTATTGTACTTCTCTGTCCCCTCAACTAGATGAAGATAAATTTCTTAAGGAAAAATTGTGTCTTATTCACTGTTATAATTCCCTGTTTTATCACAATAGCTGATAAATAGTACTATATAGTTGTTGAATGAGTAGATGAATAAATGCACTTTCATTACACATATCTATCATTCAAGCTCAAATTCCCATCATTATATGCCTATACAATTATTCATTCTAATTCATCCAATATTATTCCAGACATTGTGGTATATAATTAATCACAGAACAACAATAATGAAAATTAAGAACTTGCCTCCAGCTCCATTAGGACCAGAAAAGGATATTGATTTCTTAATAAGTAAAAAAGGTGTAGGGTACTTGAGCTCTTTAATGCAATTAATTTTTGTAATTAACTTTATAATTAGGTATATTTAAATGAAAAATTTAGTTGTATCTATATTAATATTTTTCTTTTATCTGGTTGTTTTCTATGAATTACTTTGACTGCAAAAGCCTCAACTGCCAAGACATTATATCAGGGCATATAGAGCTAGAAACAATCTTAAGATTACTAACTTCCTGAATCTACAAGGACTTCTCTCCAAAATAGAGTCAAAATACAATTTGTCTACTTGACTATTTCCAGTCTTAAAAACACTACTCGAGAATTATAACTATTCCAAGACTTTTGGAATGCAGTTTTCATGATAGGTTTGAGGGTTTTTTTTACACTTTTATGGAGGTATAAATTATATGTCATAAAATTAATTGTAAGTGAAGAGTTGGATTTTTTAGTATGCTTATATAGTTGTGCAGTCATCACTTTACTGTAGATTTATAATACAGCCATCACTTCAACAGTCCCATTGTGTCCATTTTCAAAAAATCCCTGCTCCCACTCTCAGCCCCAGGCAACCACACATCTGCTTTCTATGTGTAGAGGGTTCTCCTTTTCTAGAAATTTCATATAAAAGGAGTCACATATTATGTATCCATTTGTGTCTGATTTTTCTTTTTTTATTTACCATAATTTGGAGATGCAGTGCCATCTATGTTGCATGTATCAGTAGTTTGTTACTTTTATCGTTGAATAGCATTCCATTGTATAGATACACAACATTCTGTTTACTCACTGCTTGTGGATGTTTGTATTTTTTCAATTTCTGGCAATTATGAATGATGCTGTTATGAACATTTATGAAGAAGTGTTTGTGTGGACACATGTCTTGATTTCTCCCAAGTAGATATCTAGGAATTTAATTGCTGGATTATGCTTTAAGTTTATATTTAACTTTTTAAGAAGCTGACCAACTGTTTTCAAAAGTGACTGTACATTTTACATCCATACCAAAAATGAATGAGGGCTTCAATTTACCGCATTTCAGCAAACAGTATTGTCACATTTATTATTATTATTATGGCCAGTCTTACCTATATATAGTGATATCTCATTGAAATCTAATGAATAAAAATTGTAAGCACCTTTTTGTGTATGCATTAGCTATTTGCCTTCTTTGCTGAATGTCCATTTAAAAATTTTGCCCATTTTTAATTTGATTGTATTATCATTTAGCCAAGCACAAATTCTTTATTGGATATATGATTTGTAAATGTTTTTTCCAGTCTGTGACTTTTCTGTTTACTTTCTTAATGGTATTTTTTGAAGCACAAATGCTTTAAATTTTGATGCAGTATAATTCATCAATCTTTTATGAATTGTTCTTTTGGTGTACTAAGAAACTTCTACATAACCCAAGGTTGCAGAGGTCTTCTCTTATGTTTTTTTCAAGAAGTTTTATAGTTTTATCTTTTATATGTAAGCCTTTGATACATTTCAGTAAATTTTTGTGTATACTGTGAGATAGGTTCCAATTTCATTTCTTTGCATGTTGTAGCTACCTAATTTTTCCAGCATCATTTGTTGAAAAGACCCCCGAACATTTAGTTGTCTTGGTACCTCTGTTAACAATCAATGAACCATTAATGTGAGAATGTATTTCTGGGCTTACTAGTTGATTACATTAATCAGTACTTTGTTTGCATATCTCCCTCCATATTGAGCCTATCTCTGTGAAAGCAAAGTTGGTGGATTTTCTTGCTGTCCCTGTGCTGATAAAACTGCAATTCTCACCAACTGCCATGAGGAGAGAGGTGGAGTTTTTTCCATACATGAAGGCCTCATACTTTTACTGTTGTTGCACAAAGCTGGGGTATCTTTTCAAGAACAAATGCTTAGTTAGTGGGTACAGTGTATGTTATTTGGGTGATGGATACCGTGAAAGTCCTAACATGACCACTACTCAATCCATTCATGTATCAAAATTGCAAATGTACCCCATAATTTTGAACAAATCAAAAGAAAAAAGCCCTGAAATGATTATTTTGATAACTTTATCTAGTTTCATAGATGTTTGTAGAAAGGGTGTTCTGACTTCTTCACATAGTCATGGCTGAAACTTCCTTTTCATGACTAATTTTTAAGGGGAAGAATATGCCGTTGAGCCTCATCTCAGCACACCTACCCACAGAAGTTGCTTGAAATTATTTTTGAAGTAATTTTTGGAACACCTGGGTCCATATGGAAGATTAAATCTACATGTTTATTCTCTGCTCCCTCCACAATGTCACCAAAATAGCAGTAATAAAATTTTTAAAAACCCACAATGACTGTAAGAAAATAAGAGGAGCAACCAAAAAGTGTTTTGGAAGCTAGCAAAAGTATTAGACAAATGGTCACTGTCTTAACAGAACAGAGAATTGTGAAAACTATCTATCATTGGAAACAACAGAAAGATGTAAGTTGATAATACACCAGAAATTCAGAAGATACCATATACTATGTGTTTTGAATGGAGGCAAAATGAGGCTGAAAAGGAATACTGGGAAAGTCTTTCAAATGAGCAATTACGGCTATTGATTTCCAAACCTATTATGTGTTGCTAGAGGACTATACCTGGTATATCTGAGTACAAGACTGAGATTTTAACCCGTGGACATCTAGGGATATCAGCCATAGCTGAGGTGATAGTGAGCTACAGAAGACTAAAAGAAAGTAAGAACAGTGAGTTTCTTAAATCCCTTTCTTAATCAGAATGCTACTGGTAATATACACATCCCCTTAAACAAGGGATTGGAGTATGCTAAATAAATCTTACAGTTTAAAAAGCAGAGATGCAGGTAATGAGAATGAGAGGCTCCCACAAATTAGGCAAGTCATTACCTCTTTGCCCTATAATACAGTAGATACTGTCATTAGTCAACTAACTCCACTTGCATATGCAGAGCTTCCAAATACCAAGTTAGTGCCTCCTAACTATGAATGGATCAGTGTAGGATATCCAGATGTTTTATTAAAGTCAATAACAAGAAATATATAAATTAAATCAAACAGAAGCACAAGGAATTTAGACTAAATAGTGACAATCCAAGGAACAAAAGAGATTCTTAAAAAACTATAATGGATAGATTTAGAGAGCTAATAAAAGTAAGACAAAAGCTATAAAGGAAGAAAAATTAGAAAGACTGAGATATAATAGGTGCTCAATAAACATTCGTTGAATGAAATGAATTTTTATAACTATAAAGGATGTGTGTATTTATAAATAATTTATAATGGTTCAATGTAAAACACACATTCAACAAAAGAGTTGAAAGACATGAGTGGAGAAATACACCAGAAATTAGAAGACTAATCCAAAAGATCCAATATCCCATTGAGAAATGGTCTTGAGAGACAGAGATGGGAACAGAGAGGTGGAGGTATGGAAATTATCAGGAGCCAACACAAGAAAATTTATAATACTGATGGACAATTATTTCCAGACTTAAAGGACCTACAGTTAGCCAATACAGTAAATGCTAAAAGGTCCACATTAAGGCCATATCATTGAAATTTCAGAATAGCTGGTATTGAAAAAAAAAAAAACTCTTAAAAGCTTCTAAAGAGAGAGAAAACATATTCTATAGAAAGTGTAGAAAATGTGAACAACATCAAATTTCTCAGCAGCAACACTAAAAGCTAAAAGAAAATAGAATATCTTTATACCTCAGGGTAAAAATTATTTTCATACTGGAATCCCATACCCAGCCAAAATATCACATAATTTGAAGGTACAATTACTATATTTTTAGACTTACAATGTCTCAAAAATTTATCTGAAGTCCACTCTCTTTCAGGAAACTACTAGAAGACATACTATATTAAAATGAAGGATGAAACCAAGAAAAAAAAAGACGCAGATATCAGAAAAGGAATTGTGTAATAATAATACCAATTCCTAGAAAATAGTCAAGTTAACTCTTAGGATAACAGCTTGCTGACAAGCCTTCCAATCTTAATGGAGCAATAAGTTTGAGGGTTCCCAAAGAAATTTCTAAGAAAAGTAAAGGAAACTAATAGAAGACTTTACATTTCTACAAAACTGACAAATCTCAAATAATTGGTAGTTATGATGGGTTTGGTACATAGAAAGCTATGCAAAAAAACCAACACCACAATTATTAAACCTAGAGAGAAACAAAATTAGTACATGAAACACAATGTAATCATAATGTACTATGTGTCCCTGCTGTGAATAATTGTTACAGGCCCATTATATTATAAACATTATTGTATTAAAATTATAATATTAAGTTACTAGGATTAAAAGAAGGAAAATATGTGTGGAAGATGTAGACCTAGGAATGAGAGAGACATCTCCATCTTCCATATTTAGAAGTCAATGAGTATCTAAACTGAAAAAAAATAAAAACCAGAGTATCAGTGTGTTACTCAAAAATACAAAGGAGATAAATTAAGAAGCACTAAAATAATTAAAATAGTATTCTTATAGGAACAAGACTCAAGAGTGGAGAACAAACAGTGGGAGGCTTCTGATTTTGTCTCATAAGCCTGTTAAAACCATTTGACTTTTTTTAAAAAAGTCAGCTTTCCCAGGTTGAATATTTGATTTTTTTTTTTTTCTTTTTAGACGGAGTCTCACTCTGTTGCTCAGGCTGCAGTGTAGTGGCATGATCTTGGCTCACTGCGACCTCCGCCCCCCGGGTTCAAGTGATTCTCCTGCCTCAACCTCCTGAGTAGCTGGTACTACAAGCATGTGTCACTATGCCTGGCTAATTTTTGTATTTTTAGTAGAGACGGGGTTTCACCATGTTGGCCAGGCTGGTCTTGAACTCTTAACCTCAAGCAATCCACCCACCTCGGCCTCCCAAAGTGCTGGGATTACAGATGAGAGCCACTGTGCCTAGCCTTGATTTTTTAAATGCGGTTTTAAAATATGAAATTTGAAATGTAAAAAAGAAATTATTATGTGTTTGCATGTTACTTTCTAAATGCATTATTTTAAAAGTCATTCTACTAATTTTCATTTTTTACAAACTGTATAAAGTTAAATTAACTCACAAGAGAGGACTTTAATCCACTAATTACTTATTTGAATGGACAAAGCTGAAACCAAGTCCAAAGTTGAGTTATATCAATTTGTCAAGAAATCCCTTCTGGAGATGAGGTTGTCATTGTACTGTTATGCTGTTTTAACTAGTAAAATACTTCTGCCTTAGGATATGCTTTTTTCGTATCCTGGAATTTATTTTCCTTCCAGGAAAATATCAGGAAGCTGGAGGCATGATCATTAAAATGCACAAGAACAGATGTTGCTGGGTCTCTGTCAGGCACTGAGCAAATGTTTTGATGTGTCATTTCTTCCAGTTACTGTGGATGAAGAGCACAAGAATGGTGTGTTAGTTTCTTAGGGCTGCCATAACAAGTTACCCCAAACTTGGTGCCTTAATACAACGGACCTTTATTATCTCATACTTCTCAAGGCCACAAGTACAAAATCAAGCTGTAGGTAGTAGAGAACTCTGCTCTGCAGGCTGTAGGGGAGAAGCACTCCTTGCCTTTGACAGTTTATGGTGGCTGCAAGCCCATTCTTTAGTTTCTTGTTGCGTAACTCTCATTTCTGCCTCAGTCTTCACCTGGCCTTCTCCTTTCATCTCTGTCTCCCTCCTTTGGGTGTCTCTTCTAAGGACACTTGTCACTGGATTTAGGGTCCACCCAGATAATCTAGGATGATCTCATCTTGAGACTCTTAGCTTAATTATGTTTGCAAAGACCCTTTTGTCACGTAAGGTCATGTTCACAAGTTCCTGGGTTAGATGTGGATATATATATATATTTTTTAAGGCCACAATTCAATTCACAAAAAAAAAAAAGAAAAGAGTAGAGGAATAACGAGGCAAATATCACTTGTTATTTACTTTAATGACATGTCATATTTGGACAAACACAAAGCTAAGCCTGGAATTCCAATATCTTGGGAAATGAAAGATAAAAGCAGTCAGAAAAAAGTAGAACTATGAAGACAGTTTTATAAACTAGCTACTAATTCTTTTCTTTTTAGATTTACCATTAATCTCTTCCACTATTATGCCATCTGTAAACTTGATTGGCTTGTTGTCTATTTTAAAACCACGTTTTAAGGCAAAAACAGTGTTGGCTTGTTGTTCTCAGTGACTTCATTTTCTGAATAAACAAGACTGAACCCTTTTAAATGTCAGTAGAAACCTTTCTGGGAAGCACTATTTTTTTGCACACTAAAGACAATATACTTAACATAATTTAACCACTTTATGTATTCAATCATCTTTCCCATTTTAAAATTAAATAATGTTTTATATAAAATATGTGAATTCTCTGTAGCAATTTAAATTTTGATGTAGTATAGTACACATTATATAGGAATGTATTTATATGCTTTATTGAGTAAAAAAAGGAGGGGGGCAGAATATGCCAAGAAAATTTTTTAAGGACTATTGTTTGTTTGAAATGGTTACCAGTTAATTTCTATATATAAATGCAATGATTCTATTCTTATTGTATGCCAGGAAATGTTTGAAAATAAACAAATAGTGAAGTAGACTTAGGGTAGTCTAAACAATTTAAAGAGTATCAATTTTCTTAGAATCATAGAATTTAGAAACAATGTTAAATATGAAGTCCAAACTCATTTTACATGCCTAGTGGCAATTGACATTATGTGATTTGCTCTATGTCACATATCTGGCTATGACACATGTAAAATGTTAGGTTTCTAACATCATTCAATTCTCAGTATTTTTCTATCACTGTTAACCTGACAAATGCATCCACTTTGGACATTTTAAGTGTTTGTGAAAAATTAATGCATCCTCAATGCTTGAGAATGTTCATCTTTATGGAAACCAAATAGTATTTTAAAAGCAGGATTTTGGGAAATAATTTGTATTTGATTTTTTTTTTTTGGTCACTTTTTCAATGGATGACCTTACTCAAACTGCTTAATTTCTTTGAGCCTCAGCTACTTTGTTTGCAAAATGAAAGGACTACTATCTAATCCACAGGACTATTTTGAGACTAAATGAGATAAACGCAAGTTGAGACTAGCTCTCAGCCTGTATATAATGACTATTCAATCAGTGCTAGTTTCCTTCCCTGTACTGCTTATGAAAAAATCAGTCAGTTATACTATAGGCCTGTTGTGATGTATTCAATTGTGTTCCTCCCACCTCAAAATTCATGTGTTGAAGTTCTGATCCCCAATACCTCAAAGCAAATTTCTGCTGTTTAAGCCAGGGGTCCCCAGTCCCCAGGCCACGAACTGGTATCGGTTTGTGGCCTGTTAGGAGCACGGCTGTACAGCAGGAGGTGTGCGGTGGGTGAGCCTGCGAAGTTTCATCTCTATTTACAGCTGCCCCCACATCAGTCACATTACTGCCTTAGTTCCCACCTCCTGTCAGATCAGCAGCGGCATTAGATTCTCATAGGAGCACAAACCCTATTGTGAATTGTGCATGTGGGGATTTAGGTTGCCTGATATTTAGGAGAATCTAATGCCTGATGATCTGCCACTGTCTCCCATCATCCCCAGATGGGAGCATCTAGTTGTAGTAAAACAAGCTCAGGTCTCCCACTGATTCTACATTATAGTGAGTTGTATAATTATTTCATTATATAATACAATGTAAATAATAAAAATAAAGTGTACAATAAATGTAATGTGCTTGAGGCCAGGCATGGTGGCTCACACCTGCGATCCCAGCACTTATGGAGGCCAAGGTGGATGGATCATTTGAGATCAAGAGTTGGAGACCAGCCTGGCCAACCTGGTGAAACCCCAACCATACTAAAAATACAAAAAATTAGCCAGGTGCAGTGGTGTACACCTGTAATCTCAGCTACTCAGGAGGCTGAGGCACGAGAATCGCTTGAACCTGGGAGGCAGAGGTTGCAGTGAGCCCAGATCATGCGACTGTACTCCAGCCTGGGCAACAGCGAGACTCCATCTCAAAAAAAAAAAAGAAAAAAGAAAAGAAAAAGAAAAAGTAATGTGCCTGCCTGAATCATCCTGAAAGTATTTCCCCATCTTCCCCATAGAAAAATTGTCTTCCACCAAACTGGTCCCTGGTGCCAAAAGGGTTGGCACTGGTTTTAGCCACCCGGCCGCTGGTGTAAGCCACTCAGTTTGTGGTGCTTTGTTATGGCAGCCCTAGGAAACTAATGCACCTGTATTTCTTGGATTGATGGTTACTTGTAACGACATCTCTTAGGGATATTTTTTCAGCAGTCAGTCTGTATCAGGATCTGTAAGGTCCTTCTTTTCCAATTTCAAGGAAAGCAGGTCCAAAATCCCTTTCACCTAACTCTTAGTTGAGATGCTGTTCAAGAATGGAGAAGGTAAGGGGCCTCTCCAATATATGTGATTCTGGTTCCAATCTTCCAATATCTTACTATGCCCATACTATTTGTACAGGTTATAGGTTTGTGGAATAGATAGAGATCCTGATCTCTGTATCTATATCTGTATCTGATCTACATACTCTACATCTAAATCTGTTGAGCTTTTTATGAAACATAATACCACAAGCTTTTCCCCCTTATTTTGTAAAAGACTTGCTGAAAACACCATTTTAATAAAATTGTCATGTCATACACTCTCATATATTTTACCGTAATTTGCCCACTGTTAACACGTTGTTAGGCAATTGAAGGCCTTTCGCCTTTCTGCCACATCCCTTCAAATGAAGCTTTGCCCACATTTCAGAATATTTCCTTGAGATAGTGTACCAGAAAGGCTAAAAGCTATAAACTAGGCCAAAGGTAATAAACATTTTAATATTCCTAATACTTATCACCAAGTTGCTTCACAGAAAAGCTGGTTGTTCTTTCCTTTTGAATTTAATCACAAGAGAATAATCTTGGTAGCAAGAGTAAGAAGGTCATGGAGGGCATTGGAAGCATTAGTGTTCAACAGGCACAAGCAGGTAATAAATATCACCTTATGAAAAGCTCAAAGCCATGCACGGTGTTTGCATAACATGTTGCTAACTGAAGACCTCTCTGGTTCACAACCTTTCTGAAACTCAGCGTTTAAATGCAATATAGCCTATTAAATTGTCAGCTCAAGTACTCAGCAGAAGGCATCTCTATCTTCTTTGTTCTTGGGGATGTTTCTACTGACATGCACACTGGAGTTCAGAGATAATTTTCAATAAACTGTTGTCACTTGAAAATAAACAGTCTGGACAATGTATGGTCCATTTGGAGCACTGAGAAAATAAACAACCTAGGGTATGCTTCCTTCCTGTCTCTGTAGCCCTTTTTGGAATGTGTGTTCCAAATACTTCCCCTTCTTCCCCAAAGCAGGAGGTTTTATTTAAAATAAAGCTGTTTATTTGGCATTTCTGGGAGACCCTTTTCTGAGGAACCACAGCAATGAATGGCTTTGCATCCTTGCTTCGAAGAAACCAATTTATCCTCCTGGTACTATTTCTTTTGCAAATTCAGAGTCTGGGTCTGGATATTGATAGCCGTCCTACCGCTGAAGTCTGTGCCACACACACAATTTCACCAGGACCCAAAGGTGAGGAAAGAAAACCACAATTTTCATGTATAATAAATATGATATCTTCCCTCATCTCTGAACCCCTTCCTAGATTTCAATGACTTTCTCTTCTCTCCTCCCTAGTTTCCTCCCATTTTCCTTCTATTTTGGAAAATCAGGATTTTCCAGATCTGGTCTGTTACTTATTTAAAGCTCTCCTTTGATGTTAGGTAAGAGGATGTTGGGAAGGGGAAACCCAGGACGGAGATCTGAGGGAACTTACCCAGGGCAGGGGGAAATTCCCTGTTCCATTCTGCTCCGGGGCAGATGCACAATCCAGGCATGAGTCTCCAGAAGCCCTTTCCTTCCTTAAAAGCACCTCTATTATTGCACTGTTTGTACTCTCCTCCTTTCTAATACTGATGCTGGTAAAGCTGTTTAAGCAAAAGGTCAGTAACATAAAACTTAAATCTTAAATATATATTTCATAAGTTAATGGGATCCTGAGTTCCAACGTAGAGGATGGAAACATTTTGTCAAGCATTGAAGGTAGTATATAAATGAACATTTCTTTATTTGGAAGTGTAGTCTCTGGGGCCAAATGCCTTCTGCTCAAGGATGGTAGAATATTGCAAAATGTTCTCAAGTACAGCCAAGGTCCAAATATGCTTTAAGCAACCAGTAGATTTTAAAAAATCTATTTTTCTGGTTTTAGCTTTCACCCTTTTGTTCTGAAAGTGGTCACTGCACTGCAGATTGGTGCTCCCTTATTAGTAATTCATGCTGTTTCTCCAGGCTATAGGGTAGAAGAATTGCAGCTGCCTAAAATTTTAAGTAGAAAAAAGTGTTTTTCCAAAAAACAAAATTCAGAAATACATTGCCCCATGCCTGTCAGTTATTTAAATGTGTATTGCTTAAAGTGCATTTTTCTTAATCACTGAATTAATTTTCCTCTAAGATTGCAATCCAAGTTTTAACCTTTGATACGATAAAATAAATGCTGTGAGGAACAATGAGAGCTTAGAGCTTCCAAATAATTTCTTGGGTGAATAAATGAATAATGCGAGGGCAAATGTTCAGAAAGAAAGTTTTGATTAGAAATAAAGTATTTGCTTAAAACCGTTACTGAAGTTTCCTTAGAGTATAGGAAACTTTAGATTATTCCTGGGGTGTCATGGGGGCATTGAAAATTAAAGTTTTCCTTGTCCCTGCAAATGGGAGAATCCATTTGAGAATAGCACTATTTTTTACCTAATAGAAAACTTCTCCCTTCCCATTTTCCCATTAGAAACCCTGTTAAAACTTCAAACAGTGGAAATCTCATTAACTTTCCTCCTGAGCATCTGCAGACATTATGAGATAATTACAAGCCAGAGTGTGACAAAATGAAGTGAGTGATCCTGGGGAGAGGGACTTGGGAAGCGGTGTTCTAGAACCGTGGGTTCTAGAACTAAGTCTGTTATGTTCTTGGGTGTGATTTCCTCTTCTTCATCCAGAGCCTGGAAACTGTATCACATGGACTCCAAATTTTATTTTTAATAAAATTTTATTCTTAATAAAATTCTTAATAAAATAAATTCTTAATAAAATTTAATAAATTTTGTTCTTAATAAAGAAATCCATGATCCTGGAATGTACTGAATACCTACTAAGATCCAGGCATCATGTTAGATGCTAGGGGTTGGAAGCTAAGATAAGTAACCTGTCCTAGCTCTCGCATCTACATACCAAGCTTTGTATTCTATTACAAACTCTTGAGGCCGGCACCAATTTATGCTTTTTCTTTGAAAATTTCCTACACACCTAAATGCACCTAAAGCAACATGAGTATATTCATCACTGCCTTTCCTGTGCTCTAGGCACCATGCTAGATGATATGGGTACACCAGAAACCAAGACATGATACCTTCTCTTAAGATATGAACAGTGGGCCAGGTGTGTTGCCTGCAATCCTAACACTTTGGGAGGCCAAGGCAGGTGGATCACTTGAGTCCAAGAGTTTGAGACCAGCCTGGGTGACATAAAGAGACCCCATCTCTACAAAAAATTAAAATAATTTTTTAAAAATTAGCCAGGTGTGGTGGTGCACACCTGTAGTCCCAGTTACTTGGACGTCTGAGGCAGGAGAATTGCTTAAGTCCAGACAGTTGAGCCTGCATGGGCCATGATCATGCCACTTCACTCCAGCCTGGACAACAGAGTGAGACCCCATCTCAAAAAAAAAAAAAAAAAAAAAAAAATATATATATATATATATATATATATATATATGTAAACTGCCATCTACTCTACCTTGTTCCTTCATGAATACTGTGACAACCCCTCCCCACTCCAAAATAAGGCAGATATGTATATTTACCTCTACAAAATTAAAAAGAATAGTATGATGGTTAAGTAAGTGTTTTAAAGGTCTGCGTTATTACTGTTTTTTCAATATTTTTCCCCTAAGATCAAGCTAGTCTTAATACTTTTCTTCATGGCTAATCATCTCATTACTGTATTTACTAGCACTGCAGCACAGTGCTCAGAAGTTTCTAGATACTCTGGGAAACAGTGAAATGAATTTTCCCTAAATTCATCTGGGAGAGTGAAAACTAAATGAATTATTTAGAATTGCAGAATGGCATTTGTGAAAACCCAGTAATGCTAACCAGTCATAGAATATATTGACCAATATACAGATATTATTTTTAAAGTCTTATTTCCCAGACATGGTTTAGTGGAAAGAAAGGCACTGGAGTCAATCTGATTATCTTCAGCATGTTGTTACATCTGTTACACTTCAGTGTCTTCATTTGCAAAATGAGCCTTCATCACAGACCTCTTTTAAGAATTATGATAACCAATGTGAACTTTAAGCTGTACAGACATCATCAATAGAAATTTTAACAAATTCTATTTTATCTTTTCCTTCTCTCCCTATCTAAGTCTGTTAAGTAACAATTTTGAGAATAAGTTATCAAAATGACTCTGTTGCAAGCCATCATTATTTTTCTTTCTATGCCTTAAACTTATCATTTATGTTACCTAACAGGAAAATGAAATGTTCTCCCTCGCTCTCTCTCTCTCTCTCTCTCTCTCTCTCTCCTTCCCCCTCCTTCCCTCCCTCTCTCTCTCTCCCCCCTCCTTCCCTCCCTCCCTCCATCTCTCTCTCCCTCTCCCTCTCTCTCTCTCTCTCCCCCCACCCCTTCTCTCTCTCTCTCCCTCTCTCCCTTTCTCTCTCTTTTTTTCTCCCTCTTCCCCCATCTTGGTGGTTTCTTTAAACAATTTATGTGAAATTCTGACCTCTAGTGGTCTCCCTTGAAAATAACAGCGATAAAATATGTACAGCTATTATGTATTCATAAAAAATTTAAAAGAAAAATAAATGGACACAAAGCAAAAGAGAGACAAGTTTTAAACAAAACATGTTAAAAAATGATTTTAACCAATAAATGTGGATGATGCTTTACAATTTTCAAGGACCTTTAAAATCATTGTCTTGTTTAATTTCCACAATTTCCCTATGTGGTACCAATTTCTTTAAACTTAGACCTAAGGAAACAATTCCAGCGGGGCCAAGGGAAGTGCCCGAGTTCTTTCAGCAGGTGGAATCTTGCAACTTGAACTTGACCCTGGGCCTTCTGGCTCCAAGTCCAGTGTCATTTCATGACATCCACTAGTTTATACTAGTTATATATCAGGTTAGAAAATACAGTCCCCCAGTCACATTTTGGTGATTAAAAAAATGTACAGGGCAAAGTCAAAGAACATGACATCACGAAACCTCACAGCCCGGCATTGTCTTGGGTACTAAAATATGCTGAAAATGATGGCATATCTCCTCTTTGATAATCAACTTCATTACTTCATTAATTTGTTTGGAAATAATGTTATTTTACCCTATTGCTTATTTTGATGTTTGCTAGCTTTTTAGTAGGGCCTTTTCAATGACATTTTTGTGTGTGTGACCTACAAGGTCTTGTTTCCAACTGGCTTCTCTCAGCTTCTCCCATATCATTTCAAACTGCTCTTTTCACTTTTGCTTTTCAATGGGCATGCTGGTCTTGGCTCTCCTTCCTGACTCAGGACGTTGGCTCTTGATGGCTCCTCTGCCTGGCCCACACTTACCCAGATCTTCCCAAGGATAGTTCCTTCTCCTCATGGAGGTCTTAGCTCAAATGCCATCTGTGCAGCAAGGCCATGCCTACCTACCCCTGTACTCTTTGTCATAGTTCCCATGGTGTTTTATTTTCACAGGCTTATTACTAAGTGAAAATATCTTGTGTATTGATGCATGTAGAATCAGTCCTGGAGTGCAAGCTTCCCGAATGGACAAGGATACCAGTCCTTCTTGCTGAGCATGGTTTTCTAAACCTAGAAGAGCTCCCGACACATAGTGGGTGCTCAATACATATTTTTGATTAAATGAATCTACCCAAATTTTCCATGAAAGACCCCCAACATTTTAATTTGAGGTATTAATCTATTAACACAACTATTTCAAAATATCCTCTAAGTATGTCCTGAAGTTGCTAAAAACCGTTGCACATGCTCCCAAAAAAGGACTACTCCTGGGGGCCATGGCCATTGTGCCACTTCTCCAACAACCTAAGAACCTCCCTGCCAGGGGCCACTGCTTTTCTCCTAATTACAACAGTGCCTCTGCTTCCCAGGTGCCTCTGTCTCTGCCTAGCCACTAACACACTGCTGCCTCCTTCACTAAGGAAGCCTTTCTGACGCTTCTGAGGACACTGTGATTCCCATGGGTAACCATCATGACTCCTCCACACATGTGGTCTGTGATCAAACCACAAGGCAGAGCAAAGCTCTTTCCCTTTCAGCATGACTCTAATCACCACATCCAATGGGGTGACAGGAGCAAGATTGCTAGCACACATTGAGTAGCTGAGCACACATTGAGTAGCTGAGCACACACTGAGTAGCTGCCATTCACCCAGCACTGTGTGAGTGCTTGACAACCATGTTTAAATTTAATTATTTCAATGGACTTTGAGCAAAAAGGTTTTATTATCTCAGTGAACTTTGAGGAAAAATACTTTATTATCTCAATGGACTTTTGAGAAAAAAAGACTTTATCATTCCCATTGAACAGATGAAGGAATTGAGGTAAGAATTATTAAGTCACTAGCTCAAGGCCACAGAGCCAGAAGAGGAAATTAAAACCCAGTTAAGTTCTAGTTGGGCCCTATGTTCCAATCAACCTGCTAAAACCACTAGCAAGCCAGAGAGGCCCCTACACAGTGTTGATGGCACCTCAGTGTTTTATGGGGCCAGAGGAAATGTCTACTTCAGTCTCTTTACTTAAAGCCCCCTTGGTCCCTGTGGAACTCCAGAGCACACACCTGAGTGTCAGACAATACAAGCTCTGCCCGGTTGCTGCTCCACTCTGATGAGAGAGGCTATGCCATGAGTAAAGCCTTACAGCACTCACCCCTATCCTCTGGGATAATTCCTTTCTCAGAAGACCTCTTAGCAACTGAAAAATAGATTTCTATTTGGCCATCCACTATTTTACTGGACATGGCTCTGGATCCCAGCAATTGACACAACTTGAATTATTTCCCAAGATACTTCTCAGCCCCCAACACAAATAGGACATTTTGTGACTTCCCCAAACGGATAGACAGATATGCCCAGGAAAGTCCAGATATTTTTCATACTCAAACTGGAAGTCTTACTACCTGTAAGGTCACCCTCAGGGATAATTTGGTTTAACTCCAGTTACTTTTACTTTTTGTGAAAACTGAGGCCCAGAGAGGTAAAATAACTTGTTCTAGGTCATGCAGCTGCTAATAGGCAGCAGGACTAGAACTAGAAATCAGATTCCAGATTTTTGGAGCAGGCATTGTTCCATTCTTCCATGTTACATCATTTTCCTCACCTTATATCTTTCTCATTAAGCATAAAATGATTAGTTGGTTTTATAAGTTAACATTAGAAAAGGAGTTCATGAGATCAATGTATAAACATGACACAGAACTATTCTAGCTCAGTCACCTTGATGCAAGTTAAGTTGCTGATTCTTTTCTGGTAACTATCAGAAAGGGTAAACAACTAGGTGTTTTCCCAAAACTTTTTATTAATTGTATTAATTCACTAGATTCTTTCATTATGTGTTTTAATATGTATTTTATGCATAAGGACAGACCAATATTTTCAGTGGTTTGTTTTTTTTTAACTTTTATATTTCAGTGTATCGATACTTAGAACAATTTTTCATCTCTCTTTTCCTTTAGGTAGATACTAAGAAGGCATTTCAAGTTTAGGTCATGAAAGGAAGAATAAAATTCCAGTCAATAAAAGTGTAGGTAAAGATGAATCAGGAAGTAGTACTAAATGGTAATGATAAAAAATGATTTGTTTCATTTTAGTATGAATTTAATAAGCCATGTCTCTCTCCAACTCTCTTACATAATAATTTGGATATGTATTAATCACTAGTAGAGATCATAGTAATATGCATTTATATGTATGTGAAGATCATGGGCTTTTATATGTATATATCATAGACTTTTATATATGTATATATGTGTATATATAAAACGTACATATATACACATATATACACATATACACATATATATACACGTATATATATACACACATATATATACGTGTATATATATAGTTTTGAATCTGAGCTCTGCCACTTACCTAGCTATACGATCTTAAGCTTAAATGTCTTCATCCATAAAATGGCCAAAACACTGAACTCATGGAGATAGAGAATAGAAAGATGATTAACAGAGGCTAGGAAGGGGAGTGGGGGGACCTAGAGACAATTAATGGGTACAAAAATAATAGAAAGAATGAATAAGACCTAATATTTGATAGGACAACAGGGGAACTATAGCCAGTAATAAATTAATTGTACATTTGTAAATAACTAAAAGAGTATAATTACATTGTAACACAAAGGATAAATGCTTGAGTATACCCAGTTTTCCATGATGTCATTGTTACACATTGCATGCCTGTACCAAAATATCTCATGCACCCCATAAATGTATACACCTACTATGCACCCACAAAAATTAAAAATTAAAAAAATTTAAAAATACAATGGAGATCATATTGCCCACCTCAAATGCTTATTTTGAAAATTGAGACATGTCTAGTATATAGCTTACCTATCATTTCTTTCACTAGTCTCCACTACTGTTTGTTACCAACAGCTCTCTCCCCCATTCCTAAAGAAAGGCTCATAGATTGTGAAGTCAGCTCCCCAAATAGAAACATACCAGGGAAAGACTGCTCCTTTCTCCTACTTATCACAATTTTCTGCCTGTTTTCAGTCTTACTCCAAAGTCAACTTTTATTTGTCAAGAGCTCACAAACTTGAGACCACCTCTTCTCTTCGCTGATATTGCTTCCTTTCTGTAGCTCTCCAACTGAGCCTGGCGTTCCTTATTAGTAAAATGGAAATAACAGTGGTAAATACGCCTAGGGTTGTCATGGGGATTGCATGAGTGAAAACACAGAAAACTGAACCTCAGATTTCTCATCAGTAACATGAGGATGATAATAGTGTGACTTCTTCATAGGGATGTGGTGAGGAAAAATGAGTTAAGCCGCGTAAAGCTCTTAGCACTTGAAGTAGTCTCAGGGGCTCTGTAAATAAGAGCAAACCATGGGAGAGCAAAACCCAAGGGAGAATGAGATTGTGTTTCCTGTTTATCGTTCTTCCTTCTTCCTTTAAGAAACTTTTCCTTTAGCTACTGTCTATGCCATACAGGCAGGCTATTCTACTGGCCTTGGGTCATTGATGATATATAGGCCAGGCACAAATTCTCTCTTTCTCTCTTACGTCTCTTGCTTATATTTATAAAATTCTACTTGTAGAAACTTGGTAACTCTGTTAGCATGGAGTGGTTAGACTCTTCACATTTCTTCATGATATTTCAACCCATAACCAGTGTGTCTGTTTTTTTGCATTATGCATTGGATGTGCAATAGCCTATCATTTAATACAATTCTTTAAATTATATTTTATAGCTTTCTCTGCTCTTTTAGAAAAGAATTGTACATATACACAGTAAAAATCTGACACTCAGAGATTCAAGTAAAGTAGCGCCTAACTAATGTGGGGTTTCTTTTCAAATTATTTACTGCTATTGTTCTTGATTCAACAGTTCTTGGAAGCATGAGTTTAGGTCTCTTGTGATCACTGGAAGACACTTGTATCTGTTAAACAAATTATATGAACAGGAGTCATTCTTTAGAATTTACAAAGGTTAATCCATTATTCTATTTAGGCTCAACTGACACCTATAAGGATCATCACTCTTATTTTAAGGAGAAGGAAACTAAAGCACACTGCTACTGCTCTTGCATGCGATTTGACCACACAGTTGTGAGTTATCTGAGGAGAAACCCTGTGCCCCCCATTCTACCTCCCTAACTATGAAGAGAGGACCCTAATCAACCCAACTGATGAGAGAAACTGAGCTCTGTTAAATGAGATGATGTCATCTCATCTCAAGAATGATCAGCCATATCTTTTTTTTTTTTTTTTTTTTTTTTGTGAGACAGAGTCTCGCTCTGTCACCTAGGCTGGAGTGCAGTGGTGCGATCTCGGCTCACTGCAAGCTCCGCCTCCTGGGTTCATGCCATTCTCCTGCCTCAGCCTCCCGAGTAGCTGGGACCACAGGCACCCACCACCACGCCCGGCTAATTTTTTTTTTTTTTTTTTTTTTTTAAGTAGAGACGGGGTTTCACCATGTTAGCCAGGACAGTCTTGATCTCCTGGCCTCGTGATCCGCCTGCCTCGGCCTCCCAAAGTGCTGGGATTACAGGAGTGAGCCACCACATCCAGCCAATCAGCCATATCTTAATAAGACAGGATAGATGTGCTGAGGACACAAAATTCTTTTTTTTTTTTTTTTGAGACGGAGTTTTGCTCTTGTTGCCCAGGCTGGAGAGCAATGGCATGATCTCTGCTTACTGCAACCTCTGCCTCCCAGGTACAAGCAATTCTCCTGCCTCAGCCTCCTGAGTAGCTGGGATTACAGACACCTGCCACCACATCCAGCTAATTTTTTGTATTTTTAGTAGAGATGGGGTTTCACCATGTTGGCCAGGCTGGTCTTGAACTCCTGACCTCAGGTGATCCACCCGCCTAGGCCTCCCAAAGTTTTGGGATTACAGGCGTGAGCCACCATGCCCAGCCAACACAAAATTCTTTAAACAGATAACTCTTATTATTATCTGCATTCAAGAGCTTATAGATTTTGAAGGTCATTTATTTGATGCTGCCCAGGGATAAGTGTATGTGCAAGACATTGTAGCATTGAGTGCAGTCAAAAATAGTTTTGATAGTGTGGTTCTGCCTGGCCTGAAATGAAACAGGATTTAGAAAAAGATTTTGCCAGTCAGAGCCAAAAGTTGTGAAAAAGTCATCTTTCTCTCATCAGACCACATACTGGGTGACCAAACGACAGGACAACCAAAAGAAAGAGGCCCATATGTCCAATGGGAAGTTGAGGGATGCAGTGTGGCAGCAAGTGTGAAAATATACTCTAGACAAAAGTGAAAGCTCCCAAAGAAATGTGCGTGGGTTGGGGGGACTTTGATACACCATAAAGGAAAGTCTCTGGAACCAATTTATCAGTGTCACCCTAGCACCATGCTTCACTTGAATGGCAAAGCTGGACAATGTCACCAATGATTCTGGGGCAAAGCCAGTGCTAGACCACAGCCACAGACCAAATACTCTGAAATAAAGCTCACATAAAATGTACAAAGGCAAGGGATATGACCTGCTTTCCTCAATTGGAGCACACTTAAGATGACATTTTACTTTTCCAATTAAAATGAGCTCGAAATTTTGATTAGCCTGGGTAGAGAATGATTTTTTTTTTTTTTTTTTTTTTTTGCCTCTCCATGATTTGGGAGACAATACCATGTTGGTATTATTCTAATGTGGCCTAGCCACACCAATGTTAAATTTTTTTCTGCTCCCTCTTTTTGATTCTGTAATATTTTAACTCTGAACAGAAGAGTGTATGCAAAACTAAAATGTCCAGCATTCTCAACTGCCAAGGTGTCCCAGCATCTGCCCACAGGGCTTTATTAATGGGAAGATAATCTCCTAAAATGGGTCATATCATTACCTCTTCTATATCCTTTCTGGTCTTAATTTTAGAAATGTAGAAAAATGACTGGGCAGTGGAGAGGGTAGAGCATGGAATTCTATAGCATCAAAAAACACCACCAGTGCAACAAAGTTATTGACTCAGTTTTCTGGTTAGTAAAGACTCTGAGTCTTAGAGCAAAGGATGTTCAATGGAGGAGGAACTAACTAAGTGTTATCCTGCCCCCTTTTCAGTGGATAGGATTGACATTTTAATAAGGTAGAACACAGAATTATTCTTTTTTTTATTTTAGCACCAATGGCTTCCACATAAATAATAACTTATTATACTTGTCTGCTGCATTAATCCATTTTATGTTGCCATAATATGAAGGAATACCTTAAACTGGGTAGTTTATAAAGAAGAGGTTTATTTTGTTCATGTTTCTGCAGACTGTACAAAAAGTTTGGTGCCACCATCTGCTTCTGGTGAGGGCCTCAGGAAATATACAATCATGGCAGAAGAGCAAAAGAAAGGACGATAGTGTCACACTCTTTCAAATAACCAGATCCTGTGTAAACTGAGAGTGAGAACCCACTCATTACCACAAGAGGAGCACCAAGTCATGCATGAGAGATCCTCCTACATGACCCAAACACAACCTACCAGGCCCCACCTCCAACAAGGGGGATTACATTTCAGCATGAGATTTGGAGAGGACACACATCAAACCATGTCATCTGCTAACCTAATTTTAATTGAACAGTGGGTTTTCTTTTCCACATAATTTTCATAGTTATTTTGCAGAAGTTGTGAGATTGTTTGTATCTGATCCAGTCAACCAAATGATAGTTTAAACCAGAGGAGCCAGTGGAAGTCTTTGAGTAGAACAACATTAGATTTGCTTCTTAGGCAGAGAAATCTCTTAGCAGGGTTGAAGATAGACTGAAGGATATGAGAAGGTCTTAGTGGGACATAAATGAAAGACAAGAGTTGAATTAGGGCTGTTGGAATAGAGAGAATGGGGTGCAATAGAGAGGTACTTCAGAAGTAAAATTGGGAGATTACGAGTTCTTAATTGTGTTTGAGTTACATGTGAACATCAATGGAAAATTCCAGCAGGCAGTTGGAAATAGATATCATAAATATTTCTGAGGCATTATTTTTCTAGAAAAACTAATCACGTAGCCCATCATCTTGACTTACAGTTTTTATATTTTGTCTCATTTAGTGATTGATGATTATCAAAGAGGATACTACAGTTCTCACAGATACCTGAGATGTTCATAGACTGAGATGTTGGTATACATAATAATACAGTTATCAAAGGTAATGGCAAAAACTGCAATTACTTTAACACCAACCTAATAACTACATTTAATAACAATACTACACTTTCTCCTTAAATTTGTTTCTAACTCACTTTGTACTGAAATGAGTTTGAGAGAGAATATTGTATGTTACATATACAGAGTGTTGTAAATGTTTAGATGCCAAAAGCATAAATCTGCTCTGGGAAAACGTACACACACACACACACACACACACACACACACACACACACACACACACACACACCAACCAGGATGTTGCAAATCTGCATGACAGGGTAAGGTCTCATAAAGGCTTCCTTCCCCCTTGTCCTCTTCCTTGTACCTCTTTCATTTCTAGTGACTAGAAATTCCTCATGGCCCCTTGGATGCTACTGGCATAATGTAATAATGTAATATTCTGGAGCTCTCACTACCTTCTAAGCACTCTTCTAAGCTCTTCATGTGCATGACCACATTTACTGCTCACAGCAACCCTGTGAGGGAGGCACTTCATTATTCTGACTTGCTGATGAGCAAACTGAGGCTTAAAGAATTTAAATGGGTTGCTAAAGTCCCATACCCTTTCAGTGATGGAGCCTGGACTTGAACCAAGCGCTTTGATCCCAGATCCTATGCTCTTAACAACTGCATTGCATTGCAGAAGCATGCCACTTAGTCCTGAATTGATGGGATTTCTCTTTGTTTTTGTTTCTATGGGCCTGACTGAGAATGCATTTTAATAATGAATGATATGTGAAGGCTGAAGGAAACCTGCCTAACAAAACTTAATGTTGCATTTTTCATTAAGTACAGTGTTAGTTCCCACCCTCCCACCCCCACCCACTTACTCAGACATGCAATGACTGCAAAATAATTGCAGGCTCCAAGTGATCGTTCTTTTTAAGCCAAATAAGCTTGAAAACGACAAAAAAAGATACTTTGTAATTCAGATAGGAGAGACTGTAGGATACTTGAAATCCCCAGTTGTTTTCTTTGCTAGGTTGCAGAGGAACTAGCTGAAGGGGAAATGAAGTTCATGGGTCCCTGGAATTGATAGGGCACAATTAAGGGGTGAGTTGAGATAATAATCACACCCATCAATGACCTGGCTTGGACTCTAGTAAGCACCCCATAAATGTTAGTGATTATCCATATTGACATTGATATTTTTATTAGATAAATTAATTTCCTTACATATTGTGTTTCCTTGCATTTGTTTAGCATGTTAATATTGAAAATGAAAACTATTCATTTTGTTTTCTCCTTCGATATTTTATCTTGTCATTTGGGGAGAAAGCAACACAGGATGAGTTAAAAGCCAAGTCTCCTGACTCCTGTGTCATTGATCTTTCCAAAGCCTTGCTTTGTTGGATGCCAGTTGTAACCTACTCATTTGAAAGACTGCGTTCAGTGTCTCCTCCCACCCCATCAAACTTCTGGGCATAGATCATATCTTGTCCAAGGTAATCCTGTATCGCTAGGACACAACACAGCTTGGTAGCTAGTAGAAATGCAGTAAAAATTGGCCAACGAACAAACAAGTAAGAAAATTGTGAGTTTTTGGACAACAGTCAAGAGCAAAGTGTAGAATATCTGTTCTTATCACAAGGAACTTACACTTTAATTAAATATTTGACATTAATACAAACAGTTAAATAATATTGCATTATTTAAATAATACTCCAAGGCAACAATTAGAAAATAGTAACAAGGAACCAGATGGTGAATTATCAAGGATATAACTCCATCAATAAATTCAGAGAAATTAGAATTTAACTTGAGACAGGACTTGTGGGTAGGATTTATAAAGAGATAAAGAGCCATAGTTCCATTTACATCATTTATTATTTATGTTTTATGTTGCAAGAGGGTTCTGTGCTTGTTGTAACATGTAACCTATGTAAGGATGTATAAAATGAAGATGTAAAGAAAAAGCTAATGATATCTCTTTTTACCATCACCCTTCCCTCTCTGAACCCTCTTCTCCCCCGTAGACATCATTAATAGCTTAGTATTAATACTTTTCTCTAATTTATTCCTTCCTTCTCTAAATGATGTCATACATACACAAATATAATACTCCCTAAGAGACTTTCTATATGTAACATGGAGCTCACTCTATATCCAAGAGCTTTTGCTAACTCCTTATTTTTAGTATCAGTATAATATTGTATTTTGAATATAATTTTAATCATGGTAATGTTACTGTAATCCTTTTATTTTTAATCGGTCCCATGATGATACATTTTGTTTGTTTACAGTTTTTGTTTTTGCCACTACAAACATTCTTATTTATCCATTTGTTTTTACTGTTACTCCTATAAAATAGGTTGCCTAAGGCAAATTAGGGTATGCATGTTCTTTATTTTAATCATTATTGACTATTATTTTCCAGAAATGTTGTAGCAATTTACATAGCCAAGAACAATGAATGATAACATTCAGCTATCTGCATTTACAGCATCTTTGGATGTGAATCTGATGATGAAATATGATACAGACTTATACATACATATATTTCTCTAATAATCTGGACATTTTCATCTATTATTTATTGCTTATATTTTTAGATATTTTTATTTTATTGTCCTTTTTGCAAATCAATTTTCAAAAGCTCTTTGCATATTAAAAATATTACTAATTTTTTATGCCTTAGTGTTTTTCTCCCTTATCATTCGTTTATAAACTTTGCGTATTTATATCTCTTTGAATTTCTCATATGCTATATATGTCTATCTTTCCTTTTATGACTTTTAGATTCTTCTCTAAACAGATTAATTGAAAATGAAAAAAATGTTTTTCGATGGAGGCAGGAACTGAAAGACATTTTGATGAACAATGAATGAACAGGTTGGACAGGAATAGAAGGTTGTGCAGCAGAGAAACTCCTGGGTTGTAATGAGTGTATATAAATTAAATGAGCCATTTATCAGAATGTCAGAAAATAATATGGGAAAGTTCCACTGATGCCAGCCTGTGAAGGTTCACATACTAGACTAATTACTTTGAAGTGGCCTATAAACACAGAACTGTTGAAACATTTTGAATTGGATAGTAGAATGGTGGAAATATGATTTAATAAAGATTAATTTGCAAGATAGTTGGGAAAAGTGAAGTTCAGATTCAAGGAAACCAATATTTCAAGAACAATTTATTGAACAGACACTATTCTAGGCACTTGAGATACATCAATGAAAATCGTTAGGAATCACCTGTAAGGAATATGGTTACAGCATAAAGACAGGAAGATGTAAAATAACAGCAGCAGGGATGGGAGGAAAAAGAAAGAGAGAGTGAACATATGATAAGAATCAAGATGAGAGTGAGGAAGCTGATTCGGGTACTGAGCCTTGGAAATTAGAGCATGACTGTAATATTGAGAGACAAAGGTAAATTAGAAGAAGAAAGAAGAATATGGAGTGGACAGAAGCAGTAGAGGCAGTGGTGTGTGTATTTGCCACCTGGGCTGCCTTATGAGATTATTGGCCATCAGCACAGACCTCCCAGCAGGCTGGAGTCAATCCATTAATCAGCCATTATTGAGAAAGACATTTCAATCAATTACAAACTCATTTGACTGTATTGTCATTAAGCTCACATTTATCTACCTTGTCTTTAAGGATGTTACTCCTTTTATTTTGAAAACAATTATTGAGCAATCACCTATTTACTGCTTCTCAGACTCTGTGCCAAGTGCTAGGAATACAGTCTATCATCCCTGACCTGTCTTATCACCTATGACACAATGCAATAGGACACTATAAAGTGAGAGGGGATTTCCCTCCAGGGAGTTAGTTTAGTTCTGACCATTGAAGACGGAGATGGAGGCAGGAAAATCTGTACTGAGAGGACTCCTTGGGAGAGGAGGTAGCACATGAGCTGAACTGACGAGGTACAAGAAGTTCAACAGAAGACAAAAATCCACATAATATTTCATTGGCGAAGACATTTTAGCACCAGCCTGCCCTCATATAAGGACAATTTGTATTTTAGCTTATTTTCTTTGTATTTACCTTACAGTGTAAGTTTATTCTGGTGGAGCTCAGTCTAAAGGATCCTATTTACTTCTTTCTGACAAAGAATAGTGGAGAGTTTGAAGTGTGGGCAGGTAGGGTTAGGTGTTTCCTCCTTTGTGCTCCCACAGCAGCGACTGTCAGCATTTCTCACAGTAATTATCTGCTTCTTTGTCCATCTTCTCCTGAGGCTTTGACCTCTTCCTGGGAAGGAACCTCTCATAATCATTATCTAGTGTTTGTACTAGTAAAGAAACTTGTGTTTGCAAGTGAAAGAGGTCAACACAAACCAAACTTACACTCGTCAACCAAACACACAGAGAAAAGCAGGGGAATTCATAGACCCATGTAACAGGAAGGGATTCAATCTGAGTTAGGTCCAGCTGCTCAAGTCACGTGTTCTGGGATGAGTCTTCACACCATTCTGCTTTCCCCTGTAATGACTGTAATGTGGGTTCTCTCTTAATGGTGTCAAAATAGATTCGGATTCTTCAATGATAGTCTATCCTCTCTGAGACTCCTGCAGAAAGAGCAAGTCTCCATTTTTGAAAGTTCTAAATAAAATCCTCAAAATGAGACTTGTGGGCTCTTATTGGGTCACATGTGAATTGCTGAATGAATTACTGTGGATACGGTCTAAACCATATGGATTGAGAATGAGTAAGTGTGATTTCCTGCAGAAAACTGTGGAGCTGTTAACTGAAGCCCAGGGAGTGGATACCAAGAAAATGAAAGCAAAAAATGCTCAGTATGCTTGCAATATTTATGCATCAGTGAGAGCACATTCCATGCAAGCAGCTCTTTGATGAATTTTACCCATAATCTTACTTAATCTTTAGGTAACTCCATGAGAAAAGGGTCATCATCCCCATTTTCCCGGATAGGAAACTAAAGCAGGAAGGTTAATTATTTAGTATAAGATTTAATGTAAGTTTAAATAATTTATCAAATAATTTGACAAATTACTTAATAAAATTAATTAAAATTAAATAATTTATTAAATTCAGTATATTACGTTAAAATGTAAGTATAAATTATTTAGTATAAGATTAAATAGCTGTTATATAGTAAATTCAGGAGTTGAGCCTAAGTATGTGTGACTATAAAATTCCTATTTTGTCCATTGTACTGAGCTTTCAGAGCAACGTTGCCAGGGTCTGGGCCTCCCTTTTCCACAGATAACCTGCCTCATGACAATGATGGTTGCAAACGTATAATGTCTACAAATTAGTCTTCATTCAAAATCCATGCTTGCTTGCTTTTTATGTTTTTATTAAAAGACATACAAAGAAAGCTTCCCCTAAATTTCCATCACAAAGCTATTAAAGTGAATCAAAGTAGTATGGGTCTCAGAGTGAGGGAGCCACCCCCAGGATGGGAGACTCTAGAACAGGTAAGCACTCTAGTTATTTCCAATTATAGATAAGAAAATGGGAGCACTGAGAGTTTAAATATCATAGCTAAGTTCACAGAGCTGATAAGCAATGTGATTAAGATTTGACGCCTGAATATGCAAGGTCAGGACCCTCCCCTGGGCTTCATCAATACGTCATCCCACCTTTCCAGGAATTACTCCCTTCTGTGAATCACCAGTGGAAATTTTTCTTCTTCCAACCACTCTGTCCAAGTCAGTTTCTTGATCTATCAGTTCTTTCAGAAGAGAAAATGGAATTATTTGTCATGATTTGTTTTCAAAGGACTTAGGCTTACTCCTCTGAATGTCTACTTCTCTTCTAACTACTCATTTCTTCCTTGTATGAGATTGTATATAGCACAGCAGTGTGGGCTTGAGATGAACAAGATCACAGAACTCTATCAAGGTGACTTTTTCAAATGCCTACAGCCCTTTAAAAAGCAAGATTGATATAATGATAATATGTTTATATAGGAGTTTGTTCTTACCCTTTAAAAACACTTACTGAAGTACTTAAGGGAGATATGTTCATGTCTATAATTTACTTTTTTAAAAAATATAGCAAAAATAAATACATGAAGCAATGACAATGTGCTAATTGGTAAATCTCAGTAATGGGTTTTTATCTTTAATTATGTGAAAAGTTTTACAATAAAGGGTAAAAAAAACACAGCCAAGTAAAAGAGTAAGTAATGATTATATAATAGAGATTGAGGTAGTGAATACTAAGAAATAATCACTTATCTACTTCTATTCTCATTAAAGCAGACACTGATGAGTTTACCAAATGAGACAGGCATGGTGTTGAACACTTTTCATCCACTGTCTCCATTAATCCACAGCAATCCTATGAGGTTGGGATTATTCTCTCCATTTTGGATGAGAAAACTGAGATTGGAAGAAATGAAATGGCTTGTTTCAGAGTACTCTTAACCAAGGCAGTGCACTCTCTTTGCCTTAGGGAAAGCTGTGCAGAAGTGGCTGACTTGAAAGAATTCAGGATAGCCAGGAGTAGGCAGGTTGGGTAGGTGAAGGCACCAAGGGAATGATAAAATGGATGAATGGGGAGAAGGCTAACAATAGCAGGTCCCAATGAGGCCTGAAGATTTCAGTGAAGTGATGAGGTTGAGGTTGGGGAAGTAAAAGTACTAGGGAGTGGTTTGTTTTATGACTCTACTGGTACATGTCATGTATGTAAGAGGTATGGGGCATAATTGATGACTACTGAAATTTCCAAGAATGAGGATGCAATTGGCATAGATGGGAAGAAGATGTAAGTAGGAGTGGGAAGGATATATTTTAGGCAGGAGTTCTTGCCTTGTTAAGAAATCACAACATACCAGCTATCCCATTCAATTCTTTATTTTTTCTTTCTTCTTCTTTCTTCTTCTTCTTTTTTTTTTTTTTTTTTTTTTTGTTGTTGTTGTTGTTGTTGCTGTTGAGATGCAGTCTCGCTCTATCACCAGGCTGGGGTGCAGTGGCACAAACTGCAACCTCTGCCTCCCGAGTTCAAGCGATCTCCTGCCTCAGCCTCCTGAGTAACTGGGATTACAGGCACCTGCCACCAGGCCCAGCTAATTTTTGTATTCTTAGTAGAGACAGGGTTTCACCATGTTGGTCAGGCTGGTCTTGAACTCCTGACTTCAAACAATCCACCCGCCTCGGCCTCCCAAAGTGCTGAGATTACAGGCGTCATCCACCATGCCCAGTCTATCCCATTCAATTCTAAGGCTGATCAGGAGAAAGGTTACTAACAACAACTCCCCAGTCTATAAGATTGTTTTGACAAAGGGAAAAGGATTTTAATTAATTAATTTTAGCATCTCCAAAATAATTCACTACTTTTTAATAAGTATTTCCTTTGAGTAAAGGGTACTGGCCTGGATTCCAACTAGAATTCAATTTTAAAAGACATTTTGCTAATTGGGCAGGGGGAAAAGTCCTATCTAAGAAAATGCGGTCAAATGTGTGCTGTGTTGGAATTCTGCTGGTGGCTTGGGGAGTGGGTGTGAGCAAAGCAAATAATTTTTGTAAAATTGAAATTAGCTTATTTCAGTTTATAGCTTTTCACTTAATTTTCAAATACAAGTGGCTATTTCTAAATGAAGTAAAATAGTGTAAATTGTCCTACTCATCCAGTAAATACAAAAACAAACAACTGTGAGCCAGGTCGGCGGGGAGGTGGGGGGGGTCCCTATCCAAAGCTTGCTTTTACATCTCCCTTCAGTTCTCATTAAAGTAAGTACCAAAGATCAAACAAACCCAGGACCCATGCTGAAGGCTAGGGCTCAAGTTGTTTACTTCATCTGTGCCAGAAGCCTGCTTGGCCACCAGGCTGGGATGCAGTCACATGGGTTGAAGGATAATAAATAATCCTATTTCACCCTCCCAGATCTCCATCAAGAGCCACCAGGGAGCAGTAGATCACTAAGTCACTCACCCGGCTGCCTCTGGTTAGACATTTGCTTGAAAACAAATGGGAAAGCTTATAGAAGGGGAAGAAGGAAGGAGAAAGAATAATGGCACCAATAATTCACATCTGTGTGGCATTTTGATTCTCAAAGGGCTTCACATATATGCTTGTTTTTATCTTGCCTTTTCATGAGCAGGACGCGCATCATTAGTCTCATTGTACAGAAGAGGAATCCAAGACCCAGAAATGCTAAGGCAGGAATTTGTTCTAAATCATCCAGCTTGTTCAGAACATGGGCTAGGAGGACAAATGCCCCTGTTTGAATCCTGGCTTTACCACTTATGAGTTATGTGACCTTGGATGTTACTTAACCTCTCTGTGACCCCATTTCCTTTTCTGTAAAATGGAGCAAAGGATAGTATCCATCTCAAAGCTTGCTGTGGGGATCAAATGATAGATTGTATGTCAAGTGCTAAGAACATTTTTGGCACAAACTATTTGATAAATACTGCTATTATATTTGTAGAATGTCTTATGGTTCACACAAAGTGTATTCAGTTCAACTACATTTATTAAACACCAGAGCCAGGCACTGTGCTAAATTCTGGAGATGCTAGAAAAAATCACTTATGATCCCACCATGCTTTGGGTCACAGGGAAATGTAAGAGATAAGTGGAAATACACCGACACATTTGGTATAAAGTGTTATTTTTAAGCAACAAAGGTAATTAGAGGGAGAATTTAGCCCAGTCTGGGAGTATTAGAAAGGACTCCCTGAAGGAAAATACTTTTCTAGCTTTACCTTTGCTAAACACCCTCTGGAAAAAAAGTGTAATTTTTGTCTATTCTATGAATGCATGGAAAAAAGCTCAGATAAGTTAAAGGACTTCCCAAAGTCCCTCAGTGAATGGCAAAGTGGTGTCTCAGTTATGCTACCCCATCCCAAGGATACATTTCCTGTGAATAAAGTCATTAAGTAATAAGCTGTTTTTTTTCTTTTCTCCCACTATCTTTCTTGCCTAAAAGGAAACAAAAACTATATTTCTTTCTGCAACCCCCCTTTTTGCCCTGAAAAATTTGGCACGGTGCCAAATTCTGTAAAATCCACCATCTGCTAAGAGTCACAGAACCTAGACCAAAAGGGACAACGGTATACCATGATGAATCTAGAGGGATAGAAACGTACATGTTGTGGAATCCTCATTTGACTACTAAAAGCTCTATGACAATAGGCAAGCAACTTAACCACATAGTCTCATTTTTTTTTCATTCATGAAATAGAGCAATACGAGTTTCCATCTCCTAGAATTGCTATGATGACTAGATGTCAAGTCCTTAGCTTGTGCTTGGCTGACTTTATAATTGCTCAATAGACATTCACTGTTAACTTTAGCTAGAAAAATGTAATCTACAGGAGGATCACTTGAGTCCAGGAGGTTAAGGCTGCAATGAACTGTGTTCACACCACTGCACTCCAGCCTGGGTGACAGAGAAAGACACTGTCAGAAAGAGAGAAAAAGAGAGAGAAGGAAGGAATAGTGGGAAGGAAGGAGAGTGGGAAGGAAAGGAAGGGAAGGAGGGAGGGAGGGAAAGAGAGAGAGAAAGAAAAAAGAAAGAGAAAGAAAAGAAAGAAAGAAGAAGAAAAAAATTTCATCTAGTTCACTCAATTCTTACCTCTGGTCTGACCACAGATATCACCTGTGCATTCTTTTCTGAAAGCCATCCTAGGAGGCATCTATAGCTTCCCTTGTAAAGTATTTCAATGTTTGATCAATCTCACACCTGGAAATCCAACTCTTCCATACATTGTCCTTGCTTTCACTTAAAATTTCAACATTCTGCACTCAGAAAAAAATAAAAAGAGACAATCTCTGGTCGTGTTTTTTCCTGGATAAATCAATGAACATCACAAGTTACTCTCGCTCAAACTGTCTCATCCCAAGAACTTCATTTTTGTCTTTAGAAGGTTTTGATTTTCCTCCTTTCATCTGCTGATGGACAGGGCTCTTTCATGCCCTGAGATTGCTGTGGTGATAATGCAGGTATCTGGTCATAATATCGTGTGTGTTGTGTTCTTTGTTTTCAAAGCACATTCACGTGCTCACCTTGTTGATCCGAAAACAACTGAGTGAGGCCTGGAGAGCAGATACTATCCCCACATTTAGGAAAGGAAGCATAAAGGAAAGAAAAACAGCAGCCATCATTGCTAAGCACTGATTGTATCCCAGGTGTTCTATGTCTGTTGTCTCATTTGAACTTCCTGAAAGCCCACTCCAGTAGGTGTTATCAGATCAATTTGCTGGAGAGAAAAGTGAGACTCAGAGAGGGAAGTTCTGTACTCAAATTTCTCCAGATAGTGAGTGGTGGAGCTGAGACTTCAGTCAAATCTCTCCTAGTCCAAAGCCAATAAACTCAATCACCGGCCTGTTGAAGATTTGTTCAAACCATCAGTGACTAACATGGCATTAAAATCCAAGACTCCTGATTCTCAGTCTGGGCATTGTTCATTAAACCATTCATTCAATCTTTAATTCTTCAAGGTGCTGGAGCTACAGTTGCCTATGATTAAGACAGTTGCCACTCATGGAAAACTGCTTTGTGGCTTCTCCATTCCTAGTCTCCTATTCTTAGCTTCCTAGGTCATGCCTACAATTTTGGAGTTCTCAAGCATGCAGTCAGAGAGTAATAAGTTATGTGTGCCTCTGTGTGTGTGTGTGTGCGTGTGTGTTTGTGTAAATTTTATGTTTATTGTCCATCCAGAATTTGCTAGATTCTACAGCAAGAATAAAGATTTGTCAGGCCAAACATCACAATTCAGCAACAAGAATATTTCTTCAAACATAGAGTTGGATGTGGAGAAAAGTAAAAAATATACTGGAAGTTTCTTCCTTTCACCTGATTGTCAAGTGCATGTGAACATACATCCATACTCACAGCTGGATTGTGAGGCAAGCGCTGAGCTGAGGGAAAGATTGTAACCATGTCCACCTTACCCTGGGAGAATGTGCTCATGTTACTGTTTGAGATGCTTCACTCTATCTCATTTTCTGTTTCAAAAGGAGATGATGGTGAAAAAGGAGATCCAGGAGAAGAGGGAAAGCATGGCAAAGTGGGACGCATGGGGCCGAAAGGTAACTAAAATGATGTGAAACTGACATTTTAATATCATAATTGTTCTTCTATCTCTCCTGGCCCTTGCCCTGGAAATTAGCAGCTTTCATAATGCCCTCTGCCCCAACAATGCCTGAAATATATTTCACACATGAATTAACTCGCCATCTGAATGCCCCTCTGAGATTACCTGTCAACAAGACTCTCATATGTTTCTCAAGTTGCATTCTTTAGGGCTGGCTGGTGTGGGACACTGGGAGCCCCAGGGAAAAGCACTGTCTGAGAATATTTAAGAAACGATGTGTTATAGTGCTGTGTTCATAGCTGTGTCTCCCTTCTAAAGCCACTGCTAAGCAGCATTTTTTTTTTAAGCTGGCATAGAGCTTAAGGAGGAAGATAAAAAGAAACAAAAAGGGCTACCTGATTCATTGATCTATTCACCTTTCCCCAAGATCTCTTTATTTCTTTAATTCCCTCCTTTGTTATATACAAAAGAATAACACACTGGAGAAATGGTGGGGTACGGGAGGAGTGGAATCAAAGATGAAGAGAGTAACACAGATATGATTAGGAAGTGTCTTCACTCACAAAGTTGGGAGTTGGCCTCACCAAAATATAACTTCTAGGTTGTGATGTGTATGTGTGCACCTTCTGAACACTTGAAATATTTCTTGCCAACTGCTACAAGAGGGCTGCCCTAGACCACTTATTTTAAAATCTTGAATAGTTTAAAAGAAAGAGAGACTCACAGACCTGTGAGACCTCAATTTGGGAAATGCTGACTTAAACCTATGTATACATATGCATGTCGATTACAAGATTATTCTTACAAAATAAAGATTTTTAATTGGCAAATATTTTTTAGACTTTTATAAAAAGAAATAGCATTGGAAGAGCTCAGTGATTCCTAACCATAGTTTTTTGAATGAAAACTCAGCAGGACCATGTCTGATGTTTCTTTGATCATTAGGTTTTATGACTGCATGTTCCCCGCCCTGTTTTTAAGTGGCACAATTGTTAAATCTTGTTTTAAAAGAGAGAAGAAATAGAATTCCAGAAGGAAGACAAAATAGAGCTAAAGAAGAACAAAACCAGAATCGAGTCAAGAATACTTTCACCTGGCCCTTCTCTAACCTTTCTTTTAAACATCCTCTGCCATAGTCATTCTAGAAATACTACATCAGCAAGTATTTTAATATCATCATGTCCGTAGTATATATTCATACTCACTCACATTTTAATTTTAATACATACATTATAAGTCTGTTAAACTAGACAATATAGCATGGGATATATATTAGATATCACTGGTAGAAGAATATACTTGTTGGTATTTCTTTCAAGTGAATATCACATTAGCCACATTTCAAGGGAAGATAAAACCTTATGATAAAAAGATAACATGTTTGCTTTTCAGGAATTAAAGGAGAACTGGGTGATATGGGAGATCAGGGCAATATTGGCAAGACTGGGCCCATTGGGAAGAAGGGTAAGTTGCATCTTACTATTCTCCAGTAGCAATTCAAAGCAAATTGAGGCCGGGTACGATGGCTCACACCAGTAATCCCAACACTCAGAGACCGAGGTGGGAGGATACCTTGAAGCCAAGAATTCAAAACCAGCCTGCACAACACAGCAAGACCCAATCTCTACCAAAAAAAAAAAAAAAATGAATTAGCTGGGCATGGTGGCACATACCTATAGTCCCAGCTACATAGGAGGCTGAGGTAGGAGGATCGTTTGAGCCCATAAGTTTGAGTCTGCAGTGAACCATGATCACACCACTGCAATCCAGCCTGGGTGACACAGTAAGACCCTGTCTCGAAAGAAAGAAAGAAAGAAAGAGAGAGAGAGAGAGAGAGAGAGAAAGAAAGAAAGAAAGAAAGAAAGAAAGAAAGAAAGAAAATTGAGGATACCCTTAATCATTTTAAGGTTTTGTATCATGAAAATATCTCCTTTTCCTTCTTTTAAATTAATAATTCTGTCTGTCTTCATAGTTTGTCTCTTTCTTCCATATATAAGCAATATATCTCACAGCTCAAAAAAAGAAATACCTAGAATAAAATGAAACAAGATGGCAGAAACAGAATCAAGCATCAAGGTCTGATAGTCTTTATGTTGAATTATCTCCTGGGATCTACTTGTTGGCTACAAATCCTTGCTATGATCAAAATGATACATGATTATTAATAAAATACAAAATAGGCAGAGGACAGTAAAATTTTCTTTTTTAATCTGAGTGGATTAACCAAAAATTCTGTGCCTATGATCTATTAACAGGATAGAAACTTGGAGCATATATGTGGATACCCACTTGTTTTCAGTCTTGTCCTAATTTTTTTTTTTTTTTTTTTTTGAGATGGAGTCTTGCTCTGTCACCCAGGCTGGAGTGCAGTGGTGGGATCTCGGCTTACTGCAACCTCTGCCTCCCGGGTTCAAGCAATTCTCCTGCATCAGCCACCCGAGTAGCTGGGACTACAGATGCCCACCACCACGCCCAGCTGATTTTTTGTATTTTTAGTAGAGACAGGGGTTTCTCTGTGCTAGCCAAGATGGTCTCGATCTTCTGACCTCAGGTGATCTGCCCGCCTTGGCCTCCCAATATGCTGGGATTACAGGCATGAGCCATCACACCTGGCCCTGATCTTATACATCATTAAAGCCTGAATATTAGAAAACAGAGATAGTCTCCTCTGTATTGTCTAAGCATTCCTTCCCTGTCCTCCTCTCAGAAAGCCCCACAATGGTAGCAGGTTCTAATTGCTCCTGATATTCAGTAATTTAAGCAAGCATTGTTTTACTTAGAGATACAAAACTGAATGAACATAAAATTTTATTGCAAGACATTCATAGACTATTCAGGAAGATAGAACTTTCTTAAAAAGAATTAGAGGCCGGATGCAGTGGCTCACACCTGTAATCCCAACACTTTAGGGGGCTGAGATGGGTGGATCACCTGAGGTCAGGAGTTTGAGACAAGCCTGGCCAAGATAGCAAAACCCCATCTCTACTAAAAATACAAAAATTAACTGGGTGTGGTGGTGCACGCCTGTAATCCCCACTACTGGGGAGGCTAAGGTACAAGAATCGCTTGAACCTGGGAGGCGGAGTTTGCATTGAGCCAAGATCATGTCACTGCACTCCAGCTTGGGAGATAGAGTGAGATTCCATCTCAAAGAAAAAAAAAAGAATTATAATACTGAATAACATGACTACTCCAGGACTCATGTTGGAGAGTAAGCAGCAAGACTGATATGCGAAAGAACAGACCTAGGTCTTGAAGAATAGTAACATTATGGAAATAGGCAAAAGGCACTAGAGAGAGATGCAAGAGATGCTTGTACAAAAAAGATTAGGGGAAGCTTAATCCCATGGGTAATATAATTTCTGTAGCCTTGATGTACCCTCCATCTTTTTGTAAATGCTTGAGCAGCTGCATAATTAAGCATGTGGCTCACTTGTCCAGCAGTATGTCCCTGCAGGCAGGTTGACAGACTGTGGTCTGAGCTTAGGCTGTGGCCTCTCTCTTCTCATCCTGTGGCTCAGTACTCCCTCTTTCTCCACTTTCCAACTCACTCATTTGAGAAATTCCCTTCAGCCTGCATTCGGAGGCAGGGATGAAGGGCAGTGCCACTGAAGAGAAATTGCTATGGGTGTCTCAGATCTGGTGGGTTATATTGTGTATTTCCTTGTGGTTGAAATCCTTAATAGCTGGGGAAGAGCAATATGAGCTTCCCATGGTTCAGAAGTCCTGCTGCAGTGTGTGTCTGTGATGGTTTTACCATGAAGAGTCCTCATGTGTTTCAGTCCTTCCCAAGATGCTGATAAAAGCCACAGCAATGGGTTCACATGGCCATATACCTCGATAAAATTTGTAAAGTAAGACAGATTCACCTCAAATGATTAAAATAGTGCTTCTTAACATTTTTTAAAGATACTACTCCCCTAACAAGGCTTTTAAGACATATTTCTTTTCTAATTGCCTTTCCCCATGAATTTTTAATACCACCCATGGATGATATATTTGTTTAGGTATTCTGTGTATGTTTGTGCTTTATATATTTTTAAAAGAGTACAATTCCACCTCCTAAAAACTAATTTGTGCGTCCTTAAGTGATATTTCCCCATTGAAAATGCACAGGTTAAGATTTCTCTCTCCTGCTCCAGTTTCCCTCAACATCCTTCTTGTACTGGGCAGTTTTGGAGTGGATACAAGAATCTTGGGAGCTAGCTAAGAGGAGCTTGAGGGAGAAACATTTAGTTTGGAGTTAATGAGATATCTTTATGTAATTTGATGTGACTTCCATGTATACTTATTGCTAGCAATTCCAATGCAGAAATAGTTTCCAAGAATACTCCTACCACTTACTATGTAGCTCTATCCAAAGCCAGGATGCAAAAGTGCTGAGTCAGAGGTCGGATCATCATATCAATGAGTCCCGGGGCATCCAGCCCACGAAATGTGTGGGCTGTGGAAAAGAAGCAATGTTTGAAATATACAGGGCCAGAGCTAGTCTGTGGAAAAAAAAGTTTCCAAATCTAACAGCTTATATATGAAAACTACTTTATAGAGGTATAGTCTCAAAATTGACAATATTATTAATTTACATATAACACCAATAACAAGTTGTAATGGTGAAAGAAAAATCTGACACTACTACTAATAAAGACAAAATTCAGACTTCTGCTACAGGCCATGAGGATTTGCCTGTCTTACATTAATCCTTCTGCTAAGTACGACTAGCTGGGTCCAAAAAAATATTTAAATACATATCTGAAGGTATGACAGTGCAACCAAAATGAACAGAACTTTAGGGGCCATGATCTGGAGGAGAAGGGAATCATACTAAGGCAAGTGATGAATTCTGTACTACCTTCCTCCCAAGTCATCCACCAGTTCATAAGTGGGGCAGCCCTAAGTGGCTAAGAGGCTTGAGCAGAAAGTTGCTGAAACTGGATTGATATGCAAGGCCTGTCAAAGAGGAATGGCCCAGGAAATGCCCCCATATTCCCAGTTAGAACTCCAGAAATACTACTCCAGAAAACACTTAATTAAACCTATACCTATTCATGTTTTTAAAAACTGTTAGCAAATTAGAAATAGAAGGAAACATAATTTGAAAAGGAATACCAACAACAACAAAAATCTACTTAAAAATGATACTCCATAATAAAATACTGAACACTTTATCTCCTGAGACTGGGAATGAAATTAGCACAGCCCTCTATCAGCAATTCTAATCAACATTATGCATGAGGTTCTAATCACAGCAAAAAATGGAAGAAAAATAAAAATCATAATAATTGAAAATAAAGGAATATGAGCGTTATTTGTGGAGAACATGATTGCATACCTAGTACAAAATAATCTATAGATAATCTATTTGTATTGATAAGTTTTTCAGATGGCTTGACATACAAAAATCAATTTTGTTTCCACATAGAAACAATTTAAAAAGAGACCATTTATAATAGTGTCAAAATAAGTAAATATGTAAAAATAAATCCAACAAAAGTTATAAGCCCTCCACAATAAACTACACATAATGGACAAGAAATTAAAGAATATCTAAGGTAATGAAGGTAAAACTATGTTACTGGGTTGAGAGACTCAATATTGTTAATATGCCAGTTCTTTCCCAGATTGATCCATCGACTCAATGCTACCTCAGTCAAAATCCCAGAAGTGGGCCAGGCACGGTGGCTCATGCTTTTAATCCTAGCACTTCGGGGGGCCGAGGTGGATGGATCACCTGAGGTCTGGAGTTTGAGACCAGCCTAGCCACATGATGAAACCCCGTCTCTACTAAACATACAAAAATTAGCCTGGCATGGTAGTGCATGCCTGTAATCCTAGCTACTTGGAAGACTGAGGTGGGAGAATTGCTTGAGCCTGGGAGGTAGAGGTTGCAGTGAGCTGAGATCCCAGCACTGCACTCCAACCTGGGCAACAGAGTGAGATTCTATCTCAAAACAAAAAACAAAGCAAAACAAACAAATAAATCCCAGAAGTGTTCTTTTAGAAATTGATAAGCCAATTCAAAATATATGTGTAAATGAAAATGACCAAAAATACCCAAGACAATTTTGAAAAAATGAAAAATAAAACAAAGGTAGAAGACTTAAATTACTGAGTTTGAGTTTATACATTTATTAGGAAACTAAACCATTAGAATAGTGTAATTTCATGAAGAGATAGACAAATGAATTAAGGGAAGAGTCCAGAAACACACTACCAAACTTGATTTATGCAAAGTTGACACTATTTTGTAATAGAATTCACAAGCTAATCAATATATAGTACTGAGTTATTGGCTATTCATGTATAAAAATAATAATCTCGATCCCATACTTAACACTGTACCTAAAATCAATGGTTTATAGATCTAAATTTGGTGGTAAACCCAAATCTGAGAGACCTAAATTTGAAAGGTGAAGCAATAATGCCTCTGGAAGTTAATATAGAAGTCTATATTTTTGATCCTAGGGTAGCCAACACGTTTTTAAACAGGATATGACAAAGACTAACCATGTAAGAAAAACTAACAAATTGAAGTCTATCAAAATAAAGAACTTCTGGCCAGGTACAGTAGCTGACGCCTGTACTCCCAGCACTTTGGGAAGCCAAGGCATGTAGGTCACCTGAGATCGGGAATTCGAGACCAGCCTAGCCAGCATGGCGAAACCCCATCTCTACTAAAAATGCAAAATTAGCTGGGTGTGGTGACACATGCCTGTAATCCCAGCTACTTGGGAGCCTGAGGTGGGAGAATCACTTGAACCAGGGAGGCGGAGATTGCAGTGAGCAAAGATCACACCACTGCCCTCCAGCTTGGGCGACAGAGTGAGACTGCATCTCAAAAATAAAATAAAATAAAATAAAGAACTTCTATTCATTAAAAGATACTTCTCAGAGAACAAAAAAGGAAACCACAGAATTGGCTATGTGCTACCTTTGTATTCAATAAAGGGCTTACATGTAAAACATATAAAGAGATTATACAAATCACTAAGAAAAATAACTGATAACCCAAAGAAATAAAAAAGGTCAAAAGAATAGTCACTTAACAAAAGAACATATTTGACTAAACTATGATAGTACTGCATACTAACCAAAATGGCTAAAATAAAAATGACTGACAATATCTAGTGTTGGTAAGGATGCAGAACAACTGAAACTCTTATACTTTGCTTCACTATACCATGGAAATAAATATACTATCTCAATATGCAAAAAATGAATGAATATATGGACACAGTATTGGGGAAAATATTCTATACAGAAAAAAACTATATGCCAAATGGTTCTATTTATAGAAATTTCAACAACATGAAAAATTTATAGCTTGAAAACTTGTAACACAGTTCTAAGTCAGTATGGTGATCTTTAGAAAGGAGGGCTGTAATAATCTGTAGATGACACAAAAGTGGCTTCTTGAGGATCTAGGTATTGTTTACACAGGTATTTTATTCTGTAAAAAGTCATCAAGCTGAATCTTTGTGTTGACAAACTTTTCTTTGTGTTTTTTTTTCAGTAAGCAAAGTTTAATAAAATAATTTTTGGTTAACTGTGCTAAGCGAAAGAGTATTATCTGACTACGTTATCCCTCTATCATTCTTAAAAATGATATTAGAAATTTGTGGACAGATAAAACAGCAATATGAATGCAGCCAAACATACATAGCTAATTATTATGAAAAAAAGCACTTTCAAGGCACAATAATTCATTCATTGACGAAAATATTATAATGTTTAGTGAATTTTGTAATGTGCAATTGACCTACTTTTAAAATTTAGTGATTTGTTTTTATTTCTTATGATACATATTCATTTTTACAACCACTTTTCCATTTTTAATTTTGTATCTTTTTTTAAAGAAGTCCCTTCAAACTGTATAAGCTTCAGATAAAATGCATCATGGATCTGTCCCTATCTGTATCAACTTCGTTAAACCACTGGTTAAAGACAGAAAGGTATAGCAGGAAAGTGGGATGTTGGACTTCAAAATTTCTGAGATGCAGCTATGCTAAATGTGATTAAGATCTCATGTATTGCTCGTATTGCTCTGCAGAGGTAGCAGAAGTGGAGGGAGAGGGTAAGTCGCTGCCATGAATAAGTCCAGAATTGAAGAACTTTTTTTTTTTAGATAAGTAACATTTTTTAATTGCAGTGAAACATACACAACATAACCTTAGCCATCTTAACTATTTTTAAGTGTACAGTTCAATGGCACTAAGTACTTTCACATTGCTGTGCAAATATCACCTCCCTCCACCTCCAGAACTCTTTTCAACTTCCAGAACTGAAGCTCTGTACCCAGTAAACAATAACTCCCCAGATTAAAGTTATTGTTTCTTAGGCTATATTTTTGAGAGCAGTGAACTTCATTTTTTAATGGTCATTCTAGATTTTGCACTTCCCTAGATTTAGATGTGTAAGTCTTGATGGGATACCATCTAGAAGAGTTAAAGCTAAGGATCTTAAGCACAGTCTTAACCCTTGAATAAAATAAGACTATGTAAGGTGGGAGCATAGTAGATGACGAAGACAAGAAAGGCTCAAGAGTTTTTAGTACGATTAGCTGAGCCCCAAAGTGGATGAACTTCCAGAGATGTTGAAAAAGTACCAGTCTTGAAATGATAGGATTAACTAACCTTATTTCCTTCATGCTAATTCCTCCTTTAAGGCTCAGGTACATAGCACCTAATACATACCTGTATCACTGTACTCACTGTCATATCTGATTAGCTTATCTGTTTCCCCTCATAGACCTGAACTTCTTGGGAGAACAAATGAATGAAAGGTTCACTGGATTTGTTTGTTTAAATAAAATAAGCTCTGTTGGGACCCTAGTATTTAACCATTTTATCTTAATGCCTATTATATATTATAGACACTTGCTAGATGTTTGTTGCATTAAACATGAAAAACTGCATAATAAAACATATTATTTCTTACAACTTGTTTCTCTTTACTACTCCATATTCCTATAAGTACCACTTTTCCTTAATATCAATTTCCACCATTAGCTATTAAGATTTTCTTCCTCTCCAGAGATATGCCATCAAATTTATGAGCATGTCCTGGAATCTTTTTAAATGGAGATGCAATGTTCCGTCTCACTCGGATTAATTTCATTTTTAATCTGTACTTTGAAATTTATTGTCCTCATTTTGGTGATTGTCTTTCTGAATATTTTACTGACTCAGATTAATCTCAACTTTCTAGGCTGGCCTTAATGTTGTCACTTGCATGGATAGGGTAGCTTCCTGGATGTCAATATTTCATTTTAGGAATAAGAAATAATAGTGATTTAGTATAGGTAAATTCCATCTCATAGCAAAATAAATGTTTTTATTTAAGGTCAATAATCCATTTACGCTGAAAGCATTATGATTTTTTTGTTTGTTTGTTTGAATGTGACCTCTAATTCAACTTTTAGACAGTTATTACAGACATGTTCCCACTCATTGGCCAAAATCAGTTTTTGTGGATGACTTTAAATCATAATTTGTTTTGGGGAAATAGACATTGTAAGCTCAAATCTTCCATAAGCTGGCTAAGTACTTGGCATGCATTCCTTTACCATAACTCAGATTCAGGAAACAGAAGTTAACATTGGTTGAGCATTCTATGTGAGTCAAGCCCAGTGCTGATCCGATTATAAGAAAATATTACTATACCTAATTTATTCTCCTTAATGATCTCATAATTTTAGGTACTAATTATTTCTACTTTTAAGATAAAGAAAAGGAGGCTTAGAGAAATTAAGTAACCTGTCCATGTGTAGCCAGTAAGTGGCAAAGCCAGGATTCAAACCCTGGTTTTGGGGAGCTTTCATCATCTTTCATTGCACCACACTGCTTTGGTGTTCCCATTTGTCATGAAATGAAAAGAATTCATGTCAAAATACTGAAAACTAGTCACAGAGTTTATGTCTTCTCAGAAAAAAAGACCACATAGCAATTCAAGAAACTGTTTTCTATATTATTAAGTTCTAGCTAAGGGCTACTGCTTCAGTGAAGCCTTCTCCACTCTGATCCACACCATCTTTTCTTTTTCTGAATTTCTACCAGGCTTTTCATTTGCTTCCCTCTGTTAGTACATGATAGTATCTCATCTCTTTGTTCTCTTATGTGTGTTTTGCTTTCCTTAAAAGCCCGTCATTTTCCCAAGGCACTTGATTTATGCTTCTTTTATGTCCATTTTAAAGCTTAGCCCAGAACTAGGATCATAGCATAACTGGAATCAACGTTCCATCTGTGTTGAATTAAAAGGGATTCACATGCAAAGAAAATATAATGTTTTAAAAAATCAAAACATTAAACCCATAATCATACAATCTTTTAAGTGCATAATGTTTTTGATGGTGATGAGGACTGCTATTCTTTGCAAATTTTGATAACATTTTTCAAACACCTTGCTTTTTTTCATTAAACCATTGGTTAACTCACTGGGAAGCACCATGAAAGGGGGGTTAGAAATGGTTGGGCTGGAATATCAGCACTGCCATTTAATGGCTAGATGTCCTCGAGCAAGTTATTTTGCCTCTCTGATCCTCAATTTCTTCAAGTTGTAGGATAAAGATAATTATAACACTTAGTTCATGAGATTTAATGTGATAATATGTGTAAGGTATCCCGAATAGTACTTGGTGATTGACTGGTACTTAGTAAAATGTATATTCCCTTTCTTCCATGAATATCTCAAAATCTATTCTTATTTTTTCCAACTTACAGGTAAGAGAAATAAGGAATTTGCAGGATATAACTAAGGTGTGAGCAGATTGATATTACTGAGCAGGGTGCTCGACATATGCTCATGCCTTTATCCCAACTATATCCTCTGCTGTACCTTGAACCTGACCTTGTGCCCACTTTCATTCAGTTGCTGAAGCTTTTCATAGCGAAGCTCAAATGCTAAACTTTCCTTTACCCTTCCACTTGAAGCACTATCTCTTCTGCCTTCCTCTCAGACTATGTTATCTCTCTGTTCAATGTCTCTCTCACAACATGTATCACGTTCCATTGGTATAGATTTCACCGTTGTCTCATTTCATCCAAGTACAAGTTCCAAGCCTTCCTCCTGCACATGTAAACTGTATTCTGGACTTCAAGGACCCCCACCTTCTGTTTGGGGAGCACGTGAATGACTGGCATCAACTCTAAAGAAATGTGTCCACATGGCTCAGTTTAGAAAGGCTCAACAAATCCTTGGGGCCCCAGCAGGCATGCCTTCTTCTGAATGATCAAAAGTAACTATGTAAGGAACTTTTAAAGAAACACATCAGACAATGATGAGAAAAGCCAATGGGTGTCCTCAGCGCATGCAACATGGGGCGCCCTACAGGTTTTAGAGTGGCTTCCACTTTTTCTCTGTTGCTGGTGAACGGTGAGGCTTGGCAGAACCTTAATACCAACTCCATTCCCTTTTGCATTGTCCCCTTGGGCCGTATAACTAATTCTCTGACCACACCACATTCCTGTGAGGGTAAGCTCCATATACCTAGCCTAGGTGACCTTCATCCTGCATTCATCCCTCGTGAGTTCTTTTTCTTTTTTTCCAGATCACTATTGAAGCATAAACTCTATTTTAATCTGTCAGGGTCTTCCCTTTTGATTCTCAAGAACCTCAGCCAAACATTTCTTCCTGAAAATCAAAAGCTTTTGCTTTCAATTATTGTGTCTGATGTGGGCTTCAAGAGCTTATTTTGAAGTTGAAAAAAAATTAACGTGTTTTATTCTTTCTCTCTGCTTTAAAAATCCTGCTTCTCTGAGAATTATTTTGTGGATACCTGTGAGTGAGAAAATGGTTACATATAAAGAAGTACAGAGAGGGAAAGTACCAAGGTTGCTATTTCAGTATAATATATTTGACATGACTTTGTATTATTAGTATTTGCATACATCACTTCACTTCTAAAAATTGTAAACTCCTTCAAGTCATAGGTTGAATCTTATGTTTCTGTATATCCTTTCAAAGCACCCAGCCTTTTGGTTTTCATAGAGTAAGCAAATAGTAAATATTTGTCTAATTAAGTTGAAAAAGCACAATACATGTGTTTTTTTGTTTTGTTTTGTTTTGTTTTGGAAATCCAAGGGCAAAGCCACTTGGAATAACTTGGGGCATAATAAGTACAAAGACACTACAGTGTGCTAACAAATTGATCGAGATTCACATAACAATGGTAGTTTTAAAATTGAAAACATGCTGAGAATTGTATTAGCCTTGTTCAGAAGGCCATGTTATTAAAAAAAATGTTAATAGGACAGGTTACACAAATTCAAATTCTTCTTACAAACCCTGCTGGAATTCTATATTCAATCTAAATAAATTATGACTCATTTAATTAGTTGCACCTGTGTAGCCAATTGAAAATCACATTATTTATAAAAACCAAGAGATATTAGAGATACTAGCTGTAGATATTGCAAATACAATTTAAACTGCTTTGACTCTAGATGTAAATTCACTCCTTCCTCCCTCCCTCCCTCCCTCCCTCCCTCCCTCCTTCCTTCTTTTCCTTCCTTCATTCCCTTCCTTCCTTCCTTCCTTTTTTCCTTTCTTCTTTTATTTTAATTTTATTTTATTTTGGTTGCTATTGTTTTTTTTCAGGTGACAAAGGGGAAAAAGGTTTGCTTGGAATACCTGGAGAAAAAGGCAAAGCAGGTACGATATGTTCAATGTTCTCTTTGATTTCTAGCATGATTCCAAGTTTATTCATCTCAAAAATAAATATATTTCAAATGAAAAGCAAGAGTCCTTTTAGTATGCTTAACCTTATTTTCCTCAGGCTAGAAGAAAGGGAAGAAGGGGACTTTCCTGTCTCCCTGCTGGTGACTTTCCAAGCCTTGGGGACAGGGATGATGACACGTTTCATCCCTGCCATGCTTACTATGAGAAGAAAGCCCAGCCCATCAGGAAGCAGCCTAATTCTTCTGGGCCAAGAGAAAACTCTGGCAGTAAGCCCTGCCTCAGCATGCCATGCCTTGCCTTTCACTAGCATCTCAACCAAATACTGGCCATCAGAGTGCAGCAGCAGCCTGACCAGATGCAGACAGGCCCCTGGTTACAGTACATGCTTTCCATGGCCACGGAGATTCTCTAGGGTTATTGTCCTGGAGCTTTATTCCCAGTGCTTTACACAGGGAAAGAAAGTAGATTGTACTTTGGTAATTTCAATTGTTTCTATCCACAGAGGTATGGTGAAGACAATTCTAAGAACTTTTTGACATTCTTCATATTTCATATGAATATGGATACATAAGGCCATAGATTTTTTTCCTTTGGCTAATAAAATTATTTTTAATTTTCAAGCTACCAAAGGAAAAAAATTGAAATGTTTGTGTATAACAGCCATTAAATAGAAAAAGAGAATCATTTGAATTTTACATCGGTTTCCTTGTAATTCCCTCTCTGTCACAGCAATATTTGCAGGTTGTTGAAAAGTTAGGTGAGCAAAGAAGAATGAAAGACACATTAAAATCATAGTTAATCCACAAACTGGGCAACTGGCTTTTACAAACTTCAGTTGAATCTATTTATATGATTCAAACTTTGTCCTTGAAACATGCAAGCTGTATTTTAAATGGATAATTAGAATTAACATTTGATTTAATCATGAAAAGTTTCTTCTGTCTTAGAAAAACTGTGTCATCTATTGAATAATGCAATAACACAAGAGAACACTGGCAGGAAATATGTTTCAAGAAAGCTGTAAAAATTTTATTCTGAGATTGGGCAGACACATTCTGTGTTCAACAAAAAAAAAATGCCAAATGGTCCAAAATGTGTATGCAGTGGTTGTCATATATATTCTTCTTTTTAATAATCTAGTTTAGAATTGTCTTATAGTTCATTCAAAACATTTACAAGATATTTTCTGAAATTCTATAAATAATGTAAATTGGAAACCTTATTTTAAATAAAAGATTTAAAGTATAGCCATTCACAGATATATAGAACCAGACTAGAAAAAGATAGTGAATATTGGAAAGAGAGCAAATGTTCCTTTCCACTGGTCTGCAGGTACTTCAACATGAATTCACAGTTTTTGTCATTTAAAAGGTACTGTCTGTGATTGTGGAAGATACCGGAAATTTGTTGGACAACTGGATATTAGTATTGCTCGGCTCAAGACATCTATGAAGTTTGTCAAGAATGGTGAGCATATTCTCTTTTGTGTTATGTATCTATTGATAGATCTCCATCAACACTACAATTCCAGTACTCTTAGATGGAAATATCTTGAGTTGGACAAAGGGCTATTGAGATAGTGTCACCAGTTTAAGGGTCTCCCAAATTGCTAATTATCCACTAAGACTCCCCTAGGACACCTCAAGTCTGCTACATATATTTATATGTATGTGCATTGCTTATGGGAAGAGAAAGACTTTCTTAGGTGAGGGGAATGGAGAAAAGAGCAGAGTGTGGCAAGCTATGCTGTAAGAATAAAAAGAGACAGTAAGAGTCACACAGAACTAGCATCTCAGAAAATAGAGGTAATAATAACAATAACTGCTTTCTTGAGTGCATGGAATAGTGCACAACTACTAGCATTATCTCACTGAGTTTACATAATTGTTTATGTAGTATGTAGTTACTATGATAACTAAAGCTTAGAGGAAGTACCTTGCCCATAGATACAGACCTAATGAGCAGTAGAGCAGGAATGTAGTACAAGCTTCTCTGACTCCTCTATCCACAATACAAACATAATGTGTTTATCTGTTTTCCAACTTCCAATACTGGTCATTTTTGTTATCCCTTGTCCATTTTTTAATGCTAGTTATCAGAAAAGCCCTTGAAGTGGAAAGGGCTTATGTATTTTCTGAGACAGTATTAATAAGGTAACTATTATAATTACAGTTAAAATTGGTTTCTTTTTCTTATACTTTCATTTATTGTAACTCAGCAATATTTGCTGTACATTGTTGGAATCACATAGATGCTGTCTCGTGTTCATCCTCATCTTGTAACACTAGAGGCAAAGGAAATACTTGATATTAACTAACCACACTAATTATAACTTTGGTTGTAATCTGTACTGAAGATTCTGTCTCTGATATGACTTAGACTGTCATGAATAAGCCAGATCATACAGGGAGAACATAGAGCAATAGTTCTGAACATTTTAGTGGTCATAGATTTATTTGTGAATTAAAGTTATGGATCCTAAAATGCCTATGTAGAGGCCGCTGACACCCAAAACATACATGCCATATTATGAGAGAAGGGTGATTCTCAGTCTCCAGTTCTGTCCTGAAGCTAACTCAGTAGCTCAGTCTTCCTCTTGTACCTGGGATGAAATATGGACAATCCCAATTCATGTACATGTTCACAGCCCAGGAATTTGGTCCAATGTGGACAAACATCTGTATTATTCCTGCATCATTTCAATAAGCATTTACCATTCCCATAAGTATTCCAGGCACTGAAGCCAAAGAGTGTCAAAGACATGGTCATTGTCCTTAAGACATTCACAGGTAAGTAGGAGAGAAATGCAGGCAAACGATGAGACTAAAATGTGTTGAGTGCTAGAAGGAGGAAGTGAAAGGGGCAATGGAAACTCGGGAGAGTGACTGCCATGTCTATCCAAGGGCATTGGAAAGACTTCTTATAGGGGAAAATATTTCCACTGAGATCTAAAGGGATGAGTAGAAGTTTACCAGGTAGAAAAGACTTTCTAGGCATAAAAGGCTTGGAAGTATAAGAGAAAAGGGCCTGCTCATGTAGCCACCAGTATAGCTAAAGCATAAACTATGTTGGGAAATATAGTATGAGATGGGCTGGCTGAAAGTTCATGTAACATGTCTTTGTCAACTTTGTGCTGGCCAGGTGTGTGAGAAGTTGAGGAGAAAAGGAAGGGAGAACAAACGGTAGATATGTGTTCTCTATTTGCTAACTAGAGGTGGGGGTAATTAAATCTGTGACTACCTCATAATAGGGCTTTGAAAAATAATTCTTGAATATTGAATAAATAAATGTAAATCTGGCAATATCATATAATTTTGTTGCCTTTTATCTTTTTGAGATACGTAATGATACTCCTTTTTCTCTCCCTGCAGTGATAGCAGGGATTAGGGAAACTGAAGAGAAATTCTACTACATCGTGCAGGAAGAGAAGAACTACAGGGAATCCCTAACCCACTGCAGGATTCGGGGTGGAATGCTAGCCATGCCCAAGGATGAAGCTGCCAACACACTCATCGCTGACTATGTTGCCAAGAGTGGCTTCTTTCGGGTGTTCATTGGCGTGAATGACCTTGAAAGGGAGGGACAGTACATGTTCACAGACAACACTCCACTGCAGAACTATAGCAACTGGAATGAGGGGGAACCCAGCGACCCCTATGGTCATGAGGACTGTGTGGAGATGCTGAGCTCTGGCAGATGGAATGACACAGAGTGCCATCTTACCATGTACTTTGTCTGTGAGTTCATCAAGAAGAAAAAGTAACTTCCCTCATCCTACGTATTTGCTATTTTCCTGTGACCGTCATTACAGTTATTGTTATCCATCCTTTTTTTCCTGATTGTACTACATTTGATCTGAGTCAACATAGCTAGAAAATGCTAAACTGAGGTATGGAGCCTCCATCATCATGCTCTTTTGTGATGATTTTCATATTTTCACACATGGTATATTATTGACCCAATAACTCGCCAGGTTACATGGGTCTTGAGAGAGAATTTTAATTACTAATTGTGCACGAGATAGTTGGTTGTCTATATGTCAAATGAGTTGTTCTCTTGGTATTTGCTCTACCATCTCTCCCTAGAGCACTCTGTGTCTATCCCAGTGGATAATTTCCCAGTTTACTGGTGATGATTAGGAAGGTTGTTGATGGTTAGGCTAACCTGCCCTGGCCCAAAGCCAGACATGTACAAGGGCTTTCTGTGAGCAATGATAAGATCTTTGAATCCAAGATGCCCAGATCTTTTACCAGTCACACCCTATGGCCATGGCTATACTTGGAAGTTCTCCTTGTTGGCACAGACATAGAAATGCTTTAACCCCAAACCTTTATATGGGGGACTTCTAGCTTTGTGTCTTGTTTCAGACCATGTGGAATGATAAATACTCTTTTTGTGCTTCTGATCTATCGATTTCACTAACATATACCAAGTAGGTGCTTTGAACCCCTTTCTGTAGGCTCACACCTTAATCTCAGGCCCCTATATAGTCACACTTTGATTTAAGAAAAATGGAGCTCTTGAAATCAAAAGAAAAAAATGGGGAATTGTTCACAAACAATACTGGTTATAGTTCTCTTGCTAAATTGCCCACTGCTATTAACTTAACTTCATTTTTATTTATCTTAGGTTTACCTGCATCAATTTTATTCACCTTAGGCATAGGGAATGAGGGAAGGAGTTTGTGAAGCCTTAAGAAAATTCTGGAAGCTTCAAAGTGCTACCAACATCATCTCCAGGCCCCCTCATCCTTGCCTCTAACATATCACTAATGGTGACATTTCATGGGAGGCCTTTTACTCTTCATAAATATATGTCATAGAAATCCTACTGGAGATGTCCCTTCTAATACTCTGGCATCACAGAAATGTGTGAGGCACAGAATTCGGAACATGCTTAGAACTCACATTTACTGAGCTGGTAAAATTCTACCTTGAACTGTAGATCAAACCTCAAAGCAGCTTTCACTTGGAATTTAAAAATAAACAGTTCAAAGATACTCTAGATTATCACCCTATAAACTTCTACTCCAGTTATGGTTTCTGACATATGATTAGACTGTTTCAAATGCTGGCAAAATGGTTAATGAAGTAAGAGAAACAGATCAACAACATATGTTCACCTTAAACCATCTGTTCATGATTTCACCCGTGACTAACTGGTTATGAGATAGGACTTAATTAGGTTATTTCTGTGGGTTCAACAAGGGCCATAAACTCAGATCCTACAGGGGCCAGGCAGATGACTTACCTAAATGAAGTGGAACACGTGGGGACCCTAGTGCACTGAGCACAGCTTGCCCTTCCAAAGGAGCCAGCTGCTCCTCAGTGGCTGCTGCTGGTGCTAGGGAGGACCCAATCTTGCTAAATGTGCTGATATTTCAAGAGAAGTCAGAAAGCTGGGACTTTGTAACATAAGCTCATATTTTAATATGTTGGCAACTAATTAATTTTTAACCCAAATTTTAAGTGGGTTAAAAATTAATTAAAATTAAAGATTTGAGGTCAAAAGTCTTCTAGCTAAAGTTGTGATCATTTCATTTCTTACTTCTGGAGGAAGGTTCAGAAGGTTCTAACCAAATAGAATGTCATTAGGATATGATGACATGAAAGTCAAGATATCCCATTAATACCATATTCAATTCAGCTTAATAATAGGAATTTGTTATATGTTTGACATTTATCAGGTTACTAGTTAAACTCTTTTGAGATGATAGTACATGACACTTTAAAGGCAGAAAAGCTTAATAAAAATTACAAAGTAGGACATCAAACGCCAGTATCCTTGGATAGAAAGCCATCCCAGATCATGAGGAATGAAAACCTAGAAACACCTGTAGGAAAATAAAGCTCATATGTAAGAAGAGAGGAAGGAGAGACATGCAGCAAATGTTGCCTACGGGCAACTTCATGTTAAGGATCCATGTTCTGATTTGTTCTAAGCCCCCAAAGTATGAGTATTTATTGTGTGCACTGTTAGTGCTATTATTATTTACTGTGAATGTTATAATAATAGTTCTCTCAATGACTCATGTTGTCTGTGATGCTTCCAAGAGAGATAACAGAACTTCAACAAATAAGTTATATCCTGCAACCTTGCCTGAAAGAAATTTTGAAGACACCACACACTTAATTAAAATTACTACAAAAACTCAAATTTGTGAAGCACGTTGTGCTTTAAAAAATGCCTTCACATATCAATTTTCATTTGATTCTGATAAACTCTGTGAAGGACGAAAAACAGTCATTTTTACTGCCACTTCCCAGTGATACTACTGAGGCCCAAGGAAGCTAAGCAATTTACCAAAATCAGCTCACATATAAATGAATGCCATTAGCCTGCTGATTGAAACTGCCAATGCAGTGTCTTCTCCAATTTCTGTGCATTGCTCATGTATTGAATGGAAGTTCATCCACAATGGTCTTGTGATAGCAGGGGCTCAAACAACTTATCTGTACTACATTCCAAAGTTAAAGATGAGGATTAATTAACAGAGATGCTGGATACAGCAACTTGCCTTACAAATTTAGTGTTCACTGTTTTGTTTTTCAATTCACAAACGTCCACATAGGCATTAGTGTTGAGGAGGTGACTTACGGCAGCCACAGTACAATTCTGCAGATAACTAGAGTTATAGGGCAATCAAAGCAGATACATAAAAATCAATTTTGTTAGTCTTTTCAAAATACCAGCTCCTCAATTCCTGGACTTTTTGATGGGTTTTTCATGTCTCTATCTCCTTCAGTTCTGCGCTGATCATAGTTATTTCTTGTCTTCTTCTAGCTTTTGAATTTGCTTGCTCTCACTTCTCTAGTTCTTTTAATTTTGATGTTAGGGTGTTGATATTAGATATTTCCTGCTTTCTCCTGTTGGCATTTAGTGCTATAAATTTCCCTCTAAACACTGCTTTAGCTGTGTCTCAGAGATTCTGGTATGTTGTGTATTTGTTCTCATTGGTTTCAAAGAACTTATTTATTTCTGCCCTAATTTTGTTATTCAACCAATAGTCAGTCATTCAGGAGCAGGTTGTTCAGTTTCCATGTAGTTGTGTGGTTTTGAGTGAGTTTTTTAACCCTGAGTTCTAACTTGATTGCGCTGTGGTCTGAGAGACTGTTTGTTATGATTTCCATTAGTTTGCATTTGCTGAGGAGTGTTTTACTTCCAATTATGTGGTCAGTTTTAGAGTAAGTGCAATGTGGTGTTGAGAAGAATGTATATTCTGTTGATTTGGGGTGGAAAGTTCTGTAAATGTCTGTTATATCTGATAACAAGTTCTGAAATTGAGGCAGTAATTAAGAGCCTACCAACCAAAAAAAAGCTCAAGACTAGACAGATTCATAGCTGAATTCTACCAGAGGTACAAAAAGGAGCTGGTGACATTCCTTCAGAAACTATTCCAGACAATAGAAAAAGAGGGACTCCTTCCTAACTCATTTTATGAGGCCAGCATCATCCTGATACCAAAACCTGGCAGAGAAACAACAACAACAAAAATTTCAGGCCAATATCCTTAATGAACATTGAAGTGAATATCCTCAATACAATATTGGCAAACCGAATCCAGCATCAGAAAGCCTATCCACCATGATCAAGTCGGTGTCATCCCTGGGATGCAAGGCTAGTTCAACATATGCAAACCAATAAACATAATCCATCACATAAACAGAACCAATGACAAAAACCACATGATTATCTCAATAGATGCAGAAAATGCCTTTGATAAAATTCAACACCCCTTTATGCTAAAAACTCTCAATAAACTATTTAGTGATAGAACATTTCTCAAAATAATAAAACTATTTATGACAAACTCACAGCCAATATCATACTGAATAGGCAAAAGCTAGAACCATTCCCTTTGAAAATGGGCACAAGACAAGGATGCCCTTTCTCACCACTCCTATTCAACATAGTATTGGAAGTTCGGGCCAGAGCAATCAAGCAAAAGAAAGAAATAAAGGGCATTCAAATAGGAAGAGAGGACCTCAAATTGTCTCTGTTTGCAGATGACATAATTGTGTATTTAGAAAACCCCATGGTCTCAGCCCAAAATCTCCTTAAGCTGATAAACAACTTCAGCAAAGTCTCAGGATACAAAATCAATGTGCAAAAATCACAAGCATTCCAATACACCAATAATAGACAAACAGAGAGCCAAATCATGAGTGAACTTCCATTCACAATTGCTACAAAGAGAATAAAATACCTAAGAATCCAACTTACAGGGATGTGAAGGACCTCTTCAAGAACTACAAACCATGGTTCAAGGAAATCAGAGAGGACACAAACAAATGGAAAAATATTCCATGCTCATGAATGGAAGAATCAATATCGTGAAAATGGCCATACTGCCCAAAGTAGTTTGTAGATTCAATGCTATTCCCATCAAGCTACCACTGACTTTCTTCACAGAATTAGAAAAAACTACTTTAAATTTCATATGGAACCAAAAAATAGCCCGTATAGCCAAGACAATCCTAAGCAAAAAGGACAAAACTGGAGGCATCACGTTACCTGAATTCAAACTATACTACAAGTTTTCAGTAACCAAAACAGCATGGTATTTGTACCAAAACAGGTATATAGACTAATGGAACAGAACAGAGGCCTCAGAAATAACGCTACACAATTAAAACCATCTGATCTTTGACAAATCTGACAGAAATGAGCAATGGGGAAAGGATTCCCTATTTTAAAAATGTGTTGGGAAAACTGGTTAGCCATATGCAGAAAAATGAAATTGGACCCCTTTTTTACACCTTATACAAAAATTAACTCAAGATGGATTAAAGACTTAAATGTAAGACCTAAAACCATAAAAACCCTAGAAGAAAACCTAGGCAATACCATTCAAGACATAGGCATGGGCAAAGACTTCATTACTAAAACACCAAAAGTAATGGAACAGAAGCCAGAATTAACCAATGGGGTCTAATTAAACTAAAGAGCTTCTGCACAGCAAAAGAAACTATCATTAGAGTGAACAGGCAACCTACAGAATGGGAGAAAATTTTTGCAATCTATCCATCTGACAAAGGGCTAATATCCAGGATCTACAAGGAACTTAAATTTACAAGAGAAAAACCCCATCAATAAGTGGGTGATATGAATAGACACTTCCTAAAAGAAGACATTTATGTGGTCAACAGACAGACGAAAAAAAGCTCATCATCACTGGTTATTAGAGAAATGCAAATCAAACCACAATGAGATAACATCTCACACCAGTTACAATGGCAATCATTAAAAAGTCAGGAAACAACAGATGCTGGAGAGGATGTGGAGAAATAGGAATGCTTTTACACTGTCAGTGGGAGTGTAAATTAGTTCAACCATTGTGGAAGACAGTGCAGTGATTCCTCAAGGATCTAGAACCAGAAATACCATTTGACCCAGCAATCCCATTACTGGGTATATACCCAAAGGATTATAAATCATTCTACTATAAAGACACAAGCAAATGCATGTTTATTGCAGCACTTTTCAAAATAGCAAAGACTTGGAACCAACCCAAATGCCCATCAATGATAGACTGGATAAAGGAAATGTGGCACATATACACCTTGGAATACTATGCAGCTATAAAAGAGGATGAATTCTTGTCTTTTGCAGGGACATGGATGAAGCTGGAAACCATCATTCTTAGCAAACTAACACAGGAACAGAAAACCAAACACTGCATGATCTCACTCATAAGTGGGAGTTGAACAATGAGAACACATGGACACAGGGAGGGGAACATCACACACTGGGCCTCTTAGGTGGGTGGGGGGCTAGGGGAGGGATAACATTAGGAGAAATACCTAATGTAGATGACAGGTTGATGGGTGCAGCAAACCACCATGGCACATGTATACCTATGTAACAAACCTGCACATTCTCCACACGTATCTCAGAACTTAAAGTATAATTAAAAAAAAATCAAGATTTGCCCCAAGCAAAAATAAGCATGTAATTATTTTCCTCATAAAAGAATTCACTAGAGAAGTGAGTCACTGCGCAAACATAGTAGAAAGTTGTACACCCTTGTTATAGAAAGATATAGCAAACGCTGATTGCACTTTGGACAACTCACTCACAAACACTGCTGGCATTTTAAACAGTGCATTTCATCCTGCTTAGATCTGTGTTACCCAAATATGAGCAGCTCTAATTGTCCTTAATCAAACAATTTCCAGGTCTTTGGATTGTATCCTTTGAGGCAACAAGATACTTGTGAAATGGTAAAAGTAAACTAAACAGCATCACTCACAGCATCAACATATTGAGACTAAATTTTCTCAGGTATTATCAATGATAGGAAAATGACAGTGTGATTCCTTCCAGGGTAGTACTGGTTTGACAGCATCACTTAGAAATTTTGCAACTGCCTGAAGGTCACACCAACTGTGCTTCTTACTAGTTGTTCATATTAGGAGAATATCTTAAGTGCTCTAAACTTTGTTTTTCTAATCTACATAGTTCTTCCCCACATAATGTGATGAATAAAAGAAGCAATGTAAGGAGGTATTTAACGGAGTACCAGCAAAATAAGTTACATGAATGCAAAAAAACTTAGCCATTACTACCAACTACATCTACTGCCAGACTCATGTTGAAAAGAAAACATATTTTAACACATATTAAAACTTACCTATGTGAATATATGTCTATCATATATATACTATACATACAACATATATATGCATATACTAAGTGTGTGTGTGTACAGCACAATAAATTTTTTATACTTATTTATAGATAAAATTTTTATGTGAGGAAAGGTGAACAAATTTGCCAAAAGTTGTACTGCTTGTTAGAATTAGACCTGAAGTCCATCACTGGATATGATTGATTCTAAAACTATCTATACCTTTTTATAGGATGCAATTTATCTGAACCTATGGTGATCACATAAAATTAACTATTTTCTACTTAAAAATGAAATAATTAACTTGTATCTCCTTGGGGTTGTAAGGCCTTCATAATATAGCCAAATCCTTTAAAATTCATGTGTTGGGGGGACATCTGACATGTCCTTTCACGTGGGATTGAAGGAAAGGAGCCACTGGCCACAGATATTGTACATATGGATCTTTTTATGAACATAAGACTTTATTTTGCTGTTTCCCTAATACATAGTCATGCAGTTCATATTTGAACATTTTTGGTAATCTGGTAAGCCTATTTAAAAGTTTTTCTTATAGTGACCTAAAATATACTTTTCTCTGATTTCCGTTCCTTCCTTTTCTTCTGCTGTTTATAACTCTGGGAAGTCTGGTGCTGACACAAGCTGGAGCACCAAGAGCAGAGTCTTAAAGAAAAGACAAATAGGAAAGGGAATAACTGTCCTTACTATAGACACAAAGGTGAATAAATAGGACTACACAAACCTCAAGACCTAGATCATATGCTCCATACTCAATACGTTTAAATTTTGTTGGTGAAACACAAGAGACAAATGTGGAGAACGAATTGTATTCAAAGCCAACTGCAACATCTCAAACATAACTAGTCTATTAGAAGGTGGTGCATGGTAGACAGGGTTCAACCCCCAGAGGAGGAAGTCTTTAAAAGGGAGATGGTTGGTAAGGCACCCTTGAGAGGGTTCAGAGCAGGGGCCCAGTGCCAGTGGGAGAATGAAGTCAAAATCGGAGCTCAAATGCATGATGCCTACACGGTGAACAATTAGAAAGGCTATAGCTTAGATGACTAGTAGAGTTTGTTAACTCATTAACTCATCAAAAATGTTTATGGAGTATCTGATATGCTTTAGGCAGCACCCTGATAAGTGGTAGAGACACAATAGAGAAGAAGACAGATCAGATCTTTAGCCTTCAGATTCACTGACTATCAAGCCTATGGCATTGAGGCTCAAGATTCAATTGTCAGGATTATATTAATCTACCCTATTTTTATACGTATGTTATGTTGCAGCATCATAGCTCTCAAAAATATACTGAAATAAGGCAAAAAAAATTGTAGAACTGCATCACCCTTTCTTGAAGAATAACATTGACACATCTGTTCAAATACATTAACATGCCCATTTTGTCTTACTCATTATGATGTGAACAAGGTGTTCCCATGTCATTGTAAATACCCACACCATTTCCTCCCAAGATAGAATGAATCCTTGTGGTTGTGCATGAATGAGCGTTGGCAAGTGGCAAATGTTCTTTTGACTTAGTTTTCCCTAGTGATCTACACTTGACATTCAGTGAAACTCAGATTTGGCATAGATTATCACTTTCATAATGAAATAAGGAGGGGTAGGGAGAAAGGGAGAAGTGAGTCAGTCATTTTATAATGCATTAAAATGTGAGCACAGCAATTCCAAATTAATCACCATGTTGATGACTGCAGCTGGGAGATAATGCAGACTAATGGGTGTTTATACAATTTTAAAGCTATATAGCACTTTGACCTACTTTTTTTTTACTTTAGAACGACTAAACTGATTAATTTATCAATGTTAATCCTTCCTCTTTGTGTAAATGTAGTTGACAGCCCTTTGGGAGAGGTGTTGGAGATGCTAACTGTCTACAATTCAATCCACCTATTGATGTGTTGATGGAATGCTAGGCTTAGGAAGGGTACTCATAACCCCTGTTATGATGTGTAAAAAAATCCAGGAAGGTACAGAAGTACTTTTGAAGTCTTGATCAAATGAAGTAAGGGGAGCTATAACTTCAAAACACATTCCATTTAAATCCAACAAGGTCTAGGTTAATATTTTTACTAAGAAGTGTTGTCTACATACTATAAAATTTTGGTTGACCGTTCCCTAGTAGATGACAACTTCACATGGCTATTTCCTGAATAAACTCAGAGAAGGTGATTCTAGAGAAAGCTTACCAGGAGAAATAGATGTGTTTTAGAAGTGGATACTTTCTGGAAATGTTTATGTTTAAAAATACTTTTCCCCAAATTCTCTGTTTTGTATGATCTTTGATTTTGCTGACTTTGGTCAGTCCATTTTCAGGGATGTAAACTGTGCGATTGATGAAGGATTATTGTATGGAACTTACAGACACTATACTTTCTTTTTCACAGAAGAAGTACATTGTTTTTTCTCTAAACTTTAGGGGAAAATACCTAAAGGACCTAAAGACTAAAGAACAAAATTAAAAAACACAAGTAGCTATTGCCAGTTTTGATCTCTATATTTGACATAAAAAAGGAAATAAATTGATATATTTTAAAAATGCATTTGAGACACTAGAATGAAATATCAAAAAGGGACAGTTTCTGAAAAAGGCTGAAAAATATTCCTTCTGGGTTTCCTAACCCTAAATCCTTCAGAATAGAGAGATTTTATAAAAAGAGTAAGTAAAGGATGTCAGGGAGTAAATAAATATGGTTGTGTCTTCATATTTGAAAGTGCAGAAGAGAAAATACTTTACCACTTCTTTCCTTAGATTATCTATCTCATCAGGGATGGGATGGGGCATTATACAACTGCTTCTCTTCAAAAATGTTTTAAGTTTCCTCTGTCCTTATATTTCAGAAAATTCAATAGCTCAATGCGCACTAATATTTTGGCCTCACCTTTTCATGGCCCTATGAATTATCTAGATATTTGCAAGGTGAATTTATATATGAGGCAAAGGATGTGCCTTTTTTATTACCACAAATTCTCAGTTACAAATGGACATAAAAATACTTAATATCTGGGCTCTGGTATGCAAAATTTATTTCACTGGCAATATTTATGTTTAAATTGCTAGCAATCACTGCTAAATTTGCATGCTGGGATTCTGAAACATACCTGCAATAACAATCTGTCTGGTACCTTAATTCCTAAGAATTACAAGCCATAGTTGTTGAAGAATATCCTCACATTTTGCAGAAGTGTAATTACCACATACCCATTGGGATTATAGATTCACAGCTTCCTTACTCTTAACATGGCTTTTTCCTTTGACATCCAATAATCAAGGGTAAAAGGCAAATTCATCTGTTTTGTGCTTAGATCACTAAAAGTTAACTCACTCTCATTTAGGTTTATGTGCTCTTATTCTAGTGGATCTTGGAGGGAACCTTTAATCTACTGAATCTCCTTCCCATGAAGCTCAATAAATCCTACCTCAATTCACCAAAACTGGACAAAGTGCTGTTTTAACTGGTGTCCCAGTGTATCAGCTGGCTCTTACACTGCTATAAAGAACTACCTGAGACTGAGTAATTTATGAAGCAAAGAGGTTAAATTGACTCACAGTTTTATAGGCTTTACAGGAAGCATGGTTGGGGAAGCTTCAGGAAACTTAACAATCACAGCAGGAGAGCAAAGGGGAAGCAAGCACTGTCTTCACATGGTGCAGCAGGAGAGAGAAAGAAAAAGGGGAAGTGACACATACTTTTAAACAATCAGATCTCCTGAGAACTCACTCACTATCGTGGGAACAGCAGCAAGGAAATCTGTCCCCATGATCCAATCACCTCCCACTAGTTCCCTTCCCCAACATTAGGGATTACAGTTCAACATGAGATTTGGGTGGGGACACAGAGCCAAGCCATATCATTCTGCCCCTGGCCCCTCCCAAATCTCATGTCCTTCTCACATTTCAAAACCAATCATGCCTTCCCAACAGTCTGCCAGAATCTTAACTAATTCCAGCATTAACTCAAAAGTCCAAGTCCAAAGTCTTTTCTGAAACAATGCAACTCCCTTCTGCCTATGAGCCTGTATAATCAAAATCAAGTTAGTTACTGCCAAGATACAATGGGGGTATAGGCATTGGGTACATGCTACCATTCCAAAAAGGAGAAATTGGCCAAAACAAAGGGGTTACAGGCCCCATGTGAGTCCAAAACCCAGCAGGGCAGTCATTAAATCTTAAAGCTCCAAAATAATCTCCGACTCCATGTCTCACATTCAGATCATGCTGATGCAAGGAGTGAGCTCCCAAGACTCCACCTCTGTGTCTCTGCAGGGTACAGGCCTTGCAGCTACTTTCACAGGCTGGTGTTAAGTGCCTGTGGCTTTTCCAGGCACATGGTACAAGCTATCAGTGAATCTACCATTCTGGGGTCTGGAGGATGGTGGCCCTCTTCTCAGAGCTCCACTAGGCAGTGCCCTAGTGAGGACTCTGTGTTGGGGCTCCAACCCCACATTTCCCCTCTGCAGTCCCTTAGTAGAAGTTCTCCATGAGGGCTCCACCCCTGTGCAGATTTCTGCCTGGACATCCAGGCATTTCTATAAATCCTCTGAAATCTAGGAATAGGCCCCCAAAACTCAACTCTCGCCTTCTGCACACCTACAGGCCCAAAACCATGTGGAAGCTGCCAAGGCTTGGGGCTTGCACCCTCTGAAGCAGTGGCCTGAGCTATACCTTGGCCCATTTTAGCCAAGATACATTCTTTCACCAGATACGCTAAATCATCTCCCTAAAGTTCAAAGTTTCACAGATCTCTAGAGCAGAGGCAGAATGCCACCAGTCTCTTTGCTAAAGCATAGCAAAAGTGACCGTTGCTCCAGTTCCCAATAAGTTCCTCATCTCCATCTAAGACCTCCTCAGCTGGGACTTCACTGTCCACATCACTATCAGCATTTTGATCACAAGCATTCAACAAGTCTCTAGGAAGTTCCAAACTTCCCCTCATTTTCCCATCTTCTTCTGATCCCTCCAAACTGTTCCAACCTCTGCCCATTACCCAATTCCAAAGTTGCTTCAACATTTTCAGAGATCTTTATAGCAATGCCCCACTTACCTGGTACCAATTCTCTGTATTAATCCATTCTGACACTGCAAAAAAAAAAAAAAAAAAAAAAAAACTACATGAGACTGAGTAATTTGTGAAGAAAAGATGTTTAATCTTCCTGTACAGCAGTTCCACAGCTATACAGAAAAGATGGCTGGGGAGGCCTCAGAAAACTTACAATCATGGCAGAAGTGTGAAGGGGAAGCAAGCACCTTCTTCACATGGTGGAGTGGGAGAGAGAGAGTGAAAGGGGAAGTGGTATGCAATTATAAACAACCAGTTCTCATGAGACTCACTCACTGTCATGAGAACAGCAAGGGAGAAATCCACCTCCATGACCAATCCCCACCAGGCCACCCCACACTGCAACATTAAGGATTACAGCTCAACATGAGATTTGGGTGGAGAAAAAGAGCCAAACCATATCACCCAGCTGCTGGAGATATTTTTCCCAAAAGAAAGCAGGTAGACTGTCTATTTCAGTCTTAGATGCTTCACATCATTCTCCTACTAGAAGACCTAAGCTGACACTGCTGGTTGTGGCAAAGGATAATGTGAAACATACTCTATTCATTGACAGAAGAAGAACCTGGGGCACCCACTAATTTTAGAAGTCTCAGGGAATCAAATCTTTCAGCTGTTGACATATTTGATCATATACTGTATCCAAGATCTTCCAGGGCTTTCCTCAGAAATATTACGTTTATTCAGTTACATCTTTCTTAAAGATGGTGGAGGACATTGTATTTTCTGCCCAAGGCCCCATTGCCCTGGTGATCAGCAATTCCATGTACTACCGCCCCTTTGATTTATTGATTTACTCCAGGAATAACTGGGCTACTGCTGTCTGCTTCTGCTTTTTCTTTCTTAGTGTCCTGCCTTTCTGCCCTCCAACCATTCTGGGGCAATAAGAAAGGGTTAGTCTTTAATCTGCCTCCTTTAGGATCCATCAGGATAAATTTCCCTTTTTCCCTCAATAGCCGAATGTTCCTAATAAGTCTTTGACTCTTTTACCATCATGTACCAGGCTTAACATTAGTGCACTCTGACAGAGGAGTGCTGTGTTAGCCTTGTTTCCTCTCCTCTCACATAAGCTATTTAATCATTTTTACTATCCAGCTCACATGCAAAAAATGTCTCAGACCTAGATCAAAGAAATCAGAGATGAATTCAAAGACACAAGACTCATAGATATTTTCTTAATTACTCAACAGTGATACCTACCAAATTATACATCTGAGCAAGTTTCCCTGCTATTCTTCAATAGAATTCACTCAAGACAGTGGTAATACTCAGCAACCTCATATGGGGTGAGAAGTACACTACATCTGAGAATCCCTGAACAATCAAATCTTCTCCTTTTTATTTTTATTTATTTTTATTTATTTTATTTATTTTTTATTATACTTTCAGTTCTAGGGTACATGTGCACAATGTGCAGGTTTGTTACATATGTATACATGTGCCATGTTGGTGTGCTGCACCCATTAACTCATCATTTACATTAGGTATAACTCCTAATGCTATCCCTTCCCCCTCCCCCCACCCCACGACAGGCCCTGGGGTGTGATGTTCCCCTTCCTGTGTCCATGTGTTCTCTTTGTTCAATTCCCACCTATGAGTGAGAATATGCGGTGTTTGGTTTTCTGTTCTTGTGATAGTTTACTGAGAATGATGGTTTCCAGCTTCATCCATGTCCCTACAAAGGACATGAACTCATCATTTTTTATGGCTGCATAGTATTCCATGGTGTATATGTGCCACATTTTCTTAATCCAGTCTATCATTGATGGACATTTGGGTTGGTTCCAAGTCGTTGCTATTGTGAATAGTGCTGCAATAAACATACTTGTGCATGTGTCTTTATAGCAGCATGATTTATAATCCTTTGGGTATATACCCAGTAATAGGATGGCTGGGTCAAATGGTATTTCTAGTTCTAGATCCTCGAGGAATTGCCACACTGTCTTCCACAATGGTTGAACTAGTTTACAGTCCCACCAACAGTGTAAGTGTTCCTATTTCTCCACATCCTCTCCAGCATCTGTTGTTTCCTGACTTTTTAATGATCGCCATTCTAACTGGTGTGAGATGGTATCTCACTGTGGTTTTGATTTGCATTTCTTTGATGACAAGTGATGATGAGCATTTTTTTATAAATGGTACTGGGAAAACTGGATAGCCATATGTAGAAAGCTGAAACTGGATCCCTTCCTTACACCTTATACAAAAATTAATTCAAGATGGATTAAAGACTTACATGTTAGACCTAAAACCATAAAAACCCTAGAAGAAAACCTAGGCAATACCATTCAAGACATAGGCATGGATAAGGAGTTCATGTCTAAAACACCAAAAGCAATGGCAACAAAAGCCAAAATTGATAGATGGGATCTAATTAAACTAAAGAGCTTCTGCACAGCAAAAGGAACTACCATCAGATTGAACAGGCAACCTACAGAATGGGAGAAAATTTTTGCAATCTACTCATCTGACAAAGGGCTAATATCCAGAATCTACAAAAAACTCAAACAAACTTGCAAGAAAAAAACAAACAACAACCCCATCAAAATGTGGGCAAAGGATATGAACAGACATTTCTCAAAAGAAGACATTTATGCAGCCAACAGACACATGAAAATCTCCTTTTTAAAAGGCCTTGTCAGAACCAAATTATGCTGCTATGTAAGGCAATAATTTTGCAACTCAACAAAGGCATATCCTATGTGCCCAAAGACCAGGTTCCAAGATTTGAAATTCTTCCGTGCCAGCAATTTTGCAATCTCAATTTATCTGAGACTCTTGTCATAAAACCTGGACATTTCTCATTTATGTTCTTTTAAGCTCTTCCCTGGGGCAGTCCTGGCCACAGAGTACCATAGGAATAATGGACATATAGATGGGATTTAACACTACAGAAGCAGGTGAAGTTGCTTGGAGTAAAGATGTTGAGTGAGGAGAGCAGATATCCCAGGACTGAGATACAAATTATCCTAATATTTGAAGGTTGAGGAGAAGGAACAAGGAGAGTCTCTTAAGGAAGACTGACAAAGAGTGGTCAGAGAAGTAGTAATAGAATCAGAAATGTTTGAAAACAAAGAAACAGACAACTGTATTGAATGTCTCTGAAAGTTCAAGTAAAAACAGCAATTAAAAAGTATCTATTGGAGGCCAGTGTGGTGGCTCATGCCTGTAATCCCAGCACTTTGGGAAGCCGAGGCGGGAGGATCACCTGATGTCAGGAGTTCAAGACCAGCCTGGCCAACATGGAAACTCCGTCTCTACTAAAAATACAAAAAGTAGCTGGGTGTGGTGGTGCATGCCTGGAATCCCACCTACTCAGGAGGCTGAGGCAGGAGAATTGCTTGAATCCGGAAGGCAGAGGTTGCAGTGAGCTGAGATTGTGCCACTGCACTCCCGCCTGGGCGACAAAGTGAGACTCCATCGCAAAAACAAACAAACAAACCAAAAAAAAAAAAAAAAAAAAAAACAAAAACCCAAAAAACTATCTATTGTGTTTGTCAGTACCAGAATGGAAAACAAAAACAAAGTAGAATAGGCTTGGAGAGGAAATGGGCTGAAAGAAGTAGAGATAGTGTACATAGAAAAGATTTTCAAGAAGCTTGCTCATAAAGGAGAGTTAAAACAGCAAGACCAAGAATGGTGGCTGGGCATGTGAGTCAGAACATAGTCATAACTATTATTGTTATAAATATAATGCTGTAATTTCAGCATTGTGCTAAGCATTTCACATGTTTTAGTCTGTGACACATACTATAATTATCTTCAATTTACCTATAAGGAAATTGAGGCACAGACACTGAATAATATCCCTCAGGCCACCCTGCTGAGATTTCAATGCAGCAGTCCAGTCCAGTGCTTGCATTCCTAATCACTGCACTTCTCTGTTTCACCCTGTGATGATGGGCATATTTGGAAGGTCCAGAGTTTCTGCTATGGCTTTGCTACATGTGTTCTATGTGACTTCTCAAAACTCAACTTTTATAAGCTTGTCATCTGTATGTACAACACGTCTATTCCTGGATGTGTGGGGAAGAAAAAAGACTATAAAAACATTACTGTTACACAACACCTCCATTGGTTATGAATATGTTTGCAACTTAGAAACATTTCATCCATTCTTCAAAAGAAACAAATAGACATTTCAAGAATTTTGAAGACCATTCTTATTTCTATCCCTCAGAAGGCAAGGAAAAATATACACTCACATAAAGAAAATGATTCTAATAGAGATAGAGTGTTCCATGGGGATCTGGTTGAAAACACTTAAAGTCAAACATGATAAAGCTCCTAAAAAGAACCTTGAGAAACAACTGCTCTGACAGAGAGGGGGAAGATGACACATTCGGGTACCCTGGGCTGGAGTGATGTTATCCTGAGAGGGAGTGTGATGGAAAGATGGATAACATGGAGTCTTCTTAAAGGACATTGAGAATGCTGCTGGAGGGAAGCATCATCTCAGGGGTCCACAGTGGTGGGACCTCAAGTCCTTTTTCTGGGATTCTAAAAGCATTCATGTCCCTCTGCTGTAGAAATATTGTTCTAGACTAGAGAAGTTACTCTACATCAGTTTTAAATGAGTGCTATTTTCCTCTCTTGCTACTGCTTTAGCACATCCTTGTTACTTGCAAATAATAGGATGTGCTGCTTTTATCTAATTTTTAGAATAGAATAGGACTTCATGATGCCAACCATTTTTCTAACTTTTGCAGTTATACAGTCACAGAAGTATTGCCTCCAATCCTAGCTCTTTAGTCTTGTAGACCTGCAGATTAAAGACACAACTTCACAACATGACATGCTGTGAAACCTAGATATTTGATAAATGAATATGCATTCTTTATAATATGGCCTTTGCTTGCATTTTCACCTCCTGCCATTTGCTACTTCCTTCCAGGGACATACCTGCAAATAGACACATATACTAGCAGTTTCTATGACAGGTTTGTCTCTCTGATTTGTGTGTGTTGCCTCCTTTATGTATTGTTCCCTGTTGCTTGCTGTCGTAGTCCATTCAGGCTTCTATAACAGAGTTGCAGACACTATATGTCTTACAAACAACAGAAATTTAGCTCTCACAGTTCTGGAGGGTGAGAATTCCAAGACCCAGGAGCCAGAAGATACGGTGTCTGGTGAGGGCCCAGTTGCTGTTTTAAAGAGAGCTGTCTTCTAACTGTGTCTACACACGGCAGGAAGTGTGAGAAAAAAGGAGCTCTTCGAGGTTTTTTTTTTTTTTGAGACGGAATATCGCTCTGTCGCCCAAGCTGGAGCGCAGTGGCGCGATCTCGGCTCACTGCAAGCTTCGCCTCCCGGGTTCACGCCATTCTTCCTGGTAACCTAGTCACCTCCCAAGGGCCTCACCTTCTAATGCCTTCACACTGGGGGTTAGGATTTCAAAATATGGATTTTGAGCTGACACAGACATTCAGACGATAGTATCTGCTGACTAACTTTTCATTCATTTGATAAAATACAGTTCACATAACTCAGCTTCCCGAAGTCCCTTGGGGATCTCTCTCAGTGAAGCTCTACATGTTTCTTTCATAGTATTTTCTGTTGAAGACAGGGATCATGCCACATTCATCATTGTGGCACGAAGTCCAAGGCAAAGTGTCCAGGATGTAATGAGTAATGAATACATATTTGCCCTATAACCAGCTTATACATGATGAACCCATGAATAGAACTCAAGGTCTCTAGGTGTCTACCGGTCCTATAATGTGCAATGTACCAATCAGGGAACAGGGATACTTTAGTCAGCATCCGGATGGGAAAGATGGCACTGTAAATGGAGTAATTGAGAAGAGTGGCAAAGGGAATTTTTTACAAAGGTGTAGCCAAGGTTAAGGGAAACCATCAAGGGGTGATAAACATGCAGAGCAGTTACAGCAGAGACTGTAGGGCCGATGTGAGGACCGTTTACCAAACCTGCAGAGAGCCACATACAAGAGCTCCCTGAGAGGAACTGTGGCCTAGGAGGTGGGAAAACAACATGCTGCCAGTCAGGGAGGGAAGCCAAGAGGTCATCAGCTCACTTGCATCTCCTACTGTTCCTTTGTTCTCCTACAGGTGCTTCCCATTGGTCAATCCCAGCAGGAAACCAGTGGGTAAAGCATCCAGTTGTTGTTGTCTATAAAATTCAGACTCCTGAGGCTCTGAACATGGTGAAGCCAGATAGACATGGAATTAGAGGAGCAAACAAATATATATAGCACAAAGAAAGGGACTGAACTCACTTCTTCAGCAAATGAAGGCTGATGGAGGGATTCTGGAGACCAGGGTAAGATAAACTGGAAAAGGTTCAAAAACAGCAAGTAGGCCAGGCATGGTGGCTCACACCTGTAATCCCATTACTTTGGGAGGCTGAGGCTGGCAGATCACTTGAGGTCAGGAGTTTGAGACCAGCCTGGCCAACATGGCAAAACTCTGTCTCTACTAAAATAACAAACAAACAAACAAACAAAAAGCCAGGAATGGTGGCAAGTGCCTGTAATCCCAGCTACTTAGGAGGCTGAGGCACAAGAATTGCTTGAACCCTGGAGATGGAGATTGCAGTGAGCCAAGATGGCACCATTGCACTCTAGCTTGGGTGATGGAGTGAGACTGTCTCAAAAAAACAGCAAGCAGAATACAGACAGTCCTAATAAAGCGTCAAGAGTAAAAAGCTGAGAAGAATAGTAGAAACCAGATGTTATGCAATGCAACATGAACCTAGCATTGAACAGGCGATTTTTAATAAGAAATAGAGAATAGAGCCAAGAGAAGTTCTCTAAGACAATAGAGTTGGTTGTAGGGACTTTTTATAAAATACCTGCAAGTAAATAGGTTTATTTACAGGTGAAAGGAGAGCTGATGAGTCTGCAGAGCTGGTTTTGACAGCTACAAAAAGGTCTAAGATATGATTTCTAACTTTAGGAACTCTCTAAATTGCTAAGGCAAACAGTGCCAGATGTTAATTCAAGAGTGCAGTCCACATCTTAGCATCTCAGGTCTCTGAGGACGCTCCTGTAATTGCCAATCCTTATCTCTGAAAACCATTTTTGAAACATTTCCAGCAACAATACCCTGACATTCTTTGGCACCACAGGCATCATGCTTGCAAAGTGGATATTTATGCAATTATATTTTATGCTATCCAAAAAGAACTTCCAGTAAGTTGGTTGTTGTGGATTTATTTACGTTTTAATCAAATCGCTACACATGAGGCACGACTCGACATTTTATTTTCAGTCACTGTCAGCTCAATCAAGGAAAAGGTCATTTGCACAGGTAATGGTTACTCTAGAAACAAGTTTCCCCCCTTTCCCTCTGCACCACCATTTCTAGGCTTGTTGCTCTCCTATAGTACGGCAGCTCCAGAATTTTTTAATGGCAAGAGACAGAAACCCAACTCAGACTAATGGAAGCAGGAAAGGAAACTGGGAAACACAGGACTGCAGTGGGATTGGAATGCATCTTGATGCGGGGCCTGAAGGGCTCTGCCTTCTCTAAGTTCCTGTTGTCTTTGTTTGGCTCTTTTCTGTAGTCCCTCATCCCATAATGGGAATGATGATCACCTGCAATTCCAAACTCTCATCCTCCCACTTTACCAGTTCCAGGGATAAATACAGTGTCCCTTGCTGGCTGTGACAAAATTTCCTGTGATTGTCCCCAAGTTGCTCCATCTTGGTCTTGTGCTACACTTGGTCTTGTGCTCAGTCTTGGTTTTGTGTGGCAGGAGTAGGGGTAAGACAAGGTGTGAGTAAAGATTCCATTAACTCATGGAATTGCTCTCTTTCTCTGTGTCTCTTTTTCTCTCTTTTCCATCTATCTACCTACCTGTTCATCTATCTAAACATTGATATGTCTTTGAATGGAATACTAGTATTCTGAATTATGTTGACTTTGCATTGAACTGAATGGCTGAATGGAAGAAAGGAAAATAAATGAAAAGACACAAAGGGCAAAGGTATGCCATTACTCTACCTTCATCCTGCCCAGGTAACATGATACATCACAATTACTTGGAGCATTCAATCTTACAAGTCCTAGGCCTCAATCTTGTTCTTCTACCCAGTGGCCTAAGATCGGTGGGATCTTGGATATAAATATCATAAGGCACCAATATCCATCTTGTTTAATTGTAAAATTCCTCCTACACTTCTTTTTTCCTTCTGTTCTCTCTCACCTCCCAGTTTCACAGTTAACTTAGGCATGCAAACTTGTTCTTGCCAAGTGATTCAGCCCAGGGAAGCTGAAGTATGTCAATGCTGCAAAAATAAATTTATTTGCAGTTTCATATCTCATCTTAAAAATTTATCTAAATGTTTCAATCTATTCCACATTATAGTGTGTTTATTTTAATATAAAATAATGTGTCCATCTGGCCTTTAAGTAAAACTGGTAGTAGAGAAAGACAGGCCGTGCTTTCCTTTGCTTTGAACCTCCCAGGCACACTGGTCTGAATATCTCAATCCAATAAACAAGGCTGTGTTTAGTGGTTCACACAGAAACCAAACAAAGGTAAGAACAAGAAGATATAATCACTGGCTAAAAATCAATCCTATTGACTCATGATCATTTTCATATTCACTGAAATTTCACTTTCCCTGAGTGTCTTGACAATTACTGGAATTTCCCAAATGAGAGACTAGCAATTACAATTTTCCAAGAAGACACTTCCATGAGGTATTTCAAATTGTTATAATGTCCATGGTGATCTTATTATCTATTTATTTTTTATCAAGTTGACATTTTTGAGTTGAAAAAGGCTTGTGTTTATTATTTAAAGCAAGATATTTTTGTTAAAGTGAGACACTATACCTGGCAATTTGACAGTGCAGTGCCATTAGCCAATTTGAGAACATAAGGTTGTTCAGGCTGCCAGAATAAGTGCATGTGTGTTCTTGTACACTGCTGTCTTGCCATCATTACTGTGCTGCCTGGGAGGAATGCCTTTGACCAGTGTTCTCTACTACCCCTGGTTCTGTGTACATGGAAGGTCCTCCTTGTCCTTTATTCTCCTTGGCCACAGCTGGTGCGGATGTTAGAGACCGTGTCTTCTTCTGGAGCTGTAATAGCCTTTGAAGCCTAGCTCTTTTTCTTCAAAGGTTTGGCACCTAAGGATTGTTTTAGATCTCATGAAATCAAAGGATTTTTTAGACCAGAGTTGTGGTTTCTTTAGCAATGTAATCTCTTCAAAAATTAGCAGGCTTCGGGCTGGGCACAGTGGCTGGTGCCTGTAATCCCAGCACTTTGGGAGGCCGAGGCGGGTGGATCACCTAAGGTCAGGAGTTCGAGACCAGCTTGGCCAACATGGTGAAACCCCGTCTCTACTAAAAATACAAAAATTAGCCAGGCATGGTGGTGGGTGCCTGTAATCCCAGCTACTCGGGAGGCTGAGGCAGGAGAATCGCTTAAAACTGGGAGGCAGAGGTTGCAGTGAGCCGAGATCACGCCATTGCACTCCAGCGTGGGTGACAGAGTGAGACTCTCTCTCTCAAAAAAAAAAAAGTAGGTTTGGGATCCTAAATTTTGGCTCCATGTACCAGCAACCACTCACAAAGTTCTTGGATAGGAAGAGTTCTCAGACCCTGTGTGTTGCATGCATGCTCAGCGCCTCCTGCCCCTCCCCACTTTCATCCCCTCTTTCTCAAGTCAGTGGCTATTTCTTTGAGACTCTCTGGAACTGTAGGTGGGAAGTCTACATTGTTCATCCAATCTTTGCCCCAAATCACTTTATTTAACTGAGAGGTTTTATTAGACCTTTTCTTCAATGTCTTGTAATATCTCAGTTTTAACTATTTGCCATCTTCTAATGGAGCAAAACTAACTCCAATTTCAGTACTCTCTCAATTGCCTTTCAGCTCTGCTTGGCTTATTCTTATCTATTTTTCTCTGATATTTATCAGAGAAATATATTTCTTCTATATTTATCTTTGATAAATATATATTTATTTATATATATGTATATATTTTATAAATGTGTATATATACACATACATATTTGTGTGTGTTATATATATACACACAAATATATATATTTGTATTAACCTTAACTAGGAAATCATATATATATACACACACACACACACACACACAAAGTTAATACAAGTATATATATTTGTATATATTTATATATATATTAAAATATATATATATTTTAATTTTAGCCCACATGGCTCTAAAGCCAAAGTAATGTATATCTTCATGACTCATTATGCACCATTTTATTTTAGCTCATTTAAATTTTACATGATTTATTTTAGAGTTTGAGCTTACCCAATGGGAAGAGACATTAATGAAAGTTCTCAACATGGGACAAATCTGGTTCTTGCCTAAGGAAAATTTTTCCTAAATGCCATAGAGGAATGATTGGATCACTGACTGAAACATTTGCCAGGAAGTACATCTGTATAAGAAAATATTGTCATTCATTCACAAATTAATTTATTCATTCACCAAAATTTAATAAGTGCTTAGTATGTGCCAGACACTGAACTAAGCAAAAAAAAAAAGCTATAAATAATTCATTCTTCCTATAGGAGTAGGAACAGATTGTATGCTTGTGGAGTCAAATTTATTATTATCCATATTTTTATGAATAAAAAATTGGAGTTTGATAAGTTACCTTAGATGCTCTACATCCTCCATTTAGAAAAGGAAATTATAGAGTCAATACAGGCATCCAGGGCTATCTCATGACAGCAGATACACTTTCAACTCCTTCGCTAAATCAGTGAGGTTGCAGGTAGGAACAGCTGATAGACTCAAAATGAGTAAGTCATAGCAAGTTTAAAAGAGGGACTAGGCCGAGCACGGTGGTTGATGCCTGTAACCCCAGCACTTTGGGAGGCCGAGGTGGGTGGATCACCTGAGGTCAGGAGTTCGAGACCATCCTGGCCAACATGGTGGAACCCCGTCTCTACTAAAAATACAAAAATTAGCCGGGCATGGTGACTGGTGCCTATAATCCCAGCTACTTGGGAGGCTAAGGCAGGAGAATCACTTGAATCCGGGAGGCAGAGGTTGCAGTGAGCCGAGATCACGGCACTGCGTACCAGCCTGGGTGACAGAGCAAGATGCCATCTCAAAAAAAAACGGGGGGTGGGGGGGTGGGGAGGGTGCTAGAAACAAAAACATGGATGGACAAAGTATAAAGAAACACAGAGATAATGTAGTGCACTAGAGCGCTAGAGCTGGTAAAAATTGAGCACCATTAACACTTATAGGCCTGAAAAGAAAAGACAGGGGGCAATTACTGGAAGCCAGAGAACGGATGCTACCTGATGGAAAATAAGAACTTTGGTCACGGGTACAGCCAGCCCACTGTGACCCCACTGGGAGGGAGTCAGAAAATAAACATTCAAAACGTCCCTTCCTTTAGTCTCCTGCCATTGTTCCTCATTGGCCAAAACAAGTCAGAACCTGATAGCAAGGGAGTCTATTGATGAGTTAATTTTTATAGTTCAGCCTCCTGAATAACAGAAGAGAGCAGGAAAAGGAGAAAGGTGAAGTTGAGGGGAACATCAGAAGATATACAGGGTAAAAAGTGGAGTGGAAAGTCTCTGAGATGGTAAGGAAGACAGCTAGCATGACCACCTTAAGTAAGTGGTAAACTCACCTAATTCCACAGCATTTTTTTGAAAACGATATTTATCAAGATTTTACAATGGATCCAACTTAATTTTCACAGAAACAACACTTTTATGATAAATATAACTTTGCTTTATTAATATTTAATTATTTTATTATAGGCATACCTGAACTGGCATAAAGAGGTTCGGGATCATACATATTTGACCCTTAGCACATGCCTCAATGAGCGATAGCTGAAGCCTGCAGGCATACCACAGGTGTGGTATCCCGCGATGTCAGTATCCAGTGCGATGGTCATGGTGGTTTACCAAATGATGACGCATGTTGGTGAAACCAGCAAATCCGATTTAAAGGGCTGGGAAGAGTGCTTCTAGTGGTGTTTTGTGTGGAGCACCTGGCTGTTTTTGCTTGGTACAAAGCAAAAACAGTTAAGTAGAGAAACATTTATCTGGCCAGATTACTCAGTCATTTTTCCTAATTTTTTCTTCCTCTAGTATCAACAGCCTTCAGCTTCTTATCGGAGCTGTCACTGGTGGTTAATATCTGTGTGGTCCTCATGTCTGAACATTTCACAGGTCAGCACCTCCTCTACTGCATGCTCAGTCCATTTTAACAGATCAGTTTTGCAGGCAACATAAATGATTAATGGATCTTGCGGGGTAATCTAGCAGCTTGTTTAATGTTTCTGACCTAGGTGCTTTAAAACTCATTACTGGTACCTATTGAAGCTTTTCTAATGGATTTTAAAATAGATTTCACTACTGTTAACATGTTTCTGCTCTTATGAGGTCTTCATTTTCATGTACCTTGTTTATATGTTGTTAGTTGTAATTGTTAGTCACTATCAAAAGACTTACATTTTTAAAAAAGTCAGTCTACATTCAGGGTGACAATTTATCATGTTCCACTTAGAAAAGAACGACATTTAGTGCAAAGTTACGCGCCTAGGCAATGGGCATTTGGCACAAGTACACACATTTTAAAAGTAGAATTTCTGTTTTTATTATTTAAAGCCAGGTCTACACTCAGATAGTGCCCTGGCCTATTCCTTACAACGGACATTGATTTTTCTCGTTCAACACGTTCTTCCACGCGGCTGTGATGAGGCTGCAAACCCGTTGTTCTGCCTCTCTTTTTTATGGGCAGGGACATGCTCTAGGCTGGCCCATCAGATAAACTATTTTCACCAATCACTGTGATTGATTCAAGAATGAGCATGTTACTCAAGCACATGGCCAATCGTTTTCTTGGAAGGTTTAATATATGGATGACAGAAGAGATTATGTATCTTTCTTCCTCTGGGATTACAAACAATAAAGGTGATGGAAACTGGAGCTGTCATAGACACTCTTCCTTCATACACAGTGGAAGCCATCTGCACTAGGAGAGTGTAGGAATAACTCAGAAAGATAGGCTCGTAATTTAGTGCATAAAGAAAAAAAAACTTTATTACCATTCCTTTCTCTGATGGATAGTATAAAATCTAGAATCTTCTGCATTCCTTTATGACTTTTTTTTTTTTTTTTTTTCCTGAGACAGAGTCTCACTCTGTCACCTGGGCTGTAGTGCAGTGGTCCGATCTCAGCTCACTGCAACCTCCGCCTCCTGGGTTCAAGTGATTGTCCTGCCTCAGACTCCAGAGTAGCTGGGATTACAGGTGCCTGCCACTAAGCCCAGCTAACTTTTTGTATTTTCATTAGAGACAGGGTTTCACCATGTTGGCCAGGCTGGTCTTGAACTCCTAACCTCGTGATTCGCTCACGTCGGCCTCCCAAAGTGCTGGGATTACAGGCATGAGCCACCGCGCCTGGCCCTTGTATAACTCTTTTATGCTAGTTTAGACTTCAGCCTTTGGGGCTTTAGACATCTCTTAGCTTAAGAAGGCCAGGAAACCCTGACGGGCATTCATCCAAGACTGCATTCTGTGGGGAAGAAAAACTGAGGTTAACAAAAGAAGAACAAATTAATGTAAATTATAGGGAAGAAAACAAAAAAGAATTAGAAACAAAGAAAATTAAAAGCCATAAGCAATAAGCTTCTAAATCTAGATTGAAAACCAAATTACAATCAATCTTGGTGATTGCCTAAATAATTAAAATAGATGAAAAACAAACAGTAACTTTTTTTAAGACTTATAAAGTCATATGCTTTTAAATTTCAGAATTCCAAAAGGACCGATGATATCAACAGCCAAGAAATGTTATAAAGAGTCTTTCTGGGAAATTGGATGCACTAACAAAAAAATCTTAAGTGAGTAAATGGAATTGTCCACTGAAAGGAGACAATTTTATGATACACTCATATTCTTAGCTGTGGAGTAACTTTGAAAATACATTTGTGGTAAGAATTTCTAAGAACGTTATCGCTAAAGATGACAAAGTATGGCAACGTTAATGTGATACCCCACTACATAGTAAAGACAAATCTTTCTCTATATTCATACTTTTGCTATATTCATACCACACTGCATTTAAGGAAATTTCATTACTAAGAGAAGGCAAGTTAAACAGAGAAGATCCAGAAAGAAATAAATGCATAGGGTTAGACCCCAGGAAAAGTGAGTGACTGCCTTATACATCCAAAGTTATTAGAAAATAAAGCATTTCACAGAAAGATGTCTAGATTGATGAAAATTTCCCTATTCAGTGACCAAATTCTTAAATGGTTTTGGAGGAAAATTTAATAAACTGAATTACATTGCACTCACTTCTTCAAAATACTATATCAAATAGAAAAACATTTTTGTTTGGTGACATGATTATTATGAATATGAATTATTGTATCATATTATAAAATAAGAAAGCCCTGAGGACTTACAAAGCATTTGGAGTTTTTCACTGATCCCAGGTATCTACACTTTCAGAATTTTGCATCTGAATTTTAATATTCTTTTTTTCTTTTTGCTTTCTTCCTGTTGAGTTGCCATTTATCTCTTCCTGTTATTGCTTGAATGCCTCAATGGCTGGTTACAACATTTTGGTGCCGTTATTTGCCAAGAGGCATTGTGTATAAGCTGGAGTCGATAAGTAAAAAGTTAAAGCCACCTGTGGTAAAGTTTGTCGGCTTTCTAAGCAGTGCTATTTGCCAGCTATTTTAGATCCTCAGAAAATTTAATTTTCTCTCTCTCTCTCGTTAGCTCTTAGTCGTTTTTGTGTATCACACTTTGCCCTGCATACAGAGGCAGCCTCATGTTTAATGTCAAAGTATATACTATTTCATATGTGCGTATATATAATACATTTGCATACATGCTATACACATATAGATCTACAGTGTAAGGTACAAAGTATATAGTATGAAGAAGAAAAAGAGTTGTTAGTTTACGATTTAATAATAGAAAGTTATACCTACATTTATATACTTGATTATGTAACAAGGAGACTGAGAATGAGAAAAATAAAGAAAAAGAAAATTTCAATATAGAAATTTCAGATGAATACAGTACTAATATTTAAATTCTGAAATTTCAACTATAAAAGAATTTCAATGTAAAGATTTAAAATTACTTTGAAAAATGTTGGCCCATATTATATTCTATAGTACTTCCAAATTACATGGACTAAGATGTTTCAGCCATAAAAATTTAGTGCCTTGGAGCAAACAGATGACTAACACAATTTACGATATTTAGAGAATTTCCTTTAGATAATAATCGTGACTCACTTGAAGCCAGAAACCAGCCTTGTTTATCTTCATCTCTTTTGCCACATCTAGCCTACCATTGCACATAGAAAGAAGATACTCAAAAAAGGCTATTTGAAAGAATGACTGTCATCCTTGGACAAACTCAAAACCTATAGCTGGCTGCCTGGCTAAACAGATGAATATATGCGTGGACATATAAATAGGTATATTAGGAAAAAATTCTTCATTAGCTATTCAATCAATTATAAACAAAAACACTTCATTCCTTCCAAAGATATTTATAGAGTCATTAAATAAATAGGTCAATAAGAAAGTCTATGCCCTGAAGAGGATTACAGTTCCTTTGAAGAACGCAATATACATTACGATATCTAAGGCTTGTTTATTTCTGTAATATTCGGCATTACAGCTACTTAAAATGTCAAATAAAACTGAAATGTATAAAATTTTGTAATATTATTTTTTACATTTATTACTTCCTTTCATTCAGAATAGTTGGTGTAGTTTGTAAACTCTAAAGTACAGTTTCACTTCTAATTATTTTCTGCTTTAAAAGACCAAAACCCTCATAAAAAAGATAAAATATGACTTGGCAAAGGTTATAAAGTCAATCTTTGATAAATCTAAAATTAAATATATTTCAGTGTTTTACATTCAGAATTAAACTTCTATTCTGCTCATTAATTCATGTATTCATTCACCAAGTGCACTGATAACTCCAGTGCATTTTTAAATGATGGCAAATTTGTGCCTATGTTCTCTACATTAACTCTGTACATTCTGATTTTGTGAATAACTGGATTCAAAATCTTCATTCTGTTATTCCAAGCTATTAGATATCTGATTACCACAAAAAGTCCAATGATCAAGTGGTTCTATTTTTAAAACGACTAAGGCAAGAAGTGCAAAAGTTTATGTGGTTAGGCTATATAGTCTGATAAACTGTTATCAAAATGAATTATTAAATAATTAACTGTATTATTGCCTAGAAACTAATAAGAGATGACAGTTGTACTTTCCTGCAGTAACAAATATTTTCCCAAGCATAACATTAATCTAACTTGTTATCTCTAGTTTAATATCTGTGTTCTCTACTAGACTGTAAGCCCCACAAGAGCAGGGAGTATTAATACTGTTTGACACTTTATGCTCAATACAACACAAAAGTGTCTAACACATAATGGTCAACCCAACAAATATTAGTTGAATGGAATAAAACTGAATAGGTGAAGCAGTGTAGAAGTCCCTTCATTTGTTAAAAATATAACAAGAAACAGTTACATATATGGGAAATTAAAACCATATCAAAAGAAATTAAAATCCCTCTATATTTTACATATGTGTTATGTATGTATAAATATGGATATAAATATATGTGTGCATGTGCTCATTTTGATGCCATATCGACATTGTCATAGTTTAAATGCTAAGAATGCAATAGTAATAATAATGGCAATAATAAAATAATATAGATAAAAATTTACTGAGTCCTAAGTATGTGTTAGGAACTATGTGCTTTACATGTATTAATTTATTTAATTTTCACAACGCTCTAGTAGGTAAATACAATTTTATCCACATTTTACAGAGAAGAAAACAGCCTAATTCTTTTCTTTTCTTTCTTTTTTTTTTTTTTTTTTTTTGAGACACGGTTACACTCTGTCACCCAGGCTGGAGAGCAGTGGGGCAATCTCACTCACTGCAACCTCTGCCTCCCGGGTTCAAGCGATTCTCCTGCCTCAGCCTCCTGAGTAGCTGGGATTACAGGCATGCACCACCATGCCCAGCTACTTTTTGTATTATTAGTAGAGAAAGGGTTTCACCATGTTGGCCCAGCTGGTCTCGAACTCCTGACCTCAAGTGATCCTCCTGCCTTGACCTCCCAAAGTGCTGGGATTACAGGTGTGAGCCACCACTCCAGGCTGGAAGCAGCCTAATTCTGTAGGTACTATAAAATAAATGGAAAGCAATGTCACCTTTATAGTTTAAACAGCTCCTCATATGACTACAGAAAAGGAAGGAAGAAAGGAAGAAAAGGAAGGAGGAACAGAAATTCCTGGCCAGAAGTTGTTAAATACACATCAGTACAGACCATTCAGTCAGAAATTAGGTTGTACCACCTGTTACAGGAAGACAAGGAAGTTTCATTGGGTGTGGCTCTGTAGTATATACACTACAGTGTATGCCACTGATGAGTAATTCTTTTTAACTTCAGATACGCTTTTTGTATTGCATAGAATGGACAGAAATGACTTAGTAAGCAGAAAATGGCAAGTTGCTCTTATTCCAGGATTTCAGATAGGCTAAAGAATTTCACAGAATCAAGCTAAAATTAGGAATAGCAGATGGAAAATAGAAGATTCTATCACAGGAAAAGGTAAAGCATGGCGGATCTATCCATTACCCTTTATGAAATGAAAACTCAGTATCTCCTGATACAAAATGGAAATCAAGTTCTGAAGGTGACTAACCCACAAGCCAAATAATGGCGATAGCTGGCAGTGACAGCTTTGCATGCCATCTTGAGGAGAAAATAACATTGAGGTATTAAATATAATTATAGATACATATGTATATTGATATAATATATAGTAAGTTTCTTTTTATATAAAATGAATCGATATAATTTCTTGGTCTCTTCAAATAAGCCAGGTGCCAGGTGGAGCACTTTTCATTGACCATCTAATTTAAGACTCCTAACATACTTTAATGATGTGTTATCATTTCCTCCTTGTATAGATGGGGAAGTGGAAGTTAATAAGCTATCCAAGCTTACATATCAAAGCAGAGAGTGTCATCTCAACATAGATAGTACCCATCTGATTCTAGTATCCACACTATTTCACTGCTCCTTACCCTTTTGTGGAAGCTAAGCTGCATTTGATAAGGACACATCAGTAGCTGGCCCAAATTCAAATATTGTAGAGGTTGAGGAGGAGGCACGGAAATAAGGCAGCAGATGACTGACATTGGTGGGGCTTGAGCTAATAAGAGGCCCACCTGGGGCCGTGTGTGACGGCCGGGCCACGTGTGACAGCTATTTGGGAGACTGAACTGCGGGAACTTTACACCCTTTAGATGTACAGTGATGGTAAAGGGGGAAACGAGGCCAATCCTTACCTCCTTGGTGTAAGCAGTGAGCAACTGTGCGTCCTAAAAAATGCACAAAGATTTCGGGAAGTGGTTTATTAATTATTTCTAGTAAGAAATTGTTGAGTTTGAGATACCTGCCATTCGGTTGGAGATACCCAGGAGGCAGATAGATATGAAAGAGTAAATCTCAGGAGAGGGATTAGTTCCATGGAAAAAGATAGTGAGAGTTGTAGCTCCAGGTAGTGGTGGTGGGAGGATGAGGGTTATTAAATGTGGCTGAGTATGTATGGAGTGGAAAAAATAGAAAACTAAGGTGAGGAACCCTAGAAATCACCAACATCTACAGAGCTCTGCCATGCTTCCTGAGGTCAAGGCTTGATTTCTTCAAGACATTCATAACTGTATGATCTTAATTATTGAACAGCTTTTATAATGATAAATTATTTTTCAATTCCAATAAAACATTATTTGGATAAATATAATATATAAATATAATAAAACATAAGTTTATAAGTAATATATTAATACAATAAATATATATCATATAGAAATTATATATAATAAAATATATAAATATAAACTGCATGGTATAAATAAGTAAATTTAATATAATTTAATGTAATAAATAATATAATGTACAGATATAAAATAAATATAAAATGAGAACATAGGTTATCAAAAATTACTCTTATAGACCTGACATTTATGTGATTGCCCTATTTATTAAGTGACCTTGTTAAAATAAAACTAGAATAATGCTGTGTGTACTTAGTTTGTGTTATAATTTTTATTTGCTTATTGAGGTTAGATTAATATACATTAAAATATACCTATTTTAGGAATGCAGTTCAATGATCTTTGGCCAGTGTGCAATCTGTGTATCTACCATGCTTGTCAAGATATAGCGTAGTTTTATTTACCCAGCAACTTTCCTCATGACCCTTTCCAATCAATATCTCCAACCTACGGAAAACCCTGTTTTGATTTCTAGCACTGTGGACTCGTTTTGCCTGCTCTAGTACTTTATAGAAATGAAACCACCTAGAATGTACTCTTCTGTCCTGCTTGCTTTGATCAGCATTAGTTTTTGGAGAGTTATCCATTTAGTTATGTGTATCAGTAGTTTACGTTGCTAAGTAGTATCACAGTTTGTTTATCTGTTCCCCTTCTGATAGATATCTGGGTTGTTTTCAATTTGGGGCTATTATGAGAAAATCTTCTCTGAACATTTTTACAAGCTTCATATGTTTTCATTTCTCTTGGGTAAACACCTAAGCACATGACTGGTAACCCATCAGCAGTACATCTGTAAAGTATATTTTACTTTATTAGAAATATCTTAAACATTATCTAAAGTGGTTTGTTCCATTTTAGACTTCCATTAGCAATGTATGTGAGTTCCAGCTTGCTGTTTATCCTTGCAAATATTTGGGGTTGTCAATCATTTTAATTTAGTCATTCTAACGCATGTGAGTTATTTATCTTTTTTGTTTTAATTTGCATTTCCTCGATGGCTAATAATGTTAAACATCTTTTCATGTGCTTTTTGGCCATTTTTGTGCCTTTTGTGAAATGTGTGTTTAAAACTTTTGCCCACGTTTTGAAATTGGATTTTTTTAATTACTAAATTTTAGGAATTCTTTACATATTCTGCATACAAGTTACTTGTCAGGTATATGTTATATAGATATTTTCTCCCAATACCTTACTTTTCTTAAATTTCTTTAGTAGTGACTTTGAAAAGCCAAAATTTAAAATTTCGATGAAATGTGATTTATCCTTTTTTTAATTATTAGTGCTTCAGATGTCCTCTCTAAGGAATCTTTGCCTATCACAAGGTAGTAATAATAGTCTCTTATGTCTTCTAAAAACTTTATAGTTTTAGCTTTTACACCTGAAACTATGATCAATCTCAAAATGATGTTACGTAGAAGTTAAGAGTCATTTTACCAAATAGAAGTGTCTAATTTTCCCAACATCACTTATTTTCATAAAAGCCTTTCCTTATTATTTGTATTAGCACTTTTACTGAAAATCAGATGTATATGTGGATCTATTTCTGGATTTTCTATTTTGTTCCATTATCTCTTTGTCCATCCTTAAAGCAGTATCACACTATCTTAATTACTGTAGCTTCATAGTAAGTCTAAAATCAGCTAGTGTATGTCTTCCAACTTTATTTTTCTTTTAAAGTTTATCAATTTTAAGTCCTTTTAATTTCCATATGTATTTAAAATTAGATTGTCATTTTTAACAACAACAACAACAAAAAGAAACCTTGCTGGAATTTTGACTGGGATTATATTGAATCCATTTATTAGTCAATTTGAGAAGAATTGACTCCTTAATGTATTTATTTAGACTTTTACTTTTTGTCAGTGTTTCATAGTTTACATTATAGCAGTCTTGGGCATATTTCTTAGATTTATCTGGAAATATTTTGCATTTTTTAACTCTATAGTAAAACATATATTTTATAAATTACATTTTACAACTGTTCATTACTAATATATAAAAATATAAAATGATTTTTATCTTGATTTTGTATCCTGTATCCTTGCTAAATTTAGTTAGTGCTAGTAGATGTATATGTCCCTTCTATATTCTAAATATCCCTTAGGATTTTCTATGTTCAAAGCATCATCTGTGAATCAAAAGTTTTATTCCTTCTTTTCTAATCTGTATGCCTTTAATTTCTATTTCTTCCCTTAGTGCTCTTGCTAGGGCTTCCAAAGTAATGTTGAATAGTAGTGGCAAGACCAGGCAACCTTTCTTTGATCCTCATTTTAAGGGGAAAGCACTCAATATTTCATGATTAAGTATAATATTAACTGTCATCAGAATGAGGAAATTCCTTTCTTTCAATGTTGCATGTCAAGTTTACATGTCAAGGTTTTGCTGGCCTCAGAAAACAGGTTAGGAAGTGTTCCTTCCTCCTCTATTATCTGGAAGAATTTTTATAATATTCGTTCTGTTTCTTCCATATGTATTTCATTAAGTTTACCAAATTCTCCCACCAAATGGGCCAGAACTTTCCCTGTGGGAAGGTTTTTACTTACAAATTTATTATTAAATATCTTCATTATAGATGAGTTCTTCAAATTATCTGTTTATTTTTACATTAGTTTTGATGTTATATTTTTCAAAAAAAAAAGTTAATTTTATCTAACTTTTCAAATGTATTGCCAAAAATTTTTTCAGTGTATTCCCTTTCTTATCATTTTTTATTCTGGAAGAGATGCAGTCATTGTCTGCCTTTCCTAATATTAGCATTTATATTTCATCTCTCTTGTTTTTCTTGATTAGTCTTGCTAGCGGTTTATCAGTGCTTTCTGAAAAACCAAATTTGGTTTTCTGTTCCTGCATTTGTTTGCTGAGGATAACGGTTTCAAGCTCCATCCATATCCCTGCAAAGGACATGATCTTGTTCCTTTTTACGGCTGCATAGTATTCCATGGTATATCTGTACCATATTTTCTTTATCCAGTCTACCACTGAAGGGCATTTAGGTTGATTCTATATCTTTGCTATTGTGAATTGTGCTGTGATGGACATATGTGTGCATGTGTCTTTGTGGTAGAATGATTTGTATTCCTTTGGGTATATATCCAATAATGGAATTGCTGGGTCAAATAATTCTGTTTTGAGTTCTTTTAGAAATTGCCAAATAGCTTTCTGCAATGGTTGAACTAATATACATTCTCAGCAGCAATGCATAAGTGTTCCCTTTTCTGCACAACCTCACCAGCATGTTTTTTACTTTTTAGCAGCCATTTTGAATGGTGTGAGATGGTACCTCATTGTGATTTTGATTTGCATTTCTTCAATGATTAGTGATGTTGAGCTTTTTTTCACATGTTGGTTGGCCACATGAATGTCTTCTTTTGAGAAGTGTCTGTTCATGTCCTTTGCCCACTTTTTAGTGGGGTTGATTTTTTTTCTTGTAAATCTGCTTAACTTCCTTATAGACTCTGGATATTAGACTTTTGTCAGATGGATACATTGCAAAAATTTTCTCTCATTCTGTAGGTTGTTTCTTCACTTTGATTATTGATAGGTTTCTTTTTTTTTTCTTTTTTTGCCGTGCAGAAACTCTTTAGTTTAATTAGGTCCCATTTGTCAATTTTTGCTTTTGTTGCAATTGCTTTTGGCGTTTTCATCATTAAATCATTGCCAGTGCCTATGTCCTGAATGGTATTGCCTAGATTTTCTTCTAGGGTTTTTAGAGTTTGGGGTTTTACATTTATGTCTGTAACCCACCTTGAGTTAATTTTTGTATAAGCTGTCAGGAAAGAGTCCAGTTTCAATTTTCTGCTTATGGCTAGCCAGTTCTCCTAGCACCATTTATTAAATAGGGAATACTTTCCCCCATTGATCATTTTTGCCAGGTTTGTTGAGGACCAGATGGTTGTAGGTGCACAGTCTTATTTCTGAATTCTCTGTCTGTTGCATTGGTCTATGTGCCTGTTTTCATACCAGTACCATGCTGTTTTCGTTACCATAGCCCTGTTGTATATTTGAAGTCAGGTAGTGTGATGCCGTCACCTCCAGCTTTGCTCTTTTTGCTCAGGATTGTCTTGGTTATATGGGCTCTTTTTTGTTCCATTTGAACTGTAAAATATTAAAAAAAAATTCTGTGAAGAATGTTAATGGTAGTTTAATGGGAATAGCATTGAATCTATAAATTACTTTGGGCAGTATGACCATTTTCACGATATTGATTCTTCCTATCCATGAATATGAAATGCTTTTCCACTTGTCTGTGTCCTCTCTGATTTCCTTGAGCAGTGGTTTGTAGCTGTCCTTGAAGAGGTCCTCCACTTCCCTTGTTAGCTGTATTCCTAGGTATTTTATTCTTTGTAGCAATTGTGAATGGGAGTTCAGTCATGATTTGGTTCTCTGCTTGCCTGTTGTTGGTGTATAAAAATGCTAGTGATTTTTTCACATTGATTTTGTATCCTGAGACTTTGCTGAAGTTGCTTATCAGCTTAAGAAGCTTTTAGGCTGAGATTGTAGGGTTTTCTAGATATAGAATTATGTCATCTGCAAATTAAGATAATTTGACTTCCCCTCTTCTTATTTGAATACTGTTTATTTCTTTCTCTTGCCTAATTGCCCTGGCCAGAACTTCCAATACTATGTTGAATAGGAGTTCACCACACCTTTTCAATATAGTACTGGAAGTTCTGGCCAGGGCATTCAGGCAAGAGAAAGAAATTAAACGCATTCAAATAGGAAGATAGGAAGTCAAACTACCTTGTTTGCAGATAATATGATTCTATATCTAGAAAGTCCCATAGTCTCTGCCCAAAATCTTCATGATCTGATAAACAACTTCAGCAAAGTTTCAGTATTACAAAATCAATGTACAAAAATCAGGAGCATTCCTATACACCAAAAACATCCAAGCTGAGAGCCAGCCACAGAAATAATAAAACACCTAGGAATATAGCTAAACAGGGAGGTGAAAGATCACTACAACAAGAATTACAAAACACTACTCAAAGAAATCAGAGATTATACAAGCAAGTGGAAAAAAGTTCCATACTCATGGATAGGAAGTATCAATATTGTTAAAATGGACACATTTCCCAAAGCAATTTATAGCTTCAATGCTATTCTTATCAAACTACCAATGACATTCTTCACAGAAGTAGAAAATCTAATTTAAAATACATATGGAACAAGAAAAAAATGTCTGAATAGCCAAAGCAATCCTAAACAAAAAGAACAGAGCTGGGGGCATCAAGCTACCTGACTTCAAACTATACTACAAGGCTACAGTAACCAAAACAACATGACACTCATACAAAAACAGAAACATAGACTGCTGGAACAGAATAGAGAGCCCAGAAATAATGCTGCACACCTACAATCATCTTATCTTCGACAAAGTTGACAAAAACAAGTAATGAGGAAAGAATTCCCTATCCAATAAATGGTGCTGGAATAACCGGGTAGCCACATGCAAAAGGCTGAAACTGGACCCCTTCTTTACACCACATATAAAAATCAATTCAACACGGATTAAAGATTTAAATTCAAACCCTAAAACTAAAAGAACCCTGAAGATAGCCTAGGGAATAGCATTCTGGACTTAGGACCAAGGAAAGGTTTCTTGACAAAGGCACCAAAAACAATTGCAACAGAAAGAAAAATTGACAAATGGGACCTAATTAAATTAAACAGCTTCTGCCAGCAAAAGAAACTATCAACACAGTAAACAGACAACCTACAGAATGGGAGAAAATATTTGCAAACTATGCATCTAACAAAGGCCTAATATCCAGAATCTGTAAGGAACTCAAACAAATTCAGAAGCAAAAAACAACCCTATTAAAAATTGGGCCAAGGACATGAACAGGCACTTTTCAAAAGAAGACATATACACAGCCAACAAAGATATGAGAAAATGCTCAACATCACTAATCATTAGAGAAATGCAAATAAAAACCACAATGAAATATGATCTCACACCAGTCAGTATGGCTATTATTAAAAAATAAAAAAACAGATGCTGGTGAGGTTTTGGAGAAAAGGGAATGCTTATACACTGCAAATAGGAACATAAATTAGTTGAGCAACTGTGGAAAGCAGTTTGGATATTTCTGAAATAACTTAAAATAGAATTTCCATTCAACCCAGCAATCCCATTTTTGGGTATACATCCAAAGAAATATAAAACATTCTACCATAAAGACACATGCACGTGTATGTTCATTGTAGCACTATTCACAATATCAAAGACATGAAATTCCATCAACGGTAGCCTGGACAAAGAAAATGTGATACATATACAACATGAAATACTATGCAGCCACAAAAAAAGAATGAGATCATGTCTTTTGCAGCAATATGGATAGAGCTGGAGACCATTGTCCTAAACGAACTAACACAGGAACACAAAACCAAATACTGCACGTTCTCACTTATAAGTGAGAGCTAAACATCGAGTACACATGGATATAAAGAAAGGGACAATTGATACCATGGCCTACTTGAGGGTGGAGGGTGGGAAGAGGGTGAGGATTGAAAAATAACCTATCCAGTACTATGCTGATTACCTAGCTGACAAAATAACCTGTACACCAAACACCTGCAAGATGCAATTTATCTATTTAACAAAGCTGCACATCTACCCCTGAACCTAAAATAAAAGTTAAAAATAATAATAAAATACATTTTAAAAGGGGGAGTAAAAAGGATGTATACTTGCATGTGTGTCAGGAGGTAGGCATGAACAATTACTAGCAAATATACATTTGTTTTAAAATGAGCACCTACAATTGGTACAAGTATTTCCAATAATCTGAGGATATCAGCTAATATTAAACTTGTTCAATTTTTTTTAAACTTAGAATGTAATTGATATGGTGAGAAAGTTGCCTTGTTGGTCCAACCACTGTTAGACAAGGCTAAGCAGAACCAAAAGCTTTCCTTTCTACCTGCATGCAACACCATGTGCCTCTTCCCTCAGTTTTCTGCATTTAATTCTTTTTTACATCTACTTTAATCTATTCTAACTCTTAAATGATGTAAAGGTTGACCCACTAACATTTCTGCATTGCTCCTCTTTCCAATGTACACTAAATACCTGTGTTCATAGATGTTACTAGCATCTGCTTCACTGAATCAACTGCATGGCTGAAAAAGAATTTGTAGGATGAGAGAGGGAGTTTTCTAATCTTTGGTCTCAAATGATAACACACACAGTAAAGTACATGGCTTTGATCCAACCCTCTTTATATATACATTATGTATTTTTACTTCCTTGTGTCAAGAAACAAGTAATGCTTTACCAAGAATGTAGACTAACTGGTTTGATTAGTTTTATTTCATTTTAAAAATATTAATGAAAAGGAACAGAAAGCAAATGTTTAATTTTAGTTTCACAAAAACCTACATGTGTAATGTTAACATCTGTTGAACACTGAAAAATACATTAATGAACAGCTATTTCATTAAAGATAAAAAAGGGAAACAATAGCTTAAAATAAGCCTGTGTTATATCAATACACACTCTGATTAAGAAAATATTTTTATTACTAACCTATTGCATTTGGCTTATGTGATTTTCTGCATCAGTTAGTTTTGTGACTAAATATTTCTCATGTATTTTTCTCACCAAAATACTTTTATAAAGCATATATTTTAGGAATTTTTATTTTCCTGTAAATTTAAGAATTAAAGTCCCAAAAAGAAGGAAAGAAAGCCCTTATATTGTGAGTATTGCTCTTCTTCTGTATTTTCTTGACAAATCACCATCCTGTTAATATGTGTAAAGTACCTATTATGTGTGTGGTTTTTCTAGTTAATATGCACATTATTCTGAGATACCAAGCATATAAAAATGATAAGACACAGTCCAGCTTGGAACATACTTTTAAAAGGAAAAAAAAATCTATTAGCTATTTTTAAATATTTATTTTTTATCTGAAAATCAACAGATTCACTTATTATATGGTGTTCAGTGAAACTTAAAAATTTAAATAATACACATATGTCAAGGCAACACTTTCCCCTACTCAAGGACCATAATTAAACTGAACTTATTTATAGGATGAACAGCTCATTCAGGTTTGCCCAAGAATGTACCAGTTTTAAAGGTGAGGTCTTATATCCTGAAAACTCCCTCAATCCTGCACAAGTTGGAACAGGTGGTCACCCGACTTACACATGACCAGATCCAGGAAAGTTCAATTTAAAAAATACAAAGGGAGTTTCTCATATATGCTTAGCACTCTGCTAGGAATAGCAGGGAATAGTATGTGAACTAACCCATATCTCAAACTAAAAGCTTGATCTTACAAGGTAACACATATAGTTAAATACTATGTTTTAGTTTTATTTATCTCTTTATTTGAAAAAGCAATAAGAAATTTCAATGCCTTATACCACTGAAACAACAAAAAAATGCAAACCTTCAAATCATCCAGTTCTCAGGGGCAATCCCTACAGTAGTCATTTCAGTCTTGTAGTACCACATTCTAGGCTAGTCATGCTAGAAATGTCAGTTGAACACAAGCACTTTATAATTACTGAGGGAACAATAACTTTGAATTAGTTCACCTTGGGGTTTTGTACCTATATTTTTAAGCCACAGTGTGAATTAATATCTGTTTTCATACTAATTTACAGTAAATGTTTCAGGACATGAAGGAAAGTTATTCTATCTTTTGCTTCTTCAAAAATGTTGCCACTAAAGTAATTTGGAACCTAAAGCAAACACTTTAACTCAATCCAAGTGTGTTATATTTCCCTTTTATGTAACTAAGATAAAAACTGGTGAGCTTTGGCTTACCATTGGCTTTTGAAATTGCACTGTCTTCTTTCTTTTTTTGAGACAGGGTCACACTCTGTTGTCCAGCCTGGAGTGCAGTGGCATGATCTTAGCTCACTGCAACCTCCACCTCCCAGGTTCAAGTGATTCTCATGTCTCAGCCTCCTGAGTAGCTGGAATTACAGGAGTGAGCCACCACACCCCACTAATTTTTGTATTTTTAGTAGAGATGGAGTTTTGCCATGTTGGCCAGGCTGGTCTCAAACTCCTGACCTCAGTGATCCTCCCAGCTTGGCCTCCCAAAGTGCTGGAATTACAGGCATGAGCCACCGTGCCTAGCCCAAATTTGCACTAGTTTATTGACTGAAGGAAGTGAGCTCTTCATTTCAATTGGGCCACTCAGAGCTTCATATTCATATTTTTCTGTTTTTGTGGTTTTTCTAGACAATAGATTTTGATATTATTTAATACTGAATTTGTGATAAAATACCTAGCCAAAATAGAAGCAGCAAATCTTTGAATAGTCACTGATAATTATCTTAGGTCTTCAATGAAGAGTTGCTAAGGAAATACTCCAAGCAAAATAATTTTATTTACTAAGGTTATTAAGATTCTTATAAATAATAAATAACATTTATTCATTCTCACTCTGGGATAGCGTATCTACACTTGATTATCTCATAGACATCTCAGATTTAACATGTCCAAAAATAATAGCTCATTTTCTTTTTTCTCAAACCAGTCCTCCTTTCTCCTCCTGTCCTCTCCTCTTCTCTGTAAATGGCATGGTCATCCCATCTGCCTAAGCCAAAAGCCTAGGATTCTGTCATGAGTCCCACTTTCTCCTCTCCATTCCCTTGTGCTAATTGCCATCAAGACCTCTTTATCTTACCTTGAATATCTGGAATCTATGTCCTTCTCTCCATCGCCACTCATACCACCTTAGACCAAACTACCAGTGTTCCTTTTCTGAATCAATAGCCTCCTAACCATGTACCCTCCACTCTTGCCCATTTTAAATCCACACAGTGTTAAAAGTACAAATGTTCCTCAACTGACGATGGGGTTATGTTCTGATAAACCCATCATAAGTTGAAAATATAAGTTAAAAGTGAATTTAACACACCTAACCCACCAAACATTATAGTTTAGCCTAGTGTACCTTAAACATGCTCCAAACACTTACATTAGCCTACAGCTGGGCAAAATCATCTAACACAAAGCCCATTATGCAATAAAGTGTTAAATATCTCATGTTATTTATTGAATATGCTACTGAAAGTGAAAAAAGAATGATTGTACTCAATGTACAGTTTCTTTGGGATGTTTATTTCTTTTGCACAACTGTAAACTTGAAAATCCTAAGTTGAACCATTGTAAGTTGAACCATCATAAGTTAAGGACTGTCTGTATACTTAAAATATACATTGGGGTCACTTACCTGTTTCAAAGCCTGGCAATGATTTTCTACTGCACTTGGAAGAGAATTCAAATTTCCAAACTGGGCCTGTAATATCCTTCATGACCTTTCTTTGCCTGTCATTTCAGGTTTATTTTCTGCCTCTCTGTTGATATGCTGCTGGCTTTATTCACATGGATTCTGTGAACAAGACAAGGCCCTTCCCAGGGCTCCACAGAAACACCCTCTCTCTCCCACCAAATTTTCTCCCTGTTACTGCATCATTTACATGTCACCTTCTCAGAGATGCCTTTCCTGATCACTCTACTGAGAATGGGATGCACTACCCTGATCACTCTGTCATTTTTACAACTTATAACCATTTGCTTATTTGCCTCTGTACTATTTTTGGTATGTTCCATAAGATTATAAGGTCCATGAAGCAGAGGCTAGGTGCCCTGCACACATGTCTGTTTGTAGTACCTAGAGCCATGACTAAAACAAAATAAGTGTTAAATTAGTACCTGCTACAGAGCCCAAGTTCTTACTGGTCCTAAGATTCTGCAAGAACCAAAGGCTCAGGGGAACTGGCAAAAATCAAACATGAGCCTTAAAGGCCTCTCTTCTACCTGATGAGAAATTATAAAATTCTGATTTCTCTAATTTTACCATTCTTTCTACATTTCTTAGCTGTAATTCTTCCATTGCAAAGGAGACTTATGCTGCATATGTTTCATATACTTCATAATGTGGGTACTTGAAATTACTAAATAACATGAATTATGAAACTCAGACAGGAACTTTGAATAGACTTAACAAAAAAAATTCTGAGAGTAAGAGAGGAAAAATATTGGCTATTTTTCCTGCCATTCTTGGTCAAGACTCTTCCTCTTATCTAGGCAATAGAGTAACTATTACCTTCTTATGGGATCAGTAATGAGAAATTGTGCATTTTCTATTAGAATAAATTATACTTATTAGAACAGTAGGTAAGCCTCCCTACATAGAAATTACATTGAAATATCATGATTTTCTTGTTTAAGTCTTGAGAGTAATAGTTTCAAGGCTTTCTTGTTTAAGTCATGAGTTTAGTATTATTGGTAGAATCACCATGAGCTAAAATTTCTTCAAACACCAAAAGTGATTCACTTACTCATTTACCCATGAAACTTTCCCCTCTCTATATTCTCTTTATAGATAATCTAAAAAGAGAGACTTGAGGACATCATTTTAGAGGGAGAAAAAGGGAAGTGGTTTCTTTCTCACCTAAATTCTACTATTTTACCCATAAATGAACCAGTAAAATGAACTGAGCAACAGCTCTAAACACAAGTATAGCACCACCACAGATCTGGATGAATCAATCAGCCTCAAGCCATAAATCAGCAAGAGCCTGTGCAAACCAGAGCTCACTCAAGATAAAGAACACTAGTTGTGATAACAGAAAAAAGCTCAAGTTTTAGGAAAAAAGTATATAATAATGGTTTCCACCATCACATTTGCTTGGGATTGGTGTCAGCTTCTGGGGGACTGTTTAGATTTGCTTGGGAAAAGCTGGCCATATGAAGGAAGTGCTGATTCTCCTGATTGGTGGGTACACAGGAAGTTGTATGTAGGAAATCTAGATTTTCCTTACAGAATTTTTATCATAAAGACCAATGCATCCATAGGTCTACAGTATAGGAATTCATCTGCATATGAAACAACCTTCTAGGAAACAAATTACCTTAAGAAAGAAGTTAATATTGAGCCACACAAGAAGCTCAAGGCTAAATGAAGAAAGAACAAGAAAAGATTTAAAGGTACAGTCCCTCTTCTCTTTCCAAAGTCCACTGCTGGAGCCTATGCTATCACCTTAGCAAGGAATGCCATTACAAAAAGAAAGAGGAGTCAGATAAGATACTAGGAACGAGGCAATAAGTGCTACTTGGTATCTCTCTAGAGAGGACGTTTTCTCAGCATGAAGCACAGAGTGGATTTGGCTCATTAAAGACTACAGAAAACCCAATAAAGCTTTGTCACACTTAAGGTTCCAGCCCTGTAGTTCCACCAAGAATTTTGGTCAGTATCCAAAACTCCCTTGCTCTGTTGTCCTTTTGTTTTCCTACATGGCAAACGGCCAACCAATAGTCAAGAATTGAGCTATCCATCTCCTCTGTAATGGCACCGGGTTGTTGAGTACTGCTGGGGAAAGCCCTATTATTGGAAAAATTGATACCACTATGAATTTATGTTCAACACTCTCAACTGAGCCCTAAGTATGGATCTGAAGTTAATGCTGCCCCAGTACAATGCTAGTCATTGTGCACTGCCCCTTTGCTATGGTCTGAATGTGTCCCCCAAAATCATATTTTGAAACTTAATCATCAGTGTGATAGTATGAAAAGATGGAACTTTTAGGAGGTAATTAGGTCATGAGAGCAGAGCTCTCATGAATGGGATTAATGCCCTTAGAAAAGAGGCTTTAGAGAGCTTCCTAGCCCTTTCTTGCCATCCCACTCTTCCACCATGGAAGGACAGAATGTTTGTCCCTTCTGTCATATGAGTATACAGCAAGAATGCTCTCACCAGACACCAAATGCCATGGTCTTATACTGGACTCTTTAGCCTCCAGAACTGTAAGAAAATGAATTTCTGTTCTTTAGAAATTACCCAGTCTCGGGCCGGGCACGGTGGCTCTTGCCTGTAATCCCAGCACTTTGGGAGTCTGAGGCGGGTGGATCACGAGGTCAGGAGTTCGAGACCAGCCTGACCAACATGGTGAAACCCCGTCTCTACTAAAAATACAAAAATTAGCCGGGTATGGTGGTGCGTGCCTGTAATCCCAGCTGCTCAGGAGGCTGGGGAAGGAGAATTGCTTGAACCCAGGAAGCAGAGGTTGCAGTGAGCCAAGATCATGCCACTGCACTCCAGCTTGGGCAACAGAGTGAGACTCTGTCTCAAAAAAAAAGAAAAAAAAGAAAAAGAAAAAGAAGTTACCCAGTTTCGGGTATAGTAGCACGAATGGACTAAGACATCCTTCTTACAATAATTCTTCTTCTGCAATTTTCAAACCTCTAATTTTTCTTCATCGTCCCTCCTTCTCAGCAGATGAGCTAAAGAAATTCCCCAAATTCAGAGAAACACAGAAGCCATCAATGAACAGAGCCTCAATTCTCAGTCTTGGAAAGTACAAAAATCCTCAAATCAACTCCAAATTTTTTCCCATTATTTTGATGACCTTTTTAGGAAGCTATCATGTTTATTAATAATTATCTCTCCTCATCATCATCAGTTATGTGCGTCTGTTGTTTACATGTATGTATATATGTATATTTATGTATTTTCCTTCAAACCTAACTCTTCTTTCAGTTACCACCCTAACTCTTTCCCTTTCTAAAGCAAAATTTCACAGATAGTTTTCTATCTTCACTCTGTGATTCCTCACCTCTCCTGCCTATCCTAACCTACTCCTACCATTTACTAACATAGTTCTTGTCAGGTGACTAACAATGTAAACATTACTAAAAAGTATAATTTTAAAAGTAAACATTACTAAAGTATATTCTTAAGTCCTTGTTTTATCTCATCCAACAGGATTTATTTTTCTTGAACTAGTCATTTCATCTGGCTTCCCTGATGCCTCTGCTTTTGTTTTTTTTTTTGTTTTGTTTTGTTTTTTTCTGAGACAGAGTCTCGGTCTGTCACCCAGGCTGGAGTGCAGTGGCACGATCTTGGCTCACTGCAACCTCCGCATCCCAGGTTGAAGCGATTCTCCTGCCTCAGCCTCCCGAGTAGCCTGGACTACAGGCACATGCCACCATGCCTGGCTAATTTTTTGTATTTTTAGTAGAGACGGAGTTTCACTGTGTTAGCCAGGATGGTCTCGATCTCTTGACCTCATGATCTGCCTGTCTCGGCTTCCCAAAGTGCTGGGATTACAGGAGTGAGCCACCATGCCTGGCCTGCCTCTGCTTTTTCATGTTTTTCTTCTTTTTCTCTGATCAAACTAGTTTCTATTACTGGGTCACACTCATCCAAATAGCAATTGGATGTAGGAGTTCCTTGGGGCTTGGTATAGTATCCTCTGTCCACTCTCTTCCTAGGTAATCACTAACATTCTCCTACTTTTCATTACCTATTTGTCTGCAGTCCAAACCTATGTCTGAGTCCCTGGACCTACAGATCTGACTGCATTTTCATTTGAATTTCTCACAAGCACCTAAAATTTTGCTTTCCCAAGGAAGAATTCTTGCTCCTTATTCATTTCTCATGGACATTCATGAGACTGTATATTCATTCTTAATATTACCTTCCTTTTATCATCTCACACAGTCACCCAGTCCTGCCAACTCTACCTCTAAAATCTCTCTCAAACCCGTCTTCTTCTCTCCATCTCTAGTGGCAACACGCAAATACATGTCTCCATCATCTTCTGTCTGTCACAATATAATGAAAATATAATATCCTTCGAACTGGCCTCCTGCATCTAATGTTGCCTTTCAGGTCACCACTGATTCTTTAAAGAGGTCCATAGGACCTCTTTAAAACCATCATTGTGATTATAAAGGCTCTCTACTAAATTGCTTTAAAATATTCCCCTTATCTTTAGGATAAAGTCAAAAATTCCTAATATTTCTTTTAAGACTTTGCTTGAATTGACTGCAATTTACTTTTTGCTCCTCTTATACAATTGTCTTCTGATATGGTTTGGCTGTGTCTCCACCCAAACCTCACCTTGAGTTGTAATAATCCCCACATGTCAAGGGCAGGGCCAGGTGGAGATCGTTAAATAATGAGGGTGTTTTCCACCATACTGTTCTAGTGGTAGTGAATAAGTTTCACGAGATCTGATTGCTTTATAAATGGGAGTTCCCTGTGCACACTCTCCTGCCTACCATCACGTAAGACACGGCTTTGCTTTTTCTTTGCCTTCCACCGTGACTGTGAGGCCTCCCCAGCCATGTGGAACTGTGAGTCCGTTAAACCTCTTTCCTTTATAAATTGCCCAGTCTCAGGTATGTCTTTATAAGCAGTGTAAGAACAGACTAATACATCTTCTTTTCAGCCCTATTAAGCTTTCTGGAGGCTCTGAGCGTAGTATGCTCCTTTTCTTGAATGTTCATACAGGCAGTTGCTCCTGCCTACAAAGCTCTTTTTCTTTTCTGTGCCAACACACTCTTTGTGTCCCAGGTTAATGACCTCCTCCTTGAGGAAGTTTTCCTCACCATCACCATTCCCTCAGGTCAGGCTTTCCATACCCTTGTATCATAGTCCTCTGTGCTATCCTGGAACATCAAGTTTCCTCACCACCACCATTCCCTCAGGTCAGGCTTTCCATACCCTTGTATTATAGTCCTCTGTGCTATCCTGGCACATCAAGGCTCGAAAATATTTGTTCACTGACTTTTTATAGTTATATTTATTTTTTTGAGACAGAGTTTCGCTCTTGTTGCCCAGGCTGGAGTGCAATGGTGCAGTCTCAGCTCACTGCAACCTCCGCCTCCTGGGTTCAAGTGATTCTCCTGCCTCAGCCTCCCAAACAGCTGGGATTATAGCATGTACCACCATACCCTACTAATTTTGTATTTTTAGTAGAAACAGGGTTTCACCATGTTTTTCAGGCTGGTCTCAAACTCCTGACCTTAATTGACCTACCTGTGTTCACTGACTTTTTAATTCACTCCTGGTCCATACTTTAGCCTAAAAGCTACTAAATACTGATGTGAATTGGGAGTAACGGAGAACTATTTACCTTAGCATTTGTCCCGGAGTCGGTCTTAGTCAAAAGAGATATGTTAGTTGAAAATGGAAAACTCCCTTCCCCCATGCTGTCAAGAGAGGCCGTGGTAATTTGCTATGTGGCCAAATGCTGTCAAAATTCTCAGTTTCTCCTCTACTGAAATGTGGTAGCTAGGCAACTTTGATAACATTTGGAACCAACCCACACAAATTTCATTCCAAGTCCAGATCAAGTGCCAAAGCTGGTTGGTTTCATTTCAGAGACACCCTCCCTAAGGCCATGAAGATGAGCCAAATGTCTGTGAAGAAATTGTTATAACTACCTATGCTTTCAGCATGCACAGGTATAATGTTTTATTGACTTAATTATATGACATAGTGTCTGCCACAATACGTGAAAGGCTTAGGGATTCCTACTATAAAATGAGGATGTAAATAATTGTCCTGCTAATATGGCATTTATTTGAAAAACTGGCTGCATATTGCAACACTGTAAGCAAAAACGGCAGTCATTTCAAGAGGGCTTTTTGATACATGACATTTTTTCTGTAATATTGGTCCTGTAAGTACATTTAAAATGAAGTAATGAATCAAATGTCTTGTGCATATATACTTTGACTGAAGATAATGATTTTACGATGGAAACAGCTACTGCAACAAGATTATTCAGGCAAACCTTTATCTTTCCATGGATTCAAATTAGCTGAAGCCTGGACATACCACTAAGGGACTCTCTGGATGTCACCAACATTAATATGATTGAGTTATCAATTTTAAAGATTGATAATGACAGCTGAATGTTCTGTCCCCTCAAAATGTTCTAATGTGAATTGATTGAGTGCTTCCTTGTAAAGAGAGAGTGTTAAGTGAAATACTATTTATTCCATGATACAACTGTGTTTTCATACATAATTAAAACTTCCCATTTGGGCAAGAAGAGTGCTGTGATGGAGTTGGTTGATTAGAGATTCCTTTTTAAATGAATTATTAACCTAGCTAGTCAATTATTTTTCTACCTTCTAATTTTATTTTGCCTGATATTATAAGCACATTCTACCTTTCCATAATATTTTTGATTAATCTAGAAAAAAGTGTTTTATTTCTAACAAGGCCATATATATTTTGTTCTTTCCAAAATCTATCCATAAATGGGAAAAAAAATCTCATTATACTGTGTGATTATCCTTAGTCTCTAATGGACTATTAGCCTGGGATTTGCTCAATAAAGCAAACATACCACTATAAAAATAATGACTATATATTTCTCAGACTCACAAAATTATATATTCTCGATGACAAGCTCTTTTAAAAAGCAATAAAATATCCAAGTTTTTAAATACAGCTTCAATTTTTAAAAATTCTTCCCTGACTTATTTATGCAAAATTAACAACTGAAAGTTCTACTCCACTTTAGTATATGCTTTAGCTGGTTTTAGAATAAACATATTTTTCTAAATCTGTTTAACACAAATAGCAGTAGTTAATTTAACAGATAGGAATTGGGGCATGTCTGTCACTTATATGACAACAGGATCAGATCCAAAAAAAGTTTGGTACCAAGTAATTGAGAAACTGCCTAAATGCATTTTGGGCTTTGATTTCTGAACAATTTTCAAGAAGTTCAATCCTGGGCCAATTATGCAGTATCATGCTTGGAAAACAGGAAACTGCCTTAGAGGAATTTGTTACCATCATTTATAAGATATCTCAGACAGCTCATTCAAGGATAGATAAGGTGTTTTTCTCTGAAGCAGCTGTTATTGTACTGGAAAGCAAAATATTCACAAGACTAGGATACGGAGCTTGGCTCCCCCATGTACTATTCCCATGTATAACCTTGGGCAAGTCATTTAATGTCCCAGGTTCAATTTTATCATCCTTACAAAGTCTATAATAATACCTGCTTCAAAGGATTGCTATAAGGCTCATATAATATAATAAATGGAAAAGTGCTTTCTGTTGTAAAAGACTCAACTCATCTAAGAGATAATGGTTATTATTTTCCATACACTAGTCCTTGCTGTGGTATTAGTGAATTTATGACCTTGGATGTTGAGTTGTAAAGACCCTCTAAAGAGCCTACAACCTTTTCATCTTGATTGTAGGCGTGAATAAATAAATATATAGAGAACATCTGAGAACCATTAAAATAAAGTAAATATGACACATTTGGAATAAGATGGGTTTATGTGCAACCTTTGAACTTTTATATATCATCTACAGCAAGCTAAAATTTGTGATATTAAATATTTGGACATTTTATTTGTGCTTATTGGTTTGTCTTTCTTCATATACAGATATGTCCTGAAATTTTACATACAAATTGACTCATATTTAGTTATATTGAAAGGAGGTTACTACTAGATTAAAGAAATACTGTGGTAAATCTTTTATAGAATAAAGAATCATTCAGTGTTGAAACATGACGGTCTCATAAATTTGGATTTTTTTTGTGCCTAGTGTTCTAAATGTGAGAATACAACTTCACTAGATATGTTTTTCCTTTACTCGGGAGCCCTATACATAAACAAAAAGTATCTACATTGTACCAAGAGATGATGTAAATAAAGAATTAAAACACTGTCATTTGAATACTCTATTATTGAACTCACTGTCTGGGTGTGAAAACATTCTAACCAGTTCCATACCACCCACTGAACAGCATCCTTCCCTTCTGCAAGTGGAGTCATAGGCATCCTTTGGGCACTGGCATCTGGGCATCAGTACCTGAATGTCAGCACTGATATGATAGATACTGCCTTTTAACTTCCCTTCCTATCTGGTTTACTCCATTTCGGTTACATATGGTTGAAGACTCTGGCTTTTGAGTCCCTTTTTTGTGTTGTTATTTTTGTTGTTTAGGACTGGTTTATAAGGGTCAGAAGCTTCCTTTGTATGACCTCTTAGTTCCCAACTTCTCCTTTGCCCCTCACTTCAATCCCTTTCAATTTAGTTCCACTTAGAGCTAGGTAAGGACAACACCCACTCTTCAATCAACCCCAACTTCAGGATCCTTGGGTCTTCTGTTGTCCCTGGAGTGGGGTTTTATGGATTCTTAAATTTTTTAAGGCTTTCCTAAGTGAAGTTTATTTCTAATTGAAAACTACAGCAAGTCAATGAGAAACTGGTTGAGCCAAAGAATAGACATTGATTTGAAGATCTGTAACCACAAAAATAGCAAATACACCCCAGGGTCCAATTTGCAATTGAAACCCCGTTGTCTCCAGAACATACTTCATGTCTTCTCTCTATATGTTGGCCTCATTTTCTTAGGAAAGATTTTCCCCACCAGCAGGAAATAGAGAATCTGGCAACTCCATCTTCAGTCATTTAGAGTAATCACAAGAAAATGACTGACCCCTGATGTCTCTTTTCCTAAATTAAAAAATTAGGGAGAAGTTCTCTAATTTGGTCAGTTTAAGTGAAGGGTTTATACCTAGACCAGTCAACAAACATCAAACAGTAAGTGGTGTCACTTTGGAGTTCTTTACTCATCCTTAGACCATTAAGTGTGGGAGAAACATCATTTTCTAGAGGAAGGAGGTGAGAATTGCTGGATGAGCAGGCAATACTCATTCACTGGGATAAATATTCATTTGGCATATTATCTTTTTTGGTCTTTTTGTTTTCCTATATCTCTCCATTGTCCCCCTGGATTTTGTTTATGTCAAAGTTTTCTTTTTTTCTTTTTTTTTTTTTAATTCTCAATGTTTTTAATGTCTTAAATTGCTAAATACAGATTAGTGTTACCATCTTTTTAGATTTCAGTGCACCAGCATGGCACATGTATACATATGTAACTAACCTGCACAATGTGCACATGTACCCTAAAACTTAAAGTATAATAAATAAATAAATAAATAAAATCCAAAAAAAAAAAAGAAAACTTTGTCAAAACATTAAACCCTCTCTTTCTGTTGCATTGGCATAAAGAAATATGTCAAAGTTTTCTTAAGATTAAGGTGACCGATGGAGAGAAAAAACAAACGAATCTGACAAAAGCTTTGTTAGGAGAATTAACACTTTCTGAATACTGGCCAGTTTTCAGAAATTTCTTCTATAATCTTTTCTTTCCTTCCCCCAGAACAATCCTGAAGTAAGAGATCTCCATTCCCAGATAAACAAATTCATATTCAGGGATGATGAATAACTGCTTTAGGATGATAATGCTAGCAAGAACCAAGTTGGAACTGATAAACCCAAATATATGTAAATGAAAATGGAAATTGCAGTGGGGCTGGTGCAGATAAGATTCAGGGGACAATTGTGAGGAAAAAGTGGTTTCCAGGGCTCATCTTTACCCTCCAACTCCACTAAGGAGATTTATTCCTTTGCAGGGATCAAGTCCAAGAACAATTCAGGCCATATTATTGGATTATTAGTATAAGAAGTATAAATACATAAATTCTCTCCTTTCTTTTCTTTGGGATCTATTTTACTCACCACATAGTGTTAAAATGGAAAGTTGAGATTAGGGTGTAGACCTAGAGAAATGGGGCCAAGTAGAACAGCTGTCCTGCTGACTATAGTCCATGTTAAACGCTTTCTCATGGCATTGTATGGTAAGAAGACTCTATTGGGATTTGGCAGAAAGTATTTTAAAAATAAACAGAATGACTTTTTCCAAGAATATCCCTTTGACATAATGCCTTCTTGAATCCATGTAGGTGTTAGCCAGCTATTGGAGGATTCCTGGATCTTGGGTCCATGTCAAATGCCACTGCATTCCAAGTATGAATTGGCAAGAGATGGCTACACATACAGTACATGAACAATGAAAGGATACTTACTTTGTATCCACAGAAAACATTTGAAGCCCTTCTTTTTATTTCATTACATTTAACACACACCCAATATGTGTAGTCTTATACCTGGCTCTAGGTGTATAAAGATGTGTTCCTTCCCTCAAACAGTATGGTGGATGTACTTTGATGCATTCCTCAGTTTAAAACTTTGAATTGATTCCACTATAATTTTGTGATATGACAACCAAGTATGGTGAGTTTTTGGCATAGATTACAGGCCAACTCTGACAACAGGTTGATAAAGTAGCTAATATCACTCCCCTATTGTTGATGATGGAACTAGCCTGAAAGTGAATAACTGGCCAAGGCAGGATTTGAGTCCATCTACCAGGCTCGGGAGCACACACGCTAGTCCCATTCCTCCCTGCTCCCATGCTAAGACTTCAAGCTGGAGAAGATGTCTTTTCTTTTCTATTCTTCTCCATGTATAAATTTGGCTGAGACCTGGGAAATAAATCCAGAAATGTGCCGAATGATCTAAGCACAGACATCCAATAAAATTAATTTGTCTTTGATACTGCATTTCATGTTTGTTCAATATTTACTTTATAATAAAGTTGTAAAAGGTCATGGTCTAGAAAACTGAAATGAAATTAGAAAATTTGTTTCTATCTAATTTCCAAGCCTAGAATTCCAATCAAGAGTTAACTTGGGTATTAAAAGTGTTTTTAGATGGAAAAACATGGCTCATGTGAACAGTAATATGCAAATGAAGTGATTCTGATGTAAGAACAATATTGATTTTTATTCTTGAACTCAGGTCTATTCTATTTTAACAGAGAACTTCTCAAATTATATTGAACAACATTATATTGACCAAATTTTCATTTTACCTTTCCAATATTTTTATTACGTATTTCTGATCTCTGCCTAACATTTAGCCAGGCAAACTGCCATCTGCAACCAACATCACTTTAAACTGGAAGGCCCTAATAAAATACCCTAACTAACATATATTGAGTTCGTAAACATTCTGCAAAACTTTTTGGTATAAATTTTCTTATTTAATCCAAAATGTAACAATTTTTGATAGATTATATAAAAGTATCTGAGACAGGTGTCAATCAATTTAGAGATTTATTTTGCCAAGGTTAAGGATTATGACCTGTAACACAGCCTCAGGATGTCCTGAGAATATGTGCCCAAGATTATTGGGTTATGGCTTGGTTTTTTATATGTTTTAGGGAAACCTGAGACATTAATTAATACATGTGAGGTATATATTGGTACAATCCAGAAAGGTAGGACAACTCAAAGAGGGGGTGGTGGGTGGAGATGGGGGTTCAGGTCATAGGCAGATTGAAAGATTTTCTGACTGGCAATTGGTTGAAAAATTTAAGTTATTATGTAAAAGCATGGAATCAATAGAGTGGCTGGATTAAAATAAGAAGTTGTGGAGACCGAGGTTCTTATTACGTAGATGAAGTGTCATAAGTAACAACTGTTAGAGGCAGTAGATGGCAAATGTTTCCTATTCAGACCTTTAACCGGTGTTAGAGTCTCCACTAATCTCCTCAGAAAAAGACCCGGAAAGGGAAAAGGATTCTTGATAGAATATAAATTTCCCCCACAAGACACAGCTTTGCAGGGCATTTCAAAATATGTCAAAGAAATATATTTTGGGGCAAAATACTTCAATTTCCTTCATGGCCTGCTATCATGTGATGCTCTACTAGAGTCAGATTGGAATTTGATAGCTTATTGCTACAAATAGTCTACTTTGTCAGTCTTAGGATCTCTATTTTTTTTTTTTATTATACTTTAAGTTTTAGGGTACATGTGCACATTGTGCAGGTTAGTTACATATGTATACATGTGCCATGCTGGTGCGCTGCACCCACTAACTCGTCATCTAGCATTAGGTATATCTCCCAATGCTATCCCTCCCACCTCCCCCCACCCCACAACAGTCCCCAGAGTGTGATATTCCGCTTCCTGTGTCCATGTGATCGCATTGTTCAATTCCCACCTATGAGTGAGAATATGCGGTGTTTGGTTTTTTGTTCTTGCGATAGTTTACTGAGAATGATGATTTCCAATTTCATCCATGTCCCTACAAAGGACACGAACTCATCATTTTTTATGGCTGCATAGTATTCCATGGTGTATATGTGCCACATTTTCTTAATCCAGTCTATCATTGTTGGACATTTGGGTTGGTTCCAAGTCTTTGCTATTGTGAATAATGCTGCAATAAACATACGTGTGCATGTGTCTTTATAGCAGCATGATTTATAGACCTTTGGGTATATACCCAGTAATGGGATGGCTGGGTCAAATGGTATTTCTAGTTCTAGATCCCTGAGGAATCGCCACACTGACTTCCACAATGGTTGAACTAGTTTACAGTCCCACCAACAGTGTAAAAGTGTTCCTATTTCTCCACATCCTCTCCAGCACCTGTTGTTTCCTGACTTTTTAATGATTGCCATTCTAACTGGTGTGAGATGGTATCTCATTGTGGTTTTGATTTGCATTTCTCTGATGGCCAGTGATGATGAGCATTTTTTCATGTGTTTTTTGGCTGCATAAATGTCTTCTTTTGAGAAGTGTCTGTTCATGTCCTTTGCCCACTTTTTGATGGGGTTGTTTGTTTTTTTCTTGTAAATTTGTTTGAGTTCATTGTAGATTCTGGATATTAGCCCTTTGTCAGATGAGTAGGTTGCGAAAATTTTCTCCCATTTTGTAGGTTGCCTGTTCACTCTGATGGTAGTTTCTTTTGCTGTGCAGAAGCTTTTTAGTTTAATTAGATCCCATTTGTCAATTTTGGCTTTTGTTGCCATTGCTTTTGGTGTTTTGGACATGAAGTCCTTGCCCATGCCTATGTCCTGAATGGTAATGCCTAGGTTTTCTTCTAGGGTTTTTATGGTTTTAGGTCTAACGTTTAAATCTTTAATCCATCTTGAATTGATTTTTCTATAAGGTGTAGGGAAGGGCTCCAGTTTCAGCTTTCTACATATGGCTAGCCAGTTTTACCAGCACCATTTATTAAATAGGGAATCCTTTCCCCATTGCTTGTTTTTCTCAGGTTTGTCAAAGATCAGATAGTTGTAGATATGTGGTGTTATTCCTGAGGGCTCTGTTCTGTTCCATTGATCTATATCTCTGTTTTGGTACCAGTACCATGCTGTTTTGGTTACTGTAGCCTTGTAGTATAGTTTGAAGTCAGGTAGTGTGATGCCTCCAGCTTTGTTCTTTTGGCTTAGGATTGACTTGGTGATGTGGGCTCTTTTTTGGTTCCATATGAACTTTAAAGTAGTTTTTTCCAATTCTGTGAAGAAAGTCATTGGTAACTTGATGGGGATGGCATTGAATCTGTAAATTACCTTGGGCAGTATGGCCATTTTCACGATATTGATTCTTCCTACCCATGAGCATGGAATGTTCTTCCATTTGTTTGTATCCTCTTTTATTTCCTTGAGCAGTGGTTTGTAGTTCTCCTTGAAGAGGTCCTTCACACCCCTTGTAAGTTGGATTCCTAGGTATTTTATTCTCTTTGAAGGAATTTTGAATGGGAGTTCACTCATGATTTGGCTCTCTGTTTGTCTGTTGTTGGTGTATAAGAATGCTTGTGATTTTTGTACATTGATTTTGTATCCTGAGACTTTGCTGAAGTTGCTTATCAGCTTAAGGAGATTTTGGGCTGAGACAATGGGGTTTTCTAGATATACAATCATGTCATCTGCAAACAGGGACAATTTGACTTCCTCTTTTCCTAATTGAATGCCCTTTATTTCCTTCTCCTGCCTAATTGCCCTGGCCAGAACTTCCAACACTATGTTGAATAGGAATGGTGAGAGAGGGCATCCCTGTCTTGTGCCAGTTTTCAAAGGGAATGCTTCCAGTTTTTGCCCATTCAGTATGATATTGGCTGTGGGTTTGTCATAGATAGCTCTTATTATTTTGAAATATGTCCCATCAATACCTAATTTATTGAGAGTTTTTAGCATGAAGGGTTGTTGAATTTTGTCAAAGGCCTTTTCTGCATCTATTGAGATAACCATGTGGTTTTTGTCTTTGGTTCTGTTTATATGCTGGATTACATTTATTGATTTGCGTATATTGAACCAGCCTTGCATCCCAGGGATGAAGCCCACTTGATCATGGTGGATAAGCTTTTTGATGTGCTGCTGGATTCGTTTTGCCAGTAATTTATTGAGGATTTTTGCATCAATGTTCATCAAGGATATTGGTCTAAAATTCTCTTTTTTGGTTGTGTCTCTGCCCGGCTTTGGTATCAGAATGATGCTGGCCTCATAAAATGAGTTAGGGAGGATTCCCTCTTTTTCTATTGATTGGAATAGTTTCAGAAGGAATGGTACCAGTTCCTCCTTGTACCTCTGGTAGAATTCGGCTGTGAATCCATCTGGTCCTGGACTCTTTTTGGTTGGTAAACTATTGATAATTGCCACAATTTCAGCTCCTGTTATTGGTCTATTCAGAGATTCAACTTCTTCCTGGTTTAGTCTTGGGAGAGTGTATGTGTCGAGGAATTTATCCATTTCTTCTAGATTTTCTAGTTTATTTGCGTAGAGGTGTTTGTAGTATTCTCTGATGGTAGTTTGTATTTCTGTGGGATCGGTGGTGATATCCCCTTTATCATTTTTTATTGTGTCTATTTGATTCTTCTCTCTTTTTTTCTTTATTAGTCTTGCTAGTGGTCTATCAATTTTGTTGATCCTTTCAAAAAACCAGCTCCTGGATTCATTAATTTTTTGAAGGGTTTTTTGTGTCTCTATTTCCTTCAGTTCTGCTCTGATTTTAGTTATTTCTTGCCTTCTGCTAGCTTTTGAATGTGTTTGCTCTTGCTTTTCTAGTTCTTTTAATTGTGATGTTAGGGTGTCAATTTTGGATCTTTCCTGCTTTCTCTTGTGGGCATTTAGTGCTATAAATTTCCCTCTACACACTGCTTTGAATGCATCCCAGAGATTCTGGTATGTTGTGTCTTTGTTCTCGTTGGTTTCAAAGAACATCTTTATTTCTGCCTTCATTTCGTTATGTACCCAGTAGTCATTCAGGAGCAGGTTGTTCAGTTTCCATGTAGTTGAGCGGTTTTGAGTGAAATTCTTAATCCTGAGTTCTAGTTTGATTGCACTGTGGTCTGAGAGATAGTTTGTTATAATTTCTGTTCTTTTACATTTGCTGAGGAGAGCTTTACTTCCAAGTATGTGGTCAATTTTGGAATAGGTGTGGTGTGGTGCTGAAAAAAATGTATATTGTGTTGATTTGAGGTGGAGAGTTCTGTAGATGTCTATTAGGTCCACTTGGTGCAGAGCTGAGTTCAATTCCTGGGTATCCCTGTTGACTTTCTGTCTCGTTGATCTGTCTAATGTTGACAGTGGGGTGTTAAAGTCTCCCATTATTAATGTGTGGGAGTCTAAGTCTCTTTGTAGGTCACTCAGGACTTGCTTTATGAATCTGGGTGCTCCTGTATTGGGTGCATATATATTTAGGATAGTTAGCTCTTCTTGTTGAATTGATCCCTTTACCATTATGTAATGGCCTTCTTTGTCTCTTTTGATCTTTGTTGTTTTAAAGTCTGTTTTATCAGAGACTAGGATTGCAACCCCTTCCTTTTTTTGTTTTCCATTGGCTTGGTAGATCTTCCTCCATCCTTTTATTTTGAGCCTATGTGTGTCTCTGCACGTGAGCTGGGTTTCCTGAATACAGCACACTGATGGGTCTTGACTCTTTATCCAATTTGCCAGTCTGTGTCTTTTAATTGGAGAATTTAGTCCATTTACATTTAAAGTTAATATTGTTATGTGTGAATTTGATCCTGTCATTATGATGTTAGCTGGTGATTTTGCTCGTTAGTTGATGCAGTTTCTTCCTAGTCTCGATGGTCTTTACATTTTGGCATGATTTTGCAGTGGCTGGTATCGGTTGTTCCTTTCCATGTTTAGCACTTCCTTCAGGAGCTCTTTTAGGGCAGGCCTAGTGGTGACAAAATCTCTCAGCATTTGCTTGTCTGTGAAGTATTTTATTGCTCCTTCACTTATGAAGCTTAATTTGGCTGGATATGAAATTCTGGGTTGAAAATTCTTTTCTTTAAGAATGTTGAATATTGGCCCCCACTCTCTTTTGGCTTGTAGGGTTTCTGCCGAGAGACCCGCTGTTAGTCTGATGGGCTTCCCTTTGAGGGTAACCCGACCTTTCTCTCTGGCTGCCCTTAACATTTTTTCCTTCATTTCAACTTTGGTGAATCTGACAATTATGTGTCTTGGAGTTGCTCTTCTTGGGGAGTATCTTTGTGGCGTTCTCTGTATTTCCTGAATCTGAACGTTGGCCTGCCTTGCTAGATTGGGGAAGTTCTCCTGGATAATATCCTGCAGAGTGTTTTCCAACTTGGTTCCATTCTCCCCATCACTTTCAGGTACACCAATCAGACGTAGATTTGGTCTTTTCACATAGTCCCATATTTCTTGGAGGCTTTGCTCATTTCTTTTTATTCTTTTTTCTCTAAACTTCCCTTCTCGCTTCATTTCATTCATTTCATCTTCCATTGCTGATACCCTTTCTTCCAGTTGATCGCATCGGCTCCTGAGGCTTCTGCATTCTTCACGTAGTTCTCGAGCCTTGGTTTTCAGCTCCATCAGCTCCTTTAAGCACTTCTCTGTATTGGTTATTCTAGTTATACATTCTTCTAAATTTTTTCCAAAGTTTTCAACTTCTTTGCCTTTGGTTTGAATGTCCTCCCGTAGCTCAGAGTAATTTGATCGTCTGAAGCCTTCTTCTCTCAGCTCGTCAAAGTCATTCTCCATCCAGCTTTGTTCCGTTGCTGGTGAGGAACTGCGTTCCTTCGGAGGAGGAGAGGCTCTCTGCGTTTTAGAGTTTCCAGTTTTTCTGTTCTGTTTTTTCCCCATCTTTGTGGTTTTATCTACTTTTGGTCTTTGATGATGGTGATGTACAGATGGGTTTTTGGTGTGGATGTCCTTTCTGTTTGTTAGTTTTCCTTCTAACAGACAGGACCCTCAGCTGCAGGTCTGTTGGAGTACCCTGCCGTGTGAGGTGTAAGTGTGCCCCTGCTGGGGAGTGCCTCCCAGTTAGGCTGCTCGGGGGTCAGGGGTCAGGGAGGCAGTCTGCCGGTTCTCAGATCTCCAGCTGCGTGCTGGGAGAACCACTGCTCTCTTCAAAGCTGTCAGACAGGGACACTTAAGTCTGCAGAGGTTACTGCTGTCTTTTTGTTTGTCTGTGCCCTGCCCCCAGAGGTGGAGCCTACAGAGGCAGGCAGGCCTCCTTGAGCTGTGGTGGGCTCCACCCAGTTCGAGCTTCCCAGCTGCTTTGTTTACCTAAGCAAGCCTGGGCAATGGCGGGCGCCCCTCCCCCAGCCTCGCTGCCTTGCAGTTTGATCTCAGACTGCTGTGCTAGCAGTCAGTGAGATTCCATGGGCGTAGGACCCTCCGAGCCAGGTGTGGGATATAATCTCGTGGTTCGCCGTTTTTTAAGCCGGTCTGAAAAGCGCAATATTTGGGTGGGAGTGACCCGATTTTCCAGGTGCGTCCGTCACCCCTTTCTTTGACTCGGAAAGGGAACTCCCTGACCCCTTGCGCTTCCCGAGTGAGGCAATGCCTCGCCCTGCTTCGGCTCGCGCACGGTGCGCGCACCCACTGGCCTGCGCCCACTGTCTGGCCCTCCCTAGTGAGATGAACCCGGTACCTCAGATGGAAATGCAGAAATCACCCATCTTCTGCGTCGCTCACGCTGAGAGCTGTAGACCGGAGCTGTTCCTATTCGGCCATCTTGGCTCCTCCCCCAGGATCTCTATTTTAATGTTAGGGCTGGTCAGTAGTGTCTAAACTCCAAAAGGGAGAGGGTATAATGAAGCATGTCCAACCCACTCTTCCTGTCGTAGCCTGAACTAATTCTTTAGGTTTCTTTGGAGTCCTCTTGGCTGAGAGGGGGTCCATTCAGTTAGTTTGGGGGCTTAGAATTTTATTTTTGGTTTACAAGCTGTTCTTACCTGAACACTTATTTTATGAAAGGTACCATGCTAGACAGTATTGAGACTAGAGGTTAACAAGACCAAAATTCTATTCTCATGGAGTTTAAGCTCTAGCCTGTGGACAAATTTCTTTCATTTCATTCAACTAATTTTTACTGAATCCTTATCAAGTACCAGGAACTGCACAATACCACTTATTCAATAGGCTAGAAATTAAAAATTCAAAAGATTGTTATCCTTTAGAGTAATCACCTGGGGAAGCTACATACTAATTTTTTTCCAATGTTGGCATTGCTCAGAATATTTCTAGAATCAGTATATTTGCAATTTGATTACTTCTAAGTATATTTAAGTCTTATCAGGGAAAAAGCTATCATTACTTTAAACTTACACTTTGTTTTAAATCTGTATGTTACATAATATATATTATACATACTATACATATATTATACATTATGTGTGTGTGTGTATATATATATATATATATATATATATATATCTAGCTTGATCACTTACCCTACATACAAAAAGTGACACTGTATGACATTTAACAGTATCAACAAAATTAAATCTTTTCTTAGAAGATTAAGATGTGTCATTCTCTAAGGAATGTGTGGCTGGCTCTGAAAGAGGTATATGAAAGATACTTTGAACACCAGTGGCATTGTTTTGGTTTATTTCCCATGCCTACCCAAGGTGATTACCTTATGGACACTTGTAATTTACCTGGATAAATTCTAGTACATTTACCTAAAAATGAAATCTGTAATCATATAAAAATCTGTGCTTTTATACCTCATTAACTTGCTTATTCATTCAATAAATGTTTACTGAACCTTCACTTCATGTGAAGGTCTGAACTACGTGTTGTGAACAAAGCAAAAAATAATAATAAGCCATGTCTAAGGTAATTCAAAACCCAGTGTTTTTGCTTTAGTAGTTTGTAAATTGTGCAAATATCCAACTGAATTAAACTGACTCAGATCAAACTTCTGGCAAATGTTTAGTTTCTCCATTTGAGTCTGCTTTATATTCTAATAAGCTTCCATTCTCCCTTTAAAGGTAAACAATAGAGAAGGAAGAAAAAAAAATGTTTCCTGGATATGTATCTAGGCATACCTGCAGGAGAGCCATGACCCTTCAGCATACAGAGCAGAACCCCTCTGGAGGGGTCAGGAGGAACATCTCCCAATGCCTAGTGTCTAAGTCCTAACTCTTCAAAGAGCTATTGAGGAAGGTTATCTCTGTTGCAGGTTCTTCTGCATCCAAGTATATCAAATTCTGATCACCCTTCAAGTATTCAGCCTATTTACACACTTCATTCTTCCAAAATGTATTCGTTTACTTTAAAGAAATCTGTACTACTTGGTATGGTTTCCTCTAATCCTTTAGATTTATATTTTTAAAGTCTTTACACACTATTTCAGCTGGGTTATGTCTGTATTAAGTAAGTACAGCTACATTGCAAATTAACCTCCAAACTACAGAGGCTGTTAAAAGAAAATCTCAGGTAAATTAAATTTAACAGAGCTTAATTGAGCAAAGAATGTTTCACAATCAGGAAGCCTTCTGAGCTGGAGTAGGCTCATAGAGACTTCAGTGCATGCAGCCACATGGTGGAAGAAGATACATGGACAAAAAAGGGAAAGTGACGTACAGAAAATGGAAGGGAGGTACACAAACATGGATTGGTTGCAGCTTGGCATTTGACTTATTTGGACACAGTTTCAACAGTTGGCCACCTTTAACTGGCCAAAACTTGGTGATTGGCACCAGAGTAGATAGTTCATGTATACATCCAGTTAGATTTCAGTTTACTATGTTCAGAGAAAACTTCAGGCTGAGCTTAAAATATGAAAGGAGGCAGCTTTGGGCTAAACTTAATTTAACAAGGCTTAACTAAACAGATGTTTATTGTAGGTGAGCAGAAAGCTCCACTTCACCTGGTAGTTTAGGAAATGTACAATTTGGATGTCAGTAGGACACAGATGGCACACATGTGACAACATTTAAGGACAGATTAATAAAGGTACCATTTACAAGGTGTGGGCAGTGTAAGAGAAACCACAAAGAAAACTGCAGTATCTCAGGGCTAACCATAATAGGCCAACCCTAATGCCTAAAGTGGACAAAGGAGGGAGAAGATACCGGAATTTAGAAACAGTATAGAGAGGGCTACCTAAAAGGAGCAGTAAAATTTGTTCAGGGGGCTCAGACAGCCTGCAGCAACCTCCCAGAGAAGAAGTCAGTAATAAATATCCTGACTTTACTGTATTCCCCATTTCAGTCTCCTGCTGGTGGTCAACAATCATACATACAGCCAAAAAGGAAAGGAGTCCTTTATGTGGCACTTATACAGACCAGCTTCCTGGGCACACAGGAAGGTGGAGAAAAGAGAGAAGAGAGTGTAAAAGAGAAAATATCCAGCACTGGAAACTGAGTTGACCTGAGGCTGTATGCCTTGTACATGACAGGAGCCCTATAACTATATGCTGAATATCACTGAATTAATTATCTGGGGCTTGTGTTTAAAGAAAGGCACAGAATGGCTATGCAATAAATATTTACCAATTCACTCATTCTAATGATTCCATGATCATGGACTCCTCTGAATAAGCTCCACTTACAATCACAAACTCCAAGTATAAATGTTCATCCTTTCTACTTTTGATGCACTCCAGAAGAATAGGTTAAATTGTAGTAATCTATCAGCAGCTTTAGTTATGTGCAGTGACTATCAACGTGCCTTGTAAATAGCTGGCTTTCAACAAGTACCACTTTTGACTAAATTGAATCAAAAGTTCCATTTAACTTGCACAGTGTTATACCTATGGGAAAAGTGGATCCTGAGTGCCCCTCACCATCTATCTCATTTCTGGAGTGTTAAGAAAGAAAATTGCAAGTGAGCATTGCAAGGAAAGCCTGAACATCATTGCTTCCCTCAATAATAAAAGGGATATTGCTCCATGATAAAGCATGCCACTTGAGATCAGACAGAGCCCATTCCCTTAACTTTCGGCATCTTTCATTTGCCATGTAAACTTGGTCTCTTGGTATTTTCAAGCTCAACTAAATACACCAGAGTAAAATATCTTAGAAATTTATATCTTAAAACATTTACAGTGAGAAATGTACCAGCATCATGCATGCTATCTCAAAAGGCTATGTCAACAGCATCCATTGTAACAAAAACCTTGAGTCCTCAATTAGTGCATTCAAGTTGCAAGAAAGGCAGAGATACAGCCACCAACTTTATTATTCAAAACTCACCTATCATATTTTCACCAAAACGTGTTTGATTTGGCCAAGTAATGGATTTTAGGAAATTGTTCGCAATACAAATAGGATCTAAAATCTTATTTACAATGATAGGATAATAATTTAAATGTGTTAGTTCTACCTTAATAATGTATTAGTACCCCAAACAAGCTTGGTATACAGTTATTTTATTTTCAAACAGACCCATTCTCTTTGCCTTTTGTTTCCCATGACCTTCATGAACTGTTTAAACATACAGGCCTTGTAAAATATCAGTGTTCTGGCAATACTTTTCAGCTCCTATGCTTCCAGAAAACATAACTTACTACTTTGCAGGATAAATAGTTATCAGCAGAACCATGTACTTTTCATAAAAAGTGAGGCTTGCTGTGTTCAGCTGCTCTAGGAATTCCTTTCATGAATTTCAAGACACGGACCCTCCCTAGCTAGTATCCTATACCTCAGAGACTTCCATATGACACAGACAGACAGACACACACACACTAGTTTTTCATGTTACCTCGGGCTGCTAATGCCTCTACCAAGACTACTGTTTTCAAAGGCAATGGGTTTGAAGTCACACTGAGCTTGAATCTCATCACTGTCACTAGCCAGAAACACAACCCTGGGCAAGCTACTTAAACCTCTGTGTCTTGATTTCCTGATCTGTAAAATGAGAATAAAAATAGCATATACTTTCAGGGCCATTGGCAGGATTAATGAAATAATTCTAGAAAAACACTTTATAGGATGAGATGCATACTCCTACTTCCTTTTTATAAGTCTGTCTTTGTTCACAATCCAGGTGTGTCTATTTTATTCACAGGGCAAGAAGTTGCAGGAAAAATGGCTTCTAGCAGTGGAACTTCCTCATACACGTGATCTGTTTCTGATTAGAGAACTGCAGGAGGTGAAAATTGGGTTCAAGGTAAGTCCCTGACATTTAAAATACTCTTCTCCTTAGATATGTATATTTAATGCACCTTTGTTGAGAACTGTTAGGTTCAATATTATAAAATTGCCAGTGATTTATGTCTTAGTCCATTTTGTGCTGCTAAAATAGAATACCTGAGACTGGATCATTTATAAACAATAGATTTTTGTTTGGCTCACAGTTCTAGAGGCTGAGAAATCCAAGATCCAAGGGCCTACCTGGGGAAAGTCTTCTTGCTGTGTCATACTTAGCAAAAGGTATCATATTGCTGGTGAGAGAGAGGGAGGGAAGAGGGCCATACTCATCCTTTTATCAGTCTACTCCAGTCCACTCCCTCAATAACTAACCCACCTCCAGAATAATGGCATCAATTCATTCATGCGGGAAGAACTCTCATGACCTAATCACCTCTTAAAGATCCCACCCTGTATTAGTCAAGGTTCTCTTAGAGGATTAACTTACGTGATCACAGGGTCCCACAATCAGCTATCTGCAAGCTGACGAGCAAGGAGAGCCAGTCTGAGTCCCAAAACTGAAGAACTTGGAGTCCGATACTAGAGGGCAAGAAGCATCCAGCATTAGAGAAAGATGTAGGCTGGCAGGCTAGGCCCATCTCGTCACTTCGAGTTTTTTCTGCCTGCTTTATATATGGCGGCTGATTAGATGGTGCCCACCCAGTTAAGGGTGGGTCTGCCTTCCCCAGCCCACTGACTCAAATGTTAATCTCCTTTGACAACACCCTCACAGACACACCCAGGATCCATATTGCATCCTTCAATCAAGATCATACTCAGTATTAACTATCACACAACTCTCAACACTTTTTGCATTTGGAATTAAGTTTTCAACATATGAACTTTGGAGGACACATTCAAGTCATAGTAGTCTAATATGTTGAATTTCATACAATTCATTATAATGTCATGCCCCAGGCAAAAAGTTAAGGATGCCAAAATGAGTAAGACAAAGGTGAACCCTGTCCTCACAAAGCTGATGATCCAGGTAATGAGGCAGGGATGCTGTCAGGGAGAGGGGTAAGTAAAGGGTGTTATGGCAGGGAATAGCATCTACCCATACACTAAGCTCAAAGGGATACGGGTGGGGCAAGAGGCCAGAAGTGTTCAAGGAAAATCTCTCCTCATGGAACCCAAATGACTGGGTCATAAGTGTTTTGGGTGATGATTTGTTACAGTAACTAGTTTCCTTTGGTTATTGTAACAAATCATCACAAACTTAGTGGTTTACAACACACTCATTAATTTTCTCACAGTTCTGGAGGTCAAAAGTCCAAGATTAGTTTCACTGGGCAAAATCAATGTATAGGCAGGGTCAAGCTCCCTCTGTAGGATCTAGTGGGGAGTATCTTTCCTTGACTTTTCCAGCTTCTAGAGCTGAAATGCTTGCATTGCTTGGCTTGTGGACCTCCTCATTTGTCTTTAAAGTCAGCAGCATTGGATTTTGTTTCAATGGTCACATTGCCTTCTTCTATGTGTCAAATATCCTCTCTCTTTCTCCTATATGAATGCTTATGATTGCATTTAGGACCCACTTGGATAATCCAGTTTAATCTTCTCACCTCAAGGTCCTTAATTTAATTATATCTGCAACGTCTCTTTTGCCATGCAAGGGTAACATTCGCAGGTTCCAGAAATTAATGCCTGGATATCTTTGGGAACCATTATTCAGCCTATTACACAAAGGGTGAAAGCTAATTAATTTCAAGAAAAGAAGTTAATGGGTTGTTGTTAGAGGACAAATGAAGATCCAGTCTTGGGGGCTGAGCAAAGTAATTTGGGAGGATATAACAACCTTAACCGAGATGAACCAAATGAAGAAAAAGGAAGGATATTAGCAAGGCAGATGTTAGAGCCTGTGCAAAGGTTCAAGAAAAGGAGAGCGTGGCATATTTAAAGACTTAGGAAAAGTGTTTCCTGGGTTGAAGTTAGAGTAAAAATAATGGTGGAGATAAGGTAAAAGAGGAGGCTGTTGGGGTATGCATGGAATAGCTCATAAAGAACATCATAAGTTATGCTAAGTAGACTTCATCCTATGGGAATGAGAAGCCAGCCATTGAAAGTCTGAAAGCAGGGGGATGATTTGATGGGTTCTATGTTTCAGAAAGCTCTCTCTGTTCACCATGTTGGAAAAAAAGGATTAGAGGAGGACAAGACAGGGTAGGAAGACTGGCTAAAGGCCGGTTGCCATTATTTATCCTAGAACTGAGGGGGTCTTGGATTCTGTGCAGTCTAGTCCCTGGCCCCTGGGTATATTCATTTCACTTCCAAAAAATCCTTTTGAAATATATTTAAAACTAATTAAATGTGGTATCAGAAAATGATTTCCACTTGTATTAGGATTTCTGTCATAGTTATCTAGTGGGTAACAATGCTATCAGTTCAAGTTAATAGTATATATTAACTCTAACCTGAAAAACTGGCTTTTTACTCATCTAAAAATACTACTAAGCAAAAGCCTCATGAGGACCTCTTGGTAAACGACTGAAATAAGGGGCTAAAACTGAGTATGATTTGGATCCATACTACTCTTATCTTTCAGATATAACATTATTAGTCACCATTATTGTTATTATACATCTGGAACCTAAGATGTTCCTAAGTCCAGAACAGGTAACTGAACAAAATGTTGCTTAGATGTATAGAGTCATTAATCATGTAGATTCATTACATGATCTTAAATGTATAAATGTCTTCATTTGAATTTCCCACAAGACAAGAGCCTTGGACAAATACTTCAAAGCATTGTTTTATTTGGTAGTAATCTCAAGAAGCAGAAGGTAAGGAGTAGGGAAAATGAGATGGTGAAGAAGAAAAAATCAATATAAATGTGTTTCGAAATTACTGCTGTGGATGAATAGACTAGTTTTTGCTATGACCCCTTAAGAACCTGCAAGATGGGAGGCTGGAGAGTTTATCATCCAGAAGCAAGATCTTGATGGTTGAGAGTTGAGTCTGTGAGTATTCACTCCCTCACATTTACGGGGAGGCATTTGTGCAGGCTGAGAACACCCCTCAGGATTAGAAGGCCCTGGGACATGATGTCAAAGGATATCAGAACAAGCTAGGGAGTTTGAACTGGCAGAGAACCTCTCCCAGCATCTGTGACTGGTATAGAAATGAGCCAAAGCATGGTGATGTAGGTATCAAAGGCACCTGCTAGAGTGAAGAGTCTACCCTGGAATCATGAACAAAGTTTTTGCAGGTATATGAACTTTGCCATCAATTCACAACACAATATGTCTAGATTTGACTCTCATAGGATCATTTTCCCCTCAAAACCTGATCCTGAAATTTTGATATGATGTCAGCAAAGGATAATATGGTTCTTTGGGAATGGAGTCAACAGAAGTAAATTTCATTATCCAGATCACGGGATATATCCCACAGAAAAGAATAAAATGAAAAGATAGGTCCAAGATGGGACCAACAATAGATTGAGTCAAAGGGAAAACACTGACTAGGGAGGGTGTTAGCAATATGAATCAAAGCCCAGGAGATTATGGCAGACTCAAATCCTTTCTGAACAAGAGATGAGGTTCCTATGTAGATGAGGGTCTGAGATCATTAAGATTTCAGAGTATGAGAAACAGAGTAAGGGGGTATATCAAGGGTAGAGAGTACTAAGTACTTCCCACTGAGAGCAGAAAGAATAATACATTGGAAGGAAGAATATCAATAGAAGGGAAAAAACAGTTATTAAGTTTTTCTACAGGGTAAAGATGGCAAAGAGTTTATCTAAAAATAGGTCACTCACCAGGATTGAAGAGGAGATAACTGACTGAGAGATAGTAAAGAGACAAATTCAGTGATATTCCAACATGGATTAGATGGGGCTAGTAAGCACATCTCCCCAACTAGAGTTCCAGCTTCTGAGAAACGATGACTATTTCTTTATAATTCTGAATTCTACAACTGACATATTATAGAGACTTAGTGAATATATGTTGCATTAAAAGAGCAGGGTTTCTAACTTTATCTACTGAGTCAGTAATAGCGTTATCCACCAAGATATGTAATACAGGAAAAGGAGCAAAATTATGAGAAAATATGAAGTTGGCTTTGGACAGTTTGAGTTTGAGATGCCCATAAGCACCCAAATGGATATATTTAGTAGGCAATTAGATATATGCGAGTTCAGGAAACAAGCTCAGCTGGAAATATAAATTGGGAAACTATCTGCATGCATGGCAGAGGCTGTCAAAATTGTGCAAACAGATAAGCTTTCTTAGGGAGCATAGACTGAAAAAAAAGTTGAGGCTCAAGAATAAAACCATGGAACACCAAAATTCAAGGAATGTTAAAAAGGAGCAGCCAGAAAGATAGGAAAGAAGGGAGTCATGGAAATAAATTAAATACTGCCGAGGTAGACTACAGTGAACTTTTTTTTTAACCGTTAGATTTAGTGATAAACCTTAACAGGAGCAGTGGAGTGGAATAGCAGGACAGGAAGTCAGACTGAAATAGATGAAGAAGAGAAGAGATGACAAAATCACAATTGGAAATACAAGCCTCTTTTTCTGGAAGTGTGCAGCAATGAAAAGAAAAAAAATCATGTTAATAGCCAGAAAGAGAGAGAGATTGGTGTTTTCTGTTTGCTTGTTTGTTTTTGTTTTGTTTTGTTTTTGAGACAGGGTCTCTCTCTGTTGCCCAGGCTGGAGTGCAGTGGTGCAATCATGGCTCACTGCAACCTTAACCCTCCCTGGGGCTCAGGTGATCCTCCCACCTCACCCTCCCAGGTAGCTGGGACTACGGGTGCACACCACCACGCCTGGCTAATTTTTTAAATTTTCTATAGAGACAGGGTCTCACCCTGTTGCTCAGGCTGGTCTCAAACTTCTGGGCTCAAATGATCCATCCACCTTGGCCTCCCAAAGTGCTGAGATTGCAGGCATGAGCCACCGTGCCCCACCTGTTTTTATTTTCGAAGATAGGAGAGACTTAGGCAAATTTAGACCCTAATGGGAAAAGAACTAAGAAAAGGTGAAATCTGAGATGCAAAGGACAAGGTTTTCTGATAAAGTTTTATGTCTGGAAAACCGGCCCGGGGTGAAATACAGAGCTTGCATTAAATGAGGGGCCTTCAGGAAGAAAGTCTCAGGCACTGGGATGGGAGGCAGGGTGGATGCAGAAAATATATTAGAAAAAACAAGTGGGAGGGTAGTGGTTAAGGGCCTTGAGAAAAGTTGTGAAGGTTTCAAATGCAATGCACTGTACCATCCATGTGGCAGATCTGTTCTTTCACATTCTCAAACAATCACAGTGTCAGGAGTGCAGCTTCTTCCAGTAACAATGGAAAACAGTTTTTCAATAGCCCAACAGAGTATCACACTCTTAGCTTCAAACTGGATCATGAATGAGTGGAGATAAAATTGGATAGAAGAGTTCTGACATTTTCTTTGGCAATGTTGTCACTTCATATACACAACACCAGAATATAAGTGAAATGGATGGGGCAGTACAGGATTCAGGAAACTGAGCTTTTAACTGACGTAAATAATAACAGTAATGATATAATTACCTACCATTTATTGGCTGCTTATTATGTGCCAGTAACAATGCTAATGTTTCATTACATTATCTCATTTGAGCTTCATGAAAGCCTCTATCATTCTGAGTAATTTTAGTCATTGTTTTCATAATGCCAATAGGTTTATACGGAAGCATACACACATATATGTACATGCTCATAGAAGTCTGATTTTATAATGATACACTGCTACCTAATAAAGGCTTTCCTTGACATTCCATGCAACTTCAAATTATTTTTATTTGGAAGTTACTACTGCTCCAGGATATGCTTTATTGCTTTATTAGCACCAAAATTGCTTTTGGTCATTTTTTTTGTTTTCTGGGCATTTTTTATCCCATCCAAAGTCAGTCTGTTCCTTCATTTACTTAACAAATATTTATTAAATAGTGATTACCTTTTAAGTGCTTGGGATACAGGGTTGGCTAGAAAGTTCTTGTCTCTCACACATCCAGAATTTTCTGTGAAATAAAGATTACTACCTAGATAATGAATGCACAGTGTAATTTTTTGCTGCATATTTATAAATAAGCACAGGGTACTACAGAAGTACATGGTGAGGAAGGCACTTGGGTCAGCCATAGGAGATTCAGCAGAGACTTCCTGGAAGAAGCAACTTCCAAACTTGGATGTAAAATAGAAGTAGGAGTTTGAGGGTAAATAGGGTGCATAGAGAAAAACATTGCAGATAGGATGCATGCCATTTACAAAGATCGAGAGAGAATGTGGGACACAATTAGAACCTCAAATCATTTATTTTGGCTTCAGTCTAGTGTGTGAGGAATAGAGAAGAGCTGATGAAGCTACACCGAATGTGTGGGTTAGATACAGAAAGTTTTTCTGTCTTATTAAGGAGTTTGGATTTTATTCTTAGATCACCGGTGTGACAAGGAGGGGATGTGGGATCACCAAGACTTAAAACCACAGGAATGTATGATCATAAGTTTATTGTGTGTGTGTGCGTGTGTGTGTGTGTGTGTGTGTTTCTGAGACGGAGTTTCACTCCTGTTGCCCAGGCTGGAGCGTAGTGGCGCGATCTCGGCTCACTGCAACCTCCGCCTCCCAGGTTCAACTGATTCTCCTGCCTCAGCCTCCCGAGAAGGTGGGATTATAGGAGTGTGCCACCACACCCGGTTAATTTTTGTGTTTTCAGGAGAGACAGGCTTTCACCATGTTGGGCAGGCTGGTCTCGAACTCCTGACCTCGTGATCCACCCACCGTGGCCTCGCAAAGTGCTGGGATTACAGGCGTGAGCCACAGTGCCCAGCCCATAATTTAATTTTTGTAGAGGAAAGTTATCACCCCCTACCCTTGACATCCTGTCCCAGATAACGTATTATCTAAGTAAAAACAGTATACCTGCTTTGCGAACACAGCTTTAAAATGATTCTTCTCTCTCTCCTTACTTGCTGTCACACACGTGTACACACCTCCCACCAGTGTTCCATCTCCTTCTAGCAGAAACCCCATCAATGAAAAGAAGGTCAAGAGATCACAAACAGAAACTGACAAGGATTTTTCAAAACAGTAAGTTATTTTATTTCAAAATCAAAAATATGGCACAATATTGATCCCAACAGGAATTTTTAGCTGGAAGCTGTTTCTAAAAGATGCCTACAATTTCAATAGACCACATCTCCCAGGTGATTGCCTAACCCCTGGGTTAGTGTGAGCCCTTCTCTCCTGCTTCTCACTTCCCTTTCAAAGTGCGTGAGTCACACCCTTTTACCTGTTGTCTTCATTCCCTGCCCCAGCTGATAGTGAATAAGGAAGACAGTTGTTGAAACGGAGAAAGGAAAGTACTATTTATGGAGCACCTGTTACAAGGCATGTTAGGTATTTTCAGATAACTTTGCTACATTCATTGTGATCCTTAGGGAAACCCTGCAAGGTAGGTAAAAATCCCTATTCTGCATGTGAGAGAAATTGAGCTTCATGGTGATTCATTTCTTTTTTCTCTGTGCCAGGCACTAGGGCATGGGCTAGAAGCTGAGCCATAGAAACCTGCTTTGGGTCACAGAGCATGATGGGGGAGGGAATTGAGGTCAGATTCTTCGGCTCATGCCTTTACCACTACATCATAAACAGGGCTGGGTCTCTGTTATCAAGGTCTTTCATTGTTGGCACCCGTGTTCACACAGCTTGCCGAGTTTCTAGTTCGCTGGCTGGCTCTGCCTTTCCCTCCCAGTGGCATTCTCAGTTTATGGCTGCCTGCCCTCTCCACTTGGGAGTCCTCATGTTACTTTGCGCTTGGGTGTCTGTAGCCTCCTGATTCCTGCCTACCCACCTGGATACACTTCTTCTTTGGTTTGGGGCCAGCTGAGAACTGCTCACCTGGCTGTAGTGTCTAAGCTCCATTTTGTCCCCTAAACCGCCTATTTGCCAAATATAGCCCTGGCAGGACTCAGTCTCTTCCCAGTTCCGAAGCACCTGTCACACTCTCCAATCCAAAGCCTGCCAGTCATTTTTATCATATCCTTTACCGAGAGAAATCTTTAGAAGCTGCTCTGTTTTCCTTATCTCTACCATTTAGTATTTTTTTAAATATTGACTTATTTTTCCAAATTAAGTCATAAAGAGATGCATGATGAAGTACTCATGCTCTCTGTTTTTATTAAAGACTTAGGATCAAATTAGATCTACTTTTTTTTTTTTAACAAATTGAATACAGACAGTAAAAAATACATTTGTGGGTAAATTTGGTTTAAGCATATTGTCAGAAAATTACAAGACTATGAGATTCCTGAATGGGCATTTAGCCTACCTTTTACCTCCAGGCAGGAACATGGCTAACGTTTACTAAAGGAGAGAGAGAGAAAGAGAGCGATTCCATTATGTTAAAACCAAAACAAAACAAAACAAAAACTTTAGGAGATAAACTATCTAGGCTATCCTTCACCTAGGGCCATTCGTACTGGTGATCACTGTATTGATGAAAGAGTCTGAGATAGACAGAAAGCGGGGTTTGAATAAGTTTTATAAGGAAAGAGTTTTTCCAGTGGCAGTTACCATATTTTTAAAATTCAGTATGTAACGGCCAAAACTACAGATCATAAAGATAGTTTGCTATTTTTTATTTAGATAAATTTTAACTAATAATAATGTATTTCCTGATCCAAGGTAAGATATGAATGATCAAATCTCATGCTTCAGGCCACAGAGTAATTAATGCCAGAAAAGAGTTTCCTTGCATTTGTTGACAGAGAGGCAGAGATTGAGAGAGAGAGAGAGAGAAAGCAAGCAAACAAGAGAGAGGGATTAAGAAAACCACAATGCACATATACCATGTAACCCATCTTCCCTCCCTGGAACTCCTCACTGATTTCCCAATCCAGCCACTCCAATTTCCCAATCAAGGAGCTATGACTTTGAAATAGCGATGGTGTAGCTTTAGCCCCGATATATGAAGTGCTCCCACTTTTTGCCAGTCACTTCACAGTTCTCCCTTTATTTGCCAAGATAGACCTCCTCCCTCTAAGTAAAATAAAAGTACGGCTTTTCTAAGTTAACCTAAAGAAAATAATACAATGCCTGTGTTAGTACATGACTTTTTTTAAGCAACAGAAGACTGGTAAAGAGGCTGTTATTTAAAACTGATTGAAATGGATTCAGAGTACAGGCCCTGTGCCAGGTGGCATGAACTTGTAACCCATGCTTAACTCAGATTTATTATATTAATCATGGTAATCCAATACATAGTAAGTTTAATTTTGTGTGTATGTGTGTGTTATTAAAGTTGTATTCAAATGAAAATACTAAAAGCTGAAGAACAAGCACAGAAATTGTAGTATGGGGATTTGAATTTGACAGAAATGGATTTAAGAAAAAGCCTTGCCAATTACTAGCTGGATAGCATCAGACAACTAATGTAATCTGCGTTTCAGTTGGAGAGATTAAAATAAGAAATATAAAAAAGGGAAAACAATGATTCTGATCTCCTAGAGAGATTGTGAGGATTAAAGGGATAATAGCCAGAGTGTCCAGCACATAATAAATATTCTCAGCAAATGATATTATATTTTTATTACTAATTATAATAAGTTTCTCCTTCTTGAAATTTGGATTTAGAAATTTAGAGAAATTCCTATACCCTTTCCAGCTAAAATATATATTTTTTGTGAATAGTGTATTCAGTAATAAGAGCCTCAATGCAGAAATTCCAGAATGAGTCTGCTTATCATTTTGCAGTTACTTAAAAAATAAACATTCTTGTGCCATAAGATTCCTTGGCTGATAAGTTAGATCTGTAGTTCCTTGTTATTCAAAGTGTGGTCAGAAAAACAGCAGCAGTAGCAGTGCCAAGGAGCTTATCAAAGCTTTAGAACGTCAGACACTATTCGGACTACTGAATCAGAAAACATATTTAAACAAGATCTCCAGGTGATTCATATGCACATGAAAGTTTGAAAAGAATTGCTCCAGTACAATGGTTCTCAGACTTTAGCATGTGCCGGAAGTACCTTGAGAACTTGTTAAAACAGATAGCTGAGCCTTAAATCTAGATTTTTAAATTCAGTAAGTCTGGATTAGGGCTAAAAATTTTACATTACTAGCAAGGTGGTGCTGATGTTGCTAGTCCAGGAACCACACTTCAATAATAATTAAGACATTCAATAGCTCGACAATTAGAAAAAAATAAAGTATTTAAGAGGAAGAAAATAATAAAGATTAGAAGAACAAAAACCAGTGAAACATACAACAGACAAATAATAGAGAAAACACGTAAAACCCAAAGATGTTAAAAGATCAGTGAAATAATGCATTTTTATATTGATTGAACAAGGAAAAAAAAGAAAAGGTACAAATTACAAATATCAGGAATAAAAGAGAATATGTCTCCACAGACCCCAAAGGGATTAAAAGTATAATAGAAAAACATTATGAATAACTTCATGACAATAAATTTGAAACACTGATGAAATTGATATATTTTAAAATTTCTTTATATTTTAAAATTTTGTCATTGAGAATATTCCCACAAAGAAAGTTTTGGGTCTGAATGGCTTCACCAGGAAATTCTGTCAAACACTTAGGAGAAAATAATACCAATCCTACAAGAAATCTCTCAGAAAATTAAGGATAAACATTTCCCAAGCCATTTAATAGGGCCAAAATTACATTGTTATCGATGACACTGCAAAAAGAGAAAACTACAGTTGTCCTCCCTTATTTTCAATTTTGCTTTCTGAGGAGTCAGTTACCCACAGTCAACTGCAGTCTGAAAATATTTAATAGAAAATTCCAGAAATAAACAATTCACAGGTTTTAAATTGTGTGCCATTCTTAGTATGATGAAACCCTGCAACATCCAGCTCCATCCTCCCTGGATGTGACATAGCCCTTTGCCCAGTGTCTCCATCCTGTATACTGTTAGTCACTTAGTAGCCATCTGGGTTGTCAGGCAGTTGTGGTATTGCAGTGCGTGTGCTCAAGTAACCCTCATTTTACTTAATAATGGTCCCAAAATGCAAGAGTAATGATGCTGGCAATTTTTTGTTTGCCAAAGAGAAGCCATAAAGTGCTTCCTTTAAGTGAAAAGGTGAAAGGTCTTGGTTTAATATGGAAAGAAAAAAATATGCGAGGTTGCTAAGCTACTGTATGAATGAATCTTCTCCCAGTGAAATTGTGAAGAAGGAAAAAGAAGTTCATGCTAGTTTTGCTGTCACACATCAAGTGGATGATCCTTCATCTGCCTTATTGTCAGAAGGTCAATAGTAGCCTAACACTAAATCACAACGCCTTTATCATTCACCTCACTTCATCTCATTACTTAGGCATTGTGTCATCTCATACCATTGCATGAAAAAAGAAGGTGAGACCAGTACAATAAGATATTTTGAGAGAGAGAGAGAGAAATAGGACATATTCATATAACTTTTATTACAGTATGTTGTTACAATTGTTCCATTTTTAGTTACTGTTAATTTCTTACGGTGGTGAATTTATGAACTGAACTTCATCATTGGCATGTATGTGTAGGGAAAAACATAGTCTATTATATAGGGTTTGGTGCTATCTGCAGTTTCAGGAATCCACTGGGAATCTTAGAACAAGTCCTCCATGGATAAGGAGGGACTACTGTACCAAAAACTCTTTCTAGTGAAAATAGGAGCAAAACTCCTTTATGTTATATTAGCAAATACAATTCAGTAATATAATATATAAAGAGTATCCTGCACCCGATCTATCGGGGGAAATTCAGCCCCTGATATTTCACGTGGGTCCTTTTCTATTTTCTCTAAGTGTCGGCCAGTCTGAGAAATAAAGGGAAAGAGCACAGAAGAGAGATTTTAAAGCTGGGTGTCCAGGGCAGACATCACATGTCAGCAGGTTCCGTGATACGCCCCAAGCTGCAAAACCAAGTTTTTATTAGCAATTTTCAAAAGGGGAGGGAGTGTACGAATAGAGTGTGGGTCACAGAGATCACATGCTTCACAAGATAGAATATCACAAGGCAAATGGAGGCAGGGTGAGATCACAGGACCAGGGCAAAATTAAAATTGCTAATGAAGTTTCGGGCACACATTGTCATTGTTAACATTTTATCAGAAGACAGGGTTTGAGAGCAGACAACCAGTCTGACCAAAATTTATTAGGCGGGAATTTCCTCGTCCTAATAAGCCTGGGAGCGCTACAGGAGCCCGGGCTTATTTCATCCCTTATCTACAACTGTAAAAGACAGACGTTCCCAAAGCAGCCATTTCAGAGACCTCTCCTTGGGAACGCATTCTCTTTCTCAGGGCCGTTCCTTGCTGAGAAAAAGAATTCAGTGATATTTCTCCTATTTGCTTTTGAAAGAAGAGAAATATGGCTCTGTTCCACCTGGCCCACAGGCAGCCAGACTTTAAGGTTATCTCCCTTGTTCCCTGAAGATTGCTGTTATCCTGTTCTTTTTTCAAGGTGCCCAGATTTCATATTGTTTAAACAATTTGTGCAGTTAATGAAATCATCACAGGGTCCTGAGGCAACATTTATTCTCAGCTTATGAAGATGATGGGATTAAGAGATTAAAGTAAAGACAGCCATAGGAAATCACAAGAGTATTGATTGGGGAAGTGATAAGTGTCCATGAAATCCTCACAATTTATGTTCAGAGATTGCAGTAAAGACAGGCATAAGAAATTATAGAAGTATTAATTTGGGAAACTAATAAATGTCCATGAAATCTTCAAAATTTATGTTCTTCTGCCATGGCTTCAGCCAGTCCCTCCATTTGGGGTCCCTGACTTCCCACAACACTGATCAAATGTGTTTTATGTCACAAGTGTAAGCTTGGTTTACTCTAAAAGATCAAACAGTATAATTAACTATATTAATAGCATAATAGGGTAAAAACCAATATGATCATCTCACTAAGTGCAGAATAAGCATTTGAAAAGATCGTACATACATTTTTGATAAAAACTCTTAGCAAATTAGAAGTAGAAGGCAAATCTCTCAATATGATAAAGGCCATCTATGAAAAAACTACAGCTAACATCATATTCTATGATTGAAAGTTGATATTCTCTCTTTGAAGATCTCAAAAGAATTTCTACTCTCACCTCTTCAAATGGACTTTCTATTGGAAGTCCTAGCCAGTGTGATATAACAATAAAACAAGTAAAAGACATACAGGTTGGAAAGGAAGAAATAAAATAGACTGTATGTGTAGACCTGATAATGCCTACAAAAAATCCTAAGAAACCTGGAAAAAGAAGCTATTAGAGCTAATATATGTATTTAGAAAGATCACAGATTACAGGGTCAAAAATCTAAAATTAGTTATATTTCTACATGCCAGAAGTGAGCAATTGAAAATCGAAATTAAAAACATCATAATTTATAATAATATCAAAAAATTAAATACATAGGAATAAATTTAACAATGCATGTGCATGCCCTCTATACTGGTAATTACAAAACATTGCTGAAAGAAATTAAGTTAGACTTAAATAAAAGTAGAAATATGCCATGTTTATAATTTGGAACAATTAATGTATTTAAGATGTCAGTGAAATAAAATGTCAAATTCTTAGCAGGCTTTTATGTAGAATATGACAAGCTGATTTTAAAATTTGTATGGAAATTCAAAACACTAAGAAAAGCAATTTGAAAAAGGAGAAAAAAGTTGAAGGTCTTAACCCTCATCATTTCAAGACTTACAATCAAGTTTAAAAAACCAAGACAGTAGGATGTTATAAGAATAAACCATTGATTAATAAAGCAGAATAAACTGATTCTATTTCTCTCTCTCTCTCTCTTCTCCATTGCTTTCTCTCTTCCTCTTTCTTTTCCTCCATCCCCCTCTGTTCCTCCTTCCTTCCCTCTTTCCCTCTCTTCAGTCCTCTCTTTGTCCCTCCCTTCTTTTCTCCCTCCTTTCCTCACTTCATCTCTTTATCTGCCTATCTATCTTAAATTTATTTTTGATACAGGTGTTAAGAAAATTCAATGGGAAAAGTATAGTTTTTTCAATAAACCATGCTGAACAATTGGATACCTCTATTATGCTAAATGAAAAGCACTCCATTCACAAAAGCAATATTATACAATTCCACGTATATGAAATGTCCAGAATAGATAAACTGTAGAGACAGAATATGCATTAGTGGTTTTCCAGGGCTGGGCAGAAAAATGGGGGGGAAATGAGAAGTGATTGCTAACAAATATGCAATTTCTTTTTGGGGTGATGAAAATATTCTAAAATTGATTGTGTTGATGGTTACACACTGTGAATATAATAAACACCATTGCATTGTACACTTCAGTGAATGAAATGTGTGATATATAAATTATATCTCAATAAAGCTGCTATATTAAAAAGAAAAGAAAAAAGGGTAGCATTTGATTAGATAGCACCCAGCAGTCATTAATTACTTCAACATAAACAATTTCAATTTGAGTTGAGAGAGGAGTTATAGAAGCCAAATTATGTTGTTTGTTGCTAAAATAAAAAGGAAGTCGTTGAATACAATGAATGTAGACCTCTCATTTTAAAAAGTCTAACTGCAATGAGTAAGCAAAGGCATACAGAATGATGTAATGGACTTTAGAGACTCAGAAGAGGGAGTTTGGGGAGGGGGCTAGGGATTGAAAACTACACATTATATACAATGTACACTACTTGGGTGATAGGTGCATTAAAATCTCAGAATTCACCACCATATAATTCATCCATGTAACAAAAAACCACTTGAACTCCAAAAAGCTATTGAAGTAAGAAATATTGTTAAAAGCCAAAAGAACAAATATTATAAAAATTAAAATGTCTAGCTGCAAAAAAAGTCATCTGGCAAGATTTGTACTAAATGGAATGAGATAATAGGAGGTGAAAGGAAAAGAGAGAGAAGAATGCTGGTGGGAATGAGAGTTGACGGGGAAAGGTTTGAGGGGAAATGGAATCTAGAGAATGAAAAGGAATTAACCCTGGATGTTGACATTACCACTCTTCAACTGATATGAGAAGGAAGAAACAAAGAACACATGTTCTACCCTTGTGTTGCTCACAACTCAAGGAGTAGCAGTGTGTATCTTGCTGAGGAGACATTACTCGGAGATCTCTAAATCTCACAGCATTTGAATACTATCCACCCCGACACCTGGTGTGGTTGCATGCGTGTGCATGTGTGTGTGCATTGGTGTGTTGTAGTGAGGGAAACTATCCTTCTCAATGAGATGTTACTATGAAAAAATGACATTTCTCATGAGGAAACCTGACAGCTTTGAAGGTATAGCATCTATGGGAGATTCTCAAACCAAACTTAGAGATTTTAAAACAGGGGCTACCAACTCAATGCCTACAAGGTTCAGATGGTTAATAATAACACCCACAGTGTATTGAGCACATATTATATGCAGGCACCAGTCTAAGCACTTTATATTCATAAGCTTATTTAACCCTCACAACAATCTTATGAGGTAGGTACTCTTAACCTTACAAGACAGGTAGAGCATTGAGGCACACAAAGGTACAGGAAATCACCACGGACACAGAGTTAGCAAATATGTAGAGATGGGTGTCGCATCCAGGAAGTTTGACTGAGAGCACATGCTTCTCAGGAATGAAGCCATATTGCCTCTCGGCAAAGAGATATAAACAAGGAAATGGTCTGGCCAGGGCCTACAGGAAAGAGAAGAACCTATGACTATGCTGGACCGAAGCAGCCATTACTTATGTTCAGCCCATTCCTGATGCACAAATGTGGGCCCAGTGTTCCCAGATCATAAGAGGAAGTTGCAATCTAAACTTATAAATAAAACTTCACAATTTTTAAACATTGGTGACTTATTTTTGAGTTCAAATATTATTGACAAACATGTCAACAATTCAGATATGGCCCATGATGAGCCAGTGTGTGACCTCTGCTTTAAACAGAACTGTAGTCTGCTAAGGGTGTCCAAGATAAACAGGAGTATACATTCAAAACAGGAAGTTTGATAACTTCAGAAGCTTGATGTATGTGAAAACAGAATTTTTAAATGTACAATATAAGGGGTAAAAGTACACACATTAAGAAACAAGCAACCTAACAAATATGCATCAGGAAGAAAACTTGGTAATAGCCCAATACAAAGAGAAAAGGAAGACATTTTAAAATAACAAACACCACCAACAAGAATGCTGGGCTGCTGCACTGACAAGGACAGTTGAGATGAGACATCACTCTCCAAGAAAGTTAAATGTGATCTGGAAGAATACATCTCTTGCTGTGAAAATCCTGTCCCACTTACATCAGACATACTGTATTCAGTGAGACATTAACAAGTAAACAGCAAATCCACATCTCACAGGGCCATTGGAAGAAGATGGGGAAAAACGCAGATCGATGTGGGCCTAAATACATCCCATCTTTAATTATTTTAAAACTCTATCAGACTTTCTCCCAGGCAGATGCAACCAGGAAATGTAAATGGTTCTAGAAATCATTACCAAAATTTTTTTATTCTTAGTAATGTTGAATACTTTCCATCTATTTATTTGACATTTGAGTCATTATTTTGTGAATAATCTTTTCTTATCCTTTGCCCATTTATCTATTTAAAATACCATTTTGACTATTGAGTTATTATAGCAATTCTTTTAAATGGCATCATGTAATACAAGTTATCATGCAGTGAAACTGGCATTCGCACCCATGACTGACACTTTGGAAAGCAATTTGATACGTGTGTCAAGACAGTTTTACATCTTTTTACTTGATAATATCACTTTTGGGAATCTATGCTAACAAATTCACCTGAGACACAGAAAATAATGTTTTATGAACAAAGATATTCAACATAAGAGGTATTTATAAGAGTGCAAAACTGAAAACACAGTAGGTAATCTCATTCATTTTTTAAAAAAATAGCACAGGAAATGCTTAAAATATCTCATAAAAGAGGAAAGAAAAAGGATGTTCAGATCTATTACCGTGGCTGTGCAAATACACATAGAAAGATGACTAGAAGGAAAATATAAAACTATCAACAGATAGGATTATGGATGATTATTTTCTACTCTAATACATTTTTCATATTCTCTTCAATGAATGTGTATCATTTTTAATCACACGCCATTATCTAACATGAAACCTGAAATGCCATAATTAGATGCATTTATTTACATCTTGAAAAATTTGATAATCAACTCACATATAAGGCCAGGCACAGTGGCCCACACCTGTAATCCCAACAGTTTGGGAGGCTGAATGGGGAGGAGTTTTAGACCAGCCTGGGCAACATGGTAAGATCCCATCTCTACAAAAAAATTAAAAATCAGGCATATGGTGTGCACCTGTGGTCCCTGCTACTCAGGAGGCTGAGATGGGAGGATTACTTGACCCCAGGAGTTTGAGGCTGCAGTGAGCCATGTTCCTGCCACCACACTTGAGGCTGAGTGACAGAGAAAGATGATGTCTCAAAAAAAAATTCATGTAAAGATGGCTTGACAATGGATGAATGGATGCCTTAGTTATATAAATGGCAAGTGGAAAGTGGTAGGTAGCAGGTAAGTAGCAGAAATTTTCTTTGAGGATGTATCAATTAAGGACCCCATTTGCAATGAATAGAAACACTCTATTTACCTGCTGCATACATAATGAAAGCTGTCACTGGAGCAGCTGCCACTGCAAGTTGGGTATTTTTTCTGCAGAGCACAAATGGTCTCATCTTCATCTCATTACTAGCTTCTGAGTCAATATCTGAAGCGGGCACATCTGATAGGTGGATCCAAAGTAACATGCTTAATCCAAACTGCAAAGGGGACTACAAAGTGAGTAGAAAGTGAGTTTCTAAGCATTTTAGTTTCTATCTGCGGGAAGGGGTGTCTATCTCAGGTGGGGAAATTCCCCAAACTCAGGAAGGAGGTTCCTGTACTATGGCAAAAAGGACAAATGCCCAATATAGAAGATGTATCACTCAGGACCTGTAAAGGGAGCTCTATCTTGCTCCACTGGATGCCTTGCATGTATCCATTCAAACAAGGGTCAGACCACAGCTTTTCTGAGTCTCAGCAGAAGAACTTACTATTCTCCAGGAACACGACAGAATAGAAACAACTATGAGGCTATCTAACACTTGCCTTCCGATTCCTGCTACTTGTCTCCTTGGGTTTCTGATGAAGTGTGGGCTTCCGTATCATCCTCAGAATAGAGGTGTAGAATATAAAATTTCTTAGCTGGCATCTAGAATTAATTTCTCAGAAACAGGATATCTCACACCTAGTGATTCATCTGAATTTTTGCTTTTTTAAATCATAAATTTTATTTTTATTAGTTTTTAACACACAAAAGTCTACATAATTAGCATATACAACTTGATGAGGCTAGGGATAAGTGTACACCTATGAAAATATCACCACAATCTGTGCCATAAGCCATCCATCTTTTTTGGCTAGCAACTATGACACTCTTCTTTTTGTTCTCTATACTGTATGAGCAATAAATTGTCGAAATATAAAGTGGCTCATTGTTTCTTTACAGGTCAAATCCCTTAGGCCTTGGTTTTGGCCTTACCTTGTCTTTCATATGTGTCCAACCTAAGCCAGCTCAAACAAGAAAATTTATTGAGCTGTTGAACTGAAAACTGGATCCAGGAGCTCAAATGAATTTATCATGGTACAGTTTCTCTTCTCATTACAGATTCTGTTATCTTCAGTTTGGCTTTTCTCTCCAGAAAGTCTAGCTCTACAAGATGGTCTCTGGCATATCTAGGTTCAAGAAATCCTTAGAGCACCAATCCAGTGGAAAGAGTTTATCTTTCCCAAACATTGCTACAGCACAGGAACCTCAGAATTTAATCTCTCAGGATGGATCTGGATCATGAATAGAATATGAAAACTGGTCAGGGCTCCACTATGTTCTTACCCTTGGAGGCAACAACAGAATTTTTCCTACCCAAACTACACAGACTGAGATTAGGGAAATGGGACTCGTTAAAGGAAATGCAAAGTCCTATAACCAGAAGGGGAAAATACATGCTCAACAAGCAAACCACCGATGTTCACCTCAAAGGATAACTTCTGAGGTTGTTACCAGCTTACATCATGTTGAGGTGCAGTTGAAAGGGAGACTGTGTTGAACTTTACAGGAATTAGATGTAGTAAATAATAGGTGGGGGTGGACATGAAAGAATGAGGAGGAGAGAGAAGAAGAAGAAGGCTAATGAATAAGTAGGAAGCCAGAAAACACTGACTTTATAAATATTCCCAATGTCTGCTGGCACTGACCTAGACTAACAGAAGGGGTCAAGGTACCACTCATTCCATGATGCACATGTAAGAGCCTATCCTAATGCAGGTAAATAGGTAGATATTTGAGAAGTCAGAAATAAAACATATGCACCAGGCAAACATTTGCAAGAGATGCCTTATAATCATGCATAGGAATTACCTGGGGTCTTGGTTAAAGGCAAACTCTGATTCAGTAGGTTTGAGGTGAGACCAGTGATGCTTCATCTCTAACAAGCATACAGGTGGTGCTGAGGCTGCTGGTCCACACTGGTAGCAACAATCTAAGTGGCAAAACTTAGATGTGCTATTCGTTATTCACAGCTTCACAGGTGATGCAAATCAAATCCTGCTTTTTGTTGTTGCTGTTTTTTATCTTTCTGCTTGGGATTCATAGACCCAAGAGCACAGATATGATTGGCCTAACTTGGGTCATATGGTCACCTCTTGGCTAAGGAGCATTAATGAATGCATGGATAGGAGAAAGGTATTTCCCCAAAGGCAAAATTGCTCTGCTGGTACAATGAGAAGAAATAGTGGCTACTGAATGGTTCTGCAGGGGCATAGGTTGTAAGGTGCACAGCAGGAATCTGAAAACAGATCACCAGACCAAGACTCTTCCACAGCTGCCCGAGAATATCATACCTAGAGTGATATGATGTATCTAAAACAGTACTGCATGACCTATTCACAGCCCATTTTCAAACATTTCTGTCTGCACTACTGAAGGGGCTAAAAGGCACAAACTGCCTTTGAAGTACCCAGCAAGAATTACAAACCAATCACGATGACAGGACCAAAGGTACCTGCATCTACACAAGCGTGCACTGTTACCACACTGGACTGGGTAACAGTTCACTGGGTTGTTCCTGTCTGGAAGAAACTGTTCATTGCCCCCAGGAGAGTTCTATTTTGTACTCATAAGGCAAAATTGTCTTTTGCGGCTGTAAAGAAACTCTCTTAGTTGCCAGCTTAACCATATGCTACACCTCCTACCTCTTACAACTCTTTGTTAAATCCCATGACCTTCTCAGGCAAAGGTTCCATCTGGCAGAATTGCTAAAACCACAAAAACAAAAAAGCCAGCAGCAACATTAAAGAAGGACAGTTTTATGGATGTATCTTGTGTGTAGATGCTTCTCTAAGATTTTACATGTATTGTTTCTTTTACGATGCAATATGTGATTTTGCACTGGTCAATTTAGCTGAGCTGGGTCTTCACTTCCCAGATTCCTTTACCCATATAGTTCCAGTTTAAGTTCAGCCACGGGCAAATCTGAGTGAGATTTGGTGAGGTGGAAGTGAAGGGATAGCCATTACACTCTGGTCATTGTTGATTTGAGGTGGTGAGGGACAGTTGCAAAGGTGATGGTGGGAAAGAGTTTATCTTTCCCAAACATTCCAACAGGACAAGAACCTCAGAATTTAATCTCTCAGGATGGATCTGGATCATGAATAGAATATGAAAACTGGTCAGGGCTCCACCATGTTCTTACCCTTGGAGGTGACAACAGAATTTTTCCTACCCAAACTACACAGACTGAGATTGGGTAAATGGGACTCGTTAAAGGAAATGCAAAGTCCTATAACCAGAAGGGGAAAATACATGCTCAACAAGCAAACTGGCCTATTCTTGATTTTTCCTGCTCCATGCCTGGTTCTTTGTCCAAACTGCTGGACTTGCTGACCAAAAGTTACCACAGGCCAGGGTTGCTAGATTTAGCAATAAAAATACAGGAATATTCAGCTAAATTTGAATTTCAGATAAGTAGCATTTTTTAAAGCGTGAGTATATTCCATGCAATATTTATTCCATGGAATAAATTTGTTGTTTATCTGAAATTCAAATTTAACAGGACATCCTGTAGTTTCTCTGGACCCTAACACAGGCATACCTCGAGGTGTTTTACTGAGAACTCAGAGAGGCAGCAGCGGCAAAGAGCCAACCACCATCACTTCATGGGCTTCTACGGCAGCTGGATGTACCTCGCTTCTGGAAACCTCCCACCCATTCACCATGCCAGGGCTGGTTCACAAGTTTCTTCCAATGCTTTTCAGAACTTTATTTCCCCAGATTCTTCCCATGGTTGTGTAAGGTTGAATTCCTGCAATGCATGCTTTATTCCATAACACTCAGGAGGTTTTACTTCCCTGATTACATGCTAACTAATACTCGATATGACTTAAAGAGAAAAGTGCTATTATTCCTACTTCACAAGAAAAGAAAATGCAGCACAAAGAGGTAAAGCTACATGCCCAAAGCCGCGCAACTGATAAGCAGTGGAACTAGAACTCAAGCCCAGGAAGTCTGATGTAATAGCTGAATTAACTTCCATAGCATATTGCCATAGCAGTTTTTATATGTAGACACAAGTATTATATAACTGTCATATCAGTATATATAAAGATATAACTAATGTATATCATATATATCATATAATGCATGCATTTTGTTAGTAGTATATAAGTTTGTATATATAAACTATAGAACTGATTAGATAGATATAAACATATAAATATTTACCCTATATATAAAATTTAGCTCCAGAATTTCATAGAAACTGGTTTTTCAATGTTTTCCCTGGTGGATATCAAAAAATGCCAACTGTGTGCAATTGAAAATTCTCAATTGTATACAGTTAGTATTTTGATATCTGCTAGTGACAACAGTTGAAAAACCAGTTTCTATAAAACACTGGAGCCAAACTGTCATATAAACAAAAAGATGAGTGGATCTGCTTCTTTGGATAATATTGGTTATTCCACACACACACACACACACACACACACACAAAAGAAAAACAGAAAGAGATTGAGCTCATTAACGTTCAAATGAGGATCCATTTGAACAGAGAAGGTTAATGAGTACACAGTGTGGGAGGAGCCCTGAGATAGTTTAAGGCCATGAAACAAATGCAATGTTTAGAAGAAAATGATAGATAATTCCACTTAATGAGTACACAGCAGACTAATTATTGCAATGAAAAATGTTTAATTAAAAAGAAGTCTGCTTTCTAATGATTATACTGACTGTAAACCAGTTTAAAAAATCCCAAAGACAGCTAAAGACAATATATATAAAGACTGCAGGGAAAGTTTACACAAAGAAGATAAGTATATTTGTTTATTATTATGGTTTAAAGTTAGCATTCTAGCAATCCTGGCCTCTTTTAATACAATGTTTCCTGATCTCTTAAGAAAACACCCAGTTGAACATGGGAGAAGAGATTACTTGGAAACAAAAGAAAGTCATAGCAGAATCATTTTAATAAATTTTAATATTAATTCAGAGAAAATATATTTTAACACAAATTTGTTTTAAAAATGTGAAATTATAGCAAATTCCATTCAGGTCATTAGTGACAGAATCCATTCATGGAATCAAAATATCAAGGAAGCCTATACAGCTCCAGTTTGCGGTGGGACTTGAGAAAGACAGATAAAGAATATTTTCACATTCTGCTTCACTTCAACAACCACCAGTGTCTCGATGGACAGGGCATGCAACTGGAAGAGAGTAGAACTAGGAGTTTCAAGACAGGGCTGCAAAATGTGACTCTTTCTGCCTCTGATTTCTCTGTGAGCATAAGTGTGTGTGTGTGTGTGTGTGTGAGAGAGAGAGAGAGAGAGACAGAGTATGGATAGTGTTATCAGTTATCAATTTCAGTCTGGGGGAATCCATAATCATTCATTTTCTGGGCCTTTTCTTCCCTTGACTTGCCCACTTCTCTTCCCCTTCCCAGACAAATAGAGAGAATGGTGTGCTGGGGTCAGCCTGTACCAACTCATGAGAGCTGTCAAATTTTTAAGTAAACTTGAAAGCTGCCTATGACAAAATTTATAGCCATCATTAAAATTTAAATTATATACATTTACAAGTAGATAAATTATAAAGTAATAAATATTCAAACTCAACAATTTTGAATTTTTCCCTGGAGCTTACCTACACCTGTCATTTCTGTAGAGTGTATGTACTACTGCACACCTCTTTGTAATTCCACCCTCAGTGACTTCACATCAGTAGCTTGAAATTGACAATGGCAGAAATATTCACACCACAGAATCAGCAGGTGCTAGAATTTAGAGCTCCCCTCTACCCCCAGTGGTTGTTAAACATTTACCAACACATCACTGGATAGAGGCCATCATGGGGAACTGAGCCATGGTGGGTAGATTCTATGTTTAGAGGGTGGCACTTAAGCTCTGACTGCTGTTGGAGCAGAGGAAACTGATAAGAGATGAGTCTGCAGAAGAAAACCCAAACAGATGTGAGATCAGTGCACTGGTATTCTGAAGAAGCCAGTGAGAGAGAAGTCAAGGCTCTGGCTAGGAGCTGTTGAGATGAGAATTTAGAAAACCCAACAAAAGCAGAATGTACAAAAAAGTAGACAGATGGTGAAACCACAGAAAAATTATTCAACTGAGTAGTTCAGCATGTTTTATCATTTGGGTATTAGACATGGACAAGGGAGAAGCATTTTGAAGCAGGTACACTGATTTCCACATTTATCTTGCATCACTTCAAACACAATTCTGTTCTTCTGAAATTACTTCTTTTCTCTCTATTCAAAGCTCTCTAACCCTCAATATGTGATCCGCATTTAAAAAGAAAGAAACTGGATTAAAATAATTTACACTGAGATATAATTAACATTCCTGAATACTAGGATCAATGTTCACACACACACACACATACACACACACACACAGAAAGAGAGAAAGGGGGGGGGTGTTGCTAGAATAGCTTTCATTGATAAAAACTATTGGAAATAGAATTAGCAGCAGATCGATAGGTTCCTAGTTGTAGCATAACCATGCGTAAGAGTCAGATGACCCCAAATTTTGAGCTGTGAAGTTTTAATCATGCTACATGATTAGAGAACCATTGTTTCCCCTTCCTTTGTGAGATTATCTGCTATGATGTGGCAGACACTTGGCTCCAACTGTATCCTGCTTGTTTATTATTCATGTGTAGTAAGAAACAAGAGTCTCTGTCCTGGGCATTGAGGTCTAAGCCTCGTAGTTTCAGTTATTTGATATATCAAACTAGCAGTAGGAATTGCACCATCAGGGTTTATGGTTGGAGACACATCAGTCTTCCCCTGGCATGATCGAGGGTTGGAGCTCAAGCCTTGCATTCAACTAGGATTGATCACCCTGAGAACTGGGACATAACCAGCTAGCACAGAGTTTGCACAAAGTCAGCTCCTTTTCTGGGAGGTCAGTCTGCAGGGGATCATTCTTGGACAAGTTTCTCCTTCTTTTTCATTGACACATATACCCCGGATTCCTCAAGAGATTCTTGGAATGTAATTGATGAGTTAATCAACACAGAATAATCTATATTAGATGACAGTTCAAGTAGTTTTCTTTTTTAAAAAAAAAAAAGAAGCCAAGACAAATAGGTCTTCTGCTGTCTTTTCCTCTGTCTTGTAGAACCCCTCATTGCCACCAGAACAGTTCTTCACACTTTAAAAACACCCAAGACAGGGATAACAGACATTTTTCCCCAGTGTCAACTGCTTCAAGGAAAAGTATGCTACAATTGATTACTGATGTCTGTCATGGGTATAGGGGTAAAAGGTTGTATGACACATGCTATATGTTGGTCATTTTACCTGTCTTTTTGGCAAATTATTCTTCTCACCTTAAAAATCATATTTTTTAGGCATCTGTCTCCTTAAAAACCACAAGTTAGACAAGGGAATGTTATTCAATGATAGAAAGAAATGAACTAAGTCATGAAAAGACATGAAGGAAACAAATGCTTATTATTAAGTGAAAGAAGCTAATGTGAAAAGGCAACATACTGTATAACTCTTTATGATGTTCTAGAAAAGGCAAAACTATGGAGACAAAAAAAAATCAGTAGTTGGGAGCAGGAGAAAAAAAGAGTGAATGGGTGGAGCACAGAGGATTTTTAGGGCAGTGAAACTACTATGTCTGATACTATAATGGTAAATACATATGTCCAAACTCATACAATGTACAAAACCAAGAGTGAACCCTTATGCAAACTATGGACTTTGGGTGATAATGATGTGTGAATACAGGTTCATCATTTGTAACAAATGTAACGACTCTGGTGGGGAATGTTGATAATGGAGTTGGCTATTCATGTCAGGGGGAACGGGGTATAGGAGAAATCTCTGTACCTTCCACTCACTTTTGCTGTAAAACTAAAACTGCTCTTAAAAATGAAGTCTTTTTTTTAAAAAAGAATAAAGGTCCAACAAGTTACTGATCTCTGCTATGATGTTTCCAACGGTTATGCCCTCATGTGTGATATAGTTAAAGGAAAATTAGCTAAATAGGCCGTATCTATCCTTGGAAAATTTTGTAGTTAGGCCAAATGTGGTTATGTCTAAGGCTTGAAAAACATTGATAGAACAAATTCACTGGGGAAAGATTTATTTCTCTCTTCTGGTGAGACAATGCTAAGTGTGAAATTGGCCATCTGAAATGTGATTTCCTCTGTAAAAGTAATGGCAACACCTGTTCCCTCTTGCCGTTGTAAACACCAATGCATTTCTTTATTTTATAGATTCCAAAGTCATTTTCTGTTGGATAAATTTAAACAATTACCAAAATGAAGAGGCAACATAATGTATATTTCAGGAATAATTTTTATGATGTGTACATTATTAGTAATGATGGTTAGCATTTATTGAGTGCTTACTATGAGTTAGGTACTGGGATAAGTCCTCTGTAATCTGCAGAATAGCACTGCCTGTCTACAAAAATGTGATTAAAATATAATAACAAGGAACTCATTAGAATACATAGTGTTCTGTAAAATTTGAAACTAGAATATTTCCCCACAAGTTTAATAATTTTTATTATCCTGGTATGGTGGCATACACCTGTAGTCCCAGCTACTTGGGAGGCCGAGGCAGGAGGATCACTTGAGCCCAGGAGTTCAACTCTGCAGTGAGCTATGATAGCACTACTGTACTCCAGCCTGGGCAACAGAGGGAGACTCCATCTCTTAAAAAATTTTTTTTAAAATAATGTGTTCACCCTCAGCCATACTTACCAAAATAACTGAGTACTCACTAAATATTTATTATGACATCTTATTTGTGAGCATTCTACAATTGAAATCACATCCTCTAATTCATTTTGCCTCACAATAACCTCAAAGGTGGATAAAGACAGGAAAATAAACCCCATTTTATGGATGAGGAATGCGCCTTAGGAAGGTTAAATAATTCGTTCAAGCTAAGCAAGTCTTTTCTCCAAAGTTTGTAAATTTACCCCCTCTCCATACTACTTTCCAATTTAGTTGCTGGTTTCAACATTTGTGTACCAATTTATTCTTTATGTAGCACCCTGAGTTACCTCTTTAAAGTGTGGGCTTCATAAGGTCACTCCTCTGATACTATAATGATAAATACATAAGTCTAAACTGATAGAATGTACTATACCAAGAGTGAACCCTTATGTAAATTATTGAGTTTGGATGATGATATGTGAATATAGGTTCATCATTTGTAACAAATGTACCACTCTGGTGGGGAATGTTGATAATGAAGTTGGCTATTCATGTGTGGGGGAACAGGATATATGAGGAATCACTTGAGTCCTGTAGTAATAAATATTTAGTGAGTGCTCAATTATTTTGCTAAGCAGGGTTGAGAGTGAATAAATTATTTTTAAAAACATGTTTAAAGAGATTGGGGTCTCTCTCTGCTGCCCAGGCTGGAGTACAGTAGTGCTATTAAAATGGGAAAGGTTCCTTTGTCCCCCTCATAGGGCATGCGATGGGGCTGTGGCTCGTTTCTTCAGTGCCCCGCTGCTGAAACCTCTAGGGGAGCATACAGATGGGCAGGCTGTGGGGCTCCAACCATGGCAGTGTCTGGGGTGAATGTTTACAGCTCCTGAAACCCCAGTGGGCATGCGTTACAGGGTGCTCTTTTAGTTTGCCATCTATAGGTGGCTTGTGTTAACCAGCTCAATTAGACCCTCTACCTTGTCGCAAGGATGGAGGGCTTTCTGTATCCTGGGTTCTCGCCTTGGTGTACTGGAAGAATCAGATCACATGTGGACTTGGAGAATGAGTGCAAAGTTTCATTGAGTGGAAGTAGCTCTCCGCTGATGGGGGAGCCAGAAGGGAGATGGTTTTCCCTGGAGTTGGGCAGCTCGGTAGCCAACTGCCTGGTGAAACTCCACCTCGTCCCACCGGTCGATGGCCTGCTGGCGTGCAGGTGCCTGTCGGTGTGCTCTTCTGCCAATGTTCTCCTCTGGACATCCTCTCCAAAACCAACTGCTTGCACCTTCTTCAGCTGATGTGCTCCTCACAACCTTGTGTCTCTGCTTTGCTAGGGTCTTGGGTTTTTATAGGTCCAGGATTGGGGTGTGGCAGGAAGGCAGAAGTGCCTGTCCTCACCTAGCTCCATGGGGGTGGAGCCCTAGCCAGGGACCGCCCTCCTCCACCCAGCACTTCCTTTCCCCACTTCCCTATCATTTAAAGGGACCACACTCTTCCCTTCCCAGCACTCCCGTCTCACTGTCATAACTCACCGCAGCCTTGAACTCCTGGACTCAAATGATCAAGTTCTTTTAGAGTTCTTAGGATTAAGTTCATAATCTGAAGCATGAACCATAAGGCTCTGGAGGACCAAAGCTTCATTTAACTCCTTGGCTTCATCCAAAATACATAGATTTCACTCAGTTTTTCACCACCTAGCTCCTTCTTGAATAAGAGCCTTCACATATGCTCTTCTCTTCATTTATAATGCCCCTTCCTCCTCCACTCTTCAGCAGTCTAGTTTTTATTCATCCTCAGGAGCACTTTGAGTCACTTACTCACCAAAGGTTTCCCCAACTTCCCACATTAGGTGAAGATTCTGTCATTCACTCATATGCTCTCCATATAAGGAAAACCTTTGACAAGACCTTTTAGGCTGCCCAGCATAAGGGCCAAGCCATTATTTGGCCAATTTTCCAAAGTATATGTTATGGTGAGAAGTAGACCCCAACTCTGGCGATGGAGGTCTAAAAGTAGATGCCTATGTTCCCGTCTTTCTTTTCAGCTAGATTACAGATGCATGAGCTGGGTTTACCAAGTCAGATGCACGTGCTTCCAGCTTTAAATGAGATGCTGGCAACCCAATGAAGCATGGACAGAAGAGCATTTATTCTCAAGGAGGTGACAGTGGCTGCACCGACATCCAGTTTTAAGGGATCCACAGAGATAGTAATGGCATTGGTACTGATGGTGGAATCCTTGATCCAGTTCTGGCAATGTAAGAAGTGCAAGGCACAGATTTTGGTGATGGGTGAAGTTGAGTGTAATGTTCTCACTAGACTGTTTCTGTAACTTAATTTTGGCCATGAGTTTGGCCATGTATCTGACCTTATTCCTGTCCACTTTCTGAGCTTGGTTTCTCAACCTTCCTGCCAAGTGCCTGAACTAATACTACATGTCTTTAAAATAAATTATATTTCTGTTTAAATCAGCCAGATTCAGTTTCTATTGCTTGCAGCTTAGAACTCTGACTGATAAAAAACATCCTTGCCCTTTACAACATTTACTGTAATTTTAAATAAATATTGATTTCACTGATAACTACGTCTCCCACTACACTATAAGCCTGATGACAATTAGGCCTCTGCCTATTGTGTGCACCACTGTATCTCTAGTGCCTGGCACAGATCTGTCACACAATAACCACAAAATAAATTTGCTGAATGAAAAAGTAAGTTAATATGTGTAAAACTCTCTCCACCTAAATGGTGGAGAGAGTAGGGGACAATAGGGCATACAAAGGAAGATCACAAACATAATCCTCCACAGGCCAGACACAGTGGCCCACACCTGTAATCTCAGCACTTTGGGAGGCCAAGGCAGGAGGATCACTTGATGCCAGAAGTTTGAGACCAGCCTGTGCAACATAGCAAGATCCTGTTTCTACAAAAAATTTAAAAATTAGCCAGGCATGGTGGCACACGCCTATAGTCCCAGCTACTCAGATGGCTAAGGCAGGAGGATAGCTTGGCCACAGGAGTTTAAGACTGCAGTAAACCATGATCATGCTACCACACTCCAGCCTGGATGACAGAGTGAAATCCTGTTTCTAAAAAAACCCCTAAAATTCTCAACAGAAATTTTAAAAAAATTCTCAATAGAAAACAGAAGGTTATAATGGATTAAAGTGATTATACACAGACAGACATATACATATGTCTGTCTATATATACACATATATACATGCAAACTCATGTGAGCCAAACTCATGAGGTCCATTATGAGCACCTATGGCCCATGTATATATGTGTATATATATGTCTGTATAGTGTTTCTTTCCCTGGGCAAAGTTGAGCCCCTGTGTATTTATATATGTCTATATATATGTATGTCTATATACTATGTATGTCTGTGTATAATCACTTTAATTCATTATACCTACATATATATGTATATGTGTGAGTTTGCATGTATATATGTGTATTGATATTATATATATATATACACACACATATGTGTGTGTGAGAGTGTGAGCTAATGAATGACCATTATGTAAGATAGAATGTGAAAAGTGTTGGAAAGATAGAAAGATCAAAAGGGAAAACAACAGAGGGCCTTTTGAAAGAGGTCCTTTTCAGGCAGGATCTTAAAGCACAGATCAAATTTGGATATTCAAAAGTTTAAGGAGGGAGTCTGGACAAATGGAGGGATGAACAAAAGCACAGAGATCAGAATGTGCAGAGTTATGAGGCATAACAAGTTGTCCAGTTTCTCATTTACTTAGGACTCAATGGGCAGCCATCGAAAGCTATTAGGAAGGAAAATGACATGTCTAGGCTGTGCTTTGATAAAGTCAATGTCCCAGAACTATTTAAAATTTACCAGCAGATAAAAGGACTAGACTCAATGAAATCAGATATTCAAAAAAAAAAAAAAAAGAAGAGGTAATAGGGCATTAAGTCATAGGAATAAATGCATAGGACAGATATATGAGTTATCAAAGAAGCAAGATTGCAAAGATATGAACGCTGGATATGGAAGTACAATAGAAGAAAGGTAGTTTTGTAAAATGAAATTAAAAGCTGAATAACTGGGAATATGGTAATAGCAAGAACAGAAGGAAGAAAAAAAAGTAAAAGGTGAAGTTTCGTAGAGAAAGATAAAATTGCCTATAAGATACATTGTATTAGTCTGTTCTCATGCTGCTAATAAAGACGTACCCGAGACCGGGTAATTTATAAAGGAAAGAGGTTTAATTGACTCACAGTTCCACATGGCTGGGGAGGCCTCACAATCATGGCAGAAGACGAAGGAGGAGCAAAGGGACATCTTACGTGGTGGCAGGGAAGAGAGCTTGAGGGGAACTCCCCTTTATAAAACCATCAGATCTCATGAGACTTACTATCACAAGAACAGCATGGGAAAGACCCACCCCTATGACTCAATTACCTCCCACTGGGCCCCTCCTACAACACATGGGAATTATGGGAGCTACAACTGAAGATGAGATTTGGGTAGAGACAGAGCCAATCTGTATCATATGCTGAGCTTAAAGTAGATGTGCATTCCAACAGACAATAGAAGTAGAGGTCTGAAGTTTGAGAGAGAAATCAGAGTTAGGAGCGTAGATTAGGGAGAGAAGCAGATAGTGTCATTGCTTTCCCAGATTCCTTCAAATCCCTTTACACCATTTCTGTGCACCTGTCTTCCCACTTTGGTGTGGATTCCATTGTCAACACCTAGGGCTCATTTTTGGAAGACAACCTTGAGCTCCTGGAGGTGCATTGCCTGCATGTGCAAAAAACTGGAAGAGTTTGGAGTCTATGCTCCTCCTTCCCTTTCCTCCTTAGCCTTTGACAGTGATAGATAGGCAAAGACATGAAGACATAAGAAAGCCTTGCATCAGATTGTGCAACACTGAGTCGTAACTTACATTCCAGTTTTTCTGCTGGATTAGGCTGACTTTTGCCTGAGGTCATACTCTTGCCTGGCTTCCTCTCCCTTGTCCTGCTTTACTTACCGTTTTTGTATGTTTGTTTGTTTTTTCAGACTCAGCACAAGAGTACTTCTTTAATCAATCACTTGCACATTAATCCATATCTCAGGGTCTGCCTCTGGGGAGCCAGGCTGAAGACAGGGAGTGGTTTGATAGTGTTGATCAAGTCTTCTATAATGTCACTGATATTCTACTTTTTTTTTTATCAATTATGAAAAAGAACCAATGAGATTTCTAATTGTAATTGTGGATTTCTGTACTTTTCCTTGCATCTCATTATTTTGCACCATCTATTGTTAACATTGTTATAAGGTGTATTAACATTTGGGAATTTTAAGCCCTCTTGATAAATTGACCCTTTTATCATTATGCAATAACATTCTTTATCTTTGATAACTTTCTGGCATTAAAACCCATTTAGCCTGATATTAATATAGCCCCTTGGGCTTTCTTTTGCTTATTTTTTTCATGGGATACCTATTTACCTCCTTTCTCTTTTAATATATTTGTCTTTATATTTAAAGTAAGTTTTTCTATAGATAGTGTATAGTTGTGTCTTGCTTTTTGTCAAATCTGATCATCTCTGCCTTTAAATTGAAGATTTGAAGGGAATTTGCATTTAATTATTGGTCTCATTTTACTATCTTCCTACTTTGTTTCATATATTCTTTGCTTCCTTTTTCATCTTTGCATGACTTCTTTTGGATTAATTTTATATCTCCCGTGATTCCTTTATATCTCCTTTGTTGACTTATTAGCTATAACTCTTTATTTCTTGTTTTGTAATTTATTTAGGGTTTATGGTATGCATCTTTAATTTTCCACAGTCTAACCTAACATACTATTACGCCACTTCAAATGGAGTATAAAAATTTTAGAACACTACATGTGGCATTTCCCTCTCAAGACCTTGGTGTTGTTGTCATCATATATTCTATTTTTACATATATTATAAATGTTAAACACACTAATAATTTTTGCTTTAATCAATGACAATAATTCAAATTTTTTAAATTTATAAAATGTCTTGTATTTATCCAAATATTCACACTTTGTGGCATTCTATTTCTTTGTGTTGATGCAAATTTCCAACTGGCATCAATTTATGTCTGCCTGAAAGACTTTATCATTTCCTACAGCACATTATCTGCTGCTATCAAATTTGTTCTGCTTCTCTGGATCTGAAAAAGTCTATATTTCATTTTGATTTTAAAGGACATTTTTCCTGTGTATAAAATTAAGGTCACAGTGTTTATTTTCTTTTAGCAGCTTAAAGATGGTCTACTCTCTGCTTGCCTAAATTGTTTCCTATAAGAAGTCTGTTACTATTCTTATCTTCATCACTCTGTATGTAATGTGTCTTTTTTTGTGGTATACTTAAAGATTTTCTCTTTATTATTTCTTATAGGCAATTTGATTATGATGTGCCTTGGTTTTGATTTCATGTTTTCAATTCTTAAGATTCATTGAGTTAATTCAATCTCTGGGTATAAATTACAACAATTTTGAAATCTCTTGGCCATATTTTTCCTGTGTCTTCCTCCCTTCTCCTTCTGAGACTCTAATTACAAATATATTAAAACACTTGGCCCAGCACAGTGGCTCATGCCTGTAATTCCAGCACTTTGGGAGGCCGAGGCGGGTGGATCACTTGAGGTCAGGAGTTTCAGATCAACCTGGCCATTATGGTGAAACCCCATTTCTACTAGAAACACAAAAATTAGCTAGGCGTGGTGGTGGGCACCTGTAATCCCCGCTACTCGGGAGGCTGAGGCAGGAGAATTTCTTGAACCTGGGAGGTAGAGGTTGCAGTGAGCTGAGATTGCACCACTGTACTGCATGCAGCCTGGGCAACAGAGTGAGACTCCATCTCAAACAAAAACAAAAACAAAAACTAAAACAAAAACAAACCACTTAATGTTATACTGCTGGCTAATGCTCTGTTCATTTTTTCAGCTATTTTTTCCTCTGTGTGTTTCATTTTAAATAGTTTCTATTTCTATATCTTCAAGGTAACTAATTTTCTTCTGCAGTGTCTAACCTGTTAATCCTCTGCAGGTTATCTTTCATCTCAGACATTGTAGTCTTCATATCTAGAAGTTGTTTGGATTTTTTAAAATGTCTTCTGTGTTTCTACATGATGTACTCTATATTTACTCTATTTTTCAACATAAAATACATTCATAACAACTGTCTTAATGTTCTTTTTACAATTCTTTTCACAATCGACTATGTGATTTCTGAGTCTGCTTGTAATGAATGATTATATCCTCACTATGTATCATATTTCCTGCTTCTTCGTATGCCTGGCAATTTGTAATTGGATGTCAGACACTGTGAACCTTATCTTGATTGCTGGACATTTTTGTATTCCTATAATATTCTTGAGCATTGTTCTGTGGTTCATTTGAATTTTTTGATCCTTCTGATGCTTTTTATAAAGCTTTGTAAAGCAGAATGAAAGCTGCCTCTTTTTTGTTTGTTTTTTGTTTTTTGTCTAAGGTTGACTTTGCCCCAGTACTGAGGCAATACTCTTCAGAATATTCTATCCAGTGCTCCATTAATTAGGAGATTTTCCACTCTGAATGGTGGAAATGTGAACTATTCCTGGTCCTGCATGAATTCCTGGGATTATTCCACTGCTCCTTTGGAATGTTTCTGCCCTGGCCTTGGGTAAGTTAGTCACCTTCATGTGCTAATCAGCACTCAATTGAAGATTTAATAAAGGGGACCTTTGCTGGCCTCCCAGTGTTTATCTGTATGCAGCTCTTTTCTCCCCAGTACTCTGTGAACTCTAGCTTGGTTGGCCTCCTCAAATTCCCAGCTTCACCACCTCATCTCATGGAGACTGCTAGCTTCCACCAGTGTCTCCCCTCCCTGTGCTCTGAAAACTCTCCCCAAGCTGGGGAAATCGCAGGGCTCACCTCATTTTTTCCCATCTCCAGTGGATCACTGTTCTGTGTTACCTGAAGTACAATGTCTGAAACTATTGTTTCATATATTTCCTCTGGGATTTCAGCTGTTTTGTGCAAGGAAGGTTAATCTAGTCCTGGTTATTGTATTTTGGACTGGAATTACTTGTTGCTGTTTTTGATGATAAGGGAAGCATGCATATTCAAAGAGAAAGGCTGTGTATAAAGCAAAAATTGAACATTGAGGAGACAGAAAAGAAAATTAAGAATGAATTTCCTAAGAAAAATACAAAGGGGAAATGATAAAAAGCTGAGATGGGGCTCAACTTTGCCTAGGAAAAGAAACACTTCTTATGAAACATGAAGTAGCATAGGAACAACGATGAAGCATAGAAATTTAGATGCAGTGTTCACTTCGTCAGCTGATTTTACTTGAGTTTCTATTATATAATGTGAATAAAACTCAGCTGTTTCCTCCAGTGGGGAAGAAGGGGATGGAGGAGGGGAAGAGTGAAGTGTGATTCCCAGCACGGTGCCTCCCCACTCCACTGCCAAAAAAGAAATCTTTCCAAATCCTGTAACTCCTGAGCTTTTCATATTCTTGATAGAATTGTGGGTTTATAGATTGTCTAAGGAGATCACAGTCGGGCCACTTTAAAACTTCTGGTGGTCTGATTCACAGCTCATGTTGGTATCTGATATCTACCATCTCCTGGTGCCTCCACTGAACTTTTTGATTTAATACCCTGTTACACAACACTAGCAAGCAATAGGAGACAAGTAAAAACACAATTTCAATTCAATGATATACGTTCTCTGTGTGGATTATGCACAGCAGGTTATAGAAACACACTGGGTGACAGGGGGCCCTACATAATCTTGAATGGGCAGAGAAAGGCTGCCAGAAATATCTGTCCCTGTGACCCAAAATATACAGAAAATAGGTTGAGGATATGGGAGTGGTAAGAAGAAAGGATATCCTGCAAAAGAGAGGAGAATGTGTAAAGGTTGGAGGCAGGAGGTATTGAAGATGTAGGTGGATCAACAAGGCTGGTGAGGTGGGAGGGCTCATCAGAAGCCACTTGCCAGAAATACCTTGAATGCACTCCAGGGCATCTGTAATTGATCCTGAGAAAAGTAAGGAATTGGAGGCGTTTTAAGTAGAGGGGTGACTGATAAATTTTCTGTTGAGAGATCATTCAGATAGCAGTGCAGAGAATATAAGAGAGGGAAATTCACTGTCAGAAGCATATTCCTTCTGAGAAGAGCATTCACTGTGAGAGGGATAGTGAGTCAGAACAGTGGAATGGAAAGTGCATATATTCTAGAAAATAAAATGGTAGAACTGCCAGAACCTGGTGACTGATTAAATATGTGTCATGAGAAGGAGGTACCAAGGGAAACACCCAGGTGTTTGTCTTGGATAACTGGATTGATGGCAGTGTGAAACAAGTATTACTGGCTAGATGTCCTAAAACTTCTTGTAAGCTAAAAGAAACTATGGAAGGGTGGAACAGTCTAGATTTGTTTTCATTCGCTGAACATAAGCCTACTTGTGACAGGCACAAGGACAGGTAAAACAAAAGAAGCTATGGGATAAGAACTGAGAGAAATATTGCCAGGCATGGGGGTGGCAGTGGGGGAGGCGGGGGGAGGTAAAAGGAAAATGACCTTTTAGGGGATTAGATCACATGAATTAGTAGTGGAACCAAGAGTCTTCATTATGACCTTCTTTCAGCAACCCTGGGCAGTGTGATGAATGATTCAGAGAGGGCAGATGTAGATTGTGGGTTGAACTCTAGCTGAAGAATAAGGAACGGTGAGAGTAAGTTTAGAGTCAAGTACAAGATGGGAAGAAATGTGGGATCAATACGAGCATCACGAAAATGCCTTCCCATAAGCACAGGCTGGAAGGGGAAGCTAGAAAAGCTAGAATGGGGCCAATGAGAGAATGCAAGGGATGGTAAGGCTGGAGGCCAAAGAATTGGGGATGAAAGAGAGAAACCAATAGGAGACAGTCATCAGAATGTCAGTGTCCAAGAGAATGGAAGCATAAAAATTCCCAATAATAAGGTGAGAATTTATTGACTGTAGCAAGTCGTTTTGAGTCAAGATCATTAAAAATATAACAACATGAATGTTGACATTCCATAAAAATGGAGTCCAAAGGAAGTCTATGAGCAGGGTTAAAGTTATGCTGGAAGTCAGGAACCACCGGAACAGGTTGGGAAAAGAGCAGAAAGTTGAAACTGTTAAGAGCTCATGGTTAGTGTCCTGGAGGAAGAGGCAGAGGAGTGGGGTGGAGTGGAGCTAAGTGCGTTTTCTTCCTTTGATTTTAGAGGTGTTGCCTTCACTAGAAGGAAACTGGTATTATCAAGAACAAACAGGTGTTGGTAGCGATCATAAGAGAAAAAAGTGTTCTAGAAAAGAGTTCTCTTTCAGCCAGGCACAGTGGCTCACACCTGTAATCCCAGCACTTTGGGAGGCTGAGGTGGGTGGATCACCAGGTCAGGAGTTCGAGACCAGCCTGGCCAACATAGTGAAACCCTGTCTCTACTAAAAATACTAAAATTAGCCCGGTGTGGTGGCAGGTGCCTGTATTCCCAGCTACTCAGGAGGCTGAGGCAGGAGAATTGCTTGATCCCAGGAGGCAGAGATTGCAGTGAGCCAAGACCACACTATTGCACTTCAGCCTAGGAGACAGAGTAAGACTCTGTCTCGAAAAAAAAAAAAAGTGTTCTTTTTCAAGCAGATAATATGTTACAATAACAGAGCGCTCATTGACAACCTTTTTCATGCCACTGGTCACTGTGGAAGCAGGAAGGAGAGGCAAAGCAAAGATGGCTGAGGATATGCAGTACAGCAAGGAGGGTGCAGTAAGAGACCCAGTTGAAAGTGTTCTCCTAGGTGGCAATGCTAAAATAAGCTCACTTGAGGCTCTTCTGAATCATTAGCCCTTCTAGAAACTCCAAGGACGTATTAAATTCACTCACTAAAATATTTTGGGCATAGCGTAGTTGCTGATCATCTCCATGATTACTTCTTTGAAGTCTTTCCTTTGAACATTTTTTAAGTGCTTACTGAGAATTCTTAGGCAGAAAATAAAACAGAAAGATCATCCCGTGCCAGAGTCTGAATACAGACAGGGCTCATCGATCAAACAAATCCATGCAGAAAACTTAAAATTTCCTATTAAATAAACACCACACATTAAATATCAGAAAGTGGTGACTAAGAGGTGGGGAGAGGAGGGATATACAGAAGGTTTCACCCACACCCTGTTTTGTGGTTTTTACCCGGATGCCACAACCACACCTATGAGTTTCACTTATTAAAATAATAGAGAAGTAGAGTAACTAGAATCTGCTGAGCAGAGCATAGTGCTAAATACAGTTCCTCAGAGACTGAACCTGACAGGCAAGGTCAGGATTCAACTTGGAGAATGTCTGATGAGATTAGCCAATGTTTTTTTCCAACGTGGTCTACCTGTGTGTGCTGATGCATGTAGATTTGGTAGATTTGCTCATCTTTAGTAGACGAGAAAATTAAGCTCATCTCCTCTGTTGAACTTACAAAATGTTGACGTTAAAACCAACGATAAAATGGAGATAAATGGGGATAAACTAGAGCAGGAAATTCGAACCATACATAGACTTAAAAAAAAAATCCCCTTAAGCCATTAAAAGGCAATAAGCAATTAGTTTTATACCAGTGAAATCAATAATTAAAAGTTCTACTTAAAAAAATATAACCCATGCAACATCGTGTGTCCACTGAGCAGTGATAGGCGCCTGTGTAAGGAAAAGAGCTCTCATCATATCAGCTAGCATTTAAGGAGCTTACTGTGCGCTCAACTCTTTTCATGTTATATGATCTAATGTGAGCATCTATGCCGGTGGATTTCACATCCCCGTTTCACGGACGAGGACACCTCCGGTGACCTGCAGGGACCCCGCGCCAGTGGCTGCTGCAGCTGACTCATCCGACTCCCACGCGCGACGCTGCCCTAGTGGCGTTTAAAAAAATCCCACTCGAGTCCCATTTAAAACATAAGCACCCCACTTTTTAAGTGTGACTGGTGACCTCGATTTTACCTTCTGAGTCACAGCACCAAGACCTGTGTATCTGTCAAACTGAGCACAGTGGGCGAGGGCGCGCTGTGAGAGCTGGGGAGAAGACAGGTGGAGAGCACAGGTGCAAACTAAGGGGAGGGCTAGAAGGTAAAAATAGCGATCAGGGGTATGGGGGTGCGCATGGAGACGCCCGCGGAGCGCTGGCGCTGGCCAGCGGAGCAGGAGGTGAGGTCGGCGGAGCTGGGAGGACCGCGCCTGGCGGCTGCAATAGCCGCACCTGTGCACGTGATCGCGAGCGGCTCGGGCGCCAGGGCGGAGCGGCGCTCACCTGGGCCCACGTGACGGGGCGGGGCTCGAGGAGCCCCACGGCCACGCCTCCTCCCGCGCGGCGCGCCCGGAGCCCGCGGAGCTGAGCGGCGGCGGCGGCGGCGGCAGGAGCCCGGGAGGCGGAGGCGGGAGGCGGCGGCGGCGCGCGGAGACGCAGCAGCGGCAGCGGCAGCATGTCGGCCGGCGGAGCGTCAGTCCCGCCGCCCCCGAACCCCGCCGTGTCCTTCCCGCCGCCCCGGGTCACCCTGCCCGCCGGCCCCGACATCCTGCGGACCTACTCGGGCGCCTTCGTCTGCCTGGAGATTGTAAGTGGGGCCGCCGGAGCGAGGGTCGCGCGGGGAGCGAGGACAGGCGGCGGCATCCTTGTCCCCCGGGCTGTCTTCCTCTGCGTCCGCCCCCGGCCTCCTTCCCTTCGACGTGGCTTTGTCCTGCGCTCCCTCCCGGGGTCCTCTCGGTGCCCCGCGCCGCCGCCCGGGCCCTCCCTCCTAGCACCTGTTACGCGGGCACCTGCTCCCCCGCGGGCGACGGAAATTGCCTGGGGAGGGCGAGTAGGCGGCCCGGCAGGGCCGAACATTGGGGACGTGGAGGAAAGAAAGGTGTTGGGGCTCAGAGGCGCCTTTAGAAACCCAGGGCATGGCCAGGGGCCGCGCTTGGCCGGAGCGAGCTCCTGGCTCTCGGCCTCGCCTGTTGCTAACCTGCCATTTTGTTGGGTGGTGCAAAGGTGTAGCCGATGACTGGGTGACCTGGTGGCTGCCACGCTGTGGAAAGTGGGGGCGGGAGGCAACAGGAAGAGGAAGAGGGCTGAGGACTTGAACATGCTTTTTCCCCACTCACCCTTGCCATCATTAGTGGCCTTTGGATTGGAAAGAGGAGCTGGGCAGGAGGCAGGGCAAGGAGAAAGGTGAGTTATGTGCCATGCCCTGGGCAGTTTCTAATCCAGTGGGTGTGACAATGGTGGGGGAAAGATGGAAACGTGGCTCTCGAGTTCTTCTCTGCCTGCCTTTGCACCTTCTCACTTCCTGGCCTCCTTACGCAACTCCAAACCTTTTTAGCACACTTTGTTGGGCCCAAGTAAAGGTGGGGTTACCTGCCTGTCGTGCAGCCTTTTTAGGTAGCACTTGAACTTTTTAAATGGAATTTTATGGAGTTGGAAACTTTCGAAGCTCCTTGTGGACAAGTAGATAATGTGCAAATATAAATTGGGCAACCTGAGGTTGCATCATGCCTGAGAATGGCAAATAAAAAGTGAAATGTTAGCGAGTTAGTGCCTTTCCGGCAGGCTGGTATTGTTTGCTCGGTTTAGGATTTTCATCTCTCCCCTCACCCTGGCCTTTGAGCTTGCATAACCTTTATTTGGGTCGCTTTGGTTTCACTTTTGTGCTTGTGGAGCTGGATCACCTTGTGAGCACTGTTCTATTATGCTCAGGTAGCCACACCACCCTAAGTTAAGTTTAGCCCGGATTTGAATCTGAAAGAGGAGACGTGAGTGAGTTGCAGGCTATGACATCAGTAATGGGATCCTGACTGCGAGGCTGGTTTGAGTTTGAGCCTGGTTCAGAAGCATCTGAGTGCTTGGGATGAGGTGCAGGCATCCATGTGGGAAGAGCGGAGAGACGATGGCATTGGGCTGGCTGCCTTGCTGTGGGAGGGAGACACGTTTAGAACTGGAAGATCTGCAAAGAACGATTTCTTAGGTTCTCGGCTACTTTATTCCATGTTCTGCAAGCTCCAGTTTTTTGCCTACCTCTTTGAGAAGTTTTTGCCATATCCGCATTCCACCTGTACTAGAATTTACAGACAGTTCATTGAAATACTTTCTAAACTTCAGTACTTTTGTCTTTTCTTAAGCAATAATATACATGAAATTTCAAATTTGATATTCTGGTTATATTTTTCTAATGTTTATTCAAATATATGTATGTATGTATGTAAAGATACATGTATGTGTATATGTAAATATATATACATGTGTATATGCAAAGAAGGCTTATCCATATGCCCTCTAATCAAATACCATCTCAAGAACCTGTAGTCATGTCAGACTTTTAGGAAACAAGGCCTAATTCTGGGGGAAAAGAATAGAAAGTGACTTAGTCAATTTCCCCCTCCCCCTCCCCATTATATCTTTTTTAAATCTAGCCCAGAGGTTAGTTCTCAATTCTTGCTGTACTTAATAACTTGAACAGCTTTTTAAAATAACTGTTACCAGCCCAGACTAATTAAATCAGAATCTCTGGGGGAGTGCCAGAGTTCACTAGTTATTTTTTAAAGCTTCCCTGGTGATTCTAATATTCAGAGCCTAGAGAAGACAGCTCTGCTTTCAGAGATGTGAATTCTCTCTATCCGCTAAAACTGCCACCACTCCCCAACCTAGGAGGGATTCCAGACTCACAGAAGTGTCCAATCTAATCCTCTTATCTCATTTCCTCTGGCTTCTTACATCCTGAAACATGTCTCACACTCTTGGCTACGTAGAACAGCATCACTTCCAAAAGCTTATTAGTTTGCTTCTCTCTTTTTATGGCCAACTCAATAAGTTTACATTTTAGGCCCCCTTTATCTCCTTTACTTGAATATCAATCTCCCCCACCCCATTGAAAAATGACCAAAATGTTCCAATGAAACTGGTGACGTTAGAGAAACAAAACAAGAGACCACACTAGAGTCAAACTATAGCTCCTCGGCTCTCATCCTTTAGGACTGTTTAGAGATATTGGTTTACATGCTTTAAGAGAGCAGAGATCAAAGCTGGCTTGTTACCCCTCCATTTAGAATACTCATCTTGAGTGGATGTACAGATAGAAGCTAAGTGAACACTTTTGAAGCAACTTAGCTCCTAGATGTCTCAATTTCCATCTAATTTTCTGATTCTTTTAAAATTGGCCATCTCCCATGGCTCCTCCTCAGAAATTCCTCAACCTGTAAAGTAAATGTGAGAATTTCCCAGGCACTGTCCTAAATGCTAAGTGATCTCCATTCTGGGGACCCATTATTTTAACCTCTGCCGGTGTTTCTGGATATCCTCAAACTCCATTTTAATTTTGACCTTCTGTTCAAATTCGTTTGTCTTTAAGAGTTCTTCATTTCTGTCCCATTGCCTTCTGAAACTTAACATGTGAAAATTGTACCTGACAAAGGAGGACTGGGCTATCAACAGTTGACTACGCTATTGACACCATGCTCTTGGAGTTTGGTTCTCACACTAACCATTTAACTTGGCTCAAAGTATTCATTCCCAATTCCCCTTAACGTATTCTATTCACAGCCTGTCAGATATAAGCCATTTGTTGGGAGATATTACAAAATATATAAATAGTGCCAGCCTACGAGCACCAGGAAAAGCATTATAGCACTGGCTTCTTAAGTGGAGAATATTACAATCTCACGTGCATAGTGATTTTTTTTTTTTTTTTTTTGAGATAGGGAGATAAGGTGTGTTCCACTCCTGGATACCTAATTGTCAGCTCTTTGGTTTTGGGCTTAGCAATACTTACCAATGTATGCTTGCCACAGAGTTTAATACTAAGTTAATATTGCAAAGCTAAGCCTTTTAGCTTAGAATGGAAGCCATCACCTTCAAAATTCGCACTTTCAAAATCTCACAGTTTTTTGAGTGAATATTTTATAAAAATCACTCATCGGGTATTTACTGAATACCTACTATGTGCAAGGCACTCCTCTGGGAACAAAGATGTTTAAACCCTTCCTCACCAGAAAGACCTATAACCTAGTTGAGAGTATAGTCACAAAAGTAACTACCATTCAGGGAAGAAAGAATTAAGTATGGGAAGTGAACTGCAGCTAAAACATTTTCCAGGTGGGTCTATCTACTTTAAAAAATAACATGGGATCATCTGCACTATTGGGCTGAACAAGATATTTAGGATCCCTGCTCTCAATGAGCTTATCTTGTAAAATGCACAAGAAAAATTGAATTTTTAATAGTATTAATCACGAAAAAGAATACAGATAATCATTGAATTCATTGTGTTTTATTTTGCAGTTTTAGTGTTTAAGAAACTACTTATATTCCCCAAGTTATTCATTCACATTTATCTTTGTGGGAGATACTCTAGGATTCTTATTCACATGCTTCTAACTGCAGTGTTTTGGATGCCATAGTAATTTTCATTTACTCAGCTTATAATTAAGAACATACTATGCATCAAGCCTTCTTTTATGCCCTGAAAATAGAGTAACTAACATGGCTCCTGCCCTTAAAAGAAATTACTGTTTGGTGGAATATAAAGTCAAGAAAGAATTACCATGCTGTGTATGAAGTGCTAATATAGGTTTATAAAAAGTATTGTGGAACAGCAGGATAGAGTACATCTGACTTCTGGAGAGGTCAGAACAGGCAGCTTTAATGAGGTGGGGACATTTGAGGTTAGCCTTCAATAATGAGCCATGGTTCATTAGAAAATGGGAAAGAGAATTCCAGGTAGAAACAAGGACACGTACAAACACAGAGACAAGAAGGACAATGGCAAGAACGTTCTGTCAGTTGTGAGATTTTGGTGGGCCGTGGCAGAAAAAGGAAAAACAGCAGGTAGGACTCAGGTTCTGGTTTGCTGAGAAATGCTAGGCCAAGGCATTGGATTTATTGTCTGATGGAAAGCTGTGAAGGACAGAGAGAAACTTGATCCAGCTTGTGTCTTAGAAACCTTTGAGTGATGAAGTTTGGTTGTAAAACAAAGGGACTGAAGGCAGGAAGAGCAGTTAGGGGGCTTATTGCAATAGTTTAGATAAGGGATGAAAAGAACCTGAAATAGAACCAATGAAAGAAGGATGGAGAAGGAGAGAGAGAGGTTTGAGGTTTGGGAAGTCAATTAAGTATGTAAAGTTTGACTTGCCCCAAAGTGATACCTAGACTAAACTTAAATATAAGATGTAACTCAGAGGAATTATGCCAGAAAAACAAATGTTAATGAAAGGATGATTGTGAGGGAGGGACTTTAGGGGAGGCAGGTTCAGTCATGCAGATAAATCTATGAAAGGGACTTCAGGTTATTTTCAACTGAGAGCTTTGACTTTGGACTAGTAACATGTATATGTTCTGATGTATAGAGTTTATTGCCTGGAAAATGTTGACTGTGAAGGGACATTGCTTATTTGCAGTGTGCAAGAGGGAGCTGTCCATGGACATAGTTGTCCCCTAAATGGGTTTTAAAACTGTAGGTATTTTTTTTCCTTTGCCTCTGGATTAAAAATCTTCATCCACATTAAAAGAATCTTTAGGCCGGGTGCAGTGGCTCATGCCTGTAATCCTAGCACTTTGGGAGGCTGAAGCAGGTGGATCACCTGAGGTCAGGAGTTCAAGACCAGCCTGACCAACATGGTGAAACCCCCATCTCTACTAAAAATACAAAATTAGCCAGGTGTGGTGGCACATGACTGTAATCCCAGCTACTTGGGAGGCCGTGGCAGGAGAATTGCTTGAACCTGGGAGGCAGAGTTGCAGTGAGCCAAGATCGCACCATCACCCTCCAGCCTGGGAAATAAGAGCGAAACTACATCCCCAAAATAATAAATGAATAAATAAATAACCTTTAAAGTTTCATAAGGGAAAATAAACCAATGCCCCTGCCAGAGATTATTATCAACAATCATTTGCTCCGACTGGCAGTCCTTTAAAAAAAAATACGAAGAACTGAAATATGGAAAACTTTAAACCAAGTAGCTGAAAAGATTCACCTTGAGCTCCAAAGGAAAAAGTCATAGAGAAGAGATTTGTTTTGTAGAGCCTGATAGAAATGTTGTACGTGGTGGTAGGAGCTGTGGACATGGTGTATTTGCAGTGATATGGCTGAATAGAAATGACCCTGTAATGACAAAGGACAGGAACCAGGTTGGCATACCCAGTATCATGCACATGCAGTACTTAACAAATGCTACTTGTTTGTTCTATAGTACAAACTGAGCAGTATGTGAAAATAGTCTGGAGACATTGGCTGGAGTGGAGAAGGGCAGCTTGGGAGTAGATGCCCTCTTAAATCTTGCCCAACATGTAAACTGCCATAATTCTTCTCCAGGTTTCTGCACTTTAACTTGAATTTCCTAAGTGTTCTATTTTATATAAGAGTACCATATCCTTTTATAGACAACATATATAACAATCTCAACTTCTGTATAATAGCTATGAGAAGGAGGAAGGTAAAAAGAAAGGAAAGAGGCAGTGATTTATACGGGTCTGGCCAATATCAGGGCATTGGCACGCAGGAACAGCTTTAAACTAAAAGTGATAACTAGTTACCTGCAAACATGAAAAGGGAATTTTCAAAATCGAGAGGAATTATTATAAAGAAGAATAAAAAGAACCAGAACATATTTCTCCTCTGTAATATGAGCTTTCCATTTTAGGGTCGGTGTCAGCTATTTAAGCAGCTGAATTGGAGGTTTAGGTCACATGGGGAGGAAGAAAGTATAACTCTCTATAGCACTCTCAGACATATTTTTAAAGCCTTCAAATGTAAAGCTAAAAAGTAGAACTTCTTTTGCAATGAGTATTAACGTATTTTGGTCATAAGCCTCTTATGTGTATGTCATTTCTCATTACATCCCAGAATTTGTTCTGTTTTCCTAACTAACTAAATAAATAAACACCTTGCTGCCTTGCATCTCTAATGCAGGTCTATGCCAGGGCCAGTCCAGAAGCAGTTTGGACAGAAGTCAGCATGGTTAGAGGACAGATGGGGACTGATGAGGGGAGCAGGAGGCACTGGAAGAAGGCACAAGATTTACCCTGGTCAAAAGTTCCAGTGGCAGTTACAATAGAAATAGGTCATGTGGGCAAATTTGGGGCCGAAAAAAGATTTAAAATTGGGTGTCATGAATTCAACTGGCAAGAGGTACAAAGTTTCCCATAACTTTCCATCTCAGCCTCCTGAGATCTGGTACTAGGTGGTGGGTGTCACCAATAATAACTTGAGAATTGAGAAGTACATATTCTCGCTTCACTCGTTTTCATGCCTATTTTTGGACATCCACCATGAACCAGGGAGTGAGCTGGGCTCCAGACCGGAGTGTGTTCCTAGCATCCCAAGCTGCACTCCTAGAGCATTCTCTTTTGGAACCATTCATTACACATGCCGGTTGGTTTCCATTCATTTCAAGGAGGATGGATTGAGGACCTTCTGTAGAAAGCACCACCCTGGGTAATGAGCATACGGAGATGTTGAAGGCAATGTCACCGACTCTGACGTCACAGTCTAGTGGGTGAAATGGGCATGTAGATCCATGATTTTGATCCAGTTGTAATTGCTGTGGAGAATACACGCGTCAGTAACCGTGGAAGCACCGAGGGATGGCACCTGGCCAGGGAAGTCTTTCTGGAAAACATGGTAACTGGAGTTTAGTTATGCAGCAGAATTTTTACTGGCAGCATGCTAGGCAGAAACATGGTCAAGTGTGATCATTTCTCTATGCTCAGGGGATGAGGGGTAGAGGCTGGAATGCAAAGAGAGGGTGGTAGGAAAAGAAGCATTACAGGGAAGATGATGAGCTTGGGGAGGGGGGCAGCAGTATGCCTTGTAGTGGTACCAGTGATCTACAGTCGCATTGTGAATGAATCCATACTTGTGTGGGCTGCTTTGTAAATACATCTACCAGTTATATTGTATGTGTTGGCTAAGTATGTTTCTAGTTTAAGGAAATCTTTCAAAATGCGAATTGTATGTAAAATATAGCTAATTGTAGATAATCTTTTTTTTTCTAGCTGATAAATTTCTGAATATACTGAACACTTCTATAACCATGATGTTTCCTGTGCAGCACCCCATAAGTAAACATCCATTAAAATAGAAGGGGTTACAAGTAGATAAAGTGTTCTGAACTTCTGGGTGGGGGGGCCACATACCCCTTTGTGATTCTGATGAAAGGTGTGGACTGTGTCCTCAGAAAAATGCATATGTACTTGTCCACCCAATTTTATATGATTTTAGGAAATCATATGGAATATGGGTAGAAACCCTGCTTTAGAATGAACACTAAACCATGAGAGGGGCAGAATAGCAGAATGTTAAAATCATAAGTTCTGGAAGCCAATTGCCAAGTTCAAATTTCAGGTCTAACACTTATTAACTATATAACTAGGAACAAGTTATGAATGGATTTGTACCTCAATTAACTTACCTATAAAGTAGGAATAATAATGTTGTCTCTCAAGGTCTGTGAGGATTAAATTGGCACAAATAAAACCCTTATAACGGTGCTTATAACATAAGAGCTCAGTAAATGTTAAGTACTATTTCTGCTATCACCATTAGCTTCAACTTCTTACTCTAACTCTACAAGCCAGACTGGAAGACAAATATTTTTTTGCTTTTCCTCTATGTTTGCTGGGTGTTCATTCTCACTGCAGTAGAATAATGAATTATCCAATATATAGATAATAGAATTAGAAGGAGGGAGCTTAATACGGAAAGTTCTAAATAGTGTTTTCCCTTATGGGTAGTTTAGCCAGCCTTTATCCTTTCAAATTCACTTACCTTTTCCTGTTCTCATTCCAAACATTAATTGAAAATAGGTCACAGTAGAAATTAGCCGGTTTACTTTGTGGGTATACTAAGATGGAGGTGTCAAATTGGTTTGAAAAAATTTTTAGCTGTCAGAGGGTATGTTTAAAAGCAGGTAATTAGGAAATAAGTGACATTTGAAAAGAAAAAGGGCATTTGCAAAAGGAACCCTTTGGGAACATAAGACCGTCCAAACAGGAGATGAGTTAAGAATCTGTAATTCATGCACCCAGAATTGCAAGAGTTGCTACTTGCTCAAGAGCATGTTTTCCCGTGGGACTATGTATTTTTCCCATTCCACAGTTTCTAGTGAAAACATGTCTTCACATCAAACCCTGAGGATTCAGTTTAGTGTGATTTGTGGATAAATACTTCCGTGGTTTTCTTATGGTAGGGTTTCAGCCAAGTCATACCTTTCTGGTCTGCAGAGACCAAGCAAACATAACAAACATGTGTTAAACCAGAAAGAAGATCAGTTGTTTTAGGAATGTGTAGCAATTTAATAACTGCAACTCAGAATATATTTGAGTACTTCTGGTATGTACCCAGTACACCTAAAGTTGGGTTAAGAAGATAAAAGGTGACTGAGTCACCGGGAGATGCTGATACCTACTCCTAGGAGGTTTTTACCTTTGTATTGCCTGGAAGCAAAGGTAGTCTTTTTGTTAGAGCTTGAGGTTTGACGTCATAAGCACTGACTTAGTTTCTTAAAGAAATTTCAAATTGAGGTGCCTTTGGCTATTTTATACATAATTATTGGATTTTTTAGAACACTAGAAAGCAGTGGAAGGCAGTGGCAGGGAAGGGGTCAGAATATGGATTCAGATCCAAGACGATGAGAATAACGTGGGCGAAACATATAATAGTTCCGAATACCTTTCTTCACAGTGTGTACTCTGCAGTTGCTACTGTATTTATCATCTGTTCTCTGTCAGATTTAACCATTTTTGTGTTCTGCTTTTTACTTCTAAAAATATGGCCACCTCCAGAGTCGTCTCTACTGAACAGGAATGCTGATAATTACACCGTTTTGCAAACACTCTAAGCTCACTAATGCCCGGAATTAGAGGAAGTGAATATACTGAGCATTGGTCATCTCAATTTTTTAAGTTCAGTTTTTTAACTTAAAAAAACTGGAGCCAAGTTTAAGTTGGAGCCAAGTTGGGAAGCTCAAGAAGAAAAGTAGCTTTTGTCAAAAGGAAATCACAAAGTAGGGAATAATAACTGTGTCAAGGCCAGAGTGATCCATACACCAGTATGACAGTCTCAAAATGAGGATGGTGGCCCTCCAAAGTGGGCTCAATTATGTTCTCTGGCCCATCCTCTCTCTTCCAAAGCGAGCCTGGATTTCACAGAATCTCAGCTCTAGGGATGTATCATATGTATTTACTTGAGTGAGAGAGAGGGGGCATTCCTACACTCCTTCCCTCTCCCCTTTCCATGCAGCACATACCCCACAAGTGAGGAGGTGAATCTGACTCCTGTTCATGCAGCATTTAGTTTCCCTTCCAAGCCTTTGAGGTGTTTGAAGGGCTGTAATTTTGAGTACGATAAGAACGGTTAGTCTATACTATTTTACAGTATAGCCTCTGCTGTCAAAGCCTTGGTCTGTCTTGAAAGCTTACTCTGAAGCCTGCCTCCCCTGCCTACCTTTCCAGATTCTTCCCATTATATTTCTTCTCTCCTCTCCCCTCCCAGCCTCTCAGAACACACTGTGTTGAGCTCTTTTTATAGCACCCACCGCAATCTGCTCCTGAATCAGTTTAATAGTGTCTATTTCTTCCTTATTTCAAGCTCCTGGAGATGGAACCTTGCCTTTTTTGTTTTTTCTTGAGTGTTCTTCTATAGTACCTAGCAGTAGGTTCGGGGCTGGCCTGTTTGAGGTCCAGTCTGGGTTTAGTAAATGCTGTGTTGAATTCCAAAGGATCATATAGCCTCCTCTTTAGAGGTGTGAATGTATCATCATCCCTAACTCATTATGTTTATCTATTTGGCTCTGCCTGTCCCTAACAAACAGTGGCCAATTGCTTTTTATTATCCTTTATATTTGCACATAGGTTCTCAGGAAATAACTCAGAAGAGATACTTAATGTATATTTCTTAAACTGTATTTAAAGTTATGTAGGTTATTCTTTGTGGGAGAGTAAGAAAAGACTACCAGAAAGAAGAAAGTGGAAAAAAAGGAAAGATTGATCCACTGAAGACATACTTATATCGCCTTCAGATATTTATTTAATAGTATGTAAAGGTAAATAATATTAGGAACAAGTTTTTTCTTTTATAGGCACTGATAAGGTGGTGGTTAAATGTTTAAGATGCACTGATATTCATTAGATTTATTTCATAACACTTTCTGGATCAATTGTTAATTTTTTATTTGACTTTAGGAGTTGAGGTATACACCACAACTATACATTTTTTTAGACTGGTGATTTGATTATCATTGATCAAGTGATCATTTATGCTTTCAAAAATGTTTCTTCAAAGTAGTAACAAATTATATGATTGGGCCTTTTCTTGAAGCTTGAATTAAAACTTGTGTTTTTAACTTTCAGTGACTTGTGGAGTAATTTGGATATCTAGATACTGAAATGCAATGTACAGATGAGTATTGATTTTTAATATTTGGAGCTCCAACTGTTCTCACATGAGCACTAGCTTGTTTACTAAGCAAATAATTTAAGAGCGTGCTCTATCACTCTCCCTGGGTGTGTGTGTGTGTGTGTGTGTGTGTGTGTGTGTGAGAGAGAGAGACAGAGAGAGAGAGAGAGAGATTGATTCTCACTTGCTTGAGGTGTCTTCAGGGCAGGTATGTAGCCTAAGGTTTTGTGCTGCCAAATCTAGCATAGTACCTGACTGATGGTTAGGAAAGGATTACTGTGTAGATTAATAAATGGCTTGGGATGCAGAGACATATAAAGCAGTATGCTGCCAAGAAGGCCTGGTAGTGCAGATGGAGAGCCAAAGGGATTTAATTACAGTGTATCTCACTGATGTAACAAAGCCCAGTAGGGAGGTTGCCCAGAGGAGGGAGGCATAACTGAGCAGGGGTGGATCTCAGGAAAAATGTTGTAAATGATGTGCTCAAGATTAGATGTGAGTGGGAGAATCTCAAGTACACATAGGGAGGGAATGACATTCACGGCATGCAAGTAACAGGCCACTCTGATGTGAAAGATCTTTGTCTTGGAACTGTGGATTTTTTTTCTCCCCCTAATACAAAATGTGAGGGGCATAGTGGCAAGAGACAAGGATGAAAAAGACATGTCAGATCACAAATGGCTTGGAATGCCAGGCATGGTAGTATGGAGGAGACCAATGGTGATAGATGCATAAAACTCATCTTCACACCATTTCTCCTGCGGTGTTCTCTCAAGCCTAGAGGCCCATTCCAGAAATCTGGGTATTTTCCTTATCTGTCCTTTTTCTGTTGTGTCCCACATCTGATCAGTTACCAACTATTATCATGTCTACTTCTAAATTTCACTCTAATCCATTCCTTTCTCTCTGTCCTCAGTGTTCTGATTCTTACACTCTGTTGGTCTAACAGTCTCCTGTGTTACCCAATGTTTGTGAAATCTCTGTGTTGATAGAGCTGAGAAACACAGAGATGTGCTGCCTCACCATCCACCCTTTCCTCCCCAGTCCATTCTCACATTCTAGCCAGAGAGAAATTTCTAAAGGCAAATCTTGACCATGCTAGTTTCTGCTCAAGATGATCTTGGCTTTGTCATCGCCCTTAGGTGAAGTTCAGTTCCTTGGCCCGAGCTTCAGCACCTCCTCGCTCAGTCTCCAGTACAGTTCTCTCCGTTCCCCACCAGCACATGCCCCTCCTGTCTTGCTGAGCTTTGTTCTTCACCTATGCGGGGCTACTCTCAGCTCCTGCCATGGAACCCCCCTTTCCTCCCTCTGCTTTACCCCATAGCCCTGTGCTTTGGATTGTTGCTTCTAGGAAGTATTTTCAAATCTGGATTTATAGCCCTTGCTGTGTGGACCTGCAGTGCCCAGTATTTGCCCAATTGTGACATTTATGAAGCAGCTTTTTAATCGCTTGCTTACTTGTCTCTTTCCTCTAATAGACTGTGAGTTCTGTGGTGACAGAAACCAAGTGTAACCTGTTTACCATTTGATTCCCAGCACCTGGCATAGTGCCTGAAATGTAGTAGGTATTTATTGATACTTAGATCCATAGATATGTGAAGTACTTATTCCTATGTCGAACACATAATACTCAATAAATGATGGTAGTTTTTATTGTTTACCGCCATATACAACAGCTGCAACTATTATTCTATCCATTTTTTTTACTAACTCTCTAAGAAGCAATGAGATCAAAAGCTGGTTTATAGTGATGTGAAGAGCAACTTCAAGGAGAGGAATTGGAGACCAAGCAAAGATGAATTTGTTAAAATGGTTGACTGAAAAAATACCTTCATTGAAAAGGTGGTAGTCAGAGAATCAGTAAAGTCAAAGGAAGGTATTTGTCAATGATGAAGGAATACTGGACATGTACATGGGTTGAAGAAGCGAGTCCAACCTGAAGATACAGGTGTGGAGTTGGATCAGTTCTCCAAGCAGGAGGATTGATCTTGCACCTGAGGAAAGAAGGCATCTTACATAATAAGGGGAAAATCGAAGGGATGGGGTTGCTGGAATATGTGCAGGGGTCTGGGAGGAAAATGAAGGCAATGCTGAGGGTAATACAAGCATGTTTAATTCTGTTGTGTGAAAGGTATCTTTTAAGCAAACCAATTACCCTCTTTTTCTCTTTCAGCTGTTCGGGGGTCTTGTCTGGATTTTGGTTGCCTCCTCCAATGTTCCTCTACCTCTACTACAAGGATGGGTCATGTTTGTGTCCGTGACAGCGTTTTTCTTTTCGCTCCTCTTTCTGGGCATGTTCCTCTCTGGCATGGTGGCTCAAATTGATGCTAACTGGAACTTCCTGGTAAGGACTTTTTATTTTAAGTCTATTGCAGGAAGATGGGAGAAACCTGTATCCTATTCTGTTCTGAAATGCCAGAGTCCCAGTTCTGTTGCCCCTAATGGGAGAGAAGCGGTCCAACCACAGAGACTGCTGTGGTGCTGCGGTGGTGTGTGGCTGCCTTGATGGACAACAGGGCCCCAGTTTGCGAAATCTCTGTGTTGATAGAGCTGAGAAATAATTGTTACTCCTACAACTTAGATAACTCTTACTCAAAAACTGTTTCATTTCATACGGCAAATGAATTGCATTACAATTATCAAACAATTGAACAAATGCCTTTGGGAACTAAACATTGTCGCATCTTGAAATTTTCCATTAATTTCTGCCCCAGATATTTAAATATGTATTTTTTTTTCAGAAAACAAATACTTAGAAAAGGGCATGTTTCATATTGATAATAAACGTCTGTCCCAAATTAAAAAGAATTGGTGAGTTTTTAAAAATGAATTTGTGGCCGGGCGTGGTAGCTCATGCCTGTAATCCCAGCACTTTGGGAGGCCGAGGCAGATGAATCATGAGGTCAGGAGTTCAAGACCAGCCTGGCCAACATGGTGACACCCCGTCTCTACTAAAAATACAAAAATTACCCCGGGCATGATGGGGTGTGCCTGTAGTCCCAGCTGGTTGGGAGGCAGAGGCAGAAGAATTACTTGAACCCGGGAGGCAGTGAGCCTAGATTGTGCCACTGTACTCCAGCCTGGGTGACAGAGCAAGACTCCATCTCAAAAAAAAAAAAAAAAAGAATTTGTGACCAAGTGCAGTGGCTCATGCCTATAGTCCCAGGACTTTGGGAAGCTGAGGCAGGAGGATCACTTGAGACCAGGAGCTCAAGGCCAGCCTGGGAAACATGGTGTAACCCTGTCTCTACAAAAACTACAAAAAATATCTGGACATGGTGTTGCACTCCTGTAGTCCCAGCTACTCAGGAAGTTGAGGCAGGAGGATCACTTGAGCCCAGGAAGTCGAGGCTGCAGTGAGCCATGATCACACCAGTGCACTCCAGCCAAGGAGACAGAGCAAGACCTTGTCTCTCAAAAAAAAAAAAAAAAAAATTTGCAATCAACACAATTTTTAAAATTATGACACCATTAAATTAGATCAACTTTTTGTTTAGTATATAGAGCTTGTCTTTCATGCTTGCAGCCATTTATTCTCTAAGACTGTTTTAGAATGACTCAGAGGATCACAGTGCTTCAGGGAAGTTCAGGAAGAACCCCCATTAGGTTATGATCATACTTTGGTGTTTAGAAGCTTACATCAGACCTTCAGTCAGGCTTTATATATATTCCTTTCAAGTATAACAGCATGTTATTCCACAGCTTTAGTGCAGATGTTAAATATCTGTTCTTGTTTTATTTATAGGGCATAAGAGGAACTGTAATCCTAAATGTTATTAGTGGTGAAGTGTAGGGAATGTGGCTGGCCTTTAAGCCAGCCCTGGGGCAAATGGCATAGCTTAGTATAAAGCTAAGAAGGAAGTGGAGTACCGTGGTTACAGTCCTGCATGGGCTTTGAGCATAGATCTGGTTTGCTTAGTAGCTGTGTAGCCTCGGGCACAATTATTAACCTCTCTCGATTTTAGTTTCTTCCTCTGTAAAATGAGAATAATATATTTGGTATTGAGTACAGTCATTCATGTCCTTATTAATTTATTTGTTTTCCCAAGTTTGCATTTCCCACCCATTTGTAGCATTATATCTGATGTTCAGAAAATTAAATGTTAAGCGTTTCTGTTGTTTTAATTGTGCTACTCTATGAAAGTGACAGCTGAAATTGGAAATCTTTGTTTCATAGGTCAGCTGCAAAGGTTACCTGTGGTCTTTTAGCTGGAGTAGTCTTTTAGCTCAGTAGCTGTTACTGAGGCAAAAGATGGTAATAGCAATGCACAGCGTTGATTGTATGGTAGGCATGCTTTCTAAGAGCCAAATCTTGTCTTCAAGGAATTTATGAAATGTTTTCCCTATTTCGAAAGGGCTTCTCTTTTTTTCTTCTTTTGTGTGTGGGTCTTTTTTTTATTATTATTATTCAGTCATTTTTTATTGCATGGCTTGCTTTTGATAGGTTTGGTAACATATTTTGTACACTCTCCCAGGAAAACTTTTTAGCCATGTATATAATGGAATTGTCACAAGTTGGTAACAATTTTTAATTGTTGCATTCTGGAACTGTCAGACATTAATGGCTCAAAAATAGTTGTTTTCTCCTGTGATAATAGTTTACCACTTTAGACCATACTTGAAGGAAGCAAGAATGCATTTTGATAAAGAACTTATTTTCTAGATGTATTTGTTGTAGGATATTGAGTTTACTATTTCTTCTGGGTTTTATTGACTAAGAAAATTACATTCATGATAGATAGCTTCAGCAGTTTTTCCTGAGCTTTCTAGCTTTTATATAAATAGTGAAATAAAAATATACTATCTAATAACAGATATAAAGTACTAAATACTTGCCTCATTCTATTCTGGGAAAATAAGGAGATTTTGGTTTTGAAACAGCTTTTCTGTATTTTTTTTCTGGAGAGGAAAAAATACCATTTTTGTGGAACTTTAAACAGAAGATTCTAAATTTATATAGTCCCCTTTGTAGGGGAAGGGTACTAAGGAAAGATACATTTTAGAAAAATAGAGCTATTTAAAAATCCTATGCAATTAAACATGTTTCCCTTTATTCCCCCAAAGTATAACTGGCACACATTTGATCATTTGCCTATTATGGACATCACTTAATATATTGGTTTTTTTAAGATTTTTTTTATTTCAATAGCTTTTAGGGTACATGTGGTTTTTTATTACATGAATGAATTGCATAGTGGTGAAATCTGAGATGTTAGTGTAACAGCCCCCCGAGTAGTATACATTGTACCCAACATGTAGTTTTTTTATCCCTCCTTCTCCTCTCCCCACCCACTCCTGAGTCTCCAATGTCCATTATACCACTCTGTATGCCTTTGCATGCCCATGGCTTGGTTCCCACTTACAACTGAGAACATACAATATTTGGTTTTCAAATAATAAGTGAGTTACTTCATTTAGAATAACGGCCTCCAGCTCCATCCACTGCTTAGTATCTTACATTTTGTCAGCTATATTTTCTGGCCCCATATTCATTTGCTTATTTGACCTTAATGACAATTCTTTATGGGTGATAAGTATTCTTGTTCTCATTTTTACAAATGAGAAAACTGAGGTTCAAAGTGGTTGTCATCCATTTTTCTTGCTGCTGTTAATGTAAACGAGGATCCCCCTATAGACGATGCAGCTTTTTTTTTTAAGATTAACTTTGTAGAGTTTTACTACATAAACTTGCAGATAGTATTTTCTCACTCCAACTTTTTTTATACTTTAGGTTTTAGGGTACATGTGCACAACGTGCAGGTTAGTTACATATGTATACATGTGCCAGGTTGGTGTGCTGCACCCATTAACTCATCATTTAACATCAGGTATATCTCCTAATGCTATCCCTCCCCACTCCCCCCACCCCACAACAGGCCCCGGTGTGTGATGTTCCCCTTCCTGTGTCCATGTGTTCTCATTGTTCAATTCCCATCTATGAGTGAGAACATGCAGTGTTTGTTTGGTTTTTTGTCCTTGTGATAGTTTGCTGAGAATGATGGTTTCCAGCTTCATCCATGTCCATGCAAAGGACATGAACTCATTTTTTATGGCTGCATAGTATTCCATGGTGTATATGTGCCACATTTTCTTAATCCAGCCTCATTGTTGGACATTTCGGTTGGTTCCAAGTCTTTGCTATTGTGAATAGTGCCGCAATAAACATACGTGTGCATGTGTCTTTATAGCAGCATGTTTTATAATCCTTTGGGTATATACCCAGTAATGGGATGGCTGGGTCAAATGGTATTCCTAGTTCTAGATCCCTGAGGAATCGCCACACTGACTTCCACAATGGTTGAACTAGTTTACATTCCCACCAACAGTGTAAAAGTGTTCCTATTTCTCCACATCCTCTCCAGCACCTGTTGTTTCCTGACTTTTTAATGATTGCCATTCTAACTGGTGTGAGATGGTATCTCATTGTGGTTTTGATTTGCATTTCTCTGATGGTCAGTGATGGTGAGCATTTTTTCATGTGTCTGTTGGCTGCATAAATGTCTTCTTTTGAGAAGTGTCTGTTCATATCCTTCACCCACTTTTTGATGGGGTTGTTTTTTTCTTGTGAATTTGTTTGAGTTCATTGTAGATTCTGGATGTTAGCCCTTTGTCAGATGAGTAGATTGCAAAAATTTTCTCCCATTCTGTAAAAAATTTTCTCCCATTCTGTAGGTTGCCTGTTCACTCTGATGGTAGTTTCTTTTGCTGTGCAGAAGCTTTTTAGTTTAATTAGATCCCATTTGTCAATTTTGGCTTGTGTTGCCATTGCTTTTGGTGTTTTAGACATGAAGTCCTTGCCCATGCCTATGTCCTGAATGGTATTGCCTAGGTTTTCTTCTAGGGTTTTTATGGTTTTAGGTCTAACATTTAAGTCTTCAATCCATCTTGAATTAATTTTTGTATAAGGTGTAAGGAAGGGATCCAGTTTCAGCTTTCTACTTATGGCTAGCCAGTTTTCCCAGAACCATTTATTCAATAGGGAATCCTTTCCCCCCCTTTTTTTTTTTAACTAGTAGATGGAAGTTTGACCCTGAAACGAAGAGCAAACATGGGCTTAAGACAAGAATGTGAGATATAGTCACTTGCGGGCGGGGGGTGGGGTGGAAGCTATGCCTGAGGCTGAGGTTGCCCAGGGAAAAGGCAAACACATAGTGGGCAGTGCTCTGGGGTGTGTGAGCATTGATAAGATGGGTGAAACAGCAAGAGCACATGAAGGCAATTAAGAAAGTGAAGGCAATTAAGAAAGAGGCTGGGTTCATCTGCTAATAAGTGGAGGCCAGGGGCCTAGGGCAGAGATTTACAAATGGTGGTCCTGGCCAGAAGAGCAGCAGCATCTGGAAACGTGTCAGAAATGGACATTATCAGGTTCCACCCTGACCTGCTAAGTCAGAAACTCTGGGAGTAGGACTCAGCTGTCTTGTGTTTAAACAAGCTCTCCAGGTGGTTCTGATGCAGGCTAACATTTGAGAACCACTGACTTAGCAGAAATGATCTGGGCTGTCAAATGCAATGAGTGAGGCTTGTGGAAGACCTTCTTAACACACATCCCACACCTGGCACAAATTGGAATAGTACACTCAGGATGGCCAAATACAAATATAGGTACAGTCCACCAGGGGTTGGGAATAGTTACTGAGTAGTTGGCCCTATACTAGGCCCTGGGAATACAATTGTGAAAAAAGACAGATCTAGCAGTTGCTGTCAAAGAGTTTGTTGTAGTAGACAATGTAAGTAAATTGTTACAAAATTAATGCATTAATTAATGTTATGTTAGTAGCCAAAAAGGAAAAGCCTAGCATGCCAAAACAACATATGTGTCATCTCAGCTTCACTGGGAAGTAGATTCTAAGATGGATTGAGAAGTACAAGAGTTTTGGTTTGGGCTTTTTGTGCATTTTGTTGTTGTTGTTATTGTTTAAGGGAAAGGGGAGATAACACTTGTAAAAGAAAATAAAAGAGGAAGTAAGATCAGGAAGAAAACCCAGAATGATACGCTCTACAAAGTCTTGACCAAATCCATACAAAACTTCAGAACACAGCCTGTCCTTTGAGAGTTTTGTGTTGGGCACAAGTGGCCAAGCACTAGTACCTCCACTGTGCTGTCATTAGTGGGGTTGGGGGATATCCAGGAAGAATGTGGCCTTGGCTCATGCATTGTAGCAGATCGCAAATCCACTGAAGCTGGAGGCTGTCAGCTACCTGCACCCCTCACAGCTAAACATCAAGTTCCTTCTTGATGGAAAATGTGTGCAGTGCACAATTAGATGCTCCACTCTCCTCTCATACTGCAGATCCATTTCTCCATATACATCTGGGAGTCACTCCTCTGGGGTTCCCATGTGCCTTTCTTCCTGAAGAAAGACTTAAAGGAGAGAGGTTAGAGGGATACATGACATCTCCGTTCACTGGAGTTGGTCTCAAGGCCAACTGGTACTCATCTTCTTCCACTGACCATTTTACATTCCTCTTCTCAGCTTTCCTGTCTGGTGGTCTCAGTGGTTTCCTGTTGGTGAATCCAAATCTCATTCCTGAGAGAGTCAGGGCCCCTGGCAACCACATCTGCTTCAGGCCAGTATTGCTACACTTGTTTGTTTTTAGTCACAATTGGCAGAGAGACTTCCAAGAAGACCTCAAGTAGATCACCTGAGGTCTACATATAATTCCTTTCGCCCTCTTATGGCACATACACGAGGGCAATACATGCTCCTTACTGCCATCCTGACTTCCAGCAGCTCTGCCTTCTCTTGAAGTTTAGTGGCAACTACCTTTGTCAAGATGGTAACTCCTCTTCCTGCCTTTTTGTCCCTGGACAAAAGAGTCCAAAGTGGCCAGAGAGTAGCCATAGCTTGTAGCTCAATGGGACCATTGCTGTATCCTCTGTCCTTGTCCCTTTGGGGACAAGGACCCCTGACCATGAAAAACCTAGAGCTGTGGGAACATAAATCATAAAGGATTTCATCAGGTTATTAGAAGCGATGACAAGTGGAGAAACTCTTGCTTTTACCCCTAAGTTTCCATTCTTCCAATGGGGACACAATAACATGTAGGAAGCTCTTCTTCAGTGTATCTACTGCATCCTAAAGGATGACCCCCATCCTCACAGACTAGTGCCTCCAAGCTGTGCCTTCAGCCAGCCATTCCTTTGTGCTATCAGGCCAGGCCAGCAGCTTCTAGGTGGTGCAGTACATGATGCAGCCCATGGGTAGGCACCCATTTCCACTCCTGCTTTGTTGAGAAGTGGTTTCCTTGATCAGAGACTGAGTGAATGCAGTCTGTAAATCCTTGGGTATAGCTGGTGGCTCAAGCTCAGAGAGTCATAAAAGCAAATTCATAAATCCTCGATGCCCTAGGTAATTAATTGTATTTTAGTGAGAATAACCATTATGGGTGTGTGTTTTTGTGAGAGTGAAATATTTTGCCCTCCAGGAAGGTAGAAGCTCAGTTTTCATTCATTTACTACAGGTAAGTGGTTGGTCCCCTTGAGGATAATCCCTTATCAGGAGCTCAGAGTTGGTCTCTGTTGCTGGCAGTTCAACATTCAGAGGAAGCAGTGGGTAGATCAGCTTTGGCAATAAGGAGGCCATACTCTTGGGCCTTTCCATGGCCACTTTCTCTGACCATGGGTACTCTGTTTATGTGCCCATAATGCCAGGTATGGGATGGTTGATGCCAAAGGATTGCTAACATCAACTCGAAGGGTCCTTTTGGCTACGTAGCATTCTAAAGTGATGCTTCTGGTAAGCATTACCAAGTGACAGAAAGATCTCCACATAGTATGCCTAATCCCGTATCCCTTCCTTGTCCCTGAAGCTTTGAAATGTTTTATCCCATGGCCCTGACAAGTACAGTAGTCTATTTGCTATTGATCATCAGTCTATGTATATTCTCACTGTGGGCCTCTTTTTTTTTTTTTTTTTGAGACAGAGTCTTGCTCTATTGCCCAGGCTGGAGTGCAGTGGCAGGATCTCTGCTCATTGCAACCTCTGCCTCCTGGATTCAAGCGATTCTTCTGCCTTAGCCTTCCGAGTAACTGGGATTACAGGCATGCACCACCATGCCCAGCTAATTTTTGTATTTTTAGTAGAGATGGGCTTTTGCCATGTTGGCTAGGCTGGTCTCAAACTCCTGACCTCAAGTGATCCACCACATCGGCCTCCCAAAGTGCTGGGATTACAGACACGAGCCACTGCACCCAGCTATGGGCCACTTTTCTTTCTGAGCAAAGTGTGTAACATGCATCATCACTCAGCTCTACCCATTGGGAAAATAGTCCCTAACCACTGTCTTTCAAAGCCAACTCTGAATGTGGCTATAATGCACATACAATACAGCTGCTGTCCCTTTCAACCTTGCAACCACATAGGAGCCAACTCTTCCAAAAACAAAGCTCAGGGTTTTTTTCTCCTTCACGTGGGCATAAGGAAACCACTCTTCCCTGTGGCCATAGGTACGAACTGAGGAAGGACAGCAGTTCCACTCTGGTGGGTAACATGAGAGCCTAGGCTACCTGCTCTTGCAGTTACCTCTTGTTAACTGGTCTTGCTCAGGTCAATATCATATGTGCCCTTCCCATCACAAGGAGACAGCTGCTGACCCACCTGATTTTTTGAGTTAGTGGCTTCCATGGAACCCAACCCAAAATAAGCAGTTCTGGATGCCTGGCCACTGGTGTCAAGTGTTTCTTCTCTACCAGGTCTAGTACCAGGAGCTACTTTTCAAACACTTGTCACTCTCCAGTGCAGGTTACTAGAGGCTCTAAAACTCCAGGAACCTCCAGTGATTTTCACATTGGCATTGCCATAAATTCCACACTATGTACTTTCTCCTAACACCAAGAGTATATATGACCCTGGCTGGATAGGATGACCCAAGCATATGGAGTGAGAAGCGCGAGAAGTGTGTTGGGAATTAACACCTATAAAAGATGAAAGGGGAAGAAATAGGATTGGACAGGAAAGCCTTGAAACCACAATTTAATTCAGATACTTCTGAAAAGGAGGGAGGAAGAAGCAAAATTGGCAGGATTGGGGGGGCGGGAAGGGGCAAGCAGTAATTGCTTGTGGGCAGAATCCTTTCTGGCAGAGACAATACCATGTGTAAAGAGTAGCATCCTTGAGCTATAAAATGCTTCCTAGGGACCAAAATGAGGTGAATGTGGGTGACATTGAAAAAGGTATGTAATGGTAGAGAAATTAAGGGATCAGATCACACGAAGAGTTGCAGGTCCTGTCACCAAATCTCTTTATTTAAAGATAAACTATTTCTGATGATTCACCTCAGTAAGTTAAATGAGTGCCTAATGATCTCAGACAAATTTTCTCTTAATTTTTCTTACTAAGATCTAGCATCATTTCATTTAGCCATTAAAAATGGTGACATTTGAATTTGGGGTTTGACCTTCATCAGCTAATATTTGTTGAATAACCACATGTATTTGAGCATCTCTCCTACAAACGTGTGGCCAGTATGTAACACTTTTCTTAAATCTTTTGAAGGCATTTGTGAATCAGTTTACAAATGAGAGTTATTTAATAGAAAGCACACCTTTGTAGTTCTTACCCATGGTTAGTTAAATTTGTCCTAGCAGAGTATTTTAGATGTGAGAACAGTTTTTTTTTTTATTTTTTGTTTGTTTTGAGGCAGAGTCTTGCTCTGTTGTCCAGGCTGGAGTGCACTGATGCAGTCTTGGCTCACTGCAAGCTCCACCTCCCAGGTTCACACCATTCTCCTGCCTCAGCCTCCCAAGTAGCTGGGACCACAGGCGCCCGCCACCACACCCAGCTAATCTTTTTGTATTTTTAGTAGAGACAGGGTTTCACTGTGTTAGCCAGGATGGTCTCTCTCTCCTGACCTCATGATCCGCCCGCCTTGACCTCCCAAAGTGCTGGGATTACAGGCGTGAGCCACTGTGCCCAGCCAGATATGAGAACAATTTCTATAAACAGTATGATTTGCTGTATGGGCATTTACAAAAGCAGTGCAATGCTCTCCTTTGTAATATTGCTATAACGGTAATAGAAATCAATAATAGGTTTGATAGGAAAGAACGTAGACTTCAAAGGGAACCCTTGCACACTGTTGGTAGGAATGTAAATTAGTGCAGTCGTTATAGAGAACAGTGTGGAAGTTCCTCAAAAAGTTAAAAATAGAACTACCATATGATCTAGCAATCCCACGCCTGGGTATATATCCAAAGGAAATGACATCAGTGAGATATCTGCATTCTCATTTTCAATACACCATTATTCAAAACGCCAAGACATGGAATCAACCTAAAGGCCAGTAGATGAATGGATAAAGAAAATGCAGTATATATTCACAATACTAATTGCCTTTAAAAAGGCAGAAATCCTGTCATTTGCAATATAGATGAACATTGTGTTATGTGAAATAAGCCAGGCACGGAAAGACCAATACCGCATGATCTCACTTATATGTGAAATCTTGAACAGTTGAATTCACAGAAGTAGAGAATAGAATGGTGATTACCAGGGTATGGGGTGATGGGGGACTGGGGAAATGTTGGTCAAAGGATACAGAATTTCAGTTAGGAGAAATGAGTTCAAGAGATCTATTGTACAGCATGGCAACTATAGTTAATAACAGTGTATTATATTCTTGAAAAATGCTAAAAAATATTTTAGATGTTCTCACCACAAAAAAAAGATAATTTTGGGAGGTTTTATATATTTTTTTATATATTTATGTATATATAAATTAGCTCCACTTAGCCATCCCACAATGTATAAATATTCCACAATGTATAAATATTTAAAAACATGTACACGATAAATATGTATTTTTCTCAATTAAAATAATTTTTTTTGAAAACTAAAGAAACTGGACTTTGGGACTAGACACACTACATGTTTTTCTTCCTCCAAAAGTTAATATTTGTCTGGCTTCAAACAGTCAACAGTCATTTAACTGAAAAGAAAGAAGAAATTCTTTGTAAAATGGAGATAATAAATGATGGTTATAAGGATGAGTAATAATGCACATAAGGTACCTGATATGTGGGAGCTATTAAAAATAAACAGTGATGTGTTGATGGTATATTAATTCAGGTAAGACAATATGAACTGTAATAGTGTTATGCTTCACATGAATGTCAGCAACATACAAAGAAGCCTAATAAACGAGTTCTTATACTTTTGGTGGAAGTATATATGTTAGTAGTTTTTAATGAAATATATGAATATATGTTATTGAATTCTATTAGTCTTCTGTATCTTTCAGTGGAAAATCTCTAATGATAAAAATAACTGCTCAAAAATAAAATTACATAATGTGTATGAATACATATCATAACCATAATAAAAAGATGTTATTTAAATGCTATTTTACTTGAATTTTAAAGACAGCATATGTTATGGCTTTTTTATATTATCCTAATTAACATTGATCTCTATGGCATCTTAATCCAAATTAAAATTACATATTATTAGGAGCAGGTTGTTCAGTTTCCATGTAGCTGAGCAGTTTTGAGTGAGTTTCTTAATCCTGAGTTCTAGTTTGATTGCACTGTGGGCTGAGAGACAGTTTGTTATAATTTCTGATCTTTTACATTTGCTGAGGAGAGCTTTACTTCCAACTATGTGGTCAATTTTGGAATAGGTGTGGTGCTGAAAAAATGTATATTCTGTTGATTTGGGGTGGTTGGGTACATAACAAAATGAAGGTAGAAATAAAGATGTTCTTTGAAACCAATGAGAACAAAGACACAGCATACCAGAATCTCTGGGACACATTCAAAGCAGTGTGTAGAGGGAAATTTATAACACTAAATGCCCACAAGAGAAAGCAGGAAAGATCCAAAATTGACACCCTAACATCACAATTAAAAGAACTAGAAAAGCAAGAGCAAACAAACACATTCAAAAGCTAGCAGAAGGCAAGAAATAACTAAAATCAGAGCAGAACTGAAGGAAATAGAGACACAAAAAACCCTCTAAAAAATTAATGAATCCAGGAGCTGGTTTTTTGAAAGGATCAACAAAATTGATAGACTGCTAGCAAGACTAATAAAGAAGAAAAGAGAGAAGAATCAAATAGACGCAATAAAAAATGACGAAGGGGATAGCAGCACTGATCCACAGAAATACAAACTACCATCAGAGAATACTACAAACACCTCTATGCAAATAAACTAGAAAATCTAGAAGAAATGGATAAATTCCTCGACACATACACCCTCCCAAGACTAAACCAGGAATAAGTTGAATCTCTGAATAGACCAATAACAGGCTCTGAAATTGTGGCAATAATCAATAGCTTACCAACCAAAAAGAGTCCAGGACCAGATGGATTCACAGCCGAATTCTACCAGAGGTACAAGGAGGAACTGGTACCATTCCTTCTGAAACTATTCCTATCAATAGAAAAAGAGAGAATCCTCCCTAACTCATTTTATGAGGCTAGCATCATCCTGATACCAAAGCCGGGAAGAGACACAACCAAAAAAGAGAATTTTAGACCAATATCCTTGATGAACATTGATGCAAAAATCCTCAATAAAATACTGGCAAACCAAGGGGAGGAGCCAAGATGGCCGAATAGGAACAGCTCCAGTCTACAGCTCCCAGCGTGAGTGACGCAGAAGACGGATGATTTCTGCATTTCCATCTGAGGTACCGGGTTCATCTCACTAGGGAGTGCCAGACAGTGGGCACAGGCCAGTGGGTGCGCGCACCGTGCGCGAGCCGAAGCAGGGCGAGGCATTGCCTCACTTGGGAAGCGCAAGGGGTCAGAGAGTTCCCTTTCCGAGTCAAAGAAAGGGGTGACGGACGCACCGGGAAAATCGGGTCACTCCCACCCGAATATTGCACTTTTCAGACCGGCTTAAAAAACGGCGCACCACGAGATTGTATCCCACACCTGGCTGGGAGGGTCCTATGCCCACGGAATCTCGCTGATTACTAGCACAGCAGTCTGAGATCAAACTGCAAGGCGGCAACAAGGCTGGGGGAGGGGCGCCCGCCATTGCCCAGGCTTGCTTAGGTAAACAAAGCAGCCCGGAAGCTCGAACTGGGTGGAGCCCACCACAGCTCAAGAAGGCCTGCCTGCCTCTGTAGGCTCCACCTCTGGGGGCAGGGCACAGACAAACAAAAAGACAGCAGTAACCTCTGCAGACTTAAATGTCCCTGTCTGACAGCTTTGAAGAGAGCAGTGGTTCTCCCAGCATGCAGCTGAACATCTGAGACCTGGCAGACTGCCTCCTCAAGTGGGTCCCTGACCCCTGACCCCGGAACAGCCTAACTGGGAGGCACCCCCCAGCAGGGGCACACTCACAATTCACACGGCAGGGTATTCCAACAGACCTGCAGCTGAGGGTCCTGTCTGTTAGAAGGAAAACTAACAAACAGAAAGGACATCCACACCGAAAACCCATCTGTACATCACCATCATCAAAGACCAAAAGTAGATAAAACCACAAAGATGGGGAAAAAACAGAACATAAAAACTGGAAACTCTAAAACACAGAGCACCTCTCCTCCTCCAAAGGAACGCAGTTCCTCACCAGCAACGGAACAAAGCTGGATGGAGAATGACTTTGACGAGCTGAGAGAAGAAGGCTTCAGACGATCAAATTACTCTGAGCTACAGGAGGACATTCAAACCAAAGGCAAAGAAGTTGAAAACTTTGAAAAAAATTTAGAAGAATGTATAACTAGAATAACCAATACAGAGAAGTGCTTAAAGGAGCTGATGGAGCTGAAAACCAAGGCTCGAGAACTATGTGAAGAATGCAGAAGCCTCAGGAGCGAATGCGATCAACTGGAAGAAAGGGTATCAGCAATAGAAGATGAAATGAAGCGAGAAGGGAAGTTTAGAGAAAAAAGAATAAAAAGAAATGAGCAAAGCCTCCAAGAAATATGGGACTATGTGAAAAGACCAAATCTACGTCTGATTGGGGTACCTGAAAGTGATGGGGAGAATGGAACCAAGTTGGAAAACACTACAGGATATTATCCAGGAGAACTTCCCCAATCTAGCAAGGCAGGCCAACATTCAGATTCAGGAAATACAGAGAATGCCACAAAGATACTCCTCGAGAAGAGCAACTCCAAGACACATAATTGCCAGATTCACCAAAGTTGAAATGAAGGAAAAAATGTTAAGGGCAGCCAGAGAGAAAGGTCGGGTTACCCTCAAAGGGAAGCCCATCAGACTAACAGCGGGTCTCTTGGCAGAAACCCTACAAGCCAGAAGAGAGTGGGGGCCAATATTCAACATTCTTAAAGAATTTTCAACCCAGAATTTCATATCCAGCCAAACTAAGCTTCCTAAGTGAAGGAGAAATAAAATACTTTACAGACAAGCAAATGCTGAGAGGTTTTGTCACCACCAGGCCTGCCCTAAAAGAGCTCCTGAAGGAAGCACTAAACATGGAAAGGAACAACCGGTACCAGCCGCTGCAAAATCATGCCAAAATGTAAAGACCATCAAGACTAGGAAGAAACTGCATCAACTAACGAGCAAAATCACCAGCTAACATCATAATGACAGGATCAAATTCACACATAACAATATTAACTTTAAATGTAAATGGACTAAATTCTCCAATTAAAAGACACAGACTGGCAAATTGGATAAAGAGTCAAGACCCATCAGTGTGCTGTATTCAGGAAACCCATCTCACATGCAGAGACACACATAGGCTCAAAATAAAAGGATGGAGGAAGATCTACCAAGCAAATGGAAAACAAAAAAAGGCAGGGGTTGCAATCCTAGTCTCTGATAAAACAGACTTTAAACCAACAAAGATCAAAAGAGACAAAGAAGGCCATTACATAATGGTAAAGGGATCAATTCAACAAGAAGAGCTAACTATCCTAAATATATATGCACCCAATACAGGAGCACCCAGATTCATAAAGCAAGTCCTGAGTGACCTACAAAGAGACTTAGACTCCCACACATTAATAATGGGAGACTTTAACACCCCACTGTCAACATTAGAGAGATCAATGAGATAGAAAGTCAACAAGGATACCCAGGAATTGAACTCAGCTCTGCACCAAGTGGACCTAATAGACACCTACAGAACTCTCCACCCCAAATCAACAGAATATACATTTTTTTCAGCACCACACCACACCTATTCCAAAATTGACCACATAGTTGGAAGTAAAGCTCTCCTCAGCAAATGTAAAAGAACAGAAATTATAACAAACTCTCTCAGACCACAGTGCAATCAAACTAGAACTCAGGATTAAGAATCTCACTCAAAACCGCTCAACTACATGGAAACTGAACAACCTGCTCCTGAATGACTACTGGGTACATAACGAAATGAAGGCAGAAATAAAGATGTTCTTTGAAACCAACGAGAACAAAGACACAACATAGCAGAATCTCTGGGACCCATTCAAAGCAGTGTGTAGAGGGAAATTTATAACACTAAATGCCCACAAGAGAAAGCAGGAAAGATCCAAAATTGACACCCTAACATCACAATTAAAAGAACTAGAAAAGCAAGAGCAAACACATTCAAAAGCTAGCAGAAGGCAAGAAATAACTAAAATCAGAGCAGAACTGAAGGAAATAGAGACACAAAAAACCCTTCAAAAAATCAGTGAATCCAGGAGCTGGATTTTTGAAAGGATCAACAAAATTGATAGACCGCTAGCAAGACTAATAAAGAAAAAAAGAAGAATCAAATAGACACAATAAAAAATGACAAAGGGGATATCAGCACCGATCCACAGAAATACAAACTGCCATCAGAGAATACTACAAACACCTCTACACAAATAAACTAGAAAATCTAGAAGAAATGGATACATTCCTCGACACATACACTCTCCCAAGACTAAACCAGGAAGAAGTTGAATCTCTGAATAGACCAATAACAGGAGCTGAAATTGTGGCAATAATCAATAGTTTACCAACCAAAAAGAGTCCAGGACCAGATGGATTCACAGCTGAATTCTACCAGAGGTACAAGGAGGAACTGGTACCATTCCTTCTGCAACTATTCCAATCAATAGAAAAAGAGGGAATCCTCCCTAACTCATTTTATGAGGCCAGCATCATTCTGATACCAAAGCCGGGCAGAGAGACAACCAAAAAAGAGAATTTTAGACCAATATCCTTGATGAACATTGATGCAAAAATCGTCAATAAAATACTGGCAAAACGAATCCAGCAGCACATCAAAAAGCTTATCCACCATGATCAAGTGGGCTTCATCCCTGGGATGCAAGGCTGGTTAAATACATGCAAATCAATAAATGTAATCCAGCATATAAACAGAGCCAAAGACAAAAACCACATGATTATCTCAATAGATGCAGAAAAAGCCTTTGACAAAATTCAACAACCCTTCATGCTAAAAACTCTCAAGAAATTAGGTACTGATGGGACGTATTTCAAAATAGTAAGAGCTATCTATGACAAACCCACAGCCAATATCATACTGAATGGGCAAAAACTGGAAGCATTCCCTTTGAAAACTGGCACAAGACAGGGATGCCCTCTCTCACCATTCCTATTCAACATAGTGTTGGAAGTTCTGGCCAGGGCCATCAGGCAGAAGGAAATAAAAGGTATTCAGTTAGGAAAAGAGGAAGTCATATTGTCCCTGTTTGCAGATGACATGATTGTATATCTAGAAAACCCCATTGTCTCAGCCCAGAATCTCCTTAAGCTGATAAGCAACTTCAGCAAAGTCTCAGGATACAAAACCAATGTACAAAAATCACAAGCATTCTTATATACCAATAACATACAAACAGGGAGCCAAATCATGAGTGACCTCCCATTCACAATTGCTTCAAAGAGAATAAAATACCTAGGAATCCAACTTACAAGGGACATGAAGGACCTCTTCAAGAACTACAAACCACTGCTCACTGAAATGAAACAAAGAAATGGAAGAACATTCCATGCTCATGGGTAGGAAGAACCAATATCATGAAAATGGCCATACTGCCCAAGGTAATTTATAGATTCAATGCCATCCCCATCAAGCTACCAATGACTTTCTTCACAGAATTGGAAAAAACTACTTTAAAGTTCATAGGAACCGAAAAAGAGCCCGCATCGCCAAGTCAATCCTAAGCCAAAAGAACAAAGCTGGAGGCATCACACTACCTGACTTCAAACTATACTACAAGGCTACAGTAACCAAAACAGCATGGTACTGGGACCAAAACAGAGATATAGATCAATGGAACAGAACAGAGCCCTCAGAAATAACGCCACATATCTACAACTATCTGATCTTTGACAAACCTGAGAAAAACAAGCAATGGGGAAAGGAATCCCTATTTAATAAATGGTGCTGGGAAAACTGGCTAGCCATATGTAGAAAGCTGAAACTGGATCCCTTCCTTACACCTTATACAAAAATTAATTCAAGATGGATTAAAGACTTAAACCTTAGACCTAAAACCATAAAAACCCTAGAAGAAAACCTAGGCATTACCATTCAGGACATAGGCATGGGCAAGGACTTCATGTCTAAAACACCAAAAGCAATGGCAACACAAGCCAAAATTGACAAATGGGAGCTAATTAAACTAAAGAGCTTCTGCACAGCAAAAGAAACTATCATCAGAGTGAACAGGCAACCTACAAAATGGGAGAAAATTTTCACAACCTACTCATCTGACAAAGGTCTAATATCCAGAATCTACAATGAACTCAAACAAATTTACAAGAAAAAAAAACAACCCCATCAAAAAGTGGGTGAAGGATATGAACAGACACTTCTCAAAAGAAGACATTTATGCAGCCAAAAAACACATGAAAAAATGCTCACCATCACTGACCATCAGAGAAATGCAAATCAAAACCACAATGAGATATCATCTCATACCAGTTAGAATGGCAATCATTAAAAAGTCAGGAAACAACAGGTGCTGGAGAGGATGTGGAGAAATAGGAACACCTTTACACTGTTGGTGGGACTGTAAACTAGTTCAACCATTGTGGAAGTCAGTGTGGCGATTCCTCAGGGATCTAGAACTAGAAATACCATTTGACCCAGCCATCCCATTACTGGGTCCCAAAGGACTACAGATCATGCTGCTATAAAGACACATGCACATGTATGTTTATTGCGGCATTATTCACAGTAGCAAAGACTTGGAACCAACCCAAATGTCCAACAATGATAGACTGGATTAAGAAAATGTGGCACATATACACCATGGAATACTATGCAGCCATAAAAAATGATGAGTTCATGGCCTTTGTAGGGACATGGATGAAATTGGAAATCATCATTCTCAGTAAACTATCGCAAGAACAAAAAACCAAACACCACATATTCTCACTCATAGGTGGGAATTGAACAATGAGAACACATGGACACAGGAAGGGGAACATCACACTCTGGGGACTGTTGTGGGGAGGGATAGCATTAGGAGATATACCTAATGCTAAATGATGAGTTAATGAGTGCAGCACACTAGCATGGCACATGTATACATATGTAACTAACCTGCACATTGTGCACATGTACCCTAAAACTTAAAGTATAATAATAAAAAAATAAAATTACATATTATAAAATTCAGTATATGGAAAGGTTTACCAATGTGCCAATTAAGATGGGTCAGTTGATTTTCGCTTGGGTTCTGATAGTCTAACATTTCTAAAGCAGCTAAGCTTAACAGTGAATATAGTTAAGATTGTTTAATTAAATGTTTTGATCTTGCTAAACCTAAACTTCATTATTTAAAATAAGGAACAGAAAAATATTTTTTTTTAATTGCAGATGTCTTTTCTCTCCTCTTTTAGGATTTTGCCTACCATTTTACAGTATTTGTCTTCTATTTTGGAGCCTTTTTATTGGAAGCAGCAGCCACATCCCTGCATGATTTGCATTGCAATACAACCATAACCGGGCAGCCACTCCTGAGTGATAACCAGTATAACATAAACGTAGCAGCCTCAGTAAGTATTCATATTCAATGAGTACCATTCACCAGCACTTCCGCTCCACTGTCAAGGCCTCCAAGAAACTCCTCAGGCAACAATAGTTTTCTTCAATGCTAGCCATTGGCATTAAATATGTAATAGCTATTTATCTGTACAATAACCTTGTAAGCAAAGTGCCATGATCACCCCCAGTGTTGTGGATGATTAAACTGTAGCACGAAGAGGTTGATGTTCATGTAAGATCATAGCAAGCCAGTAGGACTGCTTGGCTTTGCACAGCAGTGTCTACTTTGCAAAAAGAGTTGTGTTTTTTGCTTCTGATAACTTTCAGAGATGGTAAAGGAGATTTCCAGTTTTGTTCTTTAGTATTCAATAGCTGCTTGCAATTTATTTCTATTGAATGAATAGTTACTGTGGGCCTACCATTTATCAAGTAATTTTGCTGGGTGTTGAGGATGGGGTGAATAAGTTGCAGTTCCTGCCATTAAGGAAAGTGCAGGTGAGAAAGGGAGGCAAATATGCCAGCCATTGCAGTAGATGATAGGCAGATGAAATATATTCCTTGGGGTATTTATTAAATTTTTTAAATCATCTTTAATTCGTATACTGGAGTGAATTTGTCATTTTGTGTAGATAATTTGAGGAAATAATATATTATTTTTGTTGTTAGAGATCATTGTTAAGATGTCAGAAGTCCAAATTAGTTTCTGAAATATTGTGATATTTAATATAAGTATATGGCAAGTTAGTGACCCTAATGTTTTATTATGTTCCCCAGGTAGCCTATAAATAACCCAGTACTCATATAGTCATTGAAATCTGTCTGGAGCAGCACTGTCTAGTAGAACTTTCTATAATGACAGGAATATTTCATGTAAGTGCTGTCCAAAATGGTGGCCACTGGCTTCATGTGGCTATTGAGCAGTTGAAAATTAACTAGGCCAAGGAATCATAGCTCATGCCTGTAATCCCAGCACATTGGTAGGCCGAGGTGGGAGGACTGCTTGAGGCCAAGAGTTTGAGACCAGCCTGGTCAACATAGCAAAACCTTGTCTCTGAAAAAGGAAAAAAAACAGAATAAAGAATTGGCCAGGCCTGGTGGCTTGTGCCTGTAGTGCTACCTACTCAGGAGGCGGAGGTTGCAGTGAGCAGAGCAGTCTGAGCGACAGACCAAGACTCTGGTCGGGGGAGAGAAAGATAACTAGTATGACTAAGGAACTTGAATTTTTAGTGTTATTTAATTTTAATAATCACATGTGCCTAGTGGCTATCATGTTAGATAATACATGTCTAGAGTGAGTTTTGAGGGGTACAAGACAAATGATTTCAAGACCTATTGTAAGTTTCCCAAGTCTCTGGTAGGATTTGTCAAAATTTATTGAGTGCCTGCAATGAATTAGGCTGAAGGTGGGATTACAACAAAAAGGAGTCATGGTTTTAGCTTTGAAAGGTTTATAGTGTAGATTCATGACTTTAACACTTGCTTATAAAAGAAATAAAGGTTTTATTTAATCAATTCTTACCTAAAACCCCAATAAATCTAGAAGATAAAAGTGTAAGTGCTCTAGTTGAAGTGGAGGAAGAGGGCCTTGAATGATGCTCATTCTCTTTTCATAAAGCTGCCTCTACCCACCCATATCATCCCTGAGGATGATAGAATCCTTGTGATCCACATTAGAAAACCCTTGGTTTTAACAGCTTTACAAAGCAAAGTTCAGGGACTTTCCTATGCTATTAGTCATCAATTCCCATTGTATTTGCCTTTATGTGTTTCTTACTTCCAGTCCCTTCATTTTAACGGTGCAGGCTAGATTCTTGTATCTTGGATCATTGAAGTAGCCCCAAATCTATTGACAGTCACCCTAGAACCTACTTTCACAAGAATAGTAGCTGCTGAAATACGTGATGGTTGTCTGAGGTCTTTAATTTGTCACCTTTGTCCTAAGGGCCTAGTTTTCCGTGTTCTCCATAATGTAGTTCTGTTCTGGCTGCTTCTCTTTTGTGACTTTGTCCCTGTTGTCCTTCCCTTTCTAAGTGAAGCTGTCTCAGTAAACCTCTACATGCTTCAAGTTCAACATTACATCCCATTTCATCCATATGCTCACTCCAGTCTAAGTAAATCTCTAGTTTGAGTTTTATTGTAACTAAAATGTATTAGCCATCCATTTGGGAAATTAGAGAGGAAAATTCCTTTTCCCTAATAATAGGTATCAAATAATAGGTATCAAAAAATAGGTATCAAAAGCTATTGCTGTCATTCAGAAAACAATGTCTAGATTAGAAATGTATCAGAGAAAAAATCAGCAGAAGAAGGGTGGAAAGAAAAGCAGAATAGTAAACTGTGAAAATGGTCTATAGGTGAATCTGGTATTCCTTCCCAGAACTGGTTTCCTGGTTAAGAATCCCTGTGCTAAACCCACAACATTTATCAAACATTTATCATGTTGAACTGCTTTTGCTTTGTCTTTTAGTCTTCTATGGATCATAAGCCCCAAAAGGGTGAGGACATTATCTACTGTTTGTTTATATGTACCAAGTATAGTGATATACACACAGTTGGTGCTGAAGAAATTCTCATTAATTCCAAGTAGAGTGCAGATTTGTACACAGGACTGTCTCCCATACAAGAGCAAGCCAACCTGATAATTCATTTCCACTTGTCTTAGTTGAGTTTTAAAGTTACCTTCCATCATCATAGAAATTATTTGATGCATCCTCAGGTTCTGATAGTTGCTGGCTTCCTTGGCTGTGAAGCCACTACATGAACAGAACTTCATGCTGAATTTTTAAATACAGTGCTTAGGGATTCACAAATACTTAAGTGAGCCCAGAATGTGAACAGATTGAACAAATGTTCAGTGTAAAGTTGTCCACAAATGAGAAAATTATTAGGAGCTAAAATGTTTAAAGGAAGGGGGGAGGGTAATTGTATGAGGGAATAAAACAGTTGTACAAATCATCAAAAAAAAAAAAACAATGTAAAATATTTTTGTAAGTGTCGAAGTATCTTTAGGTAGATTGTTGGTCAAACTTCATATGGTTGTTCTTTAGGACACTGTTTATAAGTCGGTGTTGTAAATCTGATGTGAATTTTTGTTTCTTTTTTCTTAGATTTTTGCCTTTATGACGACAGCTTGTTATGGTTGCAGTTTGGGTCTGGCTTTACGAAGATGGCGACCGTAACACTCCTTAGAAACTGGCAGTCGTATGTTAGTTTCACTTGTCTACTTTATATGTCTGATCAATTTGGATACCATTTTGTCCAGATGCAAAAACATTCCAAAAGTAATGTGTTTAGTAGAGAGAGACTCTAAGCTCAAGTTCTGGTTTATTTCATGGATGGAATGTTAATTTTATTATGATATTAAAGAAATGGCCTTTTATTTTACATCTCTCCCCTTTTTCCCTTTCCCCCTTTATTTTCCTCCTTTTCTTTCTGAAAGTTTCCTTTTATGTCCATAAAATACAAATATATTGTTCATAAAAAATTAGTATCCCTTTTGTTTGGTTGCTGAGTCACCTGAACCTTAATTTTAATTGGTAATTACAGCCCCTAAAAAAAACACATTTCAAATAGGCTTCCCACTAAACTCTATATTTTAGTGTAAACCAGGAATTGGCACACTTTTTTTAGAATGGGCCAGATGGTAAATATTTATGCTTCACGGTCCATACAGTCTCTGTCACAACTATTCAGTTCTGCTAGTATAGCGTGAAAGCAGCTATACACAATACAGAAATGAATGAGTGTGGTTATGTTCTAATAAAACTTATTTATAAAAACAAGGGGAGGCTGGGTTTAGCCTGTGGGCCATAGTTTGTCAACCACTGGTGTAAAACCTTAGTTATATATGATCTGCATTTTCTTGAACTGATCATTGAAAACTTATAAACCTAACAGAAAAGCCACATAATATTTAGTGTCATTATGCAATAATCACATTGCCTTTGTGTTAATAGTCAAATACTTACCTTTGGAGAATACTTACCTTTGGAGGAATGTATAAAATTTCTCAGGCAGAGTCCTGGATATAGGAAAAAGTAATTTATGAAGTAAACTTCAGTTGCTTAATCAAACTAATGATAGTCTAACAACTGAGCAAGATCCTCATCTGAGAGTGCTTAAAATGGGATCCCCAGAGACCATTAACCAATACTGGAACTGGTATCTAGCTACTGATGTCTTACTTTGAGTTTATTTATGCTTCAGAATACAGTTGTTTGCCCTGTGCATGAATATACCCATATTTGTGTGTGGATATGTGAAGCTTTTCCAAATAGAGCTCTCAGAAGAATTAAGTTTTTACTTCTAATTATTTTGCATTACTTTGAGTTAAATTTGAATAGAGTATTAAATATAAAGTTGTAGATTCTTATGTGTTTTTGTATTAGCCCAGACATCTGTAATGTTTTTGCACTGGTGACAGACAAAATCTGTTTTAAAATCATATCCAGCACAAAAACTATTTCTGGCTGAATAGCACAGAAAAGTATTTTAACCTACCTGTAGAGATCCTCGTCATGGAAAGGTGCCAAACTGTTTTGAATGGAAGGACAAGTAAGAGTGAGGCCACAGTTCCCACCACACGAGGGCTTTTGTATTGTTCTACTTTTTCAGCCCTTTACTTTCTGGCTGAAGCATCCCCTTGGAGTGCCATGTATAAGTTGGGCTATTAGAGTTCATGGAACATAGAACAACCATGAATGAGTGGCATGATCCGTGCTTAATGATCAAGTGTTACTTATCTAATAATCCTCTAGAAAGAACCCTGTTAGATCTTGGTTTGTGATAAAAATATAAAGACAGAAGACATGAGGAAAAACAAAAGGTTTGAGGAAATCAGGCATATGACTTTATACTTAACATCAGATCTTTTCTATAATATCCTACTACTTTGGTTTTCCTAGCTCCATACCACACACCTAAACCTGTATTATGAATTACATATTACAAAGTCATAAATGTGCCATATGGATATACAGTACATTCTAGTTGGAATCGTTTACTCTGCTAGAATTTAGGTGTGAGATTTTTTGTTTCCCAGGTATAGCAGGCTTATGTTTGGTGGCATTAAATTGGTTTCTTTAAAATGCTTTGGTGGCACTTTTGTAAACAGATTGCTTCTAGATTGTTACAAACCAAGCCTAAGACACATCTGTGAATACTTAGATTTGTAGCTTAATCACATTCTAGACTTGTGAGTTGAATGACAAAGCAGTTGAACAAAAATTATGGCATTTAAGAATTTAACATGTCTTAGCTGTAAAAATGAGAAAGTGTTGGTTGGTTTTAAAATCTGGTAACTCCATGATGAAAAGAAATTTATTTTATACGTGTTATGTCTCTAATAAAGTATTCATTTGATAATCTTTGTGGTCATCTTTTACACCATTCACTTTGAAATTCAGTTAAAGGTTTGATATAAATTTGGCAGAGCTTATAGAATTATAATGTATAAAAAGTTCTGTTTTAAACATTTCTGTGTAAAAGTCTCTCAGGAATTGTCAGTAAGTCTTTTTTCTTTGATGAAGGTGAAAGAGGCAAGTCTTTGGAAGTAACGTTGCAAAGGAAGTTTAAATGAGAATTCTGTTTTGCCGAGTGTGATGACTTATGCCAGTATTCCCAATACTTTGGGAAGCCGAGGCAGAAGGATCACTTGACACTAGGAATTCAGGACCAACCTGGGCAATATAGCAAGACCTCATCTCTACAAAATAATTTAAAAATTAGCTGGGTGCATGTGGCACGTGCCTCTAGTCCCAGCTACTTGGGAAACTGAGGTGGGAGGATTGCTTTAGCCCAGGATGTTGAGGCTCCAACCTGGGTGACAGAGTGAGACCCTGTCTCACACACACACAAAAAAAACCACTATCCATGCTAAAAAGAATTGTTTTATTTAAAAAGCATTCATTTATACCATGTTTTATATGTTTCAGGCATTTTTTTCACATATTCATTTATTTCTCATCATAACAACCCTATGAGGTGTATACTCTTATCCCATTTTAAAGGCTTGGAGACTAAAAAACCTTAAGAAACACCCAGTGCTGCCTGCCTAGCAGGTGAGAAAGCTGGGACTTAAACCCCAACAGTCTGACTCCGAAGTGCAGACTCTTAATTTCTGTTTGCCTCAGTTCACCCAGATTTTATATCTATATCCAAAAATGTGATCTTTTCTTCACCCAGAGAAGTTTTAGCAGAATGTTTAACATCATAGTTATTGTAAGTGTCATATCTTAGAACATTTTTGTCATAACCAAGGACTCATGATTTTAGCTGTAAGAATTTAAGCCAAACCTGCATGATGGAGAAAAGGTTAGGCCACTTGCCTCTAGAACGGTCCCTGAGTGCTTGTCTACCTGAGTGTTTTTCCGCTTTGTCACTTCTGGCATGAACTATGGGGGCTTTGGTCTGCTGTATTACCTTACATTGAGTCAGCCTTTTCCCAAATTATCCAGCCTTCCAGGGATGTCTGGAACTGACTTCAGAAAGGTCTTCCAGTCTGAGAGATGCCATTCGATCTTGAGCATGGACTATGAATTTCCACCTCTGAATACTCTAGAATCTGGAACTCTGGATCACTGTCATGAAGGTTCTATCATTAACAACATGCCTGAAGTTTGTTAATTGGTGAATCAGTGTCTCAGGTGTCAGCTTAATGTATTCATCAGGCAGGGGTCCAGAGTATGGGGATAGCAATGATCTTTAACCTATCTATGCCTAGTGTTCCATTATTGGAACATTAAGCTTGTGGGAGTTATTTATATCCTACTGCTCAAGGTCATCGCCAAGGTCTGATTTTTCACAAAAAACACTTGCAACCTCTGGCAAAAATTGGTTATAATATGTTTAATGTTTTGAATGTCCAGCTTTGTAACAAAAAAGGACGTTAGTTATACTTTTATTAGGCTGTGCCCCTAGCAAAAGGACAATCCTAGTTCCTCTCTCTGGAGCACTTTTTTCTCAAGTTACCTACAGAGCTGGCTTTCTCACCCTCTTTGGGTCTTTGCTTAGTCATCACCTTTACAGTGAGGTCCTACCTCAGAACCACATTTAATCTTGAATCTCACACTAGCACTCCCTGTTCTCCTTTTCTACATTTTTCTCCATAGCTCTTAGGACATACTTTATGTATAGTGTATATGCATATAGCATTAATTTATTATATTTGTCCTCTTCTCCACTAGAATGGAAGGCTTGTGTTTTGTTAATTTTAGACAGCAGGTTTTAACAGTTGTCTCCATTTTTGAGCATACATAGTTTATGCATGTGGAATATATGAACTGGTGTCCGCCTATTTTAAGTATTTGGTTGGTTCAAAAGTAATTGTGGTTTTTGCTATTGAATGTAATGGCAAAAGCTGCAATTCCTTTTGCACCAACCTATTAGTAAAAGTTTAATTTTATGTTCACAAAATAGTTAAAATATTTCCTTTGTCACTCTGTGTATTATCTTGCATATTTCTTTAAGTACACATACTCCATTTTAGAGGCCATAGGAATAGAATATTGGCTTGGAGGGCATAAAACTGGACTATCTCCTTTGCTGTTTTGATGGATGTGTCTAACACAGGCTGGCAGCCATAAGCATTGAAATTGGTTTCTCAGTAAGACGATAGGTACTCCATTTCTTCAGAATGACTACATTGACTAAATCTCAAAAATTAACTCTTGGCCAAATATGCTTTCATAGAACAAACAAATTCTCAACAAAAAAAAAATGTGATATTATGTACTTTTCCAGTGTGGGATAACTAAGTTGACCAGACTTAGTCTTGTTTTTTATTTTAAATTTAATAGTTAGTTATACTTTCAATGTGAATTAGGGAATTATAACTTGCACATCAATTGCGTGATTTCATGGATATTATTCAGTATGAGAATAAGTATTGTGAAAAAATAGTCCATTTAACATTTGTGGGACCTGAGGTGAGCCACTTAATTTATTCAAGCCTAAGTTATCATCTACCAGTGATGATGATGCAAGTCTGGGAGAGGAGGTCCTTTGGAAAGAAGAAGCCAAGATGCAGTTCAAAGTACGAGATGTTTGTTGGAGATAATGCCTATAAAATATAAAGAGGAGAGAGAGCACAAGCAGGAAAAAAAATATTTCTGCCCCTGATATAGGTTTGACTCACATGAAAGGAGAAGTAAGATTAGGTAGGAAGAGCCTCAGACTGTGCTCATTCTGAGAAAGTCTCAACCAATTTAGCAGTGAGCTCCAACACCAAGACTGCCCATAGAGGAGGAGTCTCACACTAGCTGGAAACGATGAGCCCTGATACCAACACCATGTGCAGTCATTGCCTGTGGACTGCCCAGAATGAATGGCCTCAGCTCATTGGTGTGGACACTGAAGGAAGATCCTGAGGGTATCTGCAACTGGTGCTGTCAGATAACTGCACTCCCTGTGGATGGTTATCTTTTGGAGATCTAAATAGCACACTTCATAACTGCCACTTTTCACCCCTTGTACCAAATCAATCCACTTCTCCATGCATATCCTGGGAGCTACTCCTCAGTGGGCCTCTCATCCTGAGGGTAAGACTTTTAAAAAAGAAAGGTTAGTGGGTCAAACTCAGCCACATCACTGCAGTTGGTCTTGGGGCCACAACTGGTATTCATCTCTCTCTCCAACCATCCATTCTGAATTGTCTTAGCAGCTATCACCTACCTTTGCAGGTCTGGGTGAATTATCTGGTGGTGTGACCCACACACTCATTCTTGAAGGGTCTGAAACCAAGACAACAGTAACTTTTTCAGGTGGGGGTCACTGCACTTGTCCATCCACAGTCATAATTGGACAAGGAATTACCACAAAGGTGCCCATGTGGATCACCTGAGTTTCATACATATTCCTATTTCTATTGTGTAATAACAGCCCTACATACCTTTTTATCAGGATAAATTACCCCTGCAAAAAGGGCAACTCCTTCCTGCCCGCTTGGTGCTTAAAGACTCCAAAATGCCTCAACAGCAGCCACAGCTTGTAGTTCAATAAAACCCTTGCTCTGCCCCAGATAAGAATAAGCCTCCTTTGGAGATCAGAATGGTAATCAAGCAGAACCCCAAACTGTAAGGATGGGAAGCACAAAATCCATAGTGAGTCACTGGGAGTGATGGTAAATGAGGCCACTCCTGTTTTCATCTCTCTTTTCCCAGGCCGATTAGTTTTTCCTTTTGGGAACACAATACTCTATAGAAGTTTCAAATTCAAATTCAATGTGCATGTGGCATTCAGGAAAATGGCACCCCACTGTCATGGGTATTGCCTCTGTGCTGGTGCTTCAAATGTGCTTTTAGCAGGCTATTCCAACACTATCAGGCTGGTTGATCCTGGATCATGAATTATGTGATATGGTCAATGACCACAGTCATGGGGCTATCTCCTGGTTAGATGCTAAGTTGAGTGTGATTTCATGCTTCTGGAGCAAGCACTCCATAAGCCCACTGCACATGACTGTATATATTCTCACATCGGAGCACTTTTATTCCACAAAAGTGTCATCAGATAAACTCAGAAAACATAGGGGTAAATCCCAATGACCTTGAATTTGATCATGGATTCTCAGGTATGACACTAAAAGCATAAGCAATCAAAGAAAAAACAGATAAATTGGTCTCCATCAAAAGTTTAAACTATTTTTACATCAAAGGACACTGCAAAGAAAGTAAAAACTTACACAATGGGAAACATTTGCAAATACATCTGATAAGGGTCCAGTATCCAGAATACATAATTCTTAATCCAGTCTCTCATTGTTGGACATTTGGGTTGGTTCCAAGTCTTTGCTATTGTGAATAATGCCACAATAAACATACGTGTGCATGTGTCTTTATAGCAGCGATAGACTGGATTAAGAAAATGTGGCACATATACACCATGGAATACTATGCAGCCATAAAAAATGATGAGTTCATGTCCTTTGTAGCGATATGGATGAAATTGGAAATCATCATTCTCAGTAAACTATCGCAAGAACAAAAAACCAAACACCGCATATTCTCACTCTTAGGTGGGAATTGAACAATGAGATCACATGGACACAAGAAGGGGAACATCACACTCTAGGGACTGTTGTGGGGTGGGGGGAGGGATAGCATTGGGAGATATACCTAATGCTAGATGACGAGTTAGTGGGTGCAGCGCACCAGCATGGCACATGTATACATATGTAACTAACCTGCACAATGTGCACATGTACCCTAAAACTTAAAGTATAATAATAAAGAAAAAAGAATTGTTACAACTCAACAAGAAACAGTCAAACAACTCAATTTAAAAATTGGCAAAAAACTTGAATGGACATTTCTCCAAAGAAGATATACAAACAGCTAAAAAGCACATGAATAGATACTCAGCAACATTAGCTACCAGGAAAACGCAAAGTAAAACAATAATTACCACTTCACCACCCACTAAGATGGTTAGCTATAATTTTTTAAAGAAAAGAAGTTGGAAGCCTTGTACATTGCTCATAAGATGTAAGATGGTGCAGCTGCCGTGGAAAATAATCTGACAGTTCCTCCAAATATTTTGGCAGGCAAACAATATAATTATATATGACCCAGTAATTCCACTCCTAGGTATGTTTTCCAAAGAATTTAAAAAAGATACTCAAGCAAATAAAGCAAATACTATACACAAATGGCCATTCACAATACCTGAAAGGGGGAAACAATCCAAATCCCATCAATGGATGAATGGATGAACAAATGTGGTATATCCGTAACACGGAGTATTATTCAGCCATAAAAAATGAAGTACTGATACATGCGACAACATAGCTGAACCTAGAAAACATTATGCTAAGTCAAAGAAGACATACACAAAAGGTCAAACATTGTATGATTTTATTTATATGAAATATACAGAATCAATAAATCTATATAGACAGAAAGCAGATCAGTAATTGCCAGGGGCTGGAAGGAGGAGGGATTGAAGAGTGACTGCTTAATGGATATTGAATTTCCTCTCAGGGTGATGAAACTAAGATGTAGGTAGAGGTGATGGTTGCACAACATTGTAAATGTACTAAATGCTACAGAATTGTACACTTTAAAATGGTTAATTTTATATGTGAATTTCACATCAATTAAAAAATGCTCCAAAAAACAAGGGGAGGTGATGATTAAGCTCCACTTATTTTTAAGATATTTTCCTCACCACTTTCTTCAAAACCACCCCTGGATATGACTCTAATGGAGCTATCATGCATTTTCAGCTTGTACCCACATAAGGAAACCCCCATAAAAGGCAAAGGTGTGGGCTAGAGGGAAAGGTGATGGCTGACAAGCAAGTCTGAGCTAACTGCTCATGCAACTTACTCATGCCTTCCACCCTAAAGTAATGTCTCCACTTATAATAAACTACTGTGCTCACCCAAATTTATGACTTGATTGTAGCCCAACAAAACCTAGCTCAATTGAGCAGCTCTGGGTGGCTGGTCACTTGGTATCCCATGGTCCAGTGTTCTGTCTCTACCAGGGCCCAATGGCATGTAGAAGCTATTCCTAATAGGCATTTAATTCTCCACTTCAAATGGGATGACCTTGCTGCAGAACCAACAATTTAGGGCCTAAATTGTGATTCTATTTTTACACACACCTCCACCTGAATTCATATGTTGAAGCCCTAATTTCCACCGTAATTGTATTTGGAGACAGGATCTTCAGAAGACAAAGATAAATTATTTTATAAAGGTTGGGCCCTAATCCATAGGACTGGTGGACCCATTATAAAAGCAACTCTCTCTGACTCTGTCATGTGAGGGCAGAGCAAGAGGATGGCCATCTGCAAGCCAGGAAGAGGTCCTAATAGGAATTGACTCTGCCAGAAATAGATTTGGGACTTCTAGCCTCCAGAACTGTGAGGAAATAAATTTCTGTTATTTAAGCCACCCAGTTCTGTGGCATTTTCTTATGGTAAAGTGAAGTCACCAAGACAAGCTGCTGTGTCACAGCCTGGATCTGCTGCACAGCTCTTTCCTGTTCCAGACACCACTCAAAGATGATTCCCTTTTATGTCAAACCATGTATGAACCAAAGGGACATTCCTATGAAACATATTACCTTAGAAAACCCAGTGAGACCTGCAAACCATGGTACTTCCATTGTGGAATTAAGAAAGCAAAATGCAACCATTTACCTTTTTCTTTGGAGCGGAGGTCCCAATATGCCCCTGACAAGTAGATGCCTAAAATTTTTACAGAAAGAGCAGGTGCTTGAATCTTCAGAGGGTTCATCTCATGCCCTCTGGAATGCACATTTTACCAAGCTCTTCATTCTGCCCTTGCTCATCCTGATGTTATTGATGTAATGAACCAATATCATGTTTTACAGTTATATCCAGGTGGTCTTCAGATTATGACATACAACAGGAGAATTATGCCAGTCCCAGTACAAATCTGTCAACGTCAGATGTGGCCAATATGATGATTCAGGCCTTTGTAAGTACAGAGGAAACAATACTTGAAAGTACAGAGGGAACAATACGTTTAGTGCTGTTTGATCCATGTAGTAAACTGTTTCTGATGCTCTTTTCTGACTAAGATAGAACAAATTCCTTCACCATACCACAATATGATATTATGTACTTTTCCAATGTGGGATAACTAAGTTGCCCCGACTTAGTCTTCTTTGTTTTTTATTTTAAATTTAATAGTTATACTTTCAATCTGAATTAGGGAATTATAACATACCTCATATCTGGCATCAGAGCTGTAGTCAAGATCACCAGTTGGTTGAGCTTGTGGTATTCTATCTATGGTCAATCTCCAGGATGCTTCTGATTCCTGCAAGGGCCATACTGTTGAATTAAACAGAGATATATTAAAGACAAACTTCCCTGCATCATTAATATCCTTAGTGATGGCACTATTCTCTGTCAACCCCCTTCCCATGAAATGTAATTTTTTTTTTATTTAGTACATTGGCTGAGGGGCTGCACAGTTTCAGAAACTTTTACTTGGGCTTCCCCAATATGATAGTTCTTAATATACAGACTAGAAATTCAATACAAGGTTTACACCAATTGCCAAGTATGGTAAAACCAATTATACATTTAGGGACCAGGGAGATGACAAAGCTTAGTTTACAAACTCAGTAAGTTTATCATAAGATGGACTTTGACCAGGGTTCTATTTATTAACTTTCTACCCAATCTAACAGTGAAATGATATTGATGTTTTGGGCCTTCATATATGAATGTCAACTCAGTCCCTGTGTCCAAAAGCTTCAAAATGTCTTATAATTCCCCTTGACCCAATATCAATCACTTGAATAAGTTGTCATACATCTCTTTGGGGGAAAGACCAAGGGAATCATCATAGTATGCAATTGCTCTAGGGTTGCAGGGTTTTTTCTGGCAAACCATCCACCTCGTCAGTCAATAGTTTCCTGGTCTTCCAACTGCTTCAGATTTGTGAACGGACCAAGAAAATGTGATCCCTTGCCAAAAGCTTCCTGCTCATCTATTCTTGCCTCTTTTATTGTGTGTAATAAGCAGTACCTCATTCACTGTCCATTTGTTCTTGCCCCTAAGAATGCCATGTTCTAGTAAACATCTGCATAAATCCCTGTGGGTCAAGGCTCTATGACTACCTCTCCTAGAATGTGCAGCCCCCTGGATGTGGGTGGTTAAGGTTTACCATCTAGACTCTTATCTTGGGGTCTTATCTTCATTATTGATGAGGCAGGCTCTGTTAATACCTTTTATACCATCATTCCTGGTCTTTGTAGGGGATCCATCACTGATATTAGGATGATCTTGATTCCTCTCACCAGAGCCTTCCTGAGAGCATTGGTAAATTATGTGTCCTCTATGACTTCCTATAAAATAAAATCTTTTAGAGAGTATTGTTCCTTCACATAATATATTATCCCGACACATTCAAAGCAGAGGGAAATTTATAGCACTAAATGCCCACAAGAGAAAGCAGGAAAGATCTAAAATTGACACCCTAACACCATAATTAAAAGAACTAGAGAAGCAGGAGCAAACACATTCAAAAGCTAGCAGAAGGCAAGAAATAACTAAGATCAGAGCAGAACTGAAGGAAATAGAGACACAAAAAAAACTTTCAAAAAATCAATGAATCCAGGAGCTGGTTTTTTGAAAAGATCAACAAAATTGATAGACCGCTAGCAAGACTAATAAAGAAGAAAAGAGGGAAGAATCAAATAGGCGCAATAAAAAATGACAAAGGGGATATCACCACCGATCCCACACAAATACAAACTACCATGAGAGAATACTACAAACACCTCTACACAAATAAACTAGAAAATCTAGAAGAAATGGATAAATCCCTCGACACATACACCCTCCCAAGACTAAACCAGGAAGAAGTTCAATCTCTGAATAGACCAATAACAAGCTCTGAAATTGAGGCAATAATAGCTTACCAACCAAAAAAAGTCCAGGACCAGATGGATTCACAGCTGAATTCTACCAGAGGTACAAGGAGGAGCTGGTACCATTCCTTCTGAAACTATTCCAAGAATAGTTCCTTCTGAAAAAGAGGGAATCCTCCCTAACTCATTTTATGAGGCCAGCATCATCCTGATACCAAAGCCGGGCAGAGACACAACCAAAAAAGAGAATTTTAGACCAATATCCTTGATGAACATTGATGCAAAAATCCTCAATTAAATACTGGCAAACCAAATCCAGCAGCACATCAAAAAGCTTATCCACCATAATCAAGTGGGCTTCATCCCTGGGATGCAAGGCTGGTTCAACATATGCAAATCAATAAACGTAATCCAGCATATAAACAGAACCAAAGACAAAAACCACATGATTATCTCAACAGATGCAGAAAAGGCCTTTGACAAAATTCAACAACCCTTCATGCTAAAAACTCTCAATAAATTAGGTATTGATGGGACGTGTCTCAAAATAATGAGAGCTGTCTATGACAAACCCACAGCCAAAATCATACTGAATGGGCAAAAACTGGAAGCATTCCCTTTGAAAACTGGCACAAGACAGGGATGCCCTCTCTCACCACTCCTATTCAACATAGTGTTGGAAGTTCTGGCCAGGGCAATCAGGCAGGAGAAGGAAATAAAGGGCATTAATTAGGAAAAGAAGGAGTCAAATTGTCCCTGTTTGCAGATGACATGATTGTATATCTAGAAAACCCCATCGTCTCAGCCCAAAAATCTCCTTAAGCTGATAAGCAACTTCAGCAAAGTCTCAGGATACAAAATCAATGTGCAAAAATCACAAGCATTCCTATACACCAATAACAGACAAACAGAGAGCCAAATCATGAGTGAACTCCCATTCACAATTGCTTCAAAGAGAATAAAATACCTAGGAATCCAACTTACAAGGGATGTGAAGGACCTCTTCAAGGAGAACTACAAACCACTGCTCAATGAAATAAAAGAGGATACAAACAAATGGAAGAACATTTCATGCTCCTGGGTAGGAAGAATCAATATTGTGAAAATGGCCATACTGCCCAAGGTAATTTACAGATTCAATACCATCCCCATCAAGCTACCAATGACTTTCTTCACAGAATTGGAAAAAACTACTTTCAAGTTCATATGGAACCAAAAAGGAGCCCGCATTGCCAAGTCAATCCTAAGCCAAAAGAATAAAGCTGGAGGCATCACACTACCTGACTTCAAACTATACTACAAGGCTACAGTAACCAAAACAGCAAAGTACTGGCACCAAGACAGAGATACAGACGAATGGAACAGAACAGAGCCCTCAGCAATAATGCCGCATATCTACAACTATCTGATCTTTGACAAAGCTGACAAAAACGAGAAATGGGGAAAGGATTCCCTGTTTAATAAATGGTGCTGGGAAAACTGGCTAGCCATATGTAGAAAGCTGAAACTGGATCCCTTCCTTACACCTTATACAAAAATTAATTCAAGATGGATTAAAGACTTACATGTTAGACCTAAAACCCTAGAAGAAAACCTAGGCAATACCATTCAGGACATAGGCATGGGCAAGGACTTCATGTCTAAAACACCAAAAGCAATGGCAACAAAAGCCAAAATTGACAAATGGGATCTAATTAAACTAAAGAGCTTCTGCACAGCAAAAGAAACTACCATCAGAGTGAACGGGCAACCTACAGAATGGGAGAAAATTTTTGCAATCTACTCATCTGACAAAGGGCTAATATCCAGAATCTACAATGAACTCAAACAAATTTACAAGAAAAAAACAACCCCATCAAAAAGTGGGCAAAGGATATGAATAGACACTTCTCAAAAGAAGACATTTATGCAGCCAAAAAACACATGAAAAAATGCTCATCATCACTGGCCATCAGAGAAATGCAAATCAAAACCACAATGAGATACCATCTCACACCAGTTAGAATGGAGATCATTAAAAAGTCAGGAAACAACAGGTGCTGGAGAGGATGTGGAGAAATAGGAACACTTTTACACTGTTGGTGGGACTGTAAACTAGTTCAACCATTGTGGAAGAAAATGTGGCAATTCCTCAGGGATCTAGAACTAGAAATACCATTTGACCCAGCCATCCCATTACTGGGTATATACCCAAAGGATTATAAATCATGCTGCTATAAAGACACATGCACACGTATGTTTATTGTGGCACTATTCACAATAGCAAAGACTTGGAACCAACCCAAATGTCCATCAATGATAGACTGGATTCAGAAAATGTGGCACATATACACCATGGAATACTATGCAGCCATAAAAAAGGATGAGTTCATGTCCTTTGTAGGGACATGGATGAAGCTGGAAACCATCATTCTCAGCAAACTATTGCAAGGACAAAAAACCAAACGCCGTATGTTCTCACTCATAGGTGGGAATTGAACAATGAGAACACATGGACACAGGAAGGGGAACATCACACACCGGGGCCTGTTGTGGTGTGGGAGGAAGGGGGCGGGATAGCATTAGGTGATATACCTAATGCTAAATGACGAGTTAATGGGTGTGGCACACCAACATGACACATGTATACATATGTAACAAACCTGCACGTTGTGCACATGTACCCTAAAACTTAAAGTATAATAAAATTTTAAAAATAAAAATTAAAAAATGTATATATTATCCCAACATGCCAACTTTGCTGAGTTTTCCAATCCCTTCTTGCACTGTATTCTTTTCTAATTCAGTTACCTCAACTGCTGGGATTAAAGAATTCTTTCTTATCTAGTCCTATGTTCCGCTTTGCTTGATCAAGCATCCTTAAAATCCAATCTCATTGGTACTCCTCTGGCTCCTACTAATACATGCTAGTTAACTTTTGCAACTGCTTTGGGTATAATCTCCTTATACTTTAACATATCCTGCATGAATTCAGCTGGGATATCTGAGGATTAACTGTAGTTATCAGCCTGGCAGCCAGGAGAACGGTGAGGACATATCCTAAAGAGAGCCTTCTGCTGACTCCTGAGGGATAGGCCACTATGTGGGGAAAGTGCTAGCAATTAATAGGGAGAGATTAAAGGAGGGAGCAGCGGCACCTCTGCAGCTCTAAATGTTTAGGGGATTCTAGAGAGCCTCAATATTTGAGAGTATTCATTCAAATGTCCCATCTCATGTTTTCCTAGGCTTTCCCTACTAGGGTGCTGAATTTAGCATTACATATTTGCCTTGGCAGAGCATTCTACTATCTTTGAAGTTCAATAAACCTGTCAGATCTTGAGTGGGCTCTTTAGCTGTGTTGCTCTTTGACTGCAAAAGACTGGTCCTCTTTATAAACTACAGAATAAGCCCCTTGGCTGTTATATTTAGCTTTCACTATTTGTTAAGGACCTCCATTGCTCATTATCCTTCTGTAGGGCATCAGTATAGCCAATCGTTAGATTTTGTTGTTTATTTGTAATTTAATGTGTCGTTCCCTCCGTACTTTCAAAGGCCTGAATCATCACATTGGCCAGAGTGTTCACCTCCATGTTGACATTCCCCTGTAGAGTGGAATTAGGATGATGATATTTACCATTAAAGTATTTGTGCTTTTTATTTTATCAGTTCCACTGACTGTAACTATAAAACTTAACATAAATGTATAAATGTGCTTGCCATTAACCCAAAAGAATACTATTTTATTCTACATAGAGTATCATTGCAAAATTTACTAAGGTTCCATAATATTTTTTTAGTCCAAAGGGATTTGAGTAGATTTGGTTTCCAAATTTAGAAAAAAGAATCCAAATGACTTGCTAAAACAAACTCGAGGAATAATGTAAGAGATTCCCACAAACTACTATGAGTCTCCTTCAGATAAGTGCACACTATCTGGAACCATTCGGTCCTAAATTTACCTGTGGTATTTGTTCATGTTTTAATAACACTCTTGTCTGGATAAAAGTCCTCCTCCTTTCCTTCCGTTTTTTTTAATCTCTTCCACTTTTGAATCTGTTGGTCATTTCAGGTAAATCAAACATGGATATTTAAATTGTTAAACTATGTCATGTGGGGTAATTTGGGGGAGTGCAAATTAATATTGAGCATACTTGCTCATTTTAAAAAAGCTGAGTACTTTCGTCATTGTGTTAATCCATTTTGCATTGCTCTAAAGAAATATCTGGCTAATTTATAAAGAAAAGAGGTTTATTTGGCTCACAGTTCTGCAGACTGTACAAGAAGCATGGTGCCAGCATCTACTTCTGGTGAGGGCCTCAGGAGGCTTACAATCATGGTGGAAGGCAAATGGCCAGCAGATGTATCACAAGATGAGAGGGGGAGGAGAGAGAGAGAGAGAAGGTGCCAATCTCTTTAAACAACCAGCTGTAATAGTGACTAATAGAGTGAGAACTCACTCACCACCGAGGGGATGGCACCAAGCCATTCATGAGGGATCCACCCCCATGACCTAAACACCTCCCACTAGGCCCCACCTCTAACAGTGGGGATCAGATTTCAATATGAGATTTGGAGGGGACACACATCCAAACCATATCAGTCATTTGCACTATATATTTTTTCTCATTTGGGTACAATGGAACAAGTGGGAGACTGTTATTTAAGAGATCTTTCACTCATCCACTTCATTCAGCAAATATTTATTGAACTCCTATGTGTGCTATGTGTTCTATATGCTCCAGAGGCAGACAGTGAAGAAAATTATGTCCCTGTCTTCATAGGGCTTCCATTTTGGTGTAAGGAGAGAGGCAAGACAAAATTGCAAAGTACATACATGAAGTATTACATACTCATGAGTGCTAATGAAAAAAGCAAAGTAAGGTAAAGATTGTGGACATGCCAGGGAAGGGGGAGTTGCAATTTTAAATAAGCTAGAAAAGGAAAGCCTAACTTGGAAGCAAGGAACTGAATTCTGAAGTTGAGGGAGGGAGTCATGTAGGTATCTAGGAAAAGGAAGAACCCTTTAGAAGGACTGACTTGAGAGCATGGTAATGTGATCAAGTTTAGCAAAGAAGGTAGTGTATCTGGAAAGAAGTGAGTAGGAGAAGGAGTGGTGTGAGATGAGGCAGGAAGCTATGCTGTTGGATGCAGCTCACATAAAACGTTGACATCAGATGATAGGACCCTACATTTTTCTGAGAGATACGGGGAGCCATTTCAGAGTTTTGAGCAAAGGTGTGGTATAATCTGACATGTTTTAACAGGACAGTGCTGGCTGCTGGGTTGACAGTAGATGGTAGGAGAACAAAAGGAGGAACAGGGACCCTCATGAAGCGGCTACTGAAATAGACCAGGTGAGAGATGATGATGGGTGAGACCTCAGTGTCAGCAGTGGAGGTGGTGGTAAGTGCTTAGAGTGTAGATATGTTGTGAAGGTAAAGCTAATTGAATGCACTGATAGATTGAGTATGGAGTGTGAGCAAAAGAGAAAACAAGATATTAAGACCAAGGATGAAGTTACCATTTACTGCTTTACAAGAGACTATGGCAGGAGGTGTGTGCAGGCAAAGGTGACCCCATCTTGGATACTAATCCACCATATTGACATTTGAGTTGCCCCAGTTCTGGAAATGGCTCCTGATTCCTACTTTTTTTACTGTCCATATTATTCTCCATAAATTCTATTCTAGATCAAAACCAACTTGATGTTATCACACAAACTATAGGCTATGATTCACATAGCATTCTTGCCTCTTCTGGAAGGTTGTCTTTAAGTGTCTCTTGAGCATGTACGCCCTTTCTCTATAGTACACAAGCCCTAGGTCTGGGGAGTCATGATGTGGAGATCTACCTGTCTTACCACTGTCCAAGAGTACACCTCTGTTCATAACATTCCCAGTAAATCATCCTCTACTGACAAACTGGATTTGTCTGCCTTGTTCTTTGATTCCTCAGCTCCTTCTGCACTTGGGGGTCACTTGGCACATAAAGAACATGGTTTGGAAGAGAATTGGGCATTAAGTTTTGAACATTGCATTTGTTTTTTTAGGGTTGCCTTAACAGAACACCGCAATCTCGTACCTTATGACAACAGAAATATACTTTCTCACAGTTCTGGAGGGTAGAAGTCTAAAATCAAGGTGTCAACAGGATCTTGCTCCCTCTGAGACTCTTATAGAACCCTCTCTCACCTCTTAGCTTCTGGAGTGGCCTGCAATGCTTGGCATTTCTTGGCTTGCAGCTGCATCACTCCAATCTCTGCCTCAATTGTCACCTGGCACTCTCTCTGCATGTCTCTGTCTCTTCTTCTTATGTAGACACCAGTCAAATTGGATTAGGGCTCATCCTAATGACTGCATTTTAACTTAATTGCATCTGCAAAGATTCTATTTACAAATAAGGTCATTCCTGTGTCCCATGAGTTTGGACTTCCATATACCTTTCTGGGGGACACAATTCAAACTGTAACAAACATGTCAAGTTTGTTTGTAAGTTTGAGATTCCTTACACATCCATGTTGAGAAGGTAGTTGGATATACAAGTCTGGAGTTCAGATGGAAGATCCAAGTTTAGGGCTGTCAACTCTGGCACCCACTTATTTACTGGATAAGCCTGGGAAAACTACAAAGCAATCATAATATCCTTCTTCTCTAAGATGGGAAAATACAATACCCACTTGGAAGGGGCCATTGCGAGAGTTTAATGGGACAATGAATGTGAAAGACCCCCATGAAGTTTCAAGAACGATATGAGTCAAAGCTCCTCATATTGTCTATTGCTCTAAATTCAGCAATCATATATTTGGCACAAATGTTTTTGGAATATAATATGCTTTAGTATACCACCAGTTTGTATTTAAAGCTAAATGTCAGCTTGCTTTGGGGCAGCTGATGTATACAAATAATGATAAATTACACACTGGTGAGAATTTTTTAAAAAAAGAAAAGAGTTCTAGGTTGGTGGTTGACCAGAGAGCTTTTAGACTCTTTAACATTTCATTAAAGCAATATCCAAAGCTTACCACACCACTAAAGTGAAATCACCAGAGAACTTCTCAAGTGGAAGTTCAGTTCTGCATGATTCTTAGAGAAAGTAAGGGAATCCTTTCAATTGTTCAAAATATACATTGAGAATATATTTTGGGCTAGGCATTGTACAAGAGATGGGACCATAATGGTGAATAAGACCCAACAACTGTCCCTAAGGAGAGAGACTTACAGATAAACATACAATTAACATAGAGCAAGTTAATTTTAGATATAAACATAAGATGCTATTGGAAGCACAGGGAAAGGCTAATTAACTAGGTCTTGGAGCAAGGAATGACATGTATGAGATCTGATGGATAAATTAGAGTCATTCAAGAAAATAAGGAAAGGGCATTCCAGGCAGAATGACTCAGAAAGGCTCAAAAGAAAAAGAGATGATGGGTTCAGGAAGGAAAGTAGTTCGATGCAGCTGTAGCGTGGAGGGTCAGATGGTGATGGATGTAGGGATGACTCTACAGTTGTTAGCAAGAGCCCATTATGAAGACCCTTCTGTGTCACGCTGAGGAGTATGTGCTTTGTCCTATGAGACTTGAGGCCACTTTAAACCAAATTGCACCTGCTCAACTATTTCTCATTATTTCTTTACGTACATACTATTTTTTTTTAACTTAAGGACTATGAATGCTGAAGTTTTCCCAACTGCCCTGGAAGAGTTTGTCCAACGGTCTTGGCTATATCACTGTAGTCTGAGAATTCTAATGCTTTGTTTCAGAAGCATATAGCAGTTTATTCACAGACACTTAGAGGTAGCAGGTCCTATTTTTAAGTTTACCTTCCTTTCTCTGTGCCAATTTACTCTCATAATCCACTAATCTGCTGCCAGGTATTCTGTGACCTGGTATTCTAATCTGGCAACATTCTAGTTCACAACTATCTCTTTATTTCTGAAATAAAGAATGGTCAGAAATTCCTATTCCTTTTCCATTTTTGCTAACAGATTTAAGAGAAAAGGTGCGTATCTGATATAGTATAATTATGTGCCCAGTCTTCTTGAGTCGGAACCGCTGGAATGATGCTAAATGGAAGGCAAGCGCCTGTTGGAGCTCCGTAGTGAGTGGAGTACTCAAGGGGTACTTACCATTGCCTGGCCATTGTGAATTTGTGTTTTCCCTACCATCTGAATAGTGAAGTGTTTCTTCCTGTCCATCATTGGATAAAAGGAATAGCTATATAATCCCTTTCAGAAAATTTCCCATTAACCTATAAAAATTCAAGTCACTTCTGACATTTTGAGCTATTCATTGGATACTTGGCCTGAAGATATTTTAAAGGAAGAATTTCTTCTACTTCAAAACAGCGACAGAAAAAAAAAATCTCCATTTGTGTGTTGTGTGGGTCACAATTAGGTAAGAAGGTATATACAGTAGATCTCAGGAGAGGAACAAAGATCTATAGAGTGTTTTGAGGTCAATGTAATTCTACTAGACACATCGAATCTCTATTAGACATTAGATATGTTGGTGGCAAGGAACGTTTTTATGGTTCCTCTGCTAAATGGAGGTTTTAACAAGTTACTGATCCTACCCCTCTTTTGACTATAGAATAACATAAGCACCTATCATTTACTGAGCATTTATTCTGTGTTAGTTGCTTATCTAAGAATTTTAAATGTATCACATTTAATCTTCACAATAATCTAACACATGCTTTCATGATCACCATTTTACAGATGTGGAAACTGAAGACACAGAGATTAAGGGATTTATGGAAGGTGACACAGAGATTAAGGGACTTATGGAAGGTAACACAGCTTGGAGCACAGATGCATTTCAAACCCAGGAAGTCTGGTCCAAAAGGCCGGGAAATATCCAAAGCATTTTTAAACATCAGAATTCTGAACCAGACGCAAGGAGTTGAGTAGATACATATATTTTAGGTTTTATCACAGCCATGAATTTAGTAGATGAATGCTGGAGAAATTCTGGAGTGTTTTACAAGAAAAAACAGAACATTTTCCATGGATTTCCAGCTACCTCTGTTTTTGCACTTCAGCCCGATATCAGTCTCTTTATCTGCCACTGAGGCACCCCAAAGGGCACCAGGCTACAAAATACATAAATGAATTAAAACAAATGCAACATTGATGCCCCCCAGCTTCCACTGGGTTCTGACCTACAGTTTATGAGGCTGAAACCAAACCCATCCAGAACTTGCATGAGATCTGGCCACTCATAATAGATAACTGTGGGACAACCCTACTGACCAAATGGTCCTAAAGTAAGACTTTAGTCCAACATTGGGGTGCTTTTTCATGGAATCTGTTAAGATTTATGTTGGCACTGCAGAGTCACATCTGAGAATTCTTCTGCACCATTGTTTTCCTCTTTTGATCACTAGGTAATTTCCATTTCTATTAAATTCAGATTCATCAAAGAGCATGCAATGAATTGTTAAAAAGCAATGTTCCTAACTGCTCTTCTTGCTATTCTTACATCCAACCAGGAGAGGGCAGTCAGAGTACATTTTAGAGCCCACAGGCAGCTGCTGATGGTGGGAAACTTCGAAAAGATTTTCCATTTTAATATGAGGTACCCTTGAGTCCCTTCTCCTCAGGGTAACGTGAAAACCCAAATTTTAAAGCCATATATAACATGCTGTTCTAAATAATAGCAGAGAGCTATGGCCCCTTTTAAGGCACCAGCCAAAGCTTAATCATTAAAAGCACAGATGGCAATAAATGTAATCAGAATTAAATTAAAAGCACAGATCAATATAATCAGAATGCAAGTTTCCATGAAGCAGGGGGTTGAGGGTGGATCAGACTGAAAACATCAGTGTCTTTCGTGTCCTTGAGACACTCACTGTGTTATAATTAAAAGTTATTTTTCAACATCTTGCCATATATTTCTGTTAATCAAAATACAATTTCGGAACATGTAAACTGGGCTCCATTTGCAAAACTTGGCTTCTTCTACTGAGGTTGGGCATAGCTCTTTCACTTTTCACTAAAAAACCTTAGCAGTGATTGAGTTATTAATAACAACATGGGCTTAAGGCCATCAGACATTCCGTGCAAGGAGCAAAAGTAAAAGAAAGAAGGCTACATCTTATAGTAAACTTTCTATTTTTGTCTTCGCCTTCTTGATTGAAGTCACAGTTTTTCTCACAACCAGCTTTATCAGGTGGTTCTTTAAAAGGAACACAGGGTTTAGAGCCAGGTATAACTTGTTTTATAGTTTGGCTCAGTGAAAAGATTTGGGGCAAGTCTTATAATTTCTGGGTCAATTTTTCCCCCAGCAAAATGATCATTGCTCTGATCTTACTGAGAAGTAAGAATTGAAGCAGGAGATGCTGCTGCTGTTTTTGTCATTATTTTGACCAAACTAGCCGGATACTAACCAGTGACTTCCCTCCAAAGAGTAGCTAAGCCTTTACCTTCTTTGTTCTGGTAATACAAATATAAGTCCAATAATTCTGACTTTTACCTAACATGCCAGTTTTCAATATTAAAAGGTAAAAATTCAACTTTGGGGGTTTTTGACCCCCCAGATAGTCCTATTTCTCAAATTTCTTTCTTTATATAAAATCTTCTTATACATACTTTCCTTCTCTTTAGGAATGTGAATACCATAAATAATGAAAAACAATAGCAAAAAAAAAAATCTTCTCATTACTAGTTGCAGTTGATTCTAAGTATGTGTAGCAGTTACCTCTTAGGAACCGAATTAGGTTTTTTTAAAAAAAATAATATTTTCAGCAAATACCATAAATGTACCAAAAGTTATTCTTAGGTTATTTGCATATTGTCTTGCATTTTATATGTGTAAATTTAATGCAGAAATAAAATTATCAGTTTTAACAAAACACTTTCACAAACATGATTTGTTATTTTACAACAGTCTTCTAAGGAAACAGATATTACTTTATTCATATTCTACCAAGAAATAAACTGATGCTAAAGGATCACACCGTTAGTTCTACACAGATCTCAGAAGCCAGGTTTTCGGACTCCTAGTCCAGTACTCTTTATACAGTAATCATTTTTACAACCCAATTTCCAGAAATTTAAATCAGGGTGCATTTATAAGGAATCAACAAGTATACCAGCCTCCATCCATGTTCTTAGCAGGTACACCAGTGGCTGGGTGTGACATCCTCTGACCACCCTTAATACTACAAAGCATAGTTTTATAATACACCATCCCGCCCCAGAGGTAACCAAAGATTTTTGCAATTTCTTATGTCAAAGGTGTAATGGAGCTAGCCCATGAGGGGACTCTCTAGCAGCTAAAAAGGCAGATTGTTTGATCTTCAGGATAATAACACCTTTGAGGGGATGCTTAACTGTTGGTAGTCAAAGTGAAACCTAGCAAGACTAAGGACTAGAAAAGCATGCCATCATTTGGATAAGAACTGGAATAATTTATTGCAAAGAACTTGGTTATAGCCATTTATTTATTTTTTCAGTAGGAATGATTGGCATCTGTGTGTTGTTAGTAAACTCTTTATTCTCAGAGAATCCTAAACAATAATGATATTGGAATACTGCACAGGCACTGCTAATTAACAAGGAATTTCTAATGGGAGTGCCAGAAAGGGGTAAAATGTATTTTTAACAGTGTGTCACAATAATATCAAGGGCTGACTATGTCAGGACTGTGTGATCAGGGCTTTTTATATATTGTTTTATTCAGTCTTCATGACAAGCCTATGAGATAGGGACGGTCATTATTAAACCAGTACAGATAAGAAAGCGAAGGCTCAAGGAGGTGCTCTTTGCATGAGCCAAAGACTTTCACATGGAGATAATGAGAGAATGAGGTCACAGTGGAGGTGGAGAACAAATTATAACAGGCCTTGGGTGATAAGCTATAGGCTTAATATTTTATTATGCAACCTCTGGTGCAACACTGAAACCCTAAGGATATTTTAATGGGATTATTCAAGGCTGCAATGTGTAGGAGCAGAATGAAGGAGGGGAGACAGAAGAGTCAGCAAGCTAGTGCTATATTCCAGACACGAAGAGATGAAGGCCAGGGCAAGGACAGCAGGGAGAGGAAGGAAGGATTCCCTTGGTGATGGGACGCATGGAGGTCAGGGTGAGTGTTTAAGATTTAGAGGCTCAGAGAGTCAGGGCTTCACATGCTGATATGGAAGGAGAAGAAAAATCAAACAAATTCATATTCATCTAGAAGTTGCTTTTTAAAAATCAACCTGTGATGTTAAGCAGTGTATTTTTTTCTCACAAATGTAAAGTTTTAAATGTGATAAAACAAATTAAAGGTCTTTATATCTAAAGTTGTGCTGGTCATCAAATATTATAAATGTTCCAGGATTCTAGGCACATGGTAGGCTTGTCTTGCCTGGGGCCCATGTAATGAATTGAGGCCATATGACCTCTAAGATTAGAGATTGTTTATTACTGCTTATAACTTTACTTAATCTGAATGACACGCTAGCAGTTTGAATCACAAAAATCAGAACAGCATTTCTTAGCGTTAATGAGCCAATATCCAAACTTTAGGGAAATAAAAACATATTGAATGCTTTATGAGAGCCTTAATATGTGAGAAAGGGGAGTATGTGCGTGTGCGTGTGTGTGTGTGTGTGTATTCATTTATTCCTCCACTCAACAAAAGTTTATTGACAAAAATGGATCCGACATTATTCTAAACAATGAGGATATAAACTTTTTGGCCTCTGCTGACATAAAACCAGCAATCTTATGAAAGAAAATCAACATTATAAAGTATTTATAATAGAATTATACACAGAGTGCTATAGGTGTGCAGAGGAGGATACTGATTCCAGCTGGGCATGATCAGCTGGAAACTTCCTGGAGAAGCAGGTGTCTAAGCTGAGTCTGAATCATAAATATAAATTAATTAGTTATTTGAGAGGATAAGCTGTTTTAGAAAATGAGGATACCATGTGCAAAGAAACAAGACAAAATGGTTTGAGCATGTTTGGAGAGCTATAAATAATTTCCTATGACTGGGACACAGAATGGAAACCAAAAGTGAGTCTAGAAATTAGAGGCCAGGTGACCTGGAGTATAGTATCAAATAATGGAGTTTGGACTTGATCTTGAGGGTGAGGAAAGTCACAGACTTGAAGCAGAGTGATGACTTGATTAGATTTTTGAGAAAAGTGTCTCTAATAGTAATGGAGATAATGAATTATAGAGAGTGTTAACTAGAAACAGGAAAGTGAATTAGGAGGCCACTGAGTCATGCAAAGGATGATGAAGTTCAGAATTAAGATAGTCACAGAGTAAATGATGGAGAAAAAGAAATACATAAGACAGATATAAGCTAGGTACTGTGCAATAGATAAAACTTCATAACTCAGGAATGTGCCTTGGGGACCTGAATAGACAGTGATAGTTTTCACTGAGGTATGCTCTGTTTGTGTGTGTGTGTGTGTGTGTGTGTGTGTGTGTGTGTGTGTGTGTGTGTGTGAGATAACGGGGAGCAGAGCAGAAAAAGAAGGAGGGGAACATAATAAATTTGATCTGTAAGTCATTAGCACATTTGATTTGGGAAACATCTTGTCAACCATAACTCCTGATCTTAGAAAATCCATATAAGCGGCTGGGCATGGTGGCTCACACCTCTAATCCCAGCACTTCGGGAGGCTGAGGCAGGCGAATCATGAGGTCAGGAGTTCATGACCAGCCTGACCAACACAGTGAAACCCTGTCTACTAAAAATCCAAAATTTAGCCGGGCGTGGTGGCATGCGCCTGTAATCCCAGCTACTCAGTGGGCTGAGGCAGGAGAATCGCTTGAACCCAGGAAGCAGAGGTTACAGTGAGCCGAGATTGTGCCACTGCACTCCAGCCTGGTTGACAGAATACCCACTTAGGGTTATCTATCACAAAAATCCTAAGTGAGTAATCTATGCAGTTTACCAGTGAAAAATATGCAGAGGAACAAGACTAGTGGAACACCAATACACAAGGAGCAGATGGAGGGAAAGTAGCCCAAGAGAGAAATCAAGCAGGACCCTCCAGAGATTGAGATACAATGTGACTTGATGAAAATCAGTAAAAGACACAGAGAGAGCGCTCTACCCATCAAATGCTATAGAGGCCATTCATGAATGTGATGTGACCATTCAGTAGAGAGAGTGAGACAGTGAGATGAAAACACAACCCGTGAGCCCAAAATGAATAGAAAGTATGCATTTCACAAATAGTTATTAAACACCTACTATAGACTCGCACAGAGGAAAAAGACAAGGACGTAAATTCCATGTACCTTAACAATAATAAAAACAATTCAACTTATTCATTGACATTCCAGATTCCATCTCTCTTCTTTATTTTATCCAAGATGATCTCAATCACCTCTGGTGCCTACAGATCCTTTGTCCACTACTCCAGAATCCAGAAAACTCTGGAAACTTAATTTTTGAAAAAAATTCAACATGACCTGAACTAACGGAAAACTATTTGTAATATTTCTCAGTGTAAACATTCATACATTTTACTATAGTAATATTGATATAGATGATTAAAGGGTGCTACACTGTATCCCACTTTTGATATCATAAATGATACATATTTTCTATTTGCTTTTTAGAATTAAAAAAATTGAATTCCAGAACACACATGGCTTCAAAGCCTCTAGATGAGAGATTATGGATATGTAGAATTATAACACTCTTAACACCTCAGAAAATATATGATTTTCTTCCTGTATTATGCACTGCTGATGGGAGCCATATATAATATTTATTTTGAATGTGAAACTTTCTGGTGGAAACCAAGTTATTGCACCAAACAACAGTCTATTTATCCCTCTCTATGGCAACTATCACCACTGCTCCAGTGCACTCGCTCACAAAGCAGTCGGTGGTGACTGGAGGGTGCTACTCAGCTTGCAGAGAGATGTCCTGTCCTGGAGTTGACCTCGCTCCCCTGAGAATTCTTTTTGCTTCCTTCGCTCTATGGCCCAGGGTCTGCTGGCTCCCTTTTCTGCCCTGCACCTGGGCCTGCTTCCGTTTTCTTTTCCATGAAATCTTAGGCCAGGGGAATCTTCCCATTCTCATTTGGCAAGCTTGGGATCATTACCATTTCAGAGCTGGAAGAAAACTTGGAGAGAGCATTGAGTTCAATCCCTGCCTTTTAGAAATGAGGATACAGAGGCACAGAGAAGTGAAGGGATTTGGCCACATCATCTAGGAAATTTATGACAAAGCTAGGATGTCCATCCAGGTGGTGATTTCACTTTACCAATCAAGAGATTCAAACATCAGAGAAATAGGTGCAGTAGGTGTGTAATGGACATTTTTGTTTCACTTTATTTGCTGGTTGGGCTGTTTTACTATCCAGTATTTGTTGTCTTTTCCTCTGGGTGTGATACCTCAAGTTTCCTTTCCAATATCTCCTCCCCTGTTTCTTTCCCAGTGCTTCAAGTAGAAATCACTCAAACCCTTAGTTCCACCAGGTAGCACATAACTCGGCCCTGAGCAATCAGAAAACCACAGCTTTCAACCACAGTGATTGGCTCATAAATGAACTCTTGACCCAATCAGACACCTAAGGAGTTTTGGTATAATTACTGAGAAAGGAGCATGTGCATGTCATTTTAATCCTCCATCAGGCCTCAGGAAACTAGGAGTACATGGCCTCAAGTTACTTAAAAACACTTTCCTATCACATGAAGACAAGAGAGGAAACCAAAGATCAGAGGTGGAAAGACACAGAAATCTGTCTTTGACACTGTTTATTTGACATGTTCTGATGACATTGTTTGAGTCTCTAAATTCTCCCATACCTGAAACTCACTCTACCTCTGACTTTTTCAGCCACTTAAACCAATTAGTTTCTTATTTTAAGCCCAGTCTAGTGAATTCTCTGTTACATACGAACAGCAGGGCCTTACCCAATAAAATGACCTTTTACAATGTCTCTTCAAACACTGTCAGTATGTAATTTGATGACCTTTTTTTTTTCTGTAAAGGTCTGGTACTTCTGAAACTCAACAGCTTACTGAATTAAAGAAATAAGCAGAGTGAAACTCTTACCTCTCAATGATATGCTGTAGTTTTCTACGCTACGTAAAAGACACCCATTGTTCATGTTAACAAAGTCTGATTTTCTCACTCTATCATAGATGTGTAAATCCATTTGGCTAATTTGAAACTTAAACCAGCATCATAAATTTTTATGTTGCAAACTGAAATCTGGAATTGGTCTTTTCTGTTTTTGTGTTTATAATATTTCCTGTTCTTATGAACAAAGAGAGTTAAAAAGATCTTTTAAAAAAATTTTTTTTAGGTAAATAAGTCACAAAAGGTTTTTAAACTTCAAACCACTATAAAACAATGACATGGTAATGAGTTGAATGCAAATGAATCAGAATCATCCAGATTGTTTGCTTTCAAATCTGCGTGAATATACAAACCAAAGGGAAAGTTTTTTATCGCAAAATACCCCAAGGGAGAATGGATAATATTTAACATGTTTATCTACACTAAATAGGGCCACTTTTGTTGAATAATTACCCTATTTGCATATGAAAAGTGTCTTCCCATGGCCTCCAAAACAGAGAATTTGCCTGAGTAAAATCAATGGAAGAAGGTCTAAGTTAGACAAGGCAACTCATATACCACTCTTCAGATGGGGCAAACCAACAGTGACAAGACAGTTTCAGGTTTAGGAGGAAAAGGGCAAGGGTTGTGTAAAGATAGCAACAGTGATTGATTATGTCTATCTTCTCATGAAGGGAAACTTCACTCTTTTATTCAGTTTCCAAATTACCTGCCTAGGCATTTCTATTCTCATTTCAGTTTTTGGCTTGTTGCTTCTCCAATTTTGCTCCATGCCACTCTCCCCTTCCCTACCTCCATTTGGCTATGTCATACCTCTTTCTGTATCTTGAACTTGTCAAGTTCTTTCATATCTCAGGGCTTTTGCACAAGCCATTCTCTCTACCTAGAAAGCTCTTTCTGTGGCTCTTTGCAAATTGGTCCATGTGATATTCTCAGACCTCTGCTCGTCCAATCTCATGTAGTCCACACCCCATTATTTTCTCTCATAACACCTTGGTAGCTTCTTCTACCACTCTTATAATGACCATTCATAGCTTATTTATTGCCTATCACTTCCTTTTAGAGTGTAAGTCCCTAAAGTGCAAAGATAACTTTTTTGGTGTTTACTGTTTCCAGAGCCTTGAACAGTGCCTAGTACATAGTGTACAAACAATAAATATTTGTGAAAATGTATAAGGGGCTTAAGGAAGGCAATTGTACAACTATGCTCCTGTTCCATCTTTTTCCACAAAGATTTCCCTTTACCTAAAGGATCACCTATAAAGAGGGAAGGCTAATTTGACCAAAGAGTAGAAATCTTAGCTAGGTTTGCGGAAAGAAGGCTTTATTTGTTTAGCTGTCATTAAGTTTCACTACAAAAAGCAGCATATGGGTGAGAAATGAGAAGTTTTCCCACACAATAGGAACAGGGCAAGAATGTCCCTTCTCACTGCTCCTTTTTAATATCATACTGGAAGTGCTAGATAATGAAAACAAGAGAAGAAAAGAGAAGAGGGGGAGGGGAGGGGAGAAGAGAGAAGAGAAGAAAAAAAAAGAAGAGGTATACAGATTGGAAAGAAAGAAATAAGGCTTTGTTCACAGATGACGTGATCATCTATGTAAGAAATCCGAAAGAATCAACAAAAACTTCTGGGACTAAGAAGTGATTACAGCAAAGTTGCAGGATACAAAGGTCAATATACAAAAGTCATATGTTCCTATATGCCAACAATGAAAAAATGGATTTTAAATCTAAAAACACAATACCATTTGAAGTGGCCCCCCAAAATTAAATATTTCTGTATAAATCACACAATATATGTACCAGATCTAAAAGAGGAAAACTATCAAACTCAGATGAAAGAAATCAATGAAGAACAAAATAAATTGGAGAGATATTTCATGTTCATAGATAACACTCAATATTGTCAAGATATTGGTTCTTTCCAATCTTATCAATGGATTCCCAATCAAAACCCCAGCAAAACCTCAGCAATTTAGTTTTATGGACATTGATTTAATTTAACATTGATATGGAGAGACAGAAGACCCAGAATCACCAACGCAACATTGAAGAACAAAGTTGGAAGACTAATACTACATGACCTTAAGGCTGATTATGAAACCATAGCAATTAAGACAGTATAGTGTTGGTGAAAGAGTAGACAAATGAATCAATGAAACAGAATTGAGAGTTTAGAAACAGACTCACATAAATATGGTCAACTGATCTTTGACAAAGAAGCAAAGGCAATACAATGGATAAAAGATAATATTTTCAACAAACGGTAGTGGGACAACTGGACATCCACATGCAAAAAATTGAATCTAGACACAGACATCACACCCTTCAAAAATTTAAAACGGATTGCAGACCTAAATGTAAAATGTAAGACTACAAAACATCTAGATTATAACATAGGAGAAAATCTAGATGACTTTGGGTTTGGCAATTACTTTTTAGATACAACACCAAAGGCATATTTATGGAAGAAATAATTGATAACCTGGGCTTCATTAAAATTAAACATTTCTGCTCTGTGAAGATAATGTGAAGAGAATGAGAGGATAAATCACATACTGAGAGAAATGTTTGTAAGAAACACATCTCATAAAGAGCTGTTTTTCAAATATACAATAAACTCCTAAAACTCAATAAGAAAGCAAACAATCCTACTAAAAAATGAGTCAAAAACCTAAACAGACACCTCACCAAAGAAGATATACACATGCAGATAAGCATATGAAAGCATTCTTCACATCATATGTCATCAGGGAAATGCAAATTAAAACAACACGATACCACTGCACACCTATTAGAATGATGAAAATCCAAAACCACAAGAACACTCATTTATTGCTTGTGGGAATGCAAAATGGACATCCACTTTGGAAGACAGTTTGGCAGATTCTTACAGAGCTAAACATATTCTTATTATATAGTCTAGCAATTGTGCTTCTTGATACTTACCCAAAAGAGTTGAAAATTTATGTCTACACAAAAACATGCAAACAAATATTTATAGCAGCTCTATTCATAATAGCCAAAGTGCGGAAGCAACCAAGATATCCTACAGTAGGTGAGTGGATAGCTAAACTCTGGTACACCCAAACAATGAAATATTATTCAGTGCTAAAATGAAATGAGCTACCAAGCCACAAAAACACAAGGAGTAATTTCAAATTCGTATTACTAAGTAAACAAAATGCCAATCTGAAAATCCTGCATACTATATAATTCAAACTATATGACATTCTGGAAACAGCAAAACTATGGGGAAAGTAAAAAAAAAAAAAATTACTGGTTGCCAGATGTCATAGGGGATGAGGAGGGATAAATCAATGGACCACAGAGGATATTTTAGGGCAGTGAAAATACCCTGTATGATACTATAATGATGAGTCCATTTCATTAAATATTCACCAAAACCTATAGAATGTAAAACACCAAGCATGAACCATAGTGTCAACGATGGGTGATTATGATATATTAAAGTGGGCTCATCAATTATAACAAATGTGCCATTCTGGTGGGGAATGTGAGGATAGAGGGCAGATAAGAAAGCTCTGTACCTTCTGCTCAATTTTGCTGGAATCTAAAACTTCTCTGAAACCAAAGTATTTCAGAAAGAAAGAAAAAAGTATCCTGTACTATGTTTTATGACCCATAGCCTGAATGAATACAGACTTTTTGTGTTGCTATGATAGAATAACTGAGACTGAATAATTTATAATGAATGGAAATTTATTTCCTCACAGCTTTGGAAGCTGGGAACTTCCAGATTCAAGGCTCCAGAAAGTCCAAGATTCAAGGCACCAGCAGGTTTGGTTGTCTGGTGAGGGCTGCATCCTCCAGAGAGGAGGAACTTCATGTTTTCTCATGGCATACGGACAGGAGAGCAAGCTAGTGGAATGTTGCGTGGCACCTCTTTCATAAGGTTCTTACTTCCAGTAAGGAGAGAGAGGAGCCTTCACAGACTAATCACCTCTTAAACGCCCCATTCTTTATTACTATCACATTGACAATACTGGAATTTTGGAGGGAATACATTCAAACCACAGAAAATACATCATACTGAATTGTTCCACCAATGTACATTGTTTAACTATCTTTACAAATTAAGAAAAATTAAATATTCAGAATTCTAGGATACTAGAGTGAATTCTACAAGTTTTCTTTCTCGACTTTTACTTAGAGATAAACCAGGAATATAGGTGACCTTCAGATTTAAGGACAAATGCCAGTTAGCCAGAGGAGAAGTAACTCAAGTAATAATGAAAAGCAAGAAAGATATCAGGCTGGATATTGTCCATAGTGAGGACAACTTTAAATTGGGAGAAGAGAGGGAAGGAGAGTGCCAAATTCAAGCTAGCATACAAAATGAAAGCACTCCTTGGAGAATATGGAAATTCAGCTCAGCAGAATCAACTCAGACACAGAGGTTTTATGGGTAAAATCTCAGCATAAATAAGCACAGAGACAAGAAAGGAAGGATGCCATACTTCAGGAAAGGGATTGACTTAAACAAAGAGCCCACCTTGGTAGAGAACTGGTTTCAAAGCACCCTGAAACCAAACTAAAAAAGTCAAGGTCCTTGGGGGTGTCATTAGAGGCAATCATATATACAGCAGAAGGGTAAAAGTGAGAAAAAGGAAAAAAATTGAAAAGAAATTAAAGAAAAAGTGAGTGAAAAAAGAAAGGGGTAATTATGGTAGACAGTAAAGCTGATTCAAATACACAGTGATCAGGGCTGGGCACAGTGGCTCACGCCTGTATCCCAGCACTTTGAGAGGCCGAGGTGGGCAGATCACAAGTTCAGGAGATCGAGACTGTCCTGGCCAACATGAAGAAACCCCATCTCTACTAAAAATACAAAAATTAGTTGGGTGTGGTGGCACATGCCTGTAATACCAGCTACTCAGCAGGCTGAGGCAGGAGAATTGCTTGAACCAGGGAGGCAGAGGTTGCAGTGAGCCAAGATCATGCCACTGCACTCCAGCCTGGTGACAGAGCAAGACTCTGTCTCAAATAAATAAATAGATAGATAAATAAATAAATAAATAAATAAATACACAGCGATTTTTGCCCAAAGATACCATATTTTCTGAATTAATAAAACCCAGGGCCCATGACCAAACTGTTGCAGGAGATCCTGGATGCATGGCTACCATGTCCATAGGCCACACTGCTTATATGTGTAGCCTCAAGGTACATGCTTTGAGGTTAAAGCCTGTAGGGGCTTTTGTGACTGTCCTTACTTTAATAACTAAATGCATCCTTCAAGCAATTAGAACTATCAAGCACATATTCTAGTAAATAAGGCTATCATTGGTGACATCCACCTGGTATCTGGGAATTAAGTGGACGTATCAGGACTAGGAAGTTGGGAGAAAGATTAGGAACACATAATGTTGGAGAATGGAGAACTGACCATGGGAGGTAGACCTGGGAACTGTGCTATGGAGATCACCATGTGGGTATTGAGGGGCTTTCTTGGAAGGAAAAGAGACAATCACTGAGGGCTTCACAGGATGAATTATTCACATTCTAACCAAGTTTCTCTGTTAGTTCTAAGAAGAAATTGATGAAAAAAAGTTTTTGAGACAGACAGTCCCTTCCTCTGTCATCCAGGCTGTAGTGCAGTGGCAGAAACACAGCTCACTGTAGCTTCAACCTCCTGGGCTCAAGTGATCCTCCCACCTCAGCCTTCCAACTAACTGGGAAAACAGTCACATACCACTATGCCCTGCTAATTTTTTTTTTAATTTTTGGTAGAGATGGAGATCTCTGTATGTTGCACAGTCTATTCTCAAACTTCTGGGTTCAAATGATCCTCCAGCCTAAGCCCCCAAAATTTCTGAGATTATAGGCATGAGGCATAAATGTTTATAAGCAAAGGAAGAAGCAGTAAGTAACTTGTCCAAGATCACACATTAAGTGGCAAATATGTCTGATTCTTAGTATTTTCAAAATCCATTCTTTTCTGTTCACCCCCAGTGTCATTATCTTGTTAGACTCACTATTAGCTCTTGCCAGTATTTCTACAACTGCCTACAAAACAATATCCCTATATTAGTTCATTTTTGCACTGCTATAAAGAAATATGTGAGACTGGGTAATTTATAAGAAAAAGAGGTGAAATTTTCTCATGCTTCTGCAGGCTATGCAGGAAACATAGCAGCTCCTGTTGTTGGGAAGCCTCAGGAAACTTACAATCATGGCAGAAGGAGAAAAGGAAGCAGGTACATCTCACATGACCTTAGCAGGAGGAAGAGAGTGAGGGGAGAGGTGCCGCACACTTTTAAACAACCAGATCTTGTAAAAATTCTCTCATGAGAACAGCACCGAAGGGATGATACTAAACCATTAGAAACCACCTTCATGATCCAATCACTTCCCACCAGGCCCCACCTCCAAACCATATAATTCCCCCAGCCCCTCCCAAATCTCATGTCATTCTCACATCGCAAAAATATAATCATGCCTTCCTGACAGTCCCTCAAAGTCTTAACTCATTCCAGCATTTACTCAAAAGTCCAAAGAAGTCTCATCTGAGAAAAGGCTAATCCCTTCCACCTATGAGTCTGTAAAATCAAAAACAAGTTAGTTACTTCCAAGACACAATGGAGGTATAGGCATTGGGTAAATACTCCTATTCTAAAAGGGAGAAATCATCCAAAAGAAAGGGGCTACAGGCCCCATGCAAGTTCAAAACTCAGCAGGACAGTCATTAAATTTTAAAGGTCCAAAATAATCTCCTTTGACTCCATGTCTCTAATCCAAGACATACTGGGGCAAAGGGTGGGCTCCCATGACCTTGGGCAGGGTGTCTTTGCAGGGATCAGCCCCCACAGCTGCTCTCAAGGGCTGGTGTTGCATGCCTGTGGCTTTTCCAGGTACAAGGTGCAAGCTGACAGTGAATCTACCATGTGGTGGTCTGGAGGATGGAGGCCCACTTCTCACAGCTCCACTAGGCAGTGATCCAGTGGAGACTCTGTGTGGGGGCTCCAACCCCACATTTTTCCTCCACAGTACCCTAATGGAGATTCTCCATGAGGCCTCCACCCCCTGCAGCAGACTTCTACCTAGACATACAGGGTGTTCATACATCCGTTGAAATCTAGGTGGAGGCTCCCAAACCTCAACTCCTGCCTTCTGCACACCTGCAGGCCCAATACCACATGGAAGCTGCCAAAGCCTGGGGCTTGCACCCTCTGAAGCAATGGCCTAAGCAATGGCCCTTTTAGCTACGGCCAGAGCTGGAGTGGCTGGGACACAGGGTGCCATGTCCCAAGGCTGCAGAGAGAAACAGGGCCCTGGGCCTGGCCCTTGAAACCATTTTTTCCTCCTAGGCCTCCAAGGCCTGTGATGGCAGGGGCTACCACAAAAGTCTCTAAATGCCCTGAATGAATTTTCCCCCATTGTTTTGGCTATTAACATTTGGCTCTTCTTTACTTATGCAAATTTATGCAGCCTTGAATTCCTCCCCAGAAAATGGATTTTTTTCTATCCCATGGTTGGACTGCAAATTTTCCAAACTTTTATGCTCTGCTTCACTTTTAAATGTAAGTTCTAGTTTTAGGTCATTTCTTTATGTAAATGACCATAGGCTTTTAGAAACAGCTAAGCCATGTATAGAATGCTTTGCTGTTTAGAAACTTTTTCTGCTAGATACCCTAATCTCCCTGAAGTTTAAACTTCCACATATCTCTAAAGCAGGGACAAAATGCTGCCAGTCTCTTTGCTAAAGCATAGTAACAGTGGCCTTTGTCCAATTCCCAATAAGTTTCTCATCTCCATCTGAGACCTCCTCAGCCAGGACTTCACTGTCCATATCACTATCAGCATTTTGTTTCACAACAATTCAACAAGTCTCCAACTCCTATTTCCCCCTATACTCCGCCTTAGGAGAGGTTCTCCATACAGGCTCCACCCCTGCAGCAGGCTTCTGCCTAGACATCGAGGCCTTTCCATACATCCTCTGAAATCTAGGCAAAGGCTTCTAAGCCTCACCTCTTGCACTCTTTATACCCACAGGCTTAACACCATGTGGAAGCCACCAAGGCTTGTGGTTTGCACCCTATAAAGCAGCAGCCTTAGCTGTACCTTTGAGCCATGGCTGGTGCTGGAACAACTGGGATTTCGGGAGCAGTGTCCCAAGCCTGTGCAGGGTGGAAGGGCCCTGGGCCAGGCCCACCAAACCATGCTTTCCTCCTAGGTCTCTGGGTCTGTAATGGGAGGTGCTGCCAGGAAGTTCTCTGAAATACCTTCAAGGACTTTTCCCCATTGTCTTGATTATTAGCACTTGGCTCCTTTTTACTTATGCAAATTTCTATAGCTAGCTTGAATTCATTCCCTGAAAATGGGATTTTCTTTTCTAACACATGGTCAGCCTGCAAGTTTTCCAAACTTTTATGCTCTGGTTCCCTTTTAAACGGAAGTTCCAGTTTCAGGTCATTTCTTTGCTCACATATATGAGCATAGGTTTTTAGAAGCAGCCAGGCCACATCTTGAACATTTTGCTGCTTAGAAAGTTCTTCTGCCAGATACCCTAAATCATCACTCTCAAGTTCAAAGTTCCAAAGATCCCTAGGGCAGGAGCAGAATGCCTCCAAATTATTTGCTAAAGCATAACAAAAGTGACCTTTGCCCCAGTTTCCCATAAGTTCCTCATTTCTATCTGAGACCTCCTCAACTTGGACTTCATTGTCCATATCGCTATTAGTATTTTGGTCACAACAATTTGACAAGTGTCTAGAAAGTTCCAAACTTTCCCTCATTTTCCTTTCTTCTGAGCCCTTCACACGTTACAACCTCCACCCATTAGACAGTTCGAAAGCTGCTTCCACATTTTCAGGTATCTATCTTTAGGGCAATGCCCCACTCATCAACACCAATTTTATATATTCTCCACTCTCACACTGCTATAAAAAATATCTGAGACTGGGTAATTTGTAAAGAAAAGAGGTTGAATTGGCTTATAGTTCTGCAGGCTGTACAGGAAGCATAGCAGCTTTTACTTCTTCATCTAGTTGTAAGCCTCAGGAAACTCACACTCACACTCATGGAAAAAGATACAGGGGAATCATGGCTGTAGCAGGAGAAAGAGAGAGTGAGGGGAGTTGCCACACACTTTTAAATGACCAGATCTCATGAAAACTCTATCATGAGAATAGCACCAAAGGATTAGTGCTAAACCATTAGAAACCACTCCCATGATACAATCACCTTCAACCAGGACCCACCTCCAACACTGGGGATTAAAATTCGACATGAGATTTGGGCACAGACACAGATCCAAAGTATATCAGTCCCTGAACCCAATCCTGTCCCTCTACAATCTATTTTCTATACTGCAACCAGAGTGAGATAGTCAAACGAGAAAACAGATCAATTCGCAATCCTTCTGAAACCCTTGAAAGCCAATTCAATTTCCTCTGGCCAAAAAGCTAGACTCTTGAGACTGGCTATAAGTGGCCAATCACACAATGCATCATCCAGTTGTAAAATGTATCATATTTTGAGAGTGAAAGAAGAGGCTATTAAAACTGATCTAGACAACAAGCCTGAACCAGGACTGTCACAGGCAAACAGGGACATGTGACTATAAGACTGCTCCAACTTTTTAACCCCACCCTTCACCACTTCACTCATTGCCTTCTGGTACTCTTACTTTAATGCTGAGCTATGAGAAATCTCACATCACATTCTTTTCCCTTCTGGGGCCTTAGCACACACCTTGTCATCATCTTACTCCTCTTTACCAAGTTTTCTTTACTAATTTGAGCTGATCAGTTTCTCTGGAACCCAGACCAGAGTTTACTTACTTCTAGAAATGTTGTACAACTTCTCAAGGCTAGGTTCGATGCTGTTATGCCTTCCATTTCACTATGTGCATGCCCCTATGATTACTTTTAATGGACCATACTATAATTGCATATTTTCTAGTACATCTTCCCTTCTGACTGAATGCCCCTTTAGGATATCACTTTATATTTATACTCACGAAACACCTAGCACATAGTAATATATAATTATGTAACACCTAGCACATAGTTTCATTCCTAACATATATCAAGAGTTTATATGGAAACCTTTAATAGACATATATTGATTAGACTGATGGGTAGAGATAGATGAAAGGAAAAACAAACAAGAGATATTTTCCAGGTTCGTAAACCACTAGTATGGTTTAGTCCTTCTGTTTTTCTAGGTAATAATTTCCTGGTCTTGCTATGCATTTGAATCCGTGAATTGGAATATCAGATATTAGAGCAAGGAATCTGTATTATTAGCAAGATTGTTGGGTGATTCTTATAGAACCCCAGTCTGGTTTGTCTAAATTTAAGAAAGAACATATTTGTAGTGGCCATCTTATAGATTTTCTTCATTTCTATACACTTTGTTCTGGTGGAGATAAATGTTAACTTTCTATGTGAAAATAAGAGGGGATTTAAGTTTGGAATTGTTAGGTTGCAATATTTGCAGTCTGAGAAAAACAAACCAGGAAGAATCCTTGATACACTAGTGCTCCTAGAAAGGTTCAGTGATATAAAATGAACAAAAGGTTTATTTAGATATGTATCCAAGGGTCCACAGTCTAGACATCTATCTTGTCTAACTGGAGCTAACTCCTATTGGCTCACTCCTATGGTCAACATTTTTAAGATAAAAAAGTTTCTTTAGACTAACCCAGGGCTGGGAGTAGGGAGAAGTCACTAGCTCTCCTTAGGGAACACATTTGCTGATTTTTTAAAAATTGCCACATTTCCTATCTTTAGCATTTGAAAAATATTGACTGTACTGAAAGGTTTTTAATTTATGGCAGGTTACTAGAGATTTTTCAGGGTAGCCTGATTCAACTATTCCCTTTGAAGTAGTGCCTATAGTAGAGTGCACTTCACCAAAGAAGAGAAAAGAAAAATAGCCTGTCTCCTTGAGAACAAGAACAAACGGACTGCAAACATGAATTGTAGGCCACTTTCTGAGTAGAAGAACTGAGCCACTCAGAGTTGAGTGGCCAGCAAATCTGTAATCTCCTCCACATCTCATTTAGCTGTGTCTGGGAGGCAAGACAGGGCAGACTTCTCTCTGATGACTTCTCAGAATCAGTCACCCTTGGACCATCAATATAGATTAAGAATCTCAAAAAAGGGAGAGTGGTTTGAACTCTTAATGAGGGAAGGGAAATGGAGGTCAGAAGACAGACTCCACCACCTATGCTGCTGCCAGTTTATTGTAAGTGTTGGATGAAAAACCCAAATTCAGGGCTCAGTATTTTATCCCTTCATAAAAACAAGCCTTACAGGATTTGTCCAAAGTGCCAACCCTAGTTACCACAATTCATCTCCATAAAATGTGTTGTGTTCCTTGGTGAAAGCTGCCATAGGAAAGGTCAGGGTACCATCTAGGCTTGTTTTATTCTTGGGAACTTTGTTGTAAAGATTAACATTTTGGCTTTACTTTTTAAAAAAATCTCACATATAAAGGTAAAGATAGATAAATATACAGGGCCTTGGTGATGTAGCCCATAGGCATTTGGGTGTGTCATGAATGAGAATAATATTAGGCTTTGTATCTCCATGTAGCAGCAAATTGATTGTAAATAAAGCAGGAAGGCCAATCTGGAAAATATTAATTAGAAGGCAACTGAAAAATGAGTAGCTAGCTGTACATCAAGGTTGGGAACAGCAGAGTTAGAAAAAGAGATAAGTGTAGTTAAGTGAGAAATCTAGATTAAGGAAGGAAAAACTTGTTGTAGACAGTCTGAAAGAGATTCTAGGTGTTTGAGTATGTCATGCAAAAATATGTTATTCATCAGACAAGTTAACAAATATGTATGAAGCACATATGTTTTTAAAACTTTTTATTTTGAAATAATTTTGGACTGAAGAACAGTTGCAAAAACAGTAGGGCAAGTTTCTATTTTTTATATATATTTTTCTCACTAATTTTAGTGTTATCAATGATACTTGCCTATAAAATTATTACTGTCATTTCTGCCTAACAATAATTTTTCCATTTCCCTCATCCCTTAGATATTTATTAATTGCTATTACACCTTTTTAAAAGCTGTACCTTATCAATCAGTCATTTATTTACTCAATTATTTATATAAGTATGAATTCAGATATTTATTTTATTTTATGGCTTCTAATGGGATGCAACTACATACTTTTGCAAGATAATATGTTAGGTACTAGAAATACAGTGATAAATAAGACCAAGGCTTGTACTCCCTTACATAAAGACTAGGCCTATAATAGACAAAGAAACCAAAAATTACAATTCATAGTGAGAAAACCTATGATGCTGGCAGTGTCTAAACTCAGAGATGCCTTCTCAGAGAAAGGTAACACAATAAATGACAATTCAATCCTAGTTACCCAAGCCAAAATCCTTGAAGCTGTATGACTCTTCTGTTTTTCTTATAGACAACCTTGTATCCATTGGGTCTACTTCCTAAGTTCATTCACAATAAGGCCTCCATCTCACCACTGTCACTACTAACCCTATCCAAGACATCACCATCCATTACTTGTAGTATATCAACAGTTTTGAACTGGTTTAGAGACAATGTGTTCATAGGTGGAGAAGAAAGGACATTGTAGACAAATAAAGGCACCTATCCTAGTTTGGATTCGGTCACTGGCCTGGTCTACAAGGCTATTTCAGGCCATAAAAGAACTGAAAGGTTGCTAACGTATAGAGATAAATAAGGAGTATGAAGAAATGGGGAACAATGAGGCTAAAGCATTAATCAGGGGAAATGCTGAAGACCATTGTAGACATGTTAGAGATGCTAAGATTTACCAGACAAACAATGGAAAGTTACTTCAGGGCTTTTAAAGGGGATAAAACATTCATATTTGTAATTTTTAAACACTATACTGGTAGTCCATGCGCAGGCCAGTTTACAAATGTGACAATAAGGGATATGAAAAGACAATCTAGGAGATTCCTGTGGCAAAACAGGCAAAAGAGAAAAGTATTTTAGATTTGTCTAATAATAGTGGAAATGAAGAAAGGATTCAGGAGATGCTAGATGGTAGAATAAATCCAGACATGGTAATTGATTAGATATGGAAGTTGAAAACAGATGTGTAAAAGATAGTCTCCAGAGTTCTGGCTTGGACAACTGAGTGTGCAATGGAGCATTCACTGAGATAGAGCAAGTAGAAAAGGATAAAGTTTGCAAGGGAAACTCATAACTTTCATTTTGGACATAAATAATTTAGAAAGAAGCAAGTATAAATGTCAAATGGGGAACTGGATGCATGTGTCTACAACTCAGGAAATAGCTGATGTTGAAGATGTGCATTTTGAACTTATAAACATACAGATACTATTTCAAACCATAGGAGAGATTGGTTGCCTATTAAAGAGTGTAGGTTGAGAAGAAAAGAGGCAAGTCACATAAATCTGGGGGAATCCCACCTGGAAATATTTCACAGGGAATGGTGGGTAGCAAAGTTGACTGAGAAGGAGTGCTAGAGAAGCGGGAACAAAACAAAAAAGACAATGTCGTAAAGAAGAGAATATCTCACTTTTCTCTCCCACCAGTGTAGCTTCTGTCTCTACTCTTTTATCCCCAAAAGTCTAACTCTGCGTCTCCATTTTTTCATGTCATGCTACAAAACTGAATGGACACTTCTGATCAGTCTTTTTTTTTAAATTATACCTCAAGTTCTAGGGTACACGTGCACAATGTCCAGGTTTGATACACAGGTATACATGTGCCATGTTGGTTTGCTGCACCCATCAACTCATCATTGACATTAGGTATTTCTCCTAATGCTATCCCTCCCATAACCCCCAACACCTGACAGGCCCCAGTGTGTGATGTTCCCTGCCCTGTGTCCAAATGATCTCATTGTTCAATTCCCACCTATGGGTGAGAACATGCAGTGTTTGGTTTTATGTCCTTGTGATAGTTTGCTGAGAATGATGGTTTCAAGGTTAATGTCCCTGCAAAGGACATGAACTCATCCTTTTTTATGGCTGCATAGTATTCCATGGTGTATATGTGCCACGTTTTCTTAATCCAGTCTATCATTGATGGACATTTGTGTTGGTTCCAAGTCTTCGCTATTGTGAATAGTGCTGCAATGAACATACATGTGCATGTGTCTTTATAGTAGCATGATTTATAATCATTTGGGTATATACTCAGTAATGGGATTGCTGGGTCAAATGGTACTTCTAGTTCTAGATCCTTGAGGAATAGCCACACTGTCTTCCACAATGCTTGAACCAATTTACAGTCCCACCAACAGTGTAAAAGTGTTCCTATTTCTCCACATCCTCTCCAGCACCTGTTGTTTTCTGACTTTTTAATGATTGCCATTCTAACTGGCATGAGATGGTATCTCATTGTGGTTCGGATTTGCATTTCTCTGATGACCAGTGATGATGAGCATTTTTTCATGTGTCCGTTGGCTGCATAGATGTCTTCTTTTGAGAAGTGTCTGTTCATATCCTTTGCCCACTTTTTGATGGGGTTTTTTTTTTTCTTGTAAACTTGTTTGACTTCTTTGTAGATTCTGGATATTAGCACTTTGTCAGATGGGTAGATTGCAAAAATTTCTACCATTCTGTAGGTTGCCTGTTCACTCTGATGGTAGTTTCTTTTGCTGTGCAGAAGCTCTTTAGTTTAATTAGAACCCATTTGTCTATTTTGGCTTTTGTTGCCATTGCTTTTGGTGTTTTAGTCATGAAGTCCTTGTCCATGCCCATGTCCTGAATGGTATTGCCTAGGTTTTCTTCTAGGGTTTTTATGGTTGTAGGTCTAACATTTTAGTCTTTAATACACCTTGAATTAATTTTTGTATAAGGTGTAAGGAAGGGATCCAGTTTCAGCTTTCTACATATGGCTAGCCAGTTTTCCCAGCACCATTTATTCAATAGGGAATCTTTTCCCCATTTCTTGTTTTTGTCAGATTGGTCAAAGATCAGATGGTTGTAGATGTGTGGTGTTATTTCTGAGGCCTCTGTTCTGTTCCATTGGTCTACATATCTGTTTTGTACCAGTACCATGCTGTTTTGGTTACTGTAGCCTTGTAGTATAGTTTGAAGTCAGGTAGCGTGATGCCTCCAGCTTTGTTCTTTGGCTTAGGATTGTCTTGGCAATGTGGGCTCTTGTTTGGTTCCACATGAACTTTAAAGTAGTTTTTTCCAATTCTGTGAAGAAAGTCATTGGTAGCTTGATGGGGATGGCATTGAATCTATAAATTACCTTGGGCAGTATGGCCGTTTTCACAATATTGACTCTTCCTATCCATGAGCATGGAATGTTCTTCCATTTGTTTGTGTCCTCTTTTATTTCATTGAGCAGTGGTTTGTAGTTCTCCTTGAAGAGGTCCTTCACATTCCCTTAAGTTGGATTCCTAGGTATTTTGTTCTCTTTGTAGCAACTGTGAATGGGAGTTCACTCATGACTTGGCTCTCTGTTTGTCTGTTATTGGTGTATAGGAATGCTTGTGATTATTGCACATTGATTTTGTATCCTGAGACTTTGCTTAAGTTGCTTATCAGCTTAAGGAGATTTGGGGCTGACACGATGGGGTTTTCTAAATATATAATCATGTCATCTGCAAACAGGGAAAATTTGACTTCCTCATTTCCTAATTGAATACCCTTTATTTTGTTCTCTTGCCTGATTGCCCAGGTCAGAACTTCCAACACTATGTTGAATAGGAGTGGTGAGAGACGGCAACTTTCTCTTGTGCCAGTTTTGAAAGGGAATGGCTCCAGCTTTTGCCCATTCAGTATGATATTGGCTGTGGGTTTGTCATAAATAGCTCTTATTATTTTAAGATACATTCCATCAATACCTAAGTTTATTGAGAGTTTTTAGCATGAAGTGCTCTTCAATTTTGTCAAAGGCCTTTCTGCATCTTTGAGATAATCATCTGGTTTTTGTCACTGGTTCTGTTTATATGACAGATTACATTTATTGATTTGCATATGTTGAACCAGGCTTGCATCTCACGTATGAAGCCAAGCTGATCATGGGGGATAAACTTGTTGATATGCTGCTGGATTTGGCTTGCCAGTATTTTATTGAGGATTTTTGCATCGATGTTCATCAGGGATATTGGTCAAAAATTCTCTTTTTTTGTTGTGTCTCTGCCAGGCTTTGGTATCAGGATGATGCTGGCCTCATAAAATGAGTTAGGGAGGATTCCCTCTTTTTCTATTGATTGGAATAGTTTCAGAAGGAATGGTACCAGCTCCTCTTTGTACCTCTGGTAGAATTTGGCTATGAATCCGTCTGGTCCTGGACTTTTGAGTCTGAAATTGAGGCTATTAATTATTGCCTCAATTTCAGAGCCTGTTACAGGTCTTTTCTTAGATTCAACTTCTTCCTGGTTTAGCCTTGGGATGGTGTATGTTTCCAGGAATTTATTCATTTCTTCTAGATTTTCTAGTTCATTTGTGTAAAGATGTTTACAGTATTCTTTGATGGTACTTTGTATTTCCGTGGGATAGGTGGTGATATACCCTTTATCATTTTTTATTGTGTCTATTTGATTCTTCTCTCTTTTCTTCTTTATTAGTCTGGCTAGTGGTTTATCAATTTTGTTGATCTTTTCAAAAAACCAGCTCCTGGATTCATTCATTTTTTGAGGAGTTTTTTGTGTCCCTGTCTCTTTCAGTTCTGCCCTGATCTTAGTTATTTCTTGCCTTCTGCTAACTTTTGAATTTGTTTGCTCTTGCTTCTCTAGTTCTTTTAATTGTGATGTTAGGATGTTGATTTCAGATCTTTCCTGCTTTCTCTTGTGGGCATTTAGTGCTATAAGTTTCCCTCTACACACTGCTTTAATTGTGTCCCAGAGATTCTGGTATGTTGTGTCTTTTTTTCTCATTGGTTTCAAGGAACATCTTTATTTCTGCCTTTATTTCGTTATTTACCCAGTAGTCATTCCAGAGTAGGTTGTTCAGTTTCCATGTATTTGTGCAGTTTTGAATGAGTTTCTTAATCCTGACTTCTAGTTTGATTGCACCTTATTCTGAGAGACAGTTTGTTATGATTTCTGTTCTTTTACATTTGCTGAGGAGTGCTTTACTTCCAACTATGTGATCAATTTGAGAATATGTGCAATGTGGTGCTGAGAAGAATGTATATTCTCTTGATTTGGGGTGGAGAGTTCTGTAGAGGTCTATTATGTCTGCTTGGTGCAGAGCTGAGTTCAGGTCCTGGATATCCTTGTTAACCTTCTCTCTCATTGATCTGTCTAATATTGACAGTGGGGTGTTAAAGTCTCCATTATTGTGCGGGAATCTAAGTCTCTTTGTAGGTCTCTAAGGACTTGCTTCATGAATCTAGTTGCTCCTGTATTGGGTGCATATATATTTAGGTTAGCTCTTCTTGTTGAATAGATCTCTTTATCATTATGTATTGGCCTTCTTTGTCTCTTTTGATCTTTGTTGGTTTAAAGTCTGTTTTATCTGAGTCTGGGATTACAACGCCTGTTTTTTTTTGCTTTTCTTTTGCTTGATAGATCTTCCTCCATCCCTTTATTTTGAAATGATGTGTGTCTCTGCACGTGAGCTGGGTCTCCTGAATACAGCACACTGATGGGTCTTGACTTTTTACCCAATTTGCCAATCTATGCCTTTTAACTGGGGCATTTAGTCCATTTACATTTAAGGTTAATGTTGTTATGTGTGGATTTGATCCTGTCATTATGATGTTCGCTGGTTATTTTGCCCATCAGTTGATGCAGTTTCTTCCTAGCATTGACGGTTGTTACAATTTATCATGTTTTTGCAGTGGCTGGTACTGTTTGTTCCCTTCCATGTTTAGTGCTTCCTTCAGGAGCTCTTGTAAGGCAGGCCTGGTGGTGACAAAATCTCTCAACATTTGCTTGTCTGTAAAGGATTTTATTTCTCCTTCACTTATATAGCTTAGTTTGGCTGGATATGAAATTCTGGGTTGGAAGTTCTTTTCTTTAAGAATGTTGATTATTGGCCCCCACTCTCTTCTGGCTTGTAAGGTTTCTGCCAAGAGACCCGCTGTTATTTGATGGGCTTCCCTTCGTGGGTAACTCAACCTTTCTCTCTGGCTGCCCTTAACACTTTTTCCTTCATTTCAACTTTGGTGAATCTGACAATTATGTGTCTTGGAGTTGCTCTTCTGGAGGAGTATCTTGGTGGTGTTCTCTGTATTTCCTGAATTTGAATGTTGGCCTGCCTTGTTAGGTTGTGGAAGTTCTCCTGGATAATATCCTGAAGAATGTTTTCCAACTTGGTTCCATTCTCTCCATCACTTTCAGGTACACCAATCAAACGTAGATTTGGTCTTTTCACATAGTCCCATATTTTTTGGATGCTTTGTTCATTTTTTTTACTCTTTTTTTTTCTAACCTTGTCTTCTCACTTTATTTCATTGATCTGATCTTCAATCACTGATACCTTTTCTTCCACTTGATCGAATTGGCTTTTGAAACTTGTGCATGTGTCATGACGTTTTCGTGTCATGGTTTTCAGCTCCATCAGGTCACTTAAGGTCTTCTCTACACTCTATTCGAGTTAGCCATCCATCTAATCTTTTTTCAAGGTTTTTAGCTTCCTTGCCATGGGTTCAAACATCCTCCTTTAGCTCAAAGAAGTTTGTTATTACTGACCTTCTGAAGCCTACTTCTGTCAACTCATCTAAGTCATTCTCCATCTAGCTTTGTTCCATTGCTGATGAGGAACTGCAATCCTTTGCAGGAGAAGAGGTGCTCTGATTGTTTGAATTTTCAGCGTTTCTGCTCTGGTTTCTCCCCATCTTTGTGGTTTTATCTACCTGTCATCTTTGACATTGGTGACCTACAGATGCAGTTTTGGTGTAGATGACCTTTTGGTTAATGTTGATGCTACTCCTATCTGTTTGTTAGTTTTCCTTCTCACAGTCAGGTCCCTCAGCTGCAGGTCTGTTGGAGTTTGCTGGAGTTCCACTCCAGACCCTGTTTGCCTGGGTATCACCAGCAGAGGCTGCAGAACAGCAAATATTGCTACCTGATCCTTCCTCTGGAAGCTTCGTCCCAGAGAGGCACTCGCCTACATGGGGTATCTTTCAGTCCCTACTGGGGGGTGTCTCCCAGTTAGGCTTCACGGGGGTCAGGGACCAACTTGAGGAAGCAGTCTGTCTGTTCTCAGAGCTCAAACACCATGCTGGGAGAACCACTGCTCTCTTCAGAGCTGACAGACAGGACGTTTAAGTCTGCAGAAGTTGTCTGCTGCCTTTTGTTCAGCTATGCCCTTCCCACAGAGGTGGAGTCTAGAGGCAGTAGGCCTTGTTGAGCTGCGGTGGGTTCTGTCCAGTTCAAGCTTCTCAGCTGGTTTGTTTACCTATTCAAGCCTCAGTAATGGCAGACGCCCCTCCCCGAGCCAGGCTGCCGCCTCGCAGATCAGTCTCAGACTGCTGTGCTAGCAGTGAGCAAGGCTCTGTGGGCACAGGACTGACTGAGCCAGGCATAAGAGAGAATCACCTTGTCTGCTGGTTGCTAAGACCTTGGGAAAAGCACAGTATTTGGGCAGGGAGTGTCCCATTTTTCCAGGTAGTCTGTCACAGCTTCCCTTGGCTACGAAAGGGAAATTCCCCAACTCCTTGCACTTTCTGGGTGAGGTGACACACCGCCCTGCTTCAGCTCACCCTCCATGGGCTGCACCCACTGTCCAACCAGTCCCAATGAGATGAACCAGGTACCTCAGTTGGAAATGCAGAAATCACCTGTCTTCTGCATCAATCACGTTGGGAGCTGCAGACCAGAGCTGATCCTATTTGGCCATCTTGGAACACCCCTCGATAAGTCTTATTTCAAAATGGTTTTTCAGCAGTCTTCTATAAAGTTAGCAATTTCCATTAATCTATTGCTGTGTAAAAAAGCACCCCAAACTTACTGACTTACAGTAACAACCTATTATTTTCTTCCATGGACCTGGATTAACTGGGCCCAGATGTTTTTTGCTTACAGTGTCATGTGCTGTTGCAGCCAGATATCTACTGGGGCTGCACTCATCTGAAGGCTTAACTGAGATAAACAAGCAAAATGAATCATTTACATAGTTGACAGTTTAAGCTATCAGTTGGGAATTCAGCTGGGGCTATCTACTGAAGTGTGTATACATGGCCTCTCGTACCAGCTACCAGTTTGTTGCCTCTCAGCTCCAAATCTACCCTTCTCTGCCCAGTTTTGTGATATTGCAGCTGGACCCCATCAGCTTGTGAAATGAGAGGCTTTTTAATAGAAGGCACTGGGGTGACACTGCAAGGTGATAGCAACAGGAAGAAATTTCTCTTCTGGGTTATAATTCTCCATTATCATTCAGTATTGGTGCTTGGTGGCCCATGTGGATTAGCTTCAACTGTAGCTTCAGACCACATTCTCCCCAGTGGTAGGCATTTCTAAGTTATGACAGCAGGCAGCTTCTGTGGTAGTTCTAGTTGGACCTTCAGGCCACATGCTGCCCAGCCTGGGCTTCACTGCAGCAGCTCCAGCCTGCAACCCCCTTCCATAGAGCCACAACAACGTACAGTCTCCTCCCCCGCCCACTTATTTGCTACTTTTAGCCTGCATTTTTCTACAGTAGCCATAGCTTCTCCAAAGAGGCCCAAATCTAAGAGTTGAGGGAAAGAACCTCTTTCTAGTCTTAAATTATTTTTTGTTTTGCTCTAGACATGGTAGTTTGTAAATGCTACTTTTGGATATCTTAAAATTCATGGTTAACCCTTTTAGTAGCTAACTAACTCTACTTTATATTACATTTTCTTTGTCCAGATAACTTGCATGGTTTCTGTCTCTGACTAGACCCTAATTGATTTACCTCCTTATGTGTCCCAGACTTTTCACAAGATGGGTTTCTACAGAAAATGACTCAGATATCAGTCCTAGCTTATTTTGTCTTCCCTATATACATCATTCGTTCAGTTAGATCACCTAGAATCATAGTTTAAAATATCATCTGTACAGTATTGACTCCCAAATCTACAACTCCAATTAAAACTTTGCTGACCTCCAAATCATAATTTAACTATGTGATTATCATCTCCATCTCAGATACTTCAAAGCTCTTAATTCCACATTTTATAAATAAACTGTTTGAAAAGGCATCACTAGGAGTGACATCAGCAAGTGGTGATACAGGATTTTCCTGCACTTGTCCTCATACAGAAATACCAGTTTGAGTAACTATCCATAATTGAAAATACCTTCACAAGAGCTAAGGAAGCCAGAGGAGAAATTAAAACATTTGAAGGAAAATTACAACATTTGAGCATAGCACAAAAATAAGAAAAGACACTGTATTAGTCTGTCCTCACACTGCTATAAAGAACTGCCCAAAACTGAGTAATTTATAAAGAAAAGAGGTAATTGGGAGAAGCAGCCAAGATGGCCAAATAGGAACAGCTCCAGTCTACAGCTCCCAGCGTAAGCGACGCAGAAGACGGGTGATTTCTGCATTTCCATCTGAGGTACCAGGTTCATCTCACTAGGGAGTGCCAGACAGTGGGTGCAGGACAGTGGGTACAGTGCATTGTGCGTGAGCTGAAGCAGGGCAAGGCATTGCCTCACTCAGGAAGTGCAAGGGGTCAGGGAGTTCCCTTTCCTAGTCAAAGAAAGGAGTGACAGAAGGCACCTGGAAAATCGGGTCACTCCCACGCGAATACTGTGCTTTTCCGAGGGGCTTAAAAAAAAGGAGCACCAGGAGATTATATCCCACACATGACTCGGAGGGTCCTACGCCCACGGAGTCTTGCGGATTGCTAGCACAGCAGCCTGAGATCAAACTGCAAGGCAGCAGGGAGGCTGGGGGAGGGGCGCCCACCATTGCCCAGGCTTGCTTAGGTAAACAAAGCAGCTGGGAAACTCCAACTGGGTGGAGCCCATCACAGCTCAAGAAGGCCTGCCTGCCTCTGTAGGCTCCACCTCTGGGGGCAGGGCACAGACAAACAAAAAGACAGCAGTAACCTCTGCAGACTTAAATGTCCCTGTCTGACAGCTTTGAAGAGAGCAGTGGTTCTCCCAGCATGCAGCTGGAGATATGAGAACGGGCAGACTGCCTCCTCAAGTGGGTCCCTGACCTCTGACCCCTAAGCAGCCTAACTGGGAGGCACCCCCCAGTAGGGGCAGACTGACACCTCACATGGCCAGTTACTCTTCTGAGACAAAACTTCCAGAGGAACTATCAGACAGCAGCATTCGCGGTTCATGAAAATCCGCTGTTCTGCAGCCACTGCTGCTGTTACCCAGGCAAACAGGGTCTGGAGTGGACCTCTAGCAAACTCCAACAGACCTGCAGCTGAGGGTCCTGTCTGTGAGAAGGAAAACTAACAAACAGAAAGGCTATCCACACCAAAAACCCATCTGTACGTAACCATCATCAAAGATCAAAAGTAGATAAAACCACAAAGATGGGGAGAAAACAGAGCAGAAAAACTGGAAACTCTAAAAAGCAGAGCACCTCTCCTCCTCCAAAGGAAAGCAGTTCCTCACCAGCAATGGAACAAAGCTGCAAGGAGAATGACTTTGACTAGTTGAGAGAAGAAGGATTCAGATGATCAAACTACTCTGAGCTACAGGAGGAAATTCAAACCAAAGGCAAAGAAGTTAAAAACTTTGAAAAAAATTTAGATGAATGTATAACTAGGATAACCAATACAGAGAAGTCCTTAAAGGAGCTGATGGAGCTGAAAACCAAGGCTCGAGAACTACGTGAAGAATGCAGAAGCCTCAGGAGCCGATGTGATCAACTGGAAGAAAGGGTATCAGTGATGGAAGATGAAATGAACGAAATGAAGTGAGAAGGGAAGTTAGGAGAAAAAATGAAAAGAAATGAACAAAGCCTCCAAGAATATGGGACTATGTGAAAAGACCAAATCAACTTCTGATTGGTGTACCTGAAAGTGACAGGGAGAATAGAACCAAGTTGGAAAACACTCTGCAGGATATTATCCAGGAGAACATCCCCAATCTAGCAAGGCAGGCCAACATTCAGATTCAGGAAATATAGAGACCACCACAAAGATACTCCTCGAGAAGAGCAACTCCAAGACACATAATTGTCAGATTCACCAAAGTTGAAATGAAGGAAAAAATGTTAAGGGCAGCCAGAGAAAAGGTCAAGTTACCCACAAAGGGAAGCCCATCAGACTAACGGCGGGTCTCTCGGCAGAAACTCTACAAGCCAGAAGAGAGTGGGGGCCAATATTCAACATTCTTAAAGAAAAGAATTTGCAACCCAGAATTTCATATCCAGCCAAACTAAGCTTCATAAGTGAAGGAGAAATAAAATCCTTTACAGACAAGCAAATGCTGAGAGATTTTGTCACCACCAGGCCTACCCTAAAAGAGCTCCTGAAGGAAGTGCTAAACATGGAAAGGAACAACGAGTATCAGCCACTGCAAAATCATGCCAAATTGTAAAGACCATCGAGACTAGGAAGAAACTGCATCAACTAATGAGCAAAAAAACCAGCTAACATCAAAATGACAGGATCAAATTCACACATAACAATATTAACTTTAAATGTAAATGGACTAAATGCTCCAATTAAAAGACACAGACTGGCAAATTGGATAAAGAGTCAAGACCCATCAGTGTGTTGTATTCAGGAAACCCATCTCACGGGCAGAGACACGCATAGGCTCAAAATAAATGGATGGAGGAAGATCTACCAAGCAAATGGACAATAAAAACAGGCAGGGGTTGCAATCTTAGCCTCTGATAAAACAGACTTTAAACCAACAAAGATCAAAAGAGACAAAGAAGGCCATTACATAACAGTAAAGGGATAAATTCAACAAGAACAGCTAACTATCCTAAATATATATGCACCCAATACAGGAGCACCCAGTTTCATAAAGCAAGTCCTGAGTGACCTACAAAGAGACTTAGACTCCCACACATTAATAATGGGAGACTTTAACACCCCACTGTCAACATTAGACAGACAATAAGACAGAAAGTTAACAAGGATACCCAGGAATTGAACTCAGCTCTGCACCAAGCGGACCTAATAGACATCTACAGAACTCTCCACCCCAAATCAACAGAATATACATTTTTTTCAGCACCACACCACACTTATTCCAAAGTTGACCACATAGTTGGAAGTAAAGCTCTCCTCAGCAAATGTAAAAGAACAGAAATTATAACAAACTGTCTCTCAGACCACAGTGCAATCAAACTAGAACTCAGGATTAAGAAAATCACTCAAAACCACTCAATACATGGAAACTGAACAACCTGCTCCTGAATGACTACTGGGTACATAACGAAATGAAGGCAGAAATAAAGATGTTCTTTGAAACCAACGAGAACAAAGACACAACATACCAGAATCTCTGGGACACATTCAAAGCAGTGTGTAGAGGGAAATTTATAGCACTAAATGCCCACAAGAGAAAGCAGGAAAGATCCAAAATTGACACCCTAACATCACAATTAAAAGAACTAGAAAAGCAAGAACAAACACATTTAAAAGCCAGCAGAAGGCAAGAAGTAACTAAAATCAGAGCAGAACTGAAGGAAATAGAGACACAAAAAACCTTTCAAAAAATTAATGAATCAAGGAGCTGGTTTTTTGAAAGGATCAACAAAATTGATAGACCACTAGCAAGACTAATAAAGAAAAGAGAGAAGAATCAAATAGATGCAATAAAAAATGATAAAGGGGATATCACCACCGATCCCACAGAAATACAAACTGCCATCAGAGAATACTACAAACACCTCTACGCAAATAAACTAGAAAATCTAGAAGAAATGGATAAATTCCTCGACACATACACCCTCCCAAGACTAAACCAGGAAGAAGTTGAATCTCTGAATAGACCAATAACAGGCTCTGAAATTGCAGCAATAATCAATAGCTTACCAACCAAAAAGAGTCCAGGACCAGATGGATTCACAGCCGAATTCTACCAGAGGTAAAAGAAGGAACTGGTACCATTCCTTCTGAAACTATTCCAATCAATAGAAAAAGAGGGAATCCTCCCTAACTCATTTTATGAGGCCGGCATCATCCTGATACCAAAGCCAGGCAGAGACACAACCAAAAAAGAGAATTTTAGACCAATATCCTTGTTGAACATTGATGCAAAAATCCTCAATAAAATACTGGCAAACCAAATCCAGCAGCACATCAAAAAGCTTATCCACCATGATCAAGTGGGCTTCATCCCTGAGATGCAAGGCTGGTTCAATATACTCAAATGAACAAATGTAATCCAGCATATAAACAGAACCAAAGACAAATACCACATGGTTATCTCAAGAGATGCTGAAAAGGCCTTTGACAAAATTCAACAACCCTTCATGCTAAAAACTCTCAATAAATTAGGTATTGATGGGATGTATCTCAAAATAATAAGAGCTATCTATGAGAAACCCACAGCCAATATCATACTGAATGGGCAAAAGCTGGAAGCATTCCCTTTGAAAACTGGCACAAGACAGGGATGACCTCTCTCACCACTCCTATTCAACATAGTGTTGGAAGTTCTGGCCAGGACAATTAGGCAGGAGAAGGAAATAAAGGGTATTCAATTAGGAAAAGAGGAAGTCAAATTGTCCCTGTTTGCAGATGACATGATTGTATATCTAGAAAACCCCATTGTCTCAGCCCAAAATCTCCTTAAGCTGATAAGCAACATCAGCAAAGTCTCAGGATATAAAATCAGTGTGCAAAAATCATGAGCATTCTTATATACCAATAACAGACAAACAGAGAGCCAAATCATGAGTGAACTCCCATTCACAATTGCTTCAAAGAGAATAAAATACCTAGGAATCCACCTTACAAGAGATGTGAAGGACCTCTTCAAGGAGAACTACAAACCACTGCTCAATGAAATAAAAGAGGATACAAACAAATGGAAGAACATTCCATGCTCATGGGTAGGAAGAATCAATATCGTGAAAATGGCCATACTGCCCAAGGTAATTTATAGATTCAATACCATCCCCATCAAGCTACCAATGACTTTCTTCCCAGAATTGGAAAAAACTACTTTAAAGTTCATATGGAACCAAAAAAGAGCCTGCATTGCCAAGTCAATCCTAAGCCAAAGGTACAAAGCTGGAGGCATCACACTACCTGATTTCAAACTATACTACAAGGCCACAGTAACCAAAACAGCATGGTACTGGTACCAAAACAGAGATATAGATCAATGGAACAGAACAGAGCCCTCAGAAATAATGCTGCCTACCTACAACTATCTGCAACTATCTGATCTTTGACAAACTTGAGAAAAACAAGCAATGGGGAAAGGATTCCCTATTTAATAAATGGTGCTGGGAAAACTGGCTAGCCATATGTAGAAAGCTGAAACTGGATCCCTTCCTTACACCTTATACAAAAATCAATTCAAGATGGATTAAAGACTTAAATGTTAGACCTAAAACCATAAAAACCCTAGAAGAAAATGTAGGCATTACCATTCAGGACATAGGCATGGGCAAGGACTTCATGTCTAAAACACCAAAAGCAATGGCAACAAAAGCCAAAATTGACAAATGGAATCTAATTAAACTAAAGAGCTTCTGCACAGCAAAAGAAACTACCATCAGAGTGAACAGGCAACCTACAAAATGGGAGAAAATTTTCACAACCTACTCATCTGACAAAGGGCTAATATCCGGAATCTACAATGAACTCAAACAAATTTACAAGAAAAAACAAACAACCCCATCAAAAAGTGGGCAAAGGACATGAACAGACACTTCTCAAAAGAAGACATTTATGCAGCCAACAGACACATGAAAAAATGCTCACCATCACTGGCCATCAGAGAAATGCAAATCAAAACCACAATGAGATACCATCTCACACCAGTTAGAGTGGCAATCATTAAAAAGTCAGGAAACAACAGGTGCTGGAGAGGATGTGGAGAAATAGGAACACTTTTACACTGTTGGTGGGACTGTAAACTAGTTCAACCATTGTGGAAGTCAGTGTGGCAATTCTTCAGGGATCTAGAACTAGAAATACCATTTGACCCAGCCATCCTATTACTGGGTATATACCCAAAGGACTATAAATCATGCTGCTATAAAGACACATGCACACGTATGTTTATTGTGGCACTATTCACAGTAGCAAAGACTTGGAACCAAGCTAAATGTCCAACAATGTTAGACTGGATTAAGAAAATGTGGCACATATACACCATGGAATACTATGCAGCCATAAAAAATGATGAGTTCACGTCCTTTGTAGGGACATGGGTGAAACTGGAAATCATCATTCTCAGTAAACTATCACAAGAACAAAAAACCAAACACCACATATTCTCACTCATAGGTGGGAATTTAACAATGAGAACACATGGACACAGGAAGGGGAACATCACACTCTGGGGACTGTTGTGGGTGTGGGGAGGGGGAGGGATAGCATTGGGCTATATACCTAATGCTAAATGACTATTTAATGGGTGCAGCACACCAGCATGGCACATGTATACATATGTAACTAACCTGCACATTGTGCACACGTACCCTAAAACTTAAAGTATAATAATAATAATAATAAAAGAAAAGAGGCAATTGACTCACAGTTGTGCAGCACTACAGAGGCTTCAGAAAACTTAAAATCATGGCAGAAGTGGAAGCAAATATGTCATTCTTCACATGGTGGTAGGAAGGAGAAGTGCTGAGCAAAGGGAGAAGAACCCCTTATAAAACTACCAGATCTCATGAGACGTCACTATCATGAGAACAGCATGAGGGTAACCACCCCCATGATTCAATTACCTCCCACCAGGTCCCTCCCACAACACATGGGGATTGTGGGAACTACAATTCAAGATGAGATTTGGGTGGGAAACAGCCAGACTTATTTTCCACCTCTGGACTTTCCCAAATCTCATCTTTCTCACATTGCGAAACACAGTTATGCCTTCCCAACAGTTCCCCAAAGTCTTAACTCATTTCAGCATTAACTCAAAAGTTCAAGTCCATAGTCTCATCTGAGACAAGGCAAGTCCCTTCTGCTTTGTAAAATCAAAAGCAAGTTAGTTACTTCCTAGATACAGTGGAGGTATAGGCATTGGGTAAATAAACTCATTCAAAATGGGAGAAATTGGCTAAGACTAAAAAGACTACAGGCCCCATGCAAGGCCAAAATCTGATAGGGTAGTCATTAAACCTTAAAGTTCCAAAATGATCTTCTTTGACACTATGTCCCACATCCAGTTCATGCTAATGCAAAGGATGGGCTCCCACAGACTTGGGCATCTCTATCCCTGTGGCTTTGCAAGGTACAGGCCCTATCCTGGCTGCTTTCACAGGCTGGCATTGAGTGTCTGTTGCTTTTCCAGGCACTTGGTCCAAGCTGTCAGCGGATCTACCATTCTGGTGTCTGGAGTATGGTTGCCCTCTTCTCACAGCTCCACTAGGCAGTGCCCCAGTGGGGACTCTGCATGGGGTATCCAACCCCACATTTCCCTTCCACATTGCCCTAGCAGAGGTTCTGCATGAGGCCTCTGCCCCTGCAAGAAAACTTCTGCCTGGATATTCAGGCATTTCCATACATCCTCTGAAATCTAGGCAGAGGTTCCCCAACCTCAGTCCTTGAATTCTGTGCACTTGCAGGCCCAACACCATCTGTAAGTCACTAAGACTTGGGGCTTTCTCCCTCTGAAGCAATAGCCTGAGCTGTATGCTGGCCGTTTTAGACACAGCTGGGATATAGGGCACTAAGCCCCAAGACTATAAAAAGCAGCAAAGCCCTGGGCCCAGCCTACAAAACCATTTTTTCCTCCTAGGCCTTCAGGCCTGTGATAGAAGGGGCTGCTGTGAAGTTCTCTGACATGTCCTGGAGACATTTTCTCCATTATCTTGGTGATTAAAATTTGGCTTCTTGCTACTTATGCAAATTTCTGCCGTTGGCTTGAATTTCTCCCCAGAAAATGGGTTTTTATTTTCTAACACATCATCAAGCTGCAAATTTTCCAAACTTTTATGCTCTGCTTCCACTTGAATCTTTGTTGCTTAGAAATTTCTTCCACCAGACACCCTAAATCATCTCTCTCAAGTTCAAAGTTCCACAGATCTCTAGGGCAGGAACAAAATACCACCAGTCTCTTTGCTAAACTTTTGCTCCAGTCCCCAAGAAGTTATTCATCTCCATCCGAGACCACCTCAGCCTGGACTTCATTGTCCATATCACTATCAGCAATTTGGTCAAAGCAATTCAACAAGTCTCTAGGAAGTTCCAAACTCTCCCACATTTTCCTGTCTTCTTCTGAGCCATCTGAACTGTTCCAACTTCTGCCCATTACCCAATTCCAAAGTTGTTTCCACATTCTCAGGTATCTCAGAGAATGCCCTACTACCTCAATGCCAATTTACTGTATTAGTCCATTCTCACACCATTATAAAAAACTACCTAAGACTGGGTAATTTATAATGGAAAGAAGTTTAACTGACTCACAGTTCAGCATGGTTAGAAGGCCTCAGGAAACTGACAATCATGGCAGAAGGGGAAGCAAACATGTCCTTCTTCATATGGTGGCAGGAAGGAGAAGTGCTGAGCAAAGGAAGAAGAGACCCTCATAAAACCATCAGATCTCATGAGAACTAATTCACTATCACAAGAACAACATAGGGGTAACCACCGCCATGATTCAATTATCTCCCACTGGGTTCCTCCCATGACACATGGAGATTATGGGAACTACAATTCAAGATGAGATTTGGGTGGGGGCACAGCTAAACCATATAAGACACATTGAAATTTATAAGAAGGACAGTTTCACATTACCTGCATTACCCCTCTTCCCAATCCCAGGCAGAGGAGAGAGATACCCACTACTTTGAGAAAGAAAAGTGAAGCAAGCACCAGACTGCCTTGGACCCTAACACTGGTCCTGCACCAGTAAAATCCACTGCCTTGCAGGCCTCTAAGCTCCAGACTCCAGGTTGCTACCTGTGGATTAAGCCTGTAGGTCCATCTTTACACCAGGCCTGATACTGCAGCCCCAGGCTTTGGACACACTCCAATGCTAGGCCAACTCCACAAACTCAGGCTGTAGGTTGGATCCCACAAACCAGGCTCCAAGCTGGTCACCACAGCCCTAGGCTCCAGGTTAGTTGTTGTGGCTCCAGACATTAAGTCAGCACCCATGGTTCCAGGTTTTAGACTGGCCCCATTGACCCCGACTCTATGCCTGCCTCAGCACCAGGCCAGCTTCACGTTCTAGGCAGGCCTCTGTGGACACAGGCTCCGCAGAACCTAGGGTCCAAGCACACCCCAGTAGACCCCAGTGCCATCCCAGATCCTGCAGACCAAGGTTCAGGGACCACCTCTGTAAACATGTGCTCTAGGACAGCCCCATAGACCAAAGTCTCATATCTGCCCAATGGACTCAGACCAGGTATGCCTCAGACACCAGTCCTATCCCAGCACCCGGCCAACCTCTGCAGACAGGCTCAAGGTCCATCCCTGTTCAGGCCAGTGCCCATGGAAGTTCCAGGTCTGCCCCCACATACTTAATCAACAGGTCCACCCCAGTGGATCTAGGTTCCAGGCTCAATTTCCAACCTGGATCCACAGGGACCCAGTATGTTCCCAGCAAAGCCAATATGCAAAGACTGGAGTACTTTTTCAAATACGTTGCCACCAATGCAAGGCCATTTCACTGGGTACCTGGTTAAAAAAAAGAAAAAGAAAAAGAATCAAGAAAATATAATACTACCAAAGAAACAAAAATCAAACACCAGTAACTGACACTAAAGAAAGATTTATGACCTGCTTTACAAAGAATTCAAAATAACAATTTTAAATAAGTTCAATGAGCTACATAAAAATATAGACGGATAACTAAGCAAAATCAGAAAAGAATACACAAACAAAATGAGAACTTCAACAAAAATAAAAATCAGAATCAACAGAAATTCCACACCTAAAAACATAATGGCTGAACTAAAAAATTCCATAGAGAACTTCAACAGAAAACTCAAGCAGAAAAAAAGAATCAGTGATTTTGAAGACAGATCATTTGATATTAGAGGAACAAAATGAGAAAAGAATGAAAAAGAGTAAAGAATGCCTATGGGAATTATGGGACACCACCAAGCAAACCAATATATGTATTACAAATACCCCAAAAGGATCAGAGAAGGGGATGGGGCAGAGAGCTTATTTAAGGAAATAATGACAGAAAACTTTCCAAATATGAAAAATATATACAAATATCCAAGTGCAGAAAGCACAAAAGTCTCCAATCAGGTTCAATCCAAACAAAACTACACTAAGACATATGATAATAAAACTTTAAAAAATCAAAGCTGAGAGAGGATCCTAAAAGCAGCAAGACAAGCATATCACATACAAGAGAAGTCAAGTATGGTTATTGACAGATATCTTAGCATAAACCTGACAGACCAGGAAAGAGTGAGATGATAAATTTAAAGTGCTTAATTATTAGGCCAGAATTTATGAAAATTATAAACAAAAACAAACAAAAAAGAATAAAGTACTTAAAGAAAAAAAAAACTGTCAACAAAGAATACTTTACCTGGCAAAGCTGTCCTTCAGAAATGAAGGAAAGGTAAACACTTTACCCACAATGACAACAACAAAAGCTGAAGGAGTTCATCACCACTAGACCTTCTTTACAAAAAATGCTAAAGGGAGTTCTAGAATACTGAGTCACATGAAAACATATTAAAGTATAAAACTCACTGATAAAAGTAATTATACTGTCAAATTCAGAATACTCTACTACTACTATACTATCAGTATGTAAAACACTTAAATCTTTAGTATGAAGGTTAAAAGACAAAACTATTAAAAGTAATAATAGCTACAATAATTTGTTAAGAGATACACAATATGAAAACATATAAACTGTGACATCTAAAACATAAAATATGGAGGAATTAAACTATAGCTTTTATATGTGATCAAAGTGTATTTATTCACAACCTAATAGGACATTATAACCATAAGATGTTTTATCTAAACTTCATGGTAACCACAAAGCAAAAACCTGTAGTATATACACAAATTATAAAAAGTGAGAAAAAAAAGTATAGCACTATACAAAATTATCTAATCACAAAGGAAGACAGCAAGAGAAAAAGAAAGGTACAAAGAAGCTACAAAACAACCAGAAAACAATTTAAATGGCAGTAGTAAATTCTTACTGATCAACAATTACCTTGAATATTCTATTAGTCCATTTTCTGTCCCTTAAAACAGAATACCTAAAACTGGATAATTTAGAAGACATAAAATTAAATTCTTACAGTTCTAGAGATTGAGAGGGGTTGAGGGGGACATATCTGGTGAGAGCCTTCTTGCTGGTGGGGACTCTGAAGAGTCCTGAAGTGGCAGAAGGTATCACATAACAAGAGGGCTGAGCATACTAACATGTTGCTAGATCAGGTCTCTCTTGTTCTTATATAGCCACCAGTTCCCCTTCCATGATAACCCATTAATCCATCAACCCATTAATTTGTTAATCTATAAATGGATTAATTCATTCATTCATGTTAATGCATACATTCAGGCAGAGTCCTTATGATCTAATCACCTCCTAAAAGCCCCATCTCTCAACACTGTCACATGAAGGGCCAAGTTTCAACATGAGGTTGGGAGGGATATTCAAACCATAGCAAATATAAAGAATTAAACTTTCCATTCAAAAGACAAAGAATGACTGAATAGATTTTTAAAAAGACCCAACTATATTCTACCTATAAGAGACTCATTTCACCGTTAAGGACACATATAAACTAACAGTGGATGGATGAAAAAAAAGGTATTCCATGGAAATGGAAACCAAAAGAGAGAAGGAATAGCTACACTTACATAAAATAAAATATACTTTAAGTCAATAACTGTATAATGAGAACAAGAATGATATTATATAATGGAAAGGGGTCATTACATTCTATACTACAATATGCTGTTGATATAATGTAAATATACGTGCACCCAACATTGGAGCATATAAATGTATAAAGCAAATATTAATAGATGTTAAGGGAGAGAAAGACTGTAATATAATAATAGGAGACTTCAATATTGCACTTTCAACAACGGACAGATCATCCAACCTAATAGATACGTACAGAAAATTTCATCCAACAGCAGCAGAATACAGCAGAGTATTCTTCTCAAGTCACAGAAAACATTTTCCAGGATAGATTATATGTTCAGCCACAAAACAAGTCTTAACAAATGTAAGAAAATTGAAATAAAGTATCTTTTTTGACCACAATGATATAAAACTAGAAATCAATGGCAGGAGGAATTTTGGAAAATTCACAAATACGGTCATGTACCATATAATGATATTTCAGTCAATGATGCACTGCAAATACAATAGTCTCATAAGATTGTAGTATTGTATTTTTACTGTGCCTTTTCTATGTTTAGATATGTTTAGATACACAAATACTTATCATTGTGTTATAATTGCCTAGAGTATTCAGTAAAGTAATGTCCTGTATAGTTCTGTAGCCTGGGATTGATAAGCTGTACTGTATAGCCTATGTATGTAGTAAGCTGTACCAACCATGTTTGTGTAACTACACTCTATGATGCTTGGACAATGACAAAATCACCTAATGACACTTTTCTCATAACATATCCATGACTGTATGTGGAAATTAAACAACATACTCCTGAACAACCAATGCATCAAAGATATTAAAGGGCAACACAAAATATTTATTGAGACAAACAAAAATGAAAACACAACCTAGCAAAACTTATGGAATGCATCAAAAGCAGTTTTAAGAGAAAGTTTACAGCAATAAAGGCTCACCTAACAAAAGAAACAATATGTCAAATAAGCAACTTAATACTATACCTCAAGGAACTAGAAAAAAAAAACTAAGCCCAAACTTTGTGAAATGAAGGAAATAATAAAGATCAGAACAGAAATAAATGAAACAGAGACTAGCAAAACAATGCAAAAGATCAATAAAACTAATAATTGTTTTTTGAAGAGATAAACAAAATTGACAAACCTTCATCTGGACTAAGAAATAAAGAAGACTCAAATAAATGAAATCAGAAATTAAAGAGGCAACATTACACCTGATATCGGAGAAATACAAAGGATCATAAGAGACTACTATGAACAATTATATGCCAACACACTGAATAACCTAGAAGAAATAAATTCCTAGATAAATATAAACTATCAACACTGAATTATAAAGAAATAGAAAATCTGAACAGACCAATAATAATTAAGGAGATTGAGTCAGTAATAAAATGCCTCCTATCAAAGTAAAGCCAAATACCTGATGACTGTACTGCTGAATTCTACCTAACATTTAAAGAATTAATACCAATTATTCTCAAACTCTTCCAAAATTTTGAAGAGGGAATATTTCCAAATTTATTTCATGTGGCCAGCATTACCCTAATACCAAAGCCAAACAAGGACATCACAAGAAAACAAAATTACAGGCCAACATCCCTGATGAACATAGATACAAAAATACAACAAAATACTAACAAACTAAATTCAACAGCACCTTAAAAGAATAATTCACCATAAGCAAGTAGGATTTATCCCAGAGATAATGCAAGTATGGTTCAACACATGCACATCTATAAATGGGATATACCACATTAACAGAATGAAGGACAAAAATGTGTATAATCTTCTCAACAGATGCAGAAAATTTGACATAATTTAATATTCTTTCATGAGAATGATTTTTAATAAATTGTAAATAGAAACAACAAAACTCAACACAATAGAGGCTGTATATGATATGCCTGCAGCTAATATTATACTTAATGGTGAAAAGTTGAAAGCTTTTCCTCTATGATCAGGAAAAAAGGTGATCATTTTCACCACCTGTAGTCAATGTAGTACTGGAAGTTCTAGCTAGGGCAATTAGGCAACAGAAGGAAATAAAATGCATCAAAATTGGAAAGGAAGACATTAAATTTTCTGTTTACAGACGCTCTTATATGTAGAAAACCCTAAAGACTCCACAAAAAAATTTTAGAACTAGTAAACAAATGCAGTGAAGTTGAGGATACAAAATAAACGTATAAAATATCAATAATATTTCAATACACTAACAACAAACTATCCCAAAAAGAAATTAAGAAAATAACCTCACTTACAATAGTACAGAAAAAAATACTTTGCAATAAATATTGCCAAGGATGTGAAAGATCTGTACATTGAAAACGATAAAATAGAGATAAAAAGAAAAAAGACAAAAATAAATTGAATGACATCCCATGTTCACGGACTGGAAGAATTAATCTCTTTAACATGTCCATACTGACCAAAGCTGTCTACAGATTTTGTGCAATCCCTATCAAAATTCCCATGAGATTTTTCACAGATTAGAAAAAACAATTCTAACTGACTTCCACAATGGTCGAACTAGTTTACAGTCCCACCAACAGTGTAAAAGTGTTCCTATTTCTCCACATCCTCTCAAGCACCTGTTGTTTCCTGAATTTTTAATTATTGTCATTCTAACTGGTGGTGATTCCTCAGGGATCTAGAACTGGAAATACCATTTGACCCAGCCATCCCATTACTGGGTATATACCCAAAGGACTATAAATCATGCTGCTATAAAGACACATGAACATGTATGTTTATTGCGGCATTATTCACAATAGCAAAGACTTGGAACCAAGCTAAATGTCCAACAATGATAGACTGGATTAAGAAAATGTGGCACATATACACCATAGAATACTATGCAGCCATAAAAAATGATGAGTTCATGTCCTTTGTAGGGACATGGATGAAATTGGAAATCATCATTCTCAGTAAACTATCACAAGAACAAAAAACCAAACACCACATATTCTCACTCATAGGTGGGAATTGAACAATGAGATCACATGGACACAGGAAGGGGAATATCACACTCTGGGGACTGTTGTGGGGTGGGGGGAGTGGGAAAGGATAGCATTGGGAGATATACCTAATGCTAGATGACGAGTTAGTGGGTGCAGCGCACCAGCATGGCACATGTATACATATGTAACTAACCTGCACAATGTGCACATGTACCCTAAAACTTAAAGTATAATAAAAGAATAAATAAAAATAAAAAAAAGAAAAAACAATTCTAAAACATGTACAGAACCATAAAAAAACTGAATTAAAGCAAACTTCAGCAAAAAGAACAAAGCTAGATGTTCCAAGATGTCCAAATAGGAACAGCTGCAGTCTACAGCTACCAACATGATCAATGCAAAAGACAGGTGATTTTGGCATTTCCAACTGAGGTACATGGTTCATCTCATTGGGACTGGTTGGACACTGGGTGCAGCCCATGAAGGGTGAGCTGAAGCAGGGTGGGGTGTCGCCTCACCCGGGAAGCACAAGGGGTCAGGGGATTTCCCTTTCCTAGGTGAGGAAAGCAGTGACAGACTGTACCTGGAAAAATGGGACACTCCTGCTGAAATACTGAGCTTTTCCCATCGTCTTAGCAACCGGCAGACCAGGAAATTCTCTCCCTTGCCTGGCTCGGTGGGTCCCACACCCGCAGCACAGCAGTCTGAGATCAACCTGCAAGGCTGAAGCCTACTGGGGTGAGAGGCATCTGCCATTGCTGAGGCTTGAGTAGGTAAACAAACCATCCAGGAAGCTCGAACTGGGAGGGGCCCACCACAGCTCAGGAAGGCCTATAGCCTCTATAGACTCCACCTCTGTGGGTAGGGCACAGCTGAACACAAAGCAGCAGAAACTTCTACAGACTTAAACGTCCCTGTCTGACAGCTCTGAAAAGAGCTGTGGTTCTCCCAGCATGGTGTTTGAGCTCTGAGAACAGACAGACTGCTTCCTCAAGTGGGTTCCTGACATCTGTGTAGCCTAACTGGGAGATACCTCCCAGTAAGGGCTGACAGACACCTCATAGAGGCAGGTGCTCCTTTGGGAGAAAGCTTCCAGAGGAAGGATCAGGCAGCAATATTTGCTGTTCTGCAGCCTCTGCTGGTGATATCCAGGCAAACAGGGTCTGGAGTGGAACTCCAGCAAACTCCAACAGACCTGCAGCTGAAGGACCTGACTTTTAAAAGGAAAACTAACAAACAAAAAGGAACAACATCAACATCAACAAAAAGGACATCCACACCAAGACCCCATCTGTAGCTTACCAACATCAAAGACCAAAGGTAGATAAAACCACAAAGATGGGGAGAAACGAGAGTAGAAAAACTGAATATTCTGAAAACCAGAGCACCTCTTCCCCTCCAAAGGATCGCAGCTTCTCACCAGCAACGGAACAAAGCTGGACGGAGAGTGACTTTGATGAGTCGACAGAAGAAGGCTTCAGAAGATCAGTAATAACAAACATCTTTGAGCTAAAGGAGGATGTTTGAACCCACTGCAAGAAGCTAAAACCTTGATAAAAGGTTAGACGAATGGCTAACTAGAATAAACAGCGTAGAGAAGAACTTAAATGACCTGAGGGGGCTGAAAGCCAAGATACAACAACTTCATGACGTATGCACAAGCTTCAATAGCTGACTTGATCAAGTGGAAGAAAGGATATCAGTGATTGAAGATCAACTTAATAAAATAAGGCAAGAAGACAAGTTTAGAGAAAAAAGATTAAACGGAAATGAACAAAGCCTCCAAGAAATATGGCACTATGTGAAAAGACTAAATCTACGCTTGATTGGTGTATCTGAAAGTGATGGGGACAATGGAACGAAGTTGGAAAACACTCTTTAGAATATTATCCAGGAGAACTTCCCCAACCTAGAAAGGCAGGCCAACATTCAAATTCAGGAAATACAGAGAGGACCACAAAGATACTCCTCAAGAAGGGCAACCCCAAGACACATAACTTTCAGATTCACCAAGGTTGAAATGAAGGAAAAAATGCTAAGGGCAGCCAGAGAGAAAGGTCTGGTAATAAAGGGAAGCCCATCAGACTAACAGCAGGTCTCTCGGCAGAAACCTTACAAGCCAGAAGAGAGTGGGGGCCAATAATCAACATTCTTAAAGAAAAGAATTTCCAACCCAGAATTTCATATCCAGCCAAACTAAGCTATATAAGTGAAGGAGAAATAAAATCCTTTACAGACAAGCAAATGTTGAGAGATTTGCTTGTCCACCAGGCCTGCCTTACAAGAGCTCCTGAAGGAAGCACTAAACATGGAAAGGAACAAACGGTACCAGGCACTGCAAAAACATGACAAATTGTAACGACCATCAATGCTAGGAAGAAACTGCATCAACTAACGGGCAAAATAACCAGCGAACATCACAATGACAGGATCAAATCCACATATAACAACATTAACCTTAAATGTAAATGGACTAAATGTCCCAATTAAAAGACACAGATTGGCAAATTGGGTAAGAAGTCAAGACCCATCAGTGTGCTGTATTCAGGAGACCCAGCTCACGTGCAGAGACACACATCATTTCAAAATAAAGGGATGGAGGAAGATCTATCAAGCAAAAGAAAAGCAAAAAAAAAAAAACGTGTTGCAATCCTAGTCTCAGATAAGACAGACTTTAAACCAACAAAGATCTTTTGATGAGACAAAGAAGGCCAATACATAATGGTAAAGAGATCTATTCAACAAGAAGAGCTAACCTAAATATATATGCACCCAATACAGGAACACCCAGATTCATAAAGCAAGTCCTTAGAGACCTACAAAGAGACTTAGACTCCCACACAATAATAATGGGAGACTTTAACACCCCACTGTCAATATTAGACAGATCAATGAGAGAGAAGGTTAACAAGGATATCCAGGACCTGGACTCAGCTCTACACCAAGCAGACGTAATAGACCTCTACAGAACTCTCCACCCCAAATCAACAGAATATACATTCTTCTCAGCACCACATTATACATATTCTCAAATTGATCACATAGTTGGAAGTAAAGCACTCCTCAGCAAATGTAAAAGAACAGAAATTATAACAAACTGTCTCTCAGACCACAGTGCAATCAAACTAGAAGTCAGGATTAAGAAATTCATTCAAAACCGCACAAATACATGGAAACTGAACAACCTACTCTGGAATGACTACTGGGTAAATAATGAAATAAAGGCAGAAATAAAGATGTTCCTTGAAACCAATGAGAAAAAAAGACACAACATACCAGAATCTCTGGGACACAATTAAAGCAGTGTGTAGAGGGAAATATATAGCACTAAATGCCCACAAGAGAAAGCAGGAAAGATCTGAAATCGACATCCTAACATCACAATTAAAAGAACTAGAGAAGCAAGAGCAAACAAATTCAAAAGCTAGCAGAAGGCAAGAAAAAAATAAGATCAGAGCAGAACTGAAAGAGATAGAGACATAAAAAACCCTTCAAAAAATGAATGAATCCAGGAGCTGGTTTTTTTTGAAAAGATCAACAAAATTGATAGACCGCTAGCAAGACTAATGAAGAAGAAAAGAGAGAAGAATCAAATAGACACAATAAAAAATGATAAAGGGGATATCACCACCTATCCCACAGAAATATAAAGTACCATCAGAGAATACTATAAACATCTCTACACAAATAAACTAGAAAATCTAGAAGAAATGAATAAATTCCTGGAAACATACACCATCCCAAGGCTAAACCAGGAAGAAGTTGAATCTCTGAACAGACCAATAACAGGCTCTGAAATTGAGGCAATAATTAATAGTCTACCAACCAAAAAAAGTTCAAAACCAGAGGAATTCACAGCCAAATTCTACCAGAGGTACAAAGAGGAGCTGGCACTATTCCTTCTGAAACTATTCCAATCAATAGAAAAAGAGGGAATCCTCCCTAACTCATTTTATGAAGTCAGCATCATCCTGATACCAAAGCCTGGCAGAGACACAACAAAAAAAGAGAATTTTTGACCAATATCCCTGATGAACATCGATGCAAAAATCCTCAATAAAATACTGGCAAGCCAAATCCAGCAGCATATCAAAAAGCTTGTCCCCCATGATCAGCTTGGCTTCATACCTGGGATGCAAGGCTGGTTCAACATATGCAAATCAATAAATGTAATCTATCACATAAACAGAACCAATGACAAAAACCAGATGATTATCTCAAAGATGCAGAAAGGCCTTTGACAAAATTCAAGAGCGCTTCATGCTAAAAACTCTCACTAAACTAGGTATTGATGGAATGTATCTTAAAATAATAAGAGCTGTTTATGACAAACCCACAGCCAATATCATACTGAATGGGCAAAAGCTGGAACCATTCCCTTTGAAAACTGGCACAAGACAAAGTTGCCGTCTCTCACCACTCCTATTCAACATAGTGTTGGAAGTTCTGACCAGGGCCATCAGGCAAAAGAATGAAATAAAGGGTATTCAATCAGGAAAACAGGGAGTCAAATTTTCCCTGCTTGCAGATGACATGATTATATATTTAGAAAACCCCATCGTGTCAGCCCCAAATCTCCTTAAGCTGATAAGCAACTTAAGCAAAGTCTCAGGATACAAAATCAATGTGCAATAATCACAAGCATTCCTATACACCAATAACAGACAAACAGAGAGCCAAGTCATGAGTGGTCCCATTCACAATTGCTTCAAAGAGAATAAAATACCTAGGAATACAGCTTACAAGGGATGTGAAGGACCTCTTCTAGGAGAACTACCAACCACTGCTCAATGAAATAAAAGAGGACACAAACAAATGGGAGAACATTCCATGCTCATGGATAGGAAGAGTCAATATTGTGAAAATGGCCATACTGCCCATGGTAATTTATAGATTCAACGCCATCCCCATCAAGCTACTGATGACTTTCTTCACAGACTTGGAAAAAACTACTTTAAAATTCATATGGAACCAAACAAGAGCCCACATCACCAAGTCAATCCTAAGCCAAAAGAACAAAGCTGGAGGCATCACGCTACCTGACTTCAAACTATACTACAAGGCTACAGTAACCAAAACAGCTTGGTACTGGTACCAAAACAGAGATATAGACCAATGGAACAGAACAGAGGCCTCAGAAATAACACCACACATCTACAACCATCTGATCTTTGACCAATCTGACAAAAACAAGAAATGGGGAAAAGATTCCCTATTGAATAAATGGTGCTGGGAAAACTGGCTAGCATATGTAGAAAGCTGAAACTGGATCCCTTCCTTACACCTTATACAAAAATTAATTCAAGGTGTATTAAAGACTTAAATGTTAGACCTAGAACCATAAAAACCCTAGAAGAAAATCTAGGCAATACCATTCAGGACATAGGCATGGGCAAGGACTTCATGACTAAAACACCAAAAGCAATGGCAACAAAAGCCAAAATAGACAAATGGGTTCTAATTAAACTAAAGAGCTTCTGCACAGCAAAGAAACACCATCAGAGTGAACAGGCAACCTACAGAATAGGATAAAGTTTTTGCTATTTACTCATCTGACAAAGGGCAAATATCCAGAATCTACAAGAACTTAAACAAATTTACAAGAAAAAAATGAATAATCCCATCAAAAAGTGGTCAAAGGATATGAACAGACACTTTTCAAAAGAAGACATTTATGCAGCCAACAGACATATGAAAAAATGCTCATCATCACTGGTCATCAGAGAAATGCAAATCAAAACCACAACGAGATACTATCTCATGCCAGTTAGAATGGCAATCATTAAAGTCAGGAAAAACAGGTGCTGGAGAGGATGTGGAGAAATAGGAACACTTTTACACTGTTGGTGGGCGTGTAAATTAGTTCAACCACCGTGGAAGATAGTGTGGCAATTCCTCAAGGATCTAGAACTAGAAATACCATTTGAGCCAGCAATTCTATTATGGGTATATGCCCAAAGGATTATAAATCATGCTACTGTAAAAACACATGCACATTTATGTTTATTGTGACACTATTCAAAATAGCAAAGACTTGGAACCAACACAAATGTCCATCAATGATAAACTGGATTAAGAAAACGTGGCACATATACACCATGGAATACTATGCAGCCGTAAAAAAGGATGAGTTCATGTCCTTTGCAGGGATATGGATGAAGCTTGAAACCATCATTCTCAGCAAACTATCACAAGGACAGGAAACCAAACAGAGCATGTTCTCACTCATAGGTGGGAATTTAACAATGAGAACACTTGGACATATGGCAGGGAACATCACACGCTGGGGATTGTCAGGGGGGTGGTGCGGGGCTGAGGGAGGGATAGCATTAGGAGATATACCTAATGTAAATGACGAGTTGATGGGTGCAGCAAACAACATGGCAGACCTTTACCTATGTAACAAAACTGCACATTGTGCACATGTCCTGGAACTTAAAGTATAATTTAAAAAAAAGAGCAAAGCTAAAGGCATTATGCTACTTGTCTTTGAAATATACGTCAAAGCTTATTAATAAAAACAGTATGGTACTAGTATAAAAACAAACACATAGACCAATGGAACAGAATAGAGAGCCCAAAGATAAATCCACACAGTTGTAGTCAATTGATGTTCAACAAAGATGCAACTATATACATATTAATAAATAGTGGCTGGGACAACTGGATATCCACATGCAGAATAATGAAACTAGATCCTTATCTCACACCACATACAAAAGTCATCTCAAAATGGAGTAAAGACTCAAAATGTTAAAGCCTAAAATTGTAAAACTACTAGATAACATAGGAAAAAAATCTAAGTAACTGGCTTGGGTAATTTTTTTGGATAGGACCCCAAAAGCACAGGCAACAAAAGTATAGACAAATAAGATTACATTAAATCAAAAAGCTCTGAACACCCAAGGAAATAATCAACAGAGAAAAATTTATGGATTGGGACAAAATATGTGCAAACCATACATCTGATAAGGGGATAATATCCAAAATATATAAGGAACTCAACTCAATAGTAAGAAAATAAATAACTCCATGAAAAGAGCAATGGACAGAAATAGACATTTTTCAAAAGAAGACATACAAATGACCATGGGGTACACAAAAAAATTGGTACTTTTCAACTAATCATCAGAGAAACTCAAAACTACAATGATATGTCACCTCATAACTGTTAGAATGATTATTATCAAAAGACAAAGGATAAGTATCGGCAGAGATTTGGAGAAGAAGAAACCCTTGCACACTGTTGGTAGGAATGTAAATTAATACATTCATTATCAAAAACAGTATAGTGATTTCTCAAAAAAATAGAAATATAACTATCATATGGTTGAACAATCTCACTACTGGGTATATATCCAAAGGAGGTGAAATCAGCGTGCCAAAGAGGTATCTGCACTCCCGTGTTCATTGCAGCATTGTTCACAATAGCCAAGATATGAAATCAACATAAGAGTTCATCAACGAATGGATAAAGAAAATGTGGTACATACACATAATGGAATACCATTTCACCATAAAAAATAAAAGAGAATCCTGTCATTTGTGAAAATGGATGAACCGGAGGACATTATGTTAACTAAAATAAACCAGGCGCAGAAAGATAAATGCTTTATGACCTCACTTATATGTATTATCTAAGAAATAACTGAACTAATAGAAGCAGAGAGGAGAACGGTAGTTACTAGGGGTTTGAGGGGGGTGCCTAGAGAGGGGAAGGGCTTTGTGAAATGTTGGTCAAAAGATACAAAATTTCAGTTTGACAAGAGGAACAAGTTCAAGGAATCTATTTTAGAACATGGTGACTATACTTAATAACAATGAATCGTGTACTTCAATATTGCTAAAAGAGTCTATTTTAAGTGTTCTCACATCAAAAATGATAAATGAGGTAATACGTTAATTAGCTTATTCTAGCCATTCCATGATGTATATATATTTCTAGACATTGTGTTTTATACCACAAATATAATTTTGTCAAAATAAATTTTAGAAAGATGTCAACACTAATTGTTCAAGAAATAGAAGTCATTCTTCATTGTTGTCTTTCCTTCACCTTGTCCTTCTCTGTTTCCAATTGATAAACAAATTGGTTCTATTTTACTCTCAAAACTCATCACGATGCCACCCCTCTTTTCTTCATTTCTGTTGCCATCACCCTAGCCTAAGTGATAATCACCTCTCTTGCCTGGCCTCCCACGACCTCCCTGATCATGACTGTCTCTAATATTTTCTTCATGTAGCAGCCAGAATAAATATTCAAAAACCTAATTCAGATCATGGCACAGCCCTTTTAAAACCCTTCAGTGATCACTTCTTGGCCTTTTGGCTAAGATCCACTGTAAAACCCTTCATTGATATTCTATTTATCTTAAAATAATTCAAAGTTCCTTATCCCAGCCTTCAAGACCACAAATTATTGGATGCCTGTCTGTTCCTCTCAACTTGCATAATTCTTCTCAGTCACTCTGCTCTGGCCATGCTAGCCTGCTTTTACATTTCTAGAACACCTGAAGTCTTTCCTTTCCTTGGAGTTTCCAGCATGTGCTCCTGCCCATAATGCTTTTTCTCTGCCTTTGCACTTGGTTCAAGTCTTCTTCATCCATCACTCTTTCAATTCACTTTAAATTATGTGGCCTTGACAAATTATGCTCTCACTTTACTCTCTGTGTTTCCTTCTTAGCATGATCATAGTTTTCAGTTCACTCATTAAAAAAGTTCCTTACTTACATAATAAAGAACTATTTTTTAATTCCAAATACACTTTATAAGTTCTTACTATGTTTCTGATAATTTTCTAGGCAATAGAATACAGCAATTATCAATGTCCTGACCTCATGGAGATATTTCAGTTCTGCTTTCAGTCAACCATTACCAAACTGTAACAAGAAAAATCTAATTTTATTTAGGTCCAAATAAAAGCAAATATCAGGCCCTAAATCTGGCAGGAAATAGTCCATCTTGCTTATATTGCTAAGATTCTCTAATAAATGTCTGCAATGCAAACTCTTAGCAATAATCAAAGGGGCTCTGATGGGGAAAGAATCATCAAAGTGTAGAGACTGAACTTTTGTTGGCATGTTTACATGTTCTATTCTTTTAACATATAAGGTAGTGGTGACATTTACTTGCTTTCTTTAGTTATTCAGCCTCTAGATTCATGTAGGTGTCTCCATCTGGAGCTTTATTTGAAATCTTCTCTGAATGCCAGCCAGAATTTGTAGAACACAGTGAATCTTTTTTTATAGCAAGCTCATAGAGAATGGTGCTAGGGTGGGGAGGAATAGCTACCCAAGATCCATGTATATAGAACTTAGACTCACAGAGAGAAAACCAGAAATGCAATAACAGTGGACATGCCATGATCAGAGCATAACCTAGGACAACATGTAATTTACAGATTCAGTGTCATCCCCATCAAGCTACCAATGACTTTCTTCACAGAACTGGAAAAAACTACTTTAAAGTTCATATGGAACCAAAAAAGAGCCCACATCACCAAGTCAATCCTGAGCCAAAAGAACAAAGCTGGAGGCATCACACTACCTGACTTCAAACTATACTACAAGGCTACAGTAACCAAAACAGCATGGTACTGGTACCAAAACAGAGATATAGATCAATGGAACAGAACAGAGCCCTCAGAAATAACGCCGCGTATCTACAACTATCTGATCTTTGACAAACCTGAGAAAAACAAGCAATGGGGAAAGGATTCCCTATTTAATAAATGGTGCTGGGAAAACTGGCTAGCCATATGTAGAAAGCTGAAACTGGAGCCCTTCCTTACACCTTATACAAAAATCAATTCAAGATGGATTAAAGACTTAAATGTTAGACCTAAAACCATAAAAACCCTAGAAGAAAACGTAGGCATTACCATTCAGGACATAGGCATGGGCAAGGACTTCATGTCTAAAACACCAAAAGCAATGGTAACAAAAGCCAAAATTGACAAATGGGATCTAATTAAACTAAAGAGTTTCTGCACAGCAAAAGAAACTACCATCAGAGTGAACAGGCAACCTACAAAATGGGAGAAAATTTTCACAACCTACTCATCTGACAAAGGGCTAATATCCAGAATCTACAATGAACTCAAACAAATTTACAAGAAAAAAAACAAACAACCCCATCAAAAAGTGGGCAAAGGACATGAACAGACACTTCTCAAAAGAAGACATTTATGCAGCCAAAAAACACATGAAAAAATGCTCACCATCACTGACCATCAGAGAAATGCAAATCAAAACCACAATGAGATACCATCTCACACCAGTTAGAATGGCAATCATTAAAAAGTCAGGAAACAACAGGTGCTGGAGAGGACGTGGAGAAATAGGAACACTTTTACACTGTTGGTGGGAATGTAAACTAGTTCAACCATTGTGGAAGTCAGTGTGGCGATTCCTCAGGGATCTAGAACTAGAAATACCATTTGACCCAGCCATCCCATTACTGGGTATATACCCAAAGGACTATAAATCATGCTGCTATAAAGACACATGAACATGTATGTTTATTGTGGCATTATTCACAATAGCAAAGACTTGGAACCAACCCAAATGTCCAACAATGATAGACTGGATTAAGAAAATGTGGCATATATACACCATGGAATACTATGCAGCCATAAAAAAGGATGAGTTCATGTCCTTTGTAGGGACATGGATGAAACTGGAAATCATCATTCTCAGTAAACTATCACAAGAACAAAAAACCAAACACCACATATTGTCACTCATAGGTGGGAATTGAACAATGAGAACACATGCACACAGGAAGGGGAACATCACACTCTGGGGACTGTTGTGAGGTGGGGGGAGGGGGGAGGGATAGCACTGGGAGATGTACCTAATGCTAGATGACGAGTTAGTGGGTGCAGCGCACCAGCATGGCACATGTATACATATGTAACTAACCTGCACATTGTGCACATGTACCCTAAAACATAAAGTATAATAATAAATAAAAATAAAAAAATAAAAAAAAACTTGCTCAAACAGGTGGGAAAACACGCTTTCTTATTTTTTTGAAACCATTCACCACCAATGATTTATTTATGGAGTTGATCTATATAAACAATTCTACTCCCTTCACCCCAAAATTACATTGTGGCACATTAAACCTTAGAATCATTGCACCATAGACTATCATAGATATTATAGGGGATACTCAAAAGTCAAAAGCAGGAACCTACTATGCAATGTCCCCACCACACTGTCTTCTGGATCATGTTTATATACCTATAGTGCCAAAATACTCATTGCATTTTCACCTAAGGGTGCTTCAGGCTGTTAAAATAGCTGTTACTTAAGCTATTCATGTGTCTTTAATATATAACTTTCTAGATATTAATTTTCACTAATCCAAAAGCAAAATGGCTCAAGCCTTCATCTTTTGTGCTTAGAAAATTACAGTTTTCCTCTAATATTCTAGGGAGTACTTTGTGGATCTAGTAATCTCCTGGACAAGTCTCATTCTGGATTCCTACTCACATTAAGTGCACCATCTAATCTTTTCAATCTTATTACAGAGGCTCCTATCTACCTTGACACACTGTTGTGACCCAAGTGTGGATAGCCTTGCTCACATTTCATTTTCTAAAACACCAACTACTAAAAGCTGCTTATGAAACTTTTTACTGCAAGTTGGCAGGGTCACAGAAGGAAAGCAACTAGATATGACATTTACCAAGACACTTAGTTGTATGCTGTACAAGGATTTAATTTCTCATGGCCTTTCTTCTCCTTAGTCTGTGGTCTACCACTATCTCACCCACCGTCTCAGACACTTGTCTCCCATTCTCTTCCTTCCAACCTAAAATGTCCAGAGCTGAATTCAGACGATTCTTTCTTACTTTATTATGGAGAACAATTCTCTCTATATCCAGCTTCTTCCACCCAAACTAATTTGGAAACCTATATTTGCATAATATGTATTATAGAATTATTTGTACACAAAAGAATAATTTTCTCACTAGTTTAACTCTGTCTTTGGCTCCTAAAGTAACCAGCTAAACTAACAAGCTTTAAAGTAACAAAATGTTACTTCCTATACCCTTATATTAACCCAGAATGTGTCCCACTAGTGGTAATATTTATTGGTTTTAGTTCATTCATTTAATGATATTTATTGATTTTCTACTATGGTCAAGGCACCATGCTAGACATTGAGGGATGTAAAGACCCAATCCCTGCCTTCAATGAACAAAGATATAGAGATAAATACAAAGGCAGTTAAAATATGTTATAATAATTGGTCCTCTGGAGATATAAGCAGTTCATGGGAGACATGTAAAAACACTTAATCTAGACATGGAGGGTTCAGTGGAATGAGCTGTGTTCTTCAAAAAGATATATCCAAGTCCTAACCCCTGGTACCTGTGAATGTGTCTTTATTAAGGATCTCGAGATAAGATCATCCTGGATTTAGAGTGGGCCCTAAATCCAATGACTAGCATCCTTATAAAAGAAGACATGGCATAAAGACAAGGAAGAAGTCCAGGTGAAAATGAAGGCAGAATTTTGGAGTTAGGCTGCCACAAGCCAAGAAATGCCAGGAGCTACCTGAAGGAAAAAAAAAAAAAAGAAAAAAAAAAAAGACGAGGAAGCATTCTCTCCTAGAGCCTTTAAAGGGAACGTGGTGCTTTTAACACCTTCATTTCAAACTTCTGCCCTCTAGACTGTGAGGTAACAACATTTCCATTGTTTTAAGCTACCACATTTATTGCAATTTGTTGCAGCAGCCCTAGGAAACTAATATAGAGGATGATCTAATATTTTCTCAAGAACATGATGTCTAAACTAAGAAAATTAATGTCAGCAAGTTAGTAAAGGGGTTACAGGGATTGAATAGTGTCCTGACCCAGAGAACAGCACTATGAGGATGTAATATGTAATATGAGGATATCAAATGATGATGACTGCTGTTTTTCTATTTCTTATGAGAACACAAATGGCCACGGAGATAACTCACAGCTGTGACAAAAGGAACCGTATACCCCCCACCCTTTTAGTTCAGAAGAATGCCAGTGGTTCCAACCCTCCCACCACAGAGTTTACTAATAGGGGATGTATTAGTCCATTTTCACCCTGTTAATAAAGACATACCTGAGACTGGGCAATTTACAAAAGAAAGAGGTTTAATGGACTTCCAGTTCCCTGTGGCTGCGGAGGCCTCACAAACTTTTATGCTGTTTCCCTTTTAAAACTGAATGCTTTTAACAGCACCCAAGTCACCTCTTGAATACTACTTAGAAATTTCTTCTGCCGGATACCCTAAATCATCTCTCTCATGTTCAAAGTTCCACAAATCTCTAGGGCAAGAGCAAAATGCTGTCAGTCGCTTTGTTAAAACATAACAAGAGTCACCTTTGCTCTATTTCCCAACAAGTTCCTCATCTCCATCTGAGACTACCTCAGTCTGGATTCCGTTGTCCATGTCATTATCAGCATTTTGGTCAAAGCCATTCAACAAGTGTCTAGGAAGTTCCAAACTTTCCCACATTTCCTGTCTTCTTCTGAGCCCTCCAAACTGTTCCAACCTCTGCCTGTTACACAGTTCCAAAGTCACTTCCACATTTTGGGTTATCTTTTCAGCAGTGCACCACTTTACTGGTACCAATTTACCGTATTAGTCCATTTTCACACTGCTGATAAAGACATACCTGAGACTGGGCAATTTACAAAAGAAAGAGGTTTAGTAAATTTACAGTTCCATGTGGCTGGGGAGGCCTCACGATTATGGTGGAAGGTGAAAGGCACATCTCACATGACAGCAGACAAGAGAAGAGAGTTTCTGCAGGGAAACTCCCCTTTATAAATCCATCAGATCTCACGAGACTTATTCACTATCACAAGAACAGCATGGGAAAGACCTGCCGCCATGATTCAATTACCTCCCACCAGGTCCCTCCCACAACAGGTGGGAATTCAAGATGAGATTTGGGTGGGGACACAGCCAAACCATATCAGGGAACATTCCAACAGAACTCTCACCACAACCCTCCCAATACCTTGTATCCCTATAAAGACTTGCATTCAACTACAAATAACAGAAAACTCACTGCAACAGCTTAAACAATGGAATTTGAGGGTTTTTTTTCCACCTAACAGGGAGTCCAGAGGTTAATAATGGCTGATAGAGGCCAGCATCCATGTATAAACCAAAACTAAAATCCTAAGTCCCCCACTAACTGGACGGACCCCCTTTGGGCCAAGGGTACCCCAGAGAAACCTTAAAAGCTGACTTCCTACCCATGACAAGAGGGAGATTGGATACACCTCATTATAATCACTTTCCTTTGGAGTTTAGGCACAACCACTGACAAGTATTAATGTTAAAATAGAGATCATAAAACAAACAAAATATACTCTTTGTGGCAAAAAATATATACCAAATTTCAAACAAGACCTAAGGCCATATAAGAATCAAGTCATACACCTGCTGACCATCAGTCTTGTCAACAGGTCATACTGTAGCTAACTCTGACATATCATCCTTATTGGAACATTCCTTTTTGCTAACTCCAAGTTTTTAGACAAAGTTTTGTTCCTTTCACCAATTACAGGTTAAAAAATCTATAGATCCACCTATGACTTATAAGCTCTTGCTTAAAGATACCTGTATTTTTTGGCCAAACCAATATACGCCTTCCATGTATTGATTTATGTTTTTGCCTATAACTCCAGGCTCCCTAAAATGTATAAAACCAAACTGTTATCTGACCACCTTGGGCACACTTTCTCAGAACTCCTTGAGACTGTTTTCCCAAGCCAAGGTCATTCATATTGACTCAAAAAACCTCTTTGAAATATTTTCCTGAGTTTGGATTTTTGGTTAACAATGCGAGTCCTGTGGACTTTTCCTCAGGTGTGTTGTAACTCTACCTTCACCTCTGAGCATGAGGTTTTCATTTTAGGCAAAAAGAAAAGGGACTGGTGAGTGGGAATGGGGCTTTCTTCTACAAAGTATTTGCTTTTTGTTTTGAAATTAAGGATAAAAATATTTCTCATGGGCTTTGTCCTCCATGTCATTGATCAGCACTCTATCACATGGTCACCCTAAGTTCAAGGAATGTTAGGAAATTGGATATTTATTTCTTTTGCTTTTTAAATAAAAAAGCAACAGAAAAGTGTATCCAGAGTGAACATTAAGTGAGAAAAGATACAGTGTATATTAAGATGGATAAAAATAGAGACAAAGTTAGGTTATTTTTAAGAGTTTATTGAGCTCCTATAGCATCCACTTAACATGTTTCCTCTAAATAAATATTCATCAACATTGGGAAGTAGAGCATCAGAGAAAGGAACTACCACCATCACATTTTCTTGTTGGAGGTTTTTGAAGTCACTAGGTATTTTTTCTTCATTTTATGGGCTGAGTTATGTGGAGGAGTGCCAGGGAAAGAAGTGGAAACCTCAAGCTACATATTAAGACCAATCAAGGAAAAGAAAAGTATACTTCCCCCAAAGCTAGGTCACGCATAGCATATATCGCTGGATTCCCTGGGTGCTGAAGTCAGATCACAGAAAAGGGAACAAACTACGCCACTACCTTATCAGAAAATGCTTGGATACTAGCATTCAACAGTGATGTGGGAGAAGTGGTTCTACTCCTTAAGTGATCCCAAGGTTTAGAATAATGTAGAAGGGTAGTATCAGCTGATACTTGAAGATTGCCTATATTTCTCTTTTAAATTATTATTTTAATTTCAGCTTTTAGATACAAGGGTACATGTATCTAAAATACATGTATTTTACACAGGTATTGTGAATTGTGGATTTTAAAACTACCTATTGGCTACTATGCAAACTACCTGGTGGCTACTATGCCATCCAGTCCACCACTGATGAGCACCTAAGCTGATTCCATGTCTTTGCTATTGTAAGCAGTATGGTGATGAACATTCCTTAGGCTATATAACTACCCAGTAGATAGCATAGTAGCCAATAGTTTTTTAGCCCACAACCCCCCATCCTTCTCTAGTAATCCACAGTGTCTATTATTCCCATGTTTACATCCATCTGTGCTCAATGTTTAGCTTCCACTTATAAGTGAGAATATGTGGTATTGGTTTTCTGTTCCTGATTAATTCGCTTAAGATTATGGCCTCCAGCTCCAACCATGTTGCTGCAAAGGCATGATTTCATTTTTTTATTGCTGTGTAGTATTCCATGAGATATATATATCATATATATATGTGATATATATATATATATCAAATGTGATATATATGTGATATATATATATATCACATGTGATATACATATATTTTCTTTATCCAGCCCACCACTCATGGGCACCTAGGTTGATTCCATGTCTTTGCTATTGTGAATAGTATGGTGAACACATGAGTGCATGTCTCTTTTTGGTAGAATGACCTGTATTCCTTAAGAGTATATACCCAGTAATAGGATTACTGGGTCAAATAGTAGTTCTAAGTTCTTCGAGAAATCACCAAACTGCTTTCCACAGTGGCTAAACTAACTTACATTCCCACTAACTGTGTCTAAGTGTAACCTTTTCTCCACAGCCTCATCAGCACATGCTGTTTTTTGACTTTTTAATGATAGCTGTTCTGACTGGTGTGAGATGGTATCTCATGGTTTTGCTTTGTATTTCTCTCATGATTAGTGATGGTGAGCATTTTTTCATGTTTGTTGGCCACTTGTCTTCTATTGAGAAGTGTCTGTTCACGTTCTTTGTCTATTTTTAAATAGGGTTATTTGGTTTTTGCTTGTTGATTTGTTTAAATTCCTTATAGACTGGATATTAGACCTTTGTCAGATGCATGGCTTGGGAATATTATCTCCCATTCTATATGTTGTCTGTTTACTCAGTTGATGGTTTCTTTTTCTGTGGAGAGCTCTTCAGTTTAATTAGGTCCCACTTAACAATTTTTGTTTTTGCTGCAATTGCTTTTGGGGACTTGGCCATAAATTCTTTGCCAAGGCTGATGTCAAGAGGGTATTCCCTAGGTTTTCTTCTGGGATTTTTATAGTTTGAGGTCTTACATTAAAATCTTTAACCCATTTGTAGCTGATTTGTGTATATGATGAAAGGGTCCAGTTTCATTCTTCTGCATATGATTAGACAGTTATCCTAGCACCATTTATTGAATACGGAGTCCTTCCCCAATTTATTGTTTTTGTCAGCCTTAGAAGACTGCCTATATTTCTAATTGATTACTCCTAATGGGTTTCAACTTAGCCAGAAGGATATTTCCAAAAATCAGATCAATCTTATTATAACTCTAAACCTGGCATCTGACTTCTCTCAGTGTAGACCAAGTAACAACACCAGACATAAGGAAACAGTGTGTATTAGGTGATTCAACCATAACACCTCACTATCACTAATACAGCATAAGCAAAGACATCCCACTCCTCTACCATCTCCCCCTTCATACTACATAGACATCCACACATGCACACACGTACACACATTCACACCCCCCCACCCACAACATGCACACACCCCTTTACATCATCATCAATACAACAGGCACTGGGAAAAAGATAAAGAGAGGGAGAAAGCCAACAACACATCCAACCCTATCCATATCGACACATAAACCCTGTTCAATACGTATACTATACAGAAGCCCTGCACAAGCTTTTAAAAAAGGAAAGTTTTACTACCCCAAATTAAGACTATTTTTAATCAGAAGTAAATAAAAAGTTATTTGTCAAACTGAGATATCACTGTTTCTTGTTGCCCAGCAGGGAAGGAATTCAACAAAGCAAACCTGGCAACAGTTATTGAAAAAAAAAATAGAATTGTCTTACATTCACAAACCATTAACTTGAAACTTCTTCATCAAAACTTTTATTTGTGCAAAGGCCTAGAGGTAAGAATAATCATGATTTATTCAGAGAAAGAAAGAAAATTTCAGAATGTTTGGAGCAGAGAAAACAAGAGAGAAGGAAAAAAGATGGGATTGAGTGGCTAAATGAAGGCAGTTTATAAATAACCCCCAAAGTATTATTCTAAATGTAATGGGGGATGATATTTAATCAGGATAATGCTATGATCTGACTGGATTTTTGGAACCATCCCTCTGGCTCCAATAGAAACATTTTTGGAAGTAATGAATTCAAAATACGGAAGACCAGAAAGGAAGGTGTTTTGAGACTAAAGACAAAAGATGATTGCCTGAACTATGATAATAACAAAAGATGAAGGTAAGCAAAAAATAAAAGGAGAGCCATTTTATCAAATAGAAACACAAGGCTTGATAACTGATTACATATAAAAAGTAAATGAGAAAAGGGCAAGTCATGGAAAATTATTGGGTATTTGGCTTTTATAATTAGGTAGATGGTGGTAATTTCACTGATAAAAAGGACACTAAAGGGGGATATTTATAGGATTTTATGTGGTGATATCTACTAGGTGACTAACAAATTAGATCTGAAGCTCTGGAGAAATATCTTGGCTGAAGATATAGATTTGAGAATCATGATTGAAATTATATAATTGAATTTGTGAGTATGAAAAATATAATCCTCAAAGAGAGGCTACGTGAAGCAAAAAAATAAAAATTCTATCTAGGCTAGAATCTGGAAGAAAATTCATATACAAGAGATTAGCAGAAAGCAGGGAAATTCAAAACAAACTGGGAAAAAGCAGAGTAATTAGAGAAAGTTTAAAAAATGTAATAATAATAGGGAAAAATATTTCACAAAGTAGGGAATATTCAAGATTGTATTAGGTTGGTGCAAAAGTGATTGTGGTTTTTGCTGTTACTTTTAATGGCAAAAACTGCAATCACTTTTGCACCAACCTAATAAATTTGCTGCACAGAGATCAAGTCAGTTGAGGATCAGTTAAAGAAATTATTGGTGACTCTGGCAAGAGCACTTTCAGTGGTGTAGCATGGGACTGGTCTATCAAAACTGCCATCTTATAATCATTCATATAAAACAACTAACCAATAATAAGAATATGGAAGACAGACTCGGCCTGTGTGCTTTGGCAACTTTAAGTTCCTTTGGTACTGCATATGCTGATCAACAAAGTAAATGATATTGAAGGTGTTGAGAGTATGGATACTATGCAATAAGAAATTACCCACAACACAAATGTACCAGAATTTGATTTGACGTGGAAATTTTACAAAATTTGTTTTGGGATTCAAGCTTGCTCTTTGGAAGAATAGTGAAAGACTTACTTATCATCTCCGGAACTCTAAACTTGCTGATGATCAAGGATGAGACAACCAAAATTATTATCACCATAAAAATATTAGTTAGAAGGATTGCATATCATTCAAAGTGTAGTATTACTACCTAAACATTCACTTTCAAATATATTCAAAATTGACTTGGAGTAAAAATTAATATCCATATATGCTTTATATGTTGCAATTCTTCCCAGAAAATCTTATCTTAGGGTCCATTTCACCATCAATATTTACAATGGCAGAGCTCAAAACAGAATAGCTTGCTCCTCCTTTGATCTAAATTGAAAGTGAGAGTCTACTGTATTGGGATTACACAGGTTTAGTGTATTGACCTCCACTGAGAAGGCTGGGAAATCATTGTGTTGTACAGTAATGTCAAATTATACACTTTGACTTTGAGCATTTTTAATGACAAAATTAAAATAAAATGTGGAAATTTTAATATTTATTCTTTTTTCCCAGAAGTTCATGCCATGAAGTGATATTCATCTTCAACTTCAACTTAGGCTGAATATTGACTTTAACCCTTGGCTAGACATTCAGCTAAAATGTGTAATTTCGTGGACCCTACCCAACAGTGTTTCATGGGCTTTTTTAGAAGGGTCTGCAATGTAGCATGCTTGCACAACAGTAAGTAATCAAAAAGCAAGATTCTTGACAAGAAAGTTAATGTGTTTAATTAACATATTAAGCAATCTACAGTAGCCTGAAATGTGTTAATGAAAATCATCTGGGGGAAAAATAAAAGGAAGCCCAGAAAAAGTCCATATGCCTAGCTGATGTGCTAGTTAATTCTACTCAAGGAAGGTTTTCTGTGAAGATTAGTGTAGCAAGAAACAAATCCCTCTGAATTCATGACACGATGCATGCCAAAAGAATAAGGAATTTGGGATTATAAAAATGCCTTATGGTGTGGTTATAGGTACAGGAGAGAGAGCAAAGATAACTAACAACACAAGATTGAGAGAGGATAAATAAGGCAGAGCCCTAGGAGGGATTGGCCTTGGGTAAGAGAGGTCACTTCCTTTCTGGTAACTGATATGAAAGAGATAGGATATCCTTGGCTTTGATCTTTGTTCTGTTTTGCTTCCCTTTGAGGATTGAATTAATTTGAAGCTGAGCTTCTGTCTTTTTTGAGTTTGTCTGTTTCCAGTTTACCCACACAACTCTGGTGTAGCTTTGAAAGATTCAAATTCTAATTCCTATTCTTCTAGTCCCATGATTAAGCCAAAATCTCTGTTCAGCTCTTCAGCCTCTCTGCTGCTTTCAAATTTACAAATGCCCTGAAAGAAAAGCGATGCCTAATGTCATGCTCTCTGCCCTTTCTTTCTCCCTGGAATCTTGAATTCACAAATCTTGGCAGCCTCAGTAAGATCTCAGATATCTTCAAACGATTTGTTGTTTTCTTTTCTTTCCCCTTTATTCAGCTATTTTGGTTGTTCTCAGAGAGAGGTTTGATCCAATACAGCTAGTTGGTTATCTGTCTAACTGTATTTTTTTCTACATTACATATTATCTCCATACACCTCCTTATCTTTCATATCAAAAGATTTTAATCTGTGATCATGTACACTTTAAAAAATAACCCACAAAACTCGTATGAGAGATTCTAAATATAGTGAGATTCTCTCCCTACATTTTTTTCCCTTTGTCCTCATGCATTGATAGTCACTGGTTCAGACACTCTTTTCAGGAAGCAAACTGGGACCGGAACTTTGGCAAGGGCTGAGTAAATAACCTCCCCAATCACTATAGCCTTCTCTTTAGACTCTACAGGTTCATCTGTGAATCACAGATGCCATCTGAGAGTCATTATTAAAGTCAGGATTTAAAAGAGTCTGTAAAATGTAGAATTATTTCACTACATAATTTATTTGTTCTGTTTCCCAAAAATTTCAAAGAGAAGTTTATCATTTCCCTGTATAACTTATACATTGACTTATTAAACTCAGTTTTTTTCTAGGAAGTAAAATAGAAATTCTTTTATTTGTATAAAACACATGCCTGGTATTACCAAGTCTGAAAGCACCTGGCATCTTACTGGTGGTGACTTCCAATGCAATCCGTCTATTGTTCTGAAAGGAAGAACAGTTTCAGGTTATCCTACAGGAGGCAGGGCGAGGTGGCTCACGCCTGTAATACCAGCACTTTGGGAGGCCAAGGCAGGTAAATCACCTGAGGTCAGGAGTTCGAGATCAGCCTGGCCAACATGGTGAAGCTCCATCTCTGCTAAAAACTACAAAAATTAGCTGGACGTGGTGGCCCATGCCTGTAATCCCAGCTACTCAGGAGGCTGAGGCTGGAAAATCACTTGAACCCGGGAGGAGGAGATTGCAGTGAGCTGAGATTGCAACACTGCACTCCAGCCTAGGCAACAGAGCGAGACTGCATCAAAAAAAAATAATAATAAAAGTTTACTGTATAGGAAAACAATGTTTTCCACTAAAAGATAATTGTAATTTCTAGCTTTCCAAATTTTTCTCTGAACAAACATTTTTTAAAAAGAATTATTGGAGAATTATATGAGAAATCAAATACTCCTACTTTTGAGAAAATCACATACTTTGAGAAAATCCCTTTAAACTTTATCAAAAATACTTTTACTCTCCTGAATTCTATACCTGGAAATGTCCTGTCTTAAAAGAAGCAGCTAAGGACAAAGTAAAGTGAAGTAATCATTCCTTTAAAGAACTGTGCTTTTCAGGGCAGGGTGGGGGTGGGGTCAGTTCAGCACATATATTATGATTAGTGTGTAAAATACCACCTGCTAAAATGAATCCTCAGAAAAGGCAGTCTGCATAAACACTTTTGTGGAGGTTTAAATTAGCCCTTTACAGCATTCAGGGAAGTGAGCCTACTTTTTTAAGAAAAAATAAATAAATAAATTTTATATATATACACACACACGTTACATTGACTTGAATTTTACAGTATGATATAGAGAAGACGTTTTTCAAGACACAGCCTGAAATACACTGCATCCATGAAAAATATCTGTGAAACTCACTTTCAAAATAATTCTCCTTTATTCATGAAACTGTATATTTCAAAGAAAATCTAGAAAAGGGTATGACTATAACTAGGACCATCTATCACTGGAAAATGTTTTTACTTTTAATATATGTAGAAAATCTCTATTTCCAAAATGCAAATAAAAACTACAATGAGATATCATCTCACCCTAGTTAAATGGCTTTAATCCAAAAGACAGGCAATAACAAATGTCAAGGACGTGGAGAAAAGGAAACCCTTGAACACTTTGGATGGGGTTGTAAATGAGTACAACCACTATGGAGAACAGTTTGGCGTTTCCTCAAAAAACTAAAAATAGAGTTACCATATGATCCAGCAATCCCACTCCTAGTTATATATCCAAAAGAAAGAAAATCAGTATATCTAAGAGATATCTGCACTTCCCTGTTTATTACCGTGCTATTCAAAATAGTCAAGAATTGGGAGCAACCTAAGTGTCTATCAACAGATAAATGGATAAAGAAATGTGGTACATATACACAAGGGAGTACTATTCAGCCATAAAAAAGAATGAGATCTTGTCACCTGCAACAACACAGATGGAACTGAGGTCATTATGTTAAGTAAAATAAACCAGACACAGAAAGACAAACTTCACATGTCCTCACTTATTTGTGGGAGTTAAAAATTAAAACAATTGAACTCATGTACATAGACAGTAGAAGGATGGTTACCAGAGGCTGGGAAGGGTGGGGCAGGGTGTGTGGAAAATGGGATTGGTTAATGGATACAAGAAAATAGAATAAGACTTAGTATTTGCTGGCACACCAGTCAGACCATAGTCAGAAGTAATTTAATTATACATTTTTAAATAACTAAAAGAGTATAATTAGATTGTCTGTAACACAAAGGATAAATGCTTGAGTGATGGATACATTTACCCTGATGTGATTATCACATATTGAATGTCTGTATCAAAACATCTCACATAACCCACAAATATATATACCTACTACATACCCACAAAAATTAAAAGTTAAAAATTTTAAAAAGAACCGAAAAGAAAATCTCTGACTAAATTTTATATAATAAATATTATTTTATAGTTATAATGAGAAAAGCTACATAAAAGCCTTTAAATGCTTTACTCTCTTCCCCTTGGCTACTTGAGAACAATTCCTTTTAGGTCTGAGTGAGCTTGGCAAGCGTGGCGGAGAGACGCATTTATCACTGAGTTATCATTTGAAGCTTCTTCCACCATGTCCTGCTTAGCAGTGACAGGACATCCACTGTGAGTTAATTGCTTGTCAAAAACTTAAACATATGTGATAACCTCACACATCACCAGGGTTACTCTTTCCCATCTTCCAAAGTCTAAATGGACTTGGACTATAGCCTAGTGGACTCTACGAATAAGAGAAAGTAGTCCAAGAAGTTAGTTCTGTGCTTTGTCACCATTGTAGACATTTGATTCTAAAATGGTCCACATGCATATTATCCATAGTGTGATTAACATGGAGCCACTCTGTACATAAGAGCCAACAGGATGGTTCAACATCAAGGGTGTCTGGCAAAACATGTCTTCTCAATAGCTTGTCATTCATATTAAGTCATCCTTGTGTAGTATACCAAAGTCTCTCCTGGAAGACATTTAATGACACAGGGTTCTGTATTAAGTGCTATATATTACCTCATTTCTCTTCACAAAGCCCAGTGAAATCAGAATTCAATGACACGGGGTTCTGTATTAAGTGCTATCTTATCTCATTTCTCTTCACAAAACCCAGGGAAATCAGGTGCTGTATTGGTCCGTTCTCACACTGCTGCAAGTAAACTACCTGAGACTGGGTAATTTATAAACAAAAAGGCTTAATTGACTCACAGTTCTGCATGGCTGGGGAGGCCTCAGGAAACTTACAATCATGGCAGAAGGTGAAGGGAAAGCAGGCACCTTCTTCACAAGGCAACAGGAGAAAGAGAGACAGTTCAGGAGAAATGGCCACTTTTAAAACCATCAGATCTTGTGAGAATTCCGTCACTATCACGAGAACAGCATGGGGGGAAACCACCCCCATGATCCAATCACCTCCCACCAGGTCCCTCAACACATGGGAATTCCAATTCAAGATGAGATTTGAGTGGGAACACAGACAACTATATCAGGTGTTTACTGTTATTGCCGTTTGTAGTGAGGAAATTATCAGGTGTTTACTGTAGTGAGGAAATTAGCAGGTGTAGTGAGGAAAATATCAGGTGTTTACTGTTATTGCAATTTGTACTCAGAATTAGAGAGGTTAAGTAACTTTACCAAGAACACAGGGTTAGCGAATGGCAAGCTATAATTCCAGCCACGTTGCTGTACTGCCTCCTCCTGTGGCCCCTAGGAAATTTCAGGACAAGTACTAAGTGTGTGAGCTACTGAGTAACTTTGGCAAGTCACTTAACCTCTCTGAGTTTCCTTAGTTGTTTTGAAAAAGAAAGGTGGGAAAAAACCCTTTACTTTCTACTTTCACATGCACAACTCACCACTCAACACAGAATACTTCATCTTTGGTCACCAAGATGTATGGGCCTTCTCTCATACCAGTTGGTTCTCTAAAGGACACCAGCTGGGTATCCTGTAATTCAATTCAATTCTGACCCTATCTACTTGTAGATACTGTCAGATCTCAAAGGTTAAGGGCTCGAGTCCCATAAGCCTGGTCCCTATATCACATGCCAATAACAAGCCTCAGATAGTGACCTGTGCTTCTGATCCACCACTCCACCTAGGGTTTGATTAATTTGCTACAGTGGCCCACAGAACTCAGAAAAACACTTACTTTTGTTTACCCACTTATTATAAAAGATATTATGAAGTGTATTAGTCCATTTTTATACTGCTATAAAGAACTGCCTGAGACTGGGTAATTTATAAAGGAAAGTAATTTAATTGACTTACAGTTCAGCAAGGCTTGGGAGGCCTCAGGAAACTTACAATCATGGCAGACGGTGAATGGGAAGTAAGTCACCGCCTTCAGAAGGCAGCAGGAAGGAGAAGTGCCAAGCAAAGAGGGGAAGAGCCCCTTATAAAACCATTAGATCTCGTGAGAACTCACTCACTATCACGAGAACAGCATGGGGGAAACCACTCCCATGATTCAATTACCTCCACCTGATCTCTCCCTAGACACAAGGGGGTCATGGGGATTACAATTCAAGATGAGATTTGGGTGGAGACACAAAGACTAAGCATATCACAACAATTAACAGATGCACAGCCAGATGGAAGAGATGCATAGGGCAATGTATGTAGGAAGGGTTGCGGAGCTTCCATGCCCTCTCTAAGGTGCACCACCCTCCAGGTGCCTCCAAGTGTTCATCAGTCCAGAGACTCTATCCTTTTGCAGTTTTACAGAGGCTTCACTAAGTAGGCATGACGGATAACATCACTGGCCAGTGGTGATCAGCTCAACCTCAGTCTCTCTCCTCTGGAGGTTGTGTGTTGGGGGCTGAAAGTCCCAAAACTATAATCATGCCTTTGTCTTTCTGGTGACGAGCCCCCCATCCTGAAGCTATCTAGGGGTCCCAGCCACTAGTCAGCTTAATAGCATATAAAAGATACCCTTAACACTCCAGAGATCCCAAGAGTTTTACGAGCTGTGTGCCAGGAACCAGGGACAGAGACTAAATATGTATTTCTTATAATACAAGTATCACAATATCACAGTTGTGAAACTGGCATCGTAACAATACTTATTTCAAAGAGTCATTGTGTTTATTAAAATAAGATAGTGCAATAGAATTTATAACATAGTCTAGCACCGAGAGAACTAAATGTTAGCTATTATTATCTGCTGTGAACACTAATACACAAACTCTTTCTTACCACCTACTATATAAAAACTCTAACAAAATTCATTTTAAATATTACAGACATCTTTGCTGTTTGGTAGTGTTAAATTTGGCATAAGGATGTCTCTGTACTTTGAGTCCTCATGTAATGAACTGCAACCTAACTTAGTGCATAAATTAACCAAAAGCCTAATTTAGGAGTATACTTTTTAAACAAATAGCTGAGTCTCAGCCTATCACAGCAGCCAAGCTTCAGTCAGTTACAGGCAGCCAATTAATTAGGCCATATTCAAATGAGGCAAACACCAAGATGTCACCAATCAAACTGTCTCTGTATCTCATTGGTAATTTCTGGTTCTGAAGGTTGCTTGGCTCACAAATAGTTATTTGCTTAATTAAACCGTTAAACTTAATTTTGCTAAAGTTTTAATTTTAACAATAATAATACACAGGGCCAAACTATCACAAATCCTATGCAAAACCTTGAGCACAGCTAACTGGCCTTCTGTTTAGTCTACATTTCTCTATCCAGTCATCTGAGAACATGTAAATCTTCATTACATTCTTCATCAAAAGTTAGACATACTCTGTCAAAGTCATTCATTTTCATGATATGCCTATCAGTCTAGAAAACTCATTTTTAAAAAAGGGGGAAAGAAAAAGACACAATAGGTTGTTGCACCTGATAATAGGTGGGACACACAATGGGCTTCTCTAACCCATTAAGTTTGAAAGTTAATTCCTATCTTTGCTTAGAAATCTGTTCCCCAGCCGGGCGCAGTGGCTCACGCCTGTAATCCCAACACATCGGGAGGCCGCGGCGGGCGGATCGCGAGGTCGGGAGATCGAGACCATCCTGGCTAATACGGTGAATCCCCGTCTCTACTAAAAATCCAAAAAAAAAAAAGCCAGGTATGGTGGCGGGCGCCTGTAGTCCCAGCTACTCGGGAGGCTGAGGCAGGAGAATCACTTGAACCCAGAAGGTGGAGCTTGCAGTGAGCCGAGATCGCGCCATTGCACTCTAGCCTGGGCGACAGAGCGAGACTCTGTCTCCAAAAAAAAAAAAAAAAAAAAAAAAAAAGAAAGGAAAAAAAGAAAGAAAAGAAAAAAAAGAAAGAAATCTGTTCTCTTTCTTTCCTGTCACGTGAAATAAAATCACCATCACCCGGGCACTCAGACTACAAACAGGGAAGTAATAAAATTTGCTTTTAGTTGTTTTAAATACATATATAATGAAAAATTTCAAGCATATTTTGAGAGATAATAAAAACAGTGTATCACCTTCCAAATTTGTCAAATATAAATATTTTGCTATATTTGTTTCAGATATTTTTGGTAATGTTTTTCAAAGAAATGCGACACTATAGATAAGGTTCTATGTATATAACTCCCTGATCTCATTTTCTTCTCTTCCTTCCTAGAGATAATTACCATTCTGAAATGTTATTTTTCTGTATACTTTGTGAAGTTTGCTCCATATGTCTTTAACTATATATAATATACATTATCCCTCTGCATGTTTATAACAGTTATATGAAATAAATTATATCATACCTATCATTTAATAACCACTTTTATATTTTATATTTCCCAAATTTTTAAAGATAGCTTTACCTAAGTAAAGTAAAATTGAAATGCTGGAATGTTCTGGTATACTGCAGTATAAGATATCCAAATATTTAGAATGCTTTTGGGATGTTGGAGTAGATTTATCAAGTTAAATCTGCTCACTCCACTTCTCATTACATCCCCTGGTGGGTTCAGAGTACTCTCCTTTCACCAAGACTGTGAGAAATACACTCATGAGGGATGTCTGGCATTCTTGAAGAGCTCCATTGTTTGTAGCATAGGAATGACAATGGGAAATGCTACCATCAAACTCTGTTCCCTGAAGTCTATCAATTTAACCCTGATGCCCTAGTAATTTATTTTTGCTGTATTTTCTGCAATATTGGTCTGTATGGGACTGGCCTTTTTTAAAAAAATAAGCTTTTCTCTCCAGCTAGACTTAGAAGCACTGTTGTAACTACCTATAAAGTAATCCTCAAGGATTCCTACATGATACAAAGCATACAAAGCACCGATTATCTAATTATCTAAATTTTTTAACTTTTATTTTAGGTTCAGAGCTACATGTTCAGGTTTGTTATATAGGTAAATTTGTGTCATGGGGGTTTGTTATACAGATTATTTAATCACCCAGGTACTAAGCCTAGTACCCAATAGTTTTTTATATTTCTGATCCACTCTGTCCTTTCACCCTCCACAATCAAGTAGGCCCCAGTGTCTGTTTTTCCCCTCTTTGTGTCCATGCATTCTCATTATTTAGCTCCCACTTATAAGTGAGAATGTGTGGTATTTGGTTTTCTGTTCCTGCATTATTTTTCTAAGGATAATGGCCTCTAGCTCCATCCACTGTTCCTGCAAAGGACATGATCTTGTTCTTTTTTATGGCTGCATAGTATTCCATGGAGCATATGTACCAAATTTCCTTTATCTGGTCTGCCATTGATGGACATTCAGATTGATTTCATGTCTTTGCTACTGTGAATAGTGCTGCAATGAACATATGTGTGCACGTGTCTCTATGGTACAATGACCCAATAATGAGATTGCTAGGTGGGATAGCAGCTCTGTTTTTAGCTCTTTGAGAAATCACCACACTGTTTTCCACAATGGTTGAACTAATTTACCTTCCCATCAGCACTGTATAAGCATCCCCTTTTCTCTGCATCCTCCCCAGCATGTAATTTTTTGACTTTTTAGTAATAGCAAATCTGATTGGTGTGAGATACTATCTCATTGTGGTTTTGATTTGCATTTCTCTAATCATCAGTGATTCTGAGCCTTTCTTCATATACTTATTGGCCATGTGTATGTCTTCTTTTGAAAATTATCTGTTCATGTCCTTTGCCCACATTTTAATGGGGTTGGCTTTTTTTCTTATAAATTTATTTAAGTTTATTTTAGATCCTGGATACTAGATCTTTGTCAGATGCATAGTTTACAAATATTTTCTTCCATTCTGTAGATTGTTTACTCTGTTGATAGATTCTTTTGCTGTGCAGAAGCTCTTAAGTTTAACTAGGTTCCATTTGTCAATTTTCATTTTTGTTGCAATTGTTTTTAGTGTCTTTGTAATGAAGTCTTCACCAGGTTCTATGTCCAGAATGGTATTTTCTAGGTTATCATCCAGGATTGATATAATTTTTGGCTTTAGACTTGAATCTTTAATGCATCTTGAGTTAAATTTTGTATATGGTGCAAGGAAGAGGTTCAGTTTCAATCTTATGCATATGGCATCTTGAGTTAATTTTTGTATATGGTGTAAGGAAGAGGTTCAGTTTCAATCTTATGCATATGCCTAGCCAGTTTTCCCAGAACCATTTATTGAAGGAGTCCTTTCCCTATTGCTTGTTTTTATCAGCTTTGGCAAAGATCAGATTATTTTAGATGTGTGGCATTATTTCTGGCTCTCCATTCTGTTCCATTGATCTAGGTGCCTGTTTTTGTACAAATGCCATGCTGTTTTGGTTACTGTGGCCCTGTAGTATAGTTTGAAGTCAGGCAGCATGGTGTCTTCAGCTTTGTTCTTTTTGCTTAGGATTGCCTTGGCTATTCAGGCTATTTTTTGATTCCATATGAATTTTAGAATAGTTTTTTCTAGTTCTGTGAAGAATGTTTGTTAGTTTGATAGGAATAGTACTGTATCTATAAATTGCTTTGGCAGTATGACTATTTTAACAATATTGATTCTTCCTATCCATGAGCATGGAATACTTTTCCATTTGTTTGTGTCATGTCTGATTCCTTTGAGCTGTGTTGTGTTAATTATCTAAAATTTAATGAGTACAGTGGATGTGTTTATCTGCACTACAGAATGAAACTATAAAAATTTTATACAAATTATATTTTCCTTTTATACTTCAATAAATATGAACTATAAAGTAAATAAATAGTGAAATGCAGTAATACATTTAGGATATAATAAAAGCAATAAAATTTAACTATTACAAAAACAAAAAGACAATCTAAACTGTTTAGTGCTTATTAAAGAGTTGTTTGAGTGAGGTTTGGTACTAAGAAGAGGAACATGTAGTTTGGCGGTAAGTGAAGATTAGTTATAGTGAGCTGGAGAAAAAAAACGAGTAAAAAAAGTAGATATCTGAGGTATGTAGTACAGGTTGCACTTCTTGACACTCAGATGGCCATCTAAAACCATAGAGAAGGCGTTGGGATGGAAGTCTCAGTAATCGCTTTGAAATATTTTGGTTACAATTACGTGGTTCCTGAGAGTATGACACCATGCATGTCATCATCTTTTTAAATGTGATGTTTCTCTTCATGTCGTGATCATATTCACAAGCAACAGCAATAATTTTGTCTGCATCATCTAAAATTTCTTTTAAAGGTTTTGCATCCTCTATTCATGACACTTTTTTTCCACCAATAGTTCCCTGTATTTCACCAAGAAAAATGGATTCAGCCTTGCTATTAATAGAAACTGCTTCAACCCTAATTAGTATTTACCTTAGATCTCAGCAAACCTGCCTGGGCTTGGCTGTGGATTTTCTCCTGCCAGACTCCTCCTCATAGGGAATATAGTTCTAGAGATCAAGAGGATGTGCCCACCTAGTGTTTCTGCCTCTCATTTAGATCAAAATCAGGTAACTAAGACCCTAGAATTTCCTGCCCAAATGGACACAAGCCTGCATACACCTCTCTCTAGACTGATCCTGTAAACAGTGGATGCCCAATGAGGGGTGGCCACACTGTGGCTCTTTGCTGAGCCTGGGGATGGGGAAAGAGTCAGTGAATGGAACTTTTAAATGTGGGCTGGAATATTCACACTCACATATGCAAAGTCCCTCACAGTATGGGGTAGCTGATGGAGGCAAAGTTGGGTGAGCTGTGGGCTGGAACCCTTCATTTTTCTCTACCTCAGGCTGTACAAAGCTTAAGGGTGGGCCTGTCAATGATCTTTAAATTATATAATCTTACAGCTTCTCAACTTTCTCAAACCATTCCTGAGTTGCTTTGGAACTCAGCTTCCTCCACTAATCACTCCCTTTCTCTGCTGCCTTCTTCAGATCTTTAGAGATGTCCAGTGTCTTCTGCTATCTCAATACAAGGCTAAATTACATCCCATGCTGAGTGTGTCTCTCAATCCATTACATACTCTATTTCTCTAGTTATTAAAAAATATTATGCTGTGCTCAAGTAACACAGCGATGCTTTCCAGCATCAACAATGCTTTTATAATATTTGTTTTCTCCTTATGTACACAATAGATATAGAAATGTGTATGGTCAAGCTTTAGATGTTTTATGCATTTACTTTGTTCAATAGACTTTACCACCTCCAACATCTTTTTAAGCATATGAGCTTTTCTAGAAAATTTGTTTCTGCAGAGTGTTTCAAAAAATATATTAAAAATATTTTCACTTCATAATGTCAAGCAAATAAGTAAAAGAATGCACAAAATGTTTTAAAAACAGAAGTATGAAAAGTCTTCCTATCAGAACAGAGAAGATATGAAAGCAGTGCTCTCTGAATCCTCTTGTCCAGATTCCAACCTAAACTATTTTTGCTAGCACATGTATGATGATATATTGGCTTGTATTTCAACTAAAGTAGTGAGTTTTACATATAAATTTTACAAATATTTACAGCAAATATTTGGAGAGTGAGCATTCATACAGTGAGGGATACCTGAACTTCTCTCTTCAATTTATTCTGTGAGCTGTCAAAAGACCGTATTTCTAACATAAATACTATTCTAATTAATCAGTTCCCTTCTTTTGAAACACTGATACTTCCCAACATTTTATGAAAAAAAATTCTGAACCATTAACATGTCATTCAAGTCCATTCATCATCTGATTCCAACCTACCTTTCCAGCCCTATCCTAACCTCTTCCAATTATAAGCTTACACTCAAACCATACAAATCTACTTGTGGTTATTCAGACAAATAGTCATAAAACGAGTTCCTCTGTTTGGAATGTCTTTCTCTATTTGTATGGTACACATATCTTCTCTTTTCTCAACTTTCTAATGCCTCCTTTTCCACCCCCACATTCCATTGATAACTTTGCTTTCTACTTTTCTAAGACAATTAAAACCATCAGAAGAGAACCGACACCAACTCTCACCACAACTATTACCCCTTAGTATCTCTACCTATAAACCCTGCCTTACTTTGTGTAACTATAAATAAACTGTTTCTGCTTCTATCAAAAAATAGCCCCTGTATGCCTGTGCAAGATCCTTACTGGCCCAAGGACATCACTCCAGCAATGCTTCCCTCTCTCCCTCAGCATCAAATTTCTCCTCTGCTGAATCACTCCCAACAGGGTATAAACAAGGTATTATTTCTCCCATCTGGGAAAACAAATTCCTCTCTTAGCTTTACTTCATCCTCTGGCTTCCACATCATTTTTCTGCTCCTCTTTGTAGCAAAACTCCAGAAAAAGTGCTTTATTCTCCATATCTCTAATTCGTCTCCCCTCATTCTCTCCTACTTCCATTCCAATCAGGTTTTTCACCAATGTCATGCTATGAAAGCTGCTTTGGTAAAGGTCAATAGTGACCTCCACATTGCAAAGTCCAGAGGTCAAACTCAGTTCTCATGATGCATGGCCCATCAGAAGCATTTGACATTACTGATCACATTCACTTCCTGGAAATACTTTCTTCATTTGGACTCTAGAGGATCACACTGTTGGCTTTCCTTTTACCTGATGACCCCATCTTCTTAGATCCTGCTGCTATTTCTACCTCTATACAATCTCAAAATTCTTAATGTTGGTTCCTCAGAACTTAATTTATGGACATCTTCCCTATCAATACTTACTTATTTGATAATAGCATTCAGTCTCATGGCTTTAAATACCATTTGATGACTCCAAAAGTTTTATCTCCAGCTGGACCTCTCTCCTAAAATCCAAACCTGAATGCCCAACTACCTATTTGATATAGTCACCTAGAGGTCTAGGAGACATTTCAAACCTAATATGTTTAAAGCTGAAGTCTTAATTTATCCCCTGAAACCTGATATATTCAGCCTTTCTCTTTTCAGTTGATGGAACACCATCCTCCTAGTGGCTTAGATCAAAATATTGGAACCATCCCAAATCCTTTCTTTCCCTCAAAATTGCATCTAATTCGTTAGGAATTTATTTACAATGTATTAAGAATCCAGCCACTTCACAGCATCTACACTGATTTCAGTCTGGTCCAAGCTGCCATCATTTACTGCCTCCTAACTGGTGACCCTGCTCTCACCCTTACGCCCCAAACCTGCTCTTCAACACAACAGCTGCAGTCATCCTGTTAATAGCTGAATAAATCAAGCAGCCCTAACATTTGGGGCATACACTCCTCATGTGAAAAGCTTTTAATGTTTCCACTTCTCTCAGAGTAAAATAAAAAAATCTGTTTAACAACCTGTAGAGTTTTATATCAGTGATTCTCCAACTTTACTATGCATAAGAATCACCTGATGTGGCAGTTGTACAGGTGAATCACTCAGATCTTCCTTCCAGAAAAACAAAACAATAATAAGCTGAAAGGAGGATAGTTAGATGATAGCCTTCACCTGCAGACGCTTTGAGTCAGCCTGAGCTTTCAAGGCAAGTCTCTGGCTTCCTAGGTTGCCTTCAACCAAAGACCAACCATGGAGAGGCTACTAGCATCTGGTCTTTTCTCCCCAGCATGGACGCCTCTAACAGGCAATCTCCACCCAGAACTTTGACAGAGACCTTGTCTGAGGCTCTCTCTACACAATCCTGCTTTAATCTCCTTTTCTTTCAGATTTCAGATCTGGATCATGGTCTGAAGTCTTCTTCTACCTAATTTTGCTTCTTCCCCCTGTGTCTCTCACAGACATACCTTCCAAGGAATGGCTTGCACTTCCAACTTCCTCAATCCTGAAAGATCAGAATTTGTCAGAGTTGGTACCGAGAATGGTTTGAGAATATGATTTGGACACTTACCACCCAGACGCCTATAATTAAAGAATGCCAGTAGTCAGGGATTTACCCAGACATCCTCTGCAAAATGCAAATTGTCATAATGTGCATCTCCAATAACAAAGAAGAAAACTTTTAGAATCTAGGAAAAACACATTCCACCCTTAGGAATATTTATCTGGCCTATACACTGATTGATATGAAAAGTAGCCAGTTTTGAGGGGTCCAGAATACAAAAGGACTCTGCAGCAGGTCCAGGCTGCAGTTCAAGCAGCCCTAACACTTGGGCCACACAATTCAACAGACCTTTTATGTTTGGAGGTGTCAATGGTGGAAACGTTGCAGTATAGAGGTTATGGCAAGGATAAGTGGGAGTACCACAATGCAGGCCCCTGAGGTTATAGAGCAAGGTCATGCTAAGGTAAGGGGGAGTTATTTGCCTTTTGTCGGACAGCCTCTAGTGTATTTTAGTTGGCCCAGGGAGAGATGGTATACTTGACCAAGGGATAACAAGTGACCATGCATCCAAACTTCCCATTAAGAGCTGAGTTCTATTGGAGCCATCAAGTCATAAAATCAAATAGGCCCAGCAGGAATCCATGTTAAGGTTAAAAGGATAGTTATATACAGGAGTAAACACTAGTAAGACCAGAGGGCATAAGTAAACTGTGTGATCAGGCATCCCAGACCCCCACATCACCATGATGCTGCTGTGGAAGCTCACACTAATGGAACTATGGGGCAGGGAGAGGAGTTCTACAAAACCCTCAAAAGGGAAGGAAACAGACTGAGCTCGGTTTACACATAATTTTATATATGAATGCAACCCAAAATTAAATGGCTACACTACAGCCACACTTAGTGATGGCTATGAAAGATACTAGAGAAGAAAATATTCCTGCTGGGCAGAAGCATAAGCAATAAGCCTGATTTACCCACTCTTAATGAAAGAGAAATGGCCTAAGGTAGCCTAGGTGAGAATATATATTAATATAAAGTCAATGACTGGCAGTGGTAAACAGCTTGACAGGCTGGTCAGCGGTCTGGAAGAAAACAGAGTGGAAATTTGGAGACAAAAATTCAGGATATTATCTAAAATATAAAATCTCAACAATAAGAAAATAGCTCAACTAAAACAATGAAGAAGGTCTTAACAGACACCTCACCCAGGAAGGTATACAGATTGCAAATAAGCTTATGAAAAGATGCTCCACATCATATGTCATCAGGGAAATAAAAAAAAAATTTAAATGAGATAACCACTATATACTTTTTAGAATGGCTGAAATTCAAAAACTGACAACACAAATATGGCAAGGATATGGAGCAACAGAAACTCTCATTTATTGCTGGTGGGAATGCAAAATGGTATAGCTACTTTGTAAGGTAGTTTGGTGATTTCTTACAAAATTAAACATATTCTTATATGATCCAGCAACTGTGGTCCTTGGTATTTACTCAAAAGAGTTGAAAACTTAGGTCCACACAAAAATCTGTACATGGATTTTCATAGCAATTTTATTCATCATTGCCAAAACTTAGAAGCAAGCAAGATGTCCTTCAGTAGATGAATAAATAAACTATGGTACATCCAGAAAATTGAATATTATTCAGTGCTAAAAAGAAATATGCTATCAAGCCACAAAAAACCATGGAAGAAACTTAAATGTATATTACTAAGTGAAAAAAGCCAATCTGAAAAGAATCAGTGGTTTCCAGGAGCCGGAAAGTAGGGAGGTATAAGGTAAAATTATTCTATATGATACTATTAATGGTGGATCTATGTCATTATTCATTTGCCAAAGCCCATAGAGTGTACAACACCAAGAGTGAAACCTAATGTAAATTATGGACTTTGGGTGATAATGATGTGTCAATGTAGGCTAATCAATTGTAACAAATGTACCATTCTGATGTGGAATGTTGGTAACGGGGAAGGCTGTGCATGTGTGATGACAGGGGGCATATGAGAAATCTCTGGACCTTCTGCTCAATTTTGGTGTCAACCTAAAACAGCTCTAGAAAAAAATAGTCTGCTTAAAAGAAAAGAATTCAGGGCCAGAAACATGAGCATGTATGTATGGGAATGAGCACCATGTCTAAAGATCCTTGTATCACATGTTAACACCTGCCAGAAAGCATCCACCATTGAGGAAACACCAAGTAACTAAGCAGAAAAAAGCATCTCAGCCTCTTGACTTTGGCCCATGTCATCAGCCATCCCTGAACCATGTGGTTACATAAAGAGCATGTCTACAGCAGTAGAGATGAAGACTATACATGGACTTCTCTTTATCAATGCCTTTGAATGTCTAACCCATAGCAACAGAACCTGAAAATGTACCCCTAATAAGACACTATTCCTTGAGGAAACTAAATTGGACCACTGTGAATCTCATGTCTGCTATGAATCTGGCTGCATCTGACTCATGAGATTAATGTCTGTATTCCCTTGCTTCTTTCCAAGTCTTATATGAATGCCTTTTATCACAAAACTCTAGCCAGAAACCAATTGAAGAAAGGGATAAGGGAGATGTCCCTATCTTCTCTTCTGTGTTACATATGAGACCTTAGAAGAAGGTGGTGGCGAGGCCAAGTTAACAACAGACATCAGAATACAGATCAACCCTAGTCACCCTGGCGTATATACACACCCCTACTGCCATAATTTAACTTCCAAGTTAAGACAGTAATGATATGTAAAGATAAGAATGTCAATGGGTGACCTTATATTAATCTTTAAGTAAGGCATCAGCATCAAAGAGGAAAAAGGGAGAAACTTGATCTAGGCAAAATAAATAATTTATCTATCAGAGAGGGAGTTATAGATTTCCTTGTGTATGTGATGGCAGAGTGGTATTTATCTTTAGGAAAAGTAAGAGACCGTAATAGTTAAAAACATGTACTCAGAAGCCACATGTTTACATTTGAATCTTCTCTGTATTTGATCTTATATTTCCTTCTTACTAGCATGTGCCACTGGGCAAGTTACTTAGGCTTTTGATGCCTCATTACCCTTCTTTTTAAAAAAATGGAGATTTTAACAGTACTTACTTCAAAGAGTGATGATTAAACATATACATACATGTTAAAGCACCTAAATCAGTGTTTACTATATGGTGAGCACTCTGTAGTTGAGCTGTTACTATTCCTGTCTTAAGGACAGTTGCAGGAAAAAGAATTATCAAATGGCCTCTCATTATTTCTTCCCATACAAAATGTCAAAGATTTTGTGATTTAAAGGTTGTCGGACTTACCCAGTTCTAAAAATGTCCCCACCTGTCCCAGTTCATTTTCATCTTCACTGCTCACTGCAAGGAACACAGTGCTCTTAGAAGTGTATAGACATCTGCAGCACACTAACATGGCACACGCATACATATGTAACAAACCTGCATGTTGTGCATATGTACCCTAGAGCTTAAAGTGTAATAATAATAATAATAAATAAGTGTATGGACATCATTGGCCCATGATCTTCTCCCCCTACCATCTCTCTGTCCTTCATTCTATACGGTCCAGTCATCTTCAAATCAACCTACCTTATTCTTTGAAATGGAAGAGAAAGGAGAGACTTTTTGAGGTTATTTCTTAACCTTTCCTAGACGGCGGCTCTGATTTGGTTCAGAATAATCATACTCCACGGATGGAAATTCAAAAGGCTTGCATGCAATGCCAGCATTCCAATTTGGACCCCAGGGGATCAGAAGTTCCATAGTTACACAAACCCAGCCCTTTGCTCCCTCGCATTACTATCACACATCAGATTGTAAACTCTTTTAAGGACACAGCTTGTCTTTCATCCAACTATTTTTCCTAACATCTGGCACAATGCTTTGCTCAGTGAAAGATTGTTAAATTGTAATAAATAGAATAAAATGAAACTTAATGATTTCCAAAACTCATGAATAGCTTGATCATCTAGCAATGAGATTATTTTCTAGGATTTTTTAAAATTAGAATGACATTTATTATTTTAATATAGAAAAAACTGTAATAAAAAATATAATGCCACAACCCAGAAATCGCCATGTTGTTATTTATGTTACATTTAATTTTAATATTTTGATGCTTTTTTTTCTCTTTAGAGACAATATCCTTTTTCTTTTGGCGTTCTGTAGAGTTTTTTAACTGAATTTATTTTCTATTATTTACCTTAAGAAAAAATACTGGTATTTTTTTCTTACAACTTAATGGTATTTATTTCAGAGTTATTATGTAACAAAGGTTTTTTTATAAACACTGCTGGGTTAAACCTTATGATCAGTCTGAGGGCTCAGAGTGACTGGGCTATAGTTTTCAGTGGAAAAAAAAAAAGAAGAAGAAAAGTAAAGAAAAAAGAAAAGGATAGTTCTCTTTATAAAAATCCAGCACTTTAAGACACATATGGATGGATGGATGGCTTTCCCTGCCTTCCCTTCTAACCAATTTCTGAACCGCATATCTTGGGTGTTCCTGGTGCCCTAGTTCACACGTCTCATTCTGGACAGATTTGAAAGTTCTGCTTTGTGTTGATCTAGATTCTCTTTCTCTCCGTATTCCTGCTTTTGATCCCCAGGCTAAAATTCGGAATCCTGTTCAGATACCCTAGGCATTGAGTGTGGGTCAGCCTGATTCTCTGCTTTGTCATGACCTTTTCACCACTGGCAATTATAAATGTTCTCATTTTACCACATGGATTATATAAAATATCAGATTAAATCAGAGGGCTTGACTATTTTAGTGAAAGCTGCAATACTGGTACCACACACTGATAACTTTACAGCAAGTATCCTAGATAAACACAACTGTAATGATTATCTCATTTCCAGCAGCTTGTTCAAAAAGTATTAATAAGGCTAACATCACTTGGAGAATATTCGTAACTGTAATAATGAGGAAGTAACATAGAAAATATCAAAAATACTGAAATGGTAGTAAAAAGACTTGAGTTCTAATCTCAAGTATGCCAATAATTAGTTTTTGGTGACTTAAATTGTGTTCACGTGTTCAATTATTCATTTATTCAATAATGACTGACACTTTGTCAAAACATTAGTTCTCTATGTTATTCCTAGGCATCATGCTAGGTGTTAAAGATACAAAGATTAACAAGATGAAATTATTGATCACAAGCTATTCACAGTTGTTTATTCAATCCCAACCAGATAAATAAAACAAACATTAACAAACATTGTGATATTTATTATAGACGTGTATATAGGACACAAAGGAAGGTTGAGAGTCAAAGACATTTTAAAGGAACTGGTATTTTTGTAACACTAGATCTTTCACTATCTGTTTCCTTATCTCAGGAGATTTCATTATCTCTAAGTTTCTTCTCAGTTCTGATAGTCTAGAGAGCAATATGTGACATTTACCAGCCAGGAACTAGTTTAAATATCCCAAGTATGTGGGGATTAATCATGCCTCCAAATTTTTCCAAAGATCTCACTATATTGGACAAACTGACTTATTTATCATTATTTTCTTAGGTTATTGATTTGAAAAGATACATATAGAAAGAGTAGTCTTTGGTAGAAGAATTTAGGAAAAGATGAAAGAGTGTCATGTCATGGGACTCATTTTCCCCATGGCCAAGTCTTTCCTCCTGGTATATATCTCTGTCTCTGGTTACCCGATTCTGTATCTATATCTGTCTGATCTTGAACATCTAGTAAACATCTTAGCGACTGTGTTTTATCATCTGCAGAATGTCCACCACAATGTCTATGGAGCTTACGTCAGATATGAGATATGTGAAAACCTTAAAATGTATTATACTTTTAACGCACTCTAATGGTATTTTTTGCATTCTAAAATTCTCAAGTGTTATGCAGATATGACTGACTCTTCATAACAAGACTGGCATTGTTTTCTATGAACACTTGCTGCTCTCTTCTCACATTGGACAATCAGGACTAAGTATTTTGAATCTGTAGACACTGTCTTAATAATCATTGAATTCCAGCACTTGGCGCAGTGACTAGGACAGGAAAGATGCTTGATAAATGTGTATTGAATTAATGAGACATGAGAGATACATTCATAGACATCTGGCAAGAAGCAGAACTGGTCAAAAGGAAGGAAAGTCATTCATATATTATCATGTGCCACAGAAGGCATTTCCAGAAAGGATTGCTTTTTCTTATTGATGGAATTGCAGTCCCAACCACACAATTCCAGCCATGTTGTAAATTAAAAAGGTTCACGTGATTTAGCTTTGGGTCTTAAGTATCATGGATATTTCTATGGGAACATGCTCTTGGTTCAAACCATTACATAATCTATGAAGCACAGTTCATCTGTTAGTTGAGGGCTGACTATATGCTTTTTCCTCTTAATAAATGTTATTTTTAGATAGGTTTTAGGTTCAGAGGCATATTGAGTGAAAAGTACAAAGAGTTTCTATTTACCTCTTACCCCTACCCAAATGTATAGCCTCCTCCATTATAAAGATCCCTACACCAGAGTAGTATAATACATTTGTTTTCATTAATGAACCTCCATTGGCACGTGATTATCACTTAGAGTCCATAATTTACATTGGTTTTGTACATTATAGGCTTTGACAAATATATAGTGGAAGGCTTCCATCATTATAGTATCATACAGAATAGTTTCACTGCCCTAAAAATTTTCTGTGCTTCACTGATTCATCCTTTCTCACCTTCTAATCCCTGGCAACCACTCTCTCCATAGTTTTGCCATTTCCAGAATGTCATGGAGTTGGAATCATACAGTATGTAGCTTTTTCAGCTTGGCTTTTTTTTTTTTTTCACTTTCTTATAAGCAGTTAAGATCCCTCTGTGTCTTTTATGGGTTGAGAATTCAGTTCTTTTTAGTGGTGAATAATATTCCAGTGTCTGGATGTACCACTGTTTATTTATTCATTCATCTACCAAGGGACATCTTGCTTGCTCCCAAGTTAGGACAATCATAAATAAAACTGTTATAAGCATCCATGTGCAGGTTTTGCTGTGGATGTAAGTTTTCAGCCCCTTTCGGTAAATACTAAGGGATATGACTGCTGGATTGCAGGGCAAAAGTATGTTTAGTTTTGTAAGAAACTGCCAAACTGTCTTCCAGAGTGACTATACTATTGTATATTCTCATTGACAATGAATAAGTGTTCCTGTTGCTTCACATTGTCTCCAGCATGTGTTGTTGTTGTCAGTGTTTTGTCTTTCACCATTCTAACAGGTGTGCGATGGTGGCTTATTGTCGTTTTAATTTGCAATTCCCTAGTGGTATATGATGTGGATCTTTTCATGTGATTATATGGCATTTGTCTGTCATCTCCAGTGAGGTGTCTGTTCAGGTCTTTGGCCCATTTTTTTTAAATCAAATTGTTTGTTTCTTTATGCTGAGTTGTAAGAGTTCATTATCCATTTTGGGTAACAGTCTTTTGTCAGATAACTCTTTTGTAAATATTTTCTCTCATTATGTGGCTTATCTTTTCATTCTCTTGGCATTGTCTTTCTCAGAGCAGAAGTTTTTAATTTTAATAAAGGCCAGCTTATCAATTATTTCTTTTGTAGATCATTGCTTAAGTGTTCTATCTAAAAAGTCACTCCCAAGCTCAAGGTCATCTAGATTTTCCCCTATGTTATTTTCCAGGAGATTAGTATTTTTGCATTTTACATTTAGGGCTGTCATTCATTTTGAATTAATTTTGTGAAGGGTGTAAGCTCTGTGTCTAGATTTTTTTTTTTTTTTTTGCATATGGATGACCAGTTGTGCCAGTACCATTTGTTGAAAAGAGTCTTTTCTTCATTGCTCCATTTTCTCCTTGCTTCTTTGTCAAAGATTAGTTGACTATATTTGTGTGAGTCTGCCTATGAGCTCTGTATAGTGATGTATCACTTAATGACTGGGATTTGTTCTGAAGAATGCATTGTCAGGTGATTTCATTATTGTACAAACATCATGAAGTATACTTACAGAAATCTAGATGATACATATTCTTATACTTTTTTTTCTTAAGGAAAACCAAATGTCCCAGCACCATTCCTCTGAATACTAATCATTTCCCCTAGTTAACCTGTAATGCCAATATCAAGTGCTGTAAGTCAGGTTTCTATATATGATTCATTGTAAACCTAGGGGACCACTGTTGTATATACAGCCTGTCATTGAACAAAATAGTGTTATATGGTACATGACTCTATACTGTTGTCTTGATACATCTATTTTTTCACCAAAATTACATTGTCTTGATTACTGTAGCTTTATAGTAAGTCTTGAGGTTAGATAGTGTTAATCCTCCAACTTCACTCTTCTTCAATATTGTGTTGGCTCTTCTGGGTCTTTTACTTCTCCATATAAAGTTTAGATTTATTGACAAAATAAATCTACAAAATATCTACAAAATAACTTTCTGGAATTATTATTAGAATTGCACAGGATCTACAGATCCTGTTAGGAAGAACTGACATCTTGGAAATATTAAGTCTTCCTATCCATGAAAATGGAATATCACTTTATTTATTTACTGTTTCTTTGATTTCTTTCATAAGAGTTTTGTAGTTTCCCTCATACAGATCTTGTACATATATTATTAGATTTTTATCTAAGTATGTTATTTTGGGGGTTGATCATGTAAATGGTATTGTGTTTTTAATTTCAGAATTCAGTTGTTCATTGCTTATATACAGAAAAGTGATTGACTTTTGTATATTAACCTTGTATCATACAACCTTGCTATTATCACTGCTCAGTTCCAGGAAGTCTAGGGTATGTTCGTGTCTGTGTGTGTATATATTCTCCTTGCTGATTCTTTCAGATTTTCTAGATACATGATGACATCATCTGTGAACAAAGATAGTTTTATTTCTTCCTTCCCAATCAGTATACCTTTAATTTCCTTTTCTTGTCTTACGGCATTAGCTTTCAGCACAGTATTTAAAAGTAGTAGTAAGAGGCATCATGCTAGCCTTGTTTCTGATCTTAACAGGAAAGCTTTCAGTTTCTCACCATTTAGTATAATATTAACTGTAGAGCTTTATAAATATTCTATAGTCAAGTTGAGGAAGTTCCCCTCTATTCTTAATTTGCTGAATTTTTAATCATTAATGGCTGTTAAAACTTGTCAAACGTTTTTCTGCATCTATCGATATGATCATGTAATTTTTCTTCTCTAGTCTTTTGATGTGGTGGATTACATTAATTGATATTTGATGAATATATTTGCATCATTCTTAATTTTTATGGCACACAGGAGAAGCCTTGGAGGACAAGGGTAGGTAAATTCTCATATGTCCTTGATATGCCTCATTGCAGAAATATCTTTTCTCATAAATTGAGAGAGAAGCTCTTTCAAGCAGAAAGAAATTATGAGAGGAGTGACTCGTAAGTATGAAGGCCATGGATAATTGATTCATCACATCATTTTTAGGTCACACACAAAAAATCAATCCAATTTAAAATTAAGAAGTTAAAAACCATTGTTTTGTATCACATAGACAAAAAACATTATCTGCTTATTAAAATTTTTACTTTCAACCAGTTGTGATAAGACAAAGCTTCCATCTTAAAAATAATACACAAGTTTCCATTAAAATGCACAATAAGCAAGATTATAATTTGTTAGAATTCAATCTTAGAGAAGAACTAAGCAAAGGGACCAGATAAAGAATAAGGAACTCTGGGGTCTAAAGCTGATAAGTTGTCTTCAAGCAAATCACTTCACTACAATGGAATCCATATTTTTATCTAGAAGTCATTGTGAGATAAATAAATAAACAAAACGTTAACTAGCTAAATTTTTTAAAATCTTATCAAAAAATTTATTTTAAAATAATATATTATGATAAAATAATGGTGGATCCCTAAAACATGCCTTTTATTTATTATCAGAATATTTGTGATGTAATCCTTCACATTAATGGGCTAACTAGCAAAGATTGCATGAGTTTATATATATATATATATATACATAAAAACAAATTTTTTATTAAGTTCAATACCAATACATAATTTAAAATAAACTTTTTCAGAAAACTAAGAATAGAAAAAGACATTCTTAATTTGATAGAGGCTAAATATAAAAAACCTACCATAGAAAAGGAGGCATCCAACACTTGCCTCTTCCAGAAAGAAAAACCAAAATTATGAACAATCACTGCTAGAATAGAACTTGTAAGAGAGAACACTGAAATTAAGCAGAGAAATCCAAAACCCGAACAGACTAATAACAAGTAATGAGATAGATGCAGTAATAAAGAGTCTTCCAGCACAGAAAAGCCCACGACCTGATAGCTTCGCTACTGAATTTTACCAAACATTTAAAGAAGAACTAATGTACCCCATAAATATACACATCTTCTATGTACCCATAAAATTTTTTTAAGTGCTTGGGGACAATCTTTAAAGGAAAGGAAAGAGATATGAGAATAACTGCAATGTATGATCTTTAATTGGATAGTGGGTTTAACAAAAACAATATTAAGGACACTATTTTTATTATTTTGTTATTGTTCTTATTGTTATAAGAAACGTGAATATGAAATGCATGTAACAACATAACCCCAATGTCAAATTTCCTGAGTGTGATAAATATATTATGTTTAAAAAAAACCATAGTGTTAATGTCAAAAATATTCAAGGAATTCTTGCAAATGTACTTTAAAACCTCGTAAGCTAAGTTGAAAAAATGGGTAAAGGAAACAAATAAGCAATTCACAGACAATGAAACCTAAAACACCACCAAGCATATAAGATGCCTAAAATACAAGTAATAAAAAATCTCAGACTAACATTAAACTATAACACTTTATACACTTTATACCCATTATGTTGGCAAAAATTAGGAAGAGAGTAATGCTACATTTGGCATGAATATGGGAAAAAGGTAATGCACCTGCAGTTAGAAGTATAGACTTGCAGTCATTCCAGAAAGCACTTTGAAGTATTTAATGAAATCAAACATTAGTAAATCCTAGAAACCCCCTCTTTAATATGTATCCCAGAAACAACTGTTCATAGATCTATAAGGATGCATAGCTAACAATGTTCATCGGGGCATTATGTATGGAAGTGGGGAGTTTATGACAATCTAGGTATGCATCTATGAATGGATGGGTAGGCAGAAAACGGGGAGTGTGTTCAGTGTTTTACTAAGCAGCTGTCAGAAGCAACACAGGATACAAACACACAAAACATAATGTTGATGGGAAAAGAACTACAAATAATGAGATATAAAGTACCTGTACTTATGCAAATTAAAAACACATGTAAGCATAAAATAATGACATAATTTTTTCAAAGAATCATACATCTTTAAAGACATAGAGTGAGTACCCAATCATGGGAAAGGGAGAATGGAGAGAGATGGGTGATAAAGGGGAAAATACTCAAGAGGACATCAAGACGAAGTATCATTGAACCACTAGGAAATATAATTAACAGGACACTCGATATTTGAAGTCTAAAAGAAAGAAAAAAAATAAAATAAAAAATAAAATCGGGGTAAGACTAGATCATCTTTAAAGTTACTTCTCACTCTAATATTCTGGTTTTCTATGATACATGAGATCTTTCTGCACTGAGTAAGCCTTAGAGACCATTTGTATCATTATACATTAGTGGGATGAAGCCAAACACCTGCAAATCCAGTAAATTCAGACAAACTACACTCAGGGGAGCTAGTTTCACATCATCTGTCAACAAGGGCATCAAAGAGAGGTGGGAAATCAAAATCATCTGTCTCTGGGCTACAAGCCCTGGCTATGACTCCCCACACACCAATCATAGCAATTCTCAGTGTTCCTATAACCCTCCACATCTGTTAATTGCTTAGGGCTTCATATTCTACCCTGGAGGCCTATTGGTGTTTCCAGTTTAGTTAAGGAGAGAACTAAAAGGATAGACAGGTAAGTTAAAAGCATGCAGACCCTGAACAAATGTTTTGTCACCAGAATCCACAATGCAGTGTGGAGATAACTACAAAAACTGAGATTGTTATAGCTGATTTTAATCCAAGAAGGTTTAATTAGGACCCCAGAGAGGTGTCTGTGGGGAGATGAAATCCTGCTCCATACGATGAAAACAGAAAGTTCTTAACAATTGGGATAAGCATAAATGAAATTGGCAACCACAAGATATAGTTAGATTTTTCTTCCTGTGTATTTTTCTAGTAGAATCCAATATTATGAAGAGTTAGAGATGATGTGAAGAATACTTATTACTGGGCAAGTCTTCCTGAACTACAAGTCTCTTTAGAGTCCCTTGCAACATGGAGATTATATGGTTCCATCATGTGTGTTATGTATTTGTGCATGTGCTCATGCACTTGGAGACAACACACTATTGGAAATGAGGTTATTAAGCAGTAGGATGCTGCTTCTGGGGATGCTGAATGTCGTTACACAGTTAATCTTTATGGAGCTCCTTCCAATCCCTAGAGAAACCTCGATGTGAAAGTCTAAGAATGCAGAACATATTCACTTGGTAGAATTATAAACATCAAAACTAGACATCAATGTACAGTCATTGATAACCTCAGGAGGTGATCATCTACTTGCCTCTGTTTTTTTTTTCTTAAGAATTGCTTTTTTTTCCTCGACCTATCAGAAATACATTTTTCCAGCTTTAATGAGATATAATTGACAAAAAATGTGTATGTTCGAGGTATAAAACATGATGATTTGATATAAGTATACATTGTATAGTGATGACCACAATCCAATTAGTTAACACATTCAGCATCACTCACAGTTATTTGTGTGTGTGCATGCATGTGGGCATGTGTGTGTGGTGAGAACAATTAAAATCTGCTCTCATCAAATTTCAAGGTAAAAAAACAGTTATTAATTATAGTCATCAGCAGGCTGTGAGAGGAATGTGACACTGAGTTTATTACTTACTATGTGTCCTTTATAGTTTGTTATGCACGTGCGTGTAAACAGCATAGCACTATCTTTATTGAGTATTGAGTCAGGAATACTCAAAAAATAATTAAGTCATCTCTTCATAAAATCCCTACCCAGAAACCTTGTGAAGTATTGCATGTATATGATCTTAAACTTTACTGATATTTAGAATCATATTCTGGTATTGAATTCAAGCAGTGCCCATTAGGTCCAGGATCCTATTTTGAAAAGACAAATACCTCTCTCTAAATGCATTACGCACTCTGCTAGGAACTCCAAATTACATAGACCCAGAGAGCAGATACCAAGTAGCACCTTGTTCTTAGATTCTTGCTTTTCTTCTCTGGCTTATCATAGAGCTTCTCCTCTTAATCAGAAAACCTGCAGAACCGTGAGTATGAAAATAGTCAACCTGCAGACCCATGAGTATGAAAATAATTGATTAATTGTTATGCAGCAAAAATCAATTCATACATCAAGTAGTTTGTAACCTCTGCATATACAAACATCCCAAAATGCAACATCTCTTTGAGAGCTGGGTGCTAATGGTTTGGTTCTGCATAGTTGCTGCGGCTAAGCCACAATACCAGAGTAGCTATCTTTGATGACAGAGAAATCCTTCTCTTACCCTCAAAACCTCCTTCTAAAGTCACACAAGGGGCCCTCTGCCCATATCCCTGTAAGGGTGAGGAGAAAAAGAGAAAGGAATCCAGCTGTTTAAGAGTTAAATGAGCATGACAGTCCCTAAGAATGTGTCCTACTCTACAATACTCATTTCTTGATATTAGTCATAGGAATTAGAACTCTGTAGGAATTAATTTTCTACACATCTTCACTAGTGGAAAGAAAGCATCATCTCCCTTTCATAAGTAAAGCCTCTTGCAAAAATCTTGTCTGAACAAGATGAAATAAAATTCCCCATGATTTCATCATCAACCTTCAATACGAAAATATGAAGGCCCTAAAGGCTAATGTAAGAAGGAAGTCAAAATGGTGCCCCCTAGTGTTATGATCGCCAACAGCCTGGAGACCATAGTAATGCATGGTGTCTCTGGAACAGAATGTGGATCACCATAGATTAAAATCTGCAGTACCAAAACCACATATGTTATTTACTACCACCTACACCAAGCCAGCCAGGAAATAAGATCTAGAAAACCCTGAAATCAGCTATGTTGCTTTCAAATATATGCATTGGATGAGTCTCTTCACTTTTCTGAATTACAATGTTTTCAACTATAGTTTAGGGATACTACTTTATCAGTACTGGATTGATAACAGGAAGAAATGAGATTGTAGAGAGTTATTTAAAAACTGCAAGGGATTCTACAAATTAAATGAAACAGGTTGGTAATAATTAGGAAATCATATTGTGTCTAGCCCAACACAGTTCTATATTTAAACTTACAGTTCTATATTTAAATGTTAATTGACATTAGTATTTTGGGGGAGAAATCTTATTGGAAAAGTTAATAAAAATAAAGAAATAAACATGAAAATACATATATTAAATACATAGGAACCAACAGATGTTATCAGGTGAAAGGTATATGCCAGGATGGGTCCTGATTCTGGTCTTCTTCACTTTATTTGGGTCAATCTGTAAACAGTGCAAGACAGAGCCTGTAAGCCAGTGCCATAAAATTCAACTTTGTTTCACTTCCATTTCAAATGTAATTCCAGTGCCTTTCAACAAGGATTTATTTTGAAGCCAACTCTTTCACATCCCATTAAGTTGGTGTGTTTTATTTGCATGAAATTCCAAATTGATCTGATGCTGATGTCCAGGCACTCTATAAGGAGGAGACAGAAAAGATCCATTAAAAATAAAAATTGCCAAAGGGGAGACACACATAATTTTTTAGCTTAAGCTGTAAACAGCACTCTTTTTCCATTATCAGATTGTCATTATAATTTCCAAAAGCTGCAGAAGATGAGGCCTGAGTCCTGCTTAGTTTCCAACCTTTCACCCTGCTTGGCATCATTCTCTGAGCATATGCTCTGCTCAAAAGAAATGAAAAAAACAAACAAACAAAAATACCACTGCATCAGTTGCCACAAATGAGGAAAACATACCAATAACAGTGTATGAAATATTTCCACACAGTCCCAGCATTTAAGAGCTTCCAGGGTCCTCCCAAGTCCATTTTCTGCCCATGATTATTCTGCTTTCAGTACGTTTAGAAGCTAATTTCTCAATTCCATTGTGTGGGTGCATAGTAATGCAGGAGTTTGGTTATGAAATATATAAAGAAAGGGCTAAAATTTGACTGTAAAAATATTTTTTATCCATATCTACCTGTTTGATAGCATTTCCCATTATTCCAAGCTATAAATCAGAATATGGTTACAAGATATTGGCAGGGGTGGGGGAAGCTAGGAAGAAGAGGAATGAATTCCAAGATAACAAAACTGAACATTTATTGAGGGTTAGTACATGCCAGCTACTTAGTTGAGCGATTTGTCTACACATTCTCAGATAATCCTATAATTATTTTCTAAAGTGGAAGTCATCCCAAATTTATGATGGCAAAAAGAGGCTCAGAGGGTCTGTGTCAGTTCTCCAAAGCCATATAGCATTTAAATGGAAAAGCAGGTATATAAAACCTAAACCTTTCACTCCAAATCTCACATTTCTTCCACCTAACTCTGCTATCCTCAATAATCAATAGTCCAGATTCAATGATATAGCTATTAGAGGGTCCCCATTCAGACAATCAAAAATAAGAATTTGTAGAAAAATATATTTTAGTAGTTGGCACCTTAATTTCACGTAGGTTAAGAACTTTATTTAGAAAGATCCTTTGGTTACTTTAGCTAGGAAATGTGAAAACATAGTGGTTTGAGTGAGAGGAGATACTTAACTGCTTTGCTTAAGAAGAACAACAGATATTTGGATTTGGAATAAAGAGAATAGGAGGACAAAAACAAAAAAAAAGAAAAAGGAGGAAGCTGGAAAACATTGTAGTGGTCTGCAACCTGTAAAGAAATGCTGTCTAGGAGAAATCTCTGTGGCAAATTGGCGAGAAGAATTATCATAACAAGAAATTGCTTATTTTAATATTTAAGTTTATTGCTATATATCTCTATGAAAGCATCCTTTATCTCCCAAACTTTCAGTACAACCTACTTCATCCCAAATTCTTGTATGAGAGACATCTAAAAAAAGGAAGTTTATTGTGTATCTGCATCAGTAAAGGGTGGTGAAAGGAGACTTAGGGCTCAGAAGGCACAGGAAATTAGAAGCAGAGATGCCCATGTGACTGTGGGTGGAGGGGGGCAGTGTGCACTCCATAGATATGGAAGAGGGAATGCATTAATTCATGTAAATGTCAAGGAAATCATACACTTGACTTATACTTGATCAACAAGATCCTATTGTCTTGGTAACATCCTTCTGTTCCCACCAGATACGGGTTAGTATACAAAATGTCTAAAAAAAATTGACATTATTCCCTTTCAATAATATCTCACCATGGTTATAATTGAAAAATAGTAGCAAAATTGCTTTCCCACATACCCACTATTCTTGTTGATGTCACCATCTGCTTGTATACTTTCACTCCCAAAAATCTGTAAGAAAATTAAGATGATTTCTTCAGGTAAAAACCTGCAGATCAACAGTCTGGGAAATTTGGCATTCAGTCAAATGCTGTGATCTCTACCAACAATGGTACTGCCATTGTGTAAGTTATAGCCCCTTTGCAAAGGGTTATCTATATCATGTCCTGCTCCTCCGAATAGACACAGACCTTTAAACGCTTAGGATTTCTGGCCGCAAAGCTCACATACGGAACTCTTATTATAGCAACAATAATAGCATTGAAGGAAACTCAGAAATCATCTAGTTTGATCTTCCAAAGATTGCAATAATCCTTTCTACAATAGACCCAGTGAGATTGTAATTTGCCTTCTTGAACGCATCCAATGACAAAGTCATCTCAAAAGGAAATTCTATCTTTGGATAATATGAAACTTTACATAAAAAGCTTCCTTATATTGAGCCTAAATTATATTACTGGTCCTACCTAAATTCAGGCATTTGGAACAGCATACGTATTATCCTTCTTCCATCTGTCTTTTCTTCAATTATTTGATGACAACTCCAACGTCACTACTTAATTCATGCTAAATGTACTCAGTTCTTTCAGTCATTTCCAGATGCTTTACCATACCAGGAAACACCTGGGTACATTCCATTTGTCAATATCTTATAAATGTGTGGTGTGCCGAAGGAAATCCTGTGATCCAGATGTGATCTTAACTCTGCAAATTTCAATTGTATTTTTGTATCCCTCTTCTGCAAATGGGTCCTTCAATAAAGCAAACCAAGATGGTTTTAGCTTTTTATGACATTGTATTACACTTAAATAATACTGAGGTTGCCATTGCCTGTTACTTAAACTTTTGAGAAATTCTGTCACTTAGTTTTTAAATTCTTGTTTGATCTTTTAAAACCAAAGTTTAGTACACCACATTTATCCTCTTTTAATTTAGATTTTCTAGTCTATTGTTTTGGATCCTTGACTGTGATAACTAATGTATTCACATCTACCCCTTGCCACATTGGAATGGCAGAACATTTGATAATCATACATTCTGTGCTTTTTATTAATATGTTTTCATAATTGATGTAATGACAAGAGCATAGACTCTAAAGTGATCACGATTAAGATTTTCCTTTCTCTTCTGCTAGCTATACATACCACGCAGCTAATAATCCTGCTTTCATTGAGCACTTACTATGTTCTAGCCACTCTGCTAGTGACTTTCCAGATATACTGTATTTTAATTCTTTCAATTTATCAATGAGTAGGGAAATATATTTTTCCATTTTTATTATAGGAATATAAAGCAGAAGTTTTTTATTTCTGTTTAAGCATACACAGTTAAGTGACTTGCACATAATTCACTGTCCTAGTTTTCAGTTCCGCAAACATTTACTCTTTTAACATTCCATCTTTGATTTCAAGGTTTGTGAAATTTATATTTTTATTAACTTGCCACAGAGAATTTTCTTCCTTTCATTTATTTATGCTTTCTTCCAAACTGTTTTCTTTGTCTACCTTTTGTATCCTTCCTGCCTGCATTCTCTTTTCTCTTCTTTTTTTTCTTTTTATTCTTTTCTTCTTTCTCACTTTTTTCCTCTCTCCCTCTTTTCCTTTCTCCAGCCTCCATTATCTTCCTTCCTTCCTTCCTTTTTTCCTTCCTTCCTTCCTTCCCTCCTTCCTTCCTTCTGTCCTCTATTTCTTTCTGGTAGTATATTTGCATTATTGCCAAGTATTTCTTTAAAAATATTTCTCCTTTTTAATATGTGCAGATGGCACTCTGTCCAGAACTTCTATTGAATGTAAATGATTTTTAAGTCAGCTCTCTTTTCTTACTTAAGACCTGTTTGTTTTCATTTCTTAGCTGCACCCAAGGAGTAGGATGCCTACCCTTCTGTCTAGTTTTCTGTAGCTTCAGGGTCTGGATAGAGGTGGATTTCGTCTGCTGGGCCCATGTTCAGCCTTTGTGGAAGAGCCCAAGTGCTTCTTTTTCTTCATAGATTTCTGCCAAACGTCCAGGAACCCAAGATCACCTAATCTGTGCACTCCTTCTGGGTTCACTTCCTTTCTTGAGCCTAGGGTTTTAGAATACAGTGAGCCAAGGCTGGTTTTTCGGCCTCTTCTAAGATTCCAAGTTCATGTGATAGTTCATATAAAATTCTCTTCTTATTTTTTTTCTCTGTTTACTTTCCTCCTTAGTTTATTTCTTTCCAAATTACTGTGAGTATGTGGAAGGAGAAGGGGAGGGGCAGTTGTTAATACAAAATCTCAAGATGTTGTCCACTAATCTTTCACCATACTGTTTCTGGCAATTGGACATTGCCAGAAGTTAATAATTGAGCCTCATTAAAATCTTCTATTTCTTTCTTTACCACTACATTTGGCAAATTAGAGCATGTGTGTATCTAAATGAATACTTCCTGTTGTTTTTTAAATTTTTTTAAATGTAGGGAGAAAAAAGTCCTGTGATTCTGGTTTCTTTCCAATATTTTAACACTATTATTTTCTTATATGCTTTTTTTATACATTGGAAAAGTTAAACATAATTTATTTGATAATATGTCTCATATGATAATATCATTGATACCAGAATCTGTGTTGTAATACTTCATAATCCTGGGATAATTTAGAAGAGAGTCAAATATTACATAGCTAGTATAATTTTACTGTCATACAGGTCACAGGCCTCAAGCTCGACTCAGAGGAATTTCTACAAAGATTCCATGTATCTTACTGATACACTATATATCACTGACTCTGTTCTCCATTTTCCCTCTTCTTTTCCATGATTCTTAACAATAGGGCAGAGGAATAGAACATAACACCATCTTATCTAGGAACATTGTCTCTTCCTTGGAGATGCTTATCCTAACACCATAAAGATGATAGTATATTTGGGACATCCATAGTGCACTGAATTTTCTACATGAGAAGGGTTCTTCCTTATCATAGAGTTGTTAGGGGAAAAAAAGCCATAATATTGTTAAGAAGATAACTAGAAAAAAAGAGAACAATTATTCAAAAATCATTGAAACACGAACTAGGAGAAAGTATTAGACAGTTGTAGAAGAGAGGAATATGAGCTTCAAATACTGCTTCAATATTAAACCCCTTTATATACACTAACACCAGACCTCTGAGTCACTAGGCCTCTTTTCACATTATCCTTCTTTTAGTGTCTTCTCAAAACAATCCCTACAGCCTTGCTATAAATATTTGAATAACTTCCAAGTAATCACCTGGATTCTTCTTAAAAGACCCCAGGATAGAAAACTCACTGGTTTGTAGGTCAGCCCAGTGCATCACCAAAAAGTTCATACCTCATACTCATAGGAAGCGATTGGCCTATTTTTAAATTTTAAAAGTAGAATAAAATTATATCTGATCCTTATAACTATGATAGAGATTTTCTGCTATATAAGCAAAGGCTAAGAGGAAACACTGGCCAATGAAAGGAGCAGTAGAACCATATGTGAAATGATGTTTTTTAGAATACTACCTAGAATCAATAATGTTGATTAAGAAAAGGGAAGAATAGGCTGCGCACAGTGGCTCACGCCTGTAATCCCAGCACTTTGGGAGGCCAAGGCAGGCGGATCACTTGAGGTCAGAAGTTCGAGCCCAGCATGGCTAATAAGGTGAAACCCATTCTCTACCAAAAAATACAAAAATTTGTCTGGTGTAGTGGCATGCATCTGTAGTCCCAGCTACTGGGGAGGCTGAAGTGGGAGAACGGCTGGAATCTGGGAGGCAGAGGTTGCAGTGAGCCGAGATTATACCACTGCACTCCAGCCTGGGTGATAGAGTGAGGCCCTGTCTCAAATTTAAAAATAAAAAAAGAAACGGGAAGAATGCTGTGCTTTATATTAAATCAAAACCCTCTCTCTCTCTCTCTCTCTCTCTCTGTATTTTCAGTGCCTAAAACTCTGCCTGGCATATAACGCTTAATACACATTTTGTGGAATATATGAATGTGAGATCTTTCTATTAATACTACATCAAACCATTGAGACCTCACACAACAGGTATATTTCCTTTTCTACACAACAGGTACCATGGTCTCTAGGGACTTCCCTTGTCTAGGATGAACATTTCTGATTCCTTCAACAGTTCCTAAAAGTTCTTATATTGACTGCCCTTCACTTCACGCCAGCAGTAGGACTTCGAAGTTGCCCAGCATAGAGCCTAATATTGCCTCTCAACAATATTTTGGGTGAGATATGTCAAGGTAAGTGCTGGAGTGAGAGGAGTAAGGGGAGTGAGCTCACTTGCCTGAAAAAAAGAAAAGCCAAGTTTTTTTTTATTTACCTGATTTGCTTTCTGAGCACCTCCTTATAGCCTTTTAGAGATCATTCTTCCCAATGCATCTCAACATTCTTTTTCCACCCCTGAGGCAGTCACGTAAGGATCTTTTACCTCCTCTCCTTCGCTGCCACAGAACTGGATGTTCTTTCCAGATTCTCACATGATCGTGGATTCTCTCAATCCTCACTTCTTTTTATTTTTATTTATTTATTTATTTATTTATTTATTTATTTATTTATTTATTTATTTTTGAGACGGCGTCTCACTCTGTCTCCCGGGCTGGAGTGCAGTGGCACGATCTCCACTCACCGCAACTTCTGCCTCCCGGGTTCAAGTGATTCTCCTGACTCAGACTCCCAAGTAGTTGGGATCACAGGCACCCGCCACCATGCCTGTCTAATTTTTGTATTTTTAGTAGAGATGGGGCTTTGCCATGTTGGCCTGGCTGGTATTGAACTCCTGACCTCAGGTGATCCACCCGCCTCAGCCTCCCAAAGTGCCGGGATTACAGAAGTGAGCTACTGCACCTGGCCCTCACTTCTTTATGCTGATCTCTACCTTGAGTATTCTGTGATGCAAAAATACATGAGAAAATGGGGCCATCACTTCAAATGCAGTTTTTGTTCGATCATCATTTTTCACATCTTGTTGACATTTGGAGAAGAGTACAATATGAAGCTTCTTTTGTATTTCCACCATGAAATTTAGCAAGTTTGAATCAATCCTTTGTGAGGCCCATCCTTTTCCTCCCCCATTAGAATGAAATATAGCTTTAAGCTTGAGTTATGTATCTTAGAATATGGTTTAACAAAAGCTAAAACCTAAAAAAAAAAAAGGGCATGGCATCCTTGGTATTTGTGGGTGAACTCTGTGGTGACTGCTTTAATTAATTTATGTAATTGGAATTTCACCAAGACATAAATTTACTCATATCTATTTTTAAAGACAGGAATATTGATCTTGGACCAGCAATAAATTCCTGTAATATTTGTCCTCAGTAAAAAGCCAAGACAATTCTAGGCCATTTCTTTTTGTCTTGAAAACGTTATGCCAAAATCATCATTTTGTTGGCTGCATACATCCTGATTTATATTCGATGAGAGTTATAAAAGGCTTTTATAGTGGAGATGGCCGAGTGACATTTTCCTATAAATCACGATCATTTTTACTGCTACAAAGTTCTAGGACTGAACTTCAAATACAACCGTGCTGTAAACTCTGTGGATGGAACCACATACTTGCTGAATGAGAAACATGTTTCCCTTTCACCATGAGTGACTGCATATTCCAGTCAGTCTCTGGCAGATGAGAGCATCACTAAAACCCAGGGAACCATGCTCAGCTTTGATGAAGCAGCTTGTGAAACGCAGGTCACCCAGAACACCTTTGAATACAGCTATGCTTTCAGCCTCATGAATAATTCAGGTCCATATAGATACTATATGTTGAGCTGAAATAACCTAGCCATTAAAGGTAACAAGAATGAGGGGAAGCTAATTTTGGCAAACATCAGTATTGTGCATCAGAAATATAACACTATAGATCAGAATCCTATTTCATTCAATATGAATCCTTATGAGAATGTCTTCTGATCACAGGGGTGTCATCTTTGCACATAACTCTCCTCATCCTCAAGTGACCATACCTGTTAGATTCAAAGGTAACTTGCTTTTGTAAGAAAGTAGCGTAGAGCAAAGATGAGGGTACCAGGGATTAGAAGCTCTGAATTTTCTTTCAACCCATCTTAGTGAAAAAAAACAACAACCTGGATTTAGAAGGCAGAAGAATGGCTTATGTGATTTTAGAAAAGGGATATTAAACCTCTTCATCCCTAGGTTATTTATCCATAGTCACAGATGTTCTATTAATAATATAGGTGAAAGAAATGTCACCGTATCCCCTACTCCCACTAAAGTAAATTAAACCTGGTTTAAGTATCCACTTACTAAGAGAAGCAAAAGCTTTAGGGCCAATTCTGGATGTTTTCTACCCTACTCTTTGTGGGTAACAGAACCCAGACTTACATAGTCAAGGAAGACTGTGACAGTGGCATCTCATCTTCAATAACAAAGTGGTAGACATTGTGATTGTTTGTTTCCTAAGACTGTTATCCACTCAAATATGCACAGCTTTTTCTAGCAGCCTCATGTTCTTCATGTCACCTTCAGATATAGAGATCTTTACCTAGGCTCCCAAAGGAGGAGCTTGGTGCCAAGTCTCTCCTGGTACCAGCGTAAGTCCCCTACACCAAAGAGCTTTCTACCTTCATAGTTTTATTATGAGCAGGAATTATCCAATTCATTACACTTTGTTCACATTTGCAGTCTGGTAAAATTATCTATCTGGTTTAGACTGGGCTCTGTTTCAATCCACTGAAACCACAGCCTGCCTCCTCATTTTGTCTCTGACAATGGAGCCTCATCATACCGAGAGCCTTGTACATGCACAAGCCTAGGCTTGCATGCATGAGTGTACACACACACACACACACACACATGCATGCACACACACAGAGTTCACTGACCCTTGGAGATAAGGAGAATTCAGACCTGCTGGATTTTCTTGGAAGAAGTGGGGATAGTGGAGATGTTTTCATTCTATGTCCTGGTGAGTCCACAGCAAGAGTGGGGGTTGTGAGGAGCAATTACAACACCTCATTTATTACATGAAATACAAAAAAAAAAAAAAAAAAACTCATCTACTTTCTTGGTATTACCAAGTAAACACTCATTGATTCTAAAGCTAGACTTCCAGTTTGTTTCTCTCTCCTGAGCTCCAAATCTGTTTAGTCAACCCTCCAAGTCCCTCTTGGCAACATGTTAAAAAACAAATTCACCGGCCAGTCGTGGTGACTCACACCTGTAATCCCAGCACTTTGGGAGGCCAAGGCAGGCAGATCACGAGGTCAAGAGATCGAGACCATCCTAGCCAACATGGTGAAACCCTGTCTCTACTAAAAAAATACAAAAATTAGCCAGGCGTGGTGGCACGTGCCTGTAGTCCCAGCTACTCAGGAGGCTGAGGCCAGAGAATCGCTTGAACCCAGGAGGTGGAGCTTGCAGTGAGCTGAGATTGCGTCACTGCACTCCAGCCTGGTGACAGAGTGAGACTCTGCCTCAAAAATAAATTAATTAAAATTTAAAAAATAAAAATAAAAACCAAACTCATCATTGCCATTCCACTCACCTACCTACCATTTCTCCTATAGTATGTATATCTGTAAATGACATCACCATCATCCAGCCGGAAGCATAGGTCTTATCCTTGAGTCCTCCCCCTTTCCCCTTTCTCAGTCACATATAACCAACCACTTAAAGTTCTATTGATTTTCCAAACTTAAAATCACTAAAATCTGTTCACTCATCTTCTACCATTCTGGGTCAGTCCCCATCATTTTTATCCTGGGTTGCTACTATAGCTTCTTAATTGCTCTTCCTACTCCCAATTTTGTTCTGGGCTTGCTCACAGCCAAAACACGTTACAGCCAGAGTGTTCTCTGTAAAATGCATGTCATTGCCATGTGCTAATAGTAATCTCTCAATAATGCTTTTTGTCTGATTTTAATACATCTCCCCTACTTTCTATTGGTTACCTTTTTCCTGCCATGTCCTTTTCCATTGTATTCTTTAGAATAAACTAAGATGCTGCAGCAAATATCAAATATACCAAAATAGAATCATGGTTCAGTACAGTAGAAGCTTTTCCCCGACAGTCCTGAGCAGGTATCAGTTCTCTGGAGATGCTGCTCCTCCAAGCTGTTATTCAGGGACTCCAGATGCTTCCATCCTGTTGTTCTACTATCCTCTAAGGTCTATCTGCACCTGTATGCAGCCAGATCCAGGAGAAAGGGCATGGTGAAAGGCATTGGGGAATCAATGCACCAGGCCTGGAAATGGCACCTATCACTTCCATTCCTACTACACACCACCATACCCAAGAAGAAGGGGGCATGAATTTTGTGACTGACCAATACATATGTTGTTGAAGTGAACAGAAAGATAAAAGGGCATAATCATCACTCCTTCAGTTTGTTAGGAAAGGTTTCCTAGGAGTGGTAGATTCAGGTGTCTGAGTGGCAGAAGAGTGTTAGTATAATTAAGAATATGAGCTTTTGAGACAGACAGACTTAGGTTTAAATCTTGCTTCTAGTGCTTACTAGTTGGCTCAGTTAGGTAATTTATTTCAAATCATCCAAGTAGTGATTTGAAATAAATCATACCAAAAACCATGAACTTTTTTTAAGGATTAAGGGAAATTAAATATTTGGAACAATTGGCTCGATCTCTGTCAAAAGGAAGTCTTGCTAAATGGAAGTAATTACCATTAGTTATTGGCTGGGTGAGATGAAAGCTGGAAAGAGAGGTTAGAAAGAAACAGTTTGGAATATGGTGAATTTTGCCTTGTGACATTTGGTAAATTATTTAACATATTCTAGACCTTTGTTTTTTTCATCTACAAAATGAGCAAAATTCCTTATACCTGATAGATTAATATGAGACACAAATGAAATATGCATATAAATGTTGGCATCATGTTCAATCCTTATTCATGATAATTATGATTATGGAAGTAAACTTGGTATATCAGGAAGGAGAAATTATTTACATGGTAAAAACATTTTTCCCCTTTCAGAGAGAATAACTGACTGTTTCAAACTCTCCACTTTCTCTCTCTTTAAACTCTTATTAAGATTTTGAATTTTCAAACCACAAATCTCAAGTATGCAAAAAATGCAAGTATTTTTCCTACTTTCTGTCCAAAACTCCTATGGTACCTAGAGCAGAAATTGAATTTTGCAATTTCAAGGGAAATTCATTCACTCAAAGTTTTTCTCAATCAATTCCAAGTAAACTCAGCCAATTTATGGTTCAGCACCTCCCTGACTTTGTGGGGCTCCTAAGAATTAGGAGACCCTTGAAGTAACTTAGCATCCAGGGTAAGACACTTTATTTTAAGTCATCAGCTATCCTGCTCACTTCCACTAAGATTTACACAACTCTGTTTCATTAGGGGTTGTCCTTAGACCTCCTTGGCTGTCCTTTGTCCTCCTTGCTGTCACTGCTGCCTAGTCCCTGTCCACACGGCATGTGCATTCACCCCAGCTGCTGTCCTGACTACGACATCCCTTGGCACAACTGGATTTTCCACCATGGTATTCTGTATCTACAGAGATTCCACAGTATTCTGTATCTACAGAGAACTCAACAGGACTGTCCCAGTCTCTCTGCCCTGCCCACTGTGCATCCACATCTCCTCTACTCCTTCTGTGTCATAATCACTTGGAAAAATATCTACAAGTCTGTTGATTCCTCAGGTTCAAAGAGAAAAATCATGGTAATTTCTCTTTTATTTGAAGATGTCCCAAATCACTCGGGAGGTCCGGCATCTCCCTCTTTCTGAATAATCCCAGGAGAAGGGCAGAGGCAGAGCCCTTCAGAGAAACAACAACATCAAACTCATTTGCTTCCTCTCAGTGTTTCTCTTTTCTTCTCCAGATCAGATAATTGTTTCAAGTTTAGAGATATTTGATTTCACTTCACTATGAAAACTTGAAAGTCATGAATTTTATACCTTAAGCTCTGTGTTGTTGTGACGATTCTTTCCTAAGGACGAGAAGGTTTAGTTCAGACTTCCAGGGTGACCCCACACCTATTTCAGATCACCTCCTTTTCACTGAGAAAACAGAGGCATCAAAGAAGAAAGATGTCTCACAGTTGCCAAATCCAAGACACCTTGTACATCTTGTATACTCATGTTTGATGTCTTTCTAGCCTACCCCTGTCCTTTGGGACCCTGCCTCATTCCCTTCTCAAGGTGGTCTCACAATATAATTTTTTTCTTCCACATCAGAGGTCAACAAATATTTCCTGTAAAGGACCAGATAGTAAATATTTCAGACTTTGCTGGCCATGCAGTCTCCGCTGCTACCTCAGAACTCTGCCATCATAGCAGGAAAGCATTTATAGATAATACATAAACAAAGAGGTCTGACTGTGTCCAAATAAAGCTCATTTATGGACACCAAAATTTGAACTTCGTATAATTTTCACATCAATAAATTTTTTTAAAAAAAGTTGTTAACCACTTACAAATGTGAAAACTATTCTTAGCTCACAGGCCATTAACAGTCTACAAAAACAGTCAGCAGACCAAATTTGGCCCACAAGCTATAGTTTGTTAATCCCTGTTCTACATTATTTATCTCTCATTACTTAGCAGAAGATTGACAACCAGTTATATTATATGCTCCAGTATCTTATAAGTTTTTTAAAAATTATCTTCCTTTGATTCTACAAGACTTTGTAGATACTATATTACTTCTCCGTCGATCTTTACGACAAAACTTCTTAAAACTATTGTACCAGTTAATCCCACATCCTCATTTTTCAATTATTTTTAAAATCATGTTAATGTAGTTTTCATGACACCACTATTATGAAAGAAAAAAAAACTCTCATAAAGGTCATCAATTATCTCTGTTTCCAAATTGAGTGACATTTTTGGGTCTACATTTTATTCAACTTGCCAACAGTTTTTAACCCAGCTGATGATAGAGACAGGAGACAGCCAAGAGTCCCCAGCGAAACACCACCTTCAAGCCTAAAACAGCCTGAAGATTGAAAAACCAGACTGCGGGTCCAGATGAAGCCCGCCCTTTCCCGACTGATTCTGATAATGCCCACCCACGCACTGGGAGAAGCAGGTGGAGCCACGGGAAGTCCGTGCCTTTTGTAGTGGGGAGGAGCTTGGCCTCTAGTTTCTGTGTGGTGGTCTGGTGTCCAATCTGTGAGGCAGGAGCCTGTTGGTAAGATTCCTTCTCGCTTTGCTGAGAGCTGTGTTTGTGTTTCCTTTCTCCTTTTTGACCAATAAATTCTACTCCTCACCCTTCTATGTGTCCGTGAGCCTAATCTTTCCTGGTCCTGTGGCAAGAAACCGGTTTTAGCTGAACTGAGGAGAAAGTTCTGCAACACTGACCCCTCCTTTCTTGCCACACCTCTTATTGCTTATGTGACTTCTAGTCCTCCTTCTACCACATGTACCACCCCTCAGCCTTTGCAGTGGACTTCCCTGCTTATGCCACAATTCCTTGGCATTCTTCCTTACTTTCACTCTTTCTCTAAGTACTCTCATGTCTTTGATTCTAATCTATATTCTGACAATTCTGAAAATGTGTATTGCTTCAGCCCAGGCCATTATTAAGATCTTCAGACTCAAGTAACCAATTGCCTACTTAGTATGTTCATGCATGTGTCTAAGAGGCTACTCAAAGTTGGCAAGTACAAACAGAACTGCTGATTTCTGTCTCTACCTGAATCTTCTTTTTCCTCCAGCCTTCTGCCTCCAAGTTAATGGCACCACCATCTACCCTGATACTCAAATCATCCTTGACCTTGATTTCTCTTTTCCCCCACCCACTACATGTTAATAAATCTATTTCATCCTCTTCATTTTTGCTGTGCAATTCTAATCCAAGTCACCCTCTCTCTTAACTAAATTGCTACAGCTATCCCTTTTCAGTCTCCCTTCTACATCTTAGCTCCTCCAATCCATTCTCTCTACACAGAATTGAAAGTAATTTTTTATGCATGAATTAAATCATTTTACAGCCTCCTGTGGCTTCCCATTGCACTACCATGACCTGCAAGAAGCTTCATGACTTGCCTTTTGTTTTCATTCCATGCCTCCTTTTCCTTTGATCGCTAGCTCCCAGCCACAACCACCTTCTTTCAGGTCCTCAACCACAGAAAGCTCTTTCTGGCCTCAGGGCCTTTGCATATGCCTTTTTCTCTACTAGAAATATTCTTCCTATGGCTTCTTAGATGTTTGTATTGAGGCCTGAGGCCTTCTGTAAACCTGATTCATAGATTTCCACCCCTGACATTTATTCTCTAACCCAGCTTAGCTTCTATTACTAGTTATATTAATTACTTATGATACATAAGGTTTAAATAGATATATAAATACAGTTACATCTAGAAGTTATCTACTTATTGTTTCTCGTTTACTGCTTGTCTTTCTGACTAGAATGTAAGCTCCATGGAGTCACAGAGGTCTTTCTTCTTCACTGTAGTACACACAACTCCGTGCACTGTAACAGACACACATTGGGAGTGAAGAAATGAACACGTATGCTCTATTTCAACAAAAAACAAACACGCAAAAGTTGCTATGGACTAAATGTCTATGTCTCCCCTCCCACAAATTCCTGTATTGAAGCCCCAATCATCAATGTGATTATATTTGGAGGTGGGAACTTTAGGAGGTAATTAAGTCATGAAGGGAGAGATTTCATGATGGGATCAGAGCGCTTAGGAAGATACAACAGAGAGATGATCTCTCTCTCCACTGTGTAAGGATAAAGACATGATAAAGAAAATGTACATATACACCATGGAATACTATACATCCAGAATCATGTCCTTTGCAGCAACATGGATGGAGCTGAAGGCTATTATCCTAAGCAAACTAACACAGGAACAGAAAACCAAATACTCTATGTTCTCACTTATAAATGGGAACTAAACATTGTGTCCACAAAGAAGGGAACAACAGACATGAGGGCCTACTTGAGAGTGGAGGGTGGGAAGAGGGTGAGCATGGAAAAACTGCCTATCAGGTACTATGCTGATTACCTGAGTGATGAAATAATCTGTACTCCCAAACCCCGGAGACATGCAATTTACCTATTTAACAAACCTGCACATGTAAACCTGAATCTAAAATTAAAGTTAGAAAAAAAAAAAAGGAACTCATTTACAGACCAGGAAGAGGACCTTTGCCAGAAACCAAAACTGGCACCTTGATCTTGGACTTCCAAGCCTCCAGAACAGTGGGAAATAAATTTCTGTTGTTTAGGCCACACAGTCTATAACACAGATGTTTCTCAGCTTACAACAGGACAGGTTACATCACAATAAAACCATCATAAGTTGAAAATATCGCAAGTTGAAATGTATTTAATACACCTAGCCTACCAAACATCATAGCTTAGCCTAGCCTACCTGAAATGTTCTCAGAACACTTACATTAGCCCGCAATTGGGCAAAATCATCTTACGCAAAGCCTATTTTATAATGAAGTGTTGACTATCTCATGTAATTCATTGAATACTGTACTGAAAGTAAGAAACAGAACTCAAAGTACAGTTTCTACTGAATATATATCACCTCGGCACTATTGTTAAGTCAAAAAATCCCAGGTCGGGCCATAGTAAGTCAAGAACCATCTATATTTTGTTACAGCAGCTCAAGCAGACTAAGAAAGCATATCTTAAAATGCTAAATTTGAACAAGACTGTTAGTGACATCTAGCCTAATCCCCTCACTTTACAGATAAATAAGCTGAACTCCATAGTGATGATGGTGAACTGAACAAAGTCATGGGTTAAACAGGACTAGAATCCAGTTCTTTCATTTCTAGCCCAAGGCTGTTTGTTCTATGTCACAGGGGGAAAGAACAGAGATAATAAGAGTAATCTTTGTTCTATGCTTTATACCCTTTTTTTTAAATTAAGGTTAATGTTTTCAACGTTTAAATAAGTTGCTAGAGGATAGGGACAGTCCTTTTAATTTGCTTAATGCAGCAAAAAGGGAGATCGCTGTATAAATTTTTCCAGACATTTTGTTTATAGCCTTAGAGTCAGTGTCCAGTAGAATTTAAATTGAATTTAACCTATTTTTAATATTTCAAACCATAGATGGTTCATGTTTTCCATATAAAATCTGCAGTTCCATCTTAGTATTTTGCATTTCCATCCTCTTTTTCCACCATCAAGTGGTCTGGCTCTCCCAGGAGTGTGGCAGCCAGATGACAAATGCTCTTCCAAATAACCCCAGGAGTGGTTTCTCCTTCTGCACCAGGGCTAGGCAGCCAGCTCAGAGAGTGGAAAGAGCAGGGGCTAGAAACCAGGCACCCCAGTTTACAATCCTGGCTCCACCACTAATTCCCTGTGTCACTCTGGACAAGCTGCTTAAACACCCTGGCCATGGTCCCCTGGTTTGTAGAATGAACAATTCGGAATAAAATCTTCTCAAAGCTTTCAGACAGCTCTAGCCTTCTATGGTTCTATTTTCTACACATTAAATAAATCTTTGCACCAAAACGTTAATTCATCTTATTTCTTTCTCTCCCATTTATGTTTTTTTGGATTCCTTCTTCATAAGGTGACCTCCTTAAAGAATCTTCTCCTCTTCTCAAAATCCACATCACTCCTGAGAATGTCAATTTCCTTTCCATGTTTTGCTCTGGCCTTCTCAAGCTGTTGCCTCAGGCAAGGAAAGTCTGGATGTCATGGGGATCAATTACCCAATAGGTAGCCTCAGTACATGCTCCAGGTACCCATAAGGCTAAGATTTCTGGATGTTCCTGAAAAATATTAGAGAAAGCTTTCATGACCTCTGAAATCTATCCTTTCACTGCCAATGGTAGTCAGACATATACCCAAATATCCAAGAAGAACAAAAGCCTTTTGTTTAAAAATATTCTACTCTCTGTTTAAATTGGGGGCACTAAAATTACTTAACATCATCCTTATCTATGCCAGGAGCCACTCTAGAGACTGGCTGCCTTAAAAGGAAGTATCGTATTCTTTCATTAATTTATGTATTTAATGAATATGTTTTCAGTAATTACTACACGCTGAGTATTGTGTTCTATCCTGGAGACCCAGAAATAGAGAAAATGCTAATCACTGTCCTCAGAAAACTTGATCCCCCTGCAATGCTGACAAGTAAATATGCAACTACAGTTCAAAATGATAATTGTTATAATTTCCTTATATAGGTTTCACAGTTATTTTGAGTGATATATTGAAGGTCAGTGGGTTAATCTAGTCTTGGGCTTCATGTGAAGTATAAGAAGGGTCCGAAGTGGAAAGGTGGGCGAGTGGTCATTTCATCCTTACGGTATGGGGCAGTCTTTGAAAAAGCTAGCCACATTTGGGAGGAATCCAAGACTCTGCAGTGTGATTTTGAAGTTTCAGGCTAATGGCACACACTCTACGCAGGCTTGTTAAGAGCCTCTGAGCTTTGCTTAAAAGCTGAAGCTTGCTTTTCACCCCAGCTCTTGATGTTTTGCTATAGGAGAGTCATGATTTTCCATAGAGAAATTCCTTAGTCCATCTCCCAGTAGGAACAAGAGAGACCAGAAGCCACATTTTCCCCACCAGCTGACACAATGTCCTGTGGCACCATTGAGAATGCGTGTGGAATTATTATCTCTCTAGGTGATTTGGAAAAGGTGGGGGTTTTGCCTTGTTATTGTGGGGTTGATATTTCAGTTATAATACATTCTAGTTGCCTTTATTCCTTAACTATAGTACAAAGCCAGAGTGTATGGTAAACCTTAGGATAATAATAATAACAAATAATTAACAGCTATTGAGCATTGGCTATATGCAAAACATGGATTTTTAGTTCTCTAAGTGCCTCTTCTCCTTTAATCCTCCCAATACTCCTATGAGGTAGGTACTATCATAATCATCCTCACTTTACCAATGAGGAAACTGAGGCTTAGAGAGACTAAATAATTTGCTCTATGTCACAAAACTAATAAGTGGGAATGCTGAGGTTTTAACTGGAAGTCCAACTGATCATAGCCTGCATGTTTACTCACTAAGCTATTTGCCTCAAAGCTTTAAAAATATATACTCCTGAGATGCCAATTATTTTGGATGCTAAGTAATTTGAAACATGATGGTAGAATCAAATTGAAAAGTTCTTAAAAATGAGCAGGACAAAAACTTCAGATGAGTTGTAATTATGAAATAAGAGAGTTCAAAGAGTTTCTTCTGTCCCACCCAACCATCTGCAGCCCACTCTTCTGGGTATGAATTGCCCTCACTGGCTATTAGAACAAAATGTGTAGGTGCAACAGAATAAATGGATCACATCAAAGTGATTCATCTAGATATTCCATCACCAACTTCTTTTCTTGCTCTATTCCAATAAGATAGTTGCTCCTTCAGGCAGGTCTATAGAACTCATCCATCTCAGTTCTAGGTATTTGATTTTACCTTTCCAGCTGCCTAGAATACCCTCCATACAGTGTATGGCTATATGAATTATGACTCATAAAATCAATTTCTGTCCACACATCCTCTCTGCACCAACACATGAGCATTGATTAATTTGCATATCAGTCAAATTAGCTGGCCAGATAGGTGGGAAATATCAAAGTCAATAGGTTCACTAATCTTATCTGGATCAACACGTGAGATTAGCTACCTCGCATAGAGCCTCTTCTAGGAAAGGCATGAACAGCAACAACCCTGGGACAACCAATCACAGAAATGGAATTCCCTATGATAAAATATAGAAATCCTAAGCATGCACTCCTACATTCTCTTAACACATGAATGTTTAACCTCTGGCCAGAAGCTCTAGATGTCAAAGCAACTATATCTCTCACATCCTTGGTCATACCCAGAGTGTCAGTCTAGCCAGCCACTAGAGAGAGAATGAGAGCCCTTCCACATCTACAGGACTATTCATTAACCATAACACTCATCCATCCAGAGCTTTAAGCACAGAGGCCTTTTACGCCTACCCCAAAATAATATATATGTACGCATATGTGTATTCATAGGAAAGTTTGACTTAGGTAGGCTGAATTAATTTTATATTGAATATTTTTATTAATTTGAATATAAATATAAATTATTTGAAATGGCTACCTGCACTGGTTTTCCCTTATTGTAGCAAATACAGCGGAAACAATACAAAACGATTCAATGAAGGTCTCAGACTCCCTATAGCTTTCCCATCCTCCTGTCTCCTTTGTGCCAATCATTTACACTACTTTTTCCAAATTTGTCTTTCAGCATTTATGCTGACAGTTTGCTCCATGTCCAGTTTTATGCACTTTGCTAAATTTTATAATTAAGTTGCATATAAATTTCTAGTTTAACATTTTGGAGTGCCAAGCAGGCCATTTTGATGAGTATTTATTGAAGGAATAGATACTTGTCAGATATTCACTGAATGAGAGATTGACCAGATGCTGAGAGTGAAGAGAACACGACCACAAAACTCCAATTTTATGGGTGCATAAAATTGAACTCCTAACCCTCAGCACATGCAAAAGAAAAACATGAATATTATCTAAATTTTTAAAGGCACATTAGCCTACACATTTCAGATTTTTAAATTACATGATAAGATAAGGGTAAATGGGGCTCTCCCCAACTTGCAGGTGGGAGCCACAGGCAGAATACAACAGTGATTTGATTGAGCTTTTTCCACCGAATTTCATTGCCTCTTAAAAATGGCCAAAACATCCACGGAACAACTTTATGCTGATTCACTCAAAAACTTGAAGGCACACTCTTGTGATTTCTTATTCCTGTTTTGTGATCAAGTATTTTTGTGTCTGCAAGTAAAGTACAAGTGTAAAATCGATTAAGAAGGATGGAGACTACTGCAAGTCTGATTCCGAGAGAATTTTTTTACCGTGACTGCAAGGTAAACCCATTACTTCTTGATGAGGTGTTTTCCCTTGTTTCAACCCTCAAATTTAATACTTACCAAAAAGAAAAAGGAAAATAGTTTGAGTGTAAAATAATATTCTAAACTATTTAACACACCATAAAGCTGAGGGATGGGAAGGAAGAAGGCAAAAAAATGAATATTTATGGTTACTTAATAGATTTTTTAAAAATTCAGAACCAACGGTTTGAAAGTCTGACTTCTGTTTAAGTTACAGAAAATAAATGGGATATGCTGTGGTGGTGGGGCTACTCAAACCCTAGGCAAACTGCCAGGGCAAGTTGCTGTCTAGTGTGCTTTTCTTCCTTGATTGGGTATTAGTGTTATCCACAGCAGAGGAATATGAGAAATGTAAATTTTAGTCAATGATATTTAGCATAGTGTGGTGGGCTGAATTATTTCCCCCACACACACACCCATCTACATCCTAATCCCTGGAACCTGTGAATATGCTACCTTTTAGGGTAAAAAGCACTTTGCAGGCATTATTAAGTTAAGAATCATGAGTTAGCAAGATTATCATGCATTATTTAGATGGGCCCAATATAATCATCATGGTCCTAATAAGAAGGAGGCAGGAGGATAAAGTCAATAAAAGATGATATGATAACAGAAGCGGTGATTGGAATAAACTGCCTATGAGCTGAGGAATGCTGGCAGCCTCTGGAAGCTGGAAGAAGCAAGGAATGGATTCTCTATAGCCCCCTTAGGAGCATCCAGCCCAACCAGAACCTTGATATTAGCCTCTTAAGACTCATTTTGGACTTCTGACCTCCAGAAATGTAAGAGATAAAGTTGTATTTTTTAAAGCTCTATGAGCAGCAATAGGAAACTAGTATAACAAGGGAAATAAATCTATTCTGAGTGCCAATATACTTACCTTCTATTCCAGCTTTGTCACTAATTTGCTATGTGACTTTAAGTATATCCTCTAACCTCTCTGTATTTGGGTTTTCTAAGAAATATAATAGCTTGGAGTAGAGAAGAGATAAAGCAGAGCTTGAAAACTGGTGGTATAGAATTTGGAATTGGCCTGTTAAATATGTTGTAAACACTTTGAAAGGCCAAGGCAGGTGGATCACCTGAGGTCAGGAGTTTGAGACCAGCCTGACCAACATGTTGAAACCCTGTCTCTACTAAAAATACAAAAATTAGCCAGCTATGGTGGTGCATGCCTCTAGTCCCAGCTACTCGGGAGGCTGAGGCAGGAGAAGCACTGGAACTCAGGAGGTGGAGGTTGCAGCGAGCAGAGATTAGGCCACTGCACTCCAGCCGGAGTGACAGAGTGAAATTCTGTCCCCCAAAAAAATAATAATTAAAAATATATATAGCCGGGCACAGTGGCTCATGCCTGTAATCCCAGCACTTGGGGAGGCCGAGGCAGGCAGATCACCTGAGGTCGGGAGTTTGAGACCAGCCTAGCCAACATGGAGAAAACAGTCTCTACTAAAAATACAAAAAAATATCTGGGCATGGTGGCACACGCCTGTAATCTCAGCTACTCGGGAGGCTGAGGCAGAAGAATCGCTTGAAACCAGGAGGCAGAGGTTGTGGTGAGCCAAGATCATGCCATTGCACTCCAGCATGAGCAACAAGAGTGAAACTCTGGCTCAAAATACATATATATACACATCTATATATATATAGATGTATAGATACATATGTATGTATATATGTACATATGTATCTATATATATACGTATATACATATGTATATATATGAGCGAGAGTGAAACTCTGGCTCAAAATATATACATATATACACACACACATCTATATATAGATGTATAGATATATATACATATGTATATACATATGTGTGTATATATATGTATATGTGTGTATATATGTACATCTATATATATATACACACACACATATATATATATACACACACACACACATCTATATATATATAGCTGAAGCCAGGGAGCCAAGTAGCTGGCTCGGCGGGTCCCACCCGCCTGGAGCCCAGCAAACTAAGATCCACTGGCTTGAAATTCTCACTGCCAGGACAGCAACAGTCTGAGATCCACTAGAGGGACGCTCGAGCTTGGTGTGGGGAGGGGCATCTGCCATTGCTGAGGCTTGAGTAGGTGGTTTTACACTCACAGTGTAAACAAAGCTGCTGGGAAGTTGGAACTGGGCAGAGCCCACTGCCGCTCAGCAAGGCTACTGTGGCCAGACTGCCAGATTTCTCTTCTCTGGGCAGGGCATCTCTGAAAAAAAGGCAGCAGCCCTAGTCAGTGACTTATAGATAAAACCCCTGTATCCCTGGGACAGAGCACCTGGGGAAAGGGGCAGCTGTGGGCGCAGCTTCAGCAGACTTAAACATCCCTGCCTGACAGCTGTGAAGAGAGCAGCAGATCTCCCAGCACAGCCTTCAAGCTCTGCTAAGGGTCAGACTGCCTCCTCAAGTGGGTCCCTAAACCCCGTGTATCCTGACTGGGAAATACCTCACAGTAGGGGCCGACAGACACCTCATACAGGAGAGCTCTGGCTGGCGTCTGGCAGGTGTCCCTCTTGGAAGAAGCTTCCAGAAGAAAGATCAGGCAACAATCTTTGCTGTTCTGAAGCCTCCACTGGTAATATCCAGGCGAAGGGGGTCAGGAGTAGAACTCCAGCAAACTCCAGCAGACTGGCAGCAGAGGGGCCTGACTGTCAAAAGGAAAACTAACAGAACAGAAAGGAATAGCATGTCCACTCAAAGACCTCATTCGAAGGTCACCAATATCAAAGACCAAAGGTAGATAAATCCACAAAGAAGGAAAGAAACTAGCTCAAAAAGGCTGAAAATTCCAAAACCAGAATGCCTCTTCTCCTTCAAAGGACCACAGTTCCTCCCCAACAAGGGAACAAAACTGGACAGAGAATGAGTTTGACGAAGTGACAGAAGTAGGCTTCAAAAGGTGGGTAATAACAAGCTCCTCTGAGCTAAAGGAGCATGTTCTAACCCAATGCCAGGAAGCTAAGAACCTTGAAAAATGGTTAGAGGAATCACTAATTAGAATACCATCATTCTCAGCAAACTATCACAAGGACAAAAAACCAAACACCACATGTTCTCACTCATAGGTGGGAATTGAACAATGAGAACACACGGACACAGGAAGGGGAACATCACACAACGGGGACTGTTGTGGGGTGGGAGGAGGGGGGAGGGATATCATTAGGAGATATACCTAATGCTAAATGACGAGTTAATGGGTGCAGCACACCAACATGGCACATGTATACACATGTAACAAACCTGCACATTGTGCATATGTACCCTAAAACTTAAAGTATAATAATAACAAAATTAAAAAATAAATAAAATAAAAAAGAATATCGAGTGTAAAGAAGAACACAAATGACCTGATGGAGCTGAAAAACACAGCACGAGAACTTCGTGAAGCATAAGAAGTTTCAATAGCTGAATCAATCAAGTGGAAGAAAGGATATCAGTGATTGAAGATCAAATTAATGAAATACAGAAAGAAGACATGATTAGAGAAAAAAGAGTGAAAAACGAACAAAGCCTCCAAGAAATATGGGACTATGTGAAAAGACCAAATCTACATTTGATTGGTGTACCTGAAAGTGACAGGGAGAATGGAACCAAGTTAGAAAACACTCTTCAGGATATTATCCAGGAGAACATCCCCAACCTAGAAAGGCTGGCCAACATTCAAATTCAGGAAATACAGAGAACACCACAAAGATACTCCTCGAGAAGAGCAACCCCAAGACAAATAATCGTCAGATTCACCAAGGTTGAAATGAAGGAAAAAATGTTAAGGGCAGCCAGAGAGAAAGGTCAGGTTACCCACAAAGGAAGTCCATCAGACTAACAGCAGCTCTCTCTGCAGAAACCATACAAGCCAGAGGAGAGTGGGGGCCAATATTCAACACTATTAAAGCAAAGAATTTTCAACACTGAATTTCATATCCAGCCAAACTAAGCTTCATAAGCGAAGGAGAAATAAAATCCTTTACAGACAAAGCAAATGCTGAGAGATTTTGTCACCACCAGGCCTGCCTTACAAGAACTCCTGAGGAAAGCACTAAACATGGAAAGGAACAACCAGTACCAGCCACTGAAAATACATACCAAATTGTAAAGAACATTTACACTATGAAGAAACTGCACCAACTAATGGGCAAAATAAACAGCTAGCATCATAATGACAGGATCAACTTCACACATAACAATTTTAACCTTAAATGTAAACGGGATAAATGCCCCAATTAAAAGACACAGACTGGCTAATTGGATAAAGAGTCAAGACCCATCAATGTGCTGTATTCAGGAGACCCATCTCACGTGCAGAGACACACATAGGCTCAAAATAAAGAGATGGAGGATGATCTACCAAGCAAATGGAAAGCAAAAAAAGCAGGGGTTGCAATTCTAGTCTCTGATAAAACAGACTTTAAACCAACAAAGATCAAAAGAGACAAAGAAGGGCATTACATAATGGTAAAGGGATCAATGCAGCAAGAAGAGTTAACTACCCTAATTATATATGCACCCAATACAGGAGCACCCCGATTCATAAAGCAAGTTCTTAGAGACCTACAAAGAGACTTAGACTCCCACACATTAATAGTGGGAGACTTTAACACTGTCAGTATTAGACAGATCAATGAGACAGAAGGTTAATAAGGATATTCAGGACTTGAGCTAAACTCTGGACCAAGCAGACCTAATAGATATCTGCAGAACTCTCCCCCAAAAATCAACAGAATATACATTCCTCTCAGCACCGCATCACACTTATTCCAAAATGGACCACATAATTGGAAGTAAAACATTCCTCAGCAAATGCAAAAGAATGGAAATCATAACCAACAGTCTCTGAGACCACAGTGCAATCAAATTAGAGCTCAGGATTAAGAAACTCACTCAAAACCACACAACTAAATGGAAACTGAGCAACCTGCTCCTGAATGACTACTGGGTAAATAACGAAATGAAGGCAGAAATAAAGATGTTCTTTGAAACCAATGAGAACAAAGACACAACATACCAGAATCTCTGGAACACATTTAAAGCAGTGTGTAGAGGGAAATTTATAGCACTAAATGCCCACAAGAGAAAGCAGGAAAGATCTAAAATTGACACCCTAACATCAAAATTAAAAGAACTAGAGAAGCAACAGCAAACAAATTCAAAATCTAGCAGAAGACAAGAAATAACTAAGATCAGAGCAGAACTGAAGGAGATACACGAAAAACCCTTCAAAAAAAATCAATGAGACCAAGAGCTGGTTTTTTTGAAAAGATCAACAAAATAGACCACTAGCCAGACTAATAAGGAAGAAAAGAGAGAAGAATCAAATAGATGCAATAAAAAATGATATAGGGGATATCACCACTGATTCCACAGAAATACAAACTACCATCAGAGAATGCTATAAACACCTCCATGCAAATAAACTAGAAAATCTAGAAGAAGGGGATAAATTCATGGATACATACACCCCCACCAAGTCTAAACCAGGAAGAAGTCAGATCCCTGAATAAACCAATAACAAGTTCTAAAATGAGGCAGTAATTCATAGCCTACCAACTAAAAAAAAGTCCAAGACCAGATGGATTCACAGCTGAATTCTACCAGAGGTACAAAGAGGAGCTGGTACCATTCCTTCTGAAACTATTCCAAACACTAGAAAAAGAGGGAATCCTCCCTATCTCATTTTATGAGGCCAGCATCATCTTGATACCAAAACCTGGCAGAGACACAACAAAAAAAGAAAATTTCAGCCCAATATCCCTGATGAACATCAATGTGAAAATCCTCGATAAAATACTGGCAAACCGAATCCAGCAGCACATCAAAAAGCTTATCCACCACTATCAAGTCGGCGTCATCCCTAGGATGCAAGGCTGGTTCCACATATGCAAATCAATAAATGTGATCCATCACATGAACAGAACCACATGACAAAAACCACATGATTATCTCAATAGATGCAGAAAAGGCCTTTGATAAAATTCAACACCCCTTCATGCCAAAAATTCTCAATAAACTAGATATCGATGGAACAGATCTCAAAATAATAAGAGCTATTTATGACAAACCCACAGCCAATATTATACTGAATGGGCAAAAACTGGAACCATTCCCTTTGAAAACCGGCACAAGACAAGGATACACTCTCTCACCGCTCTGATTCAACATAGTATTGGAAGTTCCAGCCAGGGCAATCAGGCAAGGGAAATAAATAAAAGGTATTCAAATAGGAAGAGAGGAAGTCAAGTTGTCTCTGTTTGCAGATCACATGATTGTATATTTAGAAAACCCCATCATCTCAGCCCAAAATCTCCTTAAGCTGATAAGCAACTTCAGCAAAGTCTCAGGATACAAAATCAATATGAAAAAAATCAGAAGCATTCCTATACACCAATAACAGACAAACAGAGAGCCAAGTCATGAGTGAACTCCCATTCACAATTGCTACAAAGAGAATAAAATACCTAGGAATACAACTTACAAGGTATATGAAGAATCTCTTTAAGAAGAACTACAAACCACTGCTCAAGGAAATAAGAGAGGACACAAACAAATGAAAAAACATTCCATGCTCATGGAAAGGAAGAATCAATATTATGAAGATGGCCATACTGCCCAAAGTAATTTACAGATTCAATGCTATCCCCATCAAGCTACCACTGACTTTCTTCTCAGAATTGGAAAAAAACTACTTTAAACTTCATATGCAACCACAAAAGAGCCTGCATAGCCAAGGCAACCCTGGGCAAGAAGAACAAAGCTGGAGGCATCACGCTGACTTCAAACTATATTACAAGGCTACAGTAACCAAAACAGCATTGTACTGGTACCAAAACGGAGATACAGACCAATGGAACAGAACAAAGGCCTCAGAAATAACACCACTCATCTACAACTATCTGATCTTTGACAAACTGGACACAAACAAGCAACGGGGAAAAGATTACCTATTTAATAAATGGTGTTGGGAGAACTGGCTAGCCATATGCAGAAAACTGAAACTGGACCCCTTTCTTATACCTTATACAAAAATCAACTCAAGATGGATCAAAGACTTAATCATAAGACCTAGGACCAAAAAAATCCTAGAAGAAAACATGGGCAATACCATTCAGGACATAGGCATGGGCAAAGACTTCATGTCTAAAACACAAAAAGCAAAGGCAACAAAAGCCAAAATTGACAAATGGGATCTAATTAAACTAAAAAGCTTCTGCACAGCAAAAGAAACTATCATCAGAGTGAACAGGCAACCTACAGAATGGGAGAAAATTTTTGCAATCTAGCCACCTGACAGAGGGCTAATATCCAGAACCTACAAAGAACTTAAACAAATTTACAAGAAAAAAATAAACAATCAGCCAGGTGTGGTGGCTCATGCCTGTAATCCCAGCACTTTGGGAGGCCAAGGCAGGTGGATCGCGAGGTCAGCAGAGCGAGACCATCCTGGCTAATGTGGTGAAACCCCATCTCTACTAAAAATAAAAATAAAAATAAAAATCCATTAAAAAGGGGGCAAAGGATACGAACAGACACTTCTCAAAAGAAGACATTTATGCAGCCAACGGACATATGAAAAAATGCTCATCATCACTGTTCATTAGAGAAATGCAAATCAAAACCACAATGAGATACCATCTCATGCCAGTCAGACTGGTGATCATTAAAAAGTCAGGAAACAACAGATGCTGGAGAGGATGTGGAGAAATAAGAACGCTTTTACACTGTTGGTGGGAGTGTAAATTAGTTCAACCATTGTGGAAGACAGTGTGGTGATTTCTCAATCAGAACTGGAAATACCATTTGACCCAGCAATCTCATTACTGGGCATATACCCAAAGGATTATAAATCATGCTACTCTAAAGACACATGCACACATATGTTTATTGCAGCACTATTCACACTAGCAAAGACTTGGAACCAACCCAAATGTCCATCAATAATAGACTGGATAAATAAACTGTGGCTCAAATACACCATGGAATACTGTGCAGCCATGAAAAAGGATGAGTCCATGTCCTTTGCAGGGACATGGATGAAACTGGAAACCATCATTCTCAGTAAACTATCACAAGAACAGGAAACAAAACACCGCATATTCTCATTCATAAGTGGGAGTTGAACAATGAGAACCATGGACACAGGGAAGGGAACATCACACACTGGTGCCTGTCAGGGGGTGGGGGTCTAGGGGAGGCATAACATTAGGAGAAATACCTAACATAGATGATGGGTTGATGGGTGCAGCAAACCACCATGGCCCATGTATACCTATGTAACAAAATTTCATATTCTGCACATGTACCCCAGAACTTAAAGTATAATTAAATATACATATGTTGTAAATTTTTTTGCAATGTGTTTAAAAGTATAGACTAGTTACAAACTCTTACAAATGAAGATTTTATATATATCTTATATGTACACAAAAGATATATGTGTATGTATATATATATATATATATCTTATATATACATAAAAGATATATGTGTGTGTGCATATATATATATAATGTCTTGGAAACACGAAAGATTTGGCAAAACTGAACCATTTTCCTCCATGGCAATAATCTTCCAGTGTTAACTCTCCCCAGTTCCCACCTAGCCAGCCTCACACTTTTGATACCTGTCTACCCCCATGATTCCAAATGGTAGCAATGAGTACTCATAACCTCTGCACAGCATGATTAATTTCTACATTCTATAATTTTATCGTTATTTTGTATCAACAGTCAGAGTCAAGAGTAATACAACTTATGTTGCAGTAAGTAGAATTCCAAAATGCAACCCCCTGCCCAAGATTTTCTACCCTACTTCCCAGGACTGTGAAAATGATTATGTAAAGAGATTTTGCAAATGTAGTTAGAGGTTACCAATCAGCTGACTCTGAGTTAGTTGAAGGAAAAATTATTCTAGCAGGCCCAATCTAATCACACAAGTCTTTTTAAATTGGAGTATTTATCTGACTGGTAGTAGAAAGTAAAAAGATTCCACATAGGGAAAGGATTTGTTGTGCTGTTGCTGGCTTTGAAGATGAATAGGGGCACTGCAAGGACCAGCCTTGAGGAGCTGAGAGTGACCTTGGCTGAGAGTCAAAAAAGAAAGGGACCTCAATCACTCAGCTGTAAAGAACTGCATTCTGCCAACAGCCTGAATGTCTTTGGAAATGGATTCTTCCTCACAGCCTCCATATAAGAGCCCAGCATTGATGACACTTTGATTTCTGCCTTATGGGACATTAAGGAGGAAGCCCAGCTGAGCTCCCCTAGACTCTTGACCTGCAGAGATGAGCTAATACGTGGGTGTTGGTCTAAGCTGCTAAGTTTATGGTAACGTGTTCTAATAGCAATAGAAAATTGATATATACTGTAGAAGATACAATCGAGAAAAATTTTATCCTTGCTGCCAAGATGGAGAAGTAGAGGAATCTGTCATCTGGGGGAATCTGGCTGTCTCCTAAGAGGTCTCTCTAAGTGGAATCTATTACACAAGAAAATTTGCCGTAATTCAGCATCTGCAGTCTGAGACTTGTAGGCTCAGAAACATGTTTACTTTCAATAAACTTAGATATATCTCAGGGGAAGACTCAAATTATCCAAGCTCTTGGTGCTGAGGTATAAAACCAAAATATCTTGTAATGATTCACAGCGACCTTAGTAAGACCCAAGATAACTAAAATACGAATGGCATCATGACCACCACAGTCATTTGGGAAATAGAATTGTAATTCCACTTACAAACCACACTTTGATTAAGGTTCTTACAGTTAAAACTTTGGGTACAAATTATAAATTCCTTGAATTGAAATTCCTGGGATAAAGCATAAGTACACATTTTTGGTTTTTGATGAATATTGTCAAATTGCTTTCCAGAAAGTGGTACCCATGTATAACCTGTGGTACATAGAGGTGTTGCTTCCAAAATTTTATCAACACTGGTGATCTTTTCCTCAGATTTATGGAAATATAATTGACAAATAAAAGCTGTATATATATATATAAGTGTACAGCATGATGGTTTGATATATGTATACATTGTGAAATGATTACCACAATCAAGCTAATTAACATATCTGTCACCTCATATAGTTACATTCTTTTTATTGTGGTAAGAATACTTAAGATATACTCCTTTAGCAAATTTCAAGCATACAATACATTACTATTAACCATAGCCACCATGCTGTACATGAGGTTTCCAGAGCCTACTCAGCTTATAACAAAGTGTGCACCCTGGAAATGGAAAATTGCTGGTGATTTTTTTAATGTTTGTCAACTTAAAAAGCAAAAATTATATTTTAATCGACAATTTTTAAATTATTGATTGTAACTTTTTTCATATTTGTATTGGTGATTCATCCTTCTTTTTTGAAATGGATATCTATGCCCTTGATCCATGTTTTGATTGGTTTCTCTATATTTTTCATCCTAACTTACTGGAGTATCTCACATGTTAAGAATATTAACACCTAGTAAAGAGAAAAGAAAAAAAGAATATATTTTGCAAGTAGCATTACAAGTTGTTTTTCTCTTTCGTTCATTAATATTTTTAAATAGGGCAGGTTTTTTCTTATTTTTGTAAGAGTAAGTCTTTTATCAATTCCCTTTTTTGGGTGGCGTGCTTAGAAAATGCTGCTCCAGGCTGGGCGCGGTGGCTCACGCCTGTAATCCCAGCACTTTGGAAGGCCAAGCCGGGGGGATCACGAGGTCAGGAGATTGAGACCATCCTGGCTAACACGGTGAAACCCCATCTTTGCTAAAAATACAAAAAATTAGCTGGGCGTGGTGGCGGGCGCCTGTAGTCCCAGCTACTCGGGAGGCTGAGGCAGGAGAATGGGGTGAACCCAGGAGGCGGAGCTTGCAGTGAGCCACGCTCGCACCACTGCACTCGAGTCTGGGCAACAGAGCTAGACTCTGTCTCAAAAAAAAAAAAAAGAAAGAAAGAAAGAAAGAAAGAAAGAAAGAGAGAGAGAGAGAGAGAGAGAGAGAAAGAAAGAAAGAAAGAAAGAAAGAAAGAAAGAAAGAAAGAAAGAAAGAAAGAAAGAAAGAAAGAAAGAAAGAAAAAGAGAAAATGTTGCTCCAAGGTCACACATTCATCCCTCCCTATTTTCCTTTAAAATTTGATGGTTGTATTTTTTCCATTTACCCATTTAATCTATCTGGAATCCATTTTACTATATGATGTTTAATAGGGATATACTCTATTTTTCCAAATTGTTAGCAAACTGTACCAATACTGAGTACAGAATAAATCAAAAGCATCTTAAGATCTAATATCTGAGTTCATGCACACAATATGGTAGACATTTGGCTATTTTTCTCCCAATGGTGGTGCCCCCTTCATTCTCATGTACCCAGTCTCCTCATCCATTCCCTCCCCTTCTACTAAAACTGCTCCCAGGAAAGTGTCTTATAAACTCATTTTCAATAAGGCACTGATACTTATAATTCATTTAAATCCCCAACTATTGAATACCTTTTATTGGTCAGGCTCTAAGCTAGGCTTTCGGGGATATAGGACTAAATCAGCCACAGAGTTTATCTGAGAAAGGCGTATTAGTTTAGTGGTAAGATACACAATCAAAAGCAGTAAGAGTTTGTAGGTGCAACAATAATAATATTTGCAACAATTCATTAAGTACTTGACTATGTGCCTCTCAGTGAGCAAAGCGCTTCGTAATCATCTCATTTCACCTTCAGAACAATGTAAGCACTACATTCTCATGTTTCACCACTCATGCTCCATTTATGAGTGGTTAAAGGAGCAAATGTTTCAGATGTTGAAACTAGCATGGTGCCATTTTTAGTCTAAGCCACAGTCCAATATAGTATATAAAATTGAGCCACACAAATAAATTGCTTGGAGTCAATAGGGTGAGGGAAGACATCTGTAGGTCATCTCTGCTAGTGAGCCCCAACCTTGGATGACCTGCAGATGTTAAATGCTGCATGCAAAACAACTACACAGAATTCAGAGAATAGGGAGTGCTGGATGGGACCCTGACTGTTGATGTACTGGAACCTTTTCTTCAGCTGACTCATATGGTACCATTTAGAAATAAATCCTTTTGTTGGTGGTAGAAAGAATCTCTTGCTTAAGTGGCAAATGATTGGAGCTGTTCATTTTGGGGCTTTAGACCAAAACGCAAAAGACAATGATCAACCTAAATAATCTAAGAAGAAGGGAATGCACAATTCTAAAACTGGGATCTAACTCCTTGATAGCCAGTCAATGATATGATAGGATAAATGTTCTATGAGTTTCGATTGAGTCTGTGGTTCCAGTATGAACCCATTGTTGGATGACTGGATGATCAATGGAACAGCCATAAAAATGGGAAAATAGAAAAAGGAGCAGGGGAAAAATAATGAATGTAGTTTTGTAAATGCTGTTTGTAGGGTATCTGTGGTCACTGAGGTAGAAGTATCTAGGGGGCACAAATAGGAATGGCTTTCAAAAGACAGAGCTGGACTAGAGATGTAAATCATAGTAGTAATATTTATCTAGAATGAACATATAAGGAGAGAAAGAAGGAGTAAGAGTAAACCACAGAAATTGCAAAAATTTAAAGAGCAAAGGAAAGACTCTTTTGAACAGATGGAAACAGACACAACAGAGAAATATTTTTAAAATAATAATGAGAAAAAGGGCTGTCAAGGAAATAAATGGAAATGAAAATTTCAAAAAGGATGAAAATAACCAGAAATTTGTTCTCAAGATATTTTATTATTCATATCTTAAAAATCCAATTTCTACTTTATTACATACAAAAAAATAAATTTCAGGTTGATGAAAAACTAAAATATGAAAGGCACTGATATGGTTTGGCTCTGTGTCTCCACCCAAACCTAATATCAAATTGTAATCCCCACATGTTGGAGGAAGGTCCTGGTGGGAGATGATTGGATTATGGGGGTGGATTTCTTCCTTGCTGTTCTTGTGATAGTGAGTGAGTTCTCACAAGAGCTGATGGTTTTAATGTGTGCCACTACCTGCCCCACTCCTGCCACCATGTAAGATGTACTTTGCTTCCCTTTCACCTTCCGCCATGATTATAAGTTTCCTGAGGCCCCCCAAGCCATGCAGAACTGTGATTCAATTAAACCTCTTTTCTTTATAAATGACCAAATCTCAGGTAGTTTTTCATAGCAGTGTGAAAATGAAGTAATAACAGTCACTACTTAAGAAACTTTAGAAAGAAAACAGCTTTATAAATTGTAGATACGAGATACAAGAAATCACAAGCTACACGGATTAATTGATTTGTCACAATAAACTTTAAAATACATTTTCAAAAAAATAGAAAACAAAAGCATAAATAAAAAGACAAGCCCAAGACTTGGAAAAGATACATTTAATGCATGTATCCAAAAAACTGAGTATTTAAAATATATAAAGAACTCACACACACACACACGCACGCACACAGACACAATCAATAACAAAATAATCAATAGAAAAGTAGTCAAAAGATATGAGCAGAAAATCCATAAGAAAATCTGAATCGCTAATATAAACATTTGAAAAACACTTTAAACTTCAATGAAATGAACAATTTAAGCAATTAGATATTATTTCACACTCATCAGATTGGCCAAACTATAAAACAATGACAGTGCCCACTGCAAAGAGGTAAAGCAGTGTTTCCCAAGCTGGACACTTGTCACTGGGGGCCAGATAATTCTGTAGTGTGGTGGATGTCCCGCACATTGTAGGATGTTTAGCAAATGGTAATTACCAAGATTTTTAGAATGCAGTTTCTCATTTGCCAGGGAAATGACCATAAAATAATTTCCCACTAGATTTTTTTATCTGTTACCTTGCTAGCAAGCAGTCTATTGGGAACATTTTATTAACCCTTTATTAAACTGCTACTTGTTTTGCTTCCATTACCTAGATGAGCAGTATCCAATAGAAATACAACACAAGCCACAGGTGATTTTCTAATAGCTATTTCATTGATAATCAATGAGATTTTACAACAGCTGCATTTCAAATTCTCCCTGACAAGACTACGTGCATAGATCTCTTGAGCCTTGCAAATGTGCTTTGCCTGGTGAATACACATTGTAACCCTTCTGGGTTGCTAATAACCAAGTGGTTTGTATATAGTGGAGCTAACTTAGGGAGGCTGGTTCCAAGACTCATTCATATTCATTATATGAACATCTCTGGAAATGTAAACTTATGTTTATATGATTGTTATCTAGAAATTTAAAAAGAAAGAAAAGGATGTTTAGCAGTATATTCCTTGCCTTTTCCCACTAGATGTCAATAGAATGACCCCACCCCCACTGGTTGTGACAACTTAAAATATCTCTACACATTACCAAATGTCACCTAGAGGGCAAAATCACCCCCCACCTCCATTGAGAAGCACCAGTGTCAAACACTGCTGGTGAAAGTGTAAATTGTTACAATTTTCAGAAGTAAACTGGCAATAACTAGTAAAACTGAAGAGGTACAGAATCTATGATCAAATAAGGTATTTTTAATTCTATAGCTTGGAGAAATCTCACCTAAGTGCTCCAAAAGACATGTCCAAAAATGTTGCAGCATTGATTGACTATTGAAAATTTGAGAACAATCTAAATATTGATCAAGGAGAATAGAGAAACTGTGCGAAATTCTTCAATGCAATACTATGCAAAATAAAACAAAACACAAATAACAACAATAATTATCAACATAGTTAAACTTCACAAACATAACATGAAACGGGAAAATGTTACAGTAGGACAGATAGATGATGCCATTAATGGAAAGCTTGAAAACATGAAATACAATTTCACGTATTGTTTATGGATGCATATACATGTAGTAAGTCACGGTTGATGGCAGGTGATATTCCAAATGCTTTGAAAGGCAAAAGAGAAGAAACAGACATTTTGCTCCAAAGGTCAGTGTAAAAGTGTACACTCCAAAGGTCAGTGTAAAAAGAAGCCACTACATCTCATTCACATTGTTGTGACTGTTGCTGGCCTTGTTGGCATAGAGCAGCAGCCTGGCCTGCAGCTTCTCCAGGCATGCAGCTTCTCTAGGTGCACAGCTTTTCCAGGTCCACAGATCCTCCCTCAGCTTCTCTGAGTACAATGCCAAGTGTGTGTGCTGCTCCATGGCAAAGGGTACCCAGCTTCTTTTACATTACCTTCATCATTGAGGTTGGAGGCAGTGAAATACTGACTTATGTTCCATTTTATTCTCACTCTGCCCCACTTCATGTCTATCTTGTCTTCTTCACTACTGACCTTACTAAACTATAGTAATTTCAGGCCCATGACCAGAGGCAGAGGCAATAGTCTTTCACTTCTTCGACAGCTTCTACAATCATGTAAAACCTAATCTCCATCACACATCCCTTATTTCATATCACTCAAAGTGGTTCTGCTTTCCTGCTGGAACACTAACTGATACAATATGTTTGAATGTTAAATAACATACATAGATTAGCAGTAGCCTCTGGGGATGGAGGGAGGAGAATGGATTAGCTGTGGCTCACCAAGGTCTTCAACATTATTTATATACTAAATTATAAATGTGTCCATAGTTTATTCTTTATGGTAAATTATAAAATTGTATATGTTATAATGAACTTTCATGTGTGAATTTCTTAAGCCAGTTGCTAAGTACCCAATAACTGAATGAACAAATGAGTGAAACTGGGCAATTTACTGAACCTCTCATTTTTTATTTCCTTATCTGCAAAATAATAGGATTAAATTATGTTTATGTGCCATCCAGGTCTAAAAGTTCTTGAGCTCCATTAGTAAAATCTATTGATATATAACTTGTCAAGAAATAAAATACCTGTTTTCAAATATTTGAATGCCATCATGGAAGATGGTGATTTTTTTCTACCCTATATTGTTTTTAAGAGTACTACAAGAAACAATTGCCTACCAATTAAACTTGCCCGCCAAAGGCAGAAGAGAACTTTAAAAGTAATGTGTTCACTCATCCTGGGACAATACAGGCAAAAGACAGATGAGGACTTATCATGGGGATACAGAAGAACTTACCATCTTGGGAAAGTGATAAAGCTGGATGGTCTCTAACATTTACCTAAACTTGAATTGGCTATTTTTTGTACATACATTTTCCATTTCAACTATTAGCTTAGAAGTTTACAAAAGAACAGTCCAGTTTTTTTTTTTCTATTATAACAGATACAGCATTACCATTTGTAATCGTTGATCAAGGCATAAGCAATTTCTTGCTTGTCAATTTGAACATCTAGCCAGGAATAAATAGCACACAGTATGTGTAATGCAATCTTCAAAGCGTTTTATTGGAACAGTTCTTAGACCTCATACAAGGAAATAAAAAAATAAGAAATGTAAATGAATGTGATGTCAGACTGAGGAAGCAAGTCTCTAGAGATCCCTGGAAGTTAGAATGGATTTTAAAATTCATTATGATTGAATTATAAAATAAATGAAAACCAGCAGGGTTAAATATGAGGTTGATGGGAGCAAGAAAAGAAAGTTATTTGGATACCCATGGCAGGGAGCATGCAAGTTCAGGTTCACCTCTAGGGCAAGGAAGAATTTTCTTCAAGGTTCTTCTCTTTCAGTGTTTACTCTGTAGCAGGCACTGTGACTGTGCGAGTCACTTGAAATACAAAGTCTGAGAAAATGGGGTATTGACTGTTCAGAAGCTCATGCTTTTGGAGTGGGGGTTGGGGGGAGCAGACATATGCAACTGAGAGCAAATAATAATAGTAAAGTAATAGCTAAAATCTACTAGACACTAACCATGTGCCATATACTATCCTATGTATTTTACATACATTAGCGCATTTCATTCTCACATCAACCCTATAAGATAGGTACTGTTATTATTCCTGTTTTATAGTTACTAAACATGAGGAACAGATGAGTTAAGGATCTTACTTAGGTCACACAGCTCTTAAGTGGCAGAGCCAGGATTCAGACCGAAGTAGATCTAGATCCAGAGTCTGTGCTCCTGACAAAATAACGTATTGTCTCTTTCAATATTATAATGTTTGAGGGCTAAGAAGTCTGAAGATTGGTACTTCAAAAATCTTTACAAGTATTCTTATTGTTTTAATAATATATTCTTTAATAGCCCTGAAATACAGATTTTTAGTCCTAAGTGGAAATAAGACAGAGACATTGCATAAAATTTAGCACAGATTAAGGCAGAGACATATATTTATCTGATAGTTCAGGCCCCAAGACGCTTATTAATGCCAAACAGGGCCTGTATTAGGCCATTCTTGCATTGCTATAAAGAAATACCTGAGACTGAGTAATTTGTAAAGAAAAGAGGTTTAATTGGCTTACAGTTCTGCAGGCTGTACAAGCACGTCATGGACATTTCCCAACTTCTAAGAAGCAATGCAGACAGAAAGCGAGCACATCACATGGCGGAAGCAGGAGCGAGAGAGAGAGACAGTGGGGAGTGATATGTCACACACTTTTAAACCACCAAATCGCTCAAGAATTCAATCACTATCACAAGAACAGCACCAAAGGGATGGTGCTAAACCATTTATGAGAAATCCAGCCCCATGGTTCACTTACCTCCCACCAGGCCCCACTTCCAACATTGGGGATTACAATTCAACATGAGATTTGGGTGGTGAAAATATCCAAACTGTATCAAGGCCCATGACCTGTTTCCATTTTATGTTGGAAATACTTATTGAATGTCAAAACTATAGCACGCACTTCTATAAAAGAGGGGAGGAGAGACATGAGAGGCTTTTCCTGAACTTAAGAAGCTTAAACCCTAATAGGTGAGATAAGCTAAGTATACAAATAACCACAGTAGAGGGCAGGTTGTGACGAGGGCCTTAAAAGGGGTGCAAGTGTTAGATGAGTTGAGAAAAGGAAATTTTCATTCAGTGAGAGAATCAGGAAAGTCTTTCTGGAGGTGGTGACATCTTGAGTGCTTATGTAGGATTTTGATAGAGGAGGATGAATAAAGGGTTAAAGTATCCTAACAAAGGAAAGAGGAGAATGACAAACAGAAAAGAAACCAAAGAAGCATCCTTAGTAATGATTAATTATGCTGATTGATTGAGCAAAGTTGAAGTTGTGGATGAAAAAGTGGGTTGGGTCACTGTGGAATGGCCCCTAACGAGACAAAACTCAGAACTTTCATGATAAAAGGTCTCGTTTATTGGAGCCAGTTCATATTTATGCCCATGCTAGTTTATCATTTTTCTACCCTTTTTGTTTAATCTTACTTTTATCTCTCTTTTTCTCTCTCTCGCTTTTCTTTCCTTCCTCCTCTTTCTTCTTTCTCTCTTTTTTCTTCCTTTCAGAGCCTAGAGTGCCTAGATAACAGGGTCACTAAATATCTCAATTGAAATCTTGCACGATTACAATGTTTCTTTATTTTTTCTGTAGAACTCACATAAACATCTCTGTGACTAGAGAAAAAAACAAAACTGTAAAAATGTACTTATGCATAATTGTGTAAGATATTAAAATCTGTGCATAACTTAAAATAGTCATCTTATGATTTGATTATTCATTTAATAAATCTTTCCTAGGAACAACTACACACCCACTATACAAAAAGTTCAGAAAATTCTGAAGTGAATAAATAAAAATTCATGCTTTCCAGATGTTCACAAAGTATGGGGTAAATAGGCAACGTGAGTTATACACCATAGAGGTACGACACAGGGCTGTGAAGGAAAGGCCAGCTGCCTGGGTGACCTGTGAGTTCAGAGAAATTTGCCAGGTGGACTAAGGGAAAACAGCCTCTTTGCAAACGGAACAGCTTGTACAGAAACACATGAAGGAAGGCCTAGCTTATTTGAGGAATGGCAAGAAGTAACTGGGGCATAAGATGCAGAAAGGGCCAGGCGCGGTGGCTCACGCCTGTAATCCCAGCACTTTGGGAGGCCGAGGCGGGTGGATCACCTGAGGTCAGAAGTTTGAGACCAACCTGGCCAACATGGTGAAACCCTGTCTCTACTAAAAATACAAAAATTAGCCGGGCATAGTGGTGCATGCCTGTAGTCCCAACTACTCAGGAGGCTGAGGCAGGAGAATGGCATGAACCCAGGAGGCAGAGCTTGCCATGAGCCAAGATAGTGCCACTGCACTCCAGCCTGGGCGACAGAGCAAGACAATGTCAAAAAAAAAAAAAAAAAAAAAAAAAGGAAGGAAGGAAGATAGATGCAGAAAGGAAAGTGACAAGAATGTGACTGTGAATGTAAATTGGAACCAGTTATAAAAGGCCTGGAATAGCCAGTGAAGGATATTGAACTTTGAGCTTGAAGCCATTGAAAGCCAGTGGAGGCAAGGACAGATTTATTTCAGTTTTCAGGTAGATAACTGTGTTGGCAACATAAAGGGTGAGTTGAACTGGGAAAAATGCTATCAGTATAAAGTTAGAAGGTTATTGGAATAGTCCAGACCATAGATAGCAATGTCTAGGATTTTAAAATGCAAATGAACAAATATTTATGTAAAAATAGTAAATGTCATGCAGAGTGCTAAAGAACCAATATCAACAAAAATGTGACCACTGCTCTCAAGAAAATGAATAGCAAGCCTTGAACTAAGCTGTGGGTGATAGGGAATCAAAGTGAAGATTCTAGGATGGGAAAGCAGGGAAAATTTTGAGGTTTCTAGGGTGGTAGAATGGCCTTCTGCAGGTACCACTTACCAAGACAGGGAAAACAGAGGTTAGTCTGGGAGAAAGATGATGGCTTCAGCTCTGCATACATGCCTGCCAAATTTTTAGTGTATAATTGATAAACACTTTTTAAATTAATTAAATTGAGACAGAATTAAGTGGCACAGGTATTCAGTAGAACAGAAAATCCCTTGGGAATATTCAAACATCACTGTTTCCTCAAAATTATCATCTGACCTTTGGAATATCACATTTCAATAATCAGCAGCCTTAGATTTCATCTTATGGTAAAATTTATCAAACAACCAGATGCCAACTTACCACACTCTTTTCACATTATGTTAGAGATTCTCCTTATATAGGTTTCTTTTTCTCCAATAATTCAATGTTCTTCAGTTACCTTTGTATTACTTCCTAACTCCACAATATAAATTGTGTTAATAATGCAAGCAAAATATGGGAACAATGAAAACTAAGGACAAGGGCTCTTGGTATGAAGAAAAGGATAGAGTTAAGTCATTTAAAAGCTAGATCAATTGGTCTTGGGAACCAATGAGAAATACTAGGAGTTGTGGAGAAGAAAGACTAGTATGTTTTCAAAGTTTCTGACTTAGGTGAGCATATTGATGATAGAATTATACATGTAAATAAGGATTATTGAGAAGTATCTTTGGAGGGGGAAGAAAAATAATAAGTTTTAGATTGGGTCATATTGACCTTGAGATTTTTATGGGGCACCATGGTATCTAAGAGACAGAAATATAAGCAACTAAGACATAAATTGAGACAATTTAGGTATTACTTGAAATTTTTGGCTTGGATAAAATTAATGAAGAGCAAGTGTAACAGTGTGTTCAAGAAACAAATTCTGAATAATATAATTGAAAACATAACTGCAAAAAAGGACATCTGAAAAGATTAAGAAGTACATAGAGATGCTGGAAAAGGTAGGAATAAGGAAACCAAGGGAGAGGAAGAGCTTCAGGAAGAAAAGAAAAGCAAACATGGCCTGATGGTCTGAAGCATCAATCAGTCAAAACTAAGAAGGAATTGTTGGGGTTTTTAGCAGTTCAGGCTTTCAAATGGTTTCCACAAAACAGCTGCTGAGAAGCAGTGAAATGAGGTGATGGCGAATCCAGGAGAAAACTGTAGGTGATAAGTTGTAACCTCAAGTAGACACGATTCTTTCAAGAACCTTGGTTAAGAAAGAGGTAAGGAGAGAATGGGAATAGCTCAAGCGGCCTTCAGATTTAATTTTTGGGGAAATAACAAAAGCACTGCTTTGGAAATCAAATGCATTTGTCGCTTTTTCCTTTAGGCCATATATGTAAAGTATACTTTTTTCTGTGCTTATGAAGAAATTTCTGAAGTGAAGATTCCTGAAAAATTTGTGTGTGATCCAACCATCATAATTCCAATTAATATATATCATTATAAAATATCTTCTCACTGATTTCCACTTGATCAAATTTACTAGAACCCTAAAATTATGTTTACCTGGTATTTCATCAACATAATTTGAATTTATTTATTTGAAATATCTGTTAAATGATATCTGTTAATATCATTAAATTAAATTCCCAGAGACACAATACAAACCAAAGCTTACATGCTTACATTTTTGAGCATTTACACTATGACAGGCACTGTTATAAGTGCTATTATCTTATTTATGTTTACCTCTCTTTAGAAGAGCCCATGAAGTAGGTCCTGTTTGTTTTCTCCACTTCACAGAGGCACAGAGGCTTTCCAATATCACACAGCTAATAGGTGGCAGATCTAGATTCAAACCCAGAAGACACAAGAGCCCATGATTTTAACCACCATGCCCCCTTGACTCTTGGTAACAAATTGTGACTATCTTTCCATATAAAGGGATATCTCAGATGATTTTGGGTAATATCTTGTTTCCCTACTTCTGTCTTCACTAACTTCCAGGGCATTATTTCTCCCTCCTGAATTCAACTCAGTAAAAAGGATAGCTAAGTCATTCATGTAATTATACTAGTATTCAGACAAATTCAAATGTGGATATGTTTATCCTTCTGTTTGAGAAGGTTTCTTAGCTACTCCGGCTCACCCTCCAGCTGGGAACTGAGGAAGGATCCAACTGGCATGAAAAGGTCATGGCCATCAGGCCACTGGGCAAGGTATGTAATTGGAAGGTTTCAAAATGGTTTCTGATTGTCAAAGTTAGGACTGAGATCCAGGGGAAGAGCAAAATTTATTTTACATGAAAACCATTCAAGACATTGATACCAAAAAAATTGTGAAGAACAAAACTCTTCCTTCAGACATGGGATCCAAATGTTAAGAAGCCTTCAAAAATGAGAATAAAACTAATGAGGAGCTGCTTCTGTCTCAGCTCACATTAAATGGATGGGTCACAGTTTGCAGTATGATTGCACACATATTTTTTCAATTTTCTTATTATGAGCTAACAGCAACACAAAATAAAATGAAGTTAAAAAATAAATGAAGCTCTCCAGCTAAAACTAGAAAAATATACAAGTAAATGGATGTATGGATATTATGGTAAGGAGAAGGATTCGATAGCTTTCTATACTCCTCATAATTGTAAATGCATAGTGTGGTAAGAAATGTGGGTATTCCTACAACCATTCATAGATACACTATTTGAAGTAATTCATAAACCTGACATCAAATTAGCATTGAACAAGATCTAATCTAAATACAATTAGCCCCTTCCCACAGAGTGTTTAGAATCTAGTAAATAAAGAAAAACATTATATATATATGTAGAGAGAGAGTGAGAGAGAGAAAGAGAGAGAGAGACATGGAGTTTCACTCTTGTCGCCCAGGCTGGAGTGCAATGGCACAATCTCAGCTCACTGCAACCTCTGCCTCCCAGGTTCAAGTGATTCTCCTGCCTCAGCCTCCTGAGTAGCTGGGATTACAGGTGCAAACCACCATGCTTGGCTAATTTTTGTATTTTTAGTAGAGACAGGGTTTTGCAATGTTGGCCAGGCTGGTCTCGAACTCTTGACCTCAGGTGATCCACCCACCTCAGCCTCCCAAAGTGCTGGGATTACAAGTGTCAACCACCCAGCCCAACCAAACATTTAATATTTTTAATGCATAGAACAATATATCTGCTTGGCATGTCTTCACAGTAAACATTTTGGGGGACAAATCTAAATGTACTAATTAGAAAAGAAAAGAAAATACAGGTTATGGGCTTTTAGATGCCTTAGTATAAAAGCTTTAAGTATGCTGTCTCAGTATTCCTCACTGCATGTCTCTCTGGAAGATTATAGTATCACTCCCTATTTGAAAATAGTAAGTAAATAAACTGAGGCTCAGAGTTAAATAACTAGTCTGAGTTCACTGAGCTAGTTAGTAAGTAGCAGAACTGAGATTGGAACCCAGTCGTAACTGATTCAAAATTCGTTCCACCTCAAATGTTCCCTCTGTGAGTAATAAAAATTATGATCTCTCAAAATTTGAATATAATGGGAATATAAAAATTAAATATTAGATATTAAATAGCAAAGTGTTGAACTCAGCTTTCTGAAGTGATTAAAATAGATTTCTGTAATGTTCTTATTTTACATTAAAAGGGAAATAAACTGTAGAATAAAAACTAATTTGTATGTAGAAATAATTTACCCAGAAATAGCCAATGAGAATCACAGCCTAATTATTAAAAGAGAGACATTGATTTTTCAAAAGACTATATTGTCGTAGAGTTTGACTTACACTGAAATAAATGAATATATTTAGTACTTACTGGCATAATATCCATTGATTAGCCTAGCAAAGGAATTTCTAGATAAGAATATTGAAAGAGTAATTCTATTTCTGCCAATGTATACTTCACATAAGATAAATCACATTCTTGATGAAAATTGTATATCAACAAGGATTTGTATTACAAATAACAAAATCCCAACTTGAACTCATTTAAACAATGAATGAAATGTGCTAGCTCACATAATGGAAAATATCTAGAACATAACAACTTTCAGACAGGTTTTATCCAGGAGCTCAAAAAATATCACCGAGAAGTCAATTCTTCAGCATCTCTTCCCTTGGTACTCTGCTTGATGGCTCAGTCTTCCCATAAAGGCTCTCTCAGCTCCCCCTGTAGCAACAGTGTCTTTCACAAATACAAATCTCACAGCCTCACCTCACACTATCGCAGGGGAAAGTGATTGTGTCCTGATGTAGTTTCCATAGAGGAAAGACAAAGCTATTTTTCTTTTCCAAAAACTCTCAAATTATTGTGCATTTTATTAGCCCTGGTTGGACTTCCTGGCCCAATATAATCAGGGAGGATGAAACATGAGTATTCACACGAGCCTCTAAGGTGGCTACCCTGCCACTGGACTAGGCATCTCACTCAAAACACTTAGATTCAGGATTGGGAAGGGCTAGCTTCTCAAAGGACTTGGATACAATTAAGATGGGTGCTTGGTGTCCTTCAAGCTGTCAATGCCCCATACAAATGGAAATATTTCTGGCCAAGACAATAACATGAAGACATGTAATCTCAAGGCTGAAATAATGACTGTAACAATAAAATTAGTGATTACATTTAATAATGGGTACTAATTAATGATTAAGACAGCCACCGAAGTGCTTTACGTGTGTGTGTGTGTGTGTGTGTGTGTGTGTGTGTGTGTGTGTGTGTGTTCGTTTTTTGAGACAGGGCCTAGCTCTGTCACCCAGGCTGGAGTACAGAGGCACAGTCATGGCTCACTGCGGCCTCAACCTCCCAGGCCCAAGCCATCCTCCCACCTCAGCCTCCTGAGTAGCTGGGACTGTAGGCATGCACCACCATGCTCAGCTAATTTTTTGTAGAGATGTGGTTTTGCCATGTTTCCCAGGCTGGTCTCAAACTCCTGGGATCAAGCAATCCAACTGCCTTGGCCTCCCCAGCGCTAGGATTACAGGCGTGAGCCACTGTACTTGGCCTACATGTTTTATTTGATTGACATCTCACACTATCTGATAGAGTTTGGATATTTGTCCCCACACAAATCTCATGTTGAATTGTAATCCCCAATGCTGGACATGAGGCCTGGTCAGAGGTGTTTTGATCATGGGGGCAGATCTCTCATGGCTTGATGCTGTCTTTGTGATAGTTTTAGCAAGATCTGGTCATTTAAAAGTGTGTGGCACCTTCTCACCAGCTCTCTCTCTCTCTTGCTCCTGCTTTTACCAAATGAAGTACCTGCTCCCCCTTCACCTACCACCATGAATAAAAAATCTTTTTGAGAACTCCTCACCCCAGAAGGAGATGCTGGCACTATGTTTCCTATACAGCCTGCAGAACCATGAGCCAATTAAACCTCTTTTCTCATAAATTATTTGGTCTCAGATAGTTATTTATAGCAAGGCAAGAATGGCCTAATACAGAAAATTGGAACCAAGAGGTGGGGCATTGCTATAAAGGTACCTGAAAATGTGAAAGCAGCTTTAGAACTGGGTAACAAGCAGAGGTTGGAAGAGTTTGGAGGGCTCAGAAGAAGACAGGAAGATGAGGGAATGTTTGGAATTTCTTAGAGACTGGTTAAATTGTTGTGGCCAAAATGCTGACAGTGAAATGAGCAGTTGCAGTCCAGGCTGCTGGGGTCTCAGATGGAAATGTGGAACTTACTGGTAACTGAAGCAAAGTTCATAAATGTAATGCCATAGTAAAGAGCCTGACTGCATTGTGCCCCTGCCCTAGGGCTCTGTGGAAGCTGGAACTTCATAGTGATGATTAAGGGTATCTGGCAGAAAAACTTTCTAAGCAGCAAAGTGTTTAAGATGTTGCCTGGCTGCTTCAAACAGCCTATTCTCAGATACAGGAGCAAAGGAATGACTTAAAGTTGGAACTTCTGTTGAAAAGGAAAGCAGAGCATAAAAGTTTAGAGATTTTGCAGCCTGGCCATGTGACAGAGAAAGAAAAAGCTTTCTGGGGGGAGAAATTCAAGCTTCCTGTGTAGCAATCACTTGCTAGAAATATTTGCATAATTAAAAGGGAGCCACATGCTGATAGCCAAGATACCAGGGAAAAAGCCTCAAAGGAATTTCAGAGATCTTCTAGGCAGCCCCTCCCATCACAGTTCCAGAGGCATAGGAGGGGAGAATGGTTTCATGTGCCAGGCCCAGGACCCTGCTGCCCTGCGCAGCCTCAGGACACTGCTCCCTGCATCCCACCCACTCCAGCTCCAGCTGTGGCTCAAAGGGCCCTAGGTTTTGGTTATGTCACCACTCTGGAGACTGCAAGCTGCTGTATGCTTTGGCTGCTTACATGTGGTGTTAGGCCTGCAGGTGTGTAGAGTACAAGAGTGAAAAATGCTTGGCAGCCCCTGCCTAGATTTTGGAGGTTGTATGAAAAATCCCAGGTGCCCAGGCAGGGGCCTGCTTCAGGGTCAGAGTCCCTACAGAAAATCTCTACTAGGGCAGTGAGGGGTGGGGGTGGGAAATGTGGGATTGGAGGCCCCACACAGAGTGGAGGAATGTGAGAAGGAGGCGACCATCCTTCAGACTCCAGAATGGTAAATCCACCAGCAGCTTGCACCCTGCATCTGGAAAAGCCACAGGCACTTAACAACCTGTGAGAGCAGTTGAGGGGGTTTACCCTGCAAAGCCACAGGGGCAGAGCTGCCCAAGGCCTTCAGAGCCCACCTCTTGCACCAGTGTGCCCTGGGTGTGGGACATGGAATCAAAGGATACTATTTCGGAGTTTTAAGATTTAATGACTACCCTGCTGAATTTCAGACTTGTGTGGGGCCTATAGCCCCCTTTCTTTTGGCAAATTTCTCTCTTTTGGAACAGGAATGGTTTACCCAGTGCCTATACCCCCATTGTATCTTGGAAGTAACTAACTTGCTTTTTATTTTACAGGCTCATAGGTGGAAGGGATTTGCTTTGTCTCAGATGAGACTTTGAACATTCGAGTTAACACTGGAATGAGTTAAGACTTTGAGGGATTGATGAGAAAGCATGATTGTATTTTGCAATGTGATAAGGACATGAGATTTGGGAGGGGCCAAGGGTAGAATGATATAGTTTGGGTATTTATCCTCACCCAAATCTCATGTTGAATTGTAATCCCCAATGCTGGGGGTGGGACCTGGTGGGAGGTGTTTTGATGATGGGGGCAGATCCCTCATGGCTGGTGCTTTCTTCGTGATAGGGAGTTCTCACAAGATCTGGTCATTTACAAGTGGTGGCACCTTCCCCCTCTCTCTTTCTTGCTCCTGCTCTCATCATGTGAGATGCTTGCTCCCTCTTCACCTTCCACCATGAGTAAAGGCTTCCTGAGGCCTCCCCAGAAGCAGATACTGGCATGATGTTTCCTGCACAGCCTGAAAAACCATGAGCAAATTAAACCTCTTTTCTTGTAAATTACCTACTCTCAGGTATATCTTTATAGCAATGCAAGAACATCCTAATATACTACCTATGAGATAGATCTTACTAATATAATAAACCCATATTTTACAGATGAGGAAATTGAGACCCAGAACATTCATGTAAAATTTCAGTATGAGATAAAAACCCATGTCACCTCTGTAAATTAAGGAAGGATGCCATCTACAGGACAGAAACTTTGAAGGAAAATTGCTAGATATAACACAGATAAGGCTAGATTCATTCAACAAATATTTACTGAGCACTTACTATATGCAAAAATTAAGTTGGGTGCTAGAGGCACTGTACAAGGTGATAAATTTTTAAAAAGCCAACTGGTGACTCCGACCTGCAAACACAGTGTGCCCACTCCTAGACTTCTCATAGAGCCTCAAACCTACCAAAGCCCTCCTACCTCAGGGCATTTACACGTGCTGTTCTTTCTACTTTCACTCTACCCATGAGTGTCTTCTCTTCACACATCTTCTCATTCTTAATATCCATGTTCCATCATTGTCATCACCTGATACTTAAACTTTCTGTATCTGTCAATTTGCAGATTAGTACCACCACAAATTGAAAGTTGTTAATCCCAGCAGAGCTCTCAATGTTACCTGTGGTCACACTAAGACCCTCTACTCAGTTTCTCTCTTTCTGCAATTGTAATTTCAGTTATTTACCAGTATCCTCAAATCTTTGACTCTACCACCTTCTCTTACTATCAGCAGTCTACTTCTTCATGAGAAAATAGAAATTTTTTAGAGAGTAACTTTCTCATGTGTATTCCTAACTCCAACCATATCTCTATCCAATGTGATAGGTCCCCAGAATCTTATTGTAACCATAAAACTTCCTCCTGAATCCACTTATAAAGATTGACCTTGGACCAACCTCATTCACCCTCTTGAGAAATTAGAATTAAAACTAATAAATTATATATTCAATTTTACATGTTTTCTTTTAAACAGAAAAGATGTCAAAAATTGGAGATGTGTTATGGCTATCTTTCACCCTATGTACATATCATAGATTAAATCAGTATGCTTAGTTAGAGAAGGCCATGGAAATTTAGAAAAAGAGATGAGAGATAAAGGAAAGTTTCTGCATGAGTTTCCTAAGACTTTCCATTTTCTTGGTTCCAGGTCTTTTCTAAGTCTCAGCTATATCCCTACATTTCTTTGGAGGCAGTCCTGTAATCTTATGATTAGGCTTGCTTTGCTAGTATTGGTTTGTTTCTGTCACTTCAACTAAAAATCATAAATACAAAATATTTACTTTGCAATTATTTCTAAAATGTTTTCTCCCCATCTCCACTGCCAGATTCTGGCCCACACCATCATTATCTCTTAGCTGAGTAATTGGAATGGCCTTCTAACTGGTCTCCTTACATGCCCTCGTGCTCCATGCAGTTACTCATCAAGTTGGGTTATTTGGAAATCATTTTATTCTACTATATAAAAGTTTTCAATGGCTTCCCTTTGTTAAAAAGCAAAAGCCTAAACATGGACTACACAACCTTAACATATTATCGACTGGACACAGTGGCTCATGACTGTAATCTCAGCACTGTGGGAGGCTGAGACAGGTGGATCACATGAGGTCAAGAGTTCGAGATCAGTCTGGCCAACATGGTGAAACCCTGTCTCTACTAAAAATACAAAAATTAGCTGGGTGTGGTGGCAGGTGCCTGTAATCCCAGCTACTCGGGAGGCTGAGGCATGAGAATCACTTGAACCCGGGAGGCTGAGGTTGCAGCAAGCCAAGATTGTGCCACTGCACTCCAGCCTGGGTAACAGAGCAAGACTCCACCTCAAAAAAAAAAAAAAAAAAAAAAGGAAAAGAAAAAGGAAAAAAAAAACCATTTTATAAAGGGCTGGTATGTGTACATGTGAACATGCATTTATGCATATTGGTTCATAGCCAAAAATGCTTGAAAGCCACTGTTCTAGTTGGTTTGCAGAAGACCTGGACACACAGGGTAGCTCCAGCAAGAAAGAATTCTTCTGAAACTTCAGCTCTACTCTGGAAAGTTCTGGAAGACGATGGAAAAGAGTAGAAGTTTGATTAGTACACTCTATAATCATGCCTGATGTTGATAAAAATAAAGACATTGTACAACCACAAAAATGACCAAACTCCCATTCCAGCTAACACAAGAAACTATTGCCTCTTCTCCAAACACAAAATCTGTGGTTACTTTATCCTGCCTCTGCAATAAAGATAATTAAGATAACCAATCATCAACTTACTTTTGTTTCTTGTCAGTACTCAATTCAGGACAGAACCCAACTTCCATGAAATATCCTCAAAATCACCTAACCCAAGCCCAAATCTTATAACAAGCCCCTCCTAACTTTTTCTTTCTGAGACGTTCCACAGTTCCCTATGGTGTGTGTTACATGCAAGTACCACTAAAGTTGCAGGAAAGAGAAATGAATTTATTGCAGTGGATTTGTCAAAGCATTAGGACTTCATTCTCTCACAGGACCCAATTCAGAAGGGCTGCAGGACTTTCTGTGTATATTTTATTTTATTTAGCCTAACAATCCTAGGAAGAAAGAATTATTAGCACTTCCATCCTACAGATAGAAAAACAAACTGACGCACAAATTGGTAAGGTAAAGAATCTAAGATCTAAGGATTTGGGCCCAGGCAGTCTGATGGCAGAGATGTTTCATCACAGAAGCTGTCTGGCTTCCAGCAAAATGCTACCACAATCTATTTAGTTATCCAGAGTCAAAATCTGTTGTTATGTTTATATCTGCATTACCCTGCCCTTTCATATCTAGCCAGAGCACCAACGAGGGTAATATATTCTCTACCTCCAACCTCCTACCTCCTCTTTCCATTCTCATTGCCACTCTGCTAGTTCAAATCCTCATTATCTCTCCTTAAACTGCTGCAAAATGTGTCAACTGCAATGTTTACCTCCAGTCACCTCCTCCTGTAATCAAATATAAATTCCTAAAGAATAATGTTCCTAAACACAGCCTTGATCACGCAATTCCTTGCCAGAAGATATGTGATAGACAGATCGATAGACAGATGATAGATAGATAGATAGATAGATAGATAGATAGATAGATAGAGAGATAGATAGATAGATAGATAGATAGATAGATAGATAGATAGATGAAAAGCCACTAAACTGTACAGTTTGTCATTTAGACTCCTCTAACAGTTGACAGCTGCAGTCTATTTTCATATCATTTCTCCCATTATCTTCCTCCCTCCAGATGAATTAAACTCCTTATCATTTCCTGAACAAGTCCTCAATTGTCTCATTCTTATGCCTTGGTTCACACTGTCTCTGTTCAGCCTACATTTCTAGGTTTCAAAATTCTATACATGAATGGGGGACTTCAACACCCCACTGACAGCATTAGACAGATCATGAAGGCAGAAAACTAACAAAGAAATTCTGGGCTTAAATTCTACACTTGACCAGTTGGACCTAACAGACATCTTCAGAATACCCTACCCATCAACTACAGAATATATATTCACATTCTTTTCATCTGCACACAGAACATACTCCAAGACTGAACACATGTTTGGCCATAACACAAGTCTCGATAAATGCAAAAAAGTCAAAATTATACCAAGCATACTCTCAGATCACAGCTGAATAAAAATAGAAATCAATACCAGGAAGATCTCTCAAAACCACACAATTACATGGAAATTAAACAACTTGTTCCTGAATGACTTTTGGGTAAACAACTAAATTTAGGCCGAAATAAAAAAAAAAAATTCTTGAAATAAATGAAAACAGAGACAAAACACCAAAATCTCTGGGATGCAGCAAAGGCAGTGTTAAGAGGAAAGTTCATAACACTAAATGCTTACCTCAAAAAATTAGAAGATCTCTAATTAATGATCTAACATCACACCTAGAGGATCTAGAATAATAAGAACAAACTAACCCTAAAGACAACAAAAGAAAAGAAACAATTAAAATCAGAGCAGAAATGAATGAAATTGAGACCCAAAAATCCAATCAAAGAATCAGTGAAACTAGAAGTCAGTTCTTTGAAAGAATAAATGAGATTAGTAGACTGCCAGATAGACTAACAAGGAAAAAAAGAAAGAAGATCCAAATAAACATGATCAGAAATAACAAAGATGACATTACAAGTGATCCCACAGAAATACAAAGGATTCTCAGAGACTTATATGAACACCTCTAGGCACACCCTCTAGAAAATCTACAGGAAATGGATAAACTCCTGGAAACACACGATCTATCAAGATTAAATCAGGAGGAAATTAAAACCCTGAACAGACTAGTATTAAGTACTCAAATTGATTTAGTAATAAAAAATCTACCAACCAAAACAAGCTCCAGACCAGATGGATTCACAGAATAACTCTACTGGACATAGAAAGAAGAGCTGATACCAATTCTACTAAAACCATTACAAAAAAATTGAAGAGGAGGGACTCCTCCCAAACACATTCTACAAAGCCAGCATCACCCTGATACCAAAACCTGGCAAAGACACAATGGAAAAAGAAAACTATAGGCCAATATCCCTTATAGTCATAGACAAAAAAAATCCTCAACAAAATCCTAGCAAACCAAATCTAGCAGCACATCAAAAGTTAATTCTGATCAAGGAGGCTTCATTTCTGAGACGCAAGGTTGGTTCAAGATATGCAAATCATTAAATGTGATTCACCAGATAAGCAGAATTGAAAACAGAAACTATATGATCATCTCAACAAATGCAGAAAAGGCTTTTGATAAAATTCAACATCTTTTATGATAAAATCCCTCAACAGACTAGGCATCAAAGGGACATACTTCAAAATAATAAGAGTCATCTATGACAAACCCACAGCCAACATCATACAGAAGAGCCAAAAGCTGGAAGCATTCTCTTTGATAAATGGAACAAGACAAGGATGCCATCTCTCACCACTCCTATTAAACATAGTACTGAAAGTCCTAGTCAGAGCAATCACGCAAGAGAAAGAAATAAAGGGAACCCAGATAGAAAAAGAAGTCAAACTATCTCTCTTCACTGATGATATGATTCTATACCTAGAAGAAACCTAAAGACTGCGAAAAGTCTCCTGGAACTGATAAACAACTTCAGTAAAGTTTCAGAATACTAAATCAATGTACAAAAATCACTAGAATTTCTATACACCAATAACATTCAAACTGAGAGTCAAATCAAGAATGTAATCCCATTTACAATAGCCACACACACACAAAAAAAACCCACTAGAACTGCATCTAACCATAGAAGTAAAAGGACTCTACAAAAAGAACTACAAAATGCTGCTGAAAGAAACAATAGATGACACAAACAAATAGAAAAATATTCCATGCTTATGAGTTGGAAGAATCAATATTGTTATAATGGTCATACTGCCTAAAGCAATATATAGATTCAATGCTATTCCTATCAAACTACCAAAATCATTTTTCACAGAATTAGAAAAAATCTATTCTAAAATTCATATGGAACAAAAAAAGCCTAGATTGACAAAGCAATATTAAGCAAAAAGAACAAAGCCAGAGGAATCACCTTACCTAACTTCAACAATATTATAAGGCTACAGTTACCAAAACAGCATAGTACTGGTACGAAAACAGACAAATAAATTAATGGAACATAAATAGAGAACCCAGAAGTAAAGCTGTGCACCTATAGCCATCTGATCTTCAACAAATTTGAGAAAAATAAGCAATGGGGAAAGGACTCTCTATTCAATAAATGGTGCTGGGATAGCTGGCTAGCCATATGCAGAAGAATAAAACTATACCCTTACCTTTGACCATATACAAAAATTAACTCAAGATTGATTAAAGATTTAAATGTAAGACCTCAAACTACAAGAATCCTAAAAGAAAACCTAGGAAACACCATTCTGGACATGGCCTTAGGGAATAATTTATGACTAAATTCTCAAAAGCAATTGCAACAAAAAACAAAATTGACAAGTGGGACCTAATTAAACCAAAGAGCTTCTTCACAGCTAAAGAAACTATCAACAGAGTAAACAAACAACCTACAGAATGGAAGAAAATATTTGCAAACCATGCATCTGACAAAGGTTTAATATCCAGAATCTATAAGGAACTTAATTCAACAAGCAAAGAAGCAAGTAACCCCATTAAAAAGTGGGCAAAGGACACGAATAGACACTTCTCAAAAGACAACATACAAGCAACCAAGAAACATGAAAAAAATATTCCACATCACTAATCATCAGAGAAATGGAGATCAAAAGTGCAATGAGATACCATCTCACACCAGTCAGCATTCTGACTTTTAAAAAGTCAGGAAACGACAGATGCTGGCACAGCTGCAGAGAAAAGGGAATGCTTATATACTGCTGATGGGAATATAAATTAGTTCAGTCACTGTGAAAAGCCGTTTGGAGATTTCTCAAGAAAACTTTAAAAAAGAACTACCATTTGACCCAGCAACCCCATTACTGGGTATATATCCAAAATAAAATAAATCATTCTACCAAAAAGACACATGCACTCATATGTTCATCACCATACTATTCACTATAGCAAAGACATGGAATCAGCCTAGGTGTTCATCAACAGTGGACTGGATTTAAAAAAAAAAGTGGTACATATACACAATGGAATACTGTGTGGCCATAAAAAAGAATGACATCATGTCCTTTGCAGCAATGTGGATGCAGCTGGAGGCCATTATCCTAAAAAAAATAAGGCAAGAACAGAAAACCAAATATTTCATGTACTCACTTATAAGTAGGAGCTAACCATTGAGTATTCACGGACATAAAGGTGGCAACAATAGATACTGAAAGACTACCAGAGGGAGAAGGGAGGCGGGGAGCAAGGGTTAAAAAGCTAACTGTTGGGTACCATGCTCATGACCTGTGTGATAAGATCAATTATACCTCAAACCTCAGTATGACACAATATAACCATGAAACAAACATGTACATGTATCCCCTGATTCTAAAATAAAACTTGAAATTATTTTTTTAAAATCTTAAATCATTTTTAGTAATCACACAAAAAAATTCTATCTATACTTGATCCAACTCAATGTCATTTAGTCTCCAAGGCAATGTGGTTTAGTAAAAAGACAAACAATGAAACATGGAATTAGAGTCTTTCTCAACATTCCCTCTGCAGACTCCACCACACTCAACTTCTCACAGCAAAGAAATTAATTTCATCCTCCTCTAAGCTTCTCTTCTACTTCGCTCATGTTTGTTTGTAGGAATTATCACATTCTGCCTCATGTGGTAGTTATTATTTACTTCATTTTCTTATGAGGTTAAAAAAAATCCTTGAGAATACAAAGCATCTTATTCATCTTACATTTATGCCATGAAGTATTAAGTAGTTATCAATAAGTTAATAGGACATTGTGAACATTCACATCGTTAAATGCAACAAAGTTCTGTGGTCATGCCTCTCCAAAAGTCTAAGTTAAAAGGTGCTACAAATCCAGAAACTGGGTGGGAGAGGTTGTATTTCTTGGCTCTAAGATATCATTTGGGAATAGGGAACTCTCTCAAAAAAGAGCCTAAATTTTTTTCTTCTTTCTCGAGGGACAATAATTTGAAAATTTTCAGGACCTCTCCTGTATTTAAGTGATGCTGCCTTCCTTGCTCTTTGTATACTCAGCCACCAGCATTTGTGAGTTGGGTCTACCATCATCCAATATGGAGCACTCTTGACAAGCTATTGGTTAATCTGATGTTCAGTCCATATGTATGTGCCTTTGTCTCTGGCACCAATTCCTAGTCTAAAGAGTTCTGGTCAAGGGAGCAGGACTGAGTTTACCCTACCATGCTGTTACAATGGAATTCAATGAAGAATTCATATTTTTTCTTTAAAAAAAAAAAACTGCTCAGGACCACTTTGTTTAGCTGAGCATGGAAGTGGGCAATGTTGGTGCCCAGAAGCTGGGAATGCTGCATGCATAGAAGCTTGATGCACTCCTCTCCAGTTCAGAAAACATTTAAATACTTATTTGATTTCCACAGAGCCTACTTCCCTATAAGAAAGACCTTATCTAATGGAAGGAATTAACTTGTTTCTCTCATTCCTAGCAAATTGCTAGCTTGAATGACTTTTTACTTAACCTCCTGGGTTTTTTCTTTAAGAAATTCACTTAAGAATAAAAAATGTTTTAAATACAGGCAGTAGGAAAATGTTTCCAAAGAAACATTTAACTTTTATGTTTAACTTTTCACCTCCCATCACAGCTTCTTCTCTGCTCCTCATTGTTGTTGGAAAAGCAAGAAGTCAAGGGATCTGTCAGAAAAGCAAGAGGGTGTGATTGAAATTAGCCATATAACTGGACGTCACTTAGGCCTGGCCTGCCTAACATATAGTGGAAATTACCTTGTGTTCTATCAACTCCCTGGGGCCCCAGAAAAGGGACATATGAATGAAATTCAGAAAAGAGCAACAAAATTATTAAAAAGCTGTGGGGTTGATTTATGAGGCACATTATGAAAGCTAAGTACATGTGGCTTGGCTAAACAATGACTAAATGAAGACAGGATGAATGCCTTTGAGTTTACGGAGAATACAATCACTGAGAAAAAAAGAGGCAGGGAGTTGTCTTGAAGGTGATAACATCACTATCACCACTTTTGTTCCTTTTTTTTAGTTGTATGTTGTTTTTAAACTGATACATCATAATTCTACGTACTTAAGGGGTACAGTGTGATTTTTCAAGACACGTATAGATTACATCATGATCAAATCAGGGTAATAGCATAGCCATCACCTCAAATGCTCTTGATTTCTCTGTGGTAGGAACATTAAAAATCCTGTCTTCTCGCTATTCTGAAGTATTTGAAACTTGTTTTTATTATACTTTAAGTTCTAGGGTACATGTGCACAACGTGCACGTTTGTTACATATGTATACATGTGCCAGGTTGGTGTGCTGCACCCATTAACTGGTCACTTACATTAGGTATATCTCCTAATGCTAACCTTCCCTCCTCCCCCAACCCCATGACAGGCCCCAGTGTGTGATGTTCCCCATCCTGTGTCCAAATGTTCTCATTGTTCAATTCTCACCTATGAGTGAGAACATGCGGTGTTTGGTTTTCTGTCCTTGCAATAGTTTGCCCAGAATGATGGTTTCTAGCTTCATCCATGTCCCTACAAAGGACATGAACTCATCCTTTTTTATGGCTGCATAGTATTCCATGGTGTATATGTGCCACATTTTCTTAATCCAGTCTATCATTGATGGACATTTGGGTGGGTTCCAAGTCTTTGCTATTGTGAATAGTGCCACAGTAAACATACGTGTGCATGTGTCTTTATAGCAACATGATTTATAATCCTTTGAGTATATACCCAGTAATGGGATGGCTGGGTCAAATGGTATTTCTAGTTCTAGATCCTTTAGGAATTTTCACACTATCTTCCACAATGGTTGAACTAGTTTACGGTCACCAACAGTGTAAAAGCGTTCCTATTTCTCCACATCCTTTCTAGCACCTGTTTTTTCCTGACTTTTTAATGATTGCCATTCTAACTGGCATGAGATGGTATCTCATTGTGGTTTTGATTTTCATTTCTCTGATGGCCAGTGATGATGAGCATTTTTAGTATTTGAAATATTATTGTTGACTATAGTCACCCTATGGTGCAATTTAACAGGATAATTTATTCCTCCTAACTGTAGCTTTGTACCCACTGACTGACTCCTCATGTCCTCCCCTCCTGACTTCCCCCAGCTTCTGGTAACCACTATTCTACTCTCTACTTCTATGAGGTTGTTTCATTTTTTTAATATGGGGGCAGGGGCTGTGCTATTTTAACTACCTGCTACAGAACTTAGCACCAATTTTTTAAATTTTTCATAATAATAAGAAAGATAACACAATAGCACTGAAAACAACATAGTACCTTTAGAAAATGTAGGCAATTCTCTAAGTGTGTTCTGGATAAGAGTACTGACTGAGAAGTAATAAGAATATAAATCAATTAACAGGCTATGTGAAAAAGAAAAGGCAAAAATGAGCCCCTGATGTCACATCTGTGATGAGGGGATGAAAGGAGAGGACAAAATTAAAGGGGGAAAAGTAAATTGGCCAAAGTCCTTGCAGTTCATAACCCCATGGTTAGCTGCCAAGCCCAGCAATTCAAAAAAGAATCTCTAATAAGGTATCCCCTGACTTCTCCCAGAGACCTCAACTGCCACATGGATTATTTCAAACAGGAGAAGATCACCAGCCTGTATTCCATCCTTTTAGTGCCAAGCAAGACCCAGAGAAGTTTCATGTCACAGGCTGATGGGTGGTGGCTGATAGGACCAATTTAGCTGCTGCTGAAGAGCAAACAGCCTCCAGTTTGTTTCTTATCTCATCTTATGCAGAGCAATGAAAAGTGGCAAAACTTAAAGTGGAGTTTGCAGTATCTCAAAAGGTCCAAGAACTGACCACTTGCCTGACCCTGAGGTGGATGTTGGGGATGTTACTGTAAATACGACATGCTCTGTGTCCTCAAGGACTCCCAGGCAGGACAGGGAGGCAGTCACCAAAACAGACAAGTACAGTCACATCTTACATAACAATATTTTGGTCACCTACGGACGGCATGTACAATGGTGGTCCCATAAGACTGTAATGGAGCTGAAAAATTCCTATAGCCTAGTGACATAGTAGCTGTCATGACATTGTAGCACACTCATGTGTCTATGGTAATGCTAGTGTAAGCAAACTTACTGCACTTTCAGGCATATAAAAGTATAGCACATATAATTATGTATAGTCCATGTTTGATGATGATAATAAGTGACTATGTCACTGGTTTATGTATTTACTATACTTTTCATCATTATTTTAGAGCATACTTCTACTCATAAAAAAAAGTTAACTATAAAACAGTCTCAGGCAGATCCTTCAGAAAGTATTTCAGAAGAAGACATTGTTATCTGAGGAGATGACAGCTCCATGTGTGTTATTACCCCTGACAACCTTCCAGTGGGACAGGATGTGGAGTGGAAGACAGTGACACTGATGATCCTGACCTTGTGTAGACCTAGGCTAATATGTATGTTTGTGTGTTATTTTTCACAAAAAAAAAAAAAATAAAAATATTAAAACTAGAAAAAAGCTTATAGAGGCCAGGCACAGTGGCTCATGCCTGTAATCCCAGCACTTTGGGAGGCCGAGGCAGGTGGATCACGAGGTGAAGAGATTGAGACCACCCTGGCCAATATGGTGAAACACTGTCTCTACTAAAAATACAAAAAATTAGCTGGGCGTGGTTGTGTGTGCCTATAGTCCCAGCTACTTGGGAGGCTGAGGCAGGAGAATTGCTTGAACCAGGGAGGCAGAGGTTGCAGTGAGCCAAGATTGCACCACTGTACTCCAGCCTGGTGACAGAGAGGGACTCCATCTCAAAAAAAAAAAAAAAAAAAAAAAGCCTGTAGAATAAGGATATAAAGAAAATATTTTTGTACATCTGTACAATGTATCTGTGTTTTAAGGTAGGTGTTATTACAAAAGGGTCGAAAAGTTAAAAAAATTAAAAGTTTATACAGTAAAAAAGTTACAGTAAGCTAAAGTTAATTTATCATTGAAAAAGGAAATTTTTGAATAAATTTAGCTTAGCCTAAGTGTAGTGTTTATAAAGGCTATAGTAGTGTGCAGTTATGTCCAAGGCCTTAACATTCACCCACCACTGACTCACTGACACCCACTGCAAGCTCCATTCACGGTAAGTGCCCTACACAGGTGGACAATTTTTTATCTTTTATACCATATTTTTACTGCACCTTTTCTAAGTTTAGATATGTTTAAATCACAAATACTTACCATTGTATTACAGTTGCCTACAGTATTCAGTGCAGTATATTCTGTACTGTTTGTACGTTTGTAGCCTAGGAGTAATAGACTATATCATACAGCCTAGGTGTGTAGTAGGCTACACCATCCGCATCTGTGTAACTACACTCTATGATGTTCACACAACAATGAAATCACCCAAGGACACATTTCTCCAACAATATCCCCATCATTAAATGGTGTGACTATAATGATTATCCAGTGAGTTATGAGATAAAAGAGATAAGCTCGGCATCCCAGGCCTGCACTGCGGATAACATCTATCCCGGCATGAAGGATTTCAGAGACTATGTCCTGGAGGCAGTGAAGCATGACATGACATGATTATCATCAGATGGTATCACTTTCAATTTACAATTGTTTTAAGATGAAGATCCTCATCCTAGAGCATTTATAGCAGATGATGGAGTGGATGTGTATTGTTTTGCTCACCAAGCTTGCTTTCTTTTTAAGGAACAGTCCTTTCTTCCCAAGAGAACTGCTCTTTCTCTCCATTCCAACCATGAGGTTCTAACTAATCCCCATACTTCACCTTCCTTGTCCCCATTGATTAGTCCAGGGTGAACCCATCCAATTTAATTCCTGGAACTTTTAAAGTTGGGCCTAAGAGACAGGGACATTCCTTCTGTGGTGATAAGGTCATAAAGTAAGAAGATTGGAAGGATCATTTTTCCCTTATGTGGAAGTAATCCTGTTGGCCCTCCTCTCTCTAGATCCCAATTGCCTCTGAGGACTCCCTGTACCATTCCTGTGCTGTCACTATGTGAAACATCACAGCATCCTTCCAGTAAAGTCCTCTTTTCGCAAAAACTAGTTCAAGTTTGGTTTCCATCTCTTGCAATCAAAACTGAATAGCAATTTTACACTTGCAGTGACTTCTTGACATGTTAATCCTTGTCTTAAAGTTACATTTTCCCTGTCACCACTCCCACCCCACTCTTTCCAAGAAGAGCTAGCCCAATCTCCATGTTGCCAATTTCTCCTTGTTCTATCTGAGTCTATTCATGCTTGGAACACTTGGCCGATGCTCTTTGCCTCCCCATTAGCAGTGCTTCTAGTTGCTCCATTTCAAAGTACATTAAAATGCTGTCTACCAAGAGCCACCACCAGAGAATCCTACTGAGTGGGTCAAGAGTGGGGCTCAGGAATCTGTATTTTTAACAAAATACATGCTGGTTGATTCGATCTGCAGCCAGATGGAGGCATCATTAGGCCAAATGGCTTACAAAACCTATCAGTTTTTTTGTTTTTTGTTTTATCTTTTTCTTAAACTTTTATTTCAAGTTCAGGGGTAAATGTGCAGGTTTGTTTACACAGGTAAATGTGTGTCATGGACATTTGTTGTGCAGATTATTTCATCGCCCAGGTATTAAGCCTGGTACCCATTAGTTATTTTTCCCGATCTTCTCCCTGCTCCCACCCTCCACCCTCCAAAGCCTATCAATTTGAAGAGTAGGTAAATGTCCTACTCAAGAGTGCAAATGAACTGTTTCATCTCTAGTTAAGTTTGAGTACTACTCAGTCTCATTTACCTCAAAGAAAGCAGAACTATTAGAGGCTTGGAAGTGTGTCATAGTGGTTTCAGGCTGCCGAGAGAATTATCTAGAAGGGGCTTGAGGTGACCTCATCATCTGCGGGTGTTGCAGAGGCAGACCTGGCCCCTTCCGCAAGCTGCCTTTGATTTCCTTCATGCTGGGGACAGATGAGGTAGAGGCCATTTGTTTCTTTTTAAACTCTAGAATTACATCACAGGCCTGTATAATTTTCCTTAAAAAGTGTTTTTTGTTTTTTTCCAAAGCAACTATCCTCAAAAGAGCTGGGCATAGTTCTCCTAGGGGCAGCACCAGTGTTGAAGTGTGGGGGGAAACTGTTCTAAATCCTTCAAACAATGTCACCTTTGGAGCAGTAAAACTGCTCCCTTTTTCCCATGAGAGATGACAAGCATGCCCCAGCAATCATTTCTTGAAAGCGGATGCCCGGTGAGAGAAGGATTTGATTTGCTGAAGGGTCAGCCAAGTTAAGCCAGTTTCTTCCTCATTTCTTCCCTGGCTGGAGGTTTTGATGGTGGTGATGGTGGTTGAACTGAACCCACTTAGAAAACTGTCAAAGGTTTCTGGACTCTCAGGTGTGCCGTCTCACATTTGGTCTGCTACAGCAGGTGCTTCAAGGCTTTCTTCTGCCAAGATTTCTTTGTTTTATTTTATGATGTTTTCTTTATGTGTGTGTGTGTGTGTGTGTGTGTGTGTGTGTGTGTGTGTTTTACTTTTATTTCTAACAAACCTGTGGACCTTGGGGTTTAAGACTGAGTGAAGCTAGAAGGATTAGAGTCAAAAGAATTTTGCCATTTGGCCAATAGCATTCCCCACCTCCTGACATATCGATTTTTTTTCTAGATTCCCTTCCCCCTGCCACTCCCCTCCCCCCAACACACACACACTTTTCTCTTTCTCCTCTTTCTCTCCTTTCCTCCCTTGCTTCTCTCCCCTCCCTCTCAACACATTCAATGAGTGCCCTAAACGGTGACAAACTTGCATGTGCTTCCCTCATGACTAAACCCCTGGGCCTTCTGCCAATCCCCTGCAGATGGCCCCAAACTGCAGGCATCCCGTAAGGGGACCCCACGCTTGCAGCCCTGGTTGGAACGGTCAGGGTGGAGGAGGATGGTGGGGAGTGGTGGTGTCTTCGTCCTGGGAGAAGGCGAAGCAACTTCCAGGAGGAAACGGGCGTTTCCTTCCCACGCGCTCGAGCGAGCCCTGGGTCCTGGCCTCGGAACTCCACCCAGCCCCTCCCCACCCTCTGGGAAAAGCCAGTCGCCACACACAGGCACACGCAGGCCCCGGCGCCGCGCCCTAAGGAGAGCAGCACCCACAGCCAATTGCCATGGCAACCCCGGGGTTCGTTCCACTTCCCCACCCAGCCGATCTCCCCCCTCCTCCCTGCACTGCAGCCAACCGGCTTGTGCGCGTCCCAGGAGCGCGCTATAAAACCTGTGCTGGGCGTGATCGGCAAGCACCGGACCAGGGGGAAGGCGAGCAGTGCCAATCTACAGCGAAGAAAGTCTCGTTTGGTAAAAGCGAGAGGGGAAAGCCTGAGCATGCAGAGTGTGCAGAGCACGAGCTTTTGTCTCCGAAAGCAGTGCCTTTGCCTGACCTTCCTGCTTCTCCATCTCCTGGGACAGGTAAGTGGCACACCCTTAAGATGCCCCCAAGTTACTTTGCCCGCCTTGGTGGCCCCCATTTGGTCACCGGGCTCACTGCGTCTTCTGTCCCAGCTGAGTGGTTTCTCCTTGTCTCGCCTGCCTTCAGGTCGCTGCGACTCAGCGCTGCCCTCCCCAGTGCCCGGGCCGGTGCCCTGCGACGCCGCCGACCTGCGCCCCCGGGGTGCGCGCGGTGCTGGACGGCTGCTCATGCTGTCTGGTGTGTGCCCGCCAGCGTGGCGAGAGCTGCTCAGATCTGGAGCCATGCGACGAGAGCAGTGGCCTCTACTGTGATCGCAGCGCGGACCCCAGCAACCAGACTGGCATCTGCACGGGTAATCCTGCTCCCTCTGCTGTTTGACCTCTTCTCCTGCAGCTAAGTGAAGCTGCTTCCTCCCTTCTCTTTTGTATTCCCCTTCCCAGAGGGCGATAAGCAAATAATAATAATGCAATAAATGACATGTATAGAGCACTTACTGTGTGTCAGGCATGGTTTGGGGAGCACTTGGGGCTTTGGGGAGCGCCAGAGCCAGAAAGGAAACCTGCCCTGGGGGTGAAAGGCATTCCTCACTTGGCTTCCTAGACAAGAATCTAAGCAAAGGGGGAGCCACGCAGAGTTAAGGGCCAGTGAAGTCATTTCCTTCGGACACTTCTAGGGGGCCACTTGGGGCTGATGGAAGCTCGGGTTTACTCACACGCTCACAGTTTCCCAAACTGCAGTTGGGGAAAACCCAGCAGGTTTGTTTTCACACCTGTAATTGTCCCATTTGAACCAAAGCAGCTGCTAGTCTCCTGGGATAACTATGTAACCCTTTTCTGGCTGCAAGTAAAATAAAATGCAGGCAACTAGCCAATCCAGGCTTCTAAAACGTAATCAGTCGGGGATCAATTTTTCACATGATACAACATTGTAGTTGAAGATTGTCCCTTCCTTTCTGGACAGGAGGGCTTTTACTTTTTTCTCTAAGCTACTGATGATTTTATTATGCTTGAGTGTCAAGGAATCTTAATGCCCTTCCCAATTTGATCAGCTAACCTGTTGGAAAACATAAAGTACACTTTTTCTCTTTTTAAGTCTAAGCTGCTGGAGTAGGAAACTCTAAGGAGGTTCTCGCAAAATGACTGAACATTGGGAAAAATGGCCAGGGGACCTTGGGGACATCACTTCACAGTTGCACACCTCTTTCCTCATCCATAAAATGAGTGGCAAGACTAGATGATCTTGAAGGTTTCTTCTTGCTCTGAGAGGCCTCCATGAGGACATCACTCTACAGTAGATACATGAGAAACCAGATCGCCTGAACTAGAAAAGGACTTGGGTTTTGGAACATGCCCTCCAAATCTTACATAGCTTCTTCACTGTATTGTGTTCTTGTTTTTCCTCTTCCTCTTTGCTTTTCACTTTGCTTCCCCAATATTCTAGCGGTAGAGGGAGATAACTGTGTGTTCGATGGGGTCATCTACCGCAGTGGAGAGAAATTTCAGCCAAGCTGCAAATTCCAGTGCACCTGCAGAGATGGGCAGATTGGCTGTGTGCCCCGCTGTCAGCTGGATGTGCTACTGCCTGAGCCTAACTGCCCAGCTCCAAGAAAAGTTGAGGTGCCTGGAGAGTGCTGTGAAAAGTGGATCTGTGGCCCAGATGAGGAGGATTCACTGGGAGGCCTTACCCTTGCAGGTGAGAAACTCAATATACCTAGGGCTGGTCATAGTAGAGGGTAAATACAAACATGAAGAATTTGCAATCTCTTGGATTTGAAAAGAGAAACTGGCCTCAGTTTCTGGTCATTCAGTTGTGGGTTTCAGGTTGCCCACTGAGATCAAACACATTTGTAGACATTAGATCAAACATATTTATAAACTCAAACTAAGTTATAGAAGGTTGCTGCAATTTCTCCTGAAGAGGACCTCCCAAATTCACTCTTTTGTCTTATTTTTGTCTTATTGGATGACTACTACTTGTATTTTAATCCATCCCACTTGACCCTCATTAGCACTACAAAGACAAAATTTTAAATTCTCTTTCTTTTCTGGATTCTGTACACTACCTAGGCCGTCTCATGATTAACCTCCTTAAAGAAGGCTACTCATCCCTGCACAGGTGTCACTGAAAAGTGTCATCTTTCTAGATGCTGTAGTAAGGCTCAGATGGCACTTCAGGACCTTTTTTTATTCTTATTTTTGTTTTCTCTTATCAATGAAATAGTTTAAATAAAAAATCTCAAGAGACAATAGAGGATTATTTTAGAAGCCATTAATTAGCCAGATTACTTATATTAGCAGTATCCGGAATTGTATACTATTTCTGAGGGCAGACATTATCAGCCATGCCAGAAATAAATAAATAGATAAATAAATTCAGTTCTGTGTCCTGGGAGCATGGGTGTTTAGTAGGTACAGAGTCGAATGAGACCCAGTTTCTAATAATGGCTGAAAAGGACCACTTTCCAATCCTCACATTGTACCTAATATGGCTGTCTTTATTTATACATCCCATAGCTTACAGGCCAGAAGCCACCCTAGGAGTAGAAGTCTCTGACTCAAGTGTCAACTGCATTGAACAGACCACAGAGTGGACAGCATGCTCCAAGAGCTGTGGTATGGGGTTCTCCACCCGGGTCACCAATAGGAACCGTCAATGTGAGATGCTGAAACAGACTCGGCTCTGCATGGTGCGGCCCTGTGAACAAGAGCCAGAGCAGCCAACAGATAAGGTAGGAGCCTGGAGGAAACCTCCCATCCTGAAGGTAATGGCCTTGTGTCCTTGGAGCCTGGGCTTCAGAAAGTCACTGTGTCACTCTGTGACGGAGAGAGCAGCTATAGCGGGGAGTTAACCCCAGAGAAAAGGCAGTGGGGTTCTTGAAGCCAGCCTATCTTCTTTTTTCTCTTTAACATATTGAAATACTCTAAGCAACTCACAGTACACCCTCAGGTAAAGAGGGAGAGGGACCGGAAAACTATAATGCTTTTCCCAATAGAGAATGGTCTAGCAAATCCCATTCCATTCCTGGAGAAAACTGGCTACAGTTGTCAAGCACAGCTGATTCTAAAGAGGTCACTTCTGACCTCAGTTCTCTTTATTCGTCAGGTTCTGTATGTATGGGTAGAGGCCATGTGGGTCTTACCTCTCAGTCCTCAGCTTTCTACCTGGCAGATATTGTGTGCGTGATAAACAACTGTTGATAAATAAGCGAGTGACTGTCTGGGAATTATTGTTGGTATTTTTAAAAACCTAGTGGAAATAATACATTTGCCAGCATAAAGCAATATGGGCCAAATAAAACAGCACATATCTTTTTATTTTTTTTTTGTTGGAATTACATCAACTCAGTATGTTAACACTGAATGTGAGACGTGCAGTTCAGAAGCTCTGATTGGTTGCTGATGACATCACAGGCCTTGTTACCAGAGCCCTATATCAGAAAAATGCAATACCCAATTTGAACCATTATATGGATCCTTATACAAACCTAAGACTAAAATAAAACAGCCCTTAGCAATTCAAGATTTACATATCTTGACACTGAAGCAATATCATCTAATGCGTAAGAGGACAACTGTGGAGCCAGACAGCTTGGCTTCAAATTCTGTCTTTCCACATGAACCAGCTATGTAATCTTGGGCAATTTTCTTAACCTCTCAGCCTCAATTCCTTCTCCCACATAATGGGGCGGCTGAAAGTACCTACCTTAACTTGTCACGATGATTACATAGAATGAATTTGCAAAATGCTGGGTATAGATTAAGTACTCTGTTAACAGTAGCCACCATTACTTATGATTTCTATTTACTGGTAAAATAAGAGTCCCTAGTGGTTGCATTAGTTATATGGCTGCTTAGCTATATAATTTTTGGAAGTCCATCCTAACTTTACTTTTCTTCCACCAGTTTAGAAAGAACACCTAGAAACACCTTATCCCTAAAATTATATCCTAGGAGATGCACTTCCCCACGCTCAGAGGAATTCAAACATATATCTAACATAGTCATATAGGTTCACCCACATAAGCAGTCTCACATACAAACACATACACACACATAGGAATGTTGTTATCCTGTACCATTTTGTGGGTGTTGACAAGAATACACGCTAAATATTAAATTGAAAAAGTAAGAAGAAGTCCTTAAATATTTTCAATAGCACAGCAACTTCTTTATTAAACAAGATGTTTCCATTTAATGCCTCTAAGATGTGGCTTTTTCTATTGTGTCATTTTGCAAAATTTGTATTTTTTCTTGTAACTTGAATCTTCTTTAATATTTGGATATGTTATTTTAAAGATGGTTATTTATAGTATACATATTTTATAAAAATTGTACTAGTATAACAATCATTACTTCCTTGTCTCCAAGAGATTCTTAAATCTAAGACAGTGGTTCTTTTTTTTTTTTTTTTTTTTTTTTTGAGACGGAGTCTTGCTCTGTCACCCAAGCTGGAGTGCAGTGGCACAATCTTGGCTCACCGCAAGCTCCGCCTCCCGGGTTCACGCTATTCTCCTGCCTCAGCCTCCTCAGTAGCTGGGATTACAGACGCCCTCCACCATTTTTTTGTATTTTTTAGTAGAGACGGGGTTTCACCATGTTAGCCAGGATGATCTTGATCTCCTGACCTTGTGATCTGCCCGCCTCGGCCTCCCAAAGTGCTGGGATTACCGGCCTGAGCCACCGCGCCCGGCCGACAGTGGTTCTTAAAGGGTGGTCCCCAAACCAGCAGCATCATCTAAGAAGTTGTTAAAATGTAAATTTGTGGTGTGGGTCCCACATCGGATGTACTGAATCCAAAACTCAGGGTGTGAGGTCTGACAGCTTGTTTTAAGAAATCCTCTAGATGATTTTGATGTGCACTGAAGTTTGAGAGCCACTGATTTAAGATAATTCCAAGTCTAATCACCCCACAAGCTGTGGGTCATGCCTATGAAGGTGAACAGTGGATAACTGTAGGAAATTAGTAGATTAAGAAATATAAGTAAGAAATAAAATATAGCCAATTCTTTGCTGAATTATCAACATTGGGCCTCTTCATTTATCATTACTAATACAATCTTGAAAACATTCTCCACTTTATTTGCCTCCATGCAAATTCCATGTCTTGGAATTTCCTGGGTTCATCACGTAATAGAAAGAATGGGCTTTGTACAGACAAATTCAAATATTAGATGTTTTCTGATCCCTTTAGGTCTTTGAGACTCAGTTTCTTCATCTGTAAAACTTGGGCAATTGTTCTTTCTATGAATGATTATTTCTTGTATGAATGAACACTGTTAATAAGGTTGAGTTAATGTTTGAAGAGTATTTGAAACATAAAATAATGCCAGATTTATAAACATTCTTTTTATAACATGTTGTATTAGTCCATTTTCAAACTGCTATGAAGAACTACCCAAGACTGAGTAATTTATAAAGAAAAGATGTGTAATTGCCTTACAGTTACACATGGCTGGGGAAACTTCAGGAAACTTACAATCATGGCAGTAGGTGAAGGGGAAACAAAACACATCTTACATGGCAGCAGGACAGAGAGAGACAGAGAGAGAGAGAGAAAGAGAGAGAGAAAGGCAGAAAGAGAGAGAGAGAGACAGTGAGAGGGGAAGTGCCACACTTTTAAACCATCAGATCTTGTGAGAACTCACTATCACGAGAACAGCAAGGGAAAAATCTGCCCCCATGATCTAATTACCTCCCACCAGGCCCCTCCTCTGACACGTGGTGATTACAATATGAGAAGAGATTTGGGTATGAACACAGAGAACCAAACTGTATCACGTGTAAAAATCCATTTGGCTAAAAATGACACCAAAGCATGTTACAGTGTCTTAAAAGATAGGTTTTGTTATGCTTTCACCTGCATGCTCATCTCCTCAATGTCAAAAGACCATTATGTACAATTAGGCAAGGTGTTTACATTCCAGGAAGAAAGGAAAATGAATACAGGAACAATAAAGAATTGTACCTACTCAAAGGGCAAAGAATTTCCCAGATTCTCTTGGCCAGAACTTTGCCACAAGGTTATCCCAAGTCCCACATAGTCTGTGGAAGCAAATACTTTTAGCTGACTACATTGCTCAAGCAAAATTAATGTTCTGATAGCAAAGAAGAAAGACCAATAGATATTGGGTGGGCAACTAGCAGGTAATTCCATACTCTAAAATTGTCCCTCAGGGGAATGGTAGCCATTCAATACATCACTTCTTTTTTCTTTCTTAGAAAGGAAAAAAGTGTCTCCGCACCAAGAAGTCACTCAAAGCCATCCACCTGCAGTTCAAGAACTGCACCAGCCTGCACACCTACAAGCCCAGGTTCTGTGGGGTCTGCAGTGATGGCCGCTGCTGCACTCCCCACAATACCAAAACCATCCAGGCAGAGTTTCAGTGCTCCCCAGGGCAAATAGTCAAGAAGCCAGTGATGGTCATTGGGACCTGCACCTGTCACACCAACTGTCCTAAGAACAATGAGGCCTTCCTCCAGGAGCTGGAGCTGAAGACTACCAGAGGGAAAATGTAACCTGTCACTCAAGAAGCACACCTACAGAGCACCTGTAGCTGCTGCGCCACCCACCATCAAAGGAATATAAGAAAAGTAATGAAGAATCACGATTTCATCCTTGAATCCTATGTATTTTCCTAATGTGATCATATGAGGACCTTTATATCTGTCTTTTATTTAACAAAAAATGTAATTAACTGTAAACTTGGAATCAAGGTAAGCTCAGGATATGGCTTAGGAATGACTTACTTTCCTGTGGTTTTATTACAAATGCAAATTTCTATAAATTTAAGAAAACAAGTATATAATTTACTTTGTAGACTGTTTCACATTGCACTCATCATATTTTGTTGTGCACTAGTGCAATTCCAAGAAAATATCACTGTAATGAGTCAGTGAAGTCTAGAATCATACTTAACATTTCATTGTACAAGTATTACAACCATATATTGAGGTTCATTGGGAAGATTCTCTATTGGCTCCCTTTTTGGGTAAACCAGCTCTGAACTTCCAAGCTCCAAATCCAAGGAAACATGCAGCTCTTCAACATGACATCCAGAGATGACTATTACTTTTCTGTTTAGTTTTACACTAGGAAACGTGTTGTATCTACAGTAATGAAATGTTTACTAAGTGGACTGGTGTCATAAACTTTCTCCATTTAAGACACATTGACTCCTTTCCAATAGAAAGAAACTAAACAGAAAACTCCCAATACAAAGATGACTGGTCCCTCATAGCCCTCAGACATTTATATATTGGAAGCTGCTGAGGCCCCCAAGTTTTTTAATTAAGCAGAAACAGCATATTAGCAGGGATTCTCTCATCTAACTGATGAGTAAACTGAGGCCCAAAGCACTTGCTTACATCCTCTGATAGCTGTTTCAAATGTGCATTTTGTGGAATTTTGAGAAAAATAGAGCAAAATCAACATGACTGGTGGTGAGAGACCACACATTTTATGAGAGTTTGGAATTATTGTAGACATGCCCAAAACTTATCCTTGGGCCATAATTATGAAAACTCATGATCAAGATATATGTGTATACATACATGTATCTGGTTTGTCAGGCTACAAGGTAGGCTGCAAAATTAAATCTAGACATTCTTTTAATGCCACCACACGTGTTCCGCTTCTCTCTTTTAAAGTATTTATAAAAATATAAATTGTACATTTTGTAAAATATTATGTTTGATTTCTCTACTTGTCATATCACTAAATAAACACGATTTTATTGCTGCGTGACTCTGTATTACTTTGGTGCATAAAAGTTGAACATTGTTGTTTACTGAAAATAAAATTAAAATTTATGAATTAAATGAGACATCAATCAATAGCATCTATTGAAAGCAAAATGAGTATTTCTGGATGAGCTTACAACTTCTTATCAGAAGGGAAACAAAAGACAACTCAGTATTCCTGAGTTAGATGTTCCTCACCATCACAGCCTCAACTAGCCTCCACACTACTTACCCAGACCCTCATCTCAAGCCCTGATCTTTTTTTTTCTGGACAGCCCGCTAGACACCTCTGTATATTGAAATTTAAACTTGTTATCTGACCAAACAAAATTCAGCTCTGTGGCTTCCTCATCTAATCAAAGGGCATCCCATCCTCCCAATTGCACGGCTTAAATGGCCAGCACTTTCTTGATCAGTATTATCTTGCCAAGTACCCAGAAAAGCATATTTCCATTGATCATGGGGAATTGCGTGACAAACTGGGCTGCACACTGGGCAGAGTCACAGTTAATAGAAGTTTTGTGTTTGGAAGCTTCTTGCTGATGCAGTGTGGCTCTCAAGTTCTATAATTTGTAAGGAAAAATCTTTTCAAAAGAGTTTTACTATTACCAACTTCACTTCCTGGGTCTGCCCCCTCCTTTCTGCACCTCTCTTTAGCTAGTTTCTGTTTGTCCTTTAAGATGGATTAGAAAGCAACTTTGCCTTCTAGGAGTTTATTCACACGAAATTATCAAGGACAGCAAACATTTATTGCACAACAGCATTGTGCTGAGAGCTGTACTTGCATTATATTGTTTAATTGGCACAATAGTCCTATGAAGTAGGCATTCTTCATGTACCCATGTTATGGATGAGGAAACCAAAAAAAAAAAAATGTTAAAAGAAACTGGTGGATCTAGAATTCAAACCAAAGTCCTTTTACTTTCTACTTGCTAACATATGGATCCTGGCAAAGATGATCTATCTTCAGACTGTTCTACCATGTGTTGTTCATAAAGGCAAAAAAAAAAATAGAAACAAAGATTCCACAGTGTAGATCTGGCTACATTAATTATAGTATACCCGTTAGGATGAAAAACAAAGCAATCTTCAAACTGAGAATATAAGAAAAGATATCCGAAAATATACCACAGAATGGCATGAAACTAGGAAAAGAGTGATTTGGTTTTGTTCAAAAGTATCTATGAACATGAATCAAAAGAGACCTAGGACAGAACGTGTAACAAAATCTGATTAGTGATTTAGACTAACGTCAGACTAGTCTCATTTTTGTTCTTTTCTGTCATTTCTTTACCAACTTTTTTTTAAAACTGTGAATATACTACCTTTATCACCAGAAAAACAAAAATTAAGGCTGACTTATGTCCCTTCTGGCATAGTTCTTGCACTGCTACTTACTCATATAGAGATGGCTGCTCCTTCCAGCAGCTAAAGCATTTGTTAAGTCATTCACTTTGTTCATTCAAAAACTACTTACTGATTGCTTCTATGTGCCTAGCATTGTTTTAGATCCTGGGAACACAGCCATGAGTAAAATAAACAATAAAAATAAACACGTTCTCTCTTCTTCCTGAAATTTACATAACGCTGTTGGGAAAGGCAGGCAAAAAAGCAGCAAACAAAGAAGGTGAATTTCAAACAATGTGTAAATAAATCTGTGAGGATCATCAAAACAGAGTGATAACATAGAAAACTTCTGGGTGGCTAATTTAGCTTGAGGCAAGGAAATTCTTTCTAAAGAGGTGACATTTCATCAGAATGACAAAGAGAAAGAATCTTCCAGTGAGAGGTAACATCTATTGTAAAACAAAACGAAACAAAACAAAAACAGTGTCAGGGAGTATTAAGGAAGATCCATGAGGCTAGAGTACAGAATAGGAGGAGAGGTGGGAGATGATGTATCTGCAGGGGCAAGAGTATCAGGACTTGCCTCTGTCATCATAGTTCTCACAGTATTTTACAACCAATTCTCTATACCCCCATTATGAGCATCTTGAGGCCAGCATTTTAGTCCTCTGTATCTGCCCAAGTCCCTGACACACAGTAAGACCTCACTGTGCATACCTGTTGAATGAATGAATAAATATATGAATGAATGGTCTCTGCACTGGCAGAAGAATGTTCTTTGAAATAAATGTTAGACTATCATTTTCGTTATCACCATCACCTGGAGAGCTCTCCAACATACATAAACACACATGCATGCATTCCCGAAGTTATAATTAAAGGCAGTCAGAAAATGTGATCTGATGTACAAATATTTGCAAATTTCGGAACATTCTAGTAACACAGCAAGGCAGGAAACATTGACTGAGCAGAGTTTAGGGCTGCAGAAAGAGCACAGGCTTGAGAATTATCCAAGCCTGGGTCTGAATGCCAGGCCTACTCTTTCCCAGCTATGGGATACTGGGCTCTCTGCACAGTCTCTGGAGCTCAATTTTCACATCTGTAAGATGAGACCATGTATGGATAGGGTGACCGACTGCTCCAGTTTATCTCGTTTTAGGAGTCAGGACTTTTCAGTTATAAAATCAGGACAGTCCCAGGCAAACTGGGAGAAGTTGGTCACCCTAAATATCAACCTCATAGTATTACAATATATATTCATAAGCGCTTGACTGTGCCTGGCACATAGTAGGTCTGCAAATGGCAGCTGCTGATATAAGTGTTTAGTAGAGCCAAGCATTGCCCCTTATTCTACACATTTAATGTTCAAAGGTAGACATTATTGACCTTATTTTTACATGGAAAGATGAAGAAACTCAAAGAAGTTAATGACCTATTAAGGACACAGTAAATGAAGGAGCTAGGATTCAAACTCAGGGTCTGTCTGAGCTCAGAGCCAAAGCTCTTTCCTTTACACAGTGCCACAGACACTGAGGCCAAGTATATTTTCAGCAACCAAAACAATTCCAACAGTTTCATTTTTGTGCTATTTTCCCAAACTATAAATGTTCTCTTTTAGTAACAGCATTGCAAAGTATTGAGACTGTTGAGATCATTCTATGAATGTCACATTTTGAAAGCACTTAATTGCTGGTGTAGTGATAACTCACATTTCATTGAAAATTATTTGGGGATTTTTCTTTTCTTTTTCCACACAAAGATTCAATTCAACAATGAGGTAAGAACATCTTTAACTATACAAAGAGCTAATTTGTTACATACATATCTGTACTTGATGAGATTATCAGTGAAGCTTTGGTGGAGATTTCTGGGCAGTACTAGATTTCTCTCACAATGTCTTCCTTGTAGGTACATGTTGTCATCCTTCCAAATGGGTTTCACTCCAAAATGTTCAACATCACAAGTCAAATCATCAAAACAGTATGTCCTTTTGGCTATGGGCTATAGGGCTTAGTTTGACAATCCAATATTGTTGGAAATGTATTCATCTTAACCACACTGCACAGTTCTTGCAGGCATTCTTATGCTGTCTGGACCACAGAGGGTTCACAAAATTCAATTACTACTTCAATAACACCGCTGGCACTTGCTGAACTCTGAATAATGAAGGATTATCTGCAGCCTTCCAGCTGAGGACCGTGAATTACTGTTACATTAAGCCAGCTGTTCTGGGGATAATCAGGAGGTGCAAAGGGTAAAGATGGCAATGTTGTACCAGTCTTCCTAAAGAATGTGTGTCTTTCTCCTTAGGACAAAAAAAATGGTCTGAATTTCAGCCCAGTATACAATTCCATTCAAATGACAAGGTTTCACAGAATGAACAGCCCACAGGTCCTACTGGAAGGAAATTGGCAACAAATATTTTATAATCCAAGCAGAAAATGTGGCTTGGACTTACATTTTATTAGCAAAATCTGAGAACCAGACTCTGCTTGTAGCATAGAATCAGAAGTTTGGAAGAAGTTATAAAGTTCTTAGCTTGGGTTAAATATGGGTCAGTATGCTCCAAGCTGACCCAAGTTTGTCCTGCTGAAGCAAGGCCACTTAGAAGATCCTGGGAGGACTTTGATACAGGAGATGCTAGTAAGTGGGCATTCTAGCTCCTCTGAAAGTTGAGCAGTGAGAATCTTCCCCAATAATTTGTAGAAAATCATAGCCCCCAGAAAAGAGAATAAAGACCATAAGGATCCTGTTAAGTGTACCATGTTATCTCCCTAAATTCCATTTCATGGTTCAAGAATCCACTCTAAGTTCACCTTCTCTAAGAAGCCTTCTTCACCAGCACTCTTTTGACTACAATGAGCCTGACCCAACCTCTTTTGTGCCCAACTGCTCTTTGTAACAATTACTATCATAGCAGCTGAAACACCATCTCTGTTACTTGTTTGTATGTGTGTTTCCCACGAAACCCTAAGCTCCATGAGAGCAAGGACCTTGTCTGGTTTTCTCACGGCTGTTTTACACAGTGATTCTCAAGGTTGTTCAGCACAGTATTCCAAACAGCTGAACAGACTGAACACTTATTATCTAACCATCTAGCAGCAAAAACCCAACATTTCAGGCCAAAATTTCTATAGCTTCTCACATTTTCTCCTAAAAATGCAAGTACTTTTTGACTTCTCCTTAATCTTCAAGTAAAATTGATGCTCCAGAAAAATGAACCATGTTTACACTGAGACCTCTTGCATCTTCTTGCATATTTCATGTAGTCAAATTAGCAGTAATAATAAAAAAGATTCCAAATTCTATCTCAATTTAGGTGCCATCAATTGTAAGGTATACTATTAATGTACATATCAAAAAGAAATTTTAAAATTCTGTCAATTGGCTCAGGACACATCATCAATTGGAACACTCATATCACTTTCAGAAATGAAAAAAAAAATCTAATGTTTATTTTAGAATATATGAAATTTAGGGAAAAAATGAAAAAGGAGGAAGTGGAGGAAGAGGAAAAAACTGACATTTATCAAGCTTATTAGGTTCTAGACACTATGCAAAGTGCTTTACGTAGATTACTTTATTTCCTTTAATTCTTATAACAGTCCTTTGAGGTCAGTACTATTTTATCTCAAAATTACAGATGAGGAAAATGAAGCTTTAGAAAGAAAAATAGCTTGCATGGCATCATAAACCTATTATGTGGTAAAGCCAGAATATGAATCCTCACATTCTGAATCCAAAATGTGTATATTTACTCTGCCTTATTGCCTATATTCTGGGTTTCATGTACTCCATTTGGAGAAACAAGTAATTGTTGCACAAGAAACTTGAAAGAATGAATGAATGAATGACCAGCTAATAAGCTGTAAAGGATTTGTGCCTGGATATTGGTCACCACCTGAGGAACTTCCCCGACAGGATGCATGGGGGCCATATGCAGATCTTTGCCAAGGAAAACAGTTGATTTTGGCCAACAATTTTGTGACCAAGAACTGTTAGGAATATGGTCCTGAGCTTTTCACTGGCCCCTGAAATTAAGGTAGTGGTCTTTCTTTTCTGGATTAATTAAGTAATTGATCAAGTCAACAAAAACGTAGTGATCATCTACCATACTCCAAGTCATTTGCTGGAACTGGGAATAAAGCAGTGAACAAGGCAACTACAGTCCTTGCCCTCCTAAAGCTTATAGTCTGGTGGGTTGTATGAGTTTTTCTTTAAACCCTGATTCCCCGGACTAAATTATCTAGATTTGTTTGTTTGTTTGTTTGTTTGCCTTTCCTTTTCTGCTTACCACTTTATGCTCATAGGATTGGACTCCTTAGAACTGAGCCCCATGGTTGGTGCCTCCCAAATTCCAGAGAAGATCCCTAGAGCTGAGTCTGAAGCATTTCTGGCCCCTCCCTGTAAGCCAGCTCCTCAGCTGAAGCCTCCTCAGATGCCAATTTCTCATGTGAAGGTCAGATAATTATGTAGGTCTCTCTGCAACAACCATGGGGAAGGAGAATCTCTTGTACCTACTAAATACACACCTGGACAATTCCAGAAGCACACAGAAAGTTAGGGGTTTCAGAGATCTCCCCTGTAAGACCTCATTCATTAGGAGAACCATCTAATCCCCAAGCCTATGTTCAATAGTGTATTCAGAAACATCATGTAGTGCTCTTTTTCCCTTTGACAGAAAGGCTCAAGTTATATTGTGCCCATACCCTTCTTGGTGCTATATTATCTACCTAGAGTGCCCTCCTTCCTTTAACTTCATCTTTTGAAATCATTTTTATTGTTCAAGACCCAGCCGCCATAAAAAGCTATTTATATTTACTAAGTTTTTCCCAATCCCCACCCTACTTCTTCAACCAAGGCAAAACATGGTAGCAGAACATACTGGCAAACACTGAACTTGGAGTCAAAAAACCAAGCCATGTCCTAGTTGCCTAGCCTCTGGGCTTCTATGTCCACAAAATGAGGATGGTGAATTCAGCAACTTCTGTGGTCCCATCTATATTAACACTTATAGGGTACATACTATGTGTCATATCATTTTTATAAACTTATTTTTCCTACAAGTACAAGATGAGTACTATTACCTCATTTATTGATGAGACTGGAACAGATTCCAACCCAGGGGTGCCTGATTTTACAGCCCAGACTCTTAGCAGCAATGACACACCACAGCCCCCAAGAGCTTATGGTGCCCTTCCTCCTCTTTTTCTCTTTTATTATAATGATCATTCTAAAGGCTCACCTCATTGAATAGTACTGCTTCTGGTTTTTGGATTAGAAAATAACCACCATAGCCTTCAGATTCATCCTGGTCTCTCTAGGCAAGGAGTGACAAAATCAGCAATGAAAATATTAATTAAAATTGCATCTACACAACATCCCAGAAAATGGTAGAGATATAGAAAAGCCAACTATGAAACCAGCTGTTAAAACCATGTCCAGCCAGGTGCGGTGGCTCACTCCTCTAATCCCAACGCTTTTGGAGGCTGAGGCGGGCAGATCATTTGAGGCCAGGAGTTCAAGACCAGCCTGGCCAAAATGGTGAAAGCCCGTCTCTACCAAAAATACAAAAATTAGCTGGGCGTGGTGGCATGCACCTGTAACCTGAGCTACTCGGGAGGCTGAGACATAAGAATTGCTTGAACCCAGGAGGTGGAGGTTGCAGTGAGCCGAGATCACGCCACTGCACCACTACACTCCAGCCTGGGCAATAGAGCGAGACTTTGTCTCAAAAAAAAAAAAAAAAGAAAAGAAAAAAGAAATCCAATGAACAATTTTATTTCTCTTTTTATGGGACCACTTGCTTTGGCAGTCTGCTCAGATGAGATATCGAGGTGCATCTAGAAATATAAAGCATAGACTGATTCATTGAATTGGTCAGATTATTTTTTGAAATGGGTCATTTCAGTCAAACAATTTGTTTGTAACCCAAGTTACTAACTAGTTATTGCCCATTTGATCTATTAAAAACAATTCATCCATTTGGTAAAGCCTCACTAACATTTTTGAAATCAATCTATACAATGTACCTGAGAAAAATATATTAATTAGTTAATACCTTCACTCAATTAAAACTTGGGCATGTCCAAAGTCTGACCACACACCTCTTGTCATATTGGATTGGCCATCACAGGTAAATTCTTACAATGTTGGACACAGATTCTTTAACAAAACAGTTGAACTTCAGTACACACCAAGATGGTTAATGCAACACAGACTGCTCAAGGTTAGACTAAACACAAGGTCCAAGAATTATTTTCTATGGCCCTCCTTAATGACACAAAGCCATACCTTTTAACGGGCATTTTTTTTTCTCACAAAACTTTGTATTGATTTATACATTTCTTCAATTCTGTATAAGTGGGCTGTGAATTTACAAGATCCTCAAATCTCATAAGAGTCACACACCTTTTTCTTCAGTTTCCATCTACTTGTTAGTTCTGTGTTTTCTCTTATTTGAAGACTAACTTTGCAAATGTGCAGAGAAGGTATTCTATTGTATTCTGAGGGGAAAAAATGGCGTTTTTTGACTTGGATGTCCCTGGACTTTACAGTTTCACTCCAAATAATATAGTAACAGCCAAGGCCCCCTGATTTCTGCTACGAGCCCTCAACCCCACATTGGCTAACTAGGTGTATATAGCATTTTGTACATGGGTTTCTAGTAAACCTAGAAAAGAAAGTGCTTTTATTAGTCATCTAGAGATTTTTATAGGCACTTGGCCAAATTCTAAATTGCTCAGGATTTGCATCTTCTAAAGAATAAAAGCCTATTTACACACTCTCACTATTTCAGATTTCCCAGCTAGCTACATGAGAATGTTTTAAAGGGCTGGTAACAATACAACTCACCATGGACCACCTAGATTAATATTAAAAAGGTGATTCTTTGTTTCCAAGATTTTCATGTTTGCCTTCCCCTCTCTTCTCTCTCTCCAATGTATCAATGCCTTGCTTTCTTTTCCTCAAAGGCTTTTGGAAAGCGTAGGCACTCCTCAGGCCATTGGTCCACTGAGTGATATTGAACTTGCTCTGTGTGCTCACTGATGGCCTCTTTTCTAGGATAAACCATCACAACTGCCTTCATCAAGCTTAGAAAATCATCTTTGGGATCGTCCTTAAACTTGAGAGGTAGAAGGCAAACATAGGAGGAATCTCTAGATAAGGACAACTAAGAAAGAACCTTGATCCATCAATAATAGAGTACATCAAGCAGCTTCATGCTCAATCTGAAATTATCATAGTCATCATTATAGGTCACAGATAATACCTTATGGGGTGTGTTTAACCCTTCACATCTCTACAAAATGTCAAACAATATTCTGCACAAAATGAGCACTCAACAAATGTTAGATTAAAAAGAGGAATAAATTGATGAAAAACTAGAAGGATATTAAATGGAGACATTAGAAGGGTGGATAAAGGTATTAATTAGATGAACAAATGAGAACTAGAACTTTATGACTATTATTTCCTCCTTTTTCTAAAAAAAAAAAAGCCTTTGTAAAGTTGATGCTAGAAGTGTAAAAAGTTCCATTAACAATCATCTCAGAAATCTGTACAGAGTTCATACTTCCTCCCATTAAGGACTCCACCTTCCCTTTCCTGGCTCTCAGCACTTCTCCTTTTAGTTCTGTGCCTCAGTGTACATTGTTTCTATTGATTCCTATTCCTAGTCTTACCCTGGCACAATTTCTGATGTATATCTTCCAGCCATGATCTCCCCAGTTTGCCCCTTCCATCTTTGTGAGCTTGGCCAGCTAGGTTGACCCTCTTTCTTCCAACTTGTCCATCAAGTTGTAAGAATTGGATCATTTACTTGAGTTGTTAAACTTAAGACCAGCATCATTCTAATTGATATTGTTTATTCTCTTTGCCTTTGCCTGAATAACAAAGGACTCTCACATCATTGTGAATTACAGGTCTGTCTTTGCCATCAGGTTTTTAATTTTGTTCAGGATTAAACCCATAGTAGTTTAAGGAAGATAGTAACCTCTTCAACTCTAGGGGAAAATGTTGTAAAAGCAGTTTGCAAATTCTAAATCCTCATTTGAAGTAAGCTACTATTTGGGGTCACAAGCTGTCTACACAACCCTAAGATGTTTGAATATAAATTTAAAATTTTGATCATCCAGATGGTTTCTATTTGAAAAAGCCCATTTGGCATTCTAGACGTAACCTCCTGAATGATTAAAGAAGCAATAATCAGGAAGAGTCAATATTTGTTATCTTGTAGACATTTTCTCTATAATGCTTAAGTACCCTAACTGTGATGCAGAGACTAAAATATTATAGCTAGATTTTTAAAAATTTGACCATATGCAAAAATGAGCAAGCAATGTGAATCATTTAATTAAAGAATAAATGACAAGTGGCTGATAAGACAATTATCTTGGTTTTGGTTATGTTTCTGTTCTTTGTAGATCATATCAAATGTTTCAGAGAGTAACTCCTCTTACAAGTATTCTTTATGATGCTAATAAGGTAAAAGTTTCTATGGGCAAACTTCTCTCTATCCTGATTTAATTTTAAAAGACAATATTTATTAAGCAACCAGCATGTGTAAGGTTATTCCCATAAAGGTGATATGCAAAATGCCCAAAGATCTTGATGTCTAAGATCCTCATACTTAATTCCACGAAGATGTAGTATATACCTGAGAATTAATAACCTAACATTACGGAGCAGTTTTGAAACTCAAACATGGCAACATCCTCCTTCCCTATCACAGAAGATAGTCATTGTTAAATTCTGAAGGATATTGGAAGAATTCAATTGTATTTTTCCTCCAGCCTAGAGAGAACTCCTCTGCTGCCATTTTCAGCTTCTGGGTCTCTAACCTGCTGCCATTAGCCCAATACTTGTGATACCTTCATTTGGCAATTTACAGTGGAGTGAAAGAGAAAATAGGGGAACTTAGCTGTCCCAATTCTATCACCACAGGAGTGACATAACACACTCTATCTCCCTTGAGAACCACCTTACCTTTCTTTCTCAAGCCAAATATCTCCTGGACTATGATGGGAACAAGTGAAGGATAAAGTAGGGTAGATCTCAAAAGAAGAGTATGTGGTAGTAGGAGGAGAGGTTAACTTTGTCCAACTTACTCATTCCTTTGTGGCTCACTAGGAAAGGAAATCCTTAAAAGAAACGTGTCCTATATGAATTCTATATATTTCCTTAATATTCTTTTATTTGATTCACACAACCCTCTTTCAAGTCCTCCACTCCAATGTCCAATCTATTTTCTCAGATAACTCTGCCTTCCCCATAAAGCCTTAACCTCTACAAACTCAGGTGCCTCAGGCATTGGCCCGAGTTAATGAAGGTTCCACTCTACTTGGTTCTGTTTGATTTATGAGGACAGGGCTAGAGCAGATTCCTGTGGATGAAGCAGAAAGTAAATGTTTTGAGTTTCATCTTTTGTCATCAAGAGGGTCAGCTGATTTCAAAAGTTTACCTAAAAAGAGAGAGCACCTCAGGGCAAGGATTGACTTTTCCTCAAAAAACAAACCGAAACCGAAAAATACAATCTGGTATTCTGGTATCATGAAAAATGAAATGTCTCCTTTCAGCATGACTTTGACCTCACCTTCTGGGGAAACAAGGATCCTAGAATTATTGAAGGAGGAGAACATGACCCTTTCTTAGGCCTGATTGATTCTCCTCCATTTTGATAGGGTAGCTCAAGTTCTAACTAGGTTAAGTTCCATTTCAAACATTTTTACACACTTTATCTCATTCAACGTTCGAAACTACCCACTGAGGCATGTATATTTCTGCCCATTTTATTTGTTAAGGTACCTTAAAAATGCTTACATTTTAGTTAATGATTCTGGCATTTGAGAGAAAAACAAGCAATCTGTAAGCTCAAAAGAGATAACATAAAATAAGTTTATTTGAACCATCGGTCATGTTTCCCACAAACTACTTAAACCTTTAACTGTCTTACTTTTTCAAAGGAATAGAAAGGCATCTTCCCGGTTGTGTGGCATTTGCCCTTTTCTAGAAAGCTCTTAAGCAGTCTTCATTAGATAACTTATAGAATGTAATATTCATTAAATAGACATCAATCCGTCATCATGGGCTGAGAGTATACCCTTTTCTCTGTATTATAAGGCATAGAAAATATGTTATATAACACACTTTCACAGACTTTGCAAATGATAACCCACTTTGCAGATGACTGACCTACCCAAGAAAAATTAAGAAATGAGGGTGAGCGTTCTATTCTCTCTAAATCATGTTTCATTTCAATTTATTCTCAATATCCAGAAGGATAACTGATGCTTTTTGGATGAGCTCATTTAAACATGTCGAACTCTTTTTACAAAGATTAATTAGAATGTGTCAGCTATGCTGGTGGCAAAGCCATCTTGTTTAAAGTCTTCAAGAAGTAATATACAAAGCAAGATTACAACTGCTCAATCTTTAGCATGACATGCATAAAATCAATATTTCAAGTTCCTTTGGGAGTTACAGCCCAACATGCTGCTTATAAATCGTCATAATGACCTCAGCCAGCCCCTCCTGTCCAGTGGGGAAAGTGGAATTACTCAGACTTCGAGGGGAGACTTAAAGACTGGGCAGTTCACAAGGGCTGTGAATAGGCTGATGGTTTTCTAGAAGAAAAATGTCAGATGTAGAAGTTTCCTAGATGCCATGCCATAATCAGTCCCATCTGCTCCAAACTCAGAGAGCCAAAGTCACTCATTGAGAAAGCTTTGGAACAGCAAAGCATGGGCATGTTCAGAGACAATAGTGAATGACTTCTCACTATACACGAGATTCCAAGTAGCAGGATTTCTAAACGTTCCATGCAGAAGAGGACACCAAAATATCCTCTGGGAGATCTTCTTTTATATCTCACTTAATGAAAGCAGTTTCTGTTAACTGATCTCTCTGGATTAATCAATATCTTTAATTTCTGGACTGCTCAACTTTGTGAAAAACTGAGGTTCTCCTTTACAATTTGGACAAGTCTAATTTTTCAGTTTCTCTCACTGGTGTTTTGAAACCCTAGCTCTACTTGAGGATATTTTAAGGATAATCTGAAGAATAGGAGCTTTAGAATTTACTAGTATAGTGTTCTCAACCAGAGATAATTTTAGTCCCCATACAACATTTAGTAATATCTGGAGACATTTTTGATCATGGCAAACTGAGGGAGGACTGCCACTGGCATCTGGTGGGTAAAGGCTAGGGATAATTCTAAATATCCTACACAAGACAGCCCTCCACAGCAAGAAATTATCTGCCCCCAAATGTCAATAATGCCATGGTTGGAAAGCCTTGCACTAGCAAAATGGCAAAAACCCAAGTTTAACCAATGGCCAAAGCTCAGTTTTAACGACAGATAAAAATTCCCTCATACCATGTTGCAGGAAGCAGAGAAAGAAAGCAGTCTAATCATTTCAGTGGTGAATAAGAAATCTCTGAAAAGAGATGTTACAGAGACCACTTTTGTGACACAATCAACCAAGCCAAAAAAAAAAAAAAAAAAAAAAAGGCCTTCCAGTTGGGTCTTACAATACAATTTGGAAAAGTAAATGCCAGAGACAACTGGAAAAAAGAGTTGATGCCCAAACAGATTTCCCTGTTGTGATGCATGTTAGCTGACTTAAGAGCCTCCAAGTCCCCAAAGTGTTAATTTCCAGAAAAATTGAAAGAGGAGGGGTTAAGTTAAACATACACTGTGAGTTGTTCTTACGCTACAGTTGAAGAGAGATCTTGAAATATATTTTTCATTCATTTTCTCTCTTTGTGTCTCCCCTATGTGAGAAATATGGCATGCACAATTGGCGCCTATATTATCCTCTAGCCAATACTTTATCCCAGTTGCCTTAGCAACTGTCAATATTTGTCTGGTATGTCACAGCCCCAGTTGGCTGATGGCTGGTTGAACATCTACTTGTAAAGTTTAGGAAAGAGAGACACCCAGTGGTCTAAATTAACTGAGTTGCTGAAAGCCTGCTTCATTTTATTTTCACTTCAGAAATGTTTATTAATTTTTAAATCTGATCTTCTGTTAATCATCAACAATCCCCACAATTAAACTTATGAAGGGAGAAAAGAACATGTGTTGGCACACTTACTTTTTCTGTAAAGTCCCAGACAGTAAATATTTTAGGCTTTGCGGGCCATATGGTCTCTGTTGAAACTATTCAATTCTTCCGTTATAGCACAAAAGCAGCATTAAACAATATGTAAACAAATGAGAATGGCTGCATTCCAATAAAATTGTACTTACAAAAGCAGACAGCAAGCCAAATTCAGCCCATAGGCAACAGTTTCCTAACCCCTGCAAGAGAAGATAGAATGTATGTGCTTTTTCAATCTGTACATTTAACTGCCCCTTTCCCTCCCTCAAATTTTAAGGCAACTAGAAGAATCACTGCAAAAAGACACATCAATATTCATTCACTAACATTAATACAACTATTTACCATGTTCCAGACACTGTTTTAGGTGCCACAGTCACAGCAATGTACAAGACAGTTGCTCTGGACCAAGTGCTGTATCCCCTCAAAATTTAATGTTGAAATGTTGAAATTCTAATCCCCAGTGGGATGGCATTTGGAGATGGAGACTTTGGGAGATAATGAGGTATTGAGGGTGGAGTCCTCATGATGGAATTAGTGTCTAAGAAGAGACAGGCCAGAACTTGCTTCATCTCCATCCTTCTACCATGTAAGATTACAACAAGAAGCTGGATATCTACAAAGCAGCAAGAGGGCCCTCACAAGACACCAGACTGCCAGCACCCTGCCTTCCCAGCCTCCAGATTGTGGAAAATAAATGTTTGTTGTTTAAGCAACCCAGTATCTGATATTCTGTTACAGCAGCCCAAACTAAGACAGCAGTTAACGACCTCTCTGTCTTTGTGGAGCTTATATTTACCGTTAGTAATATAATATATAAATAACAGGTCTTGTAAGTCAAATGATAGTAACTACTGTTAGAATATTTCAAGGCAGAAGCAGGACAGGGAATAATGAGTTTAAAAAAATGTTATAGATTGGATTGCATTTCCCCCAAAAAATATTGAAGAACTAATTCCTTGTACCTGTTAATGCAATATTATTTGGAAATATGATCTTTGAAGATGTAAGCAAGTTAGGAAGAGGTCATTAGGTAGGACCTAATCTGGTATGACTTGTGTCTTCGTAAGAAGATGAAATGCCACAGGAAGACAGACCCTGGGAGAGCCCCATCTGATGACAGAGAAAGAGACAGGAGTGATGCAGCTGCACACCAAGGAATGCCAAAGACTGCTGGCCATATTCAAGCTGGGAAGAGGAAAGAAAGGATTCTCAGAGGGCCATGATCCTGATGACACCTTGATATCAGCTGGTTTGCCTCCAGAACTGTTAGGGTATACATTTCTGTTGTTTTAAGCCACACAGAACACAGCCGTAAGAAACTAATGCAGAAACAGAGAGAATTGTTACTGTTAAAAGGGTGGCAAAGAAAGGCTTCAGTGAGAGGGTGAAGGAGCAACTCACAGGGTTGCGTGCGATAGTAATCAAAGCAGAGGAAACAGCACGTGTTAAGGCCCTGAGGCAGGAGGATCACAAGGGTGTTCTTGTGCCTGGGGCAAAGTGAGTCACAGGGAGAAAGGGGAGTAATAAATCAGAGAGATAAATGGAGCAAGATGACAAAAGTCCTGTGGGATACTGCATGGAATTTGGCTTTTATGCTGAGTGAAATATGATATTAAAGAATTTTGAGTAGAAGAGTGACATGTCATATGATGTTTATGAAAAGCATTGTTCTGGCTGTCCTATTGAGAATATATCCCATAGAAGCAAAGATGGAAGTAGAAAGACCTATTATGAGGATACTGCAATTATCCAGGAGAGAGATGCATGGAGTAATAGTGGAGGTGGTGAGAGGTGTAGGATTTATTGTTAGAAGAGGATCTACTGACATATTAGATACGAGGTGTGAGGAAAAGTGAAGGTCAAGGATGAATTCAAGGTTTTTGCTTCAGGCAAACTGTAGTTTGAACTTGTGATGAGGAAGACTGGCATAAGAGCAGATTTCCTTGTAGGGGTGTGTCAAGAGTTCACTTTTGAGCATGTTATGATAGGGATGTTATTAGATAAATAGTTAGATCTCTGGGCCTGGAGTTCAGGAGAAAGTTCTAGGCTGAAGATTTTAAATGTGGGTTATAATTAGTACAGGTGGTCCTCAGTATTTGTGAAGGATTGGTTCCAGGACCCCCCTCACATACCAAAATCTGCAGATGCTCAAGTCCCTTATGTAAAATCATGTGGTGTTGGCATATAACCTACACACATCCTCCCATGTACTATATTTAAATCATCTCTAGATCATGTATAATACATATAACAATGTGAATTGTATGTAAATAGTTGTTAAGCTGTATTGCTTAGGGAATAATACAAGAAAAAAAGTCTGTACATGTTGAATACAGACACAATTTTTAAAATATTTTTTATCTACTATTGGTTGAATCCACGGATGTGAAATCCAAGCATATGGAGAGCCAGTTGTGCATAAATGGTGTTTAAAGCCATGAGACCAGATGAAGTTAACAAGGAAATTAGTATAGATGGGGTAGGGAAGAAAAGTATTTAATTGATTGAGCCCTGGAGGACTGCAACCTTCACTATTAAGTCTACAAAGAGAAATGAGCCAGTTAAGAAGGTAAGAAACTGCTAGAAAGGTAGGAAAACCAAGAGATCATGAGGTCCTGAAGCCAAGAGAAAGACAGACATGAAAATGTGTGTTAAATACTAGTAGCTTAACACATAGGAAATACGTAAGTTAAGTGCTTATAATCAGAACTGAGAGCTGACTGCTGGATTTATAAGTGTGGAGATCATAAATAGTCTTGAACATATAATTTATCATCCAAATCAAGTCACTTTAAAATAATAATTTCAATGATTATTATTTCAATAATATTCAAATTATTATTTTGATAATAATAATTGAAAAATTATTCCTAGAGAATAGGCAGGGGCCAGTATTTTCTGTACAAATTAAGAGGAACAGTCACCCTTGTCATGAAAATATTGATAAGAGCAGTTTCATGGGTGTGATAGGATATTAGACTGAATGAATTAGTTTCTATGGAGAATGGATGGAGAGAAACAGGGGACAGTGATTGCAGATAACATTTCAAGGAAAGTAAAGAGAATGACAGACAGAGGTTGGTTAGCAGATTCAAAAGTATAGCTAGAGAGGAGAAACAAGTTATAGTGTTTTATAGCACTACAGAGTGACTATAATAAACAACAATTTATTGTGTATTTTCTTTTTTGTTGGTTTGGTTTGGTTGGTTGGTTTTTTGTTTGTTTGAGACAGAGTCTCACTCTGTCGCCCAGCCTGGAGTTCAGTGGCACCATCACAGCTCACTGCAGCCTCAATCTCCCAGGCCCAAGCAATCCTCCCACCTCAGCCTCCCAAGTAGGTGGGACTGCAGGAGCGTACCACCACACCCAGCTAATTTTTGTGTTTTTTGTAGAGACAGAGTTTCACCATGTTGCCCAGGCTGGTCTTGAACCCCTGAGCTCTAGGAAGTTGCCCGCCTCAGCCTCATCAGAGTAAAACCTTTCAAGCCACAAGAGGAGAAGTTCTGCAAGTTCCTACCACATCATCTATCCATCTGCCTGAATCTGTGCTTATTTTCTGCCTTTCCTCCAGTTATTATGGATAAAATGTCTATATGCTTATATAAGGCCAACCCTTCTGTTTGTGCTCTATATCTCATGACTCCAGCAATTCTCTTTTCCATCTCCCTACCCCCAGGCAATTTTTTTCTTTTTTCTTTTCTTTTCTTTTTCTTTTTTTTTTTAATTGAGACAGAGTCTCCCTCTGTCAGAGGGCAGTGGCGCAATCTTGGCTCACTGCAACCTCCGCCTCCCAGGTTCAAGCTATTCTCCTGCCTTAGCCTCCCAAGTAGCTGGGATTACAGGCATGTGCCACCACACCCGGCTAATATTTGTTTTTTTATTAGAGACGGGGTTTCATTATGTTGGCCAGGCTGGTCTTGAACTCCTGACCTCAAGTGATCCACCTGCCTCAACCTCCCAAAGTGCTGGGATTACAGGCGTGAGCCACCACGCCTGGCTCAGGCAATTTTTCCCTGTTTTTTTATCTGGCCACTATCTAGAGCCCAAGTCTTTGACCTCAAATTCCAGTTAATATCAGATAAATGAATGAGAAATGTTCATAATACATTTGCGTTCTGTAGAAAAGCTGAATTTTTAAGTAAACACAAAATATGTACATATTTTTAGATCATTCTGAAAACAGCATGACCTAAATGACTATTTTTCCTACCTGGAGAAGAATTCCACATTTAAGTCCCAAAGTGCTGGGATTATAGGCATGAGCCACTGTGTCCAAATATTGTTTATTTTCAAATAGCTAGAAAAGCAGATTTCAAATGTTCTATACATAAATAATAAATGTTTGAGTGATGGGGTATGCTAATTACCCTAATTTGATCATTATATATTGTATACATGTATTGAAATGCCATACTATACCCCACAAATATGTACAATTATTATGTGTAAACTAGAAATAATAATTTTAAACTTAAAAAATTTTAAAGAATGATATGGGATAGAGAGGGTTGGTTTGGAGTTATTGTTCTTTTTTCAATAACAAAGTACATTATAGAATATTTGTATGCTGACTGGAATTACGTAGGCAAAGAAGAAAAAAAATTACCTGAATTGGGGGTGGGAAGATGGGAAAGAGAATTGCTGAAGTCATGGGATCTTGGGCACAAAGAGAAGGGTTGGTCTTATATAAGCATATAGACATTCTCTCCATAATAACTGGAGGCAAGGCAGAGAAAATAAGCACAGATTCAGGTGAATGGATAAATAATGTGGTGGGAACTTGCAGAACTTCTCTTGTTGCTTAACATTTCTCACCCTGATGAGAGTGAGGAGGAGAGAAGAAGAGGGAGCAGGAACTAGAGGTAGAGTAGATAGACTAGGGGTAAAACAGGGGAACTTGTGGGCAGCGCTAAGGCTAGTTGGAGTGGATAGGGCACAATCTATTGGCATTGGGAGTGTGATCAACCCAACCCAAGGTAGTCATGGACTATGTGTGGGGGAGCACTGATTTCCCAAGGAAAATCTGAAATTGAGGAAATATTAGGTGGAGGTGGAATGAATACTGGGAAGACAAGCTCAATAGGCCATAAGTTTTGGTGGGTTTTGTTTTGTTTTGGTTTGGTTTTTGGTTTGTTTTTTGAAACAACATCTTGCTCTGTCACCCAGGCTGGAGTGCAGTAGCACAATCTCAGCTCACTGCAACCTTTGCCTCCAGGGTTAAAGCAATTCCCCTGCCTCAGCCTCCCGAGTAGCTGGGATTACAGGTGCACGCTACCGTGCCCAGCTAATTCTTGTATTTTTGCAGAGACAGGTTTTCACCATGTTGGCCGGGATGGTCTCAAACTCCTGACAAGTGATTCACCTGCTTCAACCTACCAAAGTGCTGGGATTACAGACATGAGCCACCACACCCAGCCAATAGGCCATAAGTTCTGGTCCTGGCTTTTTCATTTATCATCTGTGTAACTTTGAACAAGTTCCTTAACTTCTTTGAGCCTCTGCATGCTGATACACAAAATGCAGCTCACAATACCTGCCTCAGCATGAGGGTTGAATGAGATAGCGTATGTACAAACACTAAATACTGTTTTCAATAAGGTCTTTTGAATTGAAAAGATCACCTAATTTTGTTGCTATTATATAATAACTACATTATTATTATTATGCTTTCAAAATATTTGGCCACCATCTATAGGCCAAGTCTTTGACTTCAAATTGCAGTTAATATCAGATAAATGAATGAGAAATGTTTATAATACATTTGCATCCTGCAGGAAAGCTAAATTTTTAATTAAACACAGAATATATACATATTTTAAAATCACTCTGAAGATAATATGACAGAAATGACTATTATTTCTACCTAGAGAAGAATTCCACATTTAAGTAACAGGGCTAAAGTCCTTCCAGTTCTAAGTTTCTATATACAAGTCTACTCAGGTTTATTCAGATCAATGACTTATCAGTTTTGCACAAATTGCTCCCTGAATCCAACAGTGCAGTAACTCAGTCACCATATCCTTCCTGTCTCCAGACACAAATGAAGTGACCTTTACATCTATAACCAAAATTTCTGCTCTTGAGTGCTAACTACATCTTTAGGATTTCTCTCTCTCTCTCTTTCTTTCTCTCTCTCTCTCTCACACACACACACACACACACACATATACACACATACACGTACAATCCTTCCCTCAAGGATTTTGAGAATGCTCCAAAACATTCATGTATGCTCACAATTCAGTCTGTTAGCTGTTGACACCATTTGAAAATCTTCTATAGTCTTTCTATCAGGTTCTGATTTCCCTGAGTCAATACTTGTCCCTAACATTGCTTTAGACAGACTTCTCATTGTCATTGTTAACAACCCACCTTGAGAATGCCAGTATAATATACAAGGGAGCTGTCTCAGGGAGCTGCCAAAGCTCGTCCAGTTTCAAGTGTCAGAGATGTGCTGGGTTCCAGGCAGAGGTGAGGAGAGGAAGCTAAATTAGAATCCTCAGACTCATTCATTCATTCAACATTAATTGACCACCTGCTGCATATAGCAGTGAAGCTTAGTGGTTAAAAGTAAGGACTTTGGTGTCAGACATTCCTGGTTCAAGTAATACTCTGCCACTTATGAGTTTTGTGATCTTGGTTGGGTCCCTTATTCTCTCTGGGCCTTAGTTTACTTTTTTGTAAAATAAGAATTATAATAGATCTCTTTTGTGGAGTTGCTATGAGAATTATATGAGATAATCTATGTAATATTGGAACCTGGATGGAAATACAGCAGTTTTTATCCTCACCTAGGTTCCAGACTCTGATTTGACTCTGTGGATAAAAATGTTTATTACATCTGCAGCATTTTTTCGTTTTAAATACACCCAGCATGCCCACTCAAGAACCAGATCAAGAACAATTCCAGAGATCTATAGGAATATTTGAGAATTACTTTGGGCCAGTGTTCTTTCCATTCATTTAAAACCATTTCACATCCTGGCTTCAGAAGGTCTTTGTTTTGTTTGGCTTCATACTTTAGTCTTTCTCTTTGTCTTGAGAAGCCTTTCCCCCCCCAACTTTTTGGGAGTGGTGAAAATTTTAATCCCTTCTTTAGTTATCTTATCTTTACTACAGTACTCTCAAAATATAGTTTAAATGTGCACATGTCTTTCTCCCCATTGCTTCCATGCTGGTTCAAGGCACAAACAATTCTTCCCTGGACCATTTCAGGAGCCTTCTACCTAATCTTCCCATTTCCTTTCTAAACATGTTCTATCGTTTTCACAACAAAGCATGTGTATTGCCCATTTCTGTCTTTAAAATCATTCAGCAGCTTACTGTTTTTTTTAATCAAAACCCAAATTCATTACTATAAGGTGGAGAAGATAACTCACAATTTACTAAAATCTCTTAATATCTTCTTTCCTACCATAGAAATGGATTTGTGTCAGAGAAGCAGCTGCCAAACCAGGGTTACAGCCCTTTCTGTGGCTACACGTCATCTGTGTGTTAGTTATCTATTGCTGCATAACAACTCACCCTGGAACATAGTAGCTTAAAACAATTAAAACGTATTATTGCGGAGTTTCTGTGGAGCATGAATTCAGAGGCAGTTTAGTTGAGTGATTCTGGCTGAAGGTCTTTTATGAGTTTGCAGTCAAGATGTTGGACAAGGCTGCAGTCATCTGAAGGTTTGATTGGAGCTAAAAGATCCTCCAGCCTCACTAATGTAGCTATTGGCAGAAGGCTTCAGTTTCCTGCTGTCTGATGGCCAGAGGATTTACTTCTTTGCTATGTGGATCCCTTTATAGATGAGTATACTCATAACTTGGCAGCTGGCTTCCCCCAGAGCAAGTGATACAAGAGAGAAAGCTAGCAGGAATTTACAGTGTCTTTTATAACCCAGTCTCTGAAGTCACAAAAGACCATTCCCCCCCTCTCTTTTCTATTCATTAGAAGTGAATCATTAAATCAAACTCACACTCCACAGGTGCAAAATTTGGCTCCACCTTTTAAAGAGATTGTTAAGAAAAAGTCATGGACATATTTTAAACTGCCACAACTGTGACTGGTTTTCCCAATAGAATGTGAGCAGAGGTGAGTTTTACTACTTCTGGGTCAACTCTTTTAAGAAGCAAGTGGCTTCTTTCATACTCTAGTTCTCCTTTCATTGGCAGAGTGCAAAAATGTGACTAGATCCAGGAAATGGCAAAGCCAAATGATGATTGCAGGACCATAGGTTTCTCAATCAATGTATTAGAGGGAGCTTCCCAACTACCAGACACTTTGGATATGAACTTGAATGAGAAATAGAATCCTTTTGTGTTTGAGTCTTTATTTTGACGTCTAATTGTTAACAGCAGTTTAACCTACCCTACTTACACTTATGGCTTACAAGGCCTGGCATTAACCAGCCTGTCCCTACTCTCAGACCACTTTCCTTGAACCATCTAACCCAAGTTACAACAGTGTCCTTCATGTACACGAGCATCCCAAGTTCTCAGAGTCTTTCCAGGTGCTTCTGTCTCTGCTGTTGCCTTCTAACATCACACGGCTGACTCCTATCACCCACTGGGACTTGGCTTAATTACTAACTCCTCAGAAAAGATTGGTCTGGCCATTCTAATTAAATAGGCCTCTACCTTATGCATACCATTCCCTTACTCTATAGCACTTATCATAAATTAGAATTATACATTATTTATTTGTTTAATATCTGTCTCTTGTATTAGCTCCTTGAGGCTAGAGTCCATGTGTGTAGAGTGTATATATATTTTTTTCTTTTTCAAAATATTCACTTCCTCATCCAATGTGAGGATTTCATATTCCCGCCCTACTGAAGTCAGATGTGGTCATGTAACTTTCTTTGGCCAATGAAATATGAATGTAAATTACATGTGCAGTTTCTGAGAAGCAGCTTTAAGTTCTTTTTTTTTTTGGTGGGGGGGCGGCGCAGGGGGATGGAGTCTCACTCTGTTGCCCAGGCTGGAGTGCAATGGTGCGATCTCGGTTCACTGCAACCTCTGCCTCCTGGGTTCAAGCTATTCTCCTGCCTCAGCCTCTCGAGTAGCCGGGATTACAGGTGAGTGCCACCACGCCTGGCTAATTTTTGTATTTTCAGTAGAGACGGGGTTTCACCACGTTGACCAGGCTGGTCTTGAACTCCTGACCACCCGTGATCCACCCACTTCAGCCTCCCAAAGTGCTGGGATAACAGGCATGAGTCACCATGCCTGGCTGGCTTTAAGTTTTTCATCTGGTTCAACTAACACTATTTCTGCTCAGAGAAAGGAAGGATTAAAAGGGAAAGTCATGAGCTGCTGCTTTTTTTTCTTAAATTGAGGTGAAATTTGCGTAACATAGAAATAACCATTTCAACTTGAATAGCTCTGTAGTAGATAGTACACTTATCAGTTGCTTTTGTTACTAAGTAACTCAGAACAATGTGAGGCTCCTATTGGAAGAAATTCTCAGAGAATTTGGAAATGGAAACTACTAGGAAATGCCCCCTACCTGGTAGATTATACTGGTTGGAGGTCAAGACCCCGATGCCCCATCACCCGGGAGAAGGAGAGAAAGGGAAATCCTGGAATTTACTAAAGATGGCTGGGGTATAAAATTAACTATAAAATAAAACTGGAAAGGAGACACTTTGTATGAATTTAGGGTTTCATTTGAAATTGTAGTTATCCCAAAGAAGGTAAGAATGACCAAGTAACTATTAAAGCTCTAGTTATCAGAATTTTCCCATTGGATTGAAAAGATTTGGAATGAATGACAGATCAGTTTCTTCTCATACACTCCCACTATCAGGTAGCAAAAGGGAGAAAATAGCCATGAAAAGAGAAGAGAGGTATGGAAGTAAGGATTAGTGGTGCTGACTGGCTCTCAGTTTTATTTTAACTTTTAAATCATCCTGTCTTTCATCTAGAGAATAATGATGTTGGGAAAAATTTCCCCATTAGAATAACTTTACCCCAAATAAAGAACAATGAAACTAGCAAACCCTTAGTCAAAATTTGGAGGAACTCACAGCTTGAAGTATTATAAGATTACTATAAATTTCTCCCCAAAGCTATGATTTCTGTTTCACAGAAGAAATATGCCCAATGACTACATGATTAGAAGTTAGAATGGATATCAGTTCCACCCCTTTTTATTTTATAGGTAAGGACACTGAAAACCCCAACTCCACTCAACAGAAATATTTTTGATCCTGGATAGAGTTACTGGGAACATATTCCAATAAATCTTTATGAGTGTATTTTTAACATAAGCATAACTATAAGCTAATTCATTCATATAAATTAGCACTTCTGCCAGTTAATAGGGGAAGAAGAGGGACAGAAATATAAATACATACAATGATCTATTCCTCTCCTCACGAGTTCTATAAATAATATTTCATCATTGAAACAAAACTTATAATACCTCCTGATACTCAAGACAATGATATTTAAAAGTGGAAAAGGCAAAAGGAACCGAAATGGAAGTAAGGTTTCCATGCTTTACTTGAATTAATAAAGTATTGATACATTGACTGCAATAAGTCACATATATATATTATAATATCCAGAGCAACCACTAAGAAAATTATACAAAGATATGTACCAAAAAACACTATAAATAAATCAGTGGAGGCCAGGCACAGTGGCTCACAGCTGTAATTCCAGCACTTTGGGAGATTGAGGCGGGTGGATCACTTGAAGTCAGTTTGAGATCAGCCTGGCCAACACGGCAAAGCCCCATCTTTACTAAAAATACAAAAAAAAAAATTTAGCCGGACATGGTGATGCACACTTGTAGTCCCACCTACTCAGGAAGCTGAGGCAGGAGAATTGCTTGCACCTGGAGGTGGAGGTTGCAGTGAGCCGAGATGGTGCCACTGCACTCCAGCCTGGGTGATAGAGTGGGACTGTGTCACAAAAACAAACAAACAAATCAAAACAAAACAGAAAACCCTGACACTGGGTAATTCATAAAGAAAAGAGGTTTGGTTGGCTCATGGTTATGCAGACTCTACACTGACATCACTCAGCTTCTGAGGAGGCCTCAGGGAACTTTCAGTATAATGGCAGAAGGTGAGCAGGAAGCAGGCATGTCATGAGGCCAAAGAGGAACAAGTAGGGTTGGGTGGGGGAAATTGCCACATACTTTTAAATGACCAGATCTTGCAAGAACTAGCTCAGAACCACAAAAACAGCACCAAGCTGTGAGGGATCTACCCCCATGACCCAAACACCTCCTACCAGGGCCCAACTCCAGTACTGGGGATTACAATTTAACATGAGATTTGGGCAGGGACAAATACCCAAACTACATCACATTTCTTGCTTTCCAGTCACACTAAGTCTTCTTGAAAGAATAGTCTATGCTCCCTTCTCTACTTTGTTGTTGTATCTTACTTATGGCTGCAAGAAACAGACTACTCAACTAAAAATTTCCCCAAACAAATTGGATTCTATTGACTCGCATAATAAGCTAGGAGATACGTGGCCTCCAGCATTTGTTTAATGCACAATAATATCTTCAGATATGTAAGTTCATTCCTTTCTTTGATTCCCTCATCCTCAGATGGTGTCCTCATGTCTTTAAGAGCATCTCCAGGGATCACATCCTCACACAACTACTTAGACAGGAGGAACAGGAGGAACAGGAGACAAGGAAGAAGGCTCTTCTTAATCATTGTTCTCTTTCTTTTCTTTTCTCTTTTTTTTTCAGACAGAGTCTTGCTCTGCCACCAGGCGGGAGTGCAGTGGCATGATCTCAGCTCACTGCAACCTCTGCTTCCCGGGTTCAAGTGATTCCCCTGCCTCAGCCTCCCGAATAGCTGGGACTACAGGCACGCGACACCATGCCTGGCTAATTTTTTTGTATTTTAGTAAAGACAGGGTTTCACCATGTTGGCCAGGATGGTCTCCATCTCCTGACCTTGTGATCTGCCTGCCTTGGCCTACCAAAGTGCTGGGATTACAGGCGTGAGCCACCACACCCGGCCCCCGGCCCTCTTCCTTTTCATCTGTGAGAAAAAGTTCCCTAGCGGTCTTTCTGTAGTTCCCCTTGATCAGATTTAAATCGCATGGCCATCTCTACTAACAAGGAAAACCACAAAAGCATTTTAAGACTCTATCCCAGCAGGAGACTCTGCCTGTAGGGAAGAAGTGAAGAGAGTGGCCCTTGGTAAATTGGCCAAGAGAATTGGCTATGCTCATCATCCTTTTAGTTTAAAGAGACAGCAGTGTCTGGGGAGTGCAGTGGTGGAGCATGCGAACTTTAAGCCCCTTTTCTGTTTGAACCTCCTACAGAATTTTAGCATATTGACTACTTCCTCCTTCCCACAAATTTCTACTGGAACAAGTAATTTCACATCACCCTATCCTAATGTCCCAGTATCTCTGTGCCCCTTTCCATTCAGTCTTGCTTTTCCATCGTGTCTTAAATGTAAATAAGCCTTTTTTTCTTTCTTTCTTTCTTTTTTTTTTTTTTTTTCTAGACAGTCTCGCTCTGTCACCCGGGCTGGAGTGCAGTGGCAAGATCTTGGCTCACTGCAACCTCCACCTCCCAGGTTCACGCAATTCTTCTGCCTCAGCCTCCCAAGTATCTGGGACTACAGGCATGCACTACCATGCCTGGCTAATTTTTGTATTTTTACAACATTTTACAAAAAAAAAACCATGGTTTCGCCATGTTGGCCAGGCTGGTCTCAAACTCCTGAACCTCAGGTGATCTGCCCACCTCGACCTCCCAAAGTGCTGGGATTACAGGTGTGAGCCATAGTGCCCAGCTGTGAATAACCTGTTATCATTCTGCCCTTGGCTCCATTCTCTTCTTGCCCTGTATCAGCCTGTCATGTCCTCTTTAGATTATAGTTGCTTTGAGAAAATGGAAGAAATTACCTTTAAAATGCGCAAACCCATAACATATAGGTGAGTATATAATTTGGGGGAATTTAAAGACCCCCTAAAACCCATCCATCAATCACTTTGGGACTCCCTGATCCATACTCTGGAAGTCCTTGCTCCATGTATTCTCCCTGGACACTCTCAATAATGCCATGTTTTCAACTGCCATCCAACGTCCCTCACATAGGTAGCACCACCTTAGACCTCTTTGTTGAGCTCCAAACTTATAATTTCAACTATGTAGTAAAATCCTTCTCAATGTTTGTTGTAGATGTTTCGTACCGACCTCATCCCAAAATAGACTATCTTTGATCATTATCCCTCCTTGCTCCGGTCTGCTCCTCCCCTTATATTCTTTCTCTATGTTAATAGGATTTTTATCCAAGCAGATAAGTTCTAAGTATTGTCACCTCCCATTTTTTTCCCCTCTCCTACATTCAGCTGGTCTCCATGTCCATTCAAGTGTATTACAAAGGCTCTCTGAAACTTGTCTCCTGTTCTCCATCTCTCCTGCAACATTCTGAATAGATACTTCATTATTTTCTTCCTGGGTTAGCACATCAGACTCATACTAGTGATTCCCTCCTTTAGTCCCCGCTCCATGCTAACACCAGGGATCTCTCACTACAACCAAATTTTAATCACCTTCCAGATTAAAATCTACTGTAACATCCATTTCCAACACAAACCAAAATTCCTTAGTATTACATCCATGTCTTCACATTGTCTGACTCCTGTAGCCATCTCCTTCCAATATTTTCTGTCAACGCCCCACATGTAGCCTATGCTCAGACCACTACTGCCAAGTCCCTGAGTAAGCCATGTCTCTCGCTCCTCCGTGCACCTTATCTACCTGGAATTCCCATCTCCTACTGCTCTACCTAATAGATGTATAGTCACCCTTTATAGCATAAATCAAAGGCCAGCTCCTCTTTATACCATCCTTGACCTGCCCTCTCTCCTTTCTTTTAATTTTATGCAAACCCATATTATTGAATTTATCCCAGTGAGTAGTAGTTTTTGTCGACGATGTTGTAAAACCCATAATATTCTGAGCACTTTGGGAGCATAAGTCATGAGTAATTAAACTTTCTGATTGTCAGATAGCAAATGTCAATATGTTGGTGGAAAAAAAGAAAAATTTTAGTATGTATGTGGTCTTTTATAATGAAGTAGGTTTTATTTCTTCGGCCAATATTATGTACATTTATTAGTGATTGGAATGTTTTCTGGGGAAAGGGAAACTTTCTTGGATTTCTGCATGGGCAACTTTGACTTCAAGAAAACCACAGTCTCTGCATTTCAGAATACCCAACACACCACCTATTTGTTGAATACTACCTCAATTTTGTTCTTTGCTCTGGCAGAAAGTGACCACTAGGGAGCATTATAGTTGCATATATTTCTTTGCACACATTCAAGTGATTTATCATCTTAGGGCAAAAACTAGTTTTCAAAACAAAAATATCTTTATATCTACGTTTGCTTAGCCATTTTTTTACTTTTCCAAGAAAATTAAAATGTAAATTTCCTGCCCCTTATCTCCATTCTTCATACCACTCAGAAATCCTTCCACAAATAATTGTATTTGGAATATTTCCAAAGAAGAAACTGAACTTCTTGTTTCTCTTGTGACTCTAGCGATTTCTTCATTTATCACATTATCTCCAAGTCTCCAGTTATTTGCAAGCCACAGAAAATATGGAAGATAGAAAATTTTCAACCAGAATTTATTGGGCACCAGGCCCTGTACCGGAGTGTAAAGGTGCAGAAAAAGTCAGAGGTGGTATTACCCACACAACAGGTAGATTCAATTGCCTGGCAGGTGACAGCCCAATGACCATGACCAAGAAGGGTTTAACAAGGGGATATTATTATTTGCAATAAGGAAGGAGGACACCACAGATAGTTCCCCAAAGCAATGCCTCCTGGAACAATGGTGAAAACAGGGCTGTTATGAGGCTGGCTGGCTGAGTCATTGTATGTAGAGGTGGAGTCAAGGGAGCTTGAGTGCAGTCACTGATCATTCTTCTACATGTATTGCATGTATAGAAAATGGTGAATAAGCTCCTCCTTGGGCAGGGTTTTTAGTATGGTAATGAGTTCACCAAAATTCATCTCCAATTCAGGCATCTCTGGATCCAATTGGTTTTCGTTTTTCTGGGGCTGAGTTTCTTCCTGGAACTTTTTGAAACAATAAGAACTCAAGGTGCAACAGTTACATGTGGTTACTTTTCCACAGTTGTACCCCAAAAAACTTGGGGACCCTGGGTTACAGTGGTATGTATCCACCATTAGTCCATTCATACACTAAGGTAAAAAAGATAAATAACTTCTTACATTTTTAAGAGGTAATTAATACAATGGAAGAATTTCTATGGTGTTCTTTTATTATGTATATGGCAGCAAAGAAAGAATCTGGGCACAACTAGGTTGATTATATGACAGTTGGCCAAGCTTAGGGGAGAGAAAAGGAACTTTAGGAAGAGTATACAAAAACAAATTTAAAAGGACAAGCCATAAACTTTCATGATTGGAAGCCTATTTTCTACAAAACAATTAACCTGCATAAAAATGTACCTTCTAAATGGAGGAAGAAAAGGTAATCTTCAAACTCTCCTTTAAAAAAAAAGCAATGAAGAAAAATGAAGGATAACCTCAAACAGGTTGAGGGACAAGTAAGCAAAGGCAAAAGCTGAAATTGCCTTAAGGACAGTCACCCAAAGTTAAGAGCAACCTCTGCCTTCAAATAAAAGCAAATACACATCTTCTCTGGAAGAAAGTATCCTTAGCTTAGCTTAGATTCTGAGAATCCCCACAAATTAAAACCAACCATAGCTGAGCTTATACTCAAAGATCTCCAAACACATAAGATAAGCCACCATGAGTGAAAGTCATTAGAAGCAACAAATCAACAATTTTGAGACTTTACTACTATAGATATTAGAATTGTCAGACACAGAATATAAAATAGCTAGGTATAGACAGTTTAAATAAAGCTAAGATAAAAATTAGTCAAAGAGCAAAATAATGAGCCCACAGATTTGGAAAACAAGAAAGACAACTTTTAGGAATGAAATAACAGTTGTTTAAATATAGAACTACATACATGGATAAAAGAGCAAAATAGACATAACAGAAGTGAATTAAAAGATAGATCTCAAGAAGATATACTGAATGTAGCACAAGAAACTAACACGGAAAATATAGAAGAGAAGTCGAGAAATACCAAATATAGAATTAAAATACCTGATTTCTAATCAGAGTTCCAGAAAGACAGAACAGAAAAAGTTAAGAAAGTGCAGTATGTGAAGAGATAATGCCTTAGAACTTTCTAGGACTAGTTGGATTTATTATTTTATTTTATTTTACTTTTTTATTTTATTTTGAGACAGAGTCTCTCTCTGTTATCCAGGCTGAAGTGCAGTGGCACAATCACCGTACACTCTAGGCTCCACCTCCCAGGCTCAAGCAATCCTCCCACCTCTGCCTCCCAAGTAGCTGGGAGTTCCTGGGACTATAGGCACACATCTGTAGAGATCGTGTCCCATTATATTGCCCAGGCTGGTCTTGAACTCCTGGGCTTAAGTGATCCTCCCACCTCGGCCTCCCAAAGTGCTGGGATTAAAGGCATGAGCACCTGGCCTAATCAGATTTTAATTAAAGTCATGAATCTCTAGATAACACAAAGTACAATATGTTAAGCAAGACATATCATCTATATAATACTCTGTATCACACAGGGTACAGGCTGAAGTGCTGTAACAAAGAGATCCCAAGTTACAGTGGGATTAGGAAGATGAAATTTCATTCATTATCACAAAACAGTCCCACAGGTTGGTAGTTTAAGGGGCTAGAAGCTCTGCTCCTCAAGGAGACTCAGGAATAAAGTTCTGCCAGTCTTAAATTTAACTTTTGTTCTGGGTCCTAGACAGTTGCTCTGGTTGTCGCTAATTCCTAGCCATTAAGAACAAAGGAGAAAGAAGCCCGCAAGCTTTCTTTTAAGGATATGACACACATGTTGCACACATCACTTTGAGAAGAAAGTAGCCCAGCTTTTGACAACTCTGTGGGCTGGCATGCAAGATTTGAAAATGGAGGAGCCCCAGATACAATCTTTTACTATCCAGTAATTTTCTCACATGGGGATTTTTCAAAGTAAGCAAAGGCTAGGGTGGGGCTGGAAAGAAAAAGAAGTTTCCTGAATTCACAGTCTTACAGTTTGCAGTTCTCATGACTTTGCAGTATCAAAGCCTCACCATCTAGCAAAACCTGAGTCTAACAATCTTAAAGTTTCATAGTTTAGTTTTAAGGTGAAACAGGCTCTCAATGTTTGGTCCCAGGGAACTTCTAAAGGGTGAACCCTGAATCACTTCCAAAGCACTTAATGACATTGAGTCAAATCTGCAACCAAAAGCTCAATATAACTTCTGATAAAACCAATATCTCAGTCTTATGGCAGCAAGGAGGTTGGGGTTGGAATGAAAAGAAGTAAAACCACCTTGGACTCTTGGTTTTTTTAATGGCCCTAATAGTGAGATCAAATTCAAAACACCACCCCAAACCAGATCACATCCTGACTGGTACTGATTAGCACCCCTGTGAGAGCTACCAAAAAGGGTGTAGAACATTCCCTCAGCCAGTGGACGAGACCCAATTATATGCTATTTACATGAAAAATATTTTAAGTATAAATGGATATGCAGAATTTAAAAGTACAGAAAAACGTGAAAACACTTAAGAATAAGAATGTAGATGTAGTTACTTTAAAATAAGATAAAGTGTATTACAATGAAAGTTGTCATCAAAAAGACCACCCCATAATGTCAACATAGTGAATTCAACAAGAAAGATAACACTTCAAAATGTGTATGCCCTTATTATCAGAGTTTCAAGAACATGAATCAAAAATTGACAAAAACTGAGAAATAGACAAATTAACAATCAGAATTGGAGATTTTAACATACATCTCTACATATTTGATATAAGTATATTAAAAATCAATAAGGATAGGAAGGGTGTGGTGGCTCATGCCTGTAATCCCAGCACTTTGGGAGGCCAAAGCAGGTGGATCACAAGGTCAGGCGATCGAGACCATCCTAGCTAACATGATGAAACGCCGTCTCTACTAAAAATACAAAAAAAAATTAGCCAGGCGTGGTGGAAGGCGCCTGTAGTCCCAGCTACCTGGGAGGCTGAGGCAGGAAAACGGCGTGAACCTTGGAGGCAGAGCTTGCAGTGAGCCGAGATCGCGCCACTGCACTCCAGCCTGGGCGACAGAGCAAGACTCCATCTCAAAAAACAAAAAAGAAAAAAAAAATCAATGAGGATATAGAAGACTGGAATACTCTATCAACCGATTTAATCTAATTTAAATTTGCATAAGTCTACACTAAATAGCTGCAGAATACACATTCTCTCAAGTGCACATGTGAATATTAACCAGGATCTCCCATGTGGTAGATCATAACACAAGCATGAAAAATATTTTTATTTTATTTTATTTTATTATTATTATACTTTAAGTTTTAGGGTACATGTGCACAATGTGCAGGTTAGTTACATATTTATACATGTGCCATGCTGGGGTGCTGCACCCATTAACTCGTCATTTAGCATTAGGTATATCCCCTAATGCTATCCCTCCCCCCTCCCCCCACCCCACAACAGTCCCCAGAGTGTGATGTTCCTCTTCCTGTGTCCATGTGTTCTCTTTGTTCAATTTCCACCTATGAGTGAGAACATGCGGTGTTTGGTTTTTTGTCCTTGCGATAGTTTACTGAGAATGATGATTTCCAATTTCATCCATGTCCCTACAAAGGACATGAACTCATCATTTTTTATGGCTGCATAGTATTCCATGGTGTATATGTACCACATTTTCTTAATCCAGTCTATCATTGTTGGACATTTAGCTTGGTTCCAAGTCTTTGCTATTGTGAATAGTGCTGCAATAAACATAAGTATGCATGTGTCTTTATAGCAGCATGATTTATAGTCCTTTGGGTATATACCCAGTAATGGGATGGCTGGGTCAAATGGTATTTCTAGTTCTAGATCCCTGAAGAATCGCCACACTGACTTCCACAATGGTTGAATTAGTTTACAGTCCCACCAACAGTGTAAAAGTGATCCTATTTCTCCACATCCTCTCCAGCACCTGTTGTTTCCTGACTTTTTCATGATTGCCATTCTAACTGGTGTGAGATGGTATCTCATTGTGGTTTTGATTTGCATTTCTCTGATGGCCAGTGATGATGAGCATTTTTTCATGTGTCTTTTGGCTGCATAAATGTCCTCTTTTGAGAAGTGTCTGCTCATATCCTTCACCCACTTTTTGATGGGGTTGTTTTTTTCTTGTAAATTTGTTTGAGTTCATTGTAGACTCTGGATATTAGCCCTTTGTCAGATGAGTAGGTTGCGAAAAGTTTCTCCCATTTTGTAGGTTGCCAGTTCACTCTGATGGTAGTTTCTTTTGCTGTGCAGAAGCTCTTTAGTTTAATTAGATCCCATTTGTCAATTTTGGCTTTTGTTGCCATTGCTTTTGGTGTTTTAGACATGAAGTCCTTGCCCATGCCTATGTCCTGAATGGTAATGCCTAGGTTTTCTTCTAGGGTTTTTGTGGTTTTAGCTCTAACGTTTAAGTCTTTAATCCATCTTGAATTGATTTTTGTATAAGGTGTAAGGAAGGGATCCAGTTTCAGCTTTCTACATATGGCTAGCCAGTTTTCCCAGCACCATTTATTAAATAGGGAATCCTTTCCCCACTGCTTGTTTTTCTCAGGTTTGTCAAAGATCAGATAGTTGTAGATATGTGGCGTTATTCCTGAGGGCTCTGTTCTGTTCCATTCATCTATATCTCTTTTTTTGGTACCAGTACCATGCTGTTTTGGTTACTGTAGCCGTGTACTATAGTTTGAAGTCAGGTAGCGTGATGCCTCCAGCTTTGTTCTTTTGGCTTAAGATTGACTTGGCGATGCAGGCTCTTTTTTGGTTCCATATGAACTATAAAGTAGTTTTTTCCAATTCTGTGAAGAAAGTCATTGGTAGTTTGATGGGGATGGTATTGAATCTGTAAATTACCTTGGGCAGTATGGCCATTTTTACGATATTGATTCTTCCTACCCATGAGTATGGAATGTTCTTCCATTTCTTTCTATCCTCCTTTATTTCATTGAGCAGTGGTTTGTAGTTCTCCTTGAAGAGGTCCTTCACATCCCTTGTAAGGTGGATTCCTAGGTATTTTATTCTCTTTGAAGCAATTGTGAATGGGAGTTCACTCATGATTTGGCTCTCTGTTTGTCTGTTGTTGGTGTATAAGAATGCTTGTGATTTTTGTACATTGAATTTGTATCCTGAGACTTTGCTGAAGTTGCTTATCAGCTTAAGGAGATTTTGGGCTGAGACGATGGGGTTTTCTAGATATACAATCATGTCATCTGCAAACAGGGACAATTTGACTTCCTCTTTTCCTAATTGAATACCCTTTATTTCCTTCTGCTGCCTAATTGCCCTGGCCAGAACTTCCAACACTATGTTGAATAGGAGTGGTGAGAGAGGGCATCCCTGTCTTGTGCCAGTTTTCAAAGGGAATGCTTCCAGTTTTTGCCCATTCAGTATGATATTGGCTATGGGTTTGTCATAGATAGCTCTTATTATTTTGAGATACATCCCATCAATACCTAATTTATTGAGAGTTTTTAGCATGAAGGTTGTTGAATTTTGTCAAAGGCCTTTTCTGCATCTATTGAGATAACCATGTGGTTTTTGTCTTTGGTTCTGTTTATATGATGGATTACATTTATTGATTTGCATATATTGAAACAGCCTTGCATCCCAGGGATGAAGCCCACTTGATCATGGTGGATAAGCTTTTTGATGTGCTGCTGGATTTGGTTTGCCAGTATTTTATTGAGGATTTTTGCATCAATGTTCATCAAGGATATTGGTCTAAAATTCTCTTTTTTGGTTGTGTCTCTGACTGGCTTTGGTATCAGGATGATGCTGGCCTCATAAAATGAGTTAGAGAGGATTCCCTCTTTTTCTATTGATTGGAATAGTTTCAGAAGGAATGGTACCAGTTCCTCCTCGTACCTCTGGTAGAATTCGGCTGTGAATCCGTCTGGTGCTGGACTCTTTTTGGTTGGTAAGCTATTGATTATTGCCACAATTTCAGATCCTGTTATTGGTGTATTCAGAGATTCAACTTCTTCCTGGTTTAGTCTTGGGAGAGTGTATGTGTCGAGGAATTTATCCATTTCTTCTAGATTTTCTAGTTTATTTGCATAGAGGTGTTTGTAGTATTCTCTGATGATAGTTTGTATTTCTGTGGGATCGGTGGTGATATCCCCTTTATCATTTTTCATTGCATCTATTTGATTCTTCTCTCTTTTCTTCTTTATTAGTCTTGCTAGCAGTCTATCAATTTTGTTGATCCTTTCAAAAAAACCAGCTCCTGGATTCATTAATTTTTTGAAGGGTTTTTTGTGTCTCTATTTCCTTCAGTTCTGCTCTGATTTTAGTTATTTCTTGCCTTCTGCTAGATTTTGAATGTGTTTTCTCTTGCTTTTCTAGTTCTTTTCATTGTGATGTTAGGGTGTCAATTTTAGATCTTTCCTGCTTTCTCTTGTGGGCATTTAGTGTTATAAATTTCCCTCTACGCGCTGCTTTGAATGTGTCCCAGAGATTCTGGTATGTTGTGTCTTTGTTCTCGTTGGTTTCAAAGAACATCTTTATTTCTGCCTTCATTTCGTTATGTACCCGGTAGTCATTCAGGAGCAGGTTGTTCAGTTTCCATGTAGTTGAGCTGTTTTGAGTGAGTTTCTTGATCCTGAGTTCTAGTTTGATTGCACTGTGGTCTGAGATATAGTTTGTTATAATTTCTGTTCTTTTACATTTGCTGAGGAGAGCTTTACTTCCAAGTATGTGGTCAATTTTGGAATAGGTGTGACGCAGTGCTGAAAAAATGTATATTCTGTTGATTTGGGGTGGAGAGTTCTGTTGATGTCTATTAGGTCCACTTGGTGCAGAGCTAAGTTCAATTCCTGGGTATCCTTGTGAACTTTCTGTCCCGTTGATCTGTCTAATGTTGACAGTGGGGTGTTAAAGTCTTGCATTATTATTGTGTGGGAGTCAAAGTCTCTTTGTAGGTCACTCAGGAATTGCTTTATGAATCTGGGTGCTCCAGTATTGGGTGCATATATATTTAGGATAGTTAGCTCTTCTTGTTGAATTGATCCCTTTACCATTATGTAATGGCCTTCTTTGTCTCTTTTGATCTTTGTTGGTTTAAAGTCTGTTTTATCAGAGACTAGGATTGCAACCCCTGTCTTTTTTTGTTTTCCATTTGCTTGGTAGCTCTTCCTCCATCCTTTTATTTTGAGTTTATGTGTGTCTCTGCACATGAGATGGGTTTCCTGAATACAGCACACTGATGGGTCTTGACTCTTTATCCAATTTGCCAGTCTGTGTCTTTTAATTGGAGAATTTAGTCCATTTACATTTAAAGTTAATATTGTTATGTGTGAATTTGATCCTGTCATTATGATGTTAGCTGGTTATTTTGCTCGTTAGTTGATGTAGTTTCTTCCTAGTCTCGATGGTCTTTACATTTTGGCATCATTTTGCAGTGGCTGGTATCGGTTGTTCCTTTCCATGTTTAGTGCTTCCTTCAGGAGCTCTTTTAGGGTAGGCCTGATGATGACAAAATCTCTCAACATTTGCTTGTCTGTAAAGTATTTTATTTCTCCTTCACTTATGAAGCTCAGTTAGGCTGGATATGAAATTCTGGGTTGAAAATTCTTTTCTTTAACAATGTTGAATATTGGCCCCCACTCTCTTCTGGCTTGTAGAGTTTCTGCCGAGAGATCTGCTGTTAGTCTGATGGGCTTCCCTTTGAGGGTAACCCGACCTTTCTCTCTGGCTGCCCTTAACATTTTTTCCTTCATTTCAACTTTGGTGAATCTGACAATTACGTGTCTTGGAGTTGCTCTTCTCGAGGAGTATCTTTGTGGCATTCTCTGTATTTCCTGAATCTGAATGTTGGCCTGCCTTGCTAGATTGGGGAAGTTCTCCTGGATAGTATCCTGCAGAGTGTTTTCCAACTTGGTTCCATTCTCCCCATCACTTTCAGGTACACCAATCAGAGGTAGATTTGGTCTTTTCACATAGTCCCATATTTCTTGGAGGCTTTGTTCGTTTCTTTTTATTCTTTTTTCTCTAAACTTCCCTTCTGGCTTCATTTCATTCATTTCATCTTCCATCACTGATACCCTTTCTTCCAGTTGATCACATCGGCTCCTGAGGCTTCTGCATTCTTCACGTAGTTCTGGAGCCTTGGTTTTCAGCTCCATCAGCTCCTTTAAGCACTTCTCTGTATTGGTTATTCTAGTTATACATTCTTCTAAATTTTTTTCAAAGTTTTTAACTTCTTTGCCTTTGGTTTGAATTTCCTCCTGTAGCTCGGAGTCGTTTGATCATCTGAAGCCTTCTTCTCTCAACTCGTCAAAGTCATTCTCCGTCCAGCTTTGTTCCATTGCTGGTGAGGAACTGCATTCCTTTGGAGGAGGAGAAGTGCTCGCTTTTTAGAGTTTCCAGTTTTTCTGCTCTGTTTTTTCCCCATCTTTGTGGTTTTATGTACTTTTGGTCTTTGATGATGGTGATGTATAGATGGGTTTTTGGTGTGGATGTCCTTTCTGTTTGTCAGTTTTCCTTCTAACAGACAGGACCCTCAGCTGCAGGTCTGTTGGAGTTTGCTAGAGGTCCACTCCAGACCCTGTTTGCCTGTGTATCAGCAGCAGTGGCTGCAGAACAGTGGATTTTCATGAACCGTGAATGCTGCTGTCTGATAGTTCCTCTGGAAGTTTTGTCTCAGAGGAGTACCCGGCCATGTGAGGTGTCGTTCTGCCCCTACTGGGGGGGGGGGTGCCTCCCAGTTAGACTGCTCGGGGGTCAGGGGTCAGGGACCCACTTGAGGAGGCAGTCTGCCCATTCTCAGATCTCCAGCTGCGTGCCTGGAGAACCACTGCTCTCTTCAAGGCTGTCAGACAGGGACATTTAAGTCTGCAGAGGTTACTGCTGTCTTTTTGTTTGTCTGTGCCCTGCCTCCAGAGGTGGAGCCTACAGAGGCAGGCAGGCCTCCTTGAGCTGTGGTGTGCTCCACCCAGTTCGAGCTTCCCGGCTGCTTTGTTTACCTAAGCAAGCCTGGGCAATGGTGGGTGCCCCTCCCCCAGCCTCGCTGCCGCCTTGCAGTTTGATCTCAGACTGCTGTGCTAGCAATCAGCGAGACTCCGTGGGCGTAGGACCCTCCAAGCCAGGTGCGGGATATAATCTCCTGGTGTGCCATTTTTTAAGCCCGTCGGAAAAGTGTAGTATTCAGGTGGGAGAGACCCGATTTTCCAGGTGCCGTCTGTCACCCCTTTCTTTGACTAGGAAAGGGAACTCCCTGACCCCTTGTGCTTCCTGAGTGAGGCAATGCCTCGCCCTGCTTCGGCTCATGCACAGTGCGCTGCACCCACTGTCCTGCACCCACTGTCTGGCACTCCCTAGTGAGATGAACCCGGTACCTTAGATGCAAATGCAGAAATCACCTGTCTTCTGCATTGCTCACGCTGGGAGCTGTAGACCGGAGCTGTTCCTATTCGGCCATCTTGGCTGCCCTCCTTCAAAAATATTTTTAAAAAGTCATTTCACAGAGTATATTCTCTGACTAGATCACTATTCAACTGAATTCAAATCAATAACAGGCCAAGTGCAGTAGCTCACACCTGTAATCCCAGCACTTTGGGAGGCCAAGGTGGGTGGATCACCTGTGGTCAGGAGTTCCTGACCAGCCTGACCAACATCGCGAAACCCCATCTCTACTAAAAATACAACAACAACAACAAAAATTAGCTGGGCATGGTGGCGGGTCTCTGTAATCCCAACTACTTGGGAGGCTGACGTAGGAGAATTGCTAGAACCTGGAGGCAGAGGTTGCAGTGAGCTGAGATCGAGCCACTGCACTCCACCCTGGGCAACAGAAGGGAAACTCCATCTCAAAATAAATCAATAAATCAATACAATACAAATATCTACAAAATCTCCAATATATTGGAAAAAATAGTTAAACATCTCTTAACCCCTAATCAAAGAACAAATCACAAGGAAAATTAGAAACTATTTCATACTAGATGATAATAAAAATATAAAAGAGAGAGAGAGCAAAATGGCCATCTAGACGCAGCCCAGTGGAAGAGCTCCCACCTAGAGACCAAGGCGACTGGCACACTCCTAACAGATCTTCAGAGGGAAGGCACCAACAGCAGACAGCGGAAACACACAGAAGCTGGGCTTCGGTGGAAGGAACTAGGAATGCTACATGGGGCTACCATGCACCAGGACTCATTATTGGCCCCCAGCAATTTTGGGAGAACCAGTGAGTTGGACTGTCAAGAAGAAACCCATTCTCACCATGGGCCTCTGGAATCACAGCAGGAGAAGACCCCTTGACCACCATAAACACTCAAGTTGGCAGGAAGAGCTGCTTGGAGAAATGGTAGGGGCAGCACACCAGCTGATGTGGAGCCCAGAGGGTTTGGTGTGGGAGCCTCCATAGTGGAGCACCGCCAAAGAAGCCTATCTCCCCAGGCTTGACTTTCTCCCATAGGAGACTTTAGCCCTAGGGGAACTGTCAGACCTGAATTCTGTAGGGATGTCTTGCCCATCAGATGAGTTGTTGGACATGAGCACCCCTTGGTCTGCTGGCCTCTCCCGGGGCCCCAGCCTGGCCACACCTACTTGCAGGACAGCCTCTGGCACCCTGGTGGCCAGCATCATAGTTTTAGCACTGGCAGGCCATGACTTACCTGCAGAGAGCTCCAGCAGGGTGGCCCACACAGTCATGCACCAGCTCACCCACTCTCTCCCCACAGTACATCTTCCCCCAGGCCCACAGCAACTCCCTACATTGCTTTGCCTGCATGTGTGCATGGAAAGATTCTTCCCTTCCTTGCTCCACCAGCACGTGTGTGTGTGTGCATCCTGTCCTGCCACTGCTACAGTGAGAGTGTAGACCACCCCCAACCCCTCCCATCTCCCCCACTCCCACCGCTGAGCACCACTGTAGTCAAAGCCTTGGTGGGCACAGAGCCAGCCAGTCCCACCCCCACCAGCAGCCTGCCTTTGTGCCAATACTGCTGCAGGAGTGAAACTAGGCACAGAAAACAGTGGACCCTCCCCAGCCCTGAGCAACCACCCCTGCCTGTGGTGCACAGAGGACATACAAAGAACTGCACCTGCCAGGACCCTGCCCCTGTACCAACACCACCACCAGCGCGACCCCATGCACAGTTGCCAGCAAGGACCATCCTCCAGCCCCCCAAGCCACATTGCCTCCACCACAGTAGTGAACACCCACACAGAGGCAGGCACCCTGGTACCCACTAGCACCCTCCCTTCAGCATGCATGCACCCCACTGCACTGCCACTGCTGCTGCCACTGCTGCTGGCAAATGCAAACAAGGATGGATCCTACCACCACCACAC